>NC_000007.14:15240242-17740242 GCF_000001405.40 Homo sapiens
ATTGTAGATAAACCATAAATATATTTTTAGCATAAATATGTGTCATGCAATATTAGAACGTATACTAAAAAATTAATTGCTTGTTTGAAATTTAAATTTAATTGAGCTTTTGTGTTTTATGTGCTAATTCTTAGTGACCAGCCTTCATCTGACAAGAATTGAGAGAAGCTGAACCTACAGAGGACACATTTTTCTATCTCAGTCATTTTGTTCTAAAAATGTTCCTTCTATCATTTTCTTTCATACACGTAGGCTGCCAGTTTCACTTAGGTGCAGAGATAAAGACTGATCTTTAGTATCTTTTTATCCTTTACATGGACATAACTTAGTCTTTCTTAAGGTTAAAAAGCAAAATCAACCTGAGAATGTTATATAAAACAAATACTTATTTTGATAACTTTTACAATCACTCTCTCATATTCCACATTTCTAATAAATACAGATACTGCCTGTTTAAAATTATAATCTATAGGGCAATTTTCAGAGATCTAAGACATTTTTAAAGAAATGAATAAATACCAACAATTCCTGAACACATGCAATATGCTCAGATCCGTATTAGAAGCTTCAAGACATTGTTTTAGAATTTTATTATTTAATTCTTATAACATCTAGGTGATTTTTTTTTCCAATATGAGAAAGCTAGTTCAGTGGAGTTAATTCATTTCCTTAGGCTACAGGAATTGTAAATAGTGAAAGCAAAATTTGAACTAGGTCTTTCTCCATCTATTAAACACATTTTGTCCATTTTATCAGCTGGATCTAGATTCCAATGAGCTTTAACCACTATATTAAATACATGTTGCCAAAAGAAGAAATCATCAATATCAGGGAAAGTCAGTCAGTTCCTATCAGGAAAAGTGAATATCCCAGAGATAGAATGCGCTCACTCTGGTAGGTATCAAGCCAACATGGTAACATCTATCACTCAAGTAAAGACTAGGGAAGTGGCTCACGCCTGTAATCCCAGCACTTTGGGAGGCCGAGGCGGGCGGATCACGAGGTCAGGAGATCGAGACCATCCTGGCTAACACGGTGAAACCCCGTCTCTACTAAAAATACAAAAAATTAGCCGGGCGTGGTGGTGGGCGCCTGTAATCCCAGCTACTCGGGAGGCTGAGGCAGGAGAATGGCATGAACCCAAGAGGCGGAGCTTGCAGTGAGCCGGGATAGCGCCACTGCAGTCCAGCTTGGGCGAAAGAGTGAGACTCCGTCTCAAAAAAAAAAAAAAAAAAAAAAAAAAAAAGACTAGGGAAGACACAGAGTAGACAGTCCTTAGGAAATAATGATCACCATGGGAAAGCAAGGTTCCGTTCTTTTGACTTTGCTGTGTCCTTCCCTCCATCCTAGTAAAGGAAGACAACTGACATGATGAGTCAAAGATGAAGAGATTCACTGGACTCTCATAATTTTCTTTTATCTCTTGACTGTGAGTTTCCCCAAAACCACTGTGTAACAAAATACTAAAAATGTAATGGCTTAAAAAATTCCCATTTATTGTTACATAATTTTGTGAGTCAGAAGTCCAGGTAGACTTAGATGAGTTCCTGGCTTAAGGTCTCAAAGGTCAAAAGGTGTAGACCAGGCTGGGCTCTTATCTGTAGGCTCTGAGGAAGAATCAGCTTCTAAGCTCATTCAGTTTTTGGAAGAATTCAGTTCCTTGAGGTTACGACTGAGTTTCCTGTTGCTGGCTGTTAGCTTCTACAGGATGCCCACATTCCTTGTCACATATATTTCCTCCCTCAATCTTATAAGTATGCCACATGGAATACTTCTTAAGCTTGGAATCTCTGAGACATCCTCTTCTGTTACCAGACAGAGAAAACCCTGTGTTCTTCAAGAGTATAATTAAATTTTTCCCCAAAAATCCCTCTCTTTTGATTAATTTAAAATCAATTTATCAGTAGCCTTAGTTTCATCTTTGTCATACATAATCAGGGCATGATATATTATCATATTCACAAATCTAAGTTTAGGGCAGAAAATCATGAAGGACCATTTTAGGATTCTGCTTACTACACATGATCTCTTGAACTCAAGAAGAATTAGAAGAAATTTCAAGATCATCTAGTTAATGGATGGATCTTCCAGATAGTGAGAACTAAATTTAAGTCCTAATTCCATCCATAGACAAGTACTTCACATCACAAGGTTGTAGGGTAAAATTGGGCTTATTTTTTAACCACAGTGTTTGGAGTAAAATTATCATTGGTAAATGGTAATGTCAATAGTCTTAAAACTAAATGCTGGAGGAAGAATACAAAAGATTGGTGAGGCTAAGCTGCTAACTGGTGGGTGTAAAGATCCAGTATCTAACCTGGGCATATTGGTCCCAGAAACCAAGACTGTTAAACTGATCAACAAATAACTAAGTTAGAAACTACATCAGATAAAAGAGTTAAGCATTTCTAGGAGTAATCAATAAAACTGAGATAGAAATAGAGAAGGACCTAAATATTTACATGATTACCACTTTCCCCACTGCTGAGTAAAAAACTTCAGGGGAAAACACATGATAATCTTAATATACAAAATATAAAATAAATATGTGAAACAATGTCACCTGATAATTATACTAGTTATTTTAAAACAATAAAATGATTTAATCTATTGAAATATAGAAATAAGATAAATGACATTAAGTGTATATAATGATGAATGCTACTACAATATTTTAGGAAGTTCATTAATCTAAGATGTGGGACAGATTTTAAGTCAAAAAATAAGCATTATTGGTAAGAACTGGGGCAAGATGTCAGTGGGGGGAGGTGAAAGGAATTTAATGTATCACTTTAAATGGCTATTCTATTATTTTGTGTTAATAATTGTATATGTGTTAAAATACAAGAATTTAGATACTGAAAATATCTTTAATATTAATATATAAGACTTATTAATATACATAGGTCAGTTCTCAAGGGATTGCTTTTATAATCCTACTCACTAAATCCAAATCATCAGGAAAATGAACATCTTCAAATTAAATCCAAGTTCTTTATAGAGCTGGGTGGTAAATATTTATCAATGTTTCTTTGTTCTTCTAAGCAGCTACAGCATTATTCTCTAGACTATTCTGTATCTGTAGACCCAAAAGAGCATCCGGTTAAAATTCATAGACCCTGGTTACTTAGAAACCTTATGAGCTAGATGTTTTTTTTTTACAAGTTAGAGCAAAAAGTTAAATCAATCCAGATCCATCTATTTTATTCTCTGTTTGGGAATTGGAAGAATCTCTGTTTTTCTAGTGTTGGCGTATGACGGATAGCTATGGATAATGTAAACGTCACTTGACACTAAGCTGAGATGAGTTTGCATGATCGTGGCTGGAGAGTTTCAAAGACAGAAGTTACACAGTGATCAAAACACATACCAATTAAGATTTAAATTGGATTTTAAATATTTTAAGTAGTAATATAAAAACCATTGAGTTGTTTAGTCAAATAAGGAGATTTTAGCAGTCATCAAACCCCAGAAATATACCAATTCCAAAAATGCACAATCTGTGTATTTTTTCAAAGCACGAAAAATTTCAGGGCTATAATAAACAAAAATGCCCACAATTACCTCTAAGCCACTTGTCCGGTTTTGTCTGCCACTACTCTCTCCATTTATACTCTAGGCAACTACTTGATACTTTCTAATCATTTTCTAAACTTCCACTTTCCTGCTTATGAGATGTTGATTGTTTTAATATGGAATGATCTTCCCCTGTATTTCCATACTTTAGGTCATAAATCAAACAACCTGTCATCCTTGAAACATCCCTCCACTCTGCTGAGCTAGAAGTAATTTTGCTCTTTTGTCCTTTCCTAAAAGCATTTTGTTCAGATCTCCTAGCAAACCCTGTCTGAGAGACAAAATGGTGTACATATGTTATTGTGAGAGTTAAGAAAGAAGGGAAAATAAAAATGCATATATATAATTTAAATTTGTACAATAAATAGAAGGATACAAAGCATAAAATGTGAGAGAAAATAAACATTCTCAATGTGTCTACCTTTGTCCACTTGATTTTTAGAACCAGGTGATGATCTGCTCAAAATATATTTGAATATATAAAAGACTACCTTGATTCATTGTTGATTGTTTATGAACATTCTCTCCCTTTTTTTGTAAAGTTCCTCTAAAAAAGAGGCTATAGACTGTATATCTTTTTTATCTCACGTCTGACTTTGTATAGTTTATGCATTAAAAGCACTGCAAAACACCATTACCCGACTCCTAATCCCTCCCATTAGGGTATATTCTAGAACAAAAGCTAATAAATGTCAATGCAAAGAACGCAAATCTTTATATTCTATAGAAATAATGGTGTACTATAAACAGATTGATGATGAGACCAGTACTTCTTTTCTGACTTAATCAAAGACAATAAAGTATTTGCTCATTCTTTTTTTTGTTTGTTTGTTTGTTTTGTTTTTTTGGAGACAGAGTCGTCTCGCACTGTCGCCCAGGCTGGAGTGCAGTGGCGCGATCTCGGCTCACTGCAAGCTCCACCTCCCGGGTTCATGCCTTTCTCCTGCCTCAGCCTCCCGAGTGGCTGGGACTACAGGTGCCCGCCACCATGCGTGGCTAATTTTTTTGTATTTTTAGTAGAGACAGCGTTTCACCATGTTACTCAGGATGGTCTCGATCTCCTGACTTTGTGATCTGCCTGCCTTGGTCTCCCAAAGTGTTGGGATTACAGGCGTAAGCCACCACGCCCGGCCAGTATTTACTCATTCTTAAAGAGATAAATGTGTAACTAATTGACTTAGTATCTTGGAAAAAATACATATCTCATTCTTAGACTACAAAAGAAAGCATCTTCAAGTCTAGGAAATTAAAACTAAAGGTTAGCCTGTGGACTATCAGGATAAGAATGTATTCCAGATCACCTTGAAGTTCCAGTACCCTAGTAGATTAGGGTATTGTACATTATATGGTACATTTCATTACAAATTTAATGTTTCCTTTTTCTTTGACTACAATGAAAGATGTCCTCTGCACCAACTAATCTCCTACTCTACCAGATTCCCAATGTCGTCATCACTACCTATCCCTTTTCTTGTTGTTGTTTTCCCTGAGGTCTGGGAATAATATACCTCTCTTTCCCCTTTGACCAGGGGAAATGCTAAGGATAGTCTAAATTAGAGCCTAAGCTAGTCTAATTGGCTGAGAGGGAGTTTGAGATTTGCAGACTTCTAAATTAGTCCTAGATTCCTAATTAGCTCAACAGGGAACAAAATTGCATTCAGCCTTCCTTCCTTTTTCTGATCCTCCCTCAACTTGGCAAGGCAATCTGCAACCCAAGAGGTTCAGTAAAAATAAATCACTATCATAGAGGTATTGTGCACCATAAATATTCCAAGACTACCATCAGAAACCTGCAAATTGGGAGTTTCATATACATGTTCTGAGTGCCTAAAGTTATGAACAATTTTCGCTACTAAAAAGGAGAAAATGCTACAATGATTACTCATGATAATTTAACCACTTTTATTTTTAGTTAAAAATATTATTTAATTCCTAAGTACAAGTCTAATTTGCCAATCCAGAAATAGCACAAATGCTTGGATTTTCCTCCTTAGGATTAGTACAGAAACCAAAGATTAAAGGAATAATGGAGGAAAAGAAGGGAATCCCCCAAAGCATTAAATAATAGGTCTGCATATTATAGGTCATCATCCCCAGGCAATCAGACACTACATAAATGTTTCCATTGTTCCTTTCCTTTATTGCACATACAATGAAACTGTCCAGTACGATTAAGAGATGTCTTACCATGGAAAATAAAAGCATTTTCCTTGAATACATCACTGAAGGCTTAAAAAAAAGCTGATTAAATGGCTCCTCTGTTTCATCACAAACTCTCTTTTACTAAAGATAAAGAAATCATGTAATAATTCAAACTACATTTTTAGGGATTAAGTTTTATGCCAAAGTGATTACACATTCCAGCGTTAGCTCTCTAAGGATGCTGATTTTACATAATAGCTTCAAGTGGTTAAAATAAATAAGCGTTTTTTCCAAACTGAATAGGCTGTATTTGGTACTCAAAAGACATTTGTTTAACTAATGAATACATTTGTTCCTGTGAACTGCTGTTATTAAAACAGTCTCCAAAAGATGTTTTATATATTGACATTTTGGAGAAACAACTACTGATAAAATCCTGTTTTTTATATTCTCTGATAAGGTAGATTTTTTAAAAAATTGCCATTGGAGTTCATAGACAATGACTTGAAGTTTATTCACATTCCACAAATGATGTTGCATTCTTCAACAGAAAACAGAAGCTATCAAATAGAGCTTTCTCAAATTCTTGTAGCCCCAAATATACATCCCCATACTTCATATTTTTACTGTTTTATCTCTACTTTCCATGGTAACGGGGTCTTCAGTTGATGATTCCTCTCCTGTACTGAAGACCCAATATCATATTCCTTCATAATATACATGGATGCATGTCAAATGCCTTCTTTCTTTCTTGAACCTAGCACTTCTCACTTTCTACCTTTAAACAGGCCTAAGATTCTCTCAACCTCCCCTTTCATCCTGCTTCTAGCTAGCATTCCTCTTCTCCTCTTGAAAGCCAAGCTTCTAAAAAGCATATTCTATAGTTAAATTCTCCTATTTTCTGGCTTCCCATTGAACCTCAGGGCACACTAGAAATCTATTTTCCATCATTCCTTCCCGCTCAGCCCCCAAGTAGCTGGGATTACAGGCATGCACCACCATGCCTGGCTAATTTGTGTACTTTCTGTAGAGACATGGTTTCAACCTATTGTCCAGGCTGGTCTCAAACTCCTGGGCTCAGGCAATTCATCCACTTAGCTTCCTAAAGTAATGGGATTATATGCATGAGCCACTGTGCCCAGCCTGAAAAAAATTTATTTATTAGAACATTCATCTCACAGCACTGGTTATCCTAAAAAAAAAACTGAGAAACAAATTAAATGTCCAACAGTAGAGAAAGATGTTTATCAATACTAATAAATGCTAAACAGCTATTTAAAAAAATGCAAATAATTATATGTATTTATATTTACAATACATTTTCATGTTGAAAGTGGATAATATTTTTCTTTAAAATTTATTAAAATTTCAAATGCTGAAAAGATAAAATATGATAAAACAAGGATAGTCTCCAAGTTATAGTTACATTTTGTTAATATATGACTTGGAGATTTCACACACACACACACACACACACACACACACACACACACACACACAGAGAGAGAGAGAGAGAGAGGGAGAGAGAGGGAGAGAGAGACAGTATATCCTTTTACACATATGAATAGCCACTGCTCCATTAGCATTCACCACCAAAGCCATTTTCTGACAATCCTCAAACATACACAGACACATTCACAGTGAAACAGTTCCATTTCAATTGCAATATGCTGTTTACAAAAATAACAAAAAAGAAAAGGAGCATATTCTGAAAACTAATAACAAAATATTTTCCCAACATGACTAAATTATATCACTTTATTATATACTTTAAATACTACCAGTGAAAGATTTAATTATTCATTTTTTCATTGAATAAAAAATTTCCATATACACCAAACCATACTAGACAATGGAAATAAGTCAATTCAAAATTGAGTTTGTGGTAGAGGCAGAGATCCAAATGACAACTCAAAAGGCTCTCTGATAGAAGAGTGCATAAAGTACACAGAGGATGAATGCCTATATTAGTCAGAGAATGTATTGAGGGAAGAGGAAGATCAAACAAAGCCTCTTAGAGAAACTGAAGTAAGTGAAGTCTTAAAAAGAAGAGAGGAATTAGTCAAGCAAGCAGAATAACAGAATGCTTCGAACAGAAGAAACTATAAGCATGAATGTAGCTGATGTAAGATGTAGACAAGAAAATCATTAGCTGTTGTGGTGTAAGACGAGTTTAAACATGTCATAAAGAAGTGTCACAAAATCTGTGATCCAGCACCATATATATATATATATATATATATATATATATATATATATATATATCTTCATCTTCAATTCTAGTCTAAAAATAATTATTTTCTTTCTTTCTGAGCATTAAATTAATGAAATTCCTCTTGCCATTAATATATAGCATACAAGAGGATCATATAGAACATGCTGGAAACAGAGACTGATCACAGAGAGCCCATGGAGAGGTGGAAAGCTATAACAAATAAGTATTTTAGAATAGGTTATCTAGACCAGAGATGGCAAGGACTTTCAAATTAATTGCCAATTTCTATTCATTGGGAATATCTGAGTAAAGAAAAATTCCCATTCCCATCTAGACCATTCCTAAGGGCAAGTGGTGACTTATGAGTCTTTTGTTCCACCTTTCAAAAGAAATTTCTACCTGCTCCTCAACCAAGTTCAGTGGTAATGAGTGATGCCCACAATTAATGACACTTGCTATAAACACTGAACTTGAGAGTGGTGACACACAAGACACATATTGTCCCATGGCTATTTTTGGGCTAGAACATAGGCTGTATTTGGAAGAATGACAGGAAATGGTGCTGAATGGGCATGTAGATGCCATCATAAAGTTGTTCTGCTATTCTCAGAATTCTTGACTTGAGCCAAGTGCAGAGTCATTAAAGAGCTTAAAGTGAGGAGGCAATCTGATAATCCTTGTTTCTACAACGCCAATCACTGCAATGTAAGAAAACGTCCTATTTTACTCTCTGATTTCTTTGTAAGACTCTAAGTTCTTTCTTTGATAAAAAGGGAGGATACATAAATCGGTATGCTAAGTGGAAAACACAGTTTAACAAATGAGTATGGATAACCTTCCTTTCCAATATTTAAAGACACCAAAGAACCTACAATACTATGTAGGGTTGGCCAGGAAAATAGGATGAGCATTAGGTGCCATGGATACCAAGAAGGTAGAGTTGTTTTCATATTTTTTCAAGAAATAGTATTCATGTGTGTGAAATTTTTTGAAACAATCATGTTAAGAGCTGAATAATGGCTGCTGAATTTAACAATTGGAAGGTATATCTGACTTTAAGGATAGAATATTAGTGATGTATGGGTGGAATTCAAACTGCAGTGGGTTTAGGAGTGAAGAAGTAGCTGACAGAATATAGCCTGTTCTTGTGTGTAAGTGTGGAAAGAGGGAGAAGAGTAACTATGGAAACATAAAAAGTTGAGGATAAGATTATTAGAATAAAAATCTCCCAAAGATTAAAATACCTATAGATAGATGAAAAATATTTTGTTATTTAGAGTGTATGACACTTTAATTTGTCATTGTTTTCCTGCTATCCCATATCTCTTGTTTTGAGGAAATGATGATTTTAATCAGGGCAGAAGGATATTTAAAAAGGTAATTCTGAAGTATGACACCCTTTTCCATAAAAAGTCATTCTCACCTGAATGGAGTATGGAATAGACTTTATTAGAGCAAGTCTTGGGTTAATATGAAGGCTGTGGATAATCAGAAACAGAGTTACAAGGATGTGATGGGGGGGAAATAAAAGGGGTGGTGGGATTTGAAAGATGAGGTACATCTATTTCCCCAAATTTTCTAGATCCATAGTCATGTCTGGGAGATGGGTAGGAAACTATCTTCTCTCAAAATACTTTCCCCAGATGTGAAATTGGGAAAGAATTATGACTTAATATCATAGGTTCAATGGTTTCTAAAATTTAGCTTGAGAACTTTAGGTTTATACCATTTCTCTTAGGAAAAATGTCTAAAGAAAGGTTTTAAATCTTTACTTAGAAACTATTGTTTGATAAACAGTCTTTTCACAAGATTGCACCGGTCAGTATTTATTCCCAGCTAGTAGACAAGTGATTACATTCCACTTGTGAATTTATCCTTAATCTTTTAGTAAGTGTAGTTGAAGCCTTCAACAATTTAATATAATTGTGCTGTTATCACATTTTGTAAAATGATTAGCTAAAACCCAAATTTCATATTGTTGGCTGACCCAAGCTCCCCTAGTTGATCCCTATAAATGAAGTCTGTGAAATCCGCTGCAATTAATTTTTCTTAATGATAAAATTGGTTATCAAAAAAGTATTTATTTATATTCCCACTACTGTACAAAGAATCCTAATACACTCAAGACTAGACAATTAGTCTTCCTTGTTAAGAAAATCAGATTCATATACATGAAAAATTAAGGCACAACAGTAAAGTAGCAAAACGTGTGTAATTACTAAGATGAATAATCTGTTTATTTTGTACTAGGTAGAACCAGAGTCTGATAGCATTCAAGCATTATTCTCAATATCTGATGCTTTGATAATGTGTTACAGTAAGGAGAAGTCTCAGAAGGAATTGAGCCTAAATGGAAATTGAAGTACACACACACACACTAAACACACACACACACACACACACACACACTCTGGTTTATATCACTAAATTAATTTGCAGATATAAATATGAAACTGAAGAAATCTGGAGATGACCACTGGAAAATATTCAACCATGGCTCACGCCTGTAATCCCAGCACTTTGGGAAGCTGAGGCAGGTGGATCACCTGAGGTCAGGAGTTCCAGACCAGACTGGCCAACAGTAGAGGTGAAACCCCATCTCTACTAAAAATGCAAAAAATGAGACCGGCATGGTGGCAGGTGCCTGTAATCCCAGCTACTCGGGAGGCTGAGGCAGGAGAATCGCTTGAACCCGGGAGGCAGACGTTGCAGTGAGCCGAGATTGCACCACTGCACTCCAGCCTAGGCAATAAGAGCAAAACTCCATCTCAAAAAAAAAAATATATATATATACCTGAATGTGTTAGCAGGAAAAAAATTATTTCTGAACCAACAAAGTTTGCTTATACATATACAAAATACATATATATTTTTATACAGGCCTGTTTTGCTTAAATATATTAATATAATATTTGATAGCACAACTAGAATATTAAATACTTTAGCCCAGCTCAAAATGCTGCCTCTTTCTTTGGGACAGCCTTTCACTGGTCCCATTAGCTATACCTTTACTTCATGGCCCTGTTTCTTTGTCCATAGCTCACAAATTAAGGAGTATACACATGACCAATATGAGCCAATTAGATACCCTCCTAGAGATTTGGAATTTTGAACTTAAATCAGAGACTGAGGGGTCTATAACAATCAGGTACCAACCAGGAAAGTAAAAACTGTCCTGGGAAATTAAAACAAGATAACTTAATGCAGAACATTTGTTCCATCTGTGATGAAAGAGCTAAGAAGCCAAAGAGGGGAGAGTAAGTCAATGAAGAAAGGGAGCAACTACATTCCTAGACTTGAGAACAAAAGAGGGGGTGGTATTACCAGCACCACTGGAAACAAAACTGTCAGAAGTCTCTGTCCTTGTGAAGTTAATGTTCTAAGAAAGCAAGATAGATAACCATTATAAAGCCTATTAGTAGGGTGACTTTTTGGTCTCTACTAAGCATTTAGATTCAATGGACTGCCCAGTCTACGCAGAAGGATCTAGGACAGGAACCAGAGCTTACTAGAAGGCTAGTGTTAGACATTCCTCCCAGTTGAGTCCTTGCAGCAGCCATGTAGAAGATAACAGAAGTAGCAAAGTGAGGCACGGGGGGCAAGTGCAAGAACTAATGGACAACACAGCTTTGCCTTACAACTTCATGCCCCACAGGAATTAATGTTGCCTTTAATAATTCCATAGGCATAACTTTCAGTGTTCCTTGCAAGAGGCATGCTAGTTATAAGACTCCTGACATTCAGATAAGCCCAAAATATAATATGTTTACCAGGTTATCTGTAGTTCATTCATAGTTTGCTCCCATTCTGATGTAATTTACTAATCAAGGGTCATTATTAGCATAGGCGATTGTGCTTCATAACACAGTTGACACCATCTTTAGGTCTTTTCATGGAAACAGAGCCAGAAGTTTAACTGAAGATCTGATTCCCATGCAGTGAGGAAAGGGGGTTTGTTAACTCATTTACCTACAATAATCACAATAACAAACATAAATTATATAGTATGTAAGAAGTTGGTAAGTATTATGGAGAAAAGGAACTAGAGAAGGATCAGAAGGGTTAGTAGTGGTGGTGCTTACAATCTTAAACAGGGTGGTCAAGTGTGATGGGAAAATTCTAAGATCGGCTCCATGAGCCCTGCCTTCTAGTACTCATGCCCTGTGATATTCCTTCCCTTTGAGTGTGGGTGGAGCCCATGACTTGTTTATAACAAATGGAATATGGCAAAGGCTGCAGGATGTCAATTCTGTAATTACATTACATATGACTGTACTGCCTTTCCCTTTCTGGCTTTGAGGAAAGTGGCTATTTAGAAAATGCCTATGTGGAAAGCAGCTGAGGGCAAACTCCAGCCAAGCAACAGAGGCTCTCACTCTAATCCTATGAAGAACTGAATGACACTGAACACCACGTGAGCTAGGAAATAGATCCATCCCCAGTCAAGCCTCAGATACGACCACAGCTCTGGATGCTCGATTGTAGGCTTACAGAGGACAAGGCAAAGCTATGGTGATAACTGTCAGAAGCTCAGTTAAGAACTTGTGATTCTTGAAATGCCTGTTAGATTTCCAGCTGGAACTGTTGCATGGACTGAGCTGTGTAACACTCCACACTTAAGCCATTTTAAGAAAAGAAAGAATCAGTAACAGATACTGAAAAAGGGTGGGCGGGGGCAGTAAGTTGAAAGAAAAGACAAGAGATCATGACATACAGAGAGTTAAGTGAAGAGAATGTGTCCAGAAAGAGGATGTGATCCACTATGTCAAATGCTGGTAAAAGATAAAATAAATTGAGAACCCCTAGATTCAGTAGAAGTCATTGATACACTACACAAGAACAGATTCAAAAGAGTAGTGAAATTAAATTTGATAAATGGGCAGCAGCTCATGGGATGAAGAACAAAGATTCATTTGCTATTGTAGATATTAATTTGCTATTGTTTTGAGATGAAAGAAATAACGGCATAGAAAAATTGACAACATGAAATAGAGACAAAATTTCTGGAGTGCTATTTTTGTGTAGATGAGAAAGGATTGGGCTTTTTCAAAAGCAAAGGCCTGGGTAGGAACAAAAAAAGTGTGCATTTCAGAACTTAAGAGGTAGCTATTTATGGAGATGCTAATGTTGGTACATGTGAATTTACCAAAGTTCTTTCTTTTATTACTTTGACTTTCCCAACTAAACAGGGAGTAAGACTATCAGCTAAAAATGAAGATGAAGGGAGGCTATTAGTCATTCAAGTAGAAAGTGGATATAAAATAATTATCTGGAGAAGGGAATGGATGGGAAGAAGAGAATGATTTCTGAGCAAGGTGCAGGGCCAGCTTGCATTTCCTAATAATGAATTTGAAGTGAGATGAGTCAGGATGGTATTACATCTTTTTTTAAAATGGACACATAATGATTATACATATTTAGGGACTACAATGTGTTGTTTCCATATGTCTACATGGTATAAAGATCAAGTCATAATAATTAGTATATCCATCACCAGAAACGTTTATTATTTCTTTGTTGTGACAATACTGAAAATTCTCTCTTCTAGCTATTTGAAATATACAATCCGTTATTGTTAGCTATAGTCACCCTACTGTGCAATAGAGTACCAGAACTTATTCCTCCTATGTAACTGTAACACCGTAGTCATTGACAAGCCTCTTCCCATCTCCTTCTCTCGTCTATTCTCCCAATTCTCTGGTAACCATTATTCTGTTTTCAATTTTTATGAGATCAATATTTTCAACTCCATGTAAGAGTAAGATTGTGTAGTATTTTTTTTTTCCTGTGCCTGGATTGTTTCACTTAACATAATGTCCTCTAGGCTTATCATCCATGTAGTCACAAAATGACAGGCAAATATGATAGAATTTTATCATTTTTATAACTGTATAGTATTCCATTGTGGATATGTGTAATATCCATATTTTCTTTTTATTCTTTCTTTTTTCCATTCATCCATTGATGGGCATTTAGACTGATTACATATATTGGTTATCTTAATAGTGCTACAATTTTCGTGAGAGTGCAGATGTCTCTCTAACATATTGGTTTTATTTCTTTTCAATATTTACACAGTAGTGGGATTTCTGGATCATATGTTAGCTCTGTTTTTAACTTTTTGAGGAACTTCTATACATTTTTTCATAATGGCTGTGCTAACTTACATTACCACTAACAGAGTATCAGAGTTCCCCTTTCTCTACATCCTCGCCAGCATCATTACTTTTTTTGTTATTTGATAATAGCCCTTCTAACTGAGGTGAGGTGATATCTGATTGTGGTTTTGACTTGCATATCCTTGATGGTTAGTAATGTTCAGTATTTTTTCATACACCTATTGGTCATTTCTTTATAGAAATGTTTGTTGAGGTCTTTTGACCATTTAAAATCAGATTAATTGTTATTTTGCAATTGAGATGCTTGAGTTCCTTATAAAATCTGGATGTTATCCCCTTTAAAGAAATAATAAAAATCAGAGCAAAAATAACCAAAATACGAAAGATCAATGAGACAAAGGGTTGTCATTTTAAAAGATAAAGAAAATAGACAAACCTTTAACCAGCCTGAAAAAAAAAGAAGACTCAAACAAAATCAGAGATGAAAAAGGGGACATTACAACTGATACCACAAAAATACAAAGAATCATAAGAAACTACTATAAACAATTTATAACAACAAATTAGAAAACATAGAAGAAATGGATAAACTCCTCGACACCTACCATAATTGAATCAAGAAGAAATAGAAAATTTAAACAGACTAATAATGAATAAAAATATTGAAGCAGTAATAAAAAGTGTCAATCAAAGAAAAGCCCATCACATATACACCATGGAATACTATGCAGCCATAAAAAAAGATGAGTTCATGTCCTTCGCAGGGACATGGATGAAGCTGGAAACCATCATTCTCAGCAAACTATCACAAGAACAGAAAACCAAACACTGCATGTTCCCACTCATAAGTGGAAGCTGACCAGTGTGAACATATGGACATAGGGAGGGGAACATCACACATTGGAGCCTGTCCGGGGAGGGGAGGGAGGTTAGGGAAGGGATAACATTAGGAGAAATACCTCATATAGGTGAAAGGTTGATGGGTGCAGCAAACCACCATGCACGTGTATACCTAAGTAACAAAACTGCACGTTCTGCACATGTACCCCAGAACTTAAAGCACAATAAAAAAAGTTTTTAAAGAAACTGATATTTTCGCTGCCGAATTGTACAAAACATTTAAAGAAAGACTAATACCAGTTCTTTACAAACTATTTCAAAAAAACTGAAAAGGATTGCATTCTTCCGAATTCCCTCTACAAGGCCAGCATTGCCTGTCTCCAAAGCCATGTAAGAATACAAAAAAAAAAAAAAAAGAAAGAAAGAAAAAGAAAACTACAGGCCAATATCCGTGATGAACACAGATGCCGGAATTCTTAACAAAATATTAGCAATCAGAATTCAATAGCACATTAAAAAGATCTTCATAATGATCAAATTTTATTCATCCCAGAGACGCATAAATGGTTAAATATATGCAAATTAATAAAAGTTATACATTGCATTAACAGAATAAAAGATAAAGGCCATATCATTTCTGTGGAGGCTTTTTTCTGTTCAAATTTAGGTAGGTAGGTACAGAAAAGGAATAGGTGAATGTTTGAAATTGGCCAGGTTGTGGTTTTGTAAAGCACCATGATGAAATAAAGACAGCAAGACGGTTGAAAATATACACAAAGTGTTTTTAATGACTGATCATGGGATTCAATCTGAATAAGAGAGAAGAACAGATATCAGGGAGGTGAAGATAATGAAAAGAAAAACACTCCATCAATTCAATGCCGTGGTATAGTGAAAAGATTATTACAGCTAAAATACTTGAGGTGGTAAACCCATAAAATAGGAGGTGCTGACCAATGAGGGGGATGTATGAAAATCAGAATTTGGAGGTGGCAGCAGTTATTGGTAATGACAGAATCTTTGATATATCCAAGGAAACGAGAGTGTTCAGGTAGGAAAAAGGACTGAATCACTGGAGGTGAGCAGCCAGAGTTTTGTAAAGAACATCTCCATGTACAGTCATGTACCACATAACAACATTTCAGTCAATAACAAACCACATATACGGTGGTGGTCCAATAAATTGTAACAGAGCTGAAATTTTTATTTTTATTTTTTATTTTTTTGAGACGGAGTCTCGCTCTGTCGCCCAGGCTGGAGTACGGTGGCGCAATCTCGGCTCACTGCAAGCTCCGCCTCCCAGGTTCACGCCATTCTCCTGCCTCAGCCTCCCGAGTAGCTGGGACTACAGGCGCCCACCACGACGCCTGGTGTCGTGTGACGTGTGTAATTTTTTGTGTGTGTATTTTTAGTAGAGACGGAGTTTCACATATTAGCCAGGATGGTCTAGATCTCCTGACCTCGTGTTCCACCCACCTCGGCCTCCCAAAGTGCTGGGATCGCAGGCGCAAGCCACTGCACCTGGCTCAGAGCTGAAAAATTTCTATCATCTACTGGTTTGTGTTACAGTTGCCTACAGTGTTCTCTACCTGTAGAGACACATGCTGCACAGGTTTGTCGCCTGGGAGCAATAGGCTAAACCATATAGCCAGGTGTGTAGTAGGCTATTCCACCTAGGTTTGTGTAAGTACTGTACACTCTATGATGTTCACCAACAATTCTAAGATGGCATGGGAAAATCATAAACTGTTTAACTGCCTTGTATCCAAGAAATTCCTACAGAGATACCAGAGAAAATAAATAAATAAATAGGTAGGCATTCCATGGTGTTCTTCTTGTAAGCCTCTAAACAAAGAGGTGCATTTCTTTTATAAGTCTTACATTTGTATTTCCATGATTCTATACTTCTAAAATGAAAGAATGATAAAAGCAACTGTGGTTATTTTTGGCATATGTTTTTGTATGCTGCGGTTTTAGTATAAATTTTACTTTAAAAAAAGTTTCAAGCAACATGGATAATAATTCACGAACTCTAAAGGGGTGAAAAATGCTTCAAATGCATTATTTACATAAACCATATAAACAAATATGGAATAAGTGGCTAAGAAAGATAACTATATACAACATAGGAAGACTATCTCAGGTATATTTTTAATATACTCCAAATAATAAGGTATGAACTTGATACCTACTATGGACATATTAATATTATAATGATTTAATGCTGTTTTAATGTAGAATAAAATTTTGGATTACTTTATTGAAATATTAATTCACCTATATTCTTATAAGAATGAGATATTTATTATTGATATTGCATTGACATTTGGGCCATAGTAAAGAAGCAAATTTAAGTGAGTATCAACTTTCCTAATTGTAAATATAAAAAAAGATAAACTTCTACATAAGTGAGGAGATTCTTTTGCAATTTTTCCCCTCTGATGATTAGAAATACAATTGCCTTGGGGCAAATAAATTCTCACAAAAAATCCAGTGTAACAAGAATAATTGAGCTAAAAGATGTTACATATTACTTATCAACATAATTCAGCTGAAACACTATCTGTTTAGGAAGTTACAGTAATAAGAAAGATAATTAAAAACCTGGGTGGGAGACAGGCAAGGAAGGATTTAATAGCTACTCTATCTAAATGAAATCATATGTTTTCATACCACTTTTTAAAACTTCTGTGTGCAACTGTTGTGGGCAGTGGAGATTACCCACCCGTTTAATAGTTTATGCTAAAACATAAAGCTGCTTCTTAGAGCCACACCCAATCACATATCCCAAACAGATTGATTTTATGGAGTCTTTTCTTTGTAGTTAACCAAAACCGCATTTTCAATGATCTATTTAGCATAGTATGAAAACTCAGAATAATAAACTAAAAACACATGATTCTCCATTCTTCATTAGAGCGATAACATTCTCAACCGGATTGCCATCTTATAACAACACTATCCGTATAAATTCCTAGTATTAATGTACTATTTTAGGTTATAATTTCATAACAGCTAAGCTATCATCTTTAGTTATGAGCCAATATCTTAATACTTTTTTATGGCTTTCAATTTCAAAGCACACAATCTGAAATAAATTTTGAAGTGGAAATAGTTTATGTGGGACCAAAGATAATTGTTTTTTAATTATAGGCTTGGTATACTTTTCTTTTTTTGGGGGGGGTGGTATGTTCTTTCCTTCTTTTTCCTTTAGTTTTTAGATAACCAAATTACCTGTTGATTCACTGTCTGTATTTAAAAATACTGATTCGTGGTGGCAGGCGCCTGTAGTCCCAGCTACTCGGGAGGCTGAGGCAGGAGAATCACTTTAATCCGGGAGGCGGAGCTTGCAGTGAGCCGAGAATGCACCACTGCACTCCAATCCAGCCTGGCAACAGAGCAAGACTCTTTCTCAAAAAAAAATAAAAAATAAAATAAAAAAAGAAAAAGAAAATTCCACTTCCTGGCTGAAGGCCAAGCAACATAAAACCAGTGCACTAAACAAAAACACAACCTAGGACCCTCACAGAGTCCCCTCCACTCCCTTGCTACCTCTACTGGAGCAGGGGCTGGTATCCAGGACTGCAATATCTAAAGACAGATCACATCACAGAACTCTTTCTAGACACTCGCCAGTACCATCCCAGAGCCCTGTAGCTCTGCTGGGTGGCTAGACTCAGAAGAGCAAAAACAATCACTACAGTTTGGCTCTCAGGAAGCCTATTCCTTAGGGGAAGGAGGAGAACACCACAACAAGGGAGCACTCCACAGGAAAAAAGAATCTGAACAGCAGTCCTTGAATCTCATAGTCTACCTAAATGAGAAGGAACCAGAAAAACAATTCTGGTAATATGACAAAAGAAGGTTGTTTCACACCCCCAAAAGATCATCTCAGCTCACCAGAAATGAATCCAAATTAAGAAGAAACCTCTGAATTGCCAGAAAAAGAATTCAGAAAGTCGATTACAAAGCTAACCAAAGAGGAACCAGATAAAGGTGAAGTCCAAAAGAAATCAAAAACATGATACAGAATATGAAAGAAAAATTCTTCAGTGAAATAGATAGCATAAATAAAACTCAATCACAATTTCTGGAAATGAAGCATGCACTTAGAGAAATGCAAAATGCACTGGAAAGTCTCAGCAATAGAATTGAACAAGCAGAAGAAAGAACCATAGAGCTTGAAGACAAGGCTTTTGGATTAACCCAATCCATCAAAGACAAAGGAAAAAAAAATTGACAAATGAACAAAACCTCCAGGAAGTCTGGGACTATGTTAAACATACAAACCTAAGAATAATTTGTGTTCCCAAGGAAGAAGAAAAATCTAAAAGTTTGGAAAACATATTTGAGGGAATAATTGAGGAAAACTACCCCGGCTTTACTAGAGATCTAGACATCCAAATACAAGAAACCCAAAGAACACCTGGGAAACTCATTGCTAAAAGATCATCGCCTAGGCACATAGTCATCAGGTTATCTAAAGGCAAGACAAAGGAAGGAATCTTAAGAGCTGTGAGGCAAAAGCATCAGGTCACCTATAAAGGAAAACCTATCAGATTAACCGCAGGTTTCTCAGCAGAATCCCTACAAGCTAGAAGGGATTTGGGTCCTATTTTTAGTCTCCTTAAACAAAACAGTTATGAGCCAAGAATTTTGTATCCAGCAAAACTAAGCTCCATAAATGAAGCAAAGATACAGTCTTTTCCAGACAAACAAACACTGAGAGAATGCACAACTACCAAGCCAGCACTACAAGAACTGCAAAAAAAAAAAAAAAAAAAAAAAAAAAGCTCTAAATCTTGAAATATATCCTGGAAATACAAGGTTCAAGATAGAACCTCCTTACAGTATAAATCTCACAGGACCTATATAACAATAACACAATGAAAAAAAAACCCAAAGTATTTAGGCAACAAATAGCATGATGAATAGAATAATACCTCACATCTGAATATTAAAATTGAATTTAAATGGCCTAAATGCTCCATTTAAAAGATACAGAATGGCAGAATGGATAAGAATTCACCAAGCAAGTGATCACACAACTGCACTCCAGCCTGGGTGACAGAGCGAGGAAAAAAAAAAAAAAAAAGAATTCACCAACCAAGTTTCTGCTGTCTTCAGGAGACTCAACTAACACAGAAGGACTCACTTACATAAACTTAAGAGAAAGGGGTAGAAAAAGATATTCCATGCAAATGAACACCACAAGAGAGCAGGAGTAGCTATTCTTTTATCAGACAAAAGAAACTTTAAAGCAACAGCAGTTAAAAAAGACAGAGAGGGATATAATATAATGATAAAAGGACTAGTACAACAGGAAAATATCACAATTCTAAATATATATGCACTTAACACTGGAGGTCCCAAATTTATAAAACCATTACTACTAGACCTAAGAAATGAGATAGACAGCAACACAATAATAGTGGGGGACTTTAATATTCCACTGACAGCACTAGACAGGTCATCAAGACAGAAAGTCAACAAGGTAACGGTGGACTTAAACTATACCCTACAACAAATGGACTTGAGATATTTACAGAACATTCTACCCAACAACTGAAGAATACACATTCTATTCATTAGCACATAAAACATTGTTCAAGGTACATCATATGATGTACCACAAAACAAATTTCAGTAAATTTAAGAAAATGAAAATTATATCAAGTACTCTCTCTGACCACAGCGGAATAAAATGAGAAATCAACTCCAAAAGGAACCCTCAAAACCACGCAAATACATGGAAATTAAATAACCTGCTCCTAAATGATCATTGGGTCAACAATGAAATCAAGATGGAAATAAAAAAATTATTTGAACTGAATGATAATAGTGACAAAACCTATCAAAACCTCTGGGATACAGCAAAAGCAGAGCTAAGAGGAAGGTTTATAGCATTAAATACCTACATCAAAAAGTCTGAATGAGCATAAATAGACAATCTAAAGTCACACCTTATAAAACGGGAGTAACGAGAACTATCCAAACCCAAGCCCAACAGAAGAAAAGAAATAATCAGAGCAGAACTAAATGAAATTGAAACAAAAAAAATACAAAAGATAAATTAAACCAAAAGCTTGTTTTTGAAAAGATAAATGCAGTTGATAGACCGTTAGTGAGATTAACCAAAAAGAGAGACGATCCAAATAAGCTCAATTAGAAATGAAATGGGAGATACTACAAGTGATACCACAGAAATACAAAAGATTATTCAATGCTACTATGAACATCTTTATGCACATAAACTGGAAATCCTACAAGAGATGAATATATTCTTGGAAATACACAACCCTCCTAGAATAAACCAGGAAGATATAGTATCTCTGAACCGACCAATAACAAGCAGTGAGATGGAAATGATAATAAAAATATTGTCAACACACAAAAAAAGTCCAGGACCAGACTGAATCACAGCTGAATTCTATCAGATATTCAAATAATTGGTACCAATCCTAGTGACACTATCTAAAAGATAAAGAAAGAGGGAATCCTCCTTAAATCATTCCATGAAGCCAGTATCACCCTAACATCAAAACAAGAAAGGACATAACAAAAAAAAGAAAACTACAGACCAATAACCCTGATGAACATAGACGCAAAAATTATCAACAAAATACTGGTGAATGGAATCCAATGACATTCCAAAAAGATAATCCACCATGATCAAGTGGGTTTCATACCAGGGATGAAGGGATGATTTGACATCCAGAAATCAATAAATGTGATACACCACATAAAGAGAATTAAAAACAAAAATCACATGATAATCTCAATAGATAAGCATTAGACAAAAATCCAGCATCCCATTATGATTAAACCCTCAGAAAAACCAGCATAGAAGGGACATATTTTAAGACAGTAAAAGCCATCTACAACAAACCCACAGCCAACATTATCCTGAATGGAGAAAAGTTGAAAGCATTCCCCCTGAGAAAAGAATGTCCATTGTCACTACTTTTATTGAACATAGTACTGGAAGCCCTTGCCAGAGCAATCAGACAAGAGAAGGAAATCAAGGCCATCCAAATCAGTAAAGAAGAAGTCAAACTGTCACTGTTTGCTGATGTGATTGTATACTTAGAAAGCCCTAAAGACTCATCCAAAAAGCTCCTAGAACTGGTAACTGAATTCAGCAAAGTTTCAGGAAACAAAATTAATGTACACAAATCAGTAGCTCTGCTATACACCAACAGTGACAAAGCTGAGATATTAATAACTCAACCCCATTTACAATAACTGCATAAATAAAATAAAATACTTTGGAATATACCTAACCAAGGACATGAAAAACTTCTACAAGAAAAACTACAAGACACTGCTGAAATAAATCATAAATAACACAAACAAACCCCATGCTCACGGGTAGAATCAATATTTTGAAAATGACCATACTGCCAATAGCAGTCTACAAACTGAATGCAATTTCCATCAGAATACCATCATCATTCTTCACAGAACTAAAAAAAAATCCAAAAATTCATATAGAACCCAAAAAGAGCCTGCATAGCCAAAAGCAAGACTAAGCAAAAAGAACAAATCTGGAGGCATCACTTTACCTGATGTTATACTATAAGGCCCATAAAAATGGGCACATATATCAATGGAACAAAACAGAGAACCCAGAAATAAAGCCAAATACTTACAGCCAACTGATCTTCGACAAAGCATACAAAAACATAAAGTGGAAAAGGTTACCCTACTCAACAAATGGTTCTGGGATACCTGGCAAGCCACATGTAGAAGAATGAAACTGGATCCACATCTCTCACCTTACAAAACTCAACCCAAGATGGATCAAAGACTTAAATATAAGACCTGAAACCGTAAAGATTCTAGAAGATAACATTGTAAAAACCCTTCTAGACATTGGCTTAGGCAATGACCTCATGACGAAGAACCCAAAAGCAAATGCAACAAAAACAAAGATAAATAGTTGGGACTTAATTAAACTAAAAAGCTTCTGCACAGCAAAAGAAATAAACAGCAGAGTTAACAGACAACCCAAAGTTTGGGAGAAAATCTTCACAATCCATACACCTGACAAAGATTTAATATCCAGAATCTACAGAGATGTCAAACAAATCAGGAAGAGAAAAAAAATCCCATCAAAAACCAGGCTAAGGACATGAATAGACAATTCTCTCAAGAAGATATACAAATGGCCAACAAACATATAGAAAAAAAATGTTCAACATCACTCATTAAGAGGGAAATGCAAACCAAAACCACAATGCGATAACACCTCACTCCTGCAAGAATGGGCATAATAAAAAAAATAGATATTGGCATAGATGTGGTAAAAAGGGAACACTTTTATACTGTTGGTGGGAATGTAAAATAGTAAAACCACTCTGGAAAACAGTGTGGAGACACCTTAAAGAACTAAAGTAGATTTACCGTTTGATCACCAATCCCACTACTAGGTTATCTACCCAGAGGAAAAGAAGTCATTATATGAAAAAATAATTTTGCACATGAATGTTTATAGCAGCACAATTTGCAACTGCAAAAATATGGAACCAGCACAAATGCTCATCAACCAATGAAGGGATAAAGAAATATGGTATACCATGGAACACTACTCAGCCACGAAAAAGGAATGAAATAATGGTATTTTCAGGAACCTGGATGGAATTGGAGACTATTATTCTCAGTGAAGTAACTCAGGAATGGAAAACCAAACATCGTATGTTCTCACTTACGTGTGGGAGCTAATCTATGAGGATGCAAAGGCATAAAAATGATACATTAGACTTTGAAGACTCAGGGGAATAGGTGGGGCGTGGTGAGGGATAAAAGACTACACATTGGCTACAGAGTACACTGCTTGGTTGATGGGTGCACCAAAATCTCTGAAATCACCATTAAAGAATTTATTCATGTAACCAAACACCTCCTGTTCAGTAAAAACCTATTGAAATAAAAAATGAAAAATTTATAAAAATAAAAAAATTAAATATTAGAAAAGAGAAGAAAGCAAAAAATATTTTAGTGTCATATTTATGAATTAGTTGTGTGCATCTAAAATAATGACCAATTAAAAAACAACCTTTTAAAAGACTGGTAATTATTCATTTTCAAATAATTTTAGAAAAGCTTAAAATATATATTTTACCCCTTCAATCATACATCATAACTACGTCAAAAATGGCATGAGACTTTCCTTACAGTGAAATAATTGCCATATATTCTATCTTAAATTATCTGCAATAAAACCAAAGTAATGGACAACCCTAGACCCAAAATATTTTAAATTTTATTTGGGAAAAAATGCACCCTAGATTAATTCATCATTAAGTCTTTTCTATGATACTAACTAGTATTGAATGCAATAAGGCAGATTTTCAAACAAATAGAATAATATCAATTATTATTTCTATTCTCATTTAATCTGACAAAGGTCTAATATCCAGAATCTACAAGGAACTTAAACAAATAAAGCAAAAACCAAAAAATCCAATTAAAAAATGGGCAAAGGACATCAAGAGATATGTCTCAAAAGAAGGCATACAAGCATTCAACAAGTATATGAAAAAGTGCTTAACACCACTAATGATTAGAGAAATGCAAATCAAAGCCACAGTGAAATACCATCTCATACCATTCAGAATGGTGGTAATTAAAAAGTCAAAATATAACAAGTGCTGGTGAGACTGGGGAGAAAAGGAAACACTTATACCTTGTTGGTGGGAACATAAATTAGTTCAGTCACTGTGGAAAGCAGTTTGGACATTTCTCGAAGAACTCAAAACAGAACTACCATTCAACCCAGCAATCACACTACTAGATATATACTCAAAGGAGAATAATTCATTCTATCAAGAAGACACATGCACTCTTACGTTCATTGCAGAACTATTCACAAGAGCAAAGACATGGAATAAACCTATGTGCCCATCAATAGTGGACTGGAAAAAGAAAATGTGATATGTATACACTATGGAATACTATGCAACTATTAAAAAAGAATGAAATCATGTCTTTTCAAATAAGATGGATGCAGTTGGAGGCCATTATCCTAAGTGAATTAGTTCAAGAACAGAAAACCAAATACCACATGTTCTCACTTACAAGTGGGAGCTAAACATTGAATACACATGAACATAAAGATGGAACAACAGACAATGGGGACTATTAGATGGGGGATGGAGAGAGGGAGAGAAGTGTGGGCTAAAGAACTACCTGTTGGGTACTATGCTTTCTGCCCTGGTGACAGGATCGCTCAGACCCCAAGCCTCAGCATCACGCAGTATACCCATGTAACAAACCTGCACATGTACCATTTAATCTAGAATACACTATTAAAAAAGAAAAAAGAACAGAATAGACCAAAGACTGATTACAATGTTTATATTATTAAAAGCAAAATTTATAAGCAGATCAAAAGATATTCAAAATAACTGTCACGGAAATGCAAATCAAAACCACAGTGAGATTCTATCTCACACCCATTAGGCTGGATACAATTAAAAAAAAAATGTTAATTTCAAAAACAGAAAGTAACAAGCTTTTGCCAGAATATAAAAAATTGGAGCCCTGCATGCCATTGATAATAGTGTAAAAGGCAACAGTCACTGTGGAAAATACGATGGTTCCTCTAAAACAATTACTATATGATATAGCAATTCCACTTCATAGTGTATACCCAAAAGAATTGAAAGCCATGTCTTGAAAAGATAACTGGACATCCATATTCACAGCAGCATTCTTCACAATAGCCAAAACATGGAGTCAGTGTATGTTCACCAACAGATGAAGAGATAAGCGAAATATGGTATACACATACAATAGAATATTATTCAGCTTTAAAAAGGCAATACATTCTGATGTATGCTACAATATGGATGACCCTTGGTGACATTATGCTAAGTGAAATTAGCCAGTTAGAAAAAGACAAATTCGATATAATTGCACTTATATGAGCTACTTATAGTAGTCAAAATCATTGAGACAGAAAGGAGAATGGTGGTTGACAGGGGATCAGGGGAGAAGGAATGGGAGTTATTGTTTAATAGGTACTGTTTTTGTTTAATAGGTATTGTTTAATAGGTATAGTTATTGTTTAATAGGTATTGTTTAATAGGGAATGTTTAATTATCTTGTTTAATCCACTTTTAGTTTTGCAAGATGAAAAGAGTTCTGGAGATGGACGGTGAAGATGGATGTTCATTATAAATGTACATCCTCTCATTGAAATAAACAAAAATTGTCAAGATGGTATTTTTATGATATGCATATTTTACTGCAATGGAAAAAGCAAAAAAAAGTAATTTTAACAACTTCAAAGGGCTCATGTGAAAGATTTCTTTCTTATAACTTTATCACATTAAAATTTTACTAAATGAAAGTGTTTCCCCCTGGACAATGCTTCATTTCTCTACCCATATGTCTTATTGCTGCTTCTATTTCCATTTGTCTTCTGCTCAGTGATTGTCAGTTTCAGCTGCTTTCTCGGGTGCCCACAGTATCAGAAAAGTATCCTAGTAAAGGCTGAGAGGGAGATACAAGCTTTTTATTTAATGTAGGGAGCTTTCCTTGATGAGTTTTCATTAAATTATTCTCCTCACTGATATAAACATTACAAATAAAATTATTTCTATATTCTTATTTTATATATTTGCCTCACTTATGTTTAAGTATCTAAAAAAAAAATCAGGAAATTCCAAGAATCTGACTGGTGCAACAAAAATATTCAGATGACATCACCTAATATTTACAGAAACAAAATAAAGGACCTACTACTATCAGTAATCTCAAACTAGACTAGCCAATTGTCGAAATTCCACAGAAGAGGCAATCTACTCTCTAAAACAGTGACATAATGTGATAATAAATTCCTTTACTTTTGCCAAAATGGCCACTTAGTGGAAGAGAGAACATAAAGAAAATGAAAAACTACTTTATTTGACCTTCTTATGAAATCTTCCTCATTAGAGGCGTCTACTTTGTTTCAGAGAATTTTAGTGATAGGTTGCTTCTCATTAAGGGGAAATCCCTTGTGACTTAGTTAAAAACATTTGCAAAAAATTGGCAGAGATTTTATGTGCTTGAACTAATCCTCATTATTTTCTTGCTTTAAAAGTATTTCCAGTGATTTCTCTTTGTTTCTCAGAAAATATACTATGTATAATTATAATGAGATATACTGACTACACTGAAATGTTCTATACATTAGTCTAATGATAGCTAGTATCAGTATTAAGTGAAAAAGACAGAATAAAAACTCCATCTGTTTTTAAACATCATGAAAAAAAGTGAGCTTCTCAAATGATAATAATCTTTAAAGGCAAAAATGCATCAGAATGATTACATTGACATGCACCAAAAATGATTTTATCCAATCCAATCTACATTTCCCTTCATTCAATATTTTACTTATGTTCACGACAGTCATTCAGGGACAAATTGGATTACACTGGTCTGAACAACAGTTCACACTTTTTCTGTTCCACATCCATCTTTCCTTTGTGGCTTACTATGGTACTATATTCTCAATTAGTAGGGCACACAGCTTCTACCCATTTTAATGAGTAAGAGAAGATGGAAGATAAAAATGAGTGCACATATGCTCAGAAACAGAAACTGGAACATTGAAGAGCAGTGATTACACAAGCTGAAGGGAAAAACTTGTAACAAAATGGAAAGTTAACACTTTAGGTCTTGTTTCCCAAAACGCTAAAGCAGAGTATTTCAAGATATTAGAAATATTTCTAACTCTAAGAAATGTAGCAAAGCAATTTATAACAACTCCGAGTAATGCCAGAGAAAATGTTATGTACTAAAATATAATGAATCTATTAAATTTTACTCTAAATTAAATTTCTTTGTTATCCATCTCAAAACTGTTACCAAACATTTAGTGAACAACTATTGTGGGTGCCAAACATAGGTTGCATGATAATAAAGAAATATTTTATCTGTTAAGAGAAACATTAATATGATACCAAGAGTTATTAATTCTGAATCTGTAATTGATAACATGAATCATATTAGGTTCCCTTTCTGATTGCCTGTTATTAATATGTAATGAAAAAACAAAATCAATATAGTCTTATGAAGTCTCAGTTGCCTTACATGTTTAATCAGGATTTGGATCCAGACTGTCTTTTGCATTTCTTTAAGGAATACTCTAAGTTTTAAAAGCCTTTCCTTTATTACCTCTCAAGATCATTTATTTCAAAATCAAACTTTACTTAATCCCTCACTGTTACCTCTTCCCGCATCTCATACCATATTATTCCCAACATGGAGCCCAAAATCCTTTTGGAGTCTGTGCAGATTGAAACAGATATCTACTGGCTGTTATCAATATTTCAAAAAGAAAAATGTATGCATGCATTCCATATGGTCATGCAATTATATTTATTGTTTAGTTGTGAAGGAGTCTGGAATTATATTAATTCAGTGTGAGATTGTCAAATAATAAAAACTAGCAAACTGATTAATACTTTGTTTTAAAAGAGTGGATACATTGAGTGTGGAAATTTTCTGTGAAGATAAATTGAAGTGGTAAAGAGCTGGAAAATGATACATAGTCAAATAAAGTTGTTCTTTTTTTAAAAAAAGATGGGTAATATTAATATATGATCTGCAAAGGTGGGGGAATATAAGAGAGAGGGATGGGGATAATGTAGGCATTTGGATGAGGCAGGTGGACTAGACAATGTAAAGATGAAATTATTTTGACTTGTTAGATTATTTTCTCTATTTTGCGGTAAGGTCAACAGATGAATGTGGGAATGCATCTTACTAGGACTTGTAGTAGTCATGACTGTTGAAGCTGGGTGTTGACTTGAGTTTTGAAAATATAAACAAACAATGAGGCCAGTAGCATGGTGGTGGATCGTTTTACAATGGTTTAGCTTAGGATTGAGCAAATTTCTTCTATAAAGGAACAGATAATAAAGAATTTTTGGCATTGTGGGCCATACACGTTTTGTTCCACTATTCAACTCTGCCAATGTAATGTGAAAGTAGGCATAGATAATGCAGAAATTACTAAAAGTGGTTGTACTCCAATAAAACTGTATTTATAATAATAGGCCGTAGTCCACTTAGTGTGCTGACTCCTGATTTAGCAGCTTGTGTGTGCAAGTGAAGGTGGAAGATACATGGATATCAATAGTCTTTTCTTCCAGTGAGTATAACGCAATGAGAGAAGTGCAAGAAGATTAAGGGTGTTTCCAAAAGATTTAGGTAAATGTGTTGTAATATAGACTCTAAGTCAAGTAAAAAGGCAAGTGAGCACATGAGAACAATGATGGACAAGGATTCCCGGTCCCAATAGAATCAGAGAATGCTAGGAATGAGGATACCAAACTCAAGTGAGCTGGAAAGACAGGAGGCGGAGGTGAAGGTTAGATAGGGGTGCATGAAAGGGAGATTATCCAGAGATGGGGGTAGTTATTGAGGGTAATAAGGTCCATAGGATAGGTGGTGGAAATGGCATGGACAGGAAGATTATTTTTAATTTAATTTTATTTTACATTCAAGGTGGTACATGTGCAAGTTTGTTGCACATTGTTGCATATTGATGGGGATTGGGCTTCTAGTGTATCCGTCAGCCAAGTAGTGAACAACGAAACCAATAGGTAAGGCTTCAACCATCATCCCTCTCATACCCTACTCCCATAAGAGTCCTCAGTATCTATTATTTCCATCTTTATATTCATGTGTACTGATTGTTTAGTTCTCACTTATAAATGAGAACATGTGGTATTGGAATTTTTGCTTCTGAGCTATCTCACTAAGGATAAGGGCCTCCAGCTGCCTCCATGTTGCTGCAAAAGACATTATTTCATTCAATTTTATTATGAAATTAGTATTTCATGGTGTATATATACCACATTGTTTAATCCAGTCAACCACTGATGGGCATCTTAGTTAATTCTATGATTTTATTAGTGTAACTAATGCCGCAAAAAAGATATAAATGCAGGTGTCTTTCTGATATAATGATTTCTTTTCCTGTGACTAGATACCCCCATGGTGGGATTGCTAGTTCAAATGGTAGTTCTATTTTTAGTTCTTTGAGAAATCTCCACACTGTTTTTCATAGAGGTTGTACTAATTTACATTCCCACCACCTTGTAAAAGGGTTCCCTTTTCTCTGCAACTACGCCAACATCTGTTGTTTTTTGACTTTGTATTATTATTTTATATAAATAAACATTCTGAATGGTATGAGATGATATCATATTGAGATTTTAATTTACATTTCTCTGATGATCTATGATGTTGAGCATTTTCATATGTTTGTTGGCCACTTGTATGTCTTCCTTTGAGAAATGTCTGTTCATGTCCTTTGCCCAGTTTGAAACGAGGTTAATTCTTTTTGTCTTGTTGACTTGTTTGAGTTCCTCACATATTCTGGATATTAGTCCTTTGTTGCAAGCATAATTTGCAAATATTTTCTGTCATTTTGTAGATTAAACAAATTTAATCTGTTGATAATTTTTTTTTTTTTTTTTTTTTTTTTTTTTTTTTTTTTTTTTGCTGTGCAGAAGCTTTTGGGTTTAATTAAGTCCCATTTATCTATTTTTGTATGTGTTGCATTTGCTTTTGGGATCTTCTTCATAAATTCTTTGCCTGGGTCAGTGTCCAGAAGAGTTTTTCCTAAGTTTTCTTCTAGGATTTTTATAATTTCAAATCTTATATTTAAGTCTTTAATTTTTAAGTATTGAGTTAGTTTTTGTAAATGGTGAGAAACAGTGGTACAGTTTCATTCTTCTTCATATGGCTAGCCAATTTTCCACACACCATTTAGTGAATAGGGTGTCATTTTCCCCTTGTTTATTTTTGTCATCTTTGACAAAGGTCAGTTATGTGTAGGTATGTGCCTTTATTTCTAGGTTTTCTATTCTGCTCCATTGATCTATGTTTCTATTTTTGTACCAGTACCATGCTGTTGATGTTCTAGTTACTACGGCCTTGTAATATAATTTGAACTCAGGGAATAAGATGCATCCAGATTTGTTCTTTTTGTTTAGGACTGCTTTGGCTATTTTGGCTCTGTTTGGGTTCCATATGAAATTTAAAACTGATATTTCTTACTCAGTGAAAAACAGTGTTGGTAATTTGATAGAAATTCATTAAATCTGTAGATGGCTATGGGCAGTATGGTCATTTTAACGATATTGATTCTTCCATCCCATCATATGGGATATTTTTCCATTTGTTTATGTCATCTGCAATTTCTTTCTTCAGTGTTTTGTAGTTCTCCTTGTAAAGACCTTTCAGCTTCTTGGTTAAATGTATTCCTAGGTATTTTATTTTTGAGAGGGCAATTGTAAATGAGATTGAGTTTTCATTTGGTTCTCAGGTTGATCATTATTGATGTATAGCAATATTAACTATCTTTTTATGTTAATTTTGTATCTTGAAAATTTACAGAAGTCATTTGTCAAGTCCAGGAGTCTTCTGAAGGAATATTTGGGGTTTTCTAGGTATACAACTATTTCATGAAGGAACAGGGATAATTTCACTTTCTCTTTTTCAATTTGGATGCCTTTTATTTCTTTCACTTGCCTGATTGCTATAGCTAAGACTTCCAGTACTATGTTGAATAGAAGTTGTGAAAGTGGACACTTTTTTCTTGTTCTGGTTCTTAGGGAAAATGCTTTTACATTTTCCCCATTCAGTGTGATGTTGGCTGTGGATATGTCATATATGGCTCTTATTCTTTCGAGATATTTTTCTTCAATGACTGGTTTGTGGAGGGTTTTTAACAAAAAGGATGCCAAATTTTATTGAATGCTTTTTCTACATTTATTGAGATGACCATATGGTTTTTGTTTCTAATTGAGTTTATGCAGTGGGTCACATTTATTGATTTGCATGGTTGTTCATATTGTTAAACCATCTTTGCATCTCTGGAATAAAACCCAGTTGATCATGATGAATTATCTTTTTGATGTGCTACTGGATTTACTTTGCTAGTATTTTGTTGAGGATTTTTGCATATATGTTTATCAGGGATATTGGCCCTTTTTTTCTTTTTTTTATTATACTTTAAGTTCTAGGGTAAATGTGCACAACGTGGTTTGTTACATATGTATACATGTGCCATGTTGGTGTGCTGCACCCATTAACTCGCCATTTACATTAGGTATATCTCCTAATGCTATCCCTCCCCCCTCCCCCCACCCCACGACAGTCCCAGGTGTGTGACACTCCCCTTCCCGTGTCCAAGTGTTCTCGTTGTTCAATTCCCACCTATGAGTGAGAACATGCGGTGTTTGGTTTTTTGTTCTTGGGATAGTTTCCTGAGAAAGATAGTTTCCAGCTTCATCCATGTCCCTACAAAGGACATGAACTCATCATTTTTTATGGCTGCATAGTATTCCATGGTGTATATGTGCCTCATTTTCTTAATCCAGTCTATCATTGATGGACATTTGGGTTGGTTCCAAGTCTTTGCTATTGTGAATAGTGCCACAATAAATGTATGTGTGCATGTATCTTTACAGCAGCATGGTTTATAATCCTTTGGGTATATACCCAGTAATGGGATGGCTGGGTCAAATGGTATTTCTAGTTCTAGATTCTTGAGGAATCGCGACACTGTCTTCCACAATGGTTGAACTAGTTTACAGTGCCACCAACAGTGTAAAAGTGTTCCTATTTCTCCACATTCTCTCCAGCACCTGTTGTTTCCTGACTTCTTAATTTTAATGATCGCCATTCTAACTGGTGTGAGATGGTATCTCATTGTGGTTTTGATTTGCATTTCTCTGATGGCCAGTGATGATGAGCATTTTTTCATGTGTCTGTTGGCTGCATAAATGTCTTCTTTCGAGAAGTGTCTGTTCATATCCTTTGCCCACTTTTTGATGGGTTGTTTTTTTCTTGTAAATTTGGGTTCTTTGTAGATTCTGGATATTAGCCCTTTGTCAGATTAGTAGATTGCAAAAATTTTCTCCCATTCTGTAGGTTGCCTGCTCACTCTGATGGTGGTTTCTTTTGCTGTGCAGAAGCTCTTTAGTTTAATTAGATCCCATTTGTCAATTTTGGCTTTTCTTGCCATTGCTTTTGGTGTTTTAGGCATGAAGTCCTTGCCCATGCCTATGTCCTGAATGGTATCGCCTAGCTTTCCTTCTAGGATTTTTATGGTTTTAGGTCTAACATTTAAGTCTTCAATCCACCTTGAATTAATTTCTGCATAAGGTGTAAGGAAGGGATCTAGTTTCAGCTTTCTACATATGGCTAGTCAGTTTTCCCAGCACCATTTATTAAATAGAGAATCCTTTCCTCATTTCTTGTTTTTGTCAGGTTTGTCAAAGATCAGATGGTTGTGTGATATTATTTCTGAGGGCTTTGTTTTGTTCCACTGGTCTGTATCTCTGTTTTGGTACCAGTACCATGCTGTTTTGGTTACTGTAGCCTTGTAGTATAGTTTGAAGTCAGGTAGTGTGATGCCTCCAGCTTTGTTCTTTTGGCTTAGGATTGACTTGGCAATTTGGGCTCTTTTTTAGTTCCATATGAACTTTAAAGTAGTTTTTTCCAACTCTGTGAAGAAAGTCACTGGTAGGTTGATGGGGATGGCATTGAATCTATAAATTACCTTGGGCACTATGGCCATTTTCACGGTATTGATTCTTCCTATCCATGAACATGGAATGTTCTTCCATTTGTTTGTGTCCTCTTTTATTTTGTTGAGCAGTGGTTTGTAGTTCTCTTTGAAGAGGTCCTTCACATCCCTTGTAAGTTGGATTCCTAGGTATTTTGTTCTCTTTGAAGCAATTGTGAATGGGAGTTCTATCATGATTTGGCTCTGTGTTTGTCTGTTATTTGTGTATAAGAATGCTTGTGATTTTTGTACATTGATTTTGCATCCTGAGACTTTGCTGAAGTTACTTATCAGCTTAAGGAGATTTTGGGCTGAGACAATGGGGTTTTCTGAATATACAATCATGTCATCTGCAAACAGGGACTATTTGACTTCCTCTTTTCCTAATTGAATACCCTTTATTTCCTTCTCCTGCCTGATTGCCCTGGCCAGAACTTCCAACACTATGTTGAAAAGGAGTGGTGAGAGAGGGCGTCCCTGTCTTGTGCCAGTTTTCAAAGGGAATGTTTCCAGTTTTTGCCCATTCAGTATGATATTGGCTGTGGATTTGTCATAAATAGCTCTTATTGAGATATGTCTCATCAATACCTAATTTATTGAGAGTTTTTAGCATGAAGGGCTGTTGAATGTTGTCAAAGGCCTTTTCTGCAGCTACTGAGATAATCATGCGGTTTTTGTCTTTCGTTCTGTTTATATGCTGGATTACGTTTATTGATTTGCGTATGTTGAACCAGCCGTGCATCCCAGGGTGAAGCCCACTTGATCATGGTGGATAAGCTTTTTGATGTGCTGCTGGATTTGGTTTGATTGGTCTATGTTTTTATTTTGTGTTGTTGTGTCCTTTCTTGATTTGAGTATCAGGATCATACTGCTTTTATAAAATCAGTCAAGAAAGAATCTCTCCTTTATTTTTTTCAGTAAGTTTGGTACCAGTACTTTGTACATTTGGTAGAAGTTCAGTTGTGGATCCATCTGGTGATGGGCTTTTTTTTTTTTGGTAGATTTTTTCATTACTGATTCAGTTTTATTACTAGTTATTGGCATATTGAGAATTTCTAATGTTTCCTGGTTCAATCATGGGGTTCCAGGAATTTTTTCCATTTCCTCTAGGTTTTCTAGTTTGTGCACATAGAGATGTTTATAATAGTCTCTAATCATTTTTTTTTCTGTGGTATCAGTTGTAATGTCACCTTTATAATTTCTGATTATACTTGAATCTTCTGTTTTTCTTCATTGAGCTCATTAGTGGCCTATCGATTTTTTTTTATCCTTTCAAAAAACCAACTTTTCATTTTGTTGATCTTTTGTACCATTTTTTCAGTCTCAATCTCATTTAGTTCTGCTCTAATGTTTGTTATTTCTTTTCTTTTGCTAGCTGTGGGTTTGGTATGTTATTGATTTCACAGTTTCTGGAGGTGCAAAGTTAGGGTATTAATTTAAGATACTTCTATCTTTTTAAGGTAGGCATTTAACACAATAACCTTTTCCTCTTAGCACTACTTTTGCTGTATCCCAGATATTTGGTATATTAATATTATGTCTCCTCATTCAAGATTTTTTTGAATTCTGCTTTAGTTTCTTTCTTTACCCAAAATTCAATCAAGAGCAAGTTATTTTACATGAATTTGTGTAGTTTTAAGAGTTCATACTGGTATTGATTTCTAATTTTATTCCACTGTGGTATAAAAAGACATTTGATATAATTTCAGTTTTTTTAATTGATTGAGATTTGCTTAAGGGTCAACTTAATCTCATGTGGTTGACTCTGGAGAATGTCCCATGCACAGATGAAAAAAAATGTATATTCTGTAGTTGTTGGAAAGAATGTTCTATAAATGTCTATCATATCAATTTGCTCTACAGTCCCCTTTAAGGTTATAATTTCTTTGATTTTCTGTCTTAATAATCTGCCTTCTGTCACCAGTGGGGTGTTAAGGTCCCCACTGCTATTGTGTTGCTATGTTTTCTTAGGTTAAGTAGTATTTATTTTATGAATCTGGGTTTTCTGGTGTTGGGTGCATATATATTTAGGATGGTGATATCTTTTTGTGCTATTGAACCATTTATCATTATATGATGCTTTTGTCTTTTTTTTTAACCATTGTTGGTTTAAAGTATGTTTTATCTGATATAATAATGGTTATTCCTGCTTGCATTTGTTTTCCATTTGTGTGATATGTTTTTTTCCACCACTTTCAGTCTGTGGGTTTCTTTCGTCATTAGGTAGTTTCTTGCTTGCAGCAAACGGTTGGGTCTTGTTTAGTCCAATTTGCCACTGTGTATCTTTTAAGTGGAGCAGATAGGCCATTTATTTTTAATGTTAATATTGATATGTGAGGTTGTGCTTCTGTCCTAGTGTTGTTAGCTAGTTGTCTTAGTGTTAGCTAACTGTGTAATTGCTCTATAGGATCTGTGAGCTTTGAACTTATGTAATGTCTTTTTTGTAATGGCAAGTGCTATACTTTCTTTTGCATGTTTAGAACTCCTTTGAGCATTTCTTGTAGGACCAGTCTAGTGGTGACAAATACCCTTAGCATTTGTTTGTCTGGGACAGACTATTTCTCTTTCATTTATGATGCACAGTTTGGCAGGATACAAAAGTATCGACTGGCATTTTTTTTTTTCTTTAAAGAGGCCAAAAATAGGCTCCCAAGCTCTTCTGGCTTGTAAGGTTTCTGCTCAGAAATCCAGTGTTAATCTGATGAGATTTACATTATAGGTGATTTGATGTTTCTCTCTAGCTGCTTTTAAGATTTTTTTTCTTTCAGGTTGACTTTGAATAATCTGATGACTGTTTTCCTTGATGATATTTGTCTTATATATTATCTAGCAGCTGCTCCTCAAATTTATTGAATCTGGATGTCTACATCTCTAGCAAAATCAAGAAAATTTTTCTTCATTATTCACTCAAATGTGTTTTTCACATTTTTTTACTTTTCCTTCTCCCTTCAGAAATGCTTATAAGACATAGTTTTAGTGACTTTATATAATCCCAGATTTCTTGAAAGCTTTGTTCATATTTTTAAAATCCTCTTTTCTTTATTTTGTTCTGTGTTAATTTGAAAGACTAGTTTTCAAGTTCTGACACATTTGTTCTGCTTGGTCTAGTTTATTGTTAAAGCTTTCATGTGTAATTCCTTAAGTGAATTTTTCATTTCCAGAACTCTGTGCCATTTTTCCTTTTTTTTTTTTTTTAAGATATCTAACTCTTCCTTCATTTCCTGGATTGCCTTTCTGGTTTCTTTGTGTTGGTTTCCAATCTTCTCTTGAATCTCATTGAGTTTTCTTACAATCTAAAGTTTAAATTTTTTATTTGCTGGGTGTGGTGGCGCACACCTGTAATCCCAGCACTTTGGGAGGCCAAGGTAGGTGGATTACCCGAGATCAGGAGTTCTAGACCAGCATGGCCAACATGGCAAAACCCTATCTCTAGTAAAAATACAACAATTAGGTGGGCATGGTGGTGGGTGCCTGTAAACCCAGCTAGTCGGGAGGCTGAGGCAGAATTGCTTGAGCCTGGGAGGCAGAGGTGTCAGTGAGTACAGATCATGCCATTGCACTCCAACATGGGTTACAGAGCAAGACTCTGTCTCAAAAAATAATAAATAAATAAATAAATAAATAAATAAATAAATAAATAAATTATGTGTCATTTCTGCATTTTCACTTCAGTTAGGGTCTATTACTAGAGAGCTATTCTGATCCTTTGGTGGTGTCATGACATTCAGATTTCTCATAGTCCCAGAATTCTTATGCTGATCCCTTCTGATCTGGAGAAGCTGACACTTCTTGCTTTTGGATTTGTTTTCATTTGGATTGGATTTTTTTTTTCTATTTTAAATTTTCTCCATCCCTTGATGGTGAGACAATAAAGCATGTTGGATAGGATCTTCTGGCTTTGTTCCTTTAGCCCTGTGCACTTCTGTCAGCAGGTTTTATATTGGATTGTGCAGTTCAATCTATAGGCTAATAAATGGCAATTACAGGTAATAGCCAATTGCAGTAAAAGCAGATGGGTATGTACTTGATCTTTGTTTACCATCAAGTGCTCTCTGCTTCAGACAATGGGCTGGATAGAGGTGTCCATTGTGCCCCGAGTTTCCTGTTCAGTGCAGGCCCAGGTGGGGTCAGGCACAGCTGGCTAAAGCTGGAACACCTGGCTTGCCTATGATATCCCAATGATGACAAGGGCGCTAGCCCTAATAGGGGTGTCTGGAGAAGCTCCTAGTGAAATGCACTGAGGTCTCTGTGGAGGTGAGGGGTCTGTACAAGTTTTACATCCAAGATAGACAGAAATGAGATCTGTTTCCCTATCATACCCCTGGTCCCAGGGCTCATGACTCTCAGGTTAGATGCATACTATAGTCTACCTCCAGGCCACAGTGTAACTGAAAGCCGTGGAATACATCTGTCCCACAGCTCTACACAGGAGGGGTTTCAGGGCAGAATCTCTTCACTCAGTCCAATACAGACAGCTTTGTGGCTCATCTGATCTCCAATGCAGTAACACTGCTGCTTCATGTACAGAAGGGGAGTGACTTTACCTTTCAGAACATGTGGGTGGGCATTAGCTGAGGTGGTTGTGCCAGCAGTTTAGGTCAGCCTGACCTTAGGACCCGGGGAGAGTGGTCAGATGCCAGCAGTTTTGGAATGGGCTAGGCAATTCCACAGCTCCCAAACATCTAGATGGCCCATTCAATGGCATGTATGAGTCCTCAAGGGACTGGACTGGGACTGGGCCAGTGAACTAGTTCTCAGGGCCCCAGAATTCAGGTGCTGGCTGTGATAGGGATGGGTGACTGGCCTCTAGGCCACAAGCAGAACTCTCAGGTGAGGGCAGGCAGAACTCTCGGGTGATGGGAGCTCTAGCGCGTTTCACTGGAAAAGGCAATGCCTCCTCAGCTGGAGCAATGGAGACTGGCAGCTGTGTAATACACAGCCTGCTTGCATTTTCCTCTCACAGAAGTGGTAGTAGATTTCGCTGTCCAGAACATGCAAAGGTGCCCAGCCTACTCACTCCCTCCCTGGTCCAGGGCAGCCGGGGCAGTGGTGGCAGTGGTGGCAATTGCTGTGGCAGCCAAGGACATATTGCTGCCCTCTGGGGACAGGACTCTCAGAGGAACACCAGGCTGCAGCTATAGTACTCACATGGGGACAGGGTGACTCCACTGAGGAACTGACACTGAAGCATGGACCCCATTTAGCAGTGGGTTGGGGAGGCGGGGAGTCGTGTGGTGTGTAGTCTGCCCACTCCTCTGTGGATGGCTGTGGTAGTTGTCTTTGAGTCACATGAAAGTGCTTAATCTTCCCACTCTGAGAAGTGGCAGCTGGTGCTAGGTTGCTTGGGGAACAAAAACCTGTGAGATGCCACATGACCTTGAGCAATGCCTGTGTACAGTCTTCAGGCAGCTCCCTGATTACTCTGCAGACCCAGGTTTGGGGGAGGAGGCTCTCCCCCGTCTAGAATTGTAAAGGTCCATGGCAGAAGTGTAGAACCCTGGGGTTCTCTCACTCATCCCTTCCCTGCATTAGGGGTCCTCTCTCAGCTGTGCACTGGTCCCAGCTCAGCAGGCTGCCTGGCTTCACTCTCCTCTGCTTTCTCTGATTCCAATTGCCTATCTGATGAATTCCAGCATGCTCTCTTAGAAGATCTACTTGAATTGTTAACATTTACTTGCTATTTTGATTCCTCTCCATGACAGAGGTGTCCACTAGCTGCTTCTAGTCAACCATCTTGAACTGGAATGAACACTGGTTGTTTTTTTTTATTTTTTTTAATAAGCTTTTTCAAAACATGAAACTGATTTGTTTTGTTTTGTTCTCAAGGTCGTGGATTGGAGGCAATGTTAACATGCCCCTCCAACTTGGAAAGACAAACTGGTGTGTAGAGATTTACACTGTGAACTTTTTTTCCAAGCAACAATGCAGGAACTTAACAGGAACACTGAAAGAAACCACAGACCCTTTGAAAGAAGCAGCAGGCTGCAGCCTACACCATGAGCCATGCAGAAAACTGTAAGCCTCCAGAGTAAGAGCTGGGGATAAACTGCCTCTAGGATTCACACTCCCTTGTGGGAACCTGTCAATCCAGGCCAAGGGAGAAGTCTTTCACCATACCCAGTGCTGGAACTGATTCAGAGAGCACTGGGGAATATCAAGGAAGAAGCAACAGTAGGGAGAGCCTTGTGTGCATTTTCAATCTCCAGCATGGACCGAGGGAAGTTATTCCTGATCCTGCCTCACAGGGGCCTTGAAGAAGTCTGCCAGCTAAATCAGGCAGTGGTCACAGGTTGAAAGAAGCTTCCAGCTGAAATTAGTGATATAATCTCAATTGAGGATGAACTCCCTTGGCCAGAATCAGGGGGTGAGTGAGAAGCCTACTGTAGCCACGAGCACAGAAATTGGGCACCCCAGGTTTGCAGGTGGACTGGGAGGGGAATGGTCTGAAAGCTGTGGTTGCTGTCTCCACCAGGAAGGTTTATGGCCTGGGTCAGATTTTAGTTCTGAGCACAGACTGCCTGAAACTTAGCTAGCTGCAGCTGGTGGAGCAGTGTGGGTGTGGGACCTGCCTTGCCAAATGCATGGAAGCTGGGTGGGGCTTACTGCTGCCTGCTTACTCCCCACTCCCTGTGCCAACACTTCTTCACAGCAGAGGCAGCTGCATTCTGCCCTGGAACATGACCCCAGTGTCCAGAGAACTGCCCCCTCACACCACAGGGGCCACAGTTTGCCCTGGAAGCAGAAAGCCAGAGTGCAGGCCTGCCTGACCCAGCCCCCACCTGGCTTTGTCCCTCCACCCACCCTGATAGCTTAACACAAAGGACAGAAACTTTTGGCAGCTCTACGGCCCCACCTATAGCTTGAAAATCCAGAATACCTCTCCTGGGTAAAAGGCAAGCACACATCCCATTGCTACTACTGCAGCTGGTGCCCTTTGCAAATGCCACCTCTTGGCTGGAGGCCAACCAACACGGTCCATCACAGCATCTCTGGGTAGAATAACCTACACCCAGGAAGAAGAAAACTTGTATGTGACCTCAGCCATCACCATTGCCTACAGGACCTGGCTAAATACGTGGTCCTGAGTTTGTCCATGTGACCAGTTCATTACTACTACAATCAGTATCTGAGAAAGCCAACACACTATGGCTATTTATAACCAAAGGATCTCTAATGTAGATAGAGTCTACATCACTCTCCTGCCCGTTGTTGGGATACGTGAGGATAGGTCACATCACTGGATTTCTTGTAGACATTCCCCAGCACCAGCCTGGAGTGTGGCAGCACCACTGGGTGGCTAGACTCAGAGGAGCAGCAGCATTTACAGTAGTCTGGCTCTCAGGGCCTCCTACTCCTAGGGGAAGGGGGAATGCAACACATCATGGGAACACCCCATGGGACAAAAGAATCCAGATGGCAGGACTTGAGTCCCAGAACTTTCCACAGGTGGAAAGTTTCATTCAGCAGAGACACAGGTGCAGTGCTAGGCTCAGCAAGGAAAGTCTGTAGTTCCACCCCAATAGTCAGGCAGCCCTGATGCTCATGAAAGGTCTTGGAGAAGGAGACTTCTTTCTCCCCTTGTCCACCACTGCAGATACAGCTGGGGCTTCCACCATGGGAGCTTGGCATGGGTTTACCTATAGACAGCCTTTCTGGAATACTTCAGGGTGTGGCTGCATCTCCACAGGAGAAGGGCCCTCCAGGTTCAGGCTTGCACAAGGAGTACAGTCACAATTCCTCTCTACTTGGAAAATCAACATTCCTGTAGATGAAAAGAGGTGCCTCTCTGATGAATAGCCAGAACATTGGGTCAGGAGTGTGTCTGGGTCAGGAGTGTGTCTAGGAAGTGGATCACTTTCCTGCTAGCCTGGCAGGAGAGCTGAGGTGGCGCCTACTCTTTCCCTGACAAGACTTCAGTCTATTCCACTGAGAGCTCCTCCATGCACTTCTGTCAGGACAGAGGCATTTGCAATACCCATTGATGGACACCTGCTTTTGCCACACCAGTCTCTACCCAGGGACACCACTCCTACTGGCCTGAAGCCTAAACTATTCAACCCAGTAAATAAATTATTGAGGGGAAAATAGATTTTTAAATAAGTGTACACCACAAGAGAATGAGATAAGCCTCAAGAAACTTCTGCCATTCCAACCTCACAGGAGACAGTGAATTTGCTCATACACCAAACACATTGCTACTACAATGAGCATCTGAGAAAGCTACTACAAAAAGGCCCTCTATAGCCTAGGAACCCATACAGGGTCTTGACCTCTGAAAGCACCAAGAGCAGAATTAGCTTTCAATCTGCTATAAAAATTAAATTCACATCTCCAAGGAAAAATAAAGAAATTTTAAAAAACAATAAAATCAAAAATAAACTAAGAAATAATTAGAACATATAGTCTGCCCAAATAAGAAGCAACCAGAAAAATACTTCTGGTAATATGACAAAACAGGATTCCATAACATCTCCAAAAGATCATACTAGCTTTTGAGCAATGGATCCAAACCAAGATGAAACCTCTACAATACCAGATAAAGAATTCAAAAGGTTGAATATTAAGCTACTCAAGGAGATATCAAGAAAAATGGAAAACATAAAGAATATAGAAAAATGATTCAGAATATGAATGAAAAAATTTATAAAGAGATAGATATTTTACAGAAAAACCAATCAAGCTTCTGGAAATGAAAGATACATTTAGGGAGTTACAAAATGTAGTGGAATGTTTTGACAACAGACTAGACCAAGTAGAAGAAAGAATTTCAGGGCTTGAAACAAGTCTTTCAAGTCAACTCAATCAGAAAAATAATAAAGAAAAAAGAATCAAAAGAAATGAGCAATGTCTCCAAGAAATATGAAATTATTTAAAATGGCCAGACCTAAAAATAACTGGTGTTCCAAATAATTGGTGAGGGAGAAGAGAAAGCAAAAACATTGGAAAACTTATTTGATGGAATAATTGAGGAAAACTTCCCTGGCTTTGTTAGGCAAATTTAGATGTCCAAATACAAGAAGCTCAAACAACTCCTAGGAGAGTCATTGCAAAAAGGACATCACCGAAGCATATACTCATTGGGATTTCTAAAGTTAACATGAAGGAAAGAATTCTAAGAGCAGTGAAACAAAAGCATCAGGTAACCTCTGAAGGAAAATCTATTAGACTAACAGCAGACTTCTCAGCAGAAACCTTACAAATCAGAAGTATTAAGGTCTTATCTTTAGCTTCCTTAAATAGAATAACTGTCAGTTAAGAATTCTGTATTCAGCAAAACTAAATTTCAAAAATGAAAGAGAAACAGTTATTTTCAGACAAACAAATGCTGAGGAAATTTATCACTACTAGACCAGCCCTACAAGAAATGCTAAAAGTAGTTCTAAATGTTGAAACAAAAGTCCTATATGAAACATAATAGAACCTCTTAAAAGCATAAAACTCACAGGGCCCATAAAACAATAACACAATGAAGAAAACAAAGTATCTAGATAACATTTTGCCTGAAATAATACCTCACATCTCACATTAATGTTGAATGTAAATGCCCTAATACTCCACTTAAAAGATACAGATTGGCAGAATAGATTAAAACCATCACAAACCAAATATGTGCTGTCTTCAAGAGATTCATCTAACATATAAAGATTCATATAAACTCAAGATAAACAGCTGGAAAAAGATATTTGATGCAAATGGAAACCAAATGTAAGCAGGAGTAGCTGTTCTTATATCTGATCAAAAAGACATGGAAGAAACAACAGTTTAAAAAAAAGACAAGGTCATTATATAATGATAAAATGATCAATTCAACAAGGAGATATTATAATCCTAAATTTACATGCACCTAACTCTGGAGCTGCCAGATTTACAAAACAAATACTACTAGACCTAAAAAATGAGATGAATAGTAATGCAATAATAATGGGGAACTTCAACATTCCACTGACACTAGACAGATCTTCAAGACAGAAAGTCAACAAAGAAACAATAACTTACACTACACTCTAGAACAACTGGACCTAAGAGATGTTTACAGAAAATTCTACCCAACAACTGCAGAATATACATTCTTTCACCAGTACATGGAGCAGTCTCCAAGATAGACCATATGATAGGCCACAAAACAAGTCTTAATGAAGTTTAAAAAAAAATGAAATCATATCAAGTACCTTCTCAGACCACAGTGGAATAAAACTAGAAATCAACTCCAAAAGGAACCCTCAAACTAGACAAATACATGAAAATGAAACAATCTGCTCCTAAATTATTTTTGGGTTAACAATGAAATCAAGATGGAATTTAAAAAGTTATTTGAAATGAATGATAATAGTGATGTAATTTATCAAAACCTCTGGGATACAGCAAAAATAGTGCTAAGAGAAAAGTCTGTAGTGCTAAATGCCTCCATCAAAAAGTATAAAAGATCACAAATTGACAATCTAATATCATACCTCAGGCAACCAGAGAAACAAGAACAAACCAAACCCAAAGCTAGCACAAGTAAATACACAACAAAGATCAAAGCAGAACAAAATAAAATTGATACAGAAAAACAATACAAAACATCAATGAAACATAAAGTTGCTTCTTTGAAAACAAAAACAAATTGATAGACCATTAGCTAGATTAATCAAGAAGAGAGAGGTTTCAAATAAGATTAAAAATGAAAATGAAGACATTACAACTGACACTACAAAAATACAAAAGATCATTTGAGACTACCATAAACACTTTTATGCACACAAACTAAAAAATCTAGAGGAAATGAATAAGCTCTTGGAAACGTACAATCCTCCTAAATTAAATCAAGAAGAAATACAAACCCTGAACACACCAATAACAACCAGCAAGACTGAATCAGTAATTTTAAAAAATGCCAACAAAAATAAGACCAGGGCCAGATGGATCCACAGCTAAATTCCACCAGACAGTCAAAGAAAAATTGGGACCAACCCTGCTGGAACTAGTCCAAAAGATTCAGAAGGATAGAATCCTCCCTAACTATCTATGAAGCCATTATCACCCTGATACCAACACTAGGAAAGTATATAACAACAACAACAAAAAAGAAAACCACAGACCAATATCCCTGATAAATACAGATGCAAAAATCCTCAATAGAATACTAGCTAACTGAATCCAACAACACATCAAAAAGATAATAAATCATGATCAAGTGGGTTTCATTACAGGGATGCAGGGATGGTTTAACACATGCAAGTCAAAAAATGTGATAAATCACATAAACAGAATTAAAAATAAAAACCATATGATCATCTCAACAGATGCAGATAAGGCATTTGATAAAATCTAGCATCACTGTATGATAAAAATCCTCAACAAACTAGCCATAGTAGGGGCATACCTCAAAATAATAAAAGCCATATATGATGGATCCACAGTCAATGTCATACTGAATGGTGAAAAGTTGAAAGCATTCCCCCGAGAACTAAAACAAGGCAAAGATGTCCACTTTCACTACTTCTATTCAACATAACACCTGAAGTCCTAGCTAGAACAATCAGACAGGAGAAAGAAATAAAGTGCATCAAAATTGAAAAAGAGGAAGTTAAACTATCATTGTTCACTGATAATATGATTGTATAACTAGAAAGCTGTAAAGATTACTCCATAAGACTACTAGATTTGATAAATTCAGTAAACTCTCAGGTTACAAAATCAATGTACACAAATCAGTAGCACTTCTATATACCAACAATGATCAATCTGAGAATCAAATCAAGAACCCAATTCCTTTTACAATAGCTGAAAAAACTAAAATACTTTAGGATATACTTAAACAAGGAGGTGAAAGATCTCTACAAGGAGAGCTAAAAGAAACTGCTGAAAGAAATCACAGATGACACAAACAAATGGAAACATATCCCAGGCCCTTGGATTGGCAGAATCAATATCATGAAAATGACCGTACTGCCCAAAGCAATCTACAGATTCAATGCAATTCCTATCAAAATACCAACATCATTTTTAACAGAACTCGAAAAAATATCCTAAAATTCTGTGGATTACAAAAATAACCTTAATAGCTAAAGCAATCCTAAGCAAAAAGAACAAACCTGGAGGTATCACATTACCCGACTTCAAATGATACTACAAAGTCATAACTACCAAAACAGCATGACACTGGTATACAAGTAGGTGCATCATAAACCAATGGAACTAAACAGAGGGCCCCAAGTAAAGCCAAATACTTACAACCAAAACTGAGGCTTGAGAAAGCATTCAAAAATATAAATTGGGGAAAGGACACCTTATTTAATAAATGTTGCTGTGAAAACTGGATAGCCATATGTAGAAGAATAAAACTGGATCCCTATCTCTCACCTTATATAAAAATCAACTCAAGATGGACCAAAGACTTAAAGCTAAGACCTGAAACTATAAACATTGTATAAAATAGCCTAGAAAAAAGCTCTTTTGGACATTGGTCTAGGAAAATAATTTATGACTAAGACCCCAAGAGCAAATGCAACAAAAACAAAAATAAATAGGACCTAATTAAACGAAAAAGCTTCTGCACAGCAAAAGAATTAATCATCAGAGTAAACAGACAACCACAGAATGGCAGAAAGTATTTGCAAACTATGCATCTGACAAAGAACTAATATTCAGAATCCACAAAGAGCTCAAATAAATCAGCAGGAAAAAAAACAAATAATCCCATCAAAAAGTGGCCAAATGACATAAATAGACATTTCTCAAAAGAAGATATACAAATGGCCAACAAATATATCAAAAAATGCTGAACATCACTAATCATCAAGAAAATTCAAATTAAAACCACAATGAGATACCATCTCACCCATGCAAGTGTGGTCATTATTATAAAGTCAAAAAAAGAATAGATGTTTGTGCAGGTATGGTGAAAGGGAATGCTCATACACTGCTGGTGGGAATGTAAATTAGTAAAACATCTAAGGAAAACAGTATGGAGATTTCTCAAAAAACTAAAAGAAGATCTAGCATTGTATCCAGCAATCCCACTACTGGGTATCTCTCCAAAGGAAAATAAGATATTATATCAAAAAGACATCTGCATATACATGTTTGTTAGAGCACAATTCACAATTGCAAAGATATGGAACCAATCTAAGTACCCATCAACCAATGAGTGGATAAAGAAAATATGGTATATATACACCATGGAATATTACTCAGCCATAAAAACAGAATGAAATAACATCTCAGGCAGCAACTTGGATGGAGCTGGAGGCCATTATTCTAAGAAGTAACTCAGAAATGGAAAACCAAATACCATATGCTTTCACTTATATGTGGGAGTTAAGCTGTGGGTATGCAAAGGCATACAGAGTGGTATAATGGACTTTGGAGACATAGAAGCGGGAAGATGAGAGGGAGGTAAGGGATAGAAAACTACATACTGGGTACGATACACACTACTCAGGTGATGAATGCAATAAAATCTTAGGTTTTACCACTATACAATTCATCCATGTAATCAAAAACCATGTACATCCCCAAAGCTATTGAAATAAAATATATTTTTTAAAAAACATGAAACCATGGGCAAAAATTAATAGAAATTATCAAAAAATTTGGGACAAGATTAGCAATGTTATTTCATGACTTCTGTAACTAGAAATGTCTCATATCTGATATTTCCACTCCTATTTTCTTTGCCACCGATATGTCCTCCTCACCACGCAGAGAAACATTTTCATTAAATAATTTACCCTGTTCAAGAATATAAAATATTTACTCTGAACTTCTCTATTTGGATCTTGTGAAAATCAATAGTTTTGTTCTATTCTGAACAAAAGGTAGATTATTTAACCTATCTTGCTAAGAAAGTCATGATAGATTTCAGTCAATTTATGAAAATTTACAAACAAAATATTTGTAGTATGTGTACTATATTTTAAAAGTGAGTTGTATCAATTTAATCCAAAACACACTGAGAATTTGTCAATATGTACATATTTAAAACTACTTACATGTAGGCACCAGAACTTTTCGAAATAATTTCACTGATTTATCAAATGTCTTCATTAGCATCAATGAATACTTTAAATGCATTTTAACGTAGCTAAATTTTTTTTTGTATGATAAATCTGGTCCTTTTGAATACATTACCAAATGTTTTTCAATGTAAAAAGAATTTTCTCCAGAATTCTAACCTTTTCAATTACTGGCATTTTGAGTCAATCAACAGTTATGTAGCCATAATTTTTATTTTTCAGGTGCTATGGAAATCTTGACTCTCAGATTAATTTGACTAGAATAGCTGTCACTTTCTAAAAATGATAATGATTTTGAAAAATAACAATAATTTTATTGAATTTTTTTTTTTAATGGCATCTGGCTCTGTAGCCCAGGCTGGAGTGCATTGGCACAGTCTCGGCTCGCCGCAAGCTCCGCCTCCCGGGTTCACACCATTCTCCTGCCTTGGCCTCCTGAGTAGCTAGGACCACAGGCGCCCAGCACCACGCCCGGCTAATTTTTTTTATTATTATTATTTTTAGTAGAGACGGAGTTTCACCGTGTTAGCCAGGATGGTCTTGATCTCCTGACCTCGAAAATACAGTACAAATTTTTAAACATATACTTTTCTAAACATTGTTTTCCTAGTAAAACATTAAAATTTATAAATATAAGGTATAATCCTACTTAGCCAGGGTTTTATGGTGAGCAGGAACTGCGTTTGTAGATGCATTTCTTATCACGAGGCATTTCTTCCTGATAACTTATGATATTATGAATCTACATAAAAATGAATCTTTTATTTTTTGTTTCCCTTAAGTAGGAAAGATGAAAGAATCATTCTAATAACTTATAAAGGCAGAGTCTTTCACATCCAAATCAGTCTATGTACATATTTACTCACTAAAGAATTCAGACATGAAAGGAGAAAGAATCCTATATGCAGTCTTACAAATCTGCAAATTTCTTATGCCTTTATAAAGATTCTGATGCAAATTTTTTCAGTTTAATTTTAATCACCACTTGTACATGCCTTCAAATTAAGTGACTGAATGTGTTATAGCAATAGATTTGAGGAATAAATCATCCTGAAAAAAAAAAAAGAAAGAAAAACTATGCATGGAGAAGAAAGAACATTAACATCTTTTTAAACAGAGGGCTTTAAAAAAATAAAAAATAAAAAAAAAAAAAATATATATACACTCTTATCTCTTTAAAGCTTCCGTAAGTTTTGGCAAACATCACACCAGTTTCATCCAACTCCTAAACCTGGGAGTTGATCCAAAATTCTGGTAGTCAGAGATTTGCTAAGTGTGCTGTTGTTCTATTACCTGACATTTTTGGCTTATTTTGAAACATTTTTTCTCCATTCTTTAAATTTTCTTTTCCTATTGTTTTCAAATCTTAACAGTAATGGCAGAGCTATTTCTTTCTTCTTATTTACAAAAAAAAATCTTTACTGTTACGGCCCCATACATAAAGCAATTTACTTGTTTCATAATTTAAATCATTAAAATATTTGCTTTTTGTTTTGCATTATGCCCTCAATAAGGACGTTATTTTTAAGTTTTCAGTAAATTACACGAAATAAATTTATTTAGAATGTTAATTGTTTCTTTATAGAATTAAATGATAAATTATTTATTATCAAATTTATGAATGTATGTATAGCTGTCTCTATAAGATTCCGAGTTTGTTTTCTAAAAAAAAGTAGGTACATTTTTAAAAACAATATTTAATCAAATATGCTTATAGACATAAAATTCCAGCTATTACTAGTAAGTAACAGTATTACAATAATGACTCTGGTTTAGCCATTTCTTAGGTAATACATGCTTTGTGGCTCACCAAGTATATATTATCTCCAAAAAAGAAATTTAAAGGTCTAATTGCATAAGCAGTTCATACATAGGTTCTAATAAGTTTATAATATTTTTTAATAATAGATATTATAAGTTTATCTATGGAATATTCAGTACTAGCTTCTACCTACTTCCCTGGAAAATAACGTGTCTAAGGAGTAATTCAAAGAAAGAGGTAAATACTGAATTATTGTATTTAAGCTAACTTTTTTCTGTGGCTCAATTAACTGATCTGTTAAAACAGAGGAAATGAACATTGTTTAAATAATTACATTCATTATAGTAAAAGGTAAATAAATGAGTATTCTCTTGGGTAGGGATCTACATGCCTAATTCTTTGTCTTAATTTTTCACTTTTGAGTGGCTGTTGTAGCATCACATCCAAGAGTATCATTTATTCCAGAAATCTTTTTTTTTTTTTTTTTTTTTTTTTTTAGATGGAGTCTCGCTATGTTGCCCAGGATGGACAGTGCAGTCTTTGGTCCACCTTAAGTTGATTTTTTTTTTTTTTTTGAGACAGAGTTTCACCCCGTTGCCAGGCTGGAGTGCAGTGGCATGATCTTGGCTCACTGCAACCTCTGCCTCCCTGGTTCCAGTGATTCTCCTACCTCAGCCTCCTGAGTAGCTGGGATTAGAGGTATGCGCCACACACCTGGCTAATTTTTGTATTTTCAGTACAGATGGGGTTTCACCATATTGGTCAGGCTGGTCTCGAACTCCTCACCTCGTGATCTGCCTGCCTCGGCCTCCCGAAGTGTTGGGATTACAGGTGTGAGCCACTGCGCCTGGCCAAAGATCTCTTAGAACACTTTTCTCATAGATGATTAGTAGATGTTGAGGGTGTGGGAGCATAGAAAATTTTCTAGGATATATTGTTAAGGAACTTTTGGATTAAATAAAAATCTACGAAATTTTCTCTTTGAAGGACTTCTTAAAGCCTAAGAGAAGATAATCAAATACACTCATTATTATCTTCTTACTAGCTGCAGTTGAATGGCTCTCATATGCTTTCTGTTGTTCTAAGTGAGGTCCATCTTGAACATAAGGAACAGGGACTGGGCCTACATGTGGTCACATAGAGGAATGGGCACCAGGCAGTTGGTTTATATCATCATTTGGCATCATTTGGTGAATGTCTTATAGATAGTGTTTAGATTAGATAGGTCACATATACCCACATTCCATTTTATCAAATCATCAAAAAAATTATTTAAATTGTACCTATGTCAATATTTCCCAAACTTTCGTGATGATTTTAAAACAATCTGAATGATAGTTAAAAACAGGTATTTTGAGATCTTACACTAGACCACCTGATTCAGAATCTGTAGACAAGGGGGCCATTAATATAGAATTTCAATTTATTTTTCCAGGGGTTCTTATTAAGAAAAGAAAAGCTAGAAAATAATATATTAGGATGGATAATAGAGTCTAGTCAGCCAAATTTAGCTCCGTTTTTTCGAAAGTGCATTTTATTCATTCTTGTGTGCAATAAAACTCAAGCTTTACAAATTTTCTGGGTGGCAGTAATCCCTCTGCATATACTTAGAATATAATAATATGTGCAAGTCTGATGATATTTACAATTTCCCTTAAGGTCCTTAGATGGTGCACATTACGTTTCTTATGGCATGTAAACTTTTAATTTATCTTTTTAAAATTAAAATGTTTGTGGTTAAGTCTAAGGTAGGTGTATATACCTACATTAAATATTAACTCACACATACATAACTATAGAGATATATCGACAAAATTAATGCTTTAACAACTTTTATCCATTATATCCAATGGGAAACGTTACGATTCTATAACAGATTATATATTCCTGAAACATGAATATTTACACAAAGCAGATGTTTTCTTCAGCTCTATTGTATTTCTAACTTTGCCGGTATAGTGTTCTTCTTAAGTATGACTCAATATTTGTAATATGAAATTTTTTAAATTTGGAAAGTATTCTTTGTTTGCTTAAATATTAAGGAGAAAGAAACTCTTTAGAACCCATGGAATAGTATCATAATCTTAAAATTTCTTTTTTCAATTTTCAATGTATTCATCACACACACACAAAAAAAAACTTGTCAACTGAAAAGCTTTTTGATGCTAAGAACCCTGCTAGGGTTGAACAGTGGGTACAAAGAGAGGATTGAAACAGAATACCTAGCCTAACAGGATTCACGGCCTAGCACAGAAGATGAACATATAAATGCATCGTAGAAACATCAGGGGACAAATGCCAAGAAGCTAGAGGCCTGTGGGCATCTGGTAAAAACTCATAAAGGACATAACCTGAAAGAAGAGCAATGAAGGCAAAACAGGAGCTTCCTTCTGGAGAAGAAAGGGAATAGCATTCCCGGATACAGTAGGGGGAGCTCAGGAATTGGACATGACCTGTGTAGATTGTGGTGACGGAGTGTGACAGGCATGAATGCGACCACGTGTCAAGTATAGAAGACTCAAGTAAGCCAATAAAAGAAATGCATTAAAAATTTCTAAGGTGAATTTAGACTATAATCTGCAGACAATGAGGAGTCAAAGATTTTTTTACAAGAGTGATACTGTGAGGTGGGAGGGATGAGAAAATAATACAAATTAGAAGGAAGCTGTAATATGCTGTGCAAGAGGTGATGAGGGTTTAACCTGGAGGATTCAGAGCAGAGATTCTTCATCTTGGCTAAACATTTGAATCAGCTGGGGAGCTGCAAAAGTATAATGGCCCAACAGTACTTTAGATCAAATACAGCAGCATCTCTGAAAGGGGTGAAACCAAGGCATTTGTACTGTTGAGAGCTCCCTTGGTGATTCTAATGTGCAGCCACAACTGAGAAGCAATTACATTGTCGGTTCTAGTGGGCTGAATGGCTGACGCGTTTGGGTGATAAGAGCAAGGAAAACGTAAGATTGGTTCCAGAGATTCTTACTGGAGGAACTAAATTGTTCAGCATTAACAATGATGCAAAATATGAGGACGACTAGTACTGTGAACATGATAGTGAGTTCAATTTTTAATATTTTAAACTTAAAGAAAAGCATGTTACAATATTGTAGAGGTTCTTTCTGCACTTGTTTATAAAATATTATTTTTGGGAGAAGGAGAAAAGCTCCTACGGACAAAATAAAAAGAAAGACAAAGAAGAATGTAAATATTAAGATTTCTATCAATAGAATCTCTGAGTCTCCAGCCTCTGGAAATACAGTCTCCTCCTTTTTTTTTCCTTTTTTTTTTTTTTTTTTTTTTTGAGACATAGTCTCACTCTTGTCTCCCAAGCTGGAGTGCAGTGGCGTGATCTCGGCTCACTGCAACCTCCGCCTCCCAGGTTCAAGTGATTCTCCTGCCTCAACCTACCGAGTAGCTGGGATTACAAGCACCCGCCACCAAATCCAGCTAATTTTTTTTTTGTATTTTTGGTAGAGATGGGGTTTCACCTCGTTAGCCAAGCTGGTCTCGAACTCCTGACCTCAGGTGATCAGCCCTACTTGGCCTCCCAAAGTGCTGGGATTACAAGTGTGAGCCACTGCATCCGGCTCTTCCTCCAGTTTAGCCTGAGTTGTTTATTATTTAGCTTCAACAAACAATCACATATTCATTCTATGAGCCAGGTTTCATGGTACAGGCTCAACAAAAGACAAGTAAGACTTAGTTTCAATTTTACTTAAAGCTTATTATCTTCCTTCCAGACTCTGGCCGCTTATATCCCTGTCCTTCATTAGTAAACGTCACTGAGGCAGGGCAGGATTTACCTACCCAGAAGCTGGATAATTCTTACAATGAAACACTAAAACTAAAGGAGAGATCTAGAATTAAACAGCACTATTTATCTCGTGTTGCTGATAGATTTCAGCATATAACTAAACCGGGCGGGTTAGGTAAGGTGAATATGTGGGTAGGGGGATAAGAGTGAGAGAAGGATTTATTTGCCTCCAGATGATCTCTGCATGCGTAATCCTAGTAAAGTTCAGATTACCTCTATGCACCAACCTATAATTTATGTAAGTTATAAAAAAATGTTGAAACAACAACAACAAAAACTACCAGGGTACTAGTTACAAAAAACTGTTAACATCTCAGCTTCTACTCTAGTTCCTCACACCAATGATTAAATTCGATATTCAGGTGTTCAAAGAAAGATCAGTATTTGATAAGTGAATAATAATAATGTAAACTACGCCTAATTCTTTGTATTTTTGTGTGGTTAAGCAGTACTCGGCCTTTTTGCCAGTGAGTATTAAACTAATATTTTATGCAAGTGCCTTGCTTAAAATAACACATTGTCTTCATCATCCCCAATTTTAAATACTTCTGTGTTCCTAACACTTGTGTATATTTAAAATGTTGTATAAAATTTAAAGTATTCAGAACACACAGAGGTGCAATATCTCTGAAGAAATAATGTTATTAGGTAAAGTTGAATTTAACAGAAGGTCTAAGTAAAGAGATGTTTAAGAAAGGAGAGTTTATAGCTTAACAGTGACTAAAATTTATTAATAAGTAGATGTTTTAGCTCAAAGTATTTACATTTAATGAATAATTAAATTTTTGAAGTTCAAAACCTTGAACAGGTTCCAGAAAATAAAGCAGGTTTTTCAAACTATGTGCCAAGAAGCTAGTAAATACTATTTAGATTCATAGTAAAACAGAGTCGGCATTTAATCATAGTGGAATAGATATAACCTTTAAGATATTATTTTTTTCTAAAGATATTATCACATATAATACAAACCCACAACAACTTAGCTATAACATGCTAGAAATATTCCATTAAAATTGAAAGCAATACAGATATATCTCCTAATATTTCTGGAGGTCCTTAAAAGTACAATGAAAGACATGAAACAGAAATGAGAAATAAACACAGAAAAGCAAGAGAGTAAATTGGTCAATAAATTGCAGAACAACATAAATGTAGAATAATATTTAACATACCAATAATTTCAAATTATAAAATACAATAAAACCTCAATTTCAACAACAAAAATACAAACTGAATAGGAAAAACTTGAAAAAAATGTGTGCGACATGTATTTTTAAAGGTCTTAAAATAATACTACAAAATATTTTCCTAAAAATGTGAATAATTTAAGATAAAGATAATTTGAGGCGATGGGAAGGCTGATTGCTTTAAAGGTGTTAAGTGTTTACATATTTATTTGGAAGATGAAAACTGTTCCTATCTAAACATAATTGAGAATTGTTCGAGACTTATTAAAATATTCTAAAGTGTATCTAGAGATTTATCCTGATGAATAAAATATCTGACAAATGGAAAGCAATATGTAGGCTGCATATGATAATTTAATACATTATAAAGAAAACATATGCAACTGAAAAGTCATGAAATTTATCGAAAAGTGATACTTTAACAATGAATATGAAAACATAATTTTAACTTCCACGTCATAAACCTAAATAATGCCTAAATAAAATAATAATTAAAAATTATGGAAGAAACTAAAATCTAATAGGGAACCAAATATATTTTTTAAATACCTCAATAATAAGAGATGTATTTCTCATTATTCAAACTATGAACATAATTATAATTGCAAAAGAAAGGAGGAACAGTTAATAAAAACATCCATATTGAAATATACATATAAAATTAATAGCTACACAAACTATGAAAATATTTTTAGAATATAAAACAGAGAAATGATTTGAGTATTTGTTGTATACAGGCCTCATTCATATTAAGAAAATATATACTCCTTTAAGAATTAATGGACCAAAAAAGCCTACAAAGAGAAATGTATCTATTTATTTCTTCAAAAAAATATTTATTGAGCACAAACTATAAGGTAAGCAAAGCACTGTTCTAAATCTGAAGAAAGGGCAGCAGATAGACAATAAGCAGTGCCCTTAAGCAGGACAGATTGACATTAAACAAGATGAGAAATTGTGGTTTAATATATTAGAATACAATAATTGCTATGGAGAAAAAGAATGCAGAGAAAGAAGAAATGTGGGTGATAGTGGGAGGAGGCAGACTGTAGCTTCCAATTAACAAATAAGTAGTTGGAGAATTACAATGTAACCTAAAATTTAATCCTCGCTATTAATAGTATAATTTTGATTAAAATAATATATAGATGTTTTGAAAATAATGAAAGTTAATGGGCAACTATCATTCATGAAAATGTATAATGCTATAATTCTTTCCAAAAGCAAAGTGGTATATTTATCAGAATTCTTAAGAATGTTCATAACCCTTGACTCAGGAATTCCAATTCTAGAAACTTAACTGAAGTAAACAGAATTAGAGAAATAGCTTTTAAGAAATGCAATGCTCAACGCAGTTTTAACAGTCAAAATGTTAATAAATTTGGAATTGGGAAGACTGAATGTCCACCAATATTTACACAGAGCTCAATGTTATCCTTATACACATATTTTCCGTGGTCATTAAAAATTATGCCTGCAAGACCTATAAATACATGGAAAATATTTTTAAAAATCAGATAATTTTGTTGTATATAAAATTTTCTTCAATTATGTTTACATATGGAAATGTTTACAAGCAAAACAAAAATATTTCAGAAAATAAAATATGTAGAAATAATTTGACTTAAGATGTTAGTCTTTTTTTTCTAGAATTACAGACTTTTATAGTGAATGGGACTATACAATCACTAAGTTTAACTTCTCAACCAATATAGTGCCACTCCACATTATGCCTAAAAAGAGTAACTCTTTAGCTAATGTCAGAGATAGAGGTCCACTCTCTGCAAAAATAGACTTCTACGTAACTTCCATGTTATCCTACAAGCCCTAAGTTTATCTGACTAAATTACAAGTTCCAGACTGGGAACATATGAAAGGATGTAAGACAAGTGCCTTACTCATTTGTCTAACCACATAGAATTTTTCCAACTAGAAGCGTGATATTAACAGTTTCTTCCCTGTGCACCATCGTTGAAGTCCAGATGGACTGGACTGTACCGTCACAGCTAAATTCCCTTGCTCACAGTGCCATCCTTTCCAAGAGAAGACAGCCACTCTTTTCTCACCTCCTTGTTAAATAAAGTCTTCCTCATGGTTTACATCATGGTTTTTATCCTCCTTATTTAATAGTATAAATAACATTTGTAATAATAAGCATAATAACAGCAATACAAACACATTATAAAAGGACATAATTAAGAAGTAACTAGTGGAGATACTTAACAAATGTAAATTCTGTTAGTCCCTCTCTACCCCAAACCACAATGTAGGTACTTTATTTCACTTTTCCAAATTAGGAAACTGGTGTTCAGGAAGACCAAATAACTTGCTGCAGTAACACAACTACAAATTTAGCTGAGCGGAAATTTGTCCTTGAGTCTTAAAGAAGCCAAAGCTAGTGTTTTGTGGTTCTTTCTTCCATTTTTCCACATCATCATAACCTTCCTAGGATCCTTCAGCTAGAACAAATCTCTTTTCCGTTTCTCAAATGTACTTTGAATGTGAATTTTAGGCTACCTTGTATAATATTACGGCTATTCATACCTCTCTTTCTCATACCACCTAGCCATCTCTCTCTGTCTCTCTCTCTCTCACACACACAGACACAATCAGTACAGAGAAGAAAATATTTGCTCAACAAATACCTGCTGAACTGACCTAAAGAGAATTCCAATTAACCTATCACCAGTAACCCTTTCTTAGCTGTTTTAATTTCAGTATGAAAGATAGCATAAGTACGAAATCCCCCGAATCTACCATCAAAGACCAACCCTACTGACACAGAACTGTAAAAAATGTAGAGCAGTGAAAATGGAAAATAATTTTAATACTTCTAAAGGACAAGAGTACATAAATCCTAGGTGGTGCTACATTTTACTATTGTAGTTATTGGCATTATGGAATAAAGTTTTAAATGGACTTTTTTCAAGTCAAATATCATTACAGAAATGGGGCTATAACTGTACACTGTGGTAAATTTTCAGCATCTAATGACTCATGAGTGCTTGCCAAAACATGCAGATTTTGAAAGAAAAAGTTCAACTCTTTTTTGATTTACTACAGAGTAAATCACAGAAAAGTTAGTGTTGCATTTGGCCACGAAGTTGAGAATAAGATACAGAAATTAGCAAAATAAAAATATCTAACTAGCTTAATCCTTTTCCTGGGAAAAGAAAAATATCTAACTAGCATACCCCCCTTCCTGGGAAACTTTGATCACTACCCTGTGAAAGGTTTTCAAACAATTATGAATGTATTTGCTCTAAGAATATTTCCATGAAATTATTGTCATATATGGAAAGAGAATTATATGCATTTAATGAGTTGACTGGAAAGTAGGCAAACATGAGTGAATGAGGTTTGTATAAAGAATAAATAATAGATATTGAACTAACATAAAATCCAAATAGCCAGGAAGGCTATTCTTATTGGTTAAATATTTCTTATTACAAAGAATGCTGAATTCAATGTTCAAAAGAAATGTTTTAGTCCATTTGTAAGATCATTACCGTCTAAAGGCAATACTTTAATTCTAGGTAAGTCAGTAACATATCCCATTAAAGGGAGCCATACAAATTTATGTCCTCTGTGTTTTGAAGAGGACATGTTATAAACAAACATATTATGTTATGTTATGTCCTCTTTGTTTATCTTTAAAACTGAGAAACAGATAGACTACTTGTGTATAACAAGCATCATACTGGCAGAAAATAACAAGTTTCCTTATAATTGTATTAATGTGATAAAAAATGCAGTAAGAATATTTAATTAGCTCAACACATAATTTTAGCTATATCGTCTACTAAATCAGCTTTCTCCCGTCTTAATCATTTGCCTTCATACCACTTCAATCATTCAACCAATGTGATCAACTGTATCCTCTAATTATCTCATACCTCTTTTATGATTTTCTTGTGTGTCTGTGTGTGTTTGTTTTTGAGACAGGGTCTCACTCTGTCACCAAGGTTGAAGTGCAGTGGCACAATCATGGCTCACTGCAGCCTTGACCTCCTGGGCTCAGGTGATCCTCTCACCTAAGCCTCCCAAGTAGCTGAGACTACAGATTACAGGTGTGTGCCAACATGCTCAGATTATTTGTGTATTTTTTGAAGAGACTGGGTTTCTCCATGTTGCCCAGACTAGTCTTGAACCCCTGGGCTTCAACAATTCACCAGCCTCAGCCTCCCAAAGTGCTGGAATTACAGGGATGAGCCACCACACTCAGTCTATGTTTTTCTATATCAAGCCACTCATTAATTTTAAGCTATAGCCTATTAATTGTCATACCTGCCTCCAATCTAATAGAGAAACAATGACCATTCTATTCTTTTGTCTAAAATTTATTACTACTGATTTGGAATACAACTGCTTTAGTATAACATATCTTCTGATTTTCTTATTGTCCACCCCTCTAATTCATCACTCTTTGTCTCGCTCACAGTCAACTATTTTCATTTACCTTAACTCCCCGTGATATTTCACACCTCATGTCTGTTCTCGTTATTGTCCCCCAGGACTCCCTACTTTGTGATTTCTAAGTATCTTTCAAGACTCAGCTCAAGTGTTACCTCTTTTTGAAATTCATCTCTAGCCACTCTTTCATCAACACCCCAGTAGTTGGATTCTTCTTCTCATGCATCTTTTAAGGTTAGCTAGAACTAAAATTCAAAGTGTGTTTTTTGCTACATATGAGTTATTTACTCTGAACAAGTTAACCTCACTATGCATCAGTTATCTCATCTGTATAATAAATATAATAATATAATAACAATATAATATAAAGGTTATTGCTTCAGTGAAAGTAAAGTACATTGCCCAAAATATTTAGGTCTTTTTCTCTGACCTGTGCTGTTTATACTTATGTAATACTGGTAAGAGTGGTTTGCCCTAATTTATTTTTTGTGTCCCCGAGCAGACTCTCTGAACACCTTGAGAGAAAATATGTAGTAAATTACTCAACTCTATCTCAGCACCTAATCTATGAGTACTAAGGACTGATATCCATTTCTCATGCGAGCATTCACTAAGGGCTAATGCTGTGTTTCATGGATTGGAAGTATATATTATATGGCCAGGTGCGGTGGCTCATGTCTGTAATTCTAGCACTTTGGGAGGCCAAGGCGGGCAGATTGCCTGAGCTCAGGAGTTCTAGAGCAGCCTAGGCAACACGGTGAAACCCAGTCTCTACTAAAATACAAAAGATATTAGCTGGGTATGGTGGCACACACCTGTAGTTCCAGCTACTTGGGAGGCTGAGGCAGGAGAATTGCTCGAACCCGGGAGGTGGAGGTTTCAGTGAGCCAATATTGAGCCACTGCACTCCAGCCTGGGAGACAGAGCAAGACTCTGTCTACATACACACACACACACACACACACACACACACACACACACACACACACACACACACACAGTATGTTTTGTGTTCAACATATCCTTTCCTCTTACTTAGCAGACAAGAACATGTAAAGAACAGACTATATGGGCAAATAGTTACAGAGGGAAGAAAGCTGTGAATACTATTAAATAGAAACTGACCAAAGCATGGAATTTGAGAAGAGAAAAATATTTCCATCTTGACAGGGTGGAAGAATGGAGGAAAAATAGAATTGGAAGTAATAGAAAGGAAATGAGGAAGATTTTAAGGAGTCTATAGCATTTGAGTTGATACTTGGAAAGATAGCTAGGATTGGAACAAAGAGATACCCAAGAGATCAAGTTAGAAATATCAGATAGAGGGGAAAAAATTAAAGCACAGTGAGGGAAGTGCTGAGTATGTTTAGTTGCTAGCAAATAAGTCTACTAAAGTTCACAATAGCAAAACTGGTTAGTGTCTTTCACCAACAAACATAGAGTCCAGATTGATGGTTTGGCAGCTTAACCAAATTTGGGTATGTTGAACATCAAAGCATATTCTTAGGCATAGCAGCTACGTGATGGGATTAAATTATCACAGTTGTACTGACATCTTCAAAGCCTTGAACAAGTGGCTGACACATTCATTGTTATTTAATTAAGGTGAAGAAAACTGAAAAAAAAATCAAGAAAATGCTTGCTACAGTTATTTTAAAACCCTTAAAGAGTGAAAGCACAGAAATAACCTTCAAAAGAAAGCAGCAATTTTTCTTCTTGCTGGTATCATTTAAATACAACACTCATACTACACTCAAATGTGAATAGTAACAGAGCATTACCTCATCTGATGAATGGAAGAAGCTATTTTTCTACCGCTAACTGGCATGAGAAAGAGTAAAACTCCTGGAGGAAATTAGCAAATCTTAAAGGTGTGGATGACATTCTGTAGCACTGCTTGTCCAAAAAAAATGACACAAATTACAGCACTGAACTCTAAAGCCAAACAACAGCAAGCACTCTCTCCATGGCAAAATGTACTTTTTTCCTAGGATTAATCTCCAAACATGCCAAAATTTTAGTGTCAATTTGCTGTATATTACAAGCATCACTAAGGAATCAGCTGAATCTATCTGTCTCTCTCTTAAATAGACACACACATATACACAGAGGAACTTTCTACTGGAGAACATAAGAAAACACCTTTTTATGCTCCAGAAAACAATCATACATTTAAGAAATCTTTTCTATATTTATATTATTTCAGTGATTGCATGTGTTTGTGGGTGAAATTAAAAGTGTTATTGATACTAATTTAAAAGCAAATGCTGGCCGGGCGCGGTGGCTCATGCCTGTAATCCCAACACTTTTGGAGGCCAAGGCAGGTGGATCACTTGAGGTCAGGAGTTCGAGACCAGGCTGGCCAACATGCTGAAACTCCCTCTCTACTAAAAATACAAAAATTAGCTAGGTGTGGTGGCACATGCCTGTAATCCCAGCAACTCGGGAGGCTGTGGCAGAAGAATCACGTGAACCCAGAAAGCAGAGGTTGCAGTGAGCCAAGATCACGCCACTGCACTCCAGCCTGGGAGACAGAGAGAGCTTCAGTCTCAGGAAAAAAAAAAGAAAGCAAATGCTGAATATGTTCTCAAAATGAAGGCAAATACTGTTTGCTTGTTTTTTTTTAAACCAACTAAAATTATACAACTAGTTCTCAATACATTTTCTAAAACCAATACAATAAGTGGTAATTTAAAAATCTATACAGATGAATATGTAAGCAAAAGCATAGGAATGCTAAAAGGCTGAATTCACAGTGTTGAAGGTCCACGATACTTTTAGAGGATAATAGAAATGTTTTAATTTTCATTTCTTTTAAAAACCCAAGAAAAAATGACTATAATAATATTGGATACATAACAGTGAAACCAATCTGAATTACATACATCTTTTTAGAAACACTGTTGTATAATATAATATTTTTACTGTTAAATTTTTAACAGCTGAATAATTTTTTATTATATAGAAATGGGCTCAAGAAGGGCTCAAGAAGGCAAAAGTGCCTAAGGCTCATGAAAGTCAAAATGTCATCCTGCCTGAAGTTACTTCTGGTGCTGAAAGAAGGGAAATAGTATCAGAGGAGAATAAGTAAAGAGAGCTCCTCAACTTTTTCTTAATGTTTTATTTACTTAAAATATGTTAAGTGGATATAGTATAATGAGATTTGATAAAACCCTTTGTGGTACATACAAGTTTGCCTGTTTTTGCTAGCATTTTGTTTTATAATAATTCACAATCAAAACATTAATTATCCTTTTGAGTCAATGAATTAATTGGTACTTATTAGATTTTTAAGGATAAAATTTGATAATTTCTCTTGAAGATAAACTATTAGTTTGGTCTTCATCAAATATTTTTTACCTCTGAAATAAACATTCTTTGGGAAAAAATGTGTCACATCATGAGAAATTTGATTTTAATTTACAGAATTCTTCTTCTAACCAAAAATTAGACCATGAACTTTCTTCAAAAATTATATTGGTTATGGACTTTTAACAGGGTATGAATAAAGTTGGGGTCTAATAAAGTTGGTATGGCAATAAAAGGTATACAGTATTTCCACCAGATTTTATTTCAAAATTTATTATTTTGTTCTAACTCTAGAACTTAATAAGAACAAACTTCAAAATATAATACAGAAATTAAAATGCAAAGGTTCCTTAAAGATTAAAATCTTTGAAAATGACAATTAAAAAATACATAAATCAAGGAGACTGGCATAGAGCTTTTAGCGCAGTACTTGTTACAAAGCAGGTATTTATTTTCTAATATATTAGCTGTTTTCAATTTAAAAGTCTATTTTCACTAGACTGTAAACTCCATGAAGAGAAGCCTTTTTGTTTTGTTTTGTTCATTGCTGTACCTCCATCATATGGTACGGTTGCTGGAATACAGTATGTGTTCAATTCATGTAAGTCATGGAGCAGTCAACTAGAGTTAAGCTTCATAAAGATAGGACTGAAGCCATGAAATTGTTACTGAGAGTAATAATTTCTGCAGGCATTACATCTTGACTATGTTTGTAAAAAATAAAGTCAGGAAAAGTATCTATATATTTGTAATCAGTACAAAACCACTGCAAACTTGGTTGTATTCAGTGAGTAAATCTAAAGGATCTTGAAAGCTGAATGTCTGGGATGGTCAATGAAAACCCAGGAGGAACAATCCACACAGGGAGAACAGAATTAATTGTATTCTTACAGCCATTTCTCAAAAGACAGCTCAAAATGCAGATGGTTTTGAAAAAAAAGTGCAGCCCACAGATGATATTAAGATGGCGGCACAGATGCAGAGAGAAATGTATCTTAATAGTGACTTTATAATATGCTGAAAATACCAAGGAGTTTTCAGAATGGTACATTCAAATTATAAAATAGTATCTATCCCCTAAATTTTAATTAAATGTCAGATTTTCTGTATTTTTGGCTTATTTTTGTATTTAAGATACATTAGGTAAAAATAAAGATCTTTTTTAACATAGAAAAATACTAGCAAGATGAATGTCTAATTGTGTATTTGGCATCAAACAAGGAAGAGAATGGAAAAACAGAAAAAAAAAAGAGAGAGAAGGGGTGGTGAACATCTGGGGTGGTTTCTTTTCTGGAAACAGGAACAAGGTCATATCCCACCCAGTGAGAAGAAATGACCCCCTAAAAAATGTAAGTGATCTTGCTTGACCTGTGACGCGAGCATGGGGATGACCTCGGCTGTTTAACTGCAATGTGTGTTTCTTGTTAGAAAAAGTGAGAGAGTTGTGCTCTGCCATAAAAGAATGTGAGGAATATGAAGGTGCTAAAAAGCAGAAGAAGGAAGTGGAGCATGGGGAACTTGATACAAGCTATGGAAAAATGAAATATTAAGTTAGCCCTGACTTTAGAAATGTTTGGTAGAAAAGAAAGATACAAGGAAATACATGTATGTATACTCTTGTATGTTTACCCCCACACACAGCACATACACATATATTCTTGTTGCTGTGTTTAATTGTGAGGATCAATTCTTTCTCTGATAATCTCTTAAACTTTTATCGTTAAAATCATGATATAGACCTGGAAGAGAATAGGTCTGTGGGTATATCTCTAATAGCTCAAAATATCCAATACGATTTTCCATGAACTCCTAGAGGCCCAAGTCTAAAATAACAAACTTGTGTTAGTTCAATTTTCAGTCCTTTTACATATAACAATGCCACGTCAATGCCTTTATGCAATGCTTGACGGCATCCTCTTAATTTTTTATTCTATGAAATAAGTGGGCTCTCTGCTCAAAATATTAATAGCTGGAAAATTCCCCCATTACAATACAAATGAAAGTTAACTTTAAATGTCTTGACCTACATAAACTCCTAACATTTGTTTCATCTTTTAAAGTCTCTTTCATCCCTTTCTCTTCTCCAGCTCTCTCGATCCCCTCAACTCCCTTGAGGTCTTCTCCACAGAGCCCCATTATTTAATAACAGCGTACCCAGCAAACAGCTGTGGAAGGGAAGAATTGGATTGAAATTCAAGGCCAAACCAGGACAGAAATTTTGGGTACAATCTCAAATCTGTTGGTATAAAGAAAACTGAAAATTTTTGAGTTTTCAATTTTGCTATTACTAAATGGTGGTGATTTAGGGTTTGTTACATCAGTTTTATTACAGAAATATAAGGAAGATAAAGTGGAAAGATTTGGGTTTGTCAAGTTATTTGTAATAAAAATCTTATTTATTCAGTTTCGTTATGAGTCAAGGGTTCGGTTTATCTGTTTCAAAAGTCCCTGATTCGTACTTTATAGGGCCATGATTTGTCAACAGTCCAATGAACTCAAATAAACCGACATATTTATTTTATAGGATGTTGTCTGCATGAATGGAGATGAAATTACTAGTAAATTGTCAACTAAAAAATACAGAACTGGAAAATGATAAGCCTTCCTCTAAGCCCACCATCATATATTCTCATGAAAATCTGAGGCATTATTATTATTCTTTCAGTTACACACAATGTTTAAGAAGAAAGTCAACTATAACAAATGATTTAGTTAAATCTTGGAGAGCACACTGGATAAAAATTTTCTCTTGCTTCCCCCTTCCCCCAGGGTTTCCCTCCTGCCATCTCAAAGCAGGATGAGCTAGTTGACATTGAGTAGTTAAAATCAAACTTAATATTAAGAATATATAGTTATATTTGAAATATATAAATAAAAGTGTTACTAGAAGTGATTATCCAGTAACTTGTGGTAGCACCTATCTTAGGTACTTATTCATCATCTCACCATGGATTTTCTCCTTATTTTCCTTTTACCATCCTGCTATTCTCCACCAGAGGGCAGGCAGGGGCAAGGACAAGGCAACCTTGTCAGGCAATCTGGTTAAAAAAAAAAAAAAAAAAGTTTGATAGGACAGGAAGTGAAAAATATTGCCTAAAATAAGGTTTGAAGATTATCTGCCAATTTTGTATATTTTTCCATATCCCCATCTCTCCTTGATATGGAAAAATGAGGATTGGCACTTATTGTGAGCAATTTGAGTAAAGTATTTTCCGTGCATCTGGGTTCACTGGTGAAACATGAATGATCAAAGTTCAACATGTTGCATCAATTTCTTTTCACCTGGCAAAATGAGTTTTTGTGCCAGTTTTTAAACCTTGTGTTTTCTGTAGTTACTTCCTGTGAGTCGAATGGTTATATTAAATATGAGTAACAATTTATAATTTTACTCTGACAGAAATTACTTCAAAATTACATTCCTATATATATATTTATATGATTTGGCTGTATATCTGATCTAGAATTTGTAAAGAAGATCTGGATTTTACTGTAGACATGCAACTAATTTACTAGGGTACTATAGTTATATAAGCAACTCGGTTTCTACTGTGTCATTATAAATGAAGACTAGAATTCTAGAGAAATCATACGGAAGATTCTGTGAACTGTACTTGTTTTTCCTCCAGAAAGGCACTAAGAATGTGTAATGAATCATTAGTAAAATGGCACTATGGGTACATGAACGAACCTAAAAGAACAAATCTTTTTTTAAAGACTGATTTCATTTTAAAATTCCAGATAACAAAATTTTAAAGCAACCAAAAAATCAAGTATCTTATTTTTTTCTGGTAATTCATAAATTCTAAACATTTAAATATGACTAACATAAATTTTATGGTAACTATAAAAAGTGTATCTTTTGATTAAGAAAAACTTTAAAGAATAATTTAAAGGCTAACAGATTGCATCCTTCAATATCTACTTTAATTAACCGACTGCCATTACTCACTTTACATTTCCTTTCACATCACATTGTACTCATCTTAAATGGAATCAAAACTTTGACATGCACTGACATTGACTTCATTAAATGCAACGTTTTGACATTTTTGAAGGTCTTTTTTTATTTCATACTAATAAATGGAAAGGGTTTTGAATTTCAATGGCTGAAAGGAAGTCAGATTTTAGTTATATGAATCCAGGGTAACTTCATTCATGGATCAAAAAGACCCCTTGGGGCTTACAAAATCTTTATTATTTTCAAGCTACAAAAAAATAGTTTGGTAGAGAACTGGATAATAGGAAACATATTCTTCTGCAATCAATGCACTTTGGGGTGGTTTCCAGCTGTGAGACAGTCACTCAAACTTAAAAGTTCTCCAAAGTTCTCCTTGGCCTGGAGCCCAATTTCACTTATAACAGAATATGACTGTGTAAAAAAAAAAAAGCATTACAAAATATGGCAATTTGTGTTACCTTGCTAAAAAGTTAATATGGTTTATGGCACTATTAAGGATTGTTAATGCTTCAAATAGTTAGATTTTAATGTTTAGAATTAGCACAATTTAAGTTTTCACCTACTATTTTAGATTGTACTAGTTCTTATAGGCTGAGGAATATGTCCCTAAACTAAGATTTCTACTTTATTATGCTAAGTATGCCACATTGGAAAGGGCTGTTGGAGAAACATAAATTATTCAGTTAGTGTATAAAATATTATTACAATAAGTTATAATCATAACAGAGGTAATGAACTCTTTGTATAAAATAGTTTGCAATATTAAATGCATACGTTACAATCATGAGAAATAATCATTAAAGCATACTGAATTTTGGTGAATTTTAATATAGAAAGTTGTACAAAGATCTACACTTAAAATTATTCAAAAACGAAATAATTATAAAGTGATTCCAAAAAATAAGTTTCCATTTGTAATTTTGCAGTTCACCCATCACTAATAGGACAAATCTACTAGTAATGATGATGACATTCATATATTACAATATCTTATTATCCAGTCTAGTTATCTAGTTGTTAACAGTCTTGTGAGAGGTGAGGACATAATTTATATTCCCTTATGACAGACTGTTCTGCGGCCATAAAACGTGGGAATCCTTGTTTGACATGACTTGTCTTCAAAAGCCAAGCCCATCTATTTGGAAGAAACCTTGAATCACCAATTTTATCACATGGTAAAAAGTTAAAATAGGCATTTACCATTACTTATAAATATAGTTCAAAATATTTAATCTAAAAGTGACAGTGCCAGTGGTGAATAAAACTTTATTTAGATGGGCTAATCAATTAAACTCTAAAAGAACAGGACTCTAGTTGATTTGTTTTAAAACTAGTAAGGATGTTCTGAAATAAATCAGTAAAGTATACTAGTTTTTTTTTTCTTATGAAGCCTATAAGAAGGACACTATAATTACCTAATCATATAATTGTATTAAAGCAAGGAACAATAAAACATTTCCCAAGGTGATTGCTTCTATGCATATAGTTTCAATTACTATCTTCAAACTGACACTCAAATTTACACCTCCAGCTCTCACCTAGTTTCCTAAGTTACAGATTTGCAACTGAGATTTGGATATCTCACAGTAAACATGCCCACAAACAAACTCAGTATCTCTCCTTTCAGATCTTTGCCTTTTCCTGGGTCTCCATCTCAGTGCAAATATGGACTCACCAATTCAGAAATTTACAAGACTAAATAAGACCCATACCTCCTTCATATCCCACCTCTGAGCAATCAGTAAACAAGTGTGATGGAGTTTTTATTTTATGTCTCTCTCTTGTCAATCCTATTAGTTCCTAACGCCTAATGGTTTGACCTAACTCTATTCTCTCCCCACTTTCTAAATACCTGGAATTTCCCCACAAGCTTCAATACCTCCAGGCTTGCTGGTCCTCACTACACCCCTTCAGTTTTCCATCCATTACCCACAGGCTGCCAGGAAACATTTCCAAAAGAGCAAATCTATTTATGTCATTTCTTTATTTAAAGTATGTCTGTTCTAATTTCAGAATGGAGTAAATTCTGCTTATCCTGTATGTTCATCCCTTAACAATCAGACTTTTACCCCTCACACAAGCACCATCAATCCAAATCCTTGGTTACTCTCTGAATATAAATAATTTGTTATAAATTTGCATATTTTTTCCTATTTAAAAATTTATCCTTGTTCCTTTCACTACTGACCTTACCCCCACACTTCTTTTTTAAGGTTTTGCTCATTCACCTCATTTGAGAAGACTTTTCTGACCTGCCAATGTCAGATTTCACCTCTATACTCTTACAGCGTTTGCTTACTATCTACCTACATCATGGTGTTTTTCACTATGCACAGTAACTGTTTGTTGTCTCATTTGCTTGTATTAACTCATTTGCTTGTCATATTTGCTTGTCTCATTTGTTTGTCTCAATTTACTGTAAGCTTTCTAAAAACAAGATTTATGCCTTTAAATTATTTTTCACCAGAGCAATGTTTCACCAAAATGTTAAACAATGAAACCACTTAAAACTTTTCTGTAACCAAAGCTCTTGGATTTTCCTGTATCTGTTGATATATTATTACAGCACATATAATGAAAATATAACAACTAATGTGTTATGTTTTATAATTCTCAAAGGCCTTCACATAACTCTTGGAAGCCACCAGTGTTTTTTACATATTGTGGATAAAGAAACAAAGTTTCGCAATGGTTAAATAATTTACCTAAACACATTCAGTCAATGTATGGTAAAACAGATTCAATCCAATTTGTTAGACTTCAAAGTCCAGACTTGTGGTTGGTCAAATGGAGTGATTTGGTTTGAATTCACAACTTAAACGCTTACTATTTGTTAATGGTAAGCAACTTTACTACTCATGCAATTATCCCAAGTATTCAGGCACTGGGCTGAAACCATTTGCTCCATCAGCCACATCAAGCAATAGTTCATCAGCAATAGTTCCTTAGACTAGTTATTCATTAAACACTCAGTATGAAAGAGACATGGCCTTTATAGGAAGACAAGCCCTGCTAAAAATCCTTTGGGGGAACATCTTAATTGCAACTACAGGCACACGTAATGAAGAACTATCGTTATCCTTACTGAGCAGTTTTACAGACAGGCAAGCTGAGTAGGGCCAACATTTTTTTTCCATAGGAGTACATCTCCAAATTTTTGAGTAGGTACCAATAAAAAAGATGATCAGCAGAGGGGAAATACTTTATACATTCTTAACAGCTCTCTGTGTTGTGAGAATCTTCAAATGTATCAAAAGAGTTATAAAACAAACTTTCTGGGTGGGATAAAACTAAGCCAACTTTGAAGTCCAGTGCCCTATTGAAATGTACTTTTCTCCATTTCCCCTAAGCGTCAACATAAGATCTCATCTAGCCAATGTAAGTCAGGTGTTGTTTTCATTGAATTTTATTTTTAAAGAGATATGCAAAATGTTAGAAAAGACAGGTCCCTAATTATTAGTTTTCTATATAATGTAGTAATATTGTAGGTGCATATATATGTATGTGTAGATTTGTGTATATATCCTCTCTAAAATAGACTATTAGAGAGAAAATAACCTTAGTTATTATTATATTTATTCCTCATCATTTTAGAGAGAATACAAATAAAGCCCAGAGAAGTTAACTGGCTTGCCTAATGTCCCTCAATCAAAGATCATTATGCCATTTAATAAACATTGTTCCCCATCTTTAATAAATATGTTATCTATTGGAAAGTATACTGGCTCCAGGTTCAGCAGAAGTAAGGTTTAATTTTCCCAATATCATCTTTGCAGGTTTCCAAATTAGCACTATATACATTTATATCCCTTCAGCTTCATATAAATTTTATGATGAAAAAATATATCATATTCTGTCTGGAAGGAAATATTTGCTCATCATGGTGTGTCACAGGATTCCACTCCCAAGCTCCCCACATGCTTAGTGCCTGTTCTTTCTGGATTAGCAGCTGCTATGAGCAAACACATAGCAGTGAGGCTGACGAACTTGGCACACTTTAAATAGATCAAGTTTGGTTTTAATTTAAAGAATAATTTGATTCAGTAATGTTATTTAAACAAATGCAAAAGTGCTCAAAAAAATCACATGTAGTAAATGATCAAAGCTGTGGTTATTCAGGTTTTTATTTGCTAAAAATATCAAGATAACATTTTTAGCAAAAATTTCATTCTTAGCTGCATGACTCTGGAGTAAGGGGCCCCTGCAAAAAAAATTCAGTTTCTATCCTTTGCCAGAAATAAACATATTTGGTTTCCATTTGGAAAATTTTGTCTTTTAGCTTTAAATCAATCTGGATTTAAGGTAAGGAGTATCAGTTACTAATACTAAAAAACAAAATTAAATAATTGGATCAGACAAAAAAGTCCTTATTTTCCTATATCATGTTATTATAATATTTTAAGTAATAATGTGTCTAATTAGAAATTTGGAAATTATATTTTTGTTATTTTCATACTTTTAATATTTAACTACATTCTTTATAAAATGAGGGAGTGCTTCTATTTCTGGTAAGGCAGAGTATACTATTATCCTATTGCTGCTGTTTCAAATAGCCACAAACTTAATGGCTTAAAAACAACACAAATTAATTTTTTACAGTTCTGGAGGTCAGAAGTCTGAAATGGGCCTCACTGTTCGAAAATCAAGGTGTTGGCAGGGCTGTGTTCCTTTCTGGTGGCACTAAGGGAGAATCTGTTTCTTTGCTTTTTCCAGCTTCTAGAGGCTGCCCGCATTCTTTGGCTCATGGCCCTCTTCCATCTTCGCAGGAGTAATAGTGAGTCCTTCTCAGATCACCTCACTCTGACTCTCCCGCCTCCCTCTTCCATTTCTAAAAACACTTCTGACGGCATGAGGCCCACCTGGACAATGTAGGATGATCTCCACATCTCAAGGTCAGCTGATTTGCAACTTAACATATTCACAGGTCTGGGAATTAAAACATGGACATATTTGGGGGACCGTTATTCTGCTTCCAACACAAGGTGAACAACTCTGCTACTAAAAACAAAACCAAAAATGCTAGATTAAAAAAAAATTATCAAAAGCACTGAAGAGCTAACTAGAGAATTATAGAGCCCCAAATCCAAACAAATATGGAAACTCATATAGCGCAAAAGCTACTTTTTGGCTGAGGACATCTGTGCTCTAGTAGAGGTGACATTTTTGACATTTTCACTTAGAAAAATAAGTAAAAATCCAGGAAACATGCCAGGTTGGGAATCTAACAGAAAACCCTCCCCACATTAAGCTGGAACCTTAAATGATCCTATCCTACCTTTCCAAAACCAAGTTAGTACAGAGAAAGTTGCTTAGGCCTGAGCAGAGGTAGTAAAAAAAAAAAATTTCAAGAAGCTGCAATCGCAAACCAATCCGGGCTCAGATGTGCAGCCAAGTTTGTATCAGTTAGGTGGACCTAACATCTGCTTTGGTAAAACCTCCAGCTGCCTGACCAAAGCAAATACAAATTCCCTCTGGAGGAAGTCACCATCATTCTATGTCTTAATAAACCGCTATATAAATTTTTAAAAATCAGGGACCAATACAAAATAGGAGGTAATAAATTTCACAAGAAAACAAAGCATTTAAGTGAGAACACACACAAACAGTGGAAAATAGAAATTGATCTGTTGAAATTATCAGACATATATTCTAAAATAATTCCACTGGCTATATGTAAATAAAAGATACATTTGAATCTATTTTTAGGGAAAATTATGCTAAAAATGATATATTTTAAGAAGACAGAGATGCTAGTAATAAAAATTACAATAACCAAAAACTGAAAGTAAATGGATGGGTTTAATATCAGATTGTAAAACCAAATTAGATACACCTGAAGAAAGCATTTGTGAGCTGTTATGAAACTCTCCAAATGCATCACTGGGAGAAAAAAATAGATGAAAAATGAAAAAGAGAATGAGACAGGGAGAGAGAGAAAGAAAGAGAAACAAACTTAAGAGACATGGAAGATAAGAGTTGAGAAAGTCTAACAAACATGTAATTAGAGTTCCAAAAGGAAAAAGAAAGAGAACTGGGTAGAGGCAATATCAGAAGAGTAAAAAGCTGGAAGTCTTCTAGGACTGATATAAAAATACAATTTAATAGCTTCAAGAAGCCAGATGAATTCCAAGCATGATAAATAAAAAGAAAGCCAAGCCTAAGTACATAATATTAAAACAACAAAACACTAAAGACAAAAAGGAAATGTTTTAAGTTGCCAGAACAAGGGGAAAATAAAAGGCAAGTTTCCTTTAAGTAATTGAGTGTTAGAATGAGGGCTGACCTCTCAAGGGAGTCATGGAAATCACAGGACAATCAAATGTATCTTTAGTGTGCCCAAAAAAAACAGCTGCCATTGTAGAATTCTATACCCAGTGCATGGCGGGGGCGGTGGGGGGAGGTTATCAGGGGGAGGGACAGGGCTGTGGTGGAAATCTTTCAAGAATAAAGTTATAAAGTTGTGAATCAAAGTATTTTAAGACAAACAAAAACTGAAGAGTTTACTGCTATCAGACACTCACTAAAAGAATTTTGTTTTTTCCCCCCGAGACAGAGTCTTGCTCTGTCGCCCAGGCTGGAGTGCACTGGCAATGATGTCTGCTCACTGCAACCTCTGCCTCCTGGGCTCAAGAGCCTCCTGAGTAGCTGGGACCACAGCTGAGCACCACCATGCCCAGCCAATTTTTATATTTTTAGTAAAGACAGGGTTTTGCCATGTTGCCCAGGATGGTCTCAAACTCCCGAACTCAAGCAGTCCACCCACCTCGGCCTCCCAAAGTGCTGGGATTACAGACATGAGCCACCACATGCAGCCAAGAATTTCTGAATAATGAATTTCATCAGAAGAAAAGTGATCTAATATACAAGGTCAGAGATAATAAAGAATGCAGAGAAAGATATTGGAAATACAATACATGGACATATCTATGGGAACATTCACTGTGAAACATAACTAAGATCAATGTCTTGTGAGGCTAAAAATGAAAACAAGTTTTAAGTACACAAAGAAAACTCCTTCGATGTTTTGTAACAATAAAGGCATGTTTCTCACTGATCCCCTGTAGTAAAAGTTTTCTTAGGAAAAATAACATCCCCCATCATTGACTTTCTATTAACTATATTCCACACACGATGCTAAACATTTTACAGTCACTATCCATAGTCCTGTCAGGGAGCTAATATTAAACTCATTTACAAATGAGGAACTAGAACAGAAGTTTATTTTGCTGCTTAAGTGTTCAAAGATTCTAAAACTACTAAGTACTTTGGCCCATATTCAGTCTTACTTCTGTCTGTTTCAAAAACCCACATGTTAACAGCTAGGCTTCCTGAAAAGGATGGGCAATTTTTACCAGCAGATGTGCTTATATTTTGCAGAGTCAAAGGATTTCAGGTTCTGGCAAACACTAAATGTGATTCAGTAAAGAAATTGCTTCATGAACTCAAACAGAAAGGAGAGAGATAAGAGGAGATAGAGTAAACTCATAGTAATATAAAATGGTTCCCCCTTATCTACAGGAAGTTTCATTCCAAGACCTCCAGTGGATGCCTAAAACCACGGATCATACCAAACCATATATATACTATATTTTTCCTACACATACATGCCTATGATAAAGTTTAATTTATAGACATAGTAAAATATTAATAACAATAACTAATAATAACATAGTACAATTATAGCAATGTTCTGTAATAAAAGTTATGCAGATGGGGTCTCTCTCTCTCTCTCAAAATACCTTGCTGTACTATACTCACCCTTCTGCTTGTGTTGATGTGAGATGAGAAAATGCCTACTTGATGGATGAAGTGAGGCGAATGACATAGGTGATGTAGTGTTAGGCTAATATTGAACTTCTGAAGATTTGTCAGAAGGATCAGCTGCTTTCCGGTGATCCTGGATCATCAAGCCATGGCAGTGTTGATGGTTGGATGTCAGCAGCAGATAATGTTGATGACTGATGGACAGGTAGCATATATAGCATGGATAAGTTGGACAAAAAGGTGATTTACATCCGGGGTGAGACTGAGCAGGAGGGTGTGAGATTTCATCAGGCTACTCATAATGGTGCACAATTTAAAACTCATTAATTGATTATTTCTGGAATTTTTCATTTAATATTTTTGTAGCACAGTTGATCATGGTAACTGAAACCACAGAAAGCAAAGCTGCAGATAAGATGGGACTACAGTAATGATATAATTGAGTCATACATATATTTTGTTCAGTAACAGGAAAATAGGACAAAAAATCCTTGGTATATATGTATGCTTAAAGTTTATAAATGTTGATTTTATATACCTAATTCTTAAATTAAGACTAGGGAAACAGTTATATTGTACTTTAAATCACATTCTAGTCTTTAAAAGTTTAACTGGATTTTCCTGACATTTAGGTTAATCTGAAGTTTTTAGTTCACTGGAACACTGCATAATAATTATTTAACTTCAAAAATGTTATTTATGACATATCAAAAAACAATATTCAAAAATATATAAAATAATAGTGATGTGGGTAGGGCCTCTCTAAAGATGTCCAAGCCCTAATCCCTGGAACCTGTGAGTATATTACCTTATATGACTTTGGGACTTTGCAGATAGAATTAAGCTTATGAATCTTAAGACAAGCAGATCATCCTAAATTATCTAGGTACACCCAATCTTATCAACTGAGCCATCAAAAACAGTGAACTTTCTCTTGCTAGAGGCAGAATAGAAAAAAAAGATGTGACATAAGGGAAAATCAGAGAGATTACAAAAGTGAGAAGGATTTGGCACATCATTGCTGGCTCTAATCTGTAGGGACCCCAATGTAAGGACCGAAGCGACATGTTTTAGAGATAATACTAACCGCCAGCTGATAGCCCGCAAGAAAAATGGGAACCTAAGTCCTATAACTACAAGGAACTGGATTCAGCCAACAGCCACAAAGAGCTTGGAGTGAACCTTGATTTTGCCCTTGTGAAACCTGGAGCAGAGACCAGATTAGCCAAGCTTGACGTACAAAGACTTCTGGCACATAGAGGTATGAAATAATGAATTTGTGTTATTGCAAGGTACTAAGTTTGTGGTAACTTGCTATGGAAGTAATAGAAAACTAATACATACAACAAAATTTTTAAGTATGATTGAGATGAAAATTAAGATATAAGCAAAACTTACATGGATATTTGCTTTTTTTTTTTTTTTTTTTTTTTTTTTTGAGACAGAGTCTCACCCTGTTGCCAGGCTGGAGTGTAGTGGCGCGATCTAGGCTAACTGCAACCTCCGATTCCCTAGTTCAAGCGATTCTCCTGCCTCAGCCTCCAGAGTAGCTGGGATTACAGGCATGCGCCACCACGCCCAGCTAACTTTTGTATTTTTAGTAGAGACGGGGTTTCACCATGTTGGTCAGGATGGTCTCGATCTCCTGACCTTGTGATCTGCCCACCTAGGCCTCCCACAGGCATGAGCCACTGTGCCCAGCCATTTGCTGTATATTTAGCTCTGAAGTTTTTAGCAACAGAAACAAACAGAAAAGTTCTAGTTCTAAAATTAATAGACATCTACATACATGAGAGATATAAATGAGTTACTCTGGTTGCATAACTATACCTGTTATTGAGATAAGAGGAAAAGTCTCTATTATAAAGAGGACCATAGCAAACAATGTCCTCAACCACATTCACAAAGAGAAAAAAACATTTATTGCACCATTTTCTATAAATTACCTAATTGTAGGTCAACTACACAATGACTCATCAATTTAGTAAATGTTAATAATACAAGACCATTCTAATATCTACTATTTTGATTATCTAGGGAAATAATTTATAAATGATGTTTTAAGAAGCAGTACTTTTGAGAGATATTATTAGAGGTAATATTATCAAGCAGAACAGCAGGCACTGGTTTCCAACGCCAGGGAATGACCCTAACTACATAAAGGATAGCAAAGATCATCAAAATGGCAGCCACTAGAAATAGAAGTCCCAACACTTGTGCCCATTGCATCTTGGTATTGGAGTTGCCAAGGGAAAAACAAAACACAGTAATGGAGAGGACAGAACACTTTAATTTACATATTGAAGAGACTAGGCAACATCAGCTCCAAGAGTATGCATCAGTCCCCCATAACCAGCAGGTTCCTCTCCCACCCCACATCCACTGCAGCTGATGTAGGGCAATTGGCTTACATGCACCCCTCTTCTGCCACAGTAGAGGAACTCCACACTCCCTGCCAGTGGCGTCTGAAATACAGAAAACTGGGGGCCCACTTGAGGGCCACTGACTCAGAACAAAGTACTCATTGAGTCTGAAACAAAGATCTACTCAGTCAAGGTGATAAACCTGGCACAGGCTGTGTGGGCTCTTTATCTTTTGATAAGGAAGTGTTACAGGCCCTAGGTTCATCTTTGCTTGGCCAAGAATGGGTCAGAAGACTTCTTGTATGAGACTGCCTTTCCCAACAAATATACACACACACACACACAAGTTCATTATTCAGATAACTAAGCAGAGGGGATAATAATAGATACTTTACTGTAAAATAAGTTAAATACTTTAACAGGCTAATGTATTTAGTAACGTTTCCCCTCTCACTGTTTAGCGAAAAATCCAAGAAAAAGAAGTTACAAAGTATATTTCAGTGTAACTGAATAAATAATCCAACTTTATAGATTAATTGGCTTTTAAATAACATACATTTAAATTATTTGATTATTTTAGACAGTATGTAGACGTCATAACCCACTCTGCCCATGGCACTCTGATTTCATGGTAATCAAATCAAACTGTCTTCACAGAAAGAGAATATTCAGCTTTTTGCTCTCTGTAATTGGCAGGATGAACATAAGCAAAAGGAAATGCATCAAGCATATCCACATGTGGCATTGTTATTAAAAAGTCAGTATTTTAAAAATACTTCCAGTTTACAACTGTATTTTCCCTTGATTCATCAAGTGAATCTTCTTTGTGATTCCCATTTTCAAAGTGGTAACGTTGACTTTCAACTTCGTAAATTCTGTCATTTCACCCAAATCAAGGAAACATTTCAGTACATTGGGGATCAGTATTAACTTGAATCTTCATCCTTCAGTTTAAGATTATTTTTATGGTAACTCCTGATTTGCATTATATCTAATGTATATAAGGTATGAATTTATGACCCGGAAAAGTAGTCAAGTAAAAGCTTATTTGAATGTAACCTGACCATTGACAGATGTCTAGATGAAACCAGATGCCTATATTTAGTGTTGGGACATAAAAATAAACACGGACTAGAATAAATCATGATAGAGTAATCCAGCTTGCTTTATTAAATCAGGAGTGGGGATAGGCAAAGGGGATCAAATTACACTCACGTTGTTGGGTATAATATCACCTCGTAATAAGAGAAGTGTCCTAACCTATTGGTTTGTCTAAAATTTCTTACCATTTTAAACACCTTTTAAATCCCCTTATGATCTTGACTGGAGTGAACATGAACGCATTATTATTATAACTACTAATGGTAAAATAAAATATCCCAAAGGACTTTCATTTATTCATTACTTTCCAAAGAGATTCAGAAGTGATTTAATTCAAGTGTCTGTTATAAGAAGTAGTAGAAAACAATTTGTCACACAATAAGACAATGGTGGTATTCAATGAATGGCACCATTGCATAAATTCCACTAGAAGAGATATTGAAAGGTTTATATTTTTGTCATATATATATATACACACACACACACGTATATATATATACACACGTATATATATACACACACACGTATATATATATACACACACGTATATATATATATACACACACACACACTATATATATATATACACACACACGTATATATATATACACGTATATATATACATATATTTTTTTTTTTTTGAGAGCGTATCTTGCTCTATCACCCAGGCTGGTGTGCAGTAGTGCAATCTTGGCTCACTGCAATCTCTGCCTCTGGGGTTCAAACAATTCTCTTGCCTCAGCCTCCCAAGTAGCTGGAATTACAGGCATGCACCACAATCCCTGGCTAACTTTTGTATTTTTAGTAGAGACGGGTTTCACTGTGTTGGCCAGGCTGGTCTCGAATCCTGATCTCAAGTGATCCACCCGCCTCAGCCTCACAATGTGCTGGAATTACAGGCGAGAATCACTGTGCCCGTCCTACATGTTTAAAAGATTATGAAGTCTTGGCATTATTCTTTATATGAGTTCTATTCTGATAAAAGGTCATCAATTTCAGATTTCTGCTGAAAAAGATATTCTGCTTGAATACAGTGTATCACTCAAAATGGCATTATTTAAATGGATCAGTTTAAAGATAAAAATGTCTTACTGATCTTGAAATCCTAATCCACATGGTCAAATAAGCTGATATGATTGACTCAGACAAAGTTCACAAGCTAGTGTCAAAAGATGATCCTTGAGCATATAGAAATTAAATATTATGAAATTAAGGAAAATATGCAGGATCTAATACTCTTCCAGCCTTAACAGAAGAATATCATGAGCTTTATCTGTAGGATCCATTTATGAGGAAATTTAATCATAATTTAACCTTTTAATTTAATTAAAATATTTTTAAAAATACGGGCTAGAATTATATTCTACATTGGCTCAATTTTTTTCTTTGTTTTTATCAATCCTCTTTTACAGGTTGCCAATTATGCTTTCTAGCTAAGCAGCATTTTTGAAAACTCTAAAATCAGGCTTCTTGATGCTGTCCACAAAATCCTCTCTACTGCCTTGCTAATTACAACACTTGATTGGCTTTTTCTTGTGACGAATCTTACTTGATCATTCTTATTGGTGATAGTCACTGGCATCTTGAAATGCTATCTCCCTTTGTCTTCTCTGATTCCTCCTTCTTTATTCTAAAGTTGATTATTGCCAAACTCTTTCATCGGTTTCTTTTTTCCTCCTCCCGTTTCTCTACTGGCCTCATTTTGTTCTACCTTTGTCTTATTTCTATTTTTCAAGAAGTTGATTGTTAATGCCTCAGCATAGGTTTTATTTTTCTGTAATGGCAATCTTGGCAACCAATCCCTGCAAAAAAGCTACTAAAAAAGTGAGATAAAATAATTTTAAAATATGGTTGAGGGAAATTAGTGATGTTAGTGTGGAATTACCAGAGTAGGAAATGGGAAAGGACAAAATCCAGAGAGGTGAGTTCAACTTTCATGAATATTTTGTTCTCATGGAGTTTATCAACTGAAAGAGGCTAGAATAAAATCAGTCTAAAGTCTTTCAAAAGAGAGGCCCTCATAAAACAACCCTGAATTTGGACTGGGGATCCAAAGAGATGTACCCTAGGATAAGGATATGAAATAAATAAACAAAGCTTTGCATGCTCTGAAGCTTGGTCTTGAGTCATTATGGAGAAAAAGTCTCATGTGTCAGGGTTGAATTAAAGTTACCTGAATTGCTAGAAATTTTGGCAATGGTAATTTACAATTCACATTGGGGGAAAGTGACGTTTTCCGAAGACTCAAACTTATTTCCATGAATTAAACTTTAAATTTAATATCCATTACACAATCAAAGATTACCAGAAACACACACACGGAAAGATTCCATTAGTAAGCAGCAAGAAAAATGACAGGCAATGGAATAGACTCACTTCCAACTCAAAACTGGAATTATTTGACATAATTATTATTATATGTCTTTAATATTTTTAAGGAGATATATGCCAAGCTTTAATTTGAGAGGAAGAAAGCAGTATACAGTTACATAAAAGATTTGGAAAAGGATTATCTAGATAGTATAAAACTAAAAATATAATGTATCCATAAAAAATGATGAGTTCATGTCCTTTGTAGGGACATGGATGAAGCTGGAAACCATCATTCTCAGCAAACTACTGCGAGGATAAAAAACCAAACACCGCATGTTGTTCTCACTCATAGGTGGGAATTGAACAATGAGAACACTTGGACACAGGAAGGGGAACATCACACACTTGGGCCTGTTGTGGGGTGGGGGAGGGGGAAGGGATAGCATTGGGAGATATACCTAATGTAAATGACGAGTTAATGGGTGCAGCACACCACCACGGCACACGTATACATATGTAACAAACCTGCACGTTTTACACATGTACCCTAGAAAATAAAGTATAATAAAAATATACACATAAAATAAATAAATAAATAAAATATAATGTATCCTAATGCAACTGAAGAAAGTCAAAAACAAATTTTCACAGTAGCCACAGAGAAGCCATATATTTTAGTCACCATTTCTTATTTCTGGATTCTTTCCCAATGTTTCTCATACCAAATTCTGTAACAATTTAGAAATGTTTCTACTAAAGACTCTAAATTGATTATGATTAACTTTACAAAAAAGTTAAAAAAGAACTTTTGATATCTCAACTCTCCTTCATTCATGCATTAAAAGATTCACATGGCATCTTCATAATTGGGGAATAATAAAAAGGAGTATTAAATATAAACTTAAGAGTTTATTTTCTAAATGGTTAGAATTTCAGAGAAGCTGAATTTTTTCATATTTGTTTATCCTGTCTTTCCTGGGATATAAGCTAACAACCATCATTAAATGAGACGATATATATCACATAATGTTATATATGCCTTAATAAATGGATGCATACAAACAAACTTGAAAGTATCTACAAATTAGGGAAATCTATTATTTTCTTTCTAAACAAGGACCTCAAGTTGAAACAACTATGTTTAACATAATTTTCAAATATATGTTACATTTGGATGGTATAACTTTAGTTTTTTAAAACAATAAAGTTTAACTGTTGTGTGACTTGCACAAGTTAAGGGTTTCAGCAAATTGTCTGAAATACTTTTGTAAGGAAACTCTCCCTCACTCCCAACCACCCACTCACCCTGTCCTAGCAATACACAGACAGAGACAGAAACAACTTTTGAGAGGACTATTTCATACAATATTTTTGTTTGTTTTGCAGTTGTGAAGTTCAAAAGCTCCAAAATCCCACTATTTTTGTTGCTATTGTAATTCTTAACTGAATTGGCCATAAACCTAACTGGAATTAATAGAATGCTATTTCTATTCCTCACTTAGACAATTTAGGGTGAACATTCATACACTTTTCTGCTATATACACATACATACGTATATAGATAGATTGTTGGACAAAGAGGGGCTGCCACAAACCCCAAACGGATGTTCTACATTATGCATGCACCTTTCTAAAACTCTAAAATATATCTAATTCCAAACACTTCTGACACTAGAGGTTTCTGAGTGAAATACTTTCTTGTACTAAACAATAGTGAGAATCTGTTGGTGGCGAAAGTTTGTAAGTACATCGTCACCTTCAAATAAGAACAGATATACCCAAAATTTACATATGATAAGAATGGAGTTCTTGAGAATGTTTTTGAGGGGAGTAGAGCCAGAAGGAAATGGTAAGATAAAAAAGATACTCATCTCTACACTTAGCATTTGTAGATAAGACAATTTGCTTAAAGTTTTGAATTTAATAGTGCAAGATTTAAACATTTATAAAAGACATATATGATGTCTACATCTAGAAGACGACTTCTACGGAACAAAAATCAAATTTAAATTTTAATACAAAAAAGAAAGAAAAAAAGAGTGTTGAGGTTCTTTCAATAGGTTTTTCTGTAACTTGAACTCAAAAAGATTTAAAAAATATGGCTAGATTGATTATTATTCCCCATAGGCTAGTAAATAGTCGATTTTTCTATACTTTAACCTCCATACCAGACTCACTCTTCAGAGCCCTAAATCTTGAGATATAATAATGAAAAATTGGAGGTCTATTTAATACAATTTTTTTCTTACTGGGTTTTTGAGAATTATAAATTCATTAAAAATGAAAATAAACTAAGGAAAAGAGGTTAGGCTTTTTTCTTAAGATGCCAGCTAAGAATGGTGGCATGCACATGTAGTCTCAGCTACTCAGGAGTCTGAGGTAGCAGAATTGCTTGAGCCCAGGAATTCAAGTTCAGCCTGGGCAACATAATGAGATCCCCATCTCTAAAACAATTAAATTTCTAAATAAAATATTGAAAAAGAATCTAATTACTAGAAGATAATTTACATCCTTGTTAAAGATAAATATATAATATAATGTAATATAATATAAGAAATACCAAGGTACATATCATCAGACGCCACTTAAAAAAACAAAAGCACTAAGTAAACTTTATAGAAAACTGGCAGATATATGCCATACCAGTTGGGAAAACAATTGGGATCCAAGGGGTTGAAAAGAATAAAATAAGTTACCAAAACTGAGTAGTTCATATAAACATATATATACCTGTGTGTGTATATATATAAATATATATATAAATATATATAAATATATAAATATATATATAAATATATATAAATATATAAATATATATATAAATATATATAAATATATAAATATATATATAAATATATATAAATATATAAATATATATAAATATATATAAATATATAAATATATATAAATATATATAAATATATAAATATATATAAATATATATAAATATATAAATATATATATAAATATATATAAATATATGTATATATAAATATATGAATATGTATAAATATATATAAATATATAAATATATATATAAATATATAAATATATATAAATATATATATCACAAAATTATCAAAACTCCTTTCCTGATACAGGAAAAAATATGTATACACATACATGTGACACATAGCACAAAATTATAAAAAAAAATGTGACACATAACACAAAATTATCAAAACTCTTTCTTGATACAGGAAAAAATATATATATACACATATATGTGTTTACATATGTGTGTGTGTGCATATATATATAACACGTGTGTGTATATATATATGTATTTATTTTTTATTTTTTCCTGTATCAAGAAAGGAAATTTTGTAGGTCGTTATGTACACAACTGTGATCATCTTGAGTGACTAAGGGAAAGAAATTAGACTATCTAATGTTTAAATAAGCCTAGTTAAAGATCAGTGCAATCCTTGGAGTAATAAGACTTCTTTATAATTTCCAATATAAAGAGATGATAAGCGAATGATCTTGTTTCTCACAGTGCAGATGAAGAGCAAGATAATTTTGCTTATTGAATAATCACCATGAGCAGTTACAATTTGCCCTAAGAAAACATTTCCAATAGTAATTAATTCTGACTGTTTAACTTTTTGTTTGTATATTTATATTGTTTATTTTTGTTAATACATTGATATAAAAGAATTGGAAGAAGTCAGACAAAGAAAAAAATAACCAGCATAGAGAGATCCCATCACCTTCCTTTCAAGGGGGATAAAAGATAAAGTGTGAGGAGAAATACAGTGTATACAATAAATATGTCATATGGAGATGGTAGGAGGGATATTGTCAACATTATACTTTTCATTTGAGTTTTGTCTTACAATTTCATGCTACAGAAGACTGCTAAAATTTTATCTAGGTAGGTCACTAAAACACTCCCAATTTCTTATAATATTTAGACAGAAAATAACGCGCTGATTCTCATATGATTCCAAGCTGTCTCCCGAGCTTGCAGTGCATGACTTTTGCCAGAGCAAAGGGCTATGGGATGGAAAAGACTGCCTCCTGACTCTGGGCTTCAGAGCAGCTTTGCAGCTGTTAACAAGGAAAGCCTCGTGGTATTGTGCTAGATGATTTCATGACTTTCTAATCATTTTTAAATTGTGAAATTATCAAAACAGACACGAGATGTTGCCAAATCTGTGTTTCTTTGCTTTCAGCTTGTTTTAACTGCAAGCAAGGGTTTGAAACGTCAATGTTCTTGCTACTACCTCAGAGTAAGCCACATTTAAAACTCAAGCTTGCCGCAGACATTTCTATTTTGAAACTGTGGCTTTCTTTAAAACTGTAATTTGTATTAAAGTGCATATTTATGTAATTGTTCTATATACTACCATATGTTGCTGTAACAATGTATTAGAGATACAAGCGTAGTAAAAATAAGACTACTTTAAGCCAATGTTTCCATCAGACAATCATCAGTATTACTCCAGCGCAGCAACCCAACACTCAGCTAATACAAACTGGCCTTCAGACCAGGCTCTGCTCACTCACTTTCACAAAGAGGCAGTAATAATAATGGTGTGTGCCATAGTTGAGACAGAAAACTGCATCAGTATCTCAGACTTTTAGACGTTGGTATCAGGCAACCCTGTCCCCACGTGTTTGTCTCCCAATCCTGTAAGTTCCAGATCCCAAGGTCAGCTCTCCTAGTTGCTGATGTTCTATCTTTTAAAGCGCCCATCTTGGGTTATTCCTACTATTACAGTAGGATCTCTCAAGGCATTTTCTTTATAAGCTTTGGTTTCTTGTTCTTATTTAGATGTCCTGAAGTGCCTTCTTGATTTCTTTTTTTCTCTGGCTTCAGACCCCTACATGGCCAGAGGCCCCAGGGTTTTGCCTTTCTTCTCCCCCTCATCTCCCTCACTCCTGAGGTCTGTCCTCTAATGTAGTGGCCCCCAACCTTTTTGACACCAGGAACATGTTTCATGGAAGGCAATTTTCCCACAGATGGTGGGGGGCGGTGTCGGGGAGAAGATACGGTTTCAGGAAGAAACTGTTCCACCTCAGATCATCAGGCATTAGATTCTCACAAGGACTGCGCAATCTAGATCCCTCTGATGTGCATTTCACAATAGAGTTCGAGCTCCCATGAGAATCTAATGTCACCACTGATCTGACAGGAGGCAGAGCCCAGGCAGTAATGCTTATTTGCCTGCTGCTCACCTCCTGCTGTGTGGTCCGGTTCCTAATAGGCCACCAACCAGTCCGTGGTTGGGGAGTTGGGGACCCCAGCTCTAGTGAATCTCTGTAGGCCACTCCAAACCAAAGTAAAATTAAAAATTAAAAAAAAATTTTTGAGTTTAAAAAATTCAAATACCTAACATTTTTAACATGCTTTGAAAACCCCTCAGGAAGCCCTGTAATTGTTTCTTATTGGTAAGTAACATTTGAATAAAAAGAACTTTGTTTATTATACCTGATTTTAATTTCACGTTTTGAGAAATATATACTGGATAGATAGATTTAGTTTCATGCAGTCATGTTTAAATTATATATCCAAATTAACTTGCATTATATATCTGCATCGTGACTTTACTTGGAAGGCATTAAAGGCTAATAAATAGTATTCACTATATCAAATATGTACTTTCACACATATCTAAATAATTATATATTAGCATTTCTACATTTAATAATTTTATTTGTAAAATTTAATACATAATATTATCTGCAATTATTTAATCAGTGAGCGTTCAAGGGCATGTCAGATTAAGATTAACCTTAAAAAGCTTATTTTTAATTATTTTCCGTTGTTTTTTAAACAAACTTCTCTCACAAAATTTACATCCAAGCTAACTGGTGAAGAATAAAACATTACACACCTATACATGCACACATACAAAAGGACTCTATTTCAACAGCACATCAGGCCTTTAAAATATAAACAATCAAAAAGGAAAATGGTTGAAACAGAAAAAATAACTCAAAACTTTAAAAGAAATGTCATGTAAAAAGCAAAATGCTTAAACTGAAAATATAGCATTGTACCTTATCAGCTCACATTTTACTTTTGAGTCATCCAAATTTTGTCATCCAATTATTTTTGAACCCTGTATATTAATTTTTCATTAGGATTATCTTAATAGGAAGTTTTATTATTTTTGCTTTTATACAACATTTTACTATAGCAATTTATGACATCTTGACTTGGTTGTTCGCAATTTGTTTCTGTCCCCTTTAATGACAAAAAGAAGAGGAAGAAGACGGAGGAGGAGGAGGAGAGGGAGAGCAAGAGGAAGAAACAAACCAAAGAATAAAAAAAGTTTATAAATGAGCAGTCACTGCAGTAACTAAGCCAAGTTTTATAAAGCAGAGGAAATATTCTCATTAGAAGCAGTGCTAAATTAAATAATAGATACAGGTTTTTTTTAAACTGGGATATTACTCTTAGAAAAAATATAAAACTTAATTTATGATCTCCTCAAGACACACATTCTATTTATTAAATACATTTGAATTAAAGGGGGGGTTAAGGAAAATGATAAAACTTACAGTTAACTTTTACCACTAGATGGAGCCCAGGCATCTATATGGCAAAACTCCCACTGTGTTTACATTTGGCTGTATTTGATTACTTACTGAAAATGACATATAATCAGTTTAACCTGAAAGGGGTAAGGGATGATAGGTGTTTTTTAGAATATAGCGTCTTGGCAAAATGTAAATTGATGAAAAGTGAACATGACTTCTCTTTAGAATCCTCCCTCCTGAATACAGATCTTCCATCACATAAAATACACAGACCTCTTAACTTTTGTGCCTGCCTCTTCGCATTCTACCTATTTTGGGAAGGCCTCTCAAGGATGCTTACTAATGCTCTTAAGGTTATTCCAGCTCCTCTTGCCTTACTCTTTTCTGAACCCACTGATTAATGAAATATTCATTCTTGGTGTTGACCATATATTTCTCTTACGTGTGCTTACAGTAATTTCACATGAAGAAGTGGCTTTCTCTCCCCATGGCAGAATTATACCATAATACCTATGAAATGGATATAAGCTTCAAAAATACAAATGGCTAACTTGGTACAAACAGATACCATTCATTTTGTTTCATCTTTAGGCCTCTGGGAAGTCTATGTACAAAAGGCATAGCGAAAAAGAAAAAAACAAAAACAGAGATTTGGTGCCCTCTGCCATTAATAATTAAACTTCCAGAAATTATCTTGGAAAAGATTACCAAACTAGAGATCCAGAACCAAGACAGTAAAGTTTTATAAGCTGCTGCAAAGTTTGCCATTTTCCAGAGGCTAGAATTTGGCATTTTTTGTCTTAATGTAAATTGTTCTGTTTTTGATCAATGCTGAAAGTTCATAACATATAATATTTGTAATTTTGTGAAGGCAGAGATTTGAATCCCATATTGTGTTACGAAGCCTTTGTGCAATGAGTGACCCTCTGAGCTTAAGAGTAGGTCTAATTACGTTCCCAGAACAGGCATCATAACCTGGCTCGGTTTTCAACTTGCTGTTCTTTGGAAGAAATGTTTTTGGACTCATCTACTACACCTCTATTTGATATTTTCTAGTTTATATTTGCATTTAGTGGAAAGACAGCTAAAAATAGAAAATGCTTGGGGCTAGGTTTCCATGAAGAAAAAGAAATAAGTGTTGGAGAAGACCAAACATCTTGGGATATGGCAAATTAATCAGCTACCAAAAGGCATGCTTGGAACCGGATACAAAAAAGAAAAGCAGCAAGTGTAGGAATGACTGGGGCTGAGTCTCAGACATCTTTCTGGAGCTTCATTCACTCACATGCAAAGATCATTTGTTCAACACCTAGAATGCATCAGCCACCAAATTAGGACCACACATCCATAAATATTAGACAACTGAGAAATTTAGGAGTTTAATGAGAAAAGGAGATTAGAAAAGAGACTACTATAGCACAGTGATATGGGAACTATAAACGACAATGGGAGACTATATAGGAAGGTTATTTACGTTGAGGGTATATGTAATTAAGCCCTGAGGGGGAGAGAAAGAGAGGTTTTCATGAAAAAATGATAAACTGATTTCTTTCTTTTTTTTTTTTTTTTTTTTTTTTTGAGACAAGGTCTCACTCTGTCACCCAGGCTGCCAGGCTAGAGGGCAGTGGCTATAGTGTTGCCATCACAGCTCATTGCAGCTTTGACCTACCAGCCTCAGGTGATGCTCCCACCTCAGCCTCCTGGGTAGCTGGGGACTACAGGTGTATGCCATGTTGCCGGGCTAATTTAAAAAAAAAAATTTTTTTTTGGTTGAGACAGGGTCTCACTATGTTGCCTGAGCTTGTCATGAACTTCTAGGCTCAAGCGATCTTCCCCCATCAGCCTCCCAAAGTGCTGGGATTGCAGGTATGAGACACTGTGCCTGGTCAATACACTGAGTCCTTCCTTCCTTCTTTTCTTTTTTATTTTTTTTCCAAAGTCTCACTGTCGCCCAAGCTGGAGTACAATGGCACAATTTTGTCTCACTGCAACCTCAGCCTCTCAGGTTCAAGTGATTCTCCTGCCTCAGCCTCCCAAGTAGCTGGGATTGCAGGTGTGTGCCACCACACCCGGCTAGTTTTGTATTTTTAGTAGAGATGGGTTTTCTCCATGTTGGCCAGGCTGGTCTTGAACTCCTGACCTCAGGTGATGGGCCCACCTCGGCCTCTCAAAGTGCTGGGATTACAGGCGTGAGCCACCACGCCCAGCCTGATTTCTTAAACAATGAATAATTGAGGCTAAGTAAGGAAGGAGTCTTGTGATTGAAAAGCAAGAAAAGGAGATTCTTCCCATAGGAGCTGTGTTAATTGTAAGAAATTCCCTCTTTCTGAGAGGGAAGTACAGGAATAATTGAAAGACCAATCTGTTGCTGAAGAATCTAACCATAGCTAAAAGGGTCTTATTTTGCTATGCCTCATGCCCGGAAGCAGCCATTAAGGGTTTCAGAGGACAGAGGGAAACTCACATTTTTATTTCAAAGTAGTCAAACCAATATTTCTTTTGAATGTGAAATTTCAGTGAGCCTTTTAAAGGTCAAATTACATTACTCCTCTGCTCACCAATTTCCAAGAGTTTCCCATATATTACTGACATTGGCCAAGTCTCTCTAGATTTTTATTCTGGTGTTAACCTCTCTGAGGCATTTCCTTCTCCTTTTCCTTTCCATCATCCCTTTCCAACCACAATGATTTTCCATTTCTTTCCTGAACACACTCATCTTTCCATACCAGGTCTTGGAAGCATCCTTGCCCTCTACCTGAACCTGAACTCCTATTCCCTAAAATAGCAGTATGGTTTGCTCCTTTACCTCCTTCGGGAGTTTGCCAAGAGTTCATAGAAAACACATACATCCTTCACTATCCTTCCTCCCCTGCACCTCAAAAGTGCTTATCCTTTCCCCTCTCTTTGTTGTCCCACATATTGGACTTACCACTATGTGCATACTGTATATTTTATTAACTTATTGCTAGAAAACATCTTTCTCTACTGGAACGTAAACTCCTCAGGGGCTTCGATATTCGTCTGTATTGTATTTGATATACTTTAATTGTTTCGGTATACTAAATACCCAAGACAATTCTTGACACATAGTTGCTTCCCTTTTTCTTTCAGTGAATTAAGCCATTGGTGGCAGAAACAAGTTATGAAAAGTCTCAGAAATCCAGGCACATAGGTGATGAGGAGCACCAATTTAAGTTTAGTAGTGCAGAAAAAGAAACCCTTCAAGATTAAGGTGCAAGCTCCCAGAGGACATGACAAGAAATTGTCTATCCTTGTGTGGCCTTGAACCAGGCAAACAAAAAATACGTCCTTAGTGGGAAAACATTTGTTTTTAAAATTAAAATGACAGAACAACAGTTCAAACATTTCTCTTCTATCAGAGAGGAATAACCTAGGAACAAGCAGGTGCCATTTTCATATAGTTAACATTTACTGATACTAAAGGCGTCGCTTAATTACACCTATGTTATTCTTGATATATCCTGTCCATTATTATGTTTAATCCTCTCAAACCCAGTGTGATTTGTTTTCCCAGAGAATCAGAGATTAAGTAACTTAGTCAAGAGTATGGGCTAGGAGTGGATGTCTTCGGAATTCAAAACTCTCTCTGGGAATTCAGATGCTATTTGCTGAAGTGGGTAAGGAAGCTTCATATCCCACGAGCATCCTTACTTTGTTGGGTTTGGTAGAGGGTTGAGCTGCGGGTCTCTAAAGTTAACAGAGTAGCAGCACTGTGCTTTAGGTCAGAGGACTGAAAAATGAACAATATGCAGATGCTGCACTCAGGTAACTAATGGTCTAGTGGAAGGAAAAAATAACTAATTTATAGAAGTTTAGGGCATTGTTTTGGATAACTAAAATATAGAATTATTTTCTTTTTTCTTTCTATCTCTATTGAAGTTAATATATAAAATGATTTCTTAAAAGTTTTTGAGATTACTGTTTTAAGGATCACATTATTGATATTGCAGTCACCAGGATAAGCTGAATAATTTCAAGGTGTTTAAAAAGTAATACATCCATCTGCCAACCTACTAGTAGTACTAAAATAATAAAATCCTAGACTCATAATTTAATTGTACACCCCTTCCTTGAAATCATTGATAAACATTAACTTTATGTATGGGGCAGGAATAAAAGTAGAAGCAATTGTCTTGGTTTCAGAAATGGGCTTGTTCTTATACAAATTAAATTCTTAACTTTATCCTTCACTGAAGTCCTGCTTCTCTGCTAATTTCACTGTCAAAAACAGAACTGATGACTTAGTAATACAATCTATATGAACAAAAGACAATATTTTGGCAGTCATGTATGTCATCATTTTTGGATTTGTGTTACTAGAAAGTTTTGAGATTTTTGAGGTTAGGCACTCCCTTTACTTCAAATTCTGACCTTTGAGCGATTTGAGTATCTACAGAAGCCTTCCCTTCTGTTTGCGCTCACCAACTACACATATTTTTTCTGGGAGAAATACATTCTTACATACTTTATCTGCCTATAGAGACAATATATTTTAGTTGCTAATATCAGGAATTTTAAAGTCAAGCATTCCTGTATGCAGGTCTGGGCTTGCTAGTTATGTGACTTTGGACAATTTACTTAACATCTTTCTAAGCCTCTCCTTATTTTTTTTTAATCTGCCAAATGGAAGTGTAGAAATCCGCTGACAAACTGGTCTTAATGATCTATATTTTATGGCATTCAAATATTCTGTAAGCCCCTCCCACAGTGAATTGGGACTAGGTTTGTGTGACCTACAGAATATCATGGAAGTGATCTTGTGTGACATCTAAAGTTAGGTTATAGAAGGCATTACATTTTCCCCCTTGGCCTCTTGGATTGTTCTCTCTGGGGGAAGCTAGAAGCTATCCTTTGAGAACCTTTGGGCAATCAAGCAGAGAGATCTATATAGGAGTAAAGGAGGCCACTCCATTAATAGCCAGTATCTTTGTACTAGCCTTGTAATTGGATCCTTCTGTCCTACTCTAGCCTTTAAATGACTTCGTCCCCAGGCAAGAAAGAATGAAACTGCAAGGAGGATATGAAGAAAAGAACTGCTCAGCTAAGCCCTTTTTGAATTCCTAATCAATAGAAGCTGTGAGAAATAAAAATGATTATTACGGCTTAAGCCACTAAGGTTTAGGATAATTTGTTACACAGCCATAATTTCTGGAACAGGGATAATATATTTGTGGTTGAAATGTTGTGAGAATAAAATGAAAAAATATATATAATGAGATTTAAAAATGTGTGTCTGTGTGTGTGAGCATGCATGAAAGCATGAAGCCAAGTGCTTAAAATTCAGGGAAAGGGGTAGAAGCCCTGTGTGAAAACAGGCTGTGTTCCTGTAAAGATTTTTGCACTCTGCAGCCAACACTATGTGTTCACTAAAATATATTCTCCTTTTTGGCTGAGATAGATTATATTTCCCAGGCTCATTTTTAGTTAAGAATTGCCGACCAGGCGCGGTGGCTCACACCTGTAATCCCAACACTTTGGGAGACTGAGGCAGGTGGATCACATGAGGTCAGGAGTTTGAGTCCAACCTGACCAATGTGGAGAAACCCCATCTCTACTAAAAATATAAAATTAGCCAGGTGTGGTGGCCCATGCCTATAATCACAGCTACTCAGGAGGCTGAGGCAAGAAAATTGCTTGAACCTGGGAGGGAGAGGTTGCAGTGAGCCAAGATCACACCATCGCACTCCAGCTTGGACAACAAGAGTAAAACTGTCTCAAAAAAAAAAAAATTGCCATGTGACTAAGTCCTGCCAATGGAATGGGAGCAGAGGTGAAATATGCTGCCCCAAAACCTCCAATGGGCAATCTTCTACTTACCTTCAATTCTTCTTTCAAAATGGAGACGAGTGAAATCATAAGATGGAAGGAGCCTAGGTACCTAACAGACCACATAAAAGGATACACACTAGACAGGAAGGCTAACATTGGTCTTTTTCTGAGCAAAAAATAAACTTACAATCGTGTTAAGCCAGTAATACTCTGGAGTTTATCTGCTACAGTAAGTATTGTGGTGTTGACTAATACATACCTGCACTTGACACTGAAACCTTTCTCCCTATCAGGACTCCCCTCCCTGTTGTTAGCCTACTCTGTGCCTGGTTCTGGTACAGCATAGACACTAAATTGCAAGAAATTGAGTTCATCTAAACTGTTAAACGTAACATGGAGACTAAAGGTCTGTCTCGTCTGGAAACTTCATGGAATGAAGCTAAAAGACACCATGTTTTCAGACACTGGGTTCATGTACTTCACATCAACTTTTCTCTGTTCTAATGTACTCATTATATCCTCTAATATATCACCTAATGTTTCCCCATCACTTGCCCAACATGGCTACAGCTTCTGACCCATCCTGACCTGACAACCTGATTTTCCCACTTAGAAGCTGTATGACCCTTGGCAAGTAAAAATATCATGTAAGATTTTCACTGTATATTCTAAGAATAATTAATATGAAATGAGATAAAGTAAATGAAGCGAGAGACCCATGAATGTACCTGGTACTTATCAGGTGCTTAATAAACAGTATTTATTGTTATTCAAAATAAAAATTATTTATCAAAATGGCTTATATTTATTAATAAAATGAAAATATATTTCACCTTTTTAAATACATAATGATATTTAAAATCCTACATTTTCCTATCCTAATACTCTGACAGATATTACAAAATAATATCAGTATATTGCATTATGGTATACATTTCATGATGCTTCCTGGGCATATGAAAGTTAAATGTATCAGTTCCTTTGTTGTGCTTCTCCCTGCCTTAATTTGAAATCTCTCTGGCAACAGAAACTCTTCATAAACTCTAGAAGGAAAAGCATATAGTCCAAGCTTATAACCAGAAAATTGAACTCAACTCTATTTTATCATAATATCCTGCGCTAATGTGATGATACAGCTGACAAAATTTAACAAGCTTGCCAGTATTTATTACAGAGCACCACTTTGTAGCTTGAAATGGATACTCATCCCAGCAGGTGTCAAGACTCAGCAACAATCCACTTTTAAAGTTAAATGCAAAATACACACTGAAATTCTACAGAGAAAACAACTTCCCTTCTTCCCCACACACATGAAAAAGGCTTCGTGTGTACTATTCACTAATAAGGTGCACTTATAAATGAATTGGGAAAATGTTTTTCTGGTCTTAGAAACATCAAAGTCCATTTCATAAGTAAGAAATAAAATGTGACTTTTAACAAAACAAACACCTTGATGATTATTTTTTACCACATTAACAAGGGATTTAGAGTCCTTATGTTTCTTTTGAACTTGGTAGTAAGTTTCACTGTGTTTAGCATGTTGATGTTAAACATGGCCCTGACAAGTGCTAATGTATACCCTTTGGATTACTTGATACTCTCTATAGAGACGAACTACTGAATTTAAAAAAAAAAAAAAAAGAAAGAAAAAAAATAAAAAGAATGTTTCTGCCTTGAGTTCAAACATTCAGTTGTAAATAACATGACAAAACAAAACCACCAATATTTAAAGTGCTTGGAAAAGTATTGATTATGCAAATTATCTTACACTAATCTAGACATCACAATCAGTGATTCCCAACATGACTGCAATAAATATCAAAGAAATGTAGTTACAATAATTGTAGTTTGGTATTTAGTGGTCATTTTCTTTCATAGTATCCCAATTCCTATTGCATGTATTCCTAAAATAATAATTCTTCCAGTGTTCTCAATATATCAGCATTTATGGACTTAATATTTTAAATTTTTATTAAAAGTTACCATAGAATACAAGTAAGTCCAAATGTGAAGGAAGCAATTCAACAATGGAAGAAGTTTATTTTTCACAATACCAAGGGAGGTTCCTGAAGGCAGTAATTCTCTAAATGATGTAAAAAGTAGTTTTACAAGTGCCTATATTTTCTTATTACCTTTGATATGTAAAAAACTCATAACAAAGGCTTTAAAAGTCACAAAAGAAAAGATGTAAAGAGAAAATAAGGATTCACAAAGCAAATTTGAAATGCTAAACATCATATTGAAATGACATATAGAAATGTAAAATCTGAAATCTTTCTGAAGTTTTTAACAACATAAAATTATCAAAAAAGTGTTATTTATAACCTTGGTGAGTTTTTTTTTTTTTTAAATATGCATCTGCTATTTATTTACAATTACAATTATCTGCTTTCAAGTAGTCCTGTCTTTGGGTCATTTAAAAAATTAAGTCGCTTCATTCTATTCTCCTTCTGTGATATCAAAGTGACTAAAACGTAGGTGATTAGAAAACAGCAATCTGTCAAAACTTCAATCCTTTGCTTTTCCCTAGGGCAGTAGATTATTTCTTCATCAGAATATCTGTTAGTTAATACCAAAGGCTTTGCCCAACTTCAAAGCAGAGATATTAAAGGCTCACTTTCCACTACAAGGCAGGTGTATTTTTATTAGCTTTCTCTTTCAAAATTGCTATGACTTCACTTGCGGATATCCCGCCAACAACCATTATTGAAAGCCTTACTATAATTGCTAAGTTACATGCAATGTCTGAAGCACAAAACCAGTGTCACTTACAACCCTCCAACAACTGACTGAAACCAAGTGTTACATCATTAAAGCTGAATTACAACATACCCATGGCGTGTTTTCCATGTGTGCTATATTTTAAACAATAGTAGAGCAAAACCTAGCTATAAATTCACAGATCCCCCATTTGTTCAAACTCATGAACAATAAGAGCTGTCCGAGAGCCTTTACTGGCTCTATTTTAGTCAGAAAAGTCATGCACCAAAATTAAATGTCTGTTTGGATTTTTATTGGAGATGGAAATGCTAGCTTTATGTTGTAAATTTAAACAACCTGCCACAAAGGGAGACTCACATTTGTATGGCTTGGGAAGCCGTATTCATCTCTAATTGCTTATAGTAACACAAATAAACTAATGTAAAGTGTTCCATTTCTTAACTGGTTTCGTGTAAAATAAATCAGCTGAAGTGATGATGGCATGAGTTTTCAGTGGGTTAGGATTAGATTTCTTTTCTTTGATAGAGCTGGATGTGGAATTCATGCATTTAGCTATTGTTAATGAATAGGAAGTTTTCTGTAAATTTATGAAAATTCAAAAAGACATTCATTAATACTGATGAAAGAAAATATTGGCAGCAAACTCATATTACTCTTTTTTGATCTAATTAAGTTCAACCCATTTGAATATTTGGTGATCTAAGTGGAAATATTTCTTCTGTCATAGTGGTATGCAAAGCAATTATAATTACTTTTTTAGAAAGGTCGACAACTTTTTTATTTGGCTTCAGTGATTTTATGGTGCCTAGATTCCACCGGAAAATATTTAGTCACTCGCTTACTTGGATAGAAATCCGTCACCTGGAATAGAAATCATGGTAAACCTGCCAGCATCTTTGTGCAGACAGGCCCTGAAAATATATACTAGCGAAGGCCACTGCCAAATGACTTGTGTCTGGCCAGCACTACCTTTGAAATGTTCTCTGCATACCAGTTACTGTTAAGATTTATTATAGCATGTGTAGATAAATATATTTCAGTTTTCACATCTATAACTTAGATAACACGGTAGCAATGTACACACTACATATTACCTTTCTTCAGTTGTGGTTTCAGTAGCCATTCACAATATTCGGATTTCTCACCAAAATCTAAATGTAGTCTTCGTGTTATTTTAAATAGATCACACTAAACCAAATGTAGGGATTTACCATTGTTTAAAACTAATCCAGAGAGAAATCAGTTTAACTTTGTAATATATCTCCATCATGAGAAACACATCATAGTAAGTGGAAGATCTACTCCAAAACACATTGAAGACCTGGAGCCCTGTAAAAATATATAATAATCTGAAAGCTAACAGGTTGTCCGCTATGTGAGGCTAATTCAACTACTACTATTCCTTCTATTTATTTAAATTCTTGCATTCACCTGCAAACAAAATAACACATACTCCCCCAAAATTTCTACAGGTCATCTCTTCTAACACATTCAATTTCAATTTATAGCACAAATTATGATGGCAAAAGAAATTCATAACATTCACCAAAAAAAAAATTATGCTCTTACCACAAATGTATGTCCACCCAGTTCTTTTGTTTATTTAGAAAATCTCAATGCCAACTAAATCAAAGCAGCTGTACTATTTTAAGGTTTATTTGTTTTCTTTAAATTTGGTGAACACTGTACTTTTCTATAAAATCGGTTGACTCAATATGGCAAAAAAAAAAGAAAAAAAAACACCAGTAACTTTCAGCATACCCACTTGTTATTCTTCATCTTGAATCCCAAAATCAATCTTACTAATTCATGTAGAAGGACTGCTGTTGAATAGAAGATATTTTACACAATTGCGTGTTCCTAGCAAATGATTTTGGGAAATTTCAATTGTCATTTAAATGTGTGCCACCGAATATATTAATCACATTCTTTAGATTGTAGAATATGGGCTGTTATATTCATCAAGTATTTGTAATTCTGCTACTTTGTGTGTTCTGATACATTTTGAGAAAGTCATGGAGAAACTAAACTGTGTTATTTCTAATTTCAACATGGCTAGTCTTAGGTTATAATAATTACATGATTTAAAAAAGCATTTATTAAGTAATTACTTATCAGGCTCTACATAACATATATTTCAGGCAAATCAAGATGGCCTAAATTGTATTTACATTTAGACTATAGAGTAATTTTCTCAAACCACATAAAACCATTTTGACACCTGGTCCTTTTAAAGTTCATGAACTTCAACATCTGAAAACATGTGTGAGATTGTCAAACATTCCAGTGCCCTCCCTGGGGGCACTCAAACGTATGTAACTGTGTATATCACAATATCATCATATGCCATCAAATTTTCTTGAAAGGAAATTCCTGGATCATTTTATCAGGTTAGCAAAATGTCACATCCCTAAATCCGTGGGATAAGGAGCAAGGACTTTTGAATGAGGAAGAAGTTTATATTGCAACTACAGGCTTTCTAAAGTTTGGAGTCAAGCATGACCACTCTTTCTAAATTCCTTTGTATTCAAAAATAAAATGGTGCCAAAGACTGGAATAATGCAGGAAATATGCAAGAAGGAAGGCCTTAAGCCAAGAATTACTTTTTAATAACAGAATATATTTCATAATTATATAATTCATATTCTCAATCATGCCCGAGAAAGAGGGAGACAGTAGGGAAGGGGACAGGCAATGAGAGGAATGACTGGCCATAAAACAGAGGAGGGTCTGGTAGCCTTGCACAACTCAAGGAGACACTTGAAATCAATCCCAGCTACTCAGCTATTTATCTCTGCCTTGCCAGTGATCTTCCCAGCTGAGAAAAGGATTTTGGAGAAAAGGGCAGGTGGGAAAACTGATTAAATCTACCACTACAACACATATGTAGAGAAGAGGTCATTACAATTCTGCCTGGGAAAATGAGAGGGCCAACTGCAACCCACCTGCTCACCCTCAACAATCCTAATGCTTGATAGGAATAGGTTCACGAAATGCAAAGCAGCATCAGTCAAGGGGCAAAAATCTCTGTGGCAGTCTTTGTCCACCTGCTTCTGAGTGCAGCGACTGCTGAGTCTCACCAGCTGTTTCTTACATTTAGCAGATTGCTAACGCTTTTAACCAGGGGCAGATATATTAGGCACCTGGGCTCCACCTTTGCAACTGTGACTAGCAAAAGGAAGCTTCTCTCCAGTGGATTCTTAGCTGCAGCAATTAGCTGAGGAAAGCGATGAAAATCTCCAAGGCAAACATAATAGGTGATCTGGGGTTGTAATTAAGCAGTGACTTTGGACAGCTCCAGGGAAGATGTGACCAAAACTTTATCTCAGGTGGAAAGGAATGTTTTATAAATTACTTTTAGAGTATGTTCATGTATGTGAACAAATGTAATTAATTTTTAGCATCTAGAAACTCCTGAATATGTATATTTTATGTTTTCTCTGTGTAATATTATAATTAAATTTTTTAAGTAAGGTGGAATTCAGATAAAATAAATCATTTTAAAATATACAACTCAGTGGCATTTAGTATATTCATGTTACAAGACCATTACTGCTACCAAGTTGCAAAACATTTTCATCACCTGGAGAAGAAAAGGTGAATTTTTACACATTCATCTGATAGCTGAACATTTAATAGTTATATACATTAATTTTTAACTGTAGAGAAGGACAATATAATTGCATTCTAATCAGTCAAATTATTGTTAAACAAAAAATTTTGCAGATAAGTTTCTGTTTTTGAGATTTGGCATTGTGATGCTCTGATCTTATTTAATTTAAAGTCAACATTTGATAGAAATGTACCTTCATGAGTCTTCCATAGGTACAAATTTCCTCTTTCCCCAGTGCAGTCTCTGTTCAGGTACTGGGAGACCTAGCACTGCTATAGTTCCTAAAAACTGAAACAACTTTAAGACTAATAAAATATATATAATATTTCTAAAGATTTATCACTGTGCAAAGGGAGGAAGGGCTGAAGGGCTATATACAGCTAGTTGAATTTACTCCCAAAATTGTCATTCCACTTCTACTAGTCATTTAACCTCTTGTAACTACTGGCCACTTTTCTTCCTCTGGAAAAGGGTGCTCTAATCTTGCAGCATTTCAATGTTACCTTCAGTTTACATGCTTCACTCATCAAAATAAAAACTACCCAGTGTCTTTATATGTTTAACTGTAAAATAAGCATTTACACCTTAAACAATGTGGACAGTAGAAGGTTGGTTGGCAAGTGGGGAGCAGCCTCAATTCTCCAGATACATTTTTATACCTAGCTAAACAGTAGAAACACATGGAAAGTTTGTGTCTAAAGATCTTGGGTATTGGAATCAGCATCTTATAATTTCTCCAGGTTACTGTAGTAGCGGAACTGCAAGCTATGGAAACCACTGCTCTTCTATAGCTCTTTCTAGCAACAGCCATCAACTACCAGACTAACCATGAATAAGTCCTACAAGAGAGATGGGAGAAAGAGGGAGAAGTATCCCAGATCATGAGTACTAGTTGATCAATTCATGCTGAGGGGCCTGCAAAAATATCTACAGGGCCAGAATTCACCACACAAAGCCCTGACATGGAAGACAAAGTTTGTGTAAAATCATACTTATTACTATTTACAGAATTAGATATCCAAATGGAATGCTGTCATTTTTTTAATTTGAAGACATGATTGTAATTAACACTGAGTTATTTGAGGATAAGTACACTTTAATTTAAATACTTCTGCATATACAGTGTGATTATGCATATAATTATATCTAACAAAATCCAAACATAATTTTAGAGGATGTTCAGCTGGAATTATGTCAGAAGAGTCTGCTCCAAACTTTGTCAATTTGCAACATTATATGTCAGAAATGAGTTTCCATTATTGAAAAATAGGGCTTGCTGCATTTTATGCAGAATGTCAGGGCAGTCCCATTGAAGAAATTAAATGTATTAAAGTTATATAGACTGTTTACAGTATCTTTCCCATCCCTGTATGAAAATGATGTAAAAATCTAGGGACACCAATATCCCTTTATCCTTAAAGAAAATACCTTAGGCAAAAATCCCCCCAAAAGTTCCTGTGTTCAGCTACCATTAATCCAATGAAGTTAGTTAATGAAAGCATGATATTTCTAAAAGCAATTTTTTAAATCAAGTATCAATCGTAATTTTTAGCCCTATTCTTCAGAAATTGCTATGTTCATTATTAATATTTAGCTAAGGGTAAACAATGTTACATTTATAATTCAGCCCATAAGTTATTGGATATCAACAAGTGACTGTGACTGAGGCATAGATGGAAGGAGCATAGCACAGATACAAGTACAAGTTGAGTATTCCTTATCCAAGTTGCTTGAGACTAGAAGTGCTTAGAAGTTTCCGATTTTTTTGGATTTGGAATATCTGCATATGCACAATAAGGTATCTTGAGGATGGAACCCAAGCCTAAACTCAAAATTCATTTATGCTATATACACGTTATACACATAGCCTGAAGGTAATTTTATTTTTCCTTGGAAAGGCTGAATAAATTGCACGTTACACACCTGCAGTTTGACTGTGACCCATCACATGTCACATGAGGCCAGGTGTGGAATTTTCTAGTTGTGGTATCATATCAGTACTCAAAGTTTTAGATTTTGGAGTATGTCAGATTTTGAATTTTTGACTTAGGGATGCTCAACCTAATTACTTTTAAGACTTCAGGTCGGCTCTTTAGAGGTGCCAGAGACAATCTTACTACATAACAAATTTTGGGCTTCATAAACTCCTGTCACAGGCCAGGAGGCCTCGGGGGGAACAATGGTTTCCTGGGCTGGATCCAGTACCCTCCTGCTGTGTGCAGCCTCAGCACTTGGTGCCCTGTGTCCCAGCCACTCCAGCTGTGGCTAAAAGGGGCCAAGATACCACTCAGGCAATGGCTTCAGAGGGTGCCAGCCCCAAGCCTTGGCAGCTCCATGTGGTGTTGGTCCTATGGGTGTGCAGAAGACAAGAATTGAGATTTGGGAACCTCCACCTAGATTTCAGAGGATATATAAAAACACCTGGTTGTCCAGGCAGAGGTGTGCTGCAGGGGTGGAGCCCTCATGGAAAACCTCTGCTAGGGCAGTGCAGAAGGGAAATGTGGGGTTGGTGCCCCCACACAGAGTCCCCACTGGGCACTGCCTAGTGGAGCTGTGAGAAGAGGGCCACCGTTCTCGAGACCGCAGAATGGTAGATTCACTGACAGCTTGCACCATATGCCTGAAAAAGCCACAGGCAATGCCAGCCAATGAAAGCAGCTAGGAGGGGTGCTGTACCCTGTAAAACCAAAGGGGTGGAGCTGCCCAAGACCACGGGAATCCACCTCTAGCATCAGAGTAACCTGGATATGAGACATGGAGTCAAAGGAAATCATTTCAGAGCTTGAAGGTCTTTGACATGTCCTGGAGACATTTTCCCCTTGTCTTGGTGATTAACATTTGGCTCCTTGTTACTTATGCAAATTTCTGCAGCCTGCTTGAAATTTCTCTCCAGAAAATGGATTTCTTTTCTACTGCATCATTAGGCTGCAAATTTTCCAAATTTTTATGCTCTGTCACCTCCTGAATGCTTTGCTACTTAGAAATTTCTCCCACCAGATACCTTAAATCATTTCTCTGAAGTTCAAATTTCCACAGATCTCTAGGGCAGGGGCAAAATGCCACCAGTCCTTTTGCTAAAGCATTACAAGAGTCACCTTTGCTCCAGTTCCCAAGAAGTTCCTCATCTCTATCTGAGACCATCTCAGCCTAGACTTTATTGTCCATATCACTATCAGCATTTTGGTCAAGGACATTCAACAAGTCTCTAGGAAGTTCCAAAGTTTCCCACATCTTTCTGTCTTCTTCTGGGCCCTCCAAACTGTTCCAAGCTTTGCCTGTTACACAGTTCCAAAGGTCCTTCCACATTTTCAGGTACTTTTACAGCAGCACACCACTACCCAGTACCAATTTACTATATTAGTCCATTATTATGCTGCTAATAAAAACATACCTGAGAGAGTGGGTAATTTATAAAGGAACAAGGTTTAATGGACTCACAGTTGCACATGACTGGGGAGGCCTCACAATCATGGCAGAAGGCAAAGGAGGAGCAAAGGCATGTCTTTCAAGGCAGCTAGCAAGAGGGTGTGTGCAGGGGAACTGACCTTTATAAAACCATCAGATCTCGTGAGACATATTCACTATCATGAGAACAGCATGGGAAAATCTGCTCTATGATTCAATTATCTCTCACCGAGTCCCTCCCATGGCACGTAGGGATAATGGGAGTTACAATTCAAGATGAGATTTGGGTGGAGACACAGCCAAAGCATATCTGTATCTCGCCATGAATGCTCACTTTGCTTTTAAGTCTTCTGCCTAGGTCACAGGCTGAATCATAGGATGCATTTAGAAAGCATTTAAACTCATGTGACTGGGTGAATTGCCTCCAGTAAGCTGAGAGTAGATACCCACAGAGTTAAAAAAAAAAAAAAAAAAAAAAAAGGACTAAGTCCTGAAGCACTAAGAGACTTAGAGATTGGGAAGAAAAGAAGTCTCTAGCAGCTGAGAAAGCCATGGTCAGCAAGGGAGGAGTAAAACCTGCAAGTGTGCAATGCTGTGAAGACCAGAAAACAAAGGAGGGAAAGGTCAAAATTGCTGCTCCAAAATTAAATTGAAATGAATTCATAAGTGTCTTCCAAATTCTTCTCTACCTAAGCAAAGTATGTTCATCTTTAAAATCCGGTGCTAATGACTTCATTGGTAAACTCCCCACCCATCCCAACCATCCCTTTTCCCTCCCATTAGTCAAAACCAGGTTTACTAGTATATTGAGAGAAAGGCTTTATATTCAACCTCATCATATCATTTTCTTCAAGGTTTTAGCCAGGTTCCTCAATAAAAATGTTCAGAATGGAAATATCTTGACTAACAGATTTCGGCTTTCTCTCCTGATTTTGCGCGCGTGTGTGTGTGTAAAAGCTTGTTTCATTAAATACATATTTAGAAAAGGAACTGTCATCTCATTAATTTTCTGATCAACATAGTCAAGGCTTTTGTTCTTTATGTGGGAGTACAGTATAGCTGCAAAAAAAAAAAAAAAAAAAAAAAAAATTGATCTGAATTCTACCTCTACAACTTATGACTATATGACATTGGATAAGTTCATTAATTCTCTGGGCCTCAATATCCTCATTTGAGAAGTGTGGTTAATAATAGGTACTAAAAGGCTTCTCTGTGAGGAGTAAATGAAAATGTATACTTAGAATGGAGCAGACTCTTGATAGTAGGTACTAGTGTCATTCCCTTTTATGAATGTTTTTTTCTGACAGTATCTGAAAAGGTACCTAATATTATACAAGTGGAAAACCTTAAGAAAATTTATACTTTTATATTTTCCTATAGCAATAATTGGAATCTAAAATTTATATGATATTCAGATTCTGAAGACATCGTGTTCAATTGTATATTGGTGTGATAACATATCTCCCCACTCGCCACTGTAAAATGATCAATTCTTTTTATTATGCCCCTTTAATGACAGAATGTAGTAATATCTTTAATAGAAAATTATCTTTCTGCCAATGAGTTTACCTCTCTATTCACCCTTATTTTAACTCAAGCTTTCAATATCTTGCGGAAATAATTATAGACAACATTGTGTCAAATATTTAACTCATTTTTTATCCCACTACCAAGATGCCTCTAAGTGATACGAAATATAAGGCAGACAGCCCCAAATCTTAGGATTAAGAGATTTTAGAATGAAAGGGGCTGGAGAAACAGTTAAAAGATTTTTTAGTACATACAGGTTTACTTTTTGGCATCTATAATATCTTAGTCTTTCAGGACTTATTACTATCAGGTATAGAAATATAATTTGAAAGATCAAATTACAAGAGTAACATCAAAATTCTGAATCACATCCACAGCTTGTTACCAACCTCTTTGCTTCATCTCACCGCTGTTTTATCTGTATATTCTTGAAAATGACATGAGCTTTGTGGTTTCAGCTTACATTTTGCTGTAATATTAACCACAAGCCTCTAATAAAATTGTATTTGGTGTTAGTGTCTACCTTTCAAAAGTGATTTTGAATCACAGAAAGGGAAGCAGAGAGATTCATTTATTACCTAGTATTGAAATAACGGACAAAACTTGCCTTTCTTGTAGTATGTCTTAAGCAAGCATAGTTTAAAAGTTGACATTTATACTCATTCTCTCATGTACACAAGGAAAATGAGATTTAGAAAACAATAATAATATTTTCCTTTAACTATCCATAAAACTAACTGGAAGACATTAGCTATCATTTTATTTTTACAGATTTTGGAACTTAAAAATAGACACTTGTCAGACATGGGGATTGATATAAATTAAAATGTAAAATTCCAAGTTTGAGAGTAAATCAAGAATTTCTTGATTACTCATTTAGAAAATGATGCATATTTTTGGTAACTGATATACCTGAAGCATCTAAACAATGTATGGCACATAGAAGGCACTCAACAATATTTGTTGAATGAATAAGTTGCATAAATATGTAATTACAATATTTATGTACCAATTTCTTTAAAAATGTTTAGTCTTTTCTCCAAAAAGCTAAAGCAACACTTACTGAGGTGCCAACGCAGCTTATTTTCCAACAGGACTAATTGTTTTCAATGTAGATCTGATCTTCATAGTAAAAACATTTTATAATTTAAAACTTAAAATCTGGATGCTAGGCCAGGTATTGTAGCTCACTCCTGTAATGCCAGCACTTTGGGAGGCCGAGGCAGATGGACTGCTTGAGATCAGGAGTTCAAGATAAGCCTGGGCAACATGACAAACCCGTTTCTACCAAAAATACAAAAATTAGCCAGGCATCCTGGTGCACGCCTGTGGTCCCAGCCACTCAGGAGGCTAAAGTGTAAGGATTGCTGGAGCTTGGGAAGTTGAGGCTGCAGTGAGTCGTGATGGTACCACTGCACTCCAGCCTGGGTGACAGAGCAAGATCCTGTCTCAAAGCAAACAAAAAACCCAAAAACACGTGGATGCAGATTTTCTTTGCTCTCAAGAGAAGACTTTTCCATTAGAAATATGGTAGATGCACTTGAGTAGTGTGATGCGTTTTCATCAGTTGAATATATCCCTAAACTTAAATAAAACATCTGTCAACATTTTATCTGAATGCGTTACCTTACTCTATCACATCAGTTAGATTTATCTCCCTGTGGAGACTGTTGTTTTCTTGAGATGCAAAGAATGAGAACAATTATCCTAAATCTTTCAGTTTTCTGGTTCTATGGCTCTATCCTTACAGTGACTGTCCTCGTTCAAGCCACTGTCACATCTTTCCATGTTTACTAAAATATATTTTAATAGGTTTTCCTGTATTATACCTACCTCCACCAATTTCTTCTTTACAAAACACAAAAATGCAAATCTAATCAAATGGTTTCTATGCTTAAAATTCTTCAATTGCATCAGTAGTATGGCCTGAGAACAAAATCCCAAGCTCAAGTGCACTGTATACCCATCAGTTTCTGATATTATTCTTAGTAATTTTTCTAGTTTTTTTCTCTTGCTGTTCTTCCCATTTTATGGAACACTCCAGCCATAAGGAACGATTTTCAGTTCCCCAACATGGTAAGCAATTTCTCACCTCCTGGCCTAAGACCAAGCTTGGTCTGGATGCCCTCCCTCATACCCTTCAGTTGTGAAAGCAGCATGGTGAACTCACACTCAAGATACAAATCATCACCTCAGGAAATCTTATCACATGCCACAGCTGGATTATTTATGTTTCCCTTCTAAGTTCTTTTGGAGTGTGCTGTGCATAACATTGACATAGCATTTTTCAAACTCTACTGTAATTACTATTTTATTTGATCCTCCAGATTCTTAAAGACTGGGAAAATGTCTAATTTGCTACATTCCCAATATCTATCTTGGTACTTGGTACTGATGTTGTTGTTAGCAGTTTTTAAATATTTACCATGTACCCTAAGTTCTTTATACACAGAATTTCATTTAATTGTTACAACAATCCTAAGGAGTCAACATTATTATCTGCAGAAAGCTTGATAACTTACTTATCTATATTCACCCATCTGATAAATCTCAAAGCCAGGACCTCAATTTGTATGAGTCCTGACCCTCTATTCCTCATTACTACAATAACAATTCCCTTACAAAATTGGTACTTAATTTTTTTTTGAGTATGTGAGTAATGGCTGGATCTATTAATCCAAGTGAGGGAAATGAAACATCAATGTTTTAATTCCAATATATTAACTCTTATTAAAAACGTTAGTACAATTATTGATCAATATAGCTGAACATTTTCCTTTTAAAGCAAAGAGATAGTCATTGAAGTATATTCTGCTGTTAGTATCAAGAAAATGCTGATTCCCGCTTGGTTGGTATAGCCAAAAATTCTGTTAAATTCAGATAAGTTTTGCCATATAAAAGCTATGCTTTTCAAACTGGAAACAGGCATCTCAAACTGCATATACAGTATGTTAACTTTCAATCAGCAATGTAAACAATGTAATATAAGCATTACATGGACTCTACATTAAGATAAACCAAACCACTTTTGCTAAGACAGATGTAATCACTCAAATTCCATTGGGAAAGAGGTAACAGCATTATTTGGTCTAGTCCCGAGTACTTTATTTAGTAAATAACTTGGGCTTTGTAGATTTGTTTTTTCATGACACCTACTTCCAACATTTAAACTAATAGTGTTTCACGTGTTTTGTGCTTAGGATTTAATTGTAAAACAGGCCATTATTTAATCTTTTTTCATTAGGATGTTTTTAATTGATATTTATTTTCATTAATCCTTCTTAAATAATACGATATAAAAGCAACACTGTATTGTCACTCTTCTTTATATTTCAAGCCTCCTAATTTTTGTATCATAAATCTTAAAAAGTAAAAAAAAAAAATACCATAAAGAAGTTATACTCAGAAATATCCAACCATTTTATTTTAATCAAGATGCTCATTTTAAGTGTTATTCAAGAGCTAAATCCAAAAATCAACTTGACCCTAAGTAATATATGGCTTTGGAAAACATTTTAGTGCAGAATATAAGCAAAAAAACAAGTTGTCTGAATTGAACTGTATCTTATTATTATGATTTTAAAATTAGAACTTGTTTAAATTAGTAGTAAGTAACTATTTTGTATATCTAAATTTATATTTTATGTATATTTATTTCTCATTCATTCATGGAAAAACGACTCTTTGGAGTGTAAATATAGGCTCCTTTTTTAAGTATGTACTACATTAAGATGAATCAAACTTTAAATGATTCTGTGAAAAGTTCTCTTCTATATCCATTTGAATATAAGTAGGTACTACATTAAGGTGAATGTAGGTACTACATTAAAATGAATCAAACTTTAAATGACTCTGTGAAACATTCTCTTCTCTATCCATTTTCCTGTATTGCAATTCTTCTCCCCAGAGGATTCCAATGTTACTGTCTTTTTGTATAATTCCTGTTCAATTGTATGCACGTACAACCGTATATACATACATAGATTAAAGGACCTAGATCTATTTCCTGGCTCTTCACTAACCGTGTAACTGGCCAACAAACTTAACCTCTTAAAGGCAGAGCACATTTGTGAATTGTAAATGCCAAACTAGATAATTAGGTTTCTCCCACTTATAAAATAGCACAACTGATGAAAGCTGACAACAGCTCCATTTATTTTCATCTGATGTTTAAACATGCTTCTTTAATCCATGATAGAAAGTTAGTTATTTACCTCTATGTCTGAAAGCCACAGGGATTTATGATCTTATCTGTCTCCTCTATATGTCTATCCTACTTGATGTCTTATAGCTTAAAATAATTAAAACCTCGCCTAGAAGATAATTCATGACTCAAAAACATCCTCAGTCCGAACTCACTGATTTCCCAAAAAAAATGTGGGCGCAGTGTGGCCAGATCTTTGAATTTTTCAAGAGAAACCACTAATCCAAGTTCTTAAAATCTCCTGATTAAAAAATGTTGGTAAACTATAAAATTTTAATTTTAAAATAAATAGCTCTGTGCAGATCAAGCAAAGTATAGACAAGTGTTGTATTTAGCTTATGACTCCTGAGAGTTTCAGTCTAGAACCTGCTGACTGATAAGGAACTAAATTAAATACAGTCTGTATAAATACTTTATTAAATACAGTATCATCACCTTGACACAAGATAGAGGATACTGATGGGAGACTAGCCCTATCTTTATGTCAAAAGCAACTGCTTATAACTTTTCTTGACTTTACTCTTACTAAATATAGTTTACTCAGCTCTTGATCTCAAAGACATTTTCCTGAAGTTAACTGTTACTTTTTGTGACTTTTGATCTTCCAGGGTAACTTGGATGTTTATCATGTTATTGCCCCTTTATATTAATGGTAATATTGTATCAGAGATGGAAAGAACACAGAATCCCTATTGACATGTAATCCAAAAGGAACAGTTTAGCACAGTCTCATGTTCTCCCAAAGGTCCATATCCTAATGAGTCAACTCCAACTCCAAAGGACACCTGAACTCATTCATCTGTATCCTCTGTCTTGGGAGAAACCCTCATCAATATACATCAATATAGTGCTAAAGTCAAACACATACTACTTAAAATGATCCTGGCCGGAGATAAGCAAGTGAAATTGCATTGAATGATCGATGAAACTGTTTAGGCATCAATAGGAAAAAAGAAGCCAGAAAAATGCTATTACCAGAAAAAAATGATTTCAGGATCAAATGAAAGAAAGTTGTATGAAGACAGTAACACAAATTTGAAAATCTTAAGTAAAATTAAATGCCTTGGAATATCCATTATAATTATTCAGCAACATTTCTTCTCAAATTTGTATTTTTCTTCTTTCTATAGCTTTGGCTAATTTCTTTCCATTTCTGCTTTGTAACACTCGTGTATCTGTGCAGTCAGAGAATCTACTTTTTTAAGGCTGTTTTTACTAGAAATAAATATGAGTATAGCATCACTCTGTTTTTCACTTGAAGGTTTTTCTATGGAATAATGGAATAAGCCAGAGCTAGATGCTCCATTGCAGGTTGAATTAAGTCCACTATTTTGGTTGGTTTAACAGTAAATGAAAATCACATGCAAAAATTACCCATAGCCTTCAGCAATCATCTGAAGAATATTTAGCAAACTGAAAAAAAAATTGCACCGTGATTTCTACATAGTGTCACTAATAAAAAAGTAGAAAATAGAACCTCAAAGTTCTTCTAAATTAGCTGCCTAATGCATTTTGATTAAACACTTCCACATGCTTATTATAAACCACTAATGTGATTCACATTGTGACTTATTTCTATGAGTGACACCTCAATGATTTATAAGTAACACTTTATGAGTACAACATGGAAGGAATATATACCTTTGGAGGCCTTTACTAGAGGCACATGGACAATAATCATCTTGCTAAATGTTCTATATACAGGCCTATCATCAGTTCTTGGCACAAGGACTCTCAGAAAACCTTCTTTAACACCTGTTGTCATTTACATTAAAGATAACTGGCTTTGGTATTTCAATATCCAACATTCTCCCACTAACAGATTTGTCCCAGGCTCCCTAACGATCTGAGTTCATTTTAACTTATCTGGAACCACTGTGAGTGCCATCCTTGCCAGAAGGTTTATAGCAAGCAAAATGTTTTGTCTACTTTGATTATTCATTTTTTTAGATTGACTTTATAGGTTGAAAGGGCATGGTGGTGATTACATGCAGACACAGTTAAATTCTTGCAAAGTAGAATTAGATTCACTATTCCCTCCGTTTTGTTTCTATGTTCTCAAACACCATATACCAAAAAATCTCATAGACCCAATACCTACCTCATTTCTCACAGGTTCCTAGAAATCCTATTCTTCTCAGTGAATTAATATACAAATGGTGTATTAGCCTATTCTCATGCTGCTATGAAGAAAAATACTCAAGACTGGGTAATTTATAAAGAAAAGAGGTTTAATTGACTCACAGTTCTGCATGGCTGTGGAGGCCTCAGGAAACTTATAATCATGGCAGAAGGCATCTCTTCACAGGGTGACAGAAGAAAAGAATGGGTGTCAAGTGAAGTGGGGAAAACCCCTTTTAAAACCATCAGGTCTGGTGAGAACTCACTATCATGAGAACAAGATGGGAGTAACCTCCCCCAGTGATTGAATTACCTCTTACTGGGTCCCCTCCTATGACATGGGGGGATTATGGGAACTAAAATTCAGGATGAGACTTGGGTGGGGACACAGCCAAATCATATCAAATGTGAACAAATGGTAACTATTTAATATTTTTTATATCCCACATCCAATATGGAATCTTAAACACTGATTATTCTCTTGATTTCACAAATCATGAAACTGAGAATTAAGTGGCTTTCCTCACAATGTTAATTCATAATAACTGTGTTTCTGGAACCTGGGTCCAGTTTTTTCTCCATTTCATCATAGTAATTTAAATACTTGTTCAAGGATAGACCAATCCAGTGTCAGATAGTGTCATAGACAAACACCAAGCATGAAGGATATTATTATACCTTCTTGTGCTGTACATTAAATCAAATAAAATTATGTATAAATATTGAGTTTTGGTAAATATTCAGCAAATATAAAATCAGTTAACATAAAAGCATAAATTGTATAAAAAATCCACATTAGGTTTTAATCTGTATCCATCAATGTCCTTGGAGTATGTAAGCATGAGAGATGATGATGCCACTTAAATAGCAAAGTTATTAGAGGTAGATAAGAGTTTTAAGCAGTAATTCTCTGGTAGCTAGCTGCTTTTCTCTTATATTTAGAGAGCTTACAGTCACACCTGATACCTAGGAAGAAAACTCACATTGAGAGTCAGAGAGAGTAGATTTCTGTTTTCTCCCAAGTGAGAATGTTTCAACTGTTCATGGGTTCAATAAAAAAGAGCTGGAATTTGTTCCTAGATCTGAACGCATTTAGGGAAAGCTGGCATGAGGGATATTTTACCTCAGAGAAAAGGAATGAACAAATTAGTCAACTTTTCCTTTCTGTGACAATTTGATCATAGGGAAGTAAATTCCAGAATATTGTTAAAGGCTGTGTATAGTTTCATTATTTTATCTTAATAAAAGGAAGTTTGGCTTACCAATAATGTGCTGAGCATATGGAGAACATTGAGAAGAATAAATGAGGCATTATTTTGGAGAGACAGTAATTAAACATTGTTCAGTGTTGTTTCTCCTTGCTCTTCTTGTTGTTGGTATGTGTTACTCTGCCCAACAAGTTATTAGGCAAAAAATGCTTTTTAAGAAAATTTAGCTCACTGTGGGCATGCATGAGATAGTAGGCATTCTAAGCAGCTAATTTTTTCAGCCAAAGTTATCAGATGGCTAAGAAAATTGCAGTATAGTTTAGGTATAGTTGATAAGAAGGTTGAATTTACTTAGTTATAGCAGGTAGTAATCTTCATTCTAGAAACTAAACAATTCATGGGCAAATGTCTGCATAATGGGAAAGGGTCCTCATGAAAATGCAAATTTAAACTTATCTCTATTGTTTTTACATATGTAGATAACATCAGAGGAGCAAAAACAAAATCTCCCCGGCTCACTTCTCCGCCATTATGTAAGTAGAAATTGCAAGACTTGAAAGAGATATAACATATACTTAAAATACCATTTTGATTACAGAAGAGGTAGTTCAGGAAGCTAAACCCCTATATTTAACAGTGATTCTCAGGGGTGAGGAGAATTTGATAGCATTTCTTAAAGGCATGAGTGATTAGTAATAAAAATGTGCATGTAAAATTGCCTCTGATTTTTAGCCAGCAGAAGAAAAAAGCAGACATCTAGGAAGGATATCATGTGCGTATCATGTACATCGTATCTTGTAAAAAAGAAAGTCTAAATACTTGGAAGTGCCAGGTGACAATCCAGATAGCTGAGTTGTTACCATGCTTTTCAATTTGGCTTTAGGAAAATAATGACATGTTCATGCAATAGCAGCTACTACATTTTAAGTGGACACATAAATAAAAATAAATTTATAGCAGCTTATCAAATGCAATTCTTTTTAAAAATAACAAAGTATACGGCTAGAGATAAAAACAGTAAGCAAACATATTATGCAAATTATTTTTAAATCTGTTTAAATGAATCATTGAGAAAGTGTTAAAATACAAAGATGAATAGCACTATGGATTATGAATCATGTGGAATATTTATTGTTACACAGTAACATATGAATTCGGTAATATTGACCTAATAAAGCCCAGATAGCATTTACATTAGAATCTGCAAATAAATAGCTTGTTAATTCACATTATCTTCAGAAAATGGGTTTGATTTCTATTAACCTTGACTCTTGTCAAGCAGTTAATATGACAGAAGAAATAACAAATGCTCTTTTACCATTAAGCTATAGCAAGAAGACCTCTATTTCCAGTATTTAGAACCATTTCACGGACTGTTAGGGGAATCGAAAGATCACCCCGCCATAGATCTTCAGTTTGCTCATTATGGATGAAATAAATATACAATCCAAATTTAACTTCACTTTCAAAGGCATATAAGATGGCCTCCCTACTTGTCCTGCCTATTTAAAAAATTTTTATGACGGTAAATAAACCCTGGAAAATTCCTTCTCAGATTTTACCGCCTGAAACTGCAGCTGTTGGCTGCCACTATCACAGTCTCACAACTACAAACTCACGTGCAAACCTCATCAAGGGCAGACATTTCTAATTGATTCCAGAAGTATGTTTTTTTTTTTTTTTCCTTAGATCAGGGTGCAAAGGAAGAATAATGAGCAGCTTTTCAGAGGGAACTGGGCGTTTGGGTGTTCAGGGGAGGGGGTGGTGCTTTTAAAATCTCAGGCTTGGCCAGAAATGCGTGGCAATTTTACGGTCAATTGGCGGGAGCATCTGGAACCAGACATTCTGGCCTTGAGTTGATGGTAGGGAAACCAGCTTACAGGCAACAGCAAGCCCATAATGAGTCCCTGTCATGTACTAGTGGAAACCACGTTGACGGTCTGCCAAATATCCATGCGCCTTTTTCTCAGCGACAGGATTCTCCTTAGAGCCATTATCTAGTATCTGAAATCTGTCCACTTACAGATCTTCACCTGTTTTCGCTATTAAAGACAATGCAAAAACAAAAGCTAAAAATTAGAACGTGTATGTGTTTAATTCCTTGTGTGCTGACATGGCTCTATATCATAAGATTGTGTTTACTTTCATTTGGGGCATATATTTCAAACGCAGCGGCCATCTTGTTACTGCATGGGGAGTGTCGGATGCGCAGGTCATAAATCATAGCACTGCGCACGGCACACTCAGACGAAAGGAGGTGAAACGCAGGCCCTTTGTTATTTCAAATGTAGGACAGGTGATTATTTTTAAAAAGGTGGGAAGGGGGCAGGGTTCTTTTTTAAATGTCCAGCAGAAAACCAAGGGTGGAAATAACTTCTTAGGAGTAAATGATGTTTACTTTAAGCTGCTGCTCGTAATTCACCACGCTGACGTTGGTAGATTACATCCACGAATAAGTCATGTAATAATAGGACAGCCATGAAAAATGTAGAGATGTGTCAACAGGGTGGAAACTGGTTCCTTGGTGAAGAACAAGCCATGCAGAAAGCTGGATTTCTAACATTCTCAAATCTCTTTTTATCCAAACAATCTAATTAATGGGGATTGTATTCATGTTATAACTCACTCAAAATTCCTAGGCTTATGATGTTAAACTAAATTCAACATGTTTGCTCTTAGTTGATCTACTCTTGGGGGGAATCCCTGCCTGTTTTCAGACCAAAGTAAAACAAGCACAAAAGCAAGACTAAATGAAACAAAACTACTCAACTAAAAGAAAAAAGAAATGTATTTAAAATACTTTTTTAAAAAACTCAGTATTTTTTGGACGTGAAATTTTTCCGAAAACACCTATGTTCTGATGATTGCAGTATGTGTGAATCAGAAATATATATTAGTGTTGCTCAAAATAGACATAATATTAAAATACATTAAACTGACAGTGAACAAATAGTAGAAAATGACATCTACTTGAACAAAGTATTATTTGCAAAAGCAACTGCACTTGTTGGATGCCTGTGTTGGTACTTTAAAAATAACAGCATATGGGAGAAGGGACAGGTGAGTAAGAATATAAGCTATATTTGTGTCTTTTAATTGCCTTAATAAAGATGATGCATAGAAAACTATCATGTATTATTCTCTTAGGTGTGGATTCAGTATTTTAAAAACCCATACAAAGCCAATACATTTTGGAAAATTTCATGTGATAGTTTGCAATTTACTGTGTCAAAACTAGTCTTTTATAAAGCAGAGAAGCAATACTATGTTCTAATATTGCTTAATTTTACTTCCAAGTATTTTGTTGTTCATGGAAAGAAAAAGTGACCATTTTTAGAAGGAATACAGGAAGAGGACAATGTTTTTTTAAAGGAGACCACAAATAAATCACCCCAAATGGCTTATTTTCACCTTCAACTTAGCCCCACAACTCAGTCCATCAGTTATTTTCTATGTACCATTACAGAACAGTAAAAAATGTGTACATGATAGATGTATATCACGAATGAGATAAATATATATACGTGTATACACGCGTGTATATACGTACGCGTGTATATACACGCGTGTATATAGACGTGTGTATATAGACGTGTGTATACACGTGTGTGTATACACGTGTGTGTACACACGTGTGTGTATACACACACGTGTGTGTATACACACGTGTGTGTATACACACGTGTGTGTATACACACGTGTGTATATACACACGTGTATATATATATATATATATATATATATATATATATATATATATAGCTCCCCTCATAGGACCTGCAACAGTAAACATTTGTTAATTGCATGTGATGGAATGATACATCTTGAGAAAGACTATACCCTTATATTCTAAAAATATTCATAAGGGTGGTAAGTGAAAGAAAACAATTTTTTAAGTGGCGGGATACTCAAATTGAGTTAGAAGTTAAGAAAGAAGAAGAAATGCAAAGCTTTATTATATTAACACAAAAATATCAAAGAGGATCTGCTAATAACCCCAGTGTTTACGTTTTACGCTATTCCCTGAATTTTTTCTCGTAATTCACGAGAATTTGTTTTCTAAAAATAAAAATATATTATATCCTATAAAATATATTCTCATATGTTACATAAAGGTAATTTTCAAATATGTTAATTTATAGCATATAAAAGGGATACAATCTGGGACTATGCTAGGATGAAGTGGCTTATGCTCACTTATACATGGCTAATGAACAGGTAAAATGATAAATATTTGGCCTATTGAAGAGAAGATTCCTGCACTCACTAACATAGTACCATGGACATAGATTTTCCAATGTTTCAGAAATTTTGATATGATGTAGGGTGAATTTGGGATTAATTTTAAATGTGAGTATCCTCCCCTATACAAGAATAGAGAAAAATCATCATCTGTGCACTTAAAATTAAAACAGTAAATCTTGCTAAAGAAGCCAATATTGGCTGGGCACGGTGGCTCACGTCTATAATTCCAGCACTATGGGAGGCCGAGACGGGCGGATCACAAGGTCAGGAGATCGAGACCATCCTGGCTAACACGGTGAAACGCTGTCTCTACTAAAAATACAAAAAAATTAGCCAAGCATGGTGGCGGATGCCTGTAGTCCCAGCTACTCGGGAGGCTGAGGAAGGAGAACAGCGTGAACCTGGGAGGTGGAGCTTGCAGTGAGCCCAGATCATGCCACTGCACACTCCAGCCTGGACAACTGAGTGAGACTCTGTCTCAAAAAAAAAAAAAAAAAAAAGAAGGTAAGATCATGGAATTAATTCAAATTATGTATTAGCTTAATATTTTTGCATAATTATAGCCTGTATTCATAACCCTCCCCAGGAGTTGTACAAATGGAAACTGGTTGTTAGAGGAGGAATTGTAGCTGGATATATCAGCACTATATGGAAAAAATTGATGTCTATCTGAATTAATAATAATGGATGGTATAATAGTACCATCTTCATACATAAAGGGGAGTATTGTATTATATGGAATTATTCTGTGGAAATAAAAACCATTTGCGTGCAGTCCAGGGGTGATGAGACAAACTACAACCTGGGAGAAGATACTTTCAATAAACATAAATGACAAAGGACTGATATTATAATCATACACAGAATTTCTAAAAATCAAGAAAAAGAAAACAATGGGTAAAAGGTACAAAAAAATCACAGAAAAGGAAACACAAATTCCTTCAAACATAATGATCCACCCACTTCAATAGTAAACAGAAAATAGTAATTAGAAATACAATCAGATACTACTTAATTTCCCAAATGGACAATAGGTTAGAAATCTGACAATTACAACTTCGGTGAGGAAAGGTCCACTGATAGAAGGACATTTTATAATCACTTGGAAAACAACTTGGCATCAGCTAAAGAATTTAAACAAGCACATTTGCTACAATCCAGCAATTCCCATCTAGATGTATAAACTAGAGAAACTCTACATACATGCAATGTGCACTAGATGTGTAGATGAATTTTTATTGCAGCATTGCAATAGAAAAAAATAGAAACAAACACTAGAGAATAGACAGATATGTATAGTCAACAGTGAACCAATTTACAGGAATAGAAATGGATACAAGTACAGGCAACAAAAAGAATACATTTTAAAAATAAACATTTTTGCAGAAATTTTATATAGCATAGGAAACTATATATAAGAAACCATATATAGTATATAAGATACCATTTTATTGTACTCACAAATTTTAAAAAATGAAATAATATATTGCTTAATGATACCTTGAAGAAAATCTGAAAAATTAAAATCATGGAAATGATAAGCACAAAGTACAAAATAACTGTTCTATCTGTGGAAATATGAGTGGTATCACACAGACAGCAGATAATACAGTGTTATTAATACTTGACTGGTATTATATAATTTTATTTAGAATGGTGTTTATTTTATCTTTTATAAAAATGTATCTAATTTAATATCTCTCAAATGCTATATGAAAAAATGTGATTAAAAATATTAAATAAAACTAATATAGCTACTACTTATAAATGCAAACTTTGTACACTTTATAAAAATATTAGGGCCCGGTTGCAGTGGCTCAAGCCTGTAATCCCAGCACTTTGGGAGGCCGAGACAGGCAGGTCACCTGAAGTCAGGTGTTCGAGACCAGCCTGGCCAACATGGCGAAATCCCCTCTCTACTAAAATTACAAAAAAAAAAAAAAAAAAAAATTAGCCAGGTGTGGTGGCAGGTACCTGTAATCCCAGCTACTCAGGAGGCTGAGGCAGGAGAATCGCTTAAACCTGGGAGGCGGAGGATGCAGTGAGCCAAGATTGCACCATTGCACAGAAGCGAGACTCTGTCTCATGAAAAAAAAAAAGAAAAAAATAGACATTTGGATAATACTGAAATAGATGAGTCAAAATTGCTCTATACTATGAATATTCGTGTGTGTGTGTGTGTGTGTGTGTGTGTGTGTGTGTGTTTCACCTTGAACCCAAAAGTACGTATATAGCAGACTAGCATACTTACCATGAAACATTGTTGAGGACAGTCTATTCCTTACATTCATCTTGTAGCCAGATAAACAGTTGAAATGACTCATTTAGGATGACTTCAGACAAACATTCTGTGATGACAATACACTAACCACCACCGTGAGATGAACCCAAGTAATAAATAAAACCTCAGCGTGGTAGACGGATAAAAGGCCATAAATTTATGTGTGCCCTTTTGCAATTGATCTTACTGCTCTTCAAATCAAAAGAGTTTATTTCCCCACCCTTTGATTTTCGGCTGGTCTGATAATTTGTTTGACCAATGGAATGTAGCAGAAATATATAGAGTCTCTGAGCCTAGGCTTCAAGAAGCCTTGCAAATGCAGTCTTCAGCCTTGCAGATTTTGCAACTGCAATGTACAGAACTTGGCCTGGCCCACTAGAGGGTGAGAGGCTATGCGGACAGAAAACAGTGCGCTCCCTTGACAGCCAGAGAGAAGTCTTTCCACATTCGCTTTTATCTGAGCTGATTATGTGGAATACTGCTGAATGAGTAGGCCCAGGTGAACGCAGCAGAGAAAACACCACAGAAATTGTGAGAAATAATAAATCTTCATTTGCTTTAAGCCATTAAGTTTTGGCTTGGTCATGCAAAAACAGATAAATGCCAAGGAAGCCTGAATTTTACCAAATAAACACATATATACATACCAAAGAAAAGAAAGGAAGAGAAAAAAAGCAAGACAGGAAAAGGAAGAACCCATGAAAGTATGAAGTTTGCTAAGAACTGTTGAATCTTCCTTCATTATCTGATACATATATGTTGACATATTAACTGGGTAAAACGAGACATCTGAATATGCATCCCTTGCATTTTGAAGTCAATGAACATTTAATTCACCATTCTATTTAAGAGTTGAAATTACAACGTGTTCTTCTGAAGTTTGGCATGTAACAGCTACATAGCAGGAATTGTCAGTGCACATTTAATATTTATTGAATAGATCAATAAAAATTGAAGAGTCTTAAGGTTGCTGCTTTGAGTATTGGTTTCTTCTGCACATAAAATGGCTGAGGCAGCAAATTGTTAACCTTGGGTTAATGCTTTTTCAAAAGAGCTGCCCAGACGAGATGATAACGTGGAAAGGATAATAAGAAGGCATAATAATTAGATTGCAGAGTTGGAAGACAAGTAGGGTGTTTCCTAAAGGGTGAGATACGTACTAATTAATGTTGGTACTCCGTGATTTCAGTCAGAACTGTGAATTAGGAGGGTAAGAATCCCTCCAGGGATTCCCTTCTTAGATGCAGGTGGGATTTTCTGCACTCCAAACTCAGTCCCTCCCCAAGATAAAAAGACCTTAAACTTCCACTCTCCTGAGCTTAGCAGGGACTTCTGAACCATTGAGAAGGAAGCAACCCAAACCCACTCCTAGATAACTCAAATTCATGTATTCTCTGACATTAACAGCAACTCCCAGAACATGTCTTTGTGGTAAATCTCTGTCACCCAATGCCAGCAAGAGAAGGACAAGGAAGCGCCTCTCTGAGTTTTAGGTCTGTTCTACCTGTCTTAATTTTGCTTGCTTTGCCTTTATTCCTTGAAGTATTGGGGATGATGACCTAAATGTAACATTTTTAAAATAAAGCAGGGGTTGGGATGGAAATGATAGAAGCGATTTTAACAATGGCATTAAGATAAATATCCCCATATTACTGGATGATCCTATTCAATGCCATTTTTATAAGGATTTTATTTTCAGATATGGAGTTTTATAAATTAATTAGATTTAATCCCAGCACTTTGGGAGGCCAAGACAGGCGGATCATGAGGTCAGGAGATTGAGACCATCCTGGCTAACATGGTGAAACCCCGTCTCCACTAAAAATACACAAAATTAGCTGGGCATGGTGGCAGGAACCTGTAGTCCCAGCTACTCGGGAGGCTGAGGCAGGAGAAATGCATGAACCCAGGAGGTGGAGCTTGCAGTGAGCCGAGATCACGCCACTGCACTGCAGCCTCAGCAACAGAGCAAGACTCCGTCTCAACAAAAAAAAAAAAAAAAGAAATTAGATTTATTATTTTTACTCATATTTACTTTAATTTTTGCTCATAAATTGATGACATTTTAAATTTATGCTTTGGGTGTTTCTAATGTGTGGTTTTCTATTACTGTAGTGAAAACATTTCATTTAAAAGAAATATATTTACATTTTTTAAAATGAAATACCTTAAATATAAACATTGAGAAGAGTCAAAGTGGCCTACATATATATCATGTATGTTTTTTTGTAGAAGTAAAGTTTTTTGCAAGCAGTTCTTAAATATGAGTCCAATGAACAAAGGTAATCTTTCATACAACTCAGTTAGAAGCAAAGTTATCTGCTGTGTCTTAGAGCCATCATTTTATTTATCCTAAAATACGTCAACAACTAAACTCCTACCCCTGGTTCATTTCTCACTAAGCTGGGTTGAGTAATCCACATTTGCCAAACAAGTTCTAAATAAAATGTTTTATTGTATGTTACATGGTCACTGCAATCATGACTAATTTGTGATATATGAAATCATAAAATACAAAAAATCCTGAAACCTTTCCATATGATAGTGTATTTGAATTATAGAAAAATACTATAAATTCATGTTCCAAAGACATTTTTAATACTCAGAGAAACTAACTGGGAAAAGGAGAACTTATGTGTTCCTTACTAAGAATCATCACATGTGCCCTACAGCCTGTGCTTTTATTATATTCTCAGTAGTAATTATAGGAGTGGTAATGTTAGTTGTACTGAAGCTTTTGGCGGAGTAGGCACAACATACTGCACGCACATTTACAGACATTATTATAAGTACTTTTTGTATGTATAATCTTATTTAATCCACATGTCCACCCACCAAGGTAGGTACTACTTTTATTATTCTCATTATGCAGAAGAGAAATGAAAGCAGACAGAGGTACTCAAAAATCTGGTTGGAATGACTGATAACAAAATTAAAATAACTACAAGCTTCAAAGGAAGTATTACATCGTTAGCAATAAGTACACTCGACCCTTGAACAACTCGGAGGTTAGTGGGGCCAACCCCCCGTGCGGTCAAAAATTTGCCTATAACTTTCACCTCCCCGGAAAATGTAGCTATTAATCACCTACTGTTGACCAGAAACCTTAGTGGTAACATGAACAGACGATTAACACATATTCTGTATGCTGAATGTATGATACACTGTATTCTCACAATAAAGCTAAAGAAAAGAAAATGTTAAGAAAATAATAAGGAAGAAGTAGGTCATCATAAAGGTCTCTTTTTCTCATCATCTTCATGTTAAGTAGTCTGAGGAGGAGGAGGAAGAGGTGGGTTTGGCCTTGCTATCTCAGGAGTGGCAGAGGTTGGAGGAGGTGGAGGAGGTGGATGAGGTGTAAGGGGAGGCCGGAGAGACAGGCACACTTAGTGTAATATTTATTGAAAAAAAAATCCACATATACATGGACCTGTGCATTCAAACCCTTGTTGTTTAAGGGTCAATTGGATCCAAAAGCTATAATAACTGCCAGGATATGGTCAATTCTTAAGGCAGGCAGTTCTGAGATTAATAAAGAGTACGTACGCATGCCCTCATGCCCACACCTGAGAACACATGCAGATAAAATCAGGTTATGATCCTCATGAAAATAAGAAGAAAAAACCAGATAAATTATAAATAAAGCAGAAATAAGCAGGCAAAATAATTCCCATGCCTTCTTCACCTTAGTGATGCCAGCCAGCTATAGCTAGAATATTGGCATTTTTAAAGAATCCTGGTTTCTGGAAATCATTTGTTACTAAGTGATGCCTTATATGAATAGGAGCCATAGGACACTGCTAACACAGCTTAGAAGCAGCGTCTCTCCACAGTGGGCTGCTCACTGTCACTGTCATCAGCACAATGGTGTCTTTGACTGAAACTGTGACAACTCTAGGGTCATGCAGCCATATCTCTCAAATATTTCCTCTCAGTACCTATCACAAAACTCTGAACATGTGAACTTAGTTGAAAAAAAAAAAAAGATCTTTGGGAGGCCAAGGCAGGCGGATCACCAGGTCAGGAGATTGAGACCATCCTGGCTAACATGGTGAAACCCCATCTCTACTAAAAATACAAAAAAATTAGCCGGGCGTGGTGGCGGGCACCTGTAGTCCCAGCTACTCAGGAAGCTGAGGTGGGAGAATGGCGTGAACCTGGGAGGCGGAGCTTGCAGTGAGCCGAGATCGCGCCACTGTGCTCCAGCCTGGGCAACAGAGCGAGACTGTGTCTCAAAAAAAAAAAAAAAGGTTTTGAGATTTAGATTAAAGGACATCTATGCTCATTAAAGAATACATTCATCACCAAATTAAAAAAAAGAAAGAGAGAGAGAAAGAATAAAACCATTTAGGTAACAGCACATCAACATAACCACTAATGAAGTGTGGTTATATCTTCTTACAATCTATTTTCTCCGCATCGAACAGTTTATGCAAAACAGATAAATAACTTTGCCAGAAAGAGGATAACTATAAATTTGATAGGCACACACCTCCCAAATAATGTAGGAAGACTATTACCATGCAGACTTACTAAGTTTGACTTATATAATAAAATAATACAACAGAAAACCTCCAGCTAGCCTTCTAGATAGAGAAGAGTCACAGGGTTGCAAGCTGATGCTACCAATATATACAACATTGATTTATATTATAGGAGAAAGGGGATTTATTGCTTCACTGACATTGATTCTAGTGATAGCTTCAAAGAAAAATGAAGAGAATATAGTGTCCTTATAGTACAATCACTCCTAGTCAGTCAGCCCTAATTCATATTGACTGGAGTCACTGAGGCCATTTATTAGGTTTCTATACTTATTGTTTGAAGAACAGTTTTAATAAAAGAACAGTTTTATTAAAACTCAGGTAAATGGCAAAGATTTACATAAAGTTTTAAGAGATACAAATATGAAGAAAACACAGATTTGAAATTCATAATTAATAATATAAGAATTGGTAACTGGTTGTAATTTTTACCATGTTTAGCTTTAAAAAGAAGTGGAAAGGCTACTTTCCAGATTAAAAAAAGATTGCTAGCAAAATATTTATCCAGTCTTACGTTGCCATCTCACTTGACCTCTCAACAGAGAAGACTTGCTCAAGTTTAATCATTAATGGCTTGTGGTTTTAATAATAATAATAGTAACACTCTAATAATGGTAATATGAACAATGATAACTGTAATTTATCAATTTCTTCCTATGTTCTCTCCTTTGTGGCACTTCATTTTTCCACCAAACCATGTGAATTAAATACTGTTTTAACATTTTAACGAAAAATTCCAGTGGCAAGTCCCAGGCAACATCTACTCTTGAAGAACTGGCCGTGCATGTGCCCAGATGGACAGAAGCAGTTTCTGGAAAGAGTAGCTAAGCACCCTGAAAGATTTTTCCATGAGGTCCTCTTTTCCTTGGATCATAAACCAAAGATAATCCAGAGGTAAATTATTCAAACCACGTGTCTTTTCAAAATTCTTTTGCAGTTAAATTGATAAGACATTTTACTATAGCTCTTTACATTTTCCAAGCTACTTTTGCTATATTTTGCCACAAGGCTTGAGGTAGATGAGTATTATCATCATTACATGGACGAAAATGTACCTTGATCATTAAGAGTTATAGTGTCAGACTTCCTGAGTTTGTTCCCTGACTTATTCACTTAATAGTTATGTGCATTTAGACAAGTTGTGTACACCCCTCAATATTCTCATTATGAAGATAATGGAAGTAACTACATCATAGGTTTGATATGAATACTGAATGGAATAATACTAGTAAGGCATTTAGAACGTAGTAAGAGCTCAATGCATGTTAGCTCTTATAAAACCTATTTTACAGTTGAACAACCTGAGGCACAGAGTCCAAAGTCACAGATACAGTGTCAGGACCAAGAATTCATAGCACTGACTTTTCCTTCAACATTGTTGTTCTTCCCCACTTCTCATTCTAGCTGTCTCCAAACTTGACTTGGGGATCTCAAGGCAGGCCAAGGCCAAATAGTTATTTCAAATGATCCTTAAGTTCATATAAAATAACAGTAACAACAGTGCCTAACTTTTGTGGAGCACTTACTATGTGTTAATCACTGTGCTCAATTCCTTACACATATTCTCTTATTTAATCCTCAAAATCCTACTTAGATGGATGTTATACTTCCTCCTTTTACAGACGAGCAAAGCAAGACCAAGAATAGGTAAGTGGTGAAGTAATTGCCAAAGAACACATAGCTACTTAGTTCTTAAGCCAAGAATCAAATTCAGGCAATACGGCTTCAAAGTTCAAGTCTTTACCATTTACTTTTATCTATTAACTAAATAAGTAAACTGCCATCATCTTATCACTAGCGTTCATCACACTTAAAAGCTGGACATACTACATTGCCCTCCACCATCTCATCATCAAAGAATACCAAATGCAGTATGTTTTTGTAAGCAAACATTCCCACATATTTACAACACTGGCTAATGTAAGGAACCTATGTTCTCTATTTCCTTCTGGTGTGTGTAAGATAAACTATCACCATAAACCTAAGAGTACTCTCATTAAATGAAATTATTGTCTTTCATGCCTTAAATTAGAATGTGCCCCTCATCTAAGGTGTTAAAGTGCCATTTTCTTTGATTTTATGATTTTTTTCAGCATGTATATTTCTGAATTTTATTAAATATGTATAATTTATGATTATTTTGCTTTTAGGTTATAATTTGAAGAAACAAAATGAACATACACATTAAATCAACTGTAATGCAGAATATATTAAATTAGATGATATCCAAGATCCTGATACTAAGATAGTATGCTTCACGGTTTAAATTCACATTATATATATAATGTGTATATATACCCCTATGGTTTAGAGGTTGAGAAGTTTTAAAGGTATCAAAGAATATTAATAAAGAATCTTCTGCTTCTTCCTTTCTTCTAACCACAAAATTCACCTTTTCTTCCCACAAGCAACATGTTAGGTTTTGTTTATCTTCCTAGATATATTTACATACATACAATAAAATACATTTATATATTTATATACCGATATCTCCCTCTCCCTGTTTTTATACTTATGTGCACTGTATGGCAGGATACTTCACAGAGAATCCTGTATCATGTTTTACTGTTAAGATTGCTCCTTATTGGTACTAAAGGGTTTCTTGTGTTATTATTATAGATGCATATTTTACTACTTTATTAATGAATAATAATTTCAAATAGTCCTCCATTCATGGCCTTTAAGTTGTTGCTAATCTTACGTCATGACAAATAATGCTGCAAGGAATAATATTGCATATACACCGATTCGCGTGTGTGAGTATATCATTTCAGTAGCACCAATTCCTAGAAGTGAAATGCCGGGTTAACGGGTATGTGTATTTGCAATTTTGATAGATATCTCCAAATTACCTCCAAAGGAGTTGTTTCAATTCATAATCAATATTAAATAATGAAAGTGTATATACTGGGTTTTTCACTGATGCTAAGAGCGGGGGATATTAGTATTTATGTTTAATGCTTAAATAAAGTTATACATTGCACATTCTGGTGATGTTGGCAGGTGTCTTGGCACCAAAGTTAAACAATATAACCCTGAATTGCAAACATAATACACTCTCTATTAATGCACTAGTGATGAGAAAATAAATGTCTTTAACAGCTGCCTAGATTCTAAACAATAAATATAGACCCAAAAGTTCAATGCAGTTCTTGGAAGATAAGAATTAACCATCACAGAAGAACATATTTTTCAGCTGTAGAAAAATCCCACTGACTTCAGTGACTTTATTTCTGTAGAATGATTACTTTTTACAGGTAATTGACAAGGAAACTTGATTGCAATTTTCACCTTAAAAGCTTTAAAAAAATCTCAAACGGCAGAGTCTCTGCCAAAAACTTCTTGTAAAATCAATTCTTCCACTTCTTGAGAACCTACTACATGGTCTGATTTCTTTATAAAGGTTGTGTAATGTAATGTGTCCAACAACTCTATGAGGTTGATGATATCAATCCAACTTTACGGGCCAAAAAACTGTGGCTCAGCAATATTAACTAGCTCAGATGACACAACTAACAAGTACTGGTAAGTAAAAAAAAAAAAAAAGATCAAGATTTCCCACATGTACTGGTCAGAAATGAAGTAGAGAAAACATCCTTGAATGAATAAATTAAATGTGCGATAGGTATACGCCATCCTGTGGCTACCTAAACAAATGTCTTACCTCAAAAGCAGATGACAATGAAGGGACAAGAGGCTTCAGGTGACCAAATCGGTACAGCATTAAGAACATCAAGCAACGGAGAGTTTCCATAATAGCTGCCTTGGGTCTGAAATAAAATGTCATTAACATGCATTAGCTTTAAATATGCTCTTTATATGTTCACATGTTATAATTAATATAAACTTCTCATTCTCAAGAAATACCTAGTATTTTAATATATTTGAAAAGCATGTCCCCTGAAGCAATTTGAAAACAGTGATTAAGAAAGAACACTCATCTTTTTCGGGAAAATCTGTTCTTCATCAACATATTGCTTAGTTTGAGCACTGATGAGTTATGAAGTTTATTTTCAGCTAATAAATATTAGGCAACTAAATTTCTAGGGTTTAAAGTAAGTGAGACTCTTTTCACTGATTTAATGTCTTCATACTTCATTCATTTAAAAAATGAGTAGTTAGGAGAACTGATATAGTTAACTTCTCTAAAATAATGAGAAGTCAAATACCAAAATTTTATATTTATTTTTAAAACTACACTAGTTACATAATATACTGGTATTTTACCACTCTGTGGAAAATTCTTGAATTGAGTAAAAGTAAAAACAATGCAAGAATTTCACTTCTTGCCTTTGATCCAGAAGAAATCCAATGGAAGTCAAGGTCAGGATAATGAAGCAAACCCTCAGAAGGAGAGTAACTTGCGACAGTGCCTGTCAAACAAACACGGAGATCAATGGAGCCGTTAGAAGAATTGTTAAAAGGTACACGAACGGTTAAAGCTTACAAAACAGCCCAAATTTTATGTCCTGTTGCACCACTTGTCATTGACACTTTACAGAAAGCTTGACTACACAGAAAACATTTTGGTTTTCTTAATGTCTTTCAGTTCCTTGTTGGACACTTGGAGAATTAGACAATTCCATAATGATATTTTGCTTAAAGTGTTCATCATCATTTAAAATTATCCTTTAAAGTTTTGACTTTTATAATTTTTTGAAGCATGTGAGTCCCCACATATGGATAAATTACTCACATTTTAATGTATAAATACTGTATTCTAATTAGCCATTTTTAGTATAACAAAATCTTTGTGGTTTCAAATGCAAAGCTTTCTCTAATATAGAAAATATTTAAAGGAGACTGTGTTTATGAGTGAAAACATATATATAAAGGAGATTACACATATACACTCATATTTGATTCAATCTACATGCTCATATATACATGTCAAAAGCTATCTTTTTAACGCTTAAACATTAAGCATTAGTGTGCTCTTCATGTTAATATGGCAGAGTTTTGTAAACTAAATTAAAACTTACTGATATATTGGACTTTGAGCCAAGGGAAAGAATGAGTACTATCTTTCCAGGTATCTTAAGGGTAAAAGCTTATTCTAAGACAGTCTGTCCATTGAGATTATTAGATTTCTAACTTGCAAATATGCTTTGTGCTCCAGAAGAATTAGAGGAAAAGCAGATACTAGAATTCTAATTTAAGTACATGTACGGCAGTCTTTTTTTATTGTTTAAAATTCTTTACATTCTGTATAAAAACTAATTCTTTTGGAAAAATGAACCATTTACAGTTTGTTTTTGGACTCTCAGTCAAAGGACTTTCCTTTAAATATTTGTCTCAATTTTAGTCTGGTCTTTTGTACTTTTCTTTAGGAAAAATGAATTAAAGGGTACAGTTGCATAAAGTGGGTTTTTATCCTAATGTACTGGAAATAAATGATAATTTTTTAAAAAAAATTATCTTTTGAATCATTGTAACAAAACATTTTTGTCAGAATTATAAAATTAATATGCATTTAATTTATATATTAAAATTTAATGTTTATTGAACATCTACTATTTTACAGCTTCTATGGCATGTGTTTCTTGTACTTTAATTTTGTTACATTCCCAATAACTTGGCAGAGTAGTTGTCATTATATCGGCTTTATTTTTAAAAAAACGCAAACAATCTGGGAAACAAAGGATTATCTAACTTTTTCCATCATTACACAGAAAGTAAATAACGCCTCTGAAACTCAAAATAGGCCTGCCTGATCACAAAGCATGATGACAGTAGAATACATATGAGCAATAGATTTAAAGGAGCTAATGGCAGAAGTCTAAATTGAGATTACATAGCCAAAGTTTAGAGCCAGGTGAATACGACTTCAGATTAAAAGTGGATCAGTAAATTCAAAGTATTGGACACAGTTCCTGGATGAGTTCCCTACTCACTGGTGGAGCTTAAGTTCCATCTTTATGAAAACCCAGAGGTGTGATACAACAGATTGGCTAAAATAGTGCCCAAAACATTATGCAAGCACTCTTTCCTTTGTTTCCCCTTGAAATGAATATAAGGAATTTCACCTATTAGCTAATATCCTTACTTGCAACTCAACTGCATCTGTCCAAAGTTATACACAGTAAACAAAAGCCACCAGTCACAATTTTTGCTCACATGCAGTACTGTAGCTTCATACCTTCTTAAAAACCAGCCCCATCTCTCACGGCCAACTTCCTGGAATGGCAGCCAGAATTGTCAAGAGATTTTAAACCCTCCAAAGCAATACTTTAGTGGAAGAGTATTGCTGAGTGGTCAAAAATCTGAATACAAAAGGATTAGAATGTTTAGGAATAGGGGCACAATGATAGGTATTAGATACAGGATGGGTGAGTCAGTGAAAGCCAGAATGTCTTAGACCAGAGCAAGAGAGTGCTATTAATATTTTGATATGTGAAGGTCGGCGATGTCCACTTAGGAAGAATGAGACCAAAAAAAAAAAAAAACCAGAAAAATATTTTCCTGGTGGTAGAAGTAACTAAGGTTTGTTACTTTGTTTGATTAAAATGGCATCTCTCACTATATTGCTTCATTGTGGTTTTGGCGGGGAAAAATTTACATATAAGGGAGAAATGATTTGTGTCAAAATCTGTAGTATGATTGCAAATGCTCTTTAAGAACACAGAATTTGTTTTTCAAACCTATCACCCATGTAAACATGAGCAAATTATTTGACATTTTAAAGCCTCAGCTATGCGTTTGGTACATTTGAAATAAAATACGCGTTTGGCAAGGACTGTAATCTTATTAAATACTTAAAAGAGTGTTTGGCACAGAGTAAAAAAGTCAATTGATGGTCATGGTTAGTATTATTGTTACTATGTTCAGGAGCTTAGGCTAATCTTAATTACAATAAGATGAGCAACTGAGAAGCATAAATAGAAGTTCTAATTAGCTCTTCCAGATGTCACAGGAAACTCACAGATGAAATAAGTACATGTATTTACTTTGGTTAGGAAATCTATGATCCCTGGACAATACAAATAACTCTTTACCAAACTGCATCCTGACTACTGGACTCAGAGTGGAAACCAACTTGATGCAGGAATCCACCACCTAGTCAACATCTCTAACTGGTGAACGGGCAACTGAAACTTGGCATGACTAAAACACTGCCTTTGAGCTCCTCCTCTACAACATATATTCACTAGTTTTCTTCATCTTAGAAAATGATACCTCCTAGCCTTCTGTTACTGAAGACAAAAACCTGTGGCTGGTCCTTAACTTTTTCTGTCACTGTCTACTTCTAATATATCAAGAGATATATTTAAAATATATCCAGAATAAAAGCATGTGTTACAAACAGCACAATTAATACCCTATTCCACCCCAAGATGATCTCCCCAACAATTGTTGAAATACTCCCCTAACTGGTCTTCCTACTTCTAAAATTGCCTGTCCACCTACCACAGCCCCCAACCCACAGCATGCAGAGTGATCCTTTTAAGCTTATGTGAGATCATGTCACACATGTTCTAAACCCTCCAGGGGCTCACTCAGAATAAAGCTCAAAGTCATCACTCTAGCCCAAATACGCCATACCCCACTATTAATCCCTAGTGTTCTCTCTTTAACTCAACATAAGCCATGCCAGAAATTTTCCTGTTCCTGGACATGACAAACATTTTCCCCACTCAAGTCTGTTTCACCTACTATTCCTCTGCTTGAAATGACTTCCCCTAGTGATCATTAGGGTGCATTTCATTCAGGTCTCTATTCAAATACATGTCCTTGTCCCTCCGACACAAAATAGTACTTCTCCATAACTCTCTGTAACCATTTTCTGTTTTATTGCTCTTCATATGATTTTCCACTTCTATACACGTATATATTTGTTGGTGCATTCTCTGTTGTCTGTCTCCTCTTGCTAGGATGTAAACTCAATGAAAGTTTTTATCTCTTCATTCACTGTCGTATCCCAAGGGCCTAGAATATAGAACTCAATATGTTTATTGAAAGACTGATAAAATGTTTATATTTGTTTTAGTATTAATACATTAAATGTTATTACATTGCTAATATGTTATTTTGGGAAAACTGAATCTATTTCATTTTTTACAAATTCAAATTTTATTTTAGGTTCAGGAGATATATTTGCAGGTTTGTTACATTAGTATATTGCCTGATGCTGAGGTTTGAGATAGGAATGATCCTATCACCCAGGTAGTGAGCATTGTACCCAACAATTAGTTTTCCAACTTTTGCCCCCCTCCTTTATTCCTTAGTCCCCAGTGTCTATTGTTGTCATCTTTATGTCCAGGGTACCCAATGTTTAGCTTCCATTTATAAGTAAGAACTTGCAATATTTGGTTTTCTGCTCCTGCACTAATTCACCTGGAGTAATGGCCTCCAGCTGCATTCACGTTGCTGCAAAGGACATGAATTCTTTTTCATGCCTGCATAGTAATCCATGGTATATATGTAACACGTTTTCTTCAACAACCAATCCTCCGTTGGTGGGCACCTAGGTTGCTTCCATGTCTTTGCTATTGTGAATAATGCTGCGATGAACATGAGTGCATGTGTCTTTTAGAGTGATTTATTTTCTTTTGGATATATACCCAGTAATGGGACTGCTGTGTCAAATGGTAGTTCTAAGTTCTTTGAGAAATTTCCAAACTGCTTTCCACAGTGGCTGAACTAATTTACATTCTCACCAACAGTGTGTATGTGTTCCCTTTTCTTTTTAGCCTCACCAGCATCTATTGTTTTGATTTTTTAACAATAGCCATTCTTACTGGTGTGAAACAGTATCTCATTGTGGTTTTGATTTGCATTTCTCTAATGATTAGTGACGTTGATAATTTTTTCATGTTTGTTGGATACTTGTATGTCTGCTTTTGAGAGGTGCCTGTTTATGTTCTTTGCCCATTTTTTAATGTGGCTATTTGTTTTTTTCTTGTTGATCTGGTTAAGTTCCTTATAGATTTTGCATATTAGTCCTTTGTCAGATGGGTAGTTGGCAAATATTTTCTCCCATTCTGTAGACTGTCTGTTTACTCTGTTGATAGTTTCTTTTGCTGTGCAGAAGCTCTTTATTGTAACTAGGTCCCATCTGTCAATTTTTGTTTTTGTTGTAGTTGCTTTTGAGGACTTACTCATAAATTATTTCCCTAGGCCAATGTCCAGAATGATCTTCAACAAAGTTGACAAAAGCAATGGGGAAAAGACTCCTTATTCAGTAAGTGGTAGAGGGATAGCTGGCTAGCCATATGCAGAAGAATGAAACCAGACCCCTACCTTTCACCATATATAAAAATTAACTCAAGATTGATTAAAGATTTGAACCTAAGACCTCAAACTATAAAAACCCTAGAAGAAAACATTAATACAATTAATCAATAATTTAATATTAAATATTTAATAACAATGTTTTATTTTATTTTTGAAACAGAGTTTTACTCCCATCACTCAGGTTTGTAGTGTAATGGCACCATCTAAGCTCACGACAACCTCCCTTTCCAGCCTTAAGCTATTCTCCTGCCTCAGCCTCCAGAGGTAGCTGGGACTACAGGCACATGCTACCGTGCGCACAGCTAATTTTTTTTTTTTTTCTTCGAGACAGAATTTCGTTCTTGTTGCCCAGGCTGGAGTGCAATGGCGCCATCTCGGCTCACTGCAATCTCCGCCTCCTGGGTTCAAGCAATTCACCTGCCTCAGCCTCCCTAGTAGCTGGGATTACAGGCACCTACCACCTTACATACCCGACTAATTTTTTTGTATTTTTAGTAGAGATGGGGTTTCACCATGTTGACCAGGCTTGGTCTCGAACTCCTGACCTCAGGTGATCTGCCTGCCCCTGCCTCCTAAAGTGCTGGGATTATAGGCGTGAGCCACTGAACCCAGCCAACGGCTGATTTTTGTATTTTTTTTTGTAGAGATGGGTTTTCACCACATTGTCCAGGCTGGTCTCAAACTCCTGGACTCAAGTCTGGCCTCAGCCTCCCAATGTACTGGGATTTATAGGCATGAGCCACCACACCTCATCTAATACCAATATTTTATATTCCTCAAACTTTAAAATAAATTCAACTAAATTATTCAATCAATAGTTTAATATTAAATTATTAAGTGTTTCTAAATATTAAATATTTAAATATTAAGTACCTTAATATTTATCCCTTTAATTCCTTAAAAAACAGAATATCCCAAAAATGAGTTTAAAAGAAACTGAGAATATTGAAGAGGGAATTCAACATAGAACACATATGCTTAATTTAGGGTTCATTTTCCTATGGAACTTAAGTTTTTCTATATAGTATCCTTTGATAGACTACTAAGGGAGATAATCAGTTGAACGTCTCTAAAGTCTAACATGCGGCTGGGTGTGGTGGCTCATGCGTGTAATCCCAGCACTTTACGACGCTGAGGTGAGCGGATCACTTGAGGTCAGGAGTTCAGGACCAGTCTGGCCAACACGGTGAAATCCCGTCTCTACTAAAAATACAAAAATTAGCCAGGCATGGTGGCACACACCTGTAGTCCCAGCTACTTGGGCAGCTGAGGCAGGAGTAAACTACTGTTTGAACCTGGGAAGCAGAGGTTGCAGTGAGGCAAGATCATGCCATTGCACTCCAGCCTGTGCGTCACAGCGAGACTCTGTCTCAAAAATAAATAAATAAATAAATTCTACAAATTCATTCCATGAATATATATTGAATATGTGCTGGGCACTATGGTAAATATGAGTTTGAGTAACCAAGAACAACAAAATCCCTGCCCTTGAATTCATACCACCTTAGTATTTGCCCGTAAGACCACTGGCCAACTACACTAGAGCAAAAGAAAAAAAAATAGAATTTATAGGTTTTGAAGACTATAAATATTTAGTCTCCTGTGTTTTAAACAATATGTGAAATCACACGTAGCTTATTAGTTTTTTATAACAGGGAGGATTTTATTTTTTCATTTAATTTACTCCCATTTCAAATTATATACTGCTGGTTTATCTTTCATATAAAGTATCTCTGTCCTAAAGTGCTAAATTGAAATTATTCTAAATTAGTTCCATTTTAATTTGGACGTATGATCGGTTCTTAATCACAGAAAGCATTTGGGAAAGATCATAACCATAAATAGCTTTATGAGGCAATAAATTATTTTTCCTTTTTAAAAATTATCTGTCAAGTTTCACTACTGTGTGGTGGCTCATGCCTATAATCCCAGCACTTTGGGAAGCTGAGGTCGGCAATTCACTTGAGGCCAGGAGTTCGAGACCAGCCTGGCCAACATGGCAAAACCCCATCTCTACTAAAAACACAAAAATAATACAAAAATTATCTGGGCATGGTGGCGGTACTTGCCTTTAATTCCAGCTACTTGGGAGGTTAAGGCACAAGAACTGATTGAAACTGGGAGGAGGTGGTTTCAGTGAGCTGAGATGGCACCACAGCACTCCAGCCTGGACAACAGAGTGATATTCTGTCTCAAAAAAAAAAAAAATTATTTGGTAGCTCGTTTTCATAGGTTTCCCAGTGCAAGGATGATGGTTTACATTTGCAGCCCCAATTACGCCTGCAGAACCCTATCTACTCCAACTTTCTTTAAATAGATGGGAAAAAAATACTTAGGAAAAGGTATCATTAACAACACAAAAACAGCAGAATTACATGTTTGACGCCATGTTACTTAATCAATGAATGTGTGGGAATTCTTCTTTTGCCCACAGATATTATAAAGAAGAAAGCCCTTTTCTTCTTGAAGAGGACTATCACTGTCTTACTCTTGCATGGGAAAACCTTAGGGGTCAATACAACCTCCTCTCACATTTCTCCACCAAACAAACCTCACAAAGGAGGTATCAAACTCAGTCACTACATCCTAAAATAACAGTATGTTTCCATATGAAAAAATTCTTTTTTTAAACTTTATGCATTGTCAAAGATGATTTGATAATATTTTCCATAATTTTATTCTAAGGCTTTAGAAATGAAAATCTCTAGATTTTCTTATTAAAACAAGTTGGTACGTTTTTAGTAGTTTCTCTAAAAGGTGCCTGACAAGGTCTACAAAAGTTATTATTTTGATTAATGCTCATCTTCTCAGACATCTGTAAAATGAGGCTAATATTGCCTAACACTGAAACCTCTACAATCTCTGCTGTGAAGGCAGCAGATTGGCTTTCTTGGCATACTTATCCCTGCTGCCATTATTAATATCTCTGCAGCTCTGAGGGCCCCAATCTTCCAGACACTGTGAGCTTGCGGATTTGTTATGCTGAATCCGAAGGCTTGAAGATGCTTCTCAGTGTTACAACATAAACACAAGAGCAGAATCCAATGTGACACCATACTGCAATGTATAATTATATGTGAGTCTCAAGAATCTGTCTTGAAAGAATTTCTTGCTCTTTAAAATAATTGTCAATATTGGCTATCTTATTCTTTTCCCTACTTTTTCAGAACTCCCTAGGTGGCTACCACTAAAGCATACTAAGAGGAATATAATTACAGTAAACATTTGCTAGAATTTCAAGCAAGAAGCAAACATAATAAATATATCAAAGGTGAAAATATATTGGCTAAAAAAGTATAATTAACATATAGTTCAAAACATTGAATTGACATGGAGTTCATCAGTTTCTACAAAAAATTGTAAGAAATAAAAGCCAAAGATTACATTGTATTTTATAAATACCAAAATATTAGATATGTAACAATTATATTTGACACTATGGTTCTACTCCATTAAAATATGAATGTGTACCTGATAAGATAGAGAACTTCACCCTCCTACCTGGAAAAACAAACAATAGCAATATATCTGAAATGATTGTTTTCAAATCACAGGGCACAAGGCAAAAAAGAACAGCGATCTCAGGGAAATAGGATACAAATGACATGATCCATATTGCACCAGTTTCCCACCTTGAGAGTTTCTAGGTTACAATACAGAGGGACCCAGAGGAGCTTGGTGGATTCCCTGAATTGTGGAGAAAGAGCCAGGATTTGAGAGAAACCAAGAAGGCTAGCATTTGGAAAATAGAGTACCAAAAAAGGAAGAGTTATGCATAGAGAACCCTAAAAATTTGCAGAGTGTCGGTCAAGTCTTTAGCAAGTCAGCTCATGCGTGATACCCTGAAGAAATTATCCAAGGGCAAAAAAGGATCAGAGTTACAATGCCCAGTATGTGTGTAATGCATACTCCTACCAGACAGACTGGAAAATCTCATGATTCACTGGACATTCACTAAGTAGAGAACACCAAAGGGTTGTGCCTCAGTATTGGGTAGTAATTGGTCCAAGACTGAAAACCTCTAGAAAAGAAAGATCCTACAACAGTTGCCAAAAGAGTCTGTTGTTAACATATTATCTTTTTTGAATGCTCCATAAAACTATTTTGTGGGAGCCACTCTGAATAATCTGTATTTGCCTCAAGATCAAATTTCCTTGCACTTTTAATAGGAAACTTTTATTTTCTTACTAAGAAACAAGTGGATCTACAAACTAAATACCTTTTCATTATTTTCCAAAATACAGAAGAGAAAAGATGTTAAAAGACTGTTTCAGAGACAGATCAGACTTTCTTTCTAAAAGGATTTTTTTTTTTTTTTTTTTTTTTTTTTGAGACAGAGTCTTGCTCTGTTGCCTAGGCTGGAGTGCAGTAGCACAATCTTGGCTTCTGCACAACCTCTAACTCCTGGGTTCAAGTGATTCTCTTGCCTCAGCCTCCAGAGTAGCTGGGATTACAGACACCTGCCACCGCACCCAGCTAATTTTTGTATTTTTAGCAGAGGCGGAGGTTCTCCACCTTGGCCAGACAGGTCTCAAACTCCTGACCTCAAGTGATCCACCCACCTCGGCCTCCTAAAGTGCTGGATTACAGGCGTAAGCCACTGTGCCCAGCCTCTTCACGTGGAATACTTTTAATGAGGAAATGTAACTCCAAAGAACTGCGCATTTAGACTTGGGAGTTTCCAAAACAGAATTAAATTGCTTAATTTTTACATACACTTAACAAATCTAAGTGAGGTTATGATTTAAATTATGAGGAGGTTATCATTGTGTTTGTTATGTAACTTTTTAAAGAAGCTGCCTGATCCTCACCAAATTAGAAAACACTTATAGTGATATGAAGATATATTTAATTTCAAAGTTAACATTCTATTATTTGATGCATATACTATTAAATGTGTAATTTCCCAGTTTATCAATGTATTTAAATGTAGTGGACAAAAAATAATGTATTTAGGAAAATACAATGATCACTTTTCTACATTTCTGTAGTCTATGCTTACTTGAAAGGTAGCTTTTGTTAATAGTCTTCCGTTACTACAAATCCATTACATTCATTTCATGCCTTTGTATTATAATTGATGCTCATTTTGGCCCACATTCCTTTTTTTTCCCCCACATTACGTAACTTAGTTACCACCGAAAATCTTAAGGAAATGAAATCCCAAGGGGATAGACTAGAGAAAAACAGTATACCCTGGACATTGACTTGAAAACTTTCATGAAGAACCTAAGCTAGATCTAATTTGTGCAGGTGGCACTCTCTGCTGTAAGAGTCGACCAAAATATATTGATTTTTTTACAGGTTTTTTTCAGCAGCTTTATTAAAAAACGCCAACATGAAAATATTAGTTACAAAATTGTAGTGCCCATAATGTTTTACAGAGTATGGCATTCAGGGGAATTAAAAACCATAAAAATGTTTCCAAATTTATATTGGATACTCTCAGATGCCCTGTAACTTGAAATATATCATCAAAGTAATCTGTGTTCAAATGTATCTGCAGTAACTTTATTACATATCCTATTATAAGACCTTATTGAATATTCAAACTGTTTTTTGTGTGTTTATTAGTTAAAAGAAGCATTGCCTTTTCAATTTTAGTTTGTAGAACATGCTAGTGCAATACATATTATACATATTTTTATTTCCAACATGTACTCATGATATCACCCCAGGAAGTGGACACTGGCAGCTGAGGAATTGATTTTTCAAGGATTACTAAACCAAAATCAACATAAAAGTCCGTGGGTCATATCACTAAACTAAACACTATATATTTAAATATATGCTTTGCAAGTTTCAGTAAGAAAGGAATGTGTCTCTTACACCTTTGTCGTGGCCATCAAATTGCTCTCTTGACTCCCAAAGTTATTTATATAGAACTTGCATACATAAAACAAGTAAGTATTTATCTTCTCTAATATATGCATAAACAGAAAAGACTGTGGGACCACAGCAGGGTCCCCAATTACAAGTCAGCCACAACTTTTCTGTGTGATTATTGGCTACAGTGAATCTGGAAAAAAATATTGCTGTTGGATTTTAATGTCTTTGTATGCTTTTAGACATCCCTGAGATTAGAAAGGCACTATAGAATTTTGCAAATAAACAACCTTTCTTCCTAGTCACACAGCATGTTCTCAGCAAAGAAAAACACATGTGGGAAACAAGCAAATACAACTTTCAAAATTAATTTGTGTCAGGAATGAAGCTGTCTCCAACTCTACTTTCAGTTTGTAAAGGGTTTCAACACTTGATATTTCTCTTCGTCAATATATCTACATGAGTTTCTCATATATTTTTTCATGACAGTAGAGAAATCTTGAGAAAACCATGCTGTAAGTCACATATTTTAATGTACACAGTGTCTGGCTACATTTTTACCCAGGAAGCACTCACTCATGCCCAGGCATTCAAATGTTAATGGCCACTATTTCAAATTTAACATGGAGGCTCACATAGCTTAAAATGAGTAAGTCTCCATCTTTTGTTTCTATGAATCAGTATAATTTATTTAGAGATTTTATTTAATACAACTAAGAAAAATCAACAATGCGAACTGTACTCAACATTGGTTAGTATATCAACAGTTGGATATTTAGACACAGATGACCCTGGCTTTTCTTTTGGTCTCATTCAACTATTTAAGCTCTATTAATGATGTAGATTTTAGTTCTACTTGGGGAGAACATATTAAGTTAATATATTAAACAAAGTAGTTAAGTGAGGGGTTATGAGACCTTACTTAAACAAATATGAAGTCTAAGCATTTTGGTGGTTTGATGTTTAGGTGTGCACTGCCAAGCGTAATGTGGTTCATGCCACAGTTATAAAAGCTTTGGTCCAAAAAGAAATTCTTGGTTTCAAATTTTGTCATTTTGGGGGCTAAAGCCAAATAAACCTGGTACACTATGCAATTTGTTTCATCATTAGCTCTAGCACAGGTAAGAAAAACAAACAGTAACTATATGTCCAATCATTACATTTTCAAAAAACTTCTGGCCCCATAGTATCCTAGTTCCTGCATTTGCTTCACAAAATGGAAACAAGAATCTAACTCATTGTTTTCTGCTACAGTAATACAAGTCGATTTCATGTTTCCCTGTGGCTTTTTATTTTAAAAAATTATATTTGGACAGACAGCACATACAAACTTATCTATTGTTTAAAATTTGGGTTCCTATATGAAGAATAATTTGGTTACTAACTTTGAACACACGCACAAAATAAATATATATGGACAACACCAATCATTAAAGTTTTAAAATAATGTTAAAATTAAAATGGTTTTTGTTGGTTTAATGTCTGTTTTGTCAGAAACTTGGGATTGCATCCCATCCTTCTGTTTTCCAATTGCTTGGTAGTGTTTTCTCCGTCCCTTTATGGGATCAAATCAACAAGGATTCCTAACTATCCTAAATATGTATGCACCCAACACAGGAGCACCCAGATTTATTAAGCAAGTTCTTAGAGATCTTCAAAGAGATTTAGACTCCCACACAATAATAGTGGGAGACTTTACTACCCCACTGACAATATTAGATCATCCAGACAGAGAATTAACAAAGATATGCAGCACCTGAACTCAGCACTAGACCAAATGGACCTGATAGATACAGTCAGAACTCTCCACCCAGAGTTCTGGGTGGCAAAATTCTATAGTGCCTTTCTAATCTCAGTGATGTCTAAAAGCATACAAAGACATTAAAATCCAACAGAATTTACATTCTTCTCATCGCTACATGACACATAATCTAAAATCAATCACAAAAATGAAAGTAAAACACTACTCAGCAAATGCAAAAGAACTGAAATCATAACCCACATTCTTTCAGACCACAGCACAATTAGAAATTAAGACTAAGAAATTCACTCAAAACCATACAATTACATGGAAACTGAATAACCTGCTCCTGAATCACTTTTCGGTAAATGATGAAATTAAGGCAAAAGTTTCAAAGAAGTTCTTTGAAACTAATGAGAACAAAGACACAACACACAACATACCAGAATCTCTAGGACACAGCTAAGGCAGTGTTAAGAGAGAAATTTATAGCACTAGAAGTCCACATCAAGAAGTCAGAAACATCTCAAGTTCACAACCTAGTATCACGACTAAATAACTAGAGAAATCAAGAGCAAAGAAATCCCAAAGCTATCACAAGACAATAACCAAAATCACAGCTGAAGCAAAGGAGATTGAGACATGAAAAACCATTGGAAAGATCAACAAATCCAGGAGCTGTTTTGGGGAAAACATTAATCAAGTAGAAAAACTGTTAATTAGATTGATAAAGAAGAAACAGAAGATTCAAATAAACAGTATCAAAAACAAGGAGGTTATTATCAATGACCCCACAGAAGTACAAACAACAATCAGAAAATATTATGAACACTTACATGCACATACACTAGAAAATCTAGACGAATTTCCTGGATACATACACCCTCCTAAGACTGAACCAGGAAGATATTAAAACCCTAAAGAGAACAATAGTGAGCTCTAAAATTGAGGCAGTAACAAATAACCTACCAATCAACAAAAGCCCAGCACCAGACAGATTCACAGCTGAATTCTACCAGAGGTACAAAGAAGAGCTGGTACCATTTCTACTGAAACTATTCCAAAAACTTCAGGCCAATATCCTTGACTGACAGTAATGCAAAAATTCTCAATAAAATACTGGCAAACCAAATCTAGCATCACATCAAAAAGCTTATCCACCATGATTAAATGGGCTTTATCCCTGGGTGCAAGGTTGGTTCAACATACACAAATCAGTCAATGTGATTCATTACGTTAACAGAACTAAAGACAGAAAGCATATGATTATCCCAATAGATGCAGAAAAAGACTTTCTTTAATTCGACACCCTTTCATATTGCTCATTTTCAATAAACTAGGTATTGAAGGAAATTGCCTCAAAATAAAAAGATCCATATAAGACAAACGCACAGCTAACATTTTACTGAATGGGCAAATGTTGGAAGCATTCCCCTTGAAACCAGCACAAGACAAGTATGCCCTCCGTCTCTCACCACTCCTATTCAACATAGTATTTTAAGTTCTGGGCAGGGCATTCAGGCAAGAGAAAGAAACAAAGGGCAACAATAAGAAGAGAGGAGATCAAACTATCCCTATTTGCAGACGACATGATCCTCTACCTAGAAAACCCCATGGTGTCAACCCAAAAGCTTCTTAAGTTGATAAACAACTTCAGCAAAGTCTCCGGATACAAAATCATATGCAAAAATCACTGGCATTTCTATACACCAATGACAGTCAAACTGAGAGCAAAATTAGGAATGAACTCCCATTAATAATTGCCACAAGAATAATAAAATACCTAGTGATACAGATAACCAGGGAGGTGAAAGATCTCTAGAAGGAGAGCTACAAAACACTACTCAAAGAAATCGGATATTGACACAAACAACTGGAAAGCCATTCCATGTTCATGGATAGCAAGATTCAATATCATTTAAATGGCCATATTGCTCAAAGCAATTTATAGAATCAATGCTATGCTTATTAAACATTCCTCACAGAACTAGACAAACATTGTCATTCTTCACAGAATTAGAAAAAACTACTTTAAAATGCACATGGAACCAATAAAAGAGCCCGAACAGCCCAGACAATCCTAAGTAAAAAGAACAAAGCTGGGGACATAACATTATCCAACTTTGAACTACACTACAGGTCTACAGTAACCAAAGCAGCATGGTACTGGCACAAAAACAGTCACATAGACCAATGGAACAGAACAGAGAACTCAGAAATAACACTGCACAACTACAACTATCTCATCTTCAACAAACCTGACAAAAACAAGCAATGGGGAAAGGATTCCCTAATTCAATAAATGGTGCTGGGATAACTGCCTAGCCATATGCAGAAGATTCAAACTGGACCCCTCCCTTACTGCATATACAAAAACTCAGCATAGATTAAAGACTTAAATGTGAAACCTAAAACTATAAAAACCCTTTAAGACAACCTAGGCAATACCATTCAGGACACAGACAAAAACAAAGATTTCATGATGAAGACGCCAAAAACAATTGCAACAAAACCAAAAATTAACAAATGGGATCTAATTAAACTGAAGAGCTTCTGCAAAGCAAAAGGAACTATCAACAGAGTGAACAGACAACCTACAGAATGGGAGAAAAGTTTTGCAAACTATGCATCCAACAAAGGTATAATATCAAGCATCTATAGGAACTTAAACACATTTACAAGAAAAAGACAAGCAATCCCATAAAAAAGTGGGCGAAGAACACGAACCTTTCAAAAGAAGACATACATGCAGGCCACAATCATATGAAAAAAAAAAGTTCAACATCACTGACTGTTAGAGAAATGCAAATCAAAACCACAATGGTGTACCATCTCCCACCAGTCAGACTGGGTATTATTAAAAACTCAAAAAATAACATGCTGGTGAGCTTGTGGAGATAAAGGAATGCTTATACACTGTTGGTGGGAATGTAAATTAGTTCAATCGTTGTGGAAGACAGTGTGGAATTCCTCAAAGACAAAGACAGGAATACTATTCCACCCAGCAATCCCATTACTAGGTATACATACAAGGGAATATAAATCATTCTTTTATAAAGTTAAATGCATACATATGTTCACTGAAACACTATTCACAATATCAAAGACATGGAATCAACCTAAATGCCCATCAATGATAGACTGGATAAAGAAAATTAGGTAAGTATACACCATGGAATACTATGCAGCCACCAAAAACAATGAGGTCATGTCCTTTGCATGAACATGGATGGAGCTGGAGGCCATTATCCTTAGCAAACTAACACAGGAACAGAAAACCAAATACTGCATGTTCTCACTTGTAAGTGGGAGCGCTAAATGATGAGAACACATGGACACGTAAGAGGAACAACACACACTGGGGTCTATTGGAGGGTGGAGGGTGGGAGGAGGAAGAGGATTTTACTATTGGGTACTAGGCTTAATACCTAGATGATAAAATAATCCATACAACAAACCCCTCATGACACAAGTTTACCTATGTAACAAAACTGCACATGTACCCCCGAACTTAAAATAAAAGTTTAAAAAAATTAAGATGGCTTTTCTCAATACATTATTCAATAATCTCTATAACAACTTTCTGAAAATCTATTTAGCAGGATACATTGCATACACAATTGGATGCCCAGCCAAAACATATCTCCCATTTCTTTTGTACTAATACTGTGCTGATTTTGTCCAGGTATATACGAGGAATGTGCTCGGGGGAAGTGAGTACCACTGTATCCTGAGGGCAAGAATTATACTTGGTATAATTTACTCATGGTTAAATTCATGACCTGATGTTAGTTATGGGTTTAGTGTGGGCATGTCCTGAAAAATGAGGCATGAAAGGAAGTTCGCTCAGAAGAAATGTGTCTCCGTGTGTGTTTTCCTTCTTAAATAAAATGAAATAAAATTAACAAGATGCTGTAGAAGTATTGAATTTGCTGCCTTTGGTCAAAAGCTGTAAGGGCAGGATGACTGGAGTTATTGCAATTATTTTATGATAACAAAATCCAAAGGAATTAGAGAAGCCCTTTTAGAAGCGCTGCATGTTTGAACTGCTGAAGTAATCAATCCTGGAAACACTTGCCATATTCCGGACAAATTTAATTGAATATTCTGTTTTTTTAGAGCAGAAGACACCTAATGGACACTCCTACCATAGATATCTTAATTAAGATGTTATCCTACAGGCATTTTTATATGTCACTAGGTGTTTATAAATGATTAGATACTTTGTTTGAAAACAAGTTCAAATCACGTATTTATGTGTGATAACATCTATTGTTATATAGATGTAACATTTGTTATTTTTGCCTACTTGAGCCTATTTGCCTTTTTCTATAATCTATCACCTCAATTTTTTTTTCAAGCCACTCTGTTGTTCTTCATAGACCATGAGGATCCTGTGTAGTTGACCCTGCCCTCCCATTCGTAGGCTGGGTACATAATCTAGGACCACATACATAGATTCGTTCAGTGATGTACAGATAAACTAAGCCACAACATCAGGCTCAATTTGGGTATTTTCACTTGTGGGGTTCTTTGAATGGCAGTATTTTACCTAGAGCAAGTTGGTAGCCATCTTGCCACCATGAAGGGTCACAGTTTACAGGAGAATTTGCACTCAGAAAAGCATAGCTGTAGGAAGTAAAGAAGATTCCTGATGACATTATTTGCCCTCTTGGGTCCGCACTGTCTAAAGAAGCAATAGTCCCAAACTTTTCAGTTACGTTAGTTAATAAATCCACTCTGCGTTGAATTTCTGCCATATACAATAAAAAAACAATAAAAAAAAGTCCCACCTAACACTCCTGCCTAAAAGTCCTGCTCAGGACCTATTTCAAGAAACCTCCTTTCCTTATAATTAACTATATAAATCATACAGAATATATAGAACTGTTACAGTAACATCTTCATACTTAGATTATTACACTGGTACCTAACTAAAATAATTCCATAGGTCTTATATTGAAATTATTGATAATCCTAGATTAGATTCATTTTTCAGCATATATTATTTATTAATTTCTTTTACTTATGGAGTTTTTAACTAGATAGACTCATGCCTATCAATAATACACATTGTTGTTTGAAAATGATTTATTATTCTCTGTATTCACTGAATGTTAATCCTATCTTTATTCATTTAGGTTTTTTTCCCGGATTGTTGTATTTTTCTTTTTAGGCTTTTTCAGAGTTCTTCATATCTGAAGATAACATCTCTTCCATGTTTTTAATCTGTTTATGTATTGACTTTAGCACTGTGTAATGGATGATTAATTTAGTCCATCTATTTTTTTTTTCGTTTGTTTGAGACTGAGTCTCGCTCTGTCCCCCAGGCTGGAGTGCAGTGGCGCGATCTCGGCTCACTGCAAGCTCTGCCTCCCAGGTTCACGTCATTCTTCTGCCTCAGCCTCCTGAATAGCTGGGACTACAGGGCCCGCCACCATGCCTGGCTACTTATTTTTGTATTTTTCAGTAGAGACGTGGTTTCACCGTATTAGCCAGGATGGTCTCGATCTCCTGACCTCGTGATCTGCCCACCTTGGCCTCCCAAAGTGCTGGGATTACAGGCATGAGCCACCACGCCCAGCCTCAATTTAGTCCATCTTTTAATGCACTAGTTTAAGCTGCTATGTAAGCCATTGAGTGTTGCATGCTAGTTATATTTTTATATTTTTAAAGTTTATTTTAATTACTTTAAAAATGACAGCTAGGACAACTATCAGAATATATGTTCAGTTGCCTCACTGGATTCATATATTGTCAACATTTTTAACTCCTTAGGTGTCTTTCAATTTTTGCTAGCTGTTCTGTGCATTTTAATAATTACATTTTTGTATATTTTATCCATCAATTTTAAGTGTCCTATACACCTTAAAGATAGGCGTATCTTAACCACCACTTTGCTACACCTGTTTCTTTCCAATATAACTATTATTCAGAGTTACCATGTAACTTTCAACATTGCTGATTCACTGAGGTTTTTCATGGGGTGCTTACTTTATTGGTAACAAGGTATAAAAACAGCATTTTTTTAAACTCACCTGTGATTCTATTTTCTACTTCACCTACTTACAATTTAGTTACCTTACTGCTTTCATGTACCTTTTTGATCTACTGTAAATTTTTAATGAAGAATACAAATAAATCTATAAAAAATACCTGTTTTTCTCTTTTTTTTTTTTTTTTTGCAATTTACAACATATTTTTATATACGTTATTTTTGCTCTTTCCAAAACCTAGGTAGTATGAGTATTCTTTTGTGGCCAAAAAAAAATGATCCCCAAAGTGGCGATCCCTGAACTAAATCCTGGTCTAGTGCTCTTCTATTTGCACCAGACAAATTGGAATATTCTGAATGTTTCAGAAATGTCAAACTAAAGGAATTAAACTCTACACTGAAAACCCTTTAAATTCTATCAGGGAATTCTCTAAGTGAAGGTAAGTATGTTGAAACTGATGAAAAGTGTAATTTCCCACACATTTAATTCTGACTTCTGAAGTATTTTTATTGTAATTGTTTTAAAATTTGTTTATGGCAAATAATTTCTTATTTATCACACAGATTCACAGCATACCACTCAGTGAACATTCTGCACAGAAGCATTTTGGATAGAATTCATTCATTTACATTTAGTAGTCTAGAAGATTTGTTTTACCTATTTAAATGTGAGACGTTGCCAAAATTACAGCAGACCACTACAGAGAATATATGACAGCCTTAATATGGGGAGCTTATTTTCATTTTCAAACAAAGTAACAGATAATGTTCTCACACTACTTAAAATGGATATTACTTACAGCTGTATCTGCAAAGGTCTCTTCATAAAATGCCAACATCAGAGCAAACTGTACAACTGTATATATCTTTAATAGCTGAGATGAAGATGATGAGAAGGGAACTTCTTTGCCGGTGACCTAGGGAGACAAGAACCATTTCCTTTATATTGCTCCAGACTCATTTTTCTTACTGAAATTCACACTAAGAGATATTTGAAAAAAGTATCTGCTATTTTTTTTAAAAAAAGACAAACATAATTTTTAAAAATAGAAACATGTCTAAGTTAGGAGACTTTCTCATTTTGAAAGCATTACAATTATGACGTAGTCTGCCTTAAAGAGCAGCATAAGAACTAATTCAACAATATGTGCAAATAATAAAGAGAGCCAAAATGCATGGGATGTATCTTCCCTATTTGATATGTCCACGATCACATCTGGCGGCAAAAGCAAAGTAAAAGAAAAAACAGAAGGTGCCAGATGTGGTGACTCACGCCTGTAATCCCAGCACTTTGGGAGGCCGAGGCAGGCGGATCATTTGAGGTCAAGAGTTCGTGACCAGCCTGGCCAACATGGTGAAACCCCATCTCTACCAGTAATAAAAAAATTAGCTGGGCATGGTGGCACACACCTGTAATCCCAGCTACTCAGGAGGCTGAGGCAGAAGAACTGCTTGAACCTGGTAGGCAGAGGCTGCAGTGAGCCAGGACTGCATGACTGTTCTCCAACCTGGGCAACAGTCCCAAAAGAAAAAAAAAGAAAAGAAAAGAAAAAAAAGGTGATCTTGGCAGTGTAGGTAATCATGCTTCAAAGAAAAATACTATTTTATTGGAAACAACTTTTCTAAAGTTATTTATTGGAAACTTTGGAGAAGTTTTTCCAATAGACTACGTTTCTACTCTAGCATTTAAGTTTCCCCAAAATGCTACACATCTATATTTTTTAATGCAGACTCCAGCACTCACATAACTTTAAAATACTGTACTCACTTTGAGTTATCTATTGACAAAATGAAAAATAATAAATCGATCATAGCAAACAGCTTTTTGGAGTTGAAATATAAAAATTATTTCACCTATATCAAGTTGGTGGATTGTTGCACAATGAATTGTGAACATAAACGGAAGTGGGAAACTTATTCCTAGCGGCGTTGGTAACTGAATGAGAAAATGTCATTATTTAGATCAGGATTTTTTCAAAATAACAGTATTTAAATAAAACATCTTATTTCCTTGAAACATCACAGGCTAACTTTTGTACACATAGTATCATCCTTGAAATTAAGAGTAGTTTACTCTTCCTATTGTTTCTGCATTACTATACATTTATTTGATAAGAAATCACAACTTATATTCTAAATGATTAAAAAGCACCTTCTCTTTCTTCCCCAGAAGAGTAATTTTGGGTTAAAACTGAATTTTTCATTTGGGTTCTGCTGTTTTAAAGATCTTTTTTATTTTTGGTTTTCAATGTGGTTTCTGCATTTAATTGTTCTACTCTACTATAAAATGAATATAGTTATGGTTTGACCCAAAATCCACACTGTCTTAATGTGACTTTAGATACATCTGTTCTGGGGGCCTCAGTTTTTCATGAGTGGAGTTAAGTTTAGACTGGCTCATTCCTAAGGCTCCCTCCGTCTCTAGTGTTCTAGGACTCTGTGTCTGAGCTGCATGTATTTGTGAAGTTATGCCCTACACAAAGGCAAGCGTTCAAGTCGATATGAAAACCAGCCTCTGCAGCACTGCTCCACAATCTGTGCTCCTAGGTAAAAGGCAGTGTTCACCTGGGAGAAGGCACTCCTTTAATTGGCACAAAGTTGGTGGATACTCATTAAGTAAGTTATGCACCACAGGACTGCATCTGACTGGGGGAACATCTTTTTACAGATTTGCATGAAAACAGCGTATGTACAGGCTGGCTGTAGACCTGACAATATGAGACAATCTTCACCATCTCCAATTCTGTGAACTCTATTTACCTCTGGAATTTCTTCACTGAGACCAAGTCTTGGTTTACCTGGACCCCATCCCGGTCCCTTAAATATGACAGAAAACTTATTGAAGAATCCAGGTGTGGCCCAGAATGTAGTCCATATGGAAAATAAGTGATGGAACTAGAAACAATAAAAAAAGAGCTTATTTCACATAAGATAAATAGGAAAGATTAAATACCAAAAGTTATGTATATTATTTTATTGTTCAAGGTAATTTACGTATTTAAAACGTTATGCCTGATTAGAGCAACAGAAATGTGTAATTGCATTCCATGCTGTAATCTATTCTATGCACTGTATACCATTAAGTGCGTTGTTGTCAATATATCTAAAGTTCAATAAAATTATAATTTTGAAATGTAAAAACAGGGCAATTGTTTAGACAATCAGCAAAGTAGGAAAAAAATGAGTTAAGAGGCTTTGCTTCCAATGGAATTAACTAGCACCCTGTGCACTCAACATCCCTCCCTAATGACACATTCTCTTTTTTTTTTTTTTTTTCCCCAAGACAGAGTCTCGCTCTGTTGCCCAGGCTGGAGTGCAGTGGAGCGGCTTTGGCTCACTACAACCTCTGCCTCCTGGGTTCAAGTGATTCTCCTGCCTCAGCCTCCTGAGTAGCTGGGATTACAGGTGCCTGCCACCATGCCAGGCTAATTTTTGTAGTTTTAGTGGCGACAGGGTTTCTGTTTTGGCTTTATCAGAATTTGTGATTTTGCTAGTTTTCAATGAGTTGAACCATTAAGATTATAAAAAATAATTTAAAATTGCTTAAAATATGACAATAAGGAATCTGAAGCAATTCAGAAATAATTTAGAACCATTTATGCCTAGTGTTCCATTATTGGAACCCTAAGCATGTGGGTTACTTATATCCTACTGCTCAAGGTCATCGCCAAGCTCTAATTGGAAAAATTAAAAAAATTGCAACCTCAGGCATATGGGTTAATGGAATAGATCTGAGGAATAGGTAAATGTTAGGTGGAAGCTTCGCCTGGGGCTTTGCAATAATAATAATACAGAAAACCAATGTGCGTAGAAGTTATAATGTACATTAATATACTTAATTTGTTTTGTAATTTTGGAAACTGAGTACAGTTTTGTTTCTATCATTCTGGACACAAGCCATGAGAAATATATGGTAATGTTTTAAAATAAAATATTGTTTTTCACTTATTTATTTCCCAATGCTCTGAAAATGTGTGATGACAAAGGAGGGCAAGGTCAATGATTTACGCCTAATAATAAGGAAAACAAACAAACAAACAAAACCCTGTGTCTGTTGGGAGCCATCCTAAGTTGCTTTGATGCCTCTGCAGAATAGGTGAGAAATTTACCTGTATATAAAGGAATGGAAGTGAAAATAAGTGAATATTTTTCTAAGTTCAAGTATTCCTAATTATCACAACTTGCCGGCTTGACATTTCTGACAATGTAAGTAAACATGTAGAAGAGTAAACCTTAGACCCACTTGTGGCAATTACTATGCTGAAGGAAATGTGAGGGGGAAAGACCTAGAGAATTGAACCTAACAGTTTCAGCAGCTGTTCCTAAATACCTGTGATTTTCTGACCACCATTCCTCTCAAAATACTAATCATCCCACTATGTGTGCAGCTCTTATTGTATTTAATATTCACTTTCTCATTCTGTCTCAATTATAAATGCCGTTTTCCTCAGCAAGACTGTACACTCCCAAAGCCTTGCTTCTGAAAGAAATCACCCATCAACTGGCAGCACTGGCATCATACAGAGGCTTGTTTAGAAAACACAGGATCTTGGACCAGACCACAGAACTACTGAACAGAATCTGCATTTTAGTAGGATTCTCTGATTCACATGAACATTAAGTTTGCAAAGCTCTGCCCCTAGAGGATAGAGATGAAGGTGTCTCTTTTTTAATGACTGCAATAAGGAGACAACTCCTATATGAAGAAAAGGGAGCTTTCAGTGTACCATTTCTCAATTGGTTTTATTTACACAAAGCTTATTATTAAGAAAGGATCCAAAATATTTGCTTATATTCTCCTGAGGTGTATCATATTCTTAGTAAGTTTAATCAAGATACAGACACAGATAGAAATGCCATATAGTTGAGAAGAAAGAAGAGAGATAACCACCTTTCTTCTTTTGGTGTACGAGGAGATAAAAATGCCTTTCACTGAACAACTGAAGGGAATTTGTTATGGCCCTTTACGTAAAGAGGCAGCACTGTGTATCAGTTAAATTGAGTTAAGCAAATCTTGGGCTTAGCCTTTCAATCCACCTTGGTTAAGTTTACAGCTAACAAGTTTTCAAACTTTGGGTCAATTATTTAAATTCTGAGAACCTTGGTTTCCTCCATCAGAAAATGGGAATGAAAAGAGCCACTACTTTATAAGGTTTTAGTAATAGCTACATTAAATATTTTTCTGCTGCGCTGTTAGCAGTGCACATAGTAGAAGCTCAATAGATGTTAACAATTTTGTTATTTCAACTTTCAGTGAAACTCGAAGTAGTCTGGAAAAGCTGACCCAACATGAGCCAGTAAGTTCCTCACTTACCGAATGTTGTAACCAGTCCCCCGTACAGAGCTGTCATTGACCCACCTCTTCAGCTTTTCAAGTATTCTTATCTTTTTCTCATTTATGAGTGCCTAACCCCAGGAGTATTTGTGGTGGTCTGACTCTGACGGATCAGAGCTTCACAGACATTCCTGATTTCTCTAGTGCCAACCATCGAGACCAATGAACAACCAGTACCACATGTCTAAGAGAAAACTGGTCCAGTCCAACAAGTCTTAGCAAGCGAGGTAATGCACAGACTTAACCAATCTGTAATAGTTCCTGACACTTGGGTCCAAGAACAGTAACACAAAGGCCTCACGATGAATTTCTAACCAGAGTCATGCACCCTGGAAGCAAATATTTTTCTTACTGCGGGATCAGCCTTAATTATACATGTTACTATTGCTCCTACTGAATACATGAACATATTTCAGGTCCATTCTGAGAAAGGATATGTTTAGAAGCCACTTTATTTTTCATTCTAGGCCATAGACATATTTGAAAATTACTTGTTTTAAAATGTATTTTGCCTGATTTGATTCAAACTTTTGCTTGTGTAACAAAGAGTTATTTGTAAATTTTTTAACAGTTAAAAATTTTTTCAGGTTAGTGTAATATACTTTCACTTTTCTACAGCTGATTTTTCTCTTAACTATAAGATTTATGAAATGATATAAATGAAGAAAGAATAAAAAACAAGTATGTTACCTGCACTTTGATTGGTTCAAATGTATTAATGGGATGTGTTAAGCCATATACAACTTTTTCATTTTCTGCTTCAAATGTCCCTGGAAGATAAATATAAAGATATGAGATTTGGCTTCCTGTAAAGTAAAGGAGCTGATTTAATTTTTTGATTTTAATACATTTTACTTACCAAAAATTTTATCCCAAATAATAAGAACACCAGCATAATTTTTGTCTATGCAATAACGATTTCTGCCTATGAGACAAAATATTAGAAATTTTTTTTCAGAAAAATAGTTATGCTTTTTGAGATACTTCCATCTTGTTTTTTAGAATATATTCATAAAATTCAGATTTAAACAGGGTACAATTTCCCTGGGAATGTCTTCTCATTTATAACATCAGATTTTATTGTCTAATAATGGAATTTTTATTTTTCAATTAATTATACTAAAAAGGGGAAGTGTTTTCTTAAAGCTAGATGCATGCTTTCTTGTCACAGTTTTTCAGTATAAAAATGGAATAAATGTAAATAATTTTTTCAGGACCATTAAAGAATAAAAATTAAGAATTAAATGATACCAAAAATTATAAATGAGAAATAAAATCAGAAAACGATGTATATAAATGTTTTTATTTTAAATTTTTGATGGGATGTCTATCCTTTTTAACTGCATCTGTTTCAGGAAGGAAATTTTCTAGAGTTAGACCTGACTAGTTTTTTTAAGATCATAAAAGCCACAGTAAAAAATAAACTACCCTTAACTTTTTCAAAACTCATATCATATGTATTTTTCCTGCCGCTAAATAATTATAATGCAAATAGCTGGTCATTATTTATTTAATACATTTTTTATAAAACTTAAGTAGACATAATGATATCCACATGACTGTAAATCTTAAGAAAAAGAATAATTAATTAACCAAGCCATTACCCCAAGAAGCTCAACTATCCTGTGTTCCCATTCCTTTGCATGGTTTCCATGCATGCAACCACACATTTGAATGCACAAATACAAAGAAAAATCTCCCATAGTATAAAAGGAGAGAGAGATTGGCTGAACAGATGCAGACACCGTTGCTATATACATGCTTTAAATAATGGTTCTGAATTAGTAGGGAAGCATTTTGCCCCTTAAGGAACATTTGGCAATTTCTGGAGACATGAGTAGCCACACCTGGGAGGGGATCCTAATGACATCTAATGGGTGGGGGCCAGTGACGTTGCTAAATTTCCCACAGTGCACCGAACATCCTCCACAACAAAGAAATATCTGTCCCAAAATGTCAATAGTGCCGACGTTGGGAAACCCTGATATAAGCAGGCGTGGGCATGCGAAGATGAAGTCAGAGGAAGTAGCAACTGTTTCATTTGGTAATGTGGACTTGTTCTTCTCGACTTCCTATATTTTTTATTTTTTAATTTAATTTTTTTTTTGAGATGGAGTCTCACTCTGTTGTCCAGGCTGGAGTGCAGTGGCGCCATCTCGGCTCACTGCAAGCTCTGCCTCCCGGGTTCACGCCATTCTCCTGCCTCAGCCTCCCGAGTAGCTGCGACCGCAGGTGCCGGCCACTATACCCGGCTAATTTTTCTGTATTTTTTTTAGTAGAGATGGGGTTTCACCGTGCTAGCCAGGATGGTGTCTTATCTCCTGACCTCGTGATCCGCGATCCGCCTCCCAAAGTGTTGGGATTACAGGCGTGAGTCAACATGCCCGGCCCTATTTCCTTGTATATAGAAGGAACTGCAAGTGTATAATCCCCTTGGCCTCTCCACTCCCCAATTAGAGATACTTCTTGACTTATGGAGTGGTTATGTCCCCATAAACCATCTAAATTAAAAAACATTAAAAGTCAAAAATGCTTTTAGGCTGGGTGCAGTGACTCAGGCCTGTAATCCCAGCACTTTGGGAGGCCAAGGAGGAAGGATCATGAGATCAGGAGTTTGAAACCAGCCTGACCAACATGGTGAAACTCCATCTCTACTAAAAATACAAAAATTAACCACACGTGGTGGCTGGCACCTGTAATCCAAGTTACTTGGGAGGCTGCAGCAGAAGAATCACTTGAACCCGGTAGGCGGATGTTGCAGTGAGCCCAGATTGTGCCACTACACTCCAGCCTGGGCGACAGAATGAGACTCTGTCTCAAAACAAACAAACAAACAAACAAACAAACAAACAACTTTAAATACACCTTATCTACTGAACATCATAGCTTCGCCTAGCCTGCCTTAAATGCGCTCAAAGCACTTACATCAGCCTGCAGTCCTAGACAAAAATCATCTAATACAAAGCCTGTTTCCTAAGTGTTGAATATCTCACATGGTTTATGGAATATAGTACCGAAAGTAAACAGAACGGCTATATGGGTTCTCAAGGTATGATTTCTACTGAACATGGATCACATTTGCATCACTGTGAAAGTCGAAGAATTAAAAGTCGAACCAATCATAAATCAAGGACTTTCTGTCCTCCCTGGAATTGGAGAATGACTGTTGAGTTTGGAAGAGGAAACCGCCTGTGCCCTCTGATCTGGCCTCTCCCCTTCTGGGGAGTCCCCTTCTACTCGACTCCCTGCCATAAAGATAGGGACCTGCCCTTCTTGGAAAGGCAGGGCTTCAGGGATTCAGGGTTGCCGAGGAAGACTGGAAACTTATAGAAACAGAACAATAGCATTTACTTATGTATTCATTTTACTGGCTTCCTTCTCTCAGTATTGTTTGTGAGATTTATTCATGCCCTTGCATGTAGCAATGGTTTGGGCATTTTCATTGTTATATCCTTCTCCATTACATGTATAATATAAGATTTATCTATTCTACTGCTGAAAAACATTTGAATTATTTCTATTTTTTCTATCACAAATAATGATGATATGCACATTGCTATATAGGGCTTGGGGTACACAATGTAAACATTTTTGTTGTTACTTAAGTTGGTGTCTTTAAACGTTAGGCACTTGTCACTTGGGATTTTCTCGTCAGGGAAACGCAGCTTATACTGAGATTGTTCAACGCCTTAGGCAGGAAGGTGAAGTGTTGTTTATTGGGCTCTCCTTAAATCAAAACAGTTTTCAAGACCACTAACTCTCTGACTATAGATAGGAATGACCTTCAGCACTGGGTCAAGAAGTAGCCTTTGACAGAATCCTTTAAAACATAAAATGTGTATTTCCTCAGCTGGTTAACTCATTTTCTACAACAGTGGAGCTAAGATTTAGGTAGAAAGAAAAATCCAAAAGTCAGATAGATAAATCCCCCTACCCCACCCCACCCCACCCCACCAGTTCATACTTTGGAGATGAGGCTTGTACCAAAGAAGATAGAAAAGAAGAAACTATTATTTATTTGTAAAATGTGTGCTGACTATATTGGGAAATTGTGATTAAATGAGATTAAGGAAAATAATAATGCAATTTTTAGAGAAATGAAGAAAAGAGAGAAGAAACAAAACTTCCTTACCATGATGAACCCTATGATGGCTAGGAGTATTAAGAATCAGTTCCAAAGGACCAAGGTTATTGATGACCTGTTTAAAACAGAAGGAATATTTATACATGTAGTTATCATTAAATGTGTGTTAGTATATAAATGCTCACATTAGAAACTCACATAAATTAAGAGATATTGCGAATTTCAGGGTTGGTATCAGAGAGTGGAAAAAAGTTCCACTGAAATCTGGAATTCATATAAAGACAATAGTAATCTCAAAACTCTATTCTGAGACGTGGCATGGTGAGTATGGTGTCGTGGTTAAGAGCTAGACGACTTTCAGTTCAGCTCCAGGAATCTCCACTTACTACTGTGTGATCCTGGGGAAACGACTAGGTTTTCATATCTCAATTTTCTCATCTTTAAAATGGAAATAGTAACATATCTACATAATAACGTTGTTCTGAGGATTATGAATGTTACTGTATTACACACCACTATCACCAAGGCACACTACCCTTAGATTTCATGTTGCATTATAGTTTTTGCCTTCCAACTATAGCTTTATTTACGGGAGCAGGGTATAACTAGGAGAGTGAAAACAACTGTGTTATGTTTCCCGGAGTTGTTTCACCCTGTAAATCAGCCATGCAGCAACGACTTACTATTGCATCAGTAATCTACGGCATTAGGGTGATCCTACTTATTCAAATAGAATCCTAAATCATCTCTTACCTTTAGAGGCATGGTCTACCATTACATCTTAGAGGCACAATTCGAAGTCAAATATATAAAAAGGCCTTTTTTCACAATTAAAGTTACTTCAATATCTGGTGCCTAATTCTCACATTTCTTAGATTCCCCTAGTTCTGAGTCTATAAATTCTAAAAATCATAGAAACCAGGTAGGTGTCATGAAAAAAGTATAGCAGCCCAGATGTAAGACATTTGGTATGTTACATGAATAATACTGGACAATTTGAGATCTTCCACCAACCATGGCAGATACCAAGATATTTTACTTTTCTTTATTCACAATCTAAACTGATTTGTTAGAGCCTACCAATGACAAAATCAATACACTGTTATGATATTTTAAGACATGACTCACTTTTAGGGTTAGCTTCCGTTTGGAGGACATATGAGGAATAAAGAAATGAGTTAAATGATGCGAAAGGGCAAAATAGTCACTGACAATTATGACATTGATATGAATTTGATAAGTCAGTGTCACGGGAAGAAATAGAGATAAGACTGCTTAAAATTAAAAAAAATTTAAGATGCATAACTAAATTTAAGGTGTGCACCTTTAGATATCGATTTGAACAAACCTAACATAAAAGACATTTTATAGGCAAAAAACAAAAATTTATAATAAACAGGGTATTAATAGGAAAAAATATTTTCATTGGGAGTTATAATAACATTGTCATTTTGTTAGAAAATGCATTTGTTTAGCGTTGTATAACTGAAATATACACGACAGCTGATCCAGATTATGCTACGAAATATTTTGGCAATGAAAAAACAAAGAAAAAAGGACAACTGATGCAAATTAATCAAAATCTTGAGTTTTGAAACAAAATGGATATATAAATTTATTGTTATTCTAATTTTATGAATGTTTGAAAAAGTTTGTTAAAAATTTAAACTGCTAGTAATGTCCATAAATCCTCACTAATCCAACTGAAAATAATAAATTGCCTAAGTCTCAGACATATCTCTAATACAAAACTCTTTATCTAGGAGCGTTTGTTTTTTGACAACCTCTGGCATTAAAACACCCAATTTACAGTTGCTCAATACATGTGAATAGGTGGGGTGACCATATCCTCAGCTTGTGGCATCACATCCCCTCTTGAAATGGAAGCTGTGGCAATGTTGCCACATATCAAAGCGGATCCTTCTCTGGGACAGGAGCCATCATCATCATCATCTCCCTATTAAGCACATTGTTTACCCACCTGAAAAGAGTTCTTGTCTCTCTCCCTGTTGCCCAGCTGCTAAGGGATTTCCACTTTCCATTTCAGAACGGACAGAAATATTTGCATGCAAAAGACTGTAAACCTTGTTTTATATGTCAATTTAGCCCTCCCTCGTCCAGAAATGGTGGGTTCTTGGCCTCGCTGACTTCAAGAAAGAAGCCCCACGGACCCTCGCAGTGAGTGCTACAGTTCTTAAGGGCAGCTTCTCCGGAGTTGTTCTTCACACATGTCTGCAGTTTCTTCCTCCAGGTGTGTTCCTGGTCTCGCTGGCTTCAGGAGTATAGCTGCAGATCTTCACAGTGAGTGTTACAGTTCGTAAAAGTGACTCGTCCTGAGTTTCCTTGGTTCAGTAACCTTGCTGGCTTGAGAAGTGAAGCTGCACACCTTCCGGGTGAGCATTACAGCTCATAAACGTGGCAGGGACCCAAAGAACGAGCAGCAGCAATACATACATTGCAAAGAGCAAAAGAACAAAGCTACCACAACGAGGAAAAGGACAACAGCTTGCCGCTCCTTGCTTGGATCGCCAGCTTTTATTCCCTTATCCGGCCCCGCCCCCTCCCCCACACATCCTGCTGATTGGTCCACTTTACAGAGAGCTGATTGGTCCACTTTACAGAGAGCTGATTGGTCCACTTTACAGAGAGCTGATTGGTCCACTTTACAGAGAGCTGATTGGTCCATTTTACGGAGAGCTGATTGGTCCATCTTACAGGGAGCTGATTGGTCCGTTTTACAGAGAGCTGATTGGTCCATTTTGAGAGAGTGCTGAGTGGTGCGTTTACAAACCTTTAGCTAGATACAGAGTGCTGATTAGTGCGTTTGCAATCCTTTAGCTAGACAGAAAAGTTCTCCAAGTCCCCTCACCTGATTAGTTAGCGACTGAGTGCTAATTGGTGCATTTACAAACCTTTAACTAGACATAGAGTGCTGATTGGTGCGTTTACAATCCTTTAGCTACACAGAAAAGTTCTCCAAGTCACCACCGGTCCCAGAAGCCCAGTTGGCTTCACCTGTCACTGGCACCCGCCAGGAAACTTTGCGGTACCTATCCTGGGCACTCCCGCAGCCCAGAGGGAGCTCTCCCAGACAACCAAGAGGAAAAGTGGGGAAGCGAGAAAGAGACGGAGACCCGCCGTCCTGGCCTACGACCCCGCGAAGAGGGAACGGCGGTCCGCGCATGGTACCCAGACCCTGATCAAGCCCAGCAGGCGCCGGCTGGCCGCGCCCAGTGCGCGGTCCACCGAACCCGCAGCCGCCCGGAACCCGAGCCGGCCCGCGAGCGCCTCGCGCAGCCCCGGCTCCCGCACCTCTCTCTCCCTCCACACCTCCCCGCAAGCAGAGGGAGTCGGCTCCGGCCTCGGCCAGCCCCACAGAGGGCCCCCCACAGCGCAGCGGCGGGCTGAAGGGCTCCTCGAGCGCGGCCAGAGCTGACGCCCAGGCCAAGAAGGCGCTGAGAGCTAGCAAGGGCTGCTAGCACGTTGTTACCTCTCACTACCTACCTTACTTTCCTCCTTCCTTCTTTCTTCATTCCTTCTTCCTTTTCTCCCCACCTCTCCCTCTCTTTCTCTTTCTTTTTTCTAATCTGGGGTGCTATCCACTATTTTTAAAGTTATTTCCATGAGAGATATATTTTGGCCTACAAACAGCAAAACTTTGGATTAATTCATACAATGGAGCTCATTTATACACCAAAGATTATTTGTATTTTTAATTTCAGGAGTTTAAAATACTGTGAATATATAGCTCTTATAAAAGAATACACTCCTATGAAGTAAAGCACACACTGTTAATAACCAGGAATTGGGAAGAAAGTACAGATAAATAACCCTGTATTTTATTGGACTATATTGCTTTCTACTTGGTGAAAAACTATTTGTTAAGAAAAATGGTGGAAAATAGAGAACAAGAAAGTGGGGGATCCTCAGCAGTCAGGACATTGAAATCTGATGCTTTGGTTGGGCTTTGTATCTATGACAGAGAACCAGATGGGAAAGGAGAAAACCAGTTTACCCTTGTTTGTTTCTTTGGTGCCCAACATGTGTTACAAAAACAAACAACAAATGTGGGTGGAGAGGACTACACTGACCAGCTTCTGCTCCCCAGATGAATTTCTGATCCTAGGCCCTGGCGTGTGTGCAGCCAGATGTAAAGCCACACAAATGGTGAGTGCATGCAGATGATTGGAGCCTTGGCTGAGTGCACTATTTTTTTTTAATGTCAAGCTCTTTATTGCGGTGAAAATCTTTTGCTCCTGCAGGCTAAAGCACGGTGATAACAATATTGAAAGTTCGTTTTTTAAAAAATAGTTAAAAGCCAAGTACAACACAGTCAACCACAGATAAATTTCCTGGTAGTGCCTATGAGTACCTTGGAGCTGGGGAAGACCACCTCTGAGTGAGAGATGATTCATCATTCTGACAGCCCAGTCAGAACCTCTCATGTAAAAAACCCTTCCAATTCAAAGTCATGGAGAATTCATTAATATTTATTAAGGGTTGAGCATAACGGCTTAATTATCGCCTATTTTTGCAAATTCAGGCATTTGGCAATTCGACGACGTCTAGCTTTGAATCACTTCCTGAAAATATGTTACTCTGGGAATAATTGTAGCAATTCTCATTTTTAGAAGTTATTTGTTTGTATTAATTTTTTAGACATAGATGGGTTTATTTAAATTATCAAATTTTAGGACATACAGAGGGCTTCAATATAACATAGTCCAATACTTCATTATTTTTAAAAAACCCATAAAACTGAAGCTCAGAGAGGTTAAACTACTAGTTTAAGTTTAATCAGCTTGGAATAAGCCATAAAGCCTTTCCGATTTCAGCTCATGAATCTTTCTACTTATCCATCATATTGTTTTTAAGACATACAGCAATTTTCCATTGAATAAAAATAATTTAAACTTTTACAACTTTAATAGAAAATGATAATTCCTTTTGTATTTCATATTAGTTAAAATGATGCCAGGTATTTATAAAGATCCCAGGGATTTCAGCTTCTAAACCTCCCCATATGGTATTTTAGGGATTTTTGCTGCTCCTTTGGTCTCTGAAGCAATGCTCTAAATATTGTATTCTGTAAGTTGTTTTTTCTCGGTCTTACAACTTGAGAACTATGGATGCCTAGAAGGGCCATGAAGGGGTTCAGAAAGTCAGGAAGACCCTGAAGTTTTAGATGAAATTTTATAAATAAGCACCTATGATATTTTTCTGGGGAGAAATTCTACAATTTCTATTATATACTGAAAAGGAAACATGAGTTCATAAAGCTTTAAGAGCCAATGTTCTAAACAGAGTTGACTAGGTTATTTCCTTTGCCTTTCTTAGTTATATTGTGTTGTCAGTTTACAGATAAGTAAAACCTGAGTGCTAATTTCTCACCCAAACTTCACAGAAACTTAAAACATTTTTTGGGGCACATTTTTTAAAACTGTTAAATTTTTCAGACTATTTCTTAAGCTATTTTATTTGTATAGTAACATCATAAATATATAAATAATACAAATAACAATTTTGTAACAGTAAGCTCCATGATGACTCACTTTCATTCAACAAAAATGCTCTGGACAATTTGTTGGAATGATCACAAACTCCTCATTTCTTCCTCTCCAGTCTCTGGTGAAAGTGGGGAAGAAGAGTTAAATATAAAAGCAAGAGAAGAGGGAGCCATAAGACCGTCGTTATGTCATTTCCCCTGACCAAAAATAAAATGAAACCAAATAAAAAGACTCCTTGTAATGAACCAAACAATGTCCAAAACTTTCAGAGTTCAAAGCTGTTCACATTCTTTCTGGATAGTGATTTCTAATGTTCTCTTTCTTCTCCGTCTAAGACCTTAACCTTCTATCTTACCTTTTGGAATCCTGCTTTATCTTCGAGACCAATTCTCCAAGCACTCTTCTTGATTTTTCCAATGAGTTTTGTTTTCCTTTCTCTGAATGCATATTGAGAGATCATTAATTCTCATGTCTTCCAGTTCTTTGTGCTAGTTACTTGTTTTCATTTCTCATACTATATTGCAAGTTTCATGAGGATAAAAATTGTGCCTTACCATTCTCTGTGTCTCTCAGGTCACATACAACATTGCTTACACATCGTGATTGTTTGACAATAGTATATTCAATAGATAAATCCCCCTTACTCCTCTCATACTCTTATTTCTTTACAGCAGCGGTTCTCAAATTGGGGTGATTATCACCACCCCCCCAAGCAATTTTTAATGTTTGGAGATAATTTTAGTTGTCATAACTGGGAAAAGTGCTACTGGCATCTAGTGAGCAGTGGTGGGTTTAGTGCTGTTAAACATTCCACAATAAATAGGACAAGCCCCACAGTAAGAATTATCTGGTACAAAATGTCAATAGTGCTGAAGTTGAAGAATTCTACTTTGTGGGTATGAGTGTCATTCCGTGCTCTAGACCTTTACTGTTCAGGAGGAAAACACTGTATAATTTCTGTGTTCTAATCTGGGAGTTGGTGAGAGGAATGTCGTAGGGAGTGAGTGTGGTGGTCATTACCAGGACCAAAGGCAAAGCATGAGTCTGGAGCTCTTGGAGTTTGAAGCCAGGAATGAAAGTCCGAGCATGATCTTTGATCAAGTGAGTTGGGCAAGTTAAGATAAAAAGCTAAAATGAAGGAGCCAAAACAAACAAACAAATAAACAAAAGAAACAAAATCACAGAGCAAGGAACTGTAAAACTGGATAATAAGGTGATTAAATTCTGGTGATCATTGGCAAGTGAATACCATAAATTATTTTATATTATCTGAGTTCAGTTTTATGAGAGCTTCAGTTTCAAATGAAAGTAGCCAGAGATGGAAAAGTGATTATGAAATTTCTTTTGAGAATCCTTATGATCCGCCCTATCCTGCACTTACACATTAAGTTGAATAATGTAGAGACCTAAAAGGTTAATGAAACTCCCATTGTATCTAGGTGACCAGTCTGAAATAATTTTCCTATGGAAATTGATAACCTATGTACATGTGATAAATTAATTAAATGCTTACTCTGATCACAATTTTTTTCATGATACAATTTTCAGAAGTTTTCTCACTACCTTACATTACCTAAAAAATGTAATTCTGTGTCTTGTGTCTTTCCCATTTAAATTGAAAAATACTTTAGAGTTGAATTCTACAAAGCATCAAAATAAATATTCTAAATAAATGTCCTGTCTGAAATTATTTTATATACAATTAACTTATTCTATTCTATATAATTCATAATTATTTCTCTTGATTCCTTTGATTGGCAAACATTGACTAGTTAGATTTTTGTGGCTTGGTTAAAAGTAGAGATGCAATTAACTGGTGATTTTAGTTACAGAACAAGACTTATCTTCATCAAAAATATTCAGTTTGTTCAAAACAAATTATTTCATTTGTTTGAATTGCTTGGAAATTTGCCTCCTCTTACCTCATTCTGACTATTGAGGTTGGAGAAGAGACTTCCTAAATATTGGGAATGTCACATAATATTTCTATTATTCAATTTTTACATCTGCAAATGGATACTAAAATACTAGAATATGTTATTGAAAAGTCATAGGAATATTTATAACCACTTACTTTTCAGAAAGAAGGCATGCATCTATGGTTAATTGTAAAGTTCATCCCAAATAAAAGATGCTTACAAATATTTATGATTCTTGTCTGAGAGGGAAAAATCATAATAGGGAAAATATATCCTAAAAAGCATGTGTTTTACAGAACCCTCTTTATAAACATGCATGTGCAAGATGATATGCTAAATGCTGAGGAATGACTGGGTTTGGGTGAAGTGAAATGAAATCTCATAGTGGAATAGATGTCTGCATTTTGATGAGCATAGGTTAGAGTGACAACATTGACTATAACTAGTCAAGACTTTTCGTTACAGCGTCATGCATGAATGATGTTCCAGCGGAGCCCAGACCACTGTGGGTCTCCTTATTCACTGCCACCAGTATTGAAGGGAAATACTAAGCCCAGCTTCTCATACATTTATTATCTGATATGAAAATCTTTGTCATGTTAGATTCAGCTGAGAAAGATATGCTTAAAATGAAGTTTGAAAATGACAATTTTTAAAGATTAATTTTCAGGTAAATTAGTGACAATTCAGTGTAAGCCAAGTCTAAAATTAAATGAACTAATATGTACACCATAATTACTTGGCTTTTTCCTGGCCACTTTTCTTCTCCCACACCTCACTTCTGTTCCTCCTCCTCCTCTTTTATTTTTTTCTCTTTCTTTTTCTCTCTCTTCTTCTTCTCTTTTTGTTCATTTATTCTTTCATCTATCTATCTGTATCCATCTATCTTATCTATCTAAACGTGTGTGTGCATATGTACAAAAATTTATTTGGAAAGATCTTTATAATTCACTATAGGCTCATGCATACTTATCTAAAAAGTGTGCAGTAATAAATATTTCTGTGCTCCTTCAATAAGATATTCCCATATTCTCATTTGCAGATGGAAAACCTGAAGGGCACAAATCTTATGTATTATAGTCATATATTTAACCTTATTAAATATATTTATCATTTAATAATAATATATATTAAATATATTAAATATAAATATATATTAACCTTATTAAATATATACAAATATATTTAATAAATATTAAATATTCAAATGCTGAACAATTACTGTTTTAAATACTAAACTACCAATAAGGGTTTTCTATCAACACTAGCAATAATCTATTTCAGAGCGTTAAAACCTGTATTTATAAATTCTTATCAAAATCTCTTACTCAAAGCTATTTGCATAACAAGAGAGCAAGATGTCTCTTGTCAGCCAGTTCATTTATTCTGCAAATATTTATTGAGTTTCTAGGGACTTCACTAGGTTTTAAAAGTGAAAAGAAATGATGTAATACACAAGCATTGCCTGAAGGAAATTTACACTCCAATGGACCCTTCAATGGAAAGTTTAAACTGTATCAGAAAAAAAAGATTTTACAAACAAGTTACCTTTTCCACATAATTTTGTTTTCCTTTGGGACTGATGAAAAAAATCACTCATTTTTCTTTCTTTTTCAATTACTATTTCGCAGTAGAGATATTTGAATTTATAATCAATTTGAACTTATAATTGGCACAAGCATTGTCTAATAAGAAGCAAAATGAGTTCCCTTTCCAAGTCTCAAGCTGAAAATTAATTTTAGTGTAGATGTGTGCTTTTATTTAGTTTCCTGTAGTGCAGATTTGCAAATACTCTCATTGGTTATTACTGAAGAGAATTTAGATTATTCTTTCTTGCTCATAAATTTCTTCAACTGATTATACAGAAATTGAAATAATCTGTATGGGTTTCATTTATTCTCTGGTTATTTATTGAGTACAAGGTACTGCAGTAAGATCTTTCAAGACGTCATAGAGTGGAACAATGGAAATTACATTTTAATGTCTACTAATTTATGTATTTATTAACTTAAAGGTAGAATAAATGACAACATCAGCATTTATTGTTTGAATATACATAAAAATATGATTTTATACTATCAATAAAATCTACAGCAATTCTAATTTAAAGTTTTAGAAAAAGAATAAAATCCATGAACACTATAAGTCAACATATTAAAATAGTTTCTTGTTCTGAATTAGTTGATCTTTAAACACTTATTGTTTTACTTGTTACAAGCTTAATCAACCTGAATGTTTATGGATACATTTATATTATTGAGCATCTGGTGATGAAATGTAAAAATAAAATCTTAATTACTTCTTCCACTATTTCTGCTGTGTTAATTCAAGACAACCACACAAGTATTTAGACAGATGGTAGTGGCGGCCATATTAGCCTCTGATTTATCTGCAGGGAAGGAAGAGAAAGCAGAACTCTTAGGATATGTGCTTGTCTGCCTAGTTTCACACTTTGAAATGCTGGACAAATGCTGATTTATTCACGGCCAAATGTTTTCCTGTTTGATTAGACAGTTTTCTACTTCAGTAAGCATGTAATATGGAGGTAGCTGAATTTCCACACTAAGGAGTGAAAAAACAATATTTATAGTTTGGAAATAAAACAATCTGGAGGAATCAGGACTGTTGGGATCATAAGGAGCTTCAGAGGGAGTAAATTTCTGATGAATCCATACCACAGGGATAAAGAGTTAAAGGCTTAGTTTTAATGAAGAATGGGACTAGGTTATGTTTATACAATAAACAAAAGTTTTAAAGGACTGCGTTTATAATAAATTATCTTGAAGGCTGATTCTTGTCACTTATGATTACATTATTCTTCAAACAAAAAGACAAGAGCAGGACAAGTTAGCATTTTATTTGAATTTGTTTCAGCATATCTTTTGAATAACACTTTTGGTTTCTACTTGGAAAAATGAACACAAGTAACTGTTAAGCATGTTCCCTCAAAGGAGAATAAGTTATTTTGTTATTTTTAAACAACACGGAGTAGATTTACAGAAGAAAAACTGGAAACATTTATAGGTTTAACCATCTCAAACTTCATCCTTATGTAACATCATTTTATATTTACAGGTTTAGGCATCCAGTGATAAATGGAATCATGCTAGTATGAGTAATAATAACATTATTTTAAAAGAAGGCAACTGAAAAACTGAAAGGTTAAGTAATCCGTGTCCAAAACTCCAATCCACAGTCTTATGGTACAAGCTCCATACTTTTGACTCTTTCTAAAGCTCACTGTATTGTGACTGCCATTATGATCATATTCCCAATTTCAGATATGACTTCTACTGCTTAGTCAACAAATATTATTGATTGCCAACCGACTATGTGCCTGACATCATCTGAGCATTAGATACTTTAGTAAACAAAGCAAATACGAATCTACATTTTAGCTTCCATTCTCGAATGTTAGATCGCTTTGTCATCCATTATAAACTTTTATCTGTTAAAAAATATTTTCAGATACTAATATTTTAAAGTCAAATATTATATAATACATTCTCAAACACTAGATTAGAATCTATAAGGACTTACACGTCTTAAGTTCATTTGCCCTGTCATTTCCATTTTCATAGCTTCCTGCTAAGGACAAGCTATCTTACTAAAGCATATCCTTTCCCTTGTCCTCTTAGGGATTAAAAAATCTATATTATTAATACATCCATTCTGACTCAGGTCTTTCCTATGAGTACATTCTTCTTGTCGCTTTCTCTGCCTCCTGACAATAAACAAACATATTGTAGACAATCTACTTAACACAATCAGTGCGTTCATTCATTAAAAAGATGTTTGCTGGTGGTGATCTAAGTTTTATACACTGGGAAAACAAAAATTAATACAACATAGTTATTATCCTCAAGATGTTTACTATCAGCTTCTATGTTCATGATGCTCAAAATTTATTCCATTTACATTCAGTCTAATGCTTGTTCAAAATGCAAATTCCTACCTTCACTCACCAGAGATTTATTTTACGTGGTTCTTGGAAGGGAGCAATCATTCTGTATCTTGATAAGCATTCACATTATTCTGATGCATGCAGGTGACCCTACCCTTGCTTCAATTCTAGTTCGGACTTTATGAACCAATTCCAGAATGTAGTCATTTGGCTTTTTCAAAATAAGTACTATTCATTGAAAACATATTATGTTCCTAACTATGAGCTTTACATTTGTTATTTCATTAATCCACGTAACACTCTTATGGGTGAGTATGATTACTGTTACTTAACAGATTTGGAAGCAAGGTCAGAGAGTCTAAGTAAGTTTAGCAAATAGTCATATTCATTTATTCAGTCAAAAAACAGTCTCTTTTGGGTTCTGAGAACAAAGCAGTAAACAAGCTGGACAAATGCCTAATGAAGCTAAAATAGGACAGATTTCTCTTTGATTTCAAAATGTATAATCTTATTCATTATGTCATACTACTCTCTTATCCCTGAAATGTTCTCTTCTTCAATTTGGCAAATTAATTTCCATCATGTTCCTTGTGTCTAAGAGCTTAAATTCCAATCCTTTCACAACAGACATTTTTTAATAAAGATTCATGAAATTTTAGACAGTCCAGCTTCAGGTAGCTCAGTAAAACTCTTCTAACTTTGGTTCTTTATTTTCTGTTGGGAAAGAGTCACTACAACCCAGCAGATTCTCAAAGGAGGGTGTGATCCTAAAATTGTTAGCGACAAGGGTGCCAGTTCAGGTCAGAAGACTCAAAAGGCCCCTTTGTTTGGAATACACACACACACACACACACACACGTATATTCCATATAAGTATACATGTACACATATGTGTGTATATATATGGAATATACATATATATGTGTATATATATGGAATATACATATATATGTGTATATATATGTATATACACACATACATATGAATATACATATATATGTATTCCATATGTGTATATATACACATATATACATATATGCGTGCATATGTACACATATATACCCACGTATACACATATATGTATATGTATATGTGATCCTAAAATTGTTAGTGACAACGGTGCCAGTTCAGGTCAGAAGACTCAAAAGGCCCCTTTGTTTGGAATACACACACACACACACACACACACACACACGTATATTCCATATAAGTACACATGTACACATGTGTGTATATATATGAATATACATATATATGTGTATATATATGGAATATACATATATATGTGTATATATATGGAATATACATATATATGTGTATATATATGTATATACACACATACATATGAATATACATATATATGTATTCCATATGTGTATATATACACATATATACATATATGCGTGCATATGTACACATATATACCCACGTATACACATATATGTATATGTATATGTGATCCTAAAATTGTTAGTGACAACGGTGCCAGTTCAGGTCAGAAGACTCAAAAGGCCCCTTTGTTTGGAATACACACGCGCACACACACACACACACACACGTATATTCCATATAAGTACACATGTACACATGTGTGTGTATATATATGGAATATACATATATATGTGTATATATATGTATATACACACATATATATGAATATACATATATATGTATTCCATATGTGTATATATACACATATATACATATATGTGTGCATATGTACACATATATACCCACGTATACACATATAGATATATGTATATGTGATCCTAAAATTGTTAGTGACAAGGGTGCCAGTTTAGGTCAGAAGACTTGAAAGGCCCCTTTCTTTGGAATACATATATATATATATATATGTATATACTTATATGTATACTCCATTATATTTATATAAACACTAGAAATGCATACATGAATAAGCAATGGGGTGATGAATTATCTGAAAAGGTAACTGTAGAATAGAAGGAAAGATTATTTTACATAGAACAAGAAATGTATAGGATTTCCATTAAAGATGGGCTTCAAGAGAGAACAAGAAGCCAAAGGTGTCATCAATATTTGATCTTGATGTTGACTTCAGAGAAATGGAAGCAAAGTAGAAGAGTAGATGACTTAAGGTGATGAAAGGCATAATAAAATACATTTTAGATATGCTGATTCAGGGTAGTAGCAAATATTTCTAAGAATATGTTAAGTAAGGTATTGGAAACATTGATTTGAAACCCATAAGCATCTTCATTAATATTTAACTCTAGCAATAATTATCAACAATCAATAGAATTTTTTATTTAAATACAATGCTTATTAAAATTTATGTGTGTGTATATTTGTATGTTTAAAATGTTTACATATACACACAAACACATAATAAATGAGAAACTTTTTTTGCTATCATGGAATTCAGAGAATAATGAGAGAGAGAGTTAAGCAACAAATACAACAGAGTGGCATAAGAATTAAACTTCACTATTATTATTAATAATTAGATGCTTCCCATGTGCAGAAACTAATGTGTTATCTAATTTATCTCTCCAAACAGAGCTCGTGCTCCTAACTCTTAACTACCAATATGGAAATAGAAATACACACAGAGTTAGTGTAAAGAAAAGTGCATCGAGCTCTTACTAGGAGGTAAAAGAAAGATGTTGCAGAGGAAGTGGTAATTGGGTTGCGTCATGAAGAATGTTTTAAAAAAGGTTATCACAGAGAGAACATGTGCAAATACAGATAACCCCCAAGTATTTCAGGAAGCAAATAGCAGGGCAGTTTAGCTGTACTGGCTGACTTATGGGATGGGATGGGAGTTGTAAACAAGCGTCATTTTCTAAGAGCCCTGAAATCTGTTAATGAATTTAAGGGTTTTGATTTTATCTTGGGGACAAGGGAAAGTCATTTAAGAAATTTTTTCTCATGTTAGGAGCACCCTAATATTATTTGGGTTCTAAAATAATCATCACAATTGTTGTATGAAAATATATAGGAGAGGGCAGAGTGTGTAGGTGTAAAAAAACCAGAATTCTGTTGTAACCATCTATGTAATTGATGAAGGATTATAAATTCAGGCAGGGCAATAGAGATGGAAAGGCAAGCGGTATTAACGAACTATTTAGGAGGACAACTCAACCAGTGTATAATGACTGTTTTAAGAGTGAATGGCTGTGTTATTAACAATTATGCCAGAAAAAATAGGTACACATTGGGGCTCTTCCAAGCAAGCTGAGACATATGACACCCTAGCTGTAAGAGATGTAAAATCAATGATATAGGATTTCAGAGGAGGAAAGGAGAGAGAATTGTTTACCAGGCTTTGAATCATGGTTCTGCTACTAACTAGCTGCAACAACAGTAGGCAATTACATAACCTCTGTATAGTTGTTTCCTCACTTTGAGTGGGGACCATGGGTTGTGTGATAATTAAATAAGTAAATACATGTAAAATAATTAGCATAATGACTAACACATGGTCTGAGCTATATAGTGGTTTGTTCTTAACAGGGGAAACATTTTCTGGGGAAGGGAGAATTTGAGTTGGGCCTTGAAGAATGTATGGAATAATAGCATATGGAAAATATGAAAAGAAGAGAAAATGCAAAAATTGGGTATTAGATGAATTTGAGAAATGGAAAACGGTCCAGTATTATTGAGCTGCACAGTATGGAAAGTAATGAGACATAGACCAGGAGATATAGTGGGAAGGCGCTACACAAAGAACATGAAATGAAAGGAATTTAGACTTTATTCAGTAAGCAATAGAACATCACCGAAGTATTTCATCAGGGCTGGCCTCTGAAAATAGGTTAGATTTTAAGATGGGGGAAGTAAATGTGGCTAAAGTATGCACAATTATTTGGTACAGGAAGAATTACAACTGATCTTGGCCTTAGCCAATGACCTTGATCTTTTAACTCTACCATATCAGTTCTTTGTGAACTCTGCTGCCACCCACCAGGGTCTAACAAGTGAAACCCAGATAAATGTATTGTTTGAGGAAAAAGTGTGACAAGTGAATGAAGTATGGTCAAAATTTTTCTCCCATGAATGCTGTGTTGCCTTACATAAATCATAGAATATCAACGTTCTTAGCCTTAAAAGGAATGGGGTTTGATCACAGAGTTTGATGAATATAAAAAATTTAGTTTTCTGACTTTCTATTAAATTTCTAGAATGGTTTCCTGCTGCATATATGTCTACTCATACCCTTAAAATAAAGCCCCATTACTGAATTCATTCTTTACAACCTGTAAAACTTTAATTATCCTTCAGAGATTCAAATTATTTTGTGAGAATTAAGAGAGCAATTTTTGCTTGCACGTACTGGATGCTTAATACATGGTGGCTATTTATTACAACATTAAGATCAGAAATGACCATTGTAGAGGGAAACTGCATAGTGTAGTAGATTAGAGCAAAGAATATGGAGTCTGACTACTTTGTACAAACCCTAGGTTTGACACTTACTAATCATATGGCCCAGGGTGAGTTATTCAGTATATTTAATTGGAGGTAATACCACTACAAATTCTAATGAGTTGTTATTGAAAATTTAATGTGAAAATACTTCCTGAAAAATAATGAATACTGGATAGGCTCACAATAAAATAAATAAATAATAAATAAATAAATAGAAATGATACTCATTAAATTTTCTTTGGAATATATCAGTCCAATTCTCAGTAACTATAAGTAACTGAGAATTCTTGGGCTGAGACCACTGTAACTGTGCTTCTAAACTTCAGTCCTTTTAAAATATATTCTTCAAAATTAGCTACTTCTTCATGAAGAAAATTATAACTCTTTTTCCACCATTTAACTTTTTTTTATTATGTACATAAGACTAGGATACTTAGTCTTATGTGTAGTAGCAAGATGCTACAAGAATAGCAATAGATTCTCACAAATGTCTGTGGACCACAATAATTGAAATATTTTAAAAATATGTTGAACTTGTCATATGTAATAATCTGTACATTAATCAGTTTACAGATCAAAAAATAAATAACAAAAAAACCCTAAACAATGTACTTTATGATTAGAATCTCAAATTTTTATAGTTAAGAATGCAATTTTTTTCCCTAAAGTAAGTTGGGGATTCATTAATTATTTAAGTCTTAAATTTGATTGCATTTATTCATATTAATAATTCATATTAAACAAAATATCTATTGCATTAAAATTATGTCACAAAATGTATGTGAATAATCATGATGCCTAAGAGTGGTAAGTGACATACAGTAAAACAGGTATCTATATTTCAAAAAAGATAAAGTAACAATGCTGAAAACATTTTTTAGTACTTTCTATGTGATAAATTACAAGTAAGTAAGATCATTTCTATAATGTAAACTGCATCTTTCATTTTGTGGCCTTAGGGATTAAATTGCCTGAGTTCAACTCCAGATTGTATTTGTTACTATGACTGTAAACTTGGGCAGAGTTCTTTACCTTCTTTGCCTTCTTGTGCTTGAGTTTCAAGCATTATTTTAATTGTTAGATTGAAATATGAACTACATTTTTAATCCTCACAACAATGTATACCCTATGGTTGAATGTCCCCTCTGAAACTCATATTGAAACTTACTTGCTATTGTGACAGATTTAAGAATTGGAATCTTTAAGATGTGATTAGGTCATTAGGGTTTTGTCTTCATGAATTTATTAATACTATTACTACCTAAATGGGGAGTGAGTTAGTTATGTGAAGAATGGGCTCCTGATAAAAGGATAAATTTGCACCCTATTTGCTCTCCGTATTGCATGATTGCTTGCCCTCTGCCATGTTATATCTCAGCATGAAGGCCCTCAACAGATGCCAGTACCTTGATCTTGGACTTTGTAGCCTCTAGAACTTTGAGCCAAATAAACTTCTATTATTTATAAATTACCCAGTCTGTGGTATTCTGTTATTGCAACAGAAAACAGACTATGATACTTTGTATTGTTATAATCCTCATTACACACAGGAGGAAACTGAAGCACAAGAAGGTAAAGAACTCCGTGCAAGTTCATAGGCACAGTAACAAATAAAATCAGGAGCCAAACTCAGGCACTTTAATCCCAAAGGCCACAAAATAAAAAATGCAGTTTACATTAATGAAATGATTTACTTATTTGTAATGTAAGTTGTTTTTTTAAAAAGCATGAGATGACTAATTGTGTATTTACAATATTCATATTAAAGTTTTTATAATCATAGTATATGAAATATTAAAAAAAATCTCCCAGGCAACATATTCCTTTACACAAAATAAATATTTAATTTGATAACGAATATGTGCCAAGTAGATTAATAATTCCAATACATTTCCTATCTACACAAATGGTGAAATAACAGCTACAGAAATTTAATATTCACTAAACATGTTTCTCTACAATCATTACTTAAAATACATATCACAAATAGTATGTATTTTTTTCTTTCTTGATGTGTTATTTAAAAGATAAATAGAATGGAGATAGTTACCTAAAAAAAAGTATCTTTACACATGAGTGGATCTTGAGTAAATTTAATATAATTTTGAAGATTAGATAAATACTCTTAGACTTCCATTAATTTTGGATGCTAAAGGGCAATAACCAAAACACTCTATTATCTGTGTCCTCAGAAGTCAGATCTTCTAAGTCTCTGCTCATCCTGCTACCACTCTATTGCGTTTGCTGCTATAGAGTAAAATTTTTCTATTCTTCTCTTTATCTGTTAGCTTCTGAAAACTTCTGCTTTCTATTATTTCATTGTATATATTACTTCATAATTCTGCTGCACATTTCTTATGCTTTCTCATTTTGCACATTGCATCCTTGCAGCTCTCTTGTACTCTGATTTCTATTGCCCTTTACTATTTAGGTATCTCATAAATATATCTCCAGACAAAAGGACTAATTGGGGCAGTTATTTGAGTATAGAGTGTTGCTGAGAAGAATTTGTTTTCCTGATAGTTTGTCAATTACATCACTGAATGGGCAGTGTATGCACTAGGTTAGGAGTCGTAGGCCAAATTTAAGGATACCTAAAGTGACTGGAAATATAAGGGGGAAATCCTAGAAAGACAGGGACCACGGAAAGGGAGCCATAATATCTGCATACAAAGTGCCCTCAAAGCCTGGCTGACTCTTAAATTACTCACATGTAGGGCAAGACACTAAGAAACCTGATGAAAAACTCAGAGGTTGAAAAGTTGTAAAATTGCTAAGCAGAGATTTCAATTGCTGTCTGGTGCTAGCAAAAGAGAATTTAGAGTTCAAATCCTGCCACGTGAGAGGGGCTTTGTAAACACCTCCAGCATTTCATTATTTAAAAAAAAAAAAAAAAAAAAAAAGACAAGGCTTGCCCTAAAATTGAAGATCACCAAGGATAAGGAATATGCCCTAAGGCTAAAGGCGGTGCCAAAAATCCCCACATATCCTAACAATGTATAAGTCAAAGTCTCCAAAAATACAGGGTAGTTAGCCAATTATTTCACCACCTCCTAGAATCATAATAAGGAATGGTCAGATGGACAAAACAGAATCTAGAGTCTTTACAACAAATCTGCCATAATGATTTACATGTAATATTGACAATAAATTACTAGATGTACAAAGAAAAAACACAAATGCGATTCATATCAAGTAAAATAACAGTCAATTGAAGTAGACCTGAATATGAACCAGATATTGGAATTAGCAGACAAGAATTTTTAAATAATTATTACATTTAGGACATAAAGGCAAAATAGTCACAGTAAGTGAAAGAGCCTCTCAGCAGAGAAAAACTGTTTATTTAAAAAAGCCAAATTCTAGAACATAAATGTATAATATTTAATGTGAGAAATACACTGAATGGATTCAATAGCAGCTTGGAGAAAGTAGGTAAAAGATTAAATAAACTTGAAGACAAATTAATATGTTATTCAATCTGGATACAAGAGAAAGTAAAATCTTATAAATTACAGAGCATTTCTGATCTCTAAGGTAGTGTCATACAGAATACACATGTAATTGATGTTCCCAGAGGGGAGTAGAAAGAGAAAAGGACAGAAACAATGTTTAAGAAAATCATGACCAGGACCCCTTAACTCCAAATTTGATTTTCAAAGCACATACTTGTAAGCCCCAGATTAATGTTTTTTAAATACCACAGTGGCACGTTGTAGTCAAACTGCTAATATTTTAAAAGGAAGAGAAAAATTTTGTAAACATCTAGCAATGAAAAGACACATTATCTATGATATAATAATGATATGAAAATTGAATTATTAGAAAAAATAAAAGTTTAAAGACAATGAGATAAACTTTTTAAAGTACTGAAAAAAATGCAACAAAGGAATATCCATTAAGAATTTCATATTCAGAAAAGTATCTTTCAAAAATTAAGGAAAACATGACATCTTAAGGTAGACAAAAACTGAATAGATTTGTTGCTACAGGTCTGCATTACAAAAGATGCAGTTTTTCAGTCTGAAAAGAAATAATAACAGTTGAAAACTTAGGTTAATGGAAAGAATGAAGACGATTAGAAGGTAAACATCTGGGCAAATAAAGAAGATTAACTGTTTTATCTTCTTGATTCCTTTAAATATAACTGACTAATTAAATCTAAAATAATAAAAACAATATTTTGGGATTTATTTATTTGTTTATTTTTTATTATTTTTTTAGACAGAGTCTCACTCTGTCACCCAGGCTGGAGTGCAGTGGTGTGATCTCGGTTCACTGCAAGCTCCGCCTCCCAGGTTCATGCCATTCTCCTGCCTCAGCCTCCCAGGTAGAAGGAACTACAGGTGCCTGCCACCACACCCAGCTAATTGCTTTGTAGAGATGGGGTTTCATCATGTTAGCCAGATTGGTCTCGATCTCCTGACCTCATGATCCACCCACCTCAGCTTCCCAAAGTGCTGGGATTACAGGCATAAGCCAGTGCACCCGGCCGTATTTTGGGATTTATAATGTGAAAGATTAGCACATGTGAGAATGCTAGCTAAAAGGTTGGGAGGGCTTAGATTGAATTATATTACTATAAAAGTCTTACATTTATGATAAGTATTATATTAATTCAAGGTAAGATATGATAGGAATGCATATTTAATCCCTAGAATAGACACACATACACACACACACACACACACACAAAGAGAGGGAGAAAGGTGGGGAGAGAGAGAGAGAAAACAAGTCAGTAGAGGATGCCTACATTTTACTTTAGCCACTTCTGTCTTATACCATCTAGCTCCTTGCCAGAGCAATAAGGCAAGAAAAAAAATAGCACAAATATAGGGGAAAAAAAAGAAACAAAACTGTCTTTATTCAAAGACCACAAAATTATGCATGACAAAAATCCTAGAGAAAATTAAATTATTTTACAAATGTGTGAATAATGCATCCTTTAAAGCTATGATAATCAATAAATTGAGGAACTGACATAAAGGGAAACAAATACATCAATGAAAGTGAGTATGAGTCTAAAAATAAATACAAACATATGTGGTCAACTTTTTCTCAACAAGTCATCACGGACATCTAATGGATTTTTTTAAGTCTCTATAATAAATGGGGCTATAGTGGTTATGTACAAAGAAATCTGGCATCTTGATTCTACCTCATACCATATGTAAAAGTTAATTCAAGAATATCACAGAATAATGGTAAAAGTTAAAACTCTGAAATTTTCAAAAGTAATCCTAGAAGACTATCTTTCAGAGTTTGTGATAGTCGAAGATTTCTTAGAGAATATTTAAAAAAAATAGTGAACTTCAAAATTTAATATTTCTGTTCATGAAAAGTCATCAGTGGTGCAATCTCAGCTCACTTCAAGTTCTGCCTCCCTGGTTCATGCCATCCTCCTGCCTCAGCCTCACGAGTAGCTGGGACTACAGGCACCCGCCACCATGCCCGGCTAATTTTTTTGAACAGGCTCACTCCTGTAATCCCAGCACTTTGGAAGGCCAACGCAGGCAGATCACAAGGTCAAGAGACCGAGACCATTCTGGCCAACATGGTGAAACCCCATCTCTACTAAAAATACAAAAATTAGCTGGGCATGGTGGTGCGTGCCTGTAGTCCCAACTACTTGGGAGGTTGAGGCAGAAGAATTGCTTGAACCCAGGAGGTGGAGGTTTCAGGGAGCTGAGATGGTGCCACTGTACTCCAGCCTGGCAACAGAGTGAGACTACCTCAAAGAAAAAAAAATATCATTGAATCATTCGGTTCAAATCTTCAATATCAAAGAATTAAGTTATTTATCTGCTACATTTCTCTACTCAAGCATTACATGATATATACATAAACAATGTGATAATAAATTTAAGATAAAACAAAGGTAATAGTGTAATAGTATCATTATATGATTGCTAGTGTACTGTGAAAACTCAGCTAACACCCAAATAACACCTGACATCTAAAAAAATACTTAAAACCTTCCACAGTTTTAAGTTAAAAACATGTATTAAATAAAAAGATTTTCTTGCTATCTTTAGTGAATTCACAAGAAGAGACTATAACTGAATATGTGCTGCAGAGGCTTTAGATCCATGAACAATACACAGACAAAAATATAATCAAAAAAATTAAGCAACAGAGTAGAGTTTCAAGCCAAATGTTTCATAACTTTCAAAAAAAGAGGATGACAATAGACCTTGTTGTTTGTTTTTCTTTTCTTTTTTTCTTTTTTTTTTTTTTTTTGGAGGTGGGCAGGGAGTCTCCCTCTGTCGCCCAGGCTGGAGTGCAGTGGCATGATCTTGGCTCACTGCAAGCTCCGCCTCCCAGGTTCAAGCAATTATTCTGCCACGGCCTCCAAAGTAGCTGGGACTACAGGCACGCACCACCACACCCAACTAATTTTTGTATTTTTAGTAGAAATGAGGTTTCACCATGTTGGCCAGGCTGGTCACAAACTCCTGACCTCAGGTGATCTGCCCGCCTCTGCCTCCCAAAATGTTGGGATTACAGACATGAGCTTCTGTGCCAGGTCTAGACTTTGTTTATTTATCAAAATAACTCAAAAGTAAACAGAAAATTTCTATAAACTATTTGGTACGTTTTATGGCCTATTTTTTATCTCACAGTCTTTCAAAAATGTGATTTTAAGGTTTTTTTCCTTCCTTTTATTCTAATGTGATTGATTTTAGGAGAACTGAATCTTCTTCACTTTCAAAAAAATCAGTATCTTCTTAAGATCATATTCCCCTTAGAGTGAGAACTGATTTTTATGGATGTTAGGAGAAGTGAAACAATTGTAAGAATGAAACTCTATTCAGGAATATGCAGGGCTCTTTGGCTAACATGGTCATCTCTACAGCTCGCATATCATTTCTGTCAATGGAGATCCAAGTATGATGCCTGATATTAAACAGTATGCAAGTGGCCTATAGGGTTTCATACAATTTACAGTACAGGAAAACATAAAGTGAGTATCTTTCTAGACTAAAGGCTGTCATTTTCAGTTTTTACTTTTTACTTATTAATCTGTGTATTAACTCTTAATTGAAAAAAGCAAGACAAGCAAATGATAAAAATAATTTTAAAAAAATACTTAATACTCCTCCCACTCCAGTCCTCTATTCCATTTGTCTTTCTCTCCAGAAGCAGTCATGGTGTCCAATCTCTTCGCTCTCCATCCTGAATTATTCTACTATTTGTAAACAAACTATTCTATGTTGTGTATAATAAACGAATGTAACTACACGGTTGAGAAATATTTCAGAAATGTTTTCACGGTTAATAATACAATTTAAAATTCCAAGATCCAAACCATGAATTTCAGAAGATGTGTTCTTGCTTCCCATGCAGATCAACTGTAGGAACCCACACATAGTAAAGTATTTTGAAAAGCATAAAGTGTAACACAAGGGGGAGGTTCTAAGCATTGCTTTTGAAGTGGAAATGAAGCCACTTGGAGGTTCTTGGCAAACAGGAATAAGTCTCACCAGTGGCTTTTCTCCACTCTTGCTTTACTTCATGAAATGGAACTCAAGACCTAGCTCATGGCCCTCTCATCGGGACACAGGAAGAGGTGAAAGTGACTGAGGCACTATTGTTCTGTATCCAAACTAATACCTGACCCGACACATGGCGTGACCTGGAGCAGAGCTGCTATAAAATGTAATTCTCCCTTAACCCCTCCATGTAAATCATCAGAAAGCTTCCCTCCACTGATTTAAACAAATTTGGTCTTTGACCTCTAGAGTCAGAATTGGCCGCAACATCTCTTTCAGATGGTTGTGGTATTGAGTGTTTGATGTGTGTTAAGTATCATAAAACACAATACTATTTCATGATAGATCTTCAAATAATGCTACATATGTCCAAAGTCACGGTAACAGTCTCTTTATTCCAAGTAAATCAGTAGCATAAAATACTGCAGGTTAATGGAATAATGCACTTTGTTGTATCAAGATTTCACATATAATGCAGCTGTGATTTGTAGTGTTGTTTAACCAGTTGCAACACCTGTCAACATGCTTCCTCTAGTAACTTCAAAAGGCTTCCAATAAATACCAAATGTTTAAAAGAGTGCTTGTGTGTATAGGTAAGAATTTTTCTAGGTCTGTGATTTTTGGTATTTTAGCAATAGGATTGGTACAAATATTCATAAACCAATCAGCTGCTTAATAATTACAAACATTCAAATCTGACAGTTTGAAATGCCACGGAAGACTCTAAAATTACATTTCTTCAGGTTTTTTTGGAAAAAAATTAACAATATACTGAACAATTTTAAATAAAATTTAATCTCTGTAGTTAGAGCAAGTTTTCCAATCAAAAATTATTTTCATAATTTCTATACAATTTTTAAGGGTGTTTCAAAGAGTTTCAACAGATTATAGATATATTTATATATACACATATACATATGTTTATATCTCTGAATTGAAATGAATTTCAACATCTCTTGGTAAATAATGTTTAATAAACTGTAATACAGGAAGATATTGTATTGAATATAGTATTAAAATGTTTTGGCACTTAATAGTTCAAAAAATTGTTTTATTTAATTGAGACCAACTGGCCTCATTGCTTCTTATAAACTTTGCAATATATATTCACTAAAAACGAATAAAAATGAACAGATGTTTCTCCTTAGAAAAGGCAGACAAAGATTTTTCTTACACAATAAATCATCTGCTAGTGGATTTCCAGGACATTGCTTCAGGCTGTTTAGGTATAAAACTTACAAAGATAAAAAAAAGTTTTACCTCTGTATGGATCCAAAATTGGTAAAGAAGATTGAATTGAAGATGAACAGCATATACTGAAGGGGGTATGAAGAGGGCCAGGGGAGAGTAGAAAATCTGAAAGAAAAAATTAAAAAAAAATTAATTTGCATATATGAATTCTCAATGCTTTGTTAATGGTTCAATATTCTGAATGCATATTTCTTTAGGAAATATATCTCATACTATATACTGTATATTTTATTGCCATGTTTACTTTGCAACATTAATTTTCCTCATGGTGATACAGTTACAGACATGTTGGAGCTAAGGCCACTGGACTTTGATTTTGCATTTAATATTGTCTAGTTAAAATATTATATGTTGTGTGTTATTTCCTTAATTTTAAAAAGGTTGGATGTGTTTTCTGGAATTAAAGGGATGTTTTATGTACACACAAATACTCTCTTTATGTTAAAAAATGTAGGAATGGATGACTTTATACCTTTGACAGCTCCCAAATTCTGTATTATTACCTGGCATTTTCAATAATAATGTGAAATTATAATAAAATAAATTAATTTCATACAAGGAGAGGACAGCATATACTTTTCCTTTTAACTTGGTTTTTGTATGATTGATTGATGACATCATATCTCTTAATTTTTTCGAAGTTATTAGGAAGGAGGTATGATATGGTTCCATGGTGAAAAAAATTTTAAAGGTCCATATTACGTAATAAACAGAAATGCCTCTTCCTTACAAAGACAACTTATGATTAAACCACAGAACTGGTTAGAATTAACTAATAAGCATGATCTGCTTGTTCTGCTAATGACTTTGATCCCCAAGAGTGGTTTCATGCTGGAAAGAAACATTTTATTAAATGAGAGACTAAATAACCAAATGAGAATAAAATGAATCTGACTTTCACTTTACATTTCTAATTTTATAGAGTTTATACTTCTGAAAGACTGGATGTTTTAAAAATATTTCTTCTGAGTATTATAATTTTATTTTAAAGTTATTTTATGACATGTTCTCAGTTATGCAAAATGTAATTTCAAGGATGTTTAGCAATGATTATACATGTAAAACTCGTCTAGTTCTTGTTTTGAAACTTGTCATAAAAATTTCAACTGTCATCATAAGTAGAATGTTTTTTTTTTAATATAAACATGTTATTAAGCAATGGATTAGATTAGTGAGAAAAGAATACTGGGCTCTCATTCAAGAGATCAATTTTTAGTCCATGTTTCCACTAGAGACTCTCTCTGTGATACTCCCTAAGTTCTTAAGCTTCTCTAGGCTTCAGTTTCCTGAAATTAGTGGCGGAGGGGAAAACCATTTAAAACATAGTCATCCTTTTTGTTCCAAAAGATCTGTGATACTATGATTTGATTGTTTCATAATACATTAAAACAATTATCTCCCAATAGGTTAACAGCAAAATACTTGCAAAACATATATGGCCTATGATATAAGTCCTCTAAGTTGAGGAGTGTTTTGGAATCTCCTCTTTGAGAGCTGAGAAAAATATGAAACAACTTTATTTTGGATGCTTAATAAGTAGTTCTGTTTGGAAAGACTATGCATAGCAGATGAATATTTATAGTTCATTATAATTTCCCAAAGTGTGGAGAAGCAGTCCCTTGAAATAATGACAGCTATTATGGAAAAAGTGGTTAAAAGATCAGATAAGTCGTGAAGTGGTAAATTAAACAACTGAAGTTTCTTTAACACAGGTCTTTTAAGAGCTTTTACCATGCTAATGTGAATCACAAGTCTATTAGCACACAGAATACTTTCTTGATGAGTTTACCATAGGATTAGATTTTCTGAAAACTCATTTTATGAAACAGTGTGCTAAATCTTATATATCAGTAATATAATGAGGAACTGACCAATGGAAAAATAAGCTCACTATGAATTCCAAAATACTATATTTCTAACAAAAAATATAGGTGAGGAAATAATTCACATGAATCACATGAGTGATAATTTCTTATGATTAATACTGTTCTAGAAAAAGAATCTAATGACACAATCAAGGTTCTAATTTTTACAATCGAAAGCAGCTTAGTAAATGTGGTCCAGGTAGGAGAATTCTCACTTTTCTTCTCTACCTCCAAACTTTGCATTTCCGAATCCTATATAACTTATAAAACCAATTTAAAGGCCACTTCCATTATAAATCTTTATATGGTACTAAGTTAACTGAAGAAATTTCTCCATCCTCAAACTCAGAGTAACTTGGTAGCTGGATTAGGCACATGATACCCTTTACCAAATACATCCATATCTACCATGCATTCAAACCCATGTCATTCTGACTCTTAGTTTCTTTAGCTTTAAATTACACTGTCTACCCTAGGTCATTTTATTGTCTTGTAGAAGTCATACATAATAAGGCTATAATGGAGAAAAACAACCCAGACCTATGTGTTTGAGGAAAGAATGAATACAAGCCTGAAGGCGATCTAAGGCTAACAGACAGCAGATGAGTGGATTTTATTCTCTTACTAAGTGAACGTGGCGAGCAGGGGTTGTGTGAGACAGTATCATGAAGCAAGAAACAATATGGCATTTAGGGGAAGCTAAACATATTTGCTATTGTAGAAGGCGTTGGAGAGTAGTGTGGCTAGAAATCAGGTTGGACCATGGGATTTCTTGACAGACCTCAGGGAATCCATGAATCCCTTGATGCCATTATAACAACGTGTGAGCCTGTGTGCGTGGGAGAGTGTGTATTTTTCTCAAGAAACAATTGATAGCCTTCATCAGCGAGTCTTCGGTATGTCTGTGCCTCGCCACAGCCAACACAGAAAAAGAATTTAGACAGTGGCTAAACCAGAGAAGGGAGCCATTTCAAGAAGCTTGGGCATAAGGAAACAATTCACATCTTTTTAAGCATGTAAGAGATGGAAAATATAAAAATATGTTTGGAACCTATTTCAATAGCCCAGAGAAAAGTGATGCATATTTAATCACAGCAGTAGCCATGGGGATGGAGAGATAAAGTACATGCAACAGATTTAAGGATTTGGCAGCTGTTAAACATAGGAGTTGAGAGGTAAATAGCAGTGTCGGAAGACACCCAGATTTCTGGCTTGTCTGTTGGTGATATTGTTCACCAAGAAGGTGGACAGGAGGAAGAATAGGTTGTAAAGTTCAACTTGGGGAATGTCGTGTTGGGGTCTATGGGGTGTATGTCCAGGAGGCTATTGAGTAAGATTTTGGAAATGTCTGGCTGGAATTACATCTCAGGGAATCAGGAAGTGTCTTGGTTGAACTTGTTGATATGGGTGTCATGCAAATATCAATTTTATTTAGCTTACAGGTGTGTCCACAGTGGGAAGATAGTCAAAGATGCAACTCTATGAGAAGTCAGAAAGAGTTGCAGTAAATGAGGCTGAAACAGGACAGTCTCAGAGGTGGGAAAGATCTGGTACCTAGCATCATCAGAGATGATGAGAAATTTTTAAGAGACAGAGAGAAGACTCCCAGTTAATGTCCAAGTGAGATAGGAACTGAAAAAAAATAAGTGAGATGGAATTTGCAGGTATGAATCAGCAGAACAGTAGGCCTAGAATGCAGTCCTCAAGTTCACAAACCCAAGTTAGTAAGTTTAAGAATCAGCCAGAGGAGGTAACAAAATGAAAAGAGGGATTACCTCTATGTTTCTCTGATAACAAAAAAGGAGACAGCTGGATGTATTCCTTCAATAAAACAATGGATGAGGGAGGAGATATTACCTGTTTATTTTTTTTTAATGTGAGAGATCTTACTATATTTATGGCTTATTCAGAAGGAGCCAGTTGAAAGGAAGAGGGAAAATGCCAAGAGTATTTGATAGCACAAAGTCCAAGAGAAAAAAAACAGTAAGGTAAGAGCAATGTCACCAACCTAAGGATTAGACCAACGGAAGAGAGGTGAACATTTTCTATAAAACTAGAGGTAAGAATGCATGTTCACTTGTGAGTTCATGAGTTTTAATTGAAAATGTATGAACAGGGAAGACCAGAGAAGGGAAACTGAAAAAAATAAAAAAACCCTCACATTTCTCTTTGAAGTTTTAAATATGTTGAAGAGGCAGCAGTGGGGAAGAGATCTTGAGGAGACAGTGAAATTCTAAAGAGTTTCCCCAAGGTAGAGAGGAGAAAATAGGGCAGTCTCATGTCCATGGCTTGGTACGCAGTATTTAGGGGTCAGGTGTATCTGAATCCATACATGGAGGGGCACGAAATTGCCAACCTGGTACAAGAGGAAGCCTGCAGCACTCAGCAATCTGGATGTGGGAGTGAAGAGGGTAGATGACTGGATTTACTCATGGCCTGAAGATTTCAAGGCACAGGATTTCAGCAGAGGATGCAGACTGTGCTTCACAGAGTCATGGAAACTAGGCTTCTTAGTTTGGACGAGGTAAGTAAAGTGAGGAGGCAATGACAAACAGAAAATGTAGGAGGTGAGAGAGTAAAGTACTCCACGAGTAAGCTGCTAAGCAAATGGCTAAACAGCGTAAAATTACTTTTAAATAAATGAAAAACGAAAAAGCTTTTGGACTCTAGAATTCATGTCTACTTTATTTTAATAGTTGAAAAATATTTCATTAACATTACTAATGTACATATTTCTAGGATTTTCATTTATTTTTACATTACTTTAGAGAAAAAGCAATTTAAAAAAATGTTCATCCGAATTCAGAAACTAAAGATTGAAGAATCAAATAGCATGTGCCACATTCCTTAAGTCTATGATTAGTAATGACACAGATCAAAATTACCTGATTATAGATAGAGAGCATTGATCTCTGTCCTTAAGACATATCTACTTAGATTTTATGTTTGAAATAAGAGTTTGTGTTTCTATTTAGAAAGTCATTATCTTTAAGTAACCTATGCCTATTTTTCTGGTCCCATTTCTATGCACTTAACCATTTCCTTTTTACCCCATTCCACCATTGTATACATCCTATATTCTAGCCACACTCATACTGTTATGAGTTGAATTGATTTTCATTAACATGGTGTGGGAGACCCTGGCACCCAGTACCTCAGAATGTGTCCTTAATTGGAAATAGCATCTTTATAGAGGTAATCAAGTTAAAATGAGTTAATTAGGTGGGCCCTAATCCAGGAGGACTTGTCTTTTTATATACAGGGAAAATTTAGACACGGAGATAGACATGCACACAGCGAGAATGGCACATGAAGACGAAGGCAGAGATCTCAGTGATGCATCTTCAAGCAAAGGAACACCAAAGCTGCAAACCACCAGTATTTAGGTGGGGGGCATGGAACTGAGTCTCCCTCATAGCCCTCAAAAGGAACTAACCCTGCTGCCATCTTGATGTCAGGCTTCCAGCTTTCAGGACTGTAAGATAAATTTCTGTTGTTCTAAGCCACCTAGCTCTGGGTACTTTGTTACAGCAGCCTCAGGAAATTAATACACATGCCATACATTTTTATTGTTATTCCTAAAATGTATTATATTTTTCTATAATTTTGTGTTTTTACAGATGTTGTCCTTCTACATAATATTCTATCTACAACCTCCTCCATTGCAAAATTTTATTCATTACAGATTTGCTTCAAGCTTTATTTCTTCTATGAAGCTTCCCTTGACCCATAGCGGTTCTCAGTGCAAACACTTCTCTCTAAAACCTTCAAAATTTGTGGCAATGGCTGTTCAGTTACATGACTCCCTCCAAGTAAAACCATCACCTTGAGAACACAAGCTCACTTCTTACTTATCTTTATATCCCCAATCTCTGCCACCATGACTGGCCCTGCTAGTCAAAAGTATATGTGGAAAAAAATGGGTGATGCACTATCATAATAAGAACAATGACACATAAAGGAGGTTAAATTTTTAGCCACTTGTACATTTTAAATATGTGGCAATAAGACAATGCAACTTTAGAGAGAACTCAATTTGCTTCCTCTTGTTTATCCTTCATTAGAACTATAAATGACTATCAAATCTCTGTAAAGAAAAACACTGAAAATCAGAGAATAATTTTATTTTTTACCAAATTTCAAAATGACTTTGAATATTTCTGTAAGCTACAGAATAATTAATTCCATTTTCCTGACGCATGCTAGCATTAGTCTTTGATACTAGCAATGATTCAAACTATCCAAGAGCCTCATTTCTTTAATGGACATAAACTTTGTCTTATTAGTCATCTTTAAGTGCTGGTTGAGGGTGAAGAAGGAATGCCTTGGAGTTCCGAGGCAAAGTTCTGAGAAAAGTTTTGTTTCTTTACTTCATGGGGGCTTAATGCATGCTTTCCTTTTGTGACAAAGAGTTATGAGAATTTATCCCCAGTGCATTCAAATGCATTACATCAAAGTTGTTAGTTTCTTGTATCTTTATTTGTTCACATTTGTCTTTATATAAGTCCAACTCCCACATATTGAAAAACAGTCTTTGCTTATGTAGTTTGGCAGGGAGTACAATGTAATAAAAAGATCTGAGATTTCACTAAGGTTTCTCTGCAGTCTCATATGTAATATAAAAATAATATCACACATAAGAATCATACTTGATATGTTTCAGAGAATTTCCACACTCATAAATTAAAGTGATCTTCAAAATAACCACATGAGAAGGCAGAGTAAATATTAAGAGGTCTATTTCATATGCAAAATCACTGAGACTCAAACATTAATTGATCGGTTCAAATTAGCAAAGTGAGTAAACAACTAAGCTAGCGTGGGACTCAGTTTTCTTTATTTCTAGTCAATTGCTATTTACTGTTTCCTAAATATAAATGAATATATTTTTAAATTATTATGCTCAAATATAATAAGATCATCATTGATTTACATATTCTCCATATGATAATGTAATAATGTTATTAATGAGATTTTCATAATTTGATGTTATAATTGTATTTCTTTTCTTTTTGTTTATTTTATTTTTTTTTTTTTGAGAAAGAGGGTCTTGCTCTGTCACCCAGGCTGGAGTGCAGTGGAGCCACCACGAATAACTGTAGCCTCAACCTCCAGGGACCAAGTGATCCTCACATCTCACTCAGCCTCCTGAGTAGCTGGGACTACAGGCGTGCACCACCACACCCGACTAATTTATTTTATTTTTTGTAGAGACAGCATCTTGTGATATTGCTTCGGCTAGTCTTGAACTCCTGGGCTCAAGCAATCTGCCTGCCTCAGCCTCCCAAAGTACTGGGATTACAGGCATGAGCCATCACACCCAGCCCAATTGTATTTATTTTTTCTGATGGTGGGTAAAATTTACCTTTTTTAGGGTTGCTAATATGTTATAAACATACTGTGCTAAATCTTATAAAATTAATTTCAATACCAACGTAGAGAACATAGCAATTTTAAAGGTGGAAAGACATGACAGAGCTAAAAAATTCACTCACTCTAGTAATTTCAATTAAGTTCATTTGTCATTAATTTATTATGCTTTTGAGAGAAATACTAAACTCTTTGAAAGCAGTTAGCTCACTATTTTCTGTTCAATACTAGCTTTATAGATAAAACAAATATGTTCAAATATATTTTATTGCAAAAGGTAAACAAATTATATATCCTATACTGTAATTTTTGGAGTGTCTATTAAATAAAAATATTTAAATGAATAACAGATGTAAATTATTTCACACATTCTACCTTTTATTAGTTTCACATTGGCCTGACTCTAGTTAATTTAGCAAAAATATTTCCATTGCCAAATTTATTTTGACAACTATAATACTTTCTATTTCATTCATTTATGTAACATACATTTATTAACCACTAATTCTGTAGTAGACACTTACATATACTAGGTATACAGCAGTGAAAAATAGACTAATTTCTTTGAAAGTTTATAGGCCAACATAAATAACAATAATGAAAAGCGTTAACTACTAAAATAGATAAATGCAAGGGTTTTATGGAACCAACCAACCAAACAAACAAACAAAAACCAAAATCTTCCCCAGGCGCGGTGGCTCATGCTTATAATCCCACCACTTTGGGGGGCTGAGGCAGGCGGATCACTTGAGGCCAGCAGTTGAAGTCCAGCCTGGGCAACATGGCAAAACCCTGTCTATACAAAATACAAAAAAATTAGCTGGGCGTGGTGGTGCCCACCTGTAATCCCAGCTACTCAGGAGGCAGAGACAAAAGAATCGCTTGAACCCAGGAGGTGGAGGTTGCAGTGGGCTGAGACACACCACTGCATTCCAACCTGGGCGACAGAGTGACAATTTGTCAAAAAAAAAATTTTTTTTTTGGAAGGATAGAACAATCAGAGGTAAAGGGAAAATAATTTTCCAGGCAGAGGTAATGGCATGTGCAAAGAAATAGCAATGCATTATGGCATGGTAGATTGAGAGAAGTGAAAATCGTTAAATTGGAGATGGGATGAAAATGGGGTGTGTGGAAGATGAAACTGGAGAGACGAAACCAAGTTTTGACTAGCTCTGCATGTGATAAGGAGTCTATTATATTCCTTTCTCTAAACTATAGGCAGAGTTAGCTTCATTCGAATGGTGGTCTGAAAAGGAAACAGTGGGTGATGGGTTGAGGGATAAAGAATGAAAAAATGAAGAGTTTCTTTAGGATAATATCCAGTTAAAAGTAATATTGGCTGATATATTTGTTGCTCTTTATAATACTCTAGGATTCCCAGGAAACAATGTCTACTGTTGATGGCTCATTCTAATATTTTTTCTATAGTAGATACATAATGTATAGTGGCTCTGAGTATAAGCACGTACACATGCACGTGTAGCTGTGTTTTTTAATAAACTATTTATTTTATAATAGTTTAATATCTTCAGAAGTGTTGCAATAATAACTCAAAGTGTCGTCCTGTATCCTTTACTTGCTTTCCCCTATTGCTAACACATTGTTATGCTGTATTTGCCACAACTAAGAAACCCACAGGTACATTAGTATTAATCGAATTCCACACTTTATTTAGAATTCACTAGTTGGGATTTTGTATGTTTAATCCCTAATGTTCTTTTTCTGTTTTAGAGTTCCATCCAGATGAAGAATTTCTTTTTCACGCACTTTAGTGCCTTTGCTCTGAATATAAAATTTCAGCATTCAAGTACTTTATCTATAATGTCAGAAAAAATGAAGTTATAATCCTGATACTGTAATATTTTATATGACATCCATGAATTTAAACACATTTTATTATTATCATTATTTTATTATTAGCAAATTGGATAGAGTATTATTCTTAAGACATGATAGTAGGATGTATAATCAAAGATTGAAGTGGCATGCAAAACCATATATTGCAGTGTATATGCAGTAAAGAAGTCTCACTTAAAATGGCACTCTATCAATAGCCCTCCTTGTTGGTGAGTAATATTAAGCTTAAAATTGGCTTAAAATGCAAATAATATGGTTAGAAATTCTAGAAAGTTGAATTCTTATGTGTAACTTCTTCAAAAGTTGTGCTGTTCTAATTTTCATAGTAATATAGAAGAAATATACTTAATTTCACATTTCAATGTGAAATGAGCTTAATTTCACATTTCATTTCACAGATCAATTTTCTTTTCAAAGATGCGGCCCATTTATTATTTGTCCTAAAATACATTGTTACCTTGGTAACTGCTAAATTATCGGCCTCATGTAACAATGTTGGTGAGAAAAATCTTGACAAATGACTCAACAAAAATGAAGAGACCTGAAGTGTGCCCTATAATTTTGATGTCTAGGAAGTCCTCTTAGAAGTCTTTAACCATCACAGGCCCTTAAAACATCTCTCCTATCTTCCAAGGGACCTAGAAATGCTAGGTAAGAATCCAGGCTGACTTACAATCCCTATATCTCATTTCCCACCATGCAAGTTCCCGCAGTCCCCTTCCAAAAATATTTAGCAGCTTGTCATGCATTCTCAATGTTCGTTGCCTTATTCAGCACATTCCCTAACAACATGGCATGAGTTTGTAAAGATAAATTATTCTGGCAATAAAACAAGTGTGAGTCTCATTTTACATAGATTTTTGCTGCTTTGTTACTTTGTATGCATTGACTTAATAAAGAAAAGGACACAAGAGAAACCAAGACAGAGATTACAATAAACTGGACTCAAGCTCCAACTTGGCATTGCTCAATACTGATGTTGTGGGCTTCTTTAAGATTCATATTTATAGCTTTGAAAATAGATGACTTAAATATATCATCTCCAAGATTTCTTCTAGTTCTGAAGTCAATGATGCTCTGATAATTTTTCCCTTTGATAATTCCTCAGGTAATTAATTAACTGCATTGATTTCCCCAGAGCAACTTCAAATGCAGCTACTTCCTTTCTTGGAGGCTTTCTCTCTGAAAATGCAACTACTGGAGATTTCAGTTGTCTTTAATAAAAGAGAAATATATAAGTCAGAAGAGAGTAAAGATTTTGGAGACCAGCCATATATCCAGCCTATATATTCAGCCTTTTGAAAAGGCTGTATTAATGCAGCAATTTTTTAAGAAGGGAGGATGAACAGTACCGATTTCCTCCATCACGTGCCCTGTTTTCCCCCCATTAACTGCTCTGAAGCCTTAATCCAGTCTTGAACTATACAGTTGTAAAATAGGCAGTGATTTTTGTTTGTACTTAATCATCCAGAGTTCCAGCATAAGCTATAGGTTATGAATATATACATATTTCCTTTCCACATATATTGCTTAGAAGTGTTTCTTCAATAGTGCCTTCCCTACCCAAATTCACATGTTGAAATCTGAGCCCTAATACCCACTAAATGTGACCTTATTTGGAAATAGGGTTGTTGTAGAAATAATTAGTTAAGATTATTAACTTAACTAATGGTCATGCTGGAGTATGGCAAGTCCCTAAACCAATATGCCTGGTATCCTCCTAAAAAGGACATGTGGACAAAGAAACAGGAAGAACGCCATGTGAAAATAAGAATTACGTTGTCACAAGCCCAGAAAGAACCAAAAACTAAGAGAGAGAACCAGAAAAGATCCTTTCCTAGTGTCTTTATAGGAGCATTGCCCTGGCAGTACCTTGATTTTGACTTGACTTGTGGCCTCCAGACCAGTGAGATAATAAATTTCTGTTTTTTTAAGCTACACAGTTAGTAGTATCTTCTTATGGCAGCTCTAGAAAAAGAATACAAGCGTCATCACAGGTGTATGGTGTGGGAGTTTGAGGGTGAATTCCTGTTAAGATCCATTCCAGGAAATGTATTAGTAACATCCCTGGCTTATAGATTTGTTTTGCCTATGCTGCTGTTTGGGTTAGCACACATGCCAGTGTATTTTTCTAAGGCTTATAAAACATCTGGTTTCAAGTACTTGGCTTTATCATTTACTAGCTGTGTAATTAACCTCACTGATCTTCAGTTCCCTGAGAATGATAATACTTGATCTAGAGAACCATAGGCTTATTTATGATGATCAGAAAAGATAACATAAGTGAAAAACAATATGGAGGCATGTAGAAGAGCATTTAGAATGCAGAGATTAAGATCAGGGGTCCTGGAACAAGACTGCAGTTCTACTTTTTCCTTTATTAGTGGTGTGACTGAACTATAGACTCAGCTCTACTATTTTAAAATAAGAGCAATAATAATTTCTGTGTATGAAGGCTGTTGTGAAGATGAAGTAAGTCAATATATAAGGAGATTTTAGAAGAGTGGCACATAGTACGTACTTATTAAATGGTATCTAACAAAAGTACCTTGCAAAGTATTTTGAACCACGGAAATGTTTGACCATTATAATTTATAGTTAATAAATAGCTTATTGATTTTACACACCAATATTAAGTATGTATGATTACTGATTTTACGCATCAGTTACTCTGACTTTCTAGCTCACTGTTCAACATACATTTCAGTATCATGTATTTTCATAACCAAGAAGAGCTAAGCAAGGAAGATGACAAAAAAAGGGATATTATCAAGTAGATCAGGATTTCCCCATGAGTCAAAAGAACTCTACAAGTAGAGGCTATTTCTGGTATTCATTAATCTTGTAATTTCCTTGTGTGAGAATATTTTAGAGCCAAAAATTTTTGGATCATGATATTGATCTATTATGATAACAAAAAGCAAAGCATTCAACTAGATTTTAGAGAATTAGTTGTTTTTTTTAAAAAAAAAAAACAACTGGTTTTTTTTAAAAAAAAAAAAAAAACTGGTAAAAGTTTTTACTGAAATCCTTGTTACATATATTTAAATGGAGATACCTTATCTATACATCACCCTCCTGGGTTACAGTAAATTAAAAAATAGCCATTCACTTTCTCACATTGTCGTATACTTTGAGTTTCTGGGTCAAATAAAATGCTTCTATTGAAAAACAGCATTTGCTTCATGTGTGTCTGGCCTTACAGAAGGAAAAGAAAGATTTTAGCATCTGGCTTTAGAAAGAAGAGAGAAGCATTTTAGTAAAACACCTTCTATTAGTTTTTTTTTTTTTTTGAGGAAATAGAAATAGCTGAGACTTAAAAACAAATTAGATTACCATGTTTATTCCATTTCATACAACTTACCCAGGAAGTATATATCTGGAGGACAGACTGTCTCAGTGCTGTGGATAAGTTATAGTCTTCAGAACTATGATGTGTTTGGTGTCCGGCCCACATAATATTAACTTCTGCAAAACACATAATTTGCAATGAGCCATGAGAATAAGAACAAAGCAACTTCCATTTTCAGTTATGCATGCTGCTCTGTTGAGTGAGGAAGAAAAATCTGGAACATCTCTGTAAAAGCTGGCCAATATAATTATAATTAAAATATGCTGCCTGAAATAATTTTTGGAACCAAAGACTGTATACATTGTAAATAAATAAAAATGAAAGCATAGCCAATAAATATGTATAGTTTATATGTTATAATTAAATGCCTCCAACAAACTGACATTAATTCCAAAAGTTATACTTTGCTAACATATTATAATATGACAGATTATAAAAGCTAGCTGGTAATGTTGTGACAATACATTCAACGGATAGTGATGATTTTTCAGCGTGTGATAACATGTTTCTAACTAAAGAAAAATTGTCTGATGGGAGAAATTGGTATGGAAATTTTGGAATAAAATATTAATGAAATTATTTCCTCATGGCTTTCTGAGAAGTCTCAAAATCTGTTGGAATAAGAAGAAAGCATAGCATAGTAATATTTTGCACTAAGTTCTCAGGTACTCTTTTATTTATAAAAAGATATTAGCTAACAGTTACCTATGGTTTTCCCATACCTTACCAAAATACTAAACCATTTCTAAATTTTTCCACATAGTTTTATCTGTGTTCATAAAAAAGGAAAATGATTGTTGTTTATTTTCATCAAGCACTATACAGATTGCTCTCATACTGTCTTGGAATTCATACAGACTCCAAAGAAGTGTGGTTTTTAAAAAAATTTTTACAACAAATATGACACTGCATTGATCCCCTAAGTAGTTGACACAGAATAGCCCAAGTCATTTTTTATTCTGCCCATATTTTAAAAATTGTATTGCCATTTTTCATTTCCTAACAAAATTATAGATCGAAATGTCACATTATACTCTATTCAGTTTAAAAAAATCTGTTCTTAGCTAAAGTAACTTATGTTTAGTCTTTTGCTACAAATCCAGGAAATGGAATTAGCTATGTGACATGATCATCATATCCTTGCCAGTATAGGTTAGAAATTAAATCTTTTAGGCTTGGATGTATAGGAACTAAACAGTGAAGCTAGAACTGGAAATATCAGGTTAATTTTCTTTGCAGTTGCCATATACTGACTGTTAAAATGCATGGTACATAGTAGAATAATTTTAGAAGTTTTTATGAAAATCATGGTCATATATATGTGTGTGTATATATGTATATATATATATATATACATACATATATATATACACACACATATATATATACACTATCTGGGTAAATTTTGGCCATTGCTTTCAAAATGAAAGTTCTCTGAACAGTCTGTATAGAGAATTACCAAACAAAATTGTTAAAGAAAAAAGGTCTTGGTAAACAAATGATAGCTCATAGATATAAGAAGGACTTAATTCTGTATAATAAGGAATATTATAAACAGAACTGTGGTTAGTCTTATTATGAACAGATAACAAATGCCATTTTTATTAAAGTCATATATTTTTCAATGGAACACGTATTGTCATCAACCACAGCAGATATGTAACTTAGATCCCAATTGGTTGGTGATTTAATTATTTTAATCATTTGTAGGAAAGACATTGTATTTCTATGCTAGCAATTAAGGAAATTGTTCTTACACAAAAGAGAACTACTTCACCATAATGACCTCTAAAAATATGCAGTCATAATCTTTGAAATAACACAGAACCAAATTATCTGGTTTATTGATAAGCCTAATGGCTGTACATAAGAAATATAAAAAGACCCTTGTGGCACTTTATATCTTCAGATGTTAGGTGGACGTTGAATAAGAGGTAATAAATTTGATGAATCCCCTAAAGTTTAAAAACCGCTTACAGATAGAGATCCTGAAGTAATCTAAACACCATTTTCTCTTTAGAACATACCCACTGCTGAACATTTTATAACTTATGATTTTATAACTTATGACTTATAAACCTTCATTGAAAATCAATACATTGTCTAGTTTTTGACCTGTCAGGATTTGTTTTTAAAAAATTCATTCTAATGCATCCACAAAATGAGTTAACAAGAGGATGAGCTAATCAGATGAGGTTCCATTAGAGAGTCATAATATATATTGGGAGCCACTTCCTTATACCCTCTACAGAAGCTAAACGGTGAAACAAAGAATCCACAAAGGTGGAGGTTAAAGATCTGTCTTTCTAGTTGTTTCAAAAGCATTTACTTCCTATCACAAACTGTGTGTAACACAAGCCTCATTCAATGAGGTACAGCTGTGCAAACAGGGCACAGTAACAGCATCCTACTGCCTCACCTCTGTCACTTTTCAGAATTGGTAAAAAAAAAAGAAGGAATACTGAATTTGTTTCACAGTCTATATTCAGCTTATTGGAGGTAAATTATTTTCAAAAGTGATTATGAAAATGCATTTTATGGAAAGTTATTCCAGTAGTTCTTTTGTGAACAAAATGAGAAAAACTTAATGCATTTATATGATCATCTTCCCTAATACTTGAATTGATGAATTATCTGTTTTAAGAAATGAAAACAAATATTAAGAAGGAGAAAAAGATATTATTTAGAATAAGCTTCTCTCTGTGAAAGACTTCATATAATTATACATTCTGTTCAATAACATTTTTCTTTTTCTATACGAAAATTATAGATTATATTAATATATGTATATGTTATTATAATTTTTCCATGATATAATTAGAAATGATTATGCTGCTTTCTAGTGCCAAATGTAATTCTGTATATTTTATTAATATATTGGCCAACACTTCCATTCATTTGGCCAACATTTTATGTAATGTGTGTGTGGTCTGTGTTGTATTTTTGAATTTCTTTTTCAATTTTTTTATGAAGATGTAACTTACATACAACAAAATCCATCTTCTTTTAATGTTCGGCTGTATGAGTTTTTACCAAATGCAGCTGTTTAATGATTACTGCACTCTAGATACAGAACAATTTTATTACCCCAAAGAGTTCCCCCACCTCCTTTTTGTGGTTGTGGTAGTCAGACTTCAAGATGGCTCCCTGCTTCAGATAATTCAAGTTCTGGACTTTGAACTGATAATGCAGTGGGATGAAACTTTTGGGAACAGGAAAGAAGTGAGTGTCTTTTGAATGTGGGAGAAATATGAATCACTGAGGTCCAGAGGGCTAACTAGGCAAGGCATCCTCTAGAATGGCCGCCATTGATTCCTATCCAACGGTATTCATGCCTTTTATAATCTCCTACCTTTGAGTGTGAGCCAGATTTAGTGACTTTCTTCTAGTAAACAGAAATTTAGCAAAGATGATGGGATGTCACTTCTGATATTAGATTTAAAGAAGACAGTAGCTTGTGTCTTGGGTGTCCTCTCATACTCAAACACTCTCTAAGAAAAGCTGGCTACCTTGTTATGAGCTCCCTTTGAAGAAATACATATGTCAGGGAAGTGGGATAACCAGCCAGTAAGGAACTAAGCTCCTCAGTCCAAGCCTCATGAAGAACTGAATTCTGCCAACAACCATGTAAGAGAGTTTGGATGCAGATCCTTCTCCATTTGAGCATTCCAATGACACTGCAGTTTGCAAAGAGCTGAACCGACTCGCAGCAACCTCCTGAAAGAACTTGAGCCAGAGACATTCATCTAAACTATGCCCCAATTTCTAACCCACAGAAACTATGAGATGATAAACGTTTCTTGTTTTAAGCTTGTAACTTGTTACAAGCAATAGATAATTAATGCAGTCGTCAAAAATCCCTCACTCCCACCCCCACCCCATTCTCAGTCCCTAGTATCCAATGATTTGTTTTCTTTCCTTTTAGTTTTGCTTTTTTGAGTGTATCCTATCAATAACATCATACAGTATTTTTAGCCTTTTGAGTCTGTTGTCTTTTTTCATTTAGCATAATGCATTGAAGATCCCTTCATTTTGCTGTTTTTATGAGTAGTTTTTTCCTTTTTATCATTAGTATTCCACTTCAATGACTATATCACAGTTTTGTTTTGTTTTTATCTATTCATGAGTTGAAGAACATTTCAGTTGTTTCCAGTTTTTGACAGATAAAAGTTCTATCAAGTAGTTATCATAGAGGTTTTCTGTGGACATGAGTTTTTATTTCACGTGGGTAAATACTTAGGCGTGGGATTATTGAGCTGTATGATATGCCTACATTTACCTTGTTAAGGACCTATCAAATTGTTTTCCAAAGTGGCTGTGCCTTTTTTTTTTTTTATTAGTACCAGCAGTGTGTGAGAGTTCAAGTTGCTCCACATCTCTGGCAGCACCTGACATCATTAATTTTATCTGTATTTATTTGACAGCCATTATAATAGGTATGCAGTGGTATCATGTTGAAATTTTAATTTAGATTGCTGTAATGGCTAATGACAATGGCTCTATGTACCTAATCACCATCTATGTATCTTCTTTTTGAAGTGTCTATTCAAAATTTGTGCCCATATTTTAAATGGGTTGTTTTCTTAAGTTTTGAGACATCTTTGTATCTTCTGCATAAAAGTCCTTTATTAAATATGTGATTTGCATTTATTTTCTTCCAGGCCATAGCCTTTTTTTTAAATAGTGTCATACAAAGAACAAAAGTTTTAATTTTCATGAAATCCAGTTTATATTCTTGATGATTTTATTTAGTTTTCTGGTGTATATAACAAAAAACAAAGGTAATTTTGGAGAAATTTTTCAGAAAAATTAGAAATATCTAAATATCCAGAATGTAACCCTCCTACATATATTAAATATCTAAAATGCACTTTAAAATATGTTCTCTCCTATCTTGTCATCTATGAAATGGAGGGACATGATCCTGTATGTTAATTCAAGACATAAAGACAAGTCTACAAGAAATTTTCACAGACATATAAGATAGCCATTTAATTCCCAATAGTGGGCAGGCCAAGAAGTCTTGGCGCAACCTTGGAATGATGATGTTGGTTTCACTCATAATCTGGAAAACTCCCTAGTTATAAAGGAAGAAATATTATAGGCCTATTTGCAAAATGGTAGTGATGCTTGACACCACTGAAATCATATTGCTAGCACTTTATGCAACATTTAGCATATTGTACGATGACTATAGAACAGAAGAGCTATGCCTTAGTCCATTTTGTTCTGCTGTAACAGAATACCTGAGGCTGTGGAATTTGTAATAAACAGGAATTTATTTTTCACAGTCCCTGTGCAAGTCCAAGATCAAGGCACTGGTAGGTTAGAGTTGTTTCTGTGCTTCGAAGATGGCATCATGAATGCTGATTCCTTCTAAGTGGAAGAACGTTGTATTTTCCCAAGGCAGAAAAGCAGAAGAGAGTGAACCCACTCGCAAAAGCCCTTTTATAGGGGCATTAATCCATTCTTGAGGGTGGAGCTTTCATGACCTAAACACCTCCCATTAGGCCCCACCTCCTAACATTGTTGCATTTGTGATTAAGTTTCTAAAACATGAATTCTGTAGGAGACAAATAGTCAAACAACAGCGAGCTGCATGAGTCTAGAAATTACTTAATCCAAACTTTTAATTTTATAAAGAAAATAAAATTGAAAGTAAGAATGGAAAAAAAAGAGTTTTATTAAAGAAGGAGAACATGTTTCTCATTGTTCTCTTTCTCAACAGTGACTTATTTGATACACTCTTTCCTCTTTTGGATTTTGTTTTAATCCTTCAGAAATGGAGGTGACTGGGTCCAAGTATTCTCTGGGACAATCATGGCACATCTTTGGTAACTTCCATATGTAAAAGGGATTAAAGAGCTCAACACATGCTATTAAATGATAGTGCGAAATTTCTTGAATTGTAGCAACGGTCTTTAACAAGATATCTAAATATAAAATATTAAGTTTTTAAGTTTAGATTGAAAACAATCATCCCTTTGAACTTGGAGGTGCCCATATAAATGAATCCTTTAAATTTTGTTTTGTCTTTTCTTAATATCAAAGCTTAGTTGATAAATAAATATAATAAATAAATTGAGCTAAGTAAATGAAATAAAATTAGTAACAGACTCAAGCTACCAAACTAAAGTCTAACTAAAAAATATAATAGCCCATGAATAACAATAAATATACACTAATTTCTTTCACTATTCTTTATTCATTGAATGAACTAGAAGTGTCATCAATTTTATCATCATAACTCATTCACTTCCTATAGCAGCAAATACAGTTGGTGATGATAAAAATAAATGGCATTACCAATTCATTCAGTAAGTAGAAACTTTTGTCTTATAATTTTTCTATTCTATCCTTGCTCACTTAATATCAGAACACAAATTAAGTATATCTAAAACTACCAAATTAATTAGAATAAAATTTGTAAGTTGGCTGGGCCTCCATATTTTTGTTCCACACATTTTGTATATTTGTATATATCCATATGTTCAGCATGATAGAAACCAGGCTTCTGAAGGAGCAACCAAATTTTTTCCTTTTTTTTTTTTTTTTTTTTTGAGACGGAGTCTGTCTCTGTCGCCCAGGCTCGAGTGCAGTGGTGGGATCTCCCCTCACTGCAAGCTCCGCCTCCAGGGTTCACCCCATTCTCCCGCCTCACCCTCCCAAGTAGCTGGGATTACAGGCGCCCGCCACCACGCCAGGCTAATTTTTTGTTTTTGTATTTTTAGTAGAGACGGGGTTTCACCGTGTTAGCCAGGATGGTCTTGATCTCCTGACCTCGTGATCCGCCCGCCTCGGCCTCACAAAGTGCTGAGATTACAGGCGTGAGCCACTGCGCCCGGATGTTTGGCCACATGTAGACATTAAATAATCTCTCTAGAAGAGTAAGCTCCATGAGTCTTTAGGAGTCACTTTAGGATGGAGCTAAAACTGTGGCAAACACTATACCTTCCCTTTATTCTATCCCATAATCACACTTTAACATATTTTTTCTTTTTTATTCGTGTTCAGATGGAAGCTTTTAAGTTCTAGTATGCAGAATTTAAAAAAGATGTCTCCATTTGTGTGACAATATTCTCAACATTTAAACAAAATAAAACGATAGATTTTTAGTACGAAGTAAAAAGTACCTTAAGAATTTATCATCTTTTCAACCTAAACTTTTGTTTTCATACAATCGAAAAGCAAGAACTAATGTAGGGCTTATTGTCATTTGAATAAAATACTTAAAAATCTAAATTATATTGATAACAATATTATTAGTAATAATAATAAATATTAGTGATTATAAACACATAAGAGTAAGAAAGCTTATCATGTAGGGAATATTTAGAACACTTTACAGGTATTAACTCATACATTTCCCAGAACTGAACTAGAAGGTAGATATTTATATAGTTTCCATTTTATAGATGAAGAAATGGAGATACAATAATATTTAATAACTTACATAAAGTAATGATTATTTTTCATGTTGCATATTAACACTTTTTTATTCATTACAGAGACTATATTTTCTAGCCCCTTACCACCTTGATAGGTTTACGGAACTGTTTCATAATGATGCACTGTGAGTGATAATAACATGTTTTACTTTGAGCCAAGGTAAAGAACTCGTGTGCCTTCTTCACGGTCTCGCTGTTCCTCTGCAACAGCAATCAACATGACGAATATTTAGCAGAGGACACTAAGGCCCTAGGGTACGCAAAGACACCAGATGGAAGGATTCTGGGTCCCTGAATGACAGCATGGAGCAGAGTACCCCCTGACCCATACTGAACCAGGCTGTGAGTGAAAAGTAAATATTCATTGTGCTAATTCACTGGGATTTGCTATTGCTCAGTGAACTAACTACAATACATCCTCACTATTAATTTGTTGTTATTAATACATGTGAATGTGATGCAATAACCACAAATATAGAGTGATTTATCAGTCTATCTTCTTCACTCAGTTTCTTACAGACTGTGTTCTATAGGGAAAGCACTTCCTAGGAAACTAGTAAGCTGGTGCCTATGTTTTTAAAAGTAACCAACTAGCATAGCTCAAAATAACATTTTCTTATCATCAACCTTCCAAAATTACTGCTTCAAAGGGATATCTATAGAAAATCGAGAACATGACCGGGCACAGTGGCTCACACCTGTCATCCCAGCACTTTGGGAGGCCAAGGTGGGCATATCACGAAGTCAAGAGATCAAGACCATCCCGGCCAACATGGTGAAACCCCATCTCTACTAAAAATACAAAAATTAGCAGGGCGTGGTGGTGCACACCTGTAGTCCCAGCTACTAGGGAGGCTGAGGCAGGATAATCGCTTGGACTCAGGAGGCAAAAATTGCAGTGAGCTGAGATTACACCACTGCACTCCAGCCTGGTGACAGAGTGAGATTCTGTCTCAAAAGAAATAATAATAATAAAATCCAGAACATATCCTGCAGCTTTTTCCTCCCTCCCTTCTTTCTGCTACCTTGAATCATTCTTCACTTTGTACTCTGCCCCTTGCCTTTGGGCAGTTGTGTTTAACAAAACATATCAAAGAAAGAAAAACAGGGCTCATATCTTATCAGTAGTGGCTGCAAGTCCCATTTCCATTGTCCTCTTACAGTGCCCACTTATTTTTAACATTGTTTCTGGCCTTACACCCTTGTTCTTTGAGCATCACTGTGCTTTGAAAAGCCCAAGTCTGGCTACTTGTTTTTCCCAAAATGTAGGTTAATTTTATTATTGTGGACCAAAGACCCACCATTATATTAGTTATGTATGATTTTATTTTTCCCTTTACTACCTACAAATACAAAGAGTTGCGTGATATAGTGTGAAACATGCCAGATCAAGGAGGAAGAGCAAGAACTTTTGAACTTTACCAGGAGCTCATGTTAGGAACTGGGATGAGACCCCCCGACCCTGTCTCTTGCTTCCAATCTCTCCCCACACTTTATCTAATCCCTTCCAAACTAGAGCCCTGTCCAAAACCACAAAACACCAAACCAGCTGTATTTTGAAAATAAATGTGTATTTCCCTTAGCCTGACTCAGGCAAGTGAAAGAGAAAGCGAGAGGGGGTTTCTGATCTCACTGCAAAAACAGAGAAAGAGAGATGCTTGTGGGCTTCCCAAGCTCAAGGACTAACAGCAGTCCCCTCTTAAAATATTATTAAATATGGTACTTATGTCCAATAAGTACCAGTGTTTCCATTTCATGATGAGTTATATGTCTTTATACAGGCAGATCTGAGAACACAAGCTCACAAACATGCATTTTGTTGAGAAAAGGTGCTTCAAATTCCCAAAAGCCAGTTTACAACCAAGATTTCTAAATACCACTCAATCATAGGAGAGTATTGCTCATATATATGTTTTGGAAACCAGAAAAGGGAAGAATGAAAGTGAATCTGTGAAGAGAAGGGAGAAATGAGGTTCATTTTCTCAAGAAATTAATGAGACAGAGAAAAGCCACAGTGTAATTTGTATACACACATACATTGTGTGTGTATTGGGCAACTCTGTGTGTATTTATGTATATTTGCTAAGGTAGAAAGAACAGGTATAAAAACACACATAGTTTCATCTTATTTTCCATATTTAGGTGTTACAGATAGGTAGTATGGTGCTCATGGTTTCACCTATAGGCAGATAAGAAAGAAACTGTGTTAGTTACGTGTGAGAGCCGAGAGAGCTCCACTTTATAGTCGTCATTCAAAGCAGAGTGAGCTTTATTACATGTTGCCAACCTCTGTAACACTTGCAACCCAGGAGATGAAGTGATTCCCTACTAACCAATAAAAAATGTGTAATTTTTAACTTTATTGTCCAATCTATTACAAAGTTATATTTAAGGTTAATGGAAAGTAATGTTATGGATAAGACAGTCTGATTTCAAGTTATACTCCTCTTTCTCTTAGCTCCATCATTCCCATTTGTATCCATCACCAGTCATTTGTGTGCTGCTAATGGCCAAGACCCAACAATTACCTAGATCTCTGGATTCGAACTTGGACTTCCTTAGCCCTAGGCCATGGGTCTGGCAATTTGTTAGGGGATCCTAAATAATATTTTTGATGACATGCATAAAGAGCTTTTCCTCCCTCAACAGAATATGTGTTATTTAAAACAAAGCATTCTAAAGTAGTATGAATATTGGAATTTCCAGAAATGTAACAGGCCAGTGAAGAAATATTTTTGGATAAGGGAGTTTACTACACTTCTCAAACATAAGGAAAACCAGTCCTGTACATAGGAAAACTGTCCTTCTCTGCAAAAGTTGTCATGATTAGATAAAAATACTTTGAAATAAAAGTTATCAGTACTACATTATAAAATAATTATGAATTTGACAATTTTTATGTTGCATGAAAATCTTTTATCTACTTAATGAAATCGAATTCTGGTGCACTTTGTTCCTGGTTGTCAGCACTAACATTAACACCGTGAGTTTGGTTTTGGTGCAGTTAAGGATTTTATCATGCTTAAATACATTCAAAAGGAGTTCACATGCTTTACATAGATTGAAAGCAAGAAATCTTCCAAAGTATTTAATGACATATATTTGGCAGCCATAATAACCTGAGTAGCACAATTAGGAGGCAGAAATCATGGGAGAACTGTCTTGATGTCAATAGAGTTAGCTAGGATTGGCAAGCACTCCTACGACGCTCCTCCCCTGCAGCACGTTTGCCTGCGGTAAGACACAATGAACTTCTACCATATTATATTTGGAACAATGCTTTCTATAATTTGTCTCCACAAGCTACGGAATCCATTTTGAAAGGAGACGAACATAAGGAAAGCAAAACAACCAGGAATTCTTAGGAAAAGACAGGAAAATAGAGAAAAAAAGAGCACTGAAATCACTAGGTAGAAAGTAACTGCAATCTCTCTTCATTCCTCCCTAATGAGCCTCCTGAGTGGATGTATATTACCCCTGTCAACAAAATCTTACCAGGATCTCTTTGCTACTAATCAGGACTTCCTATTGGTCTTAACATTTGTCTTGGTGTCCTGAAACCAACTTTAGAACGTCATAGCAAATGAGTGTGGCTTTCAGAATAGAAACTTTCAGTGTTACTGAATTTGCAAGGAATAAGGCTGTGTGTCCCCTGAAAGTGCCAGATTGAATCAGAACTGAATGTCCTCATCAAAACAGATTGGTCTATCCTTTGTGAATGATGTCATGCACATTAGCATTGTTAGTGGTCTTTGAAGAAGCAATCTGCCCCTGTGATAGATTTCTGTCTGTGCATTTAGAAACTCTATTATTACCAATTATAGATGTTGTTATTTTGATGACTTAGTTTGTTCTTTCTTCTATGCCTTTCATGGTACTCCTCAAATCTGAATGTATGTCTGGTTTTAAAGGTGGCATACTAATGACTATCAGGTCTTGCTACAACAGGAGGAAGAGGTCTTATGTAATATTCTTTGACTTTTTGGCATTGAGAGATGGAAGGTTTTATGTAGGAACATTTCCCCCATTATTCTAGTACAGATAACCTCATGTCATACCCTTATATTCCCCAACCTTGACCCTTGAATGACATTACATCCAAACCCAAATCTATTTACTAACTGAATTGATTCCCTTCTGCCCATGCTTGCTCTTTTTGTTTTTTGATCTTATAGTGATACAGGAGGAGGGCAGGGAAGTGCTGGGAGGGAAAGGCGTGGTCCCTGGTGAGGGCTCCACCCCCGGGGCCTCTACCCACAGACCTAGGTGAGGACAGGCACTCCTGCCTTCATGCCCAAATGTTGCATTTCCCAAGACCACCCTGGCCTGCCACACCCCCATCCTGTGCCTAAAAAAACCTGAGAACCTAGCAGGCAGAGACACAAGCAGCTGGACATCGAGAGGAACACACAAGTGGAAGAAGACACAAGCGGCTGGACGTCAAGAGGAAGGCACTGATGTAAGAGCACACCAACAGATGCTAGCAGGCAGCAGGCCATCAACAAGCAGAATGATGTGGAGTTTGGCTAGGGAGGTCAGAGGATGGCCTGGGCCACTGAGTGGCCCCATTCCAGGGAAAACCAACTTCCCACTCCATCTCCCCTCTGGCTTCGCCATCTGCTGAGAGCTACTTCCACTCAATAAAACCTTGCACTCATTGTCCAAGTCCACGTGTGTTCCAATTCTTCTGGTACACCAAGGCAGGAAACCCTGGGATACAGAAAACCCTCTGTGCTTATGATGAGGCCGGGGGTCTAAATGAGCTGATAAACACAAGCTACTTACAGACGGCAAAACTAAAAGGGCACATGGTAACACATGCCCACTGCGGCCTCAGAAGCTGTAAACATTCACCCCTAGATGCTGTCGTGGGGTTGGAGCCCCACAGCCTGCCCATCTTCATGTTCCCCCTAGAGCTTTGAGCAGCAGGGCACCAAAGAAGCAAGCCACGCCCATCTCATGCCCTGTAAGGGGCCAAGGGAACTTTTCTTGTTTCAATACTTTGACTATTATACCTTTAATCATTCCCCTCCTAACACCCACCAAGATTTCATTATTGTTTTTCATCAATCCACTGCATTGTCAGCATCCTTCCTTTGCTGTTCTATAACTACTTCCCTAGATTGATGCCTTATTACCTCAACACCATTAACAGGTATTCAGTGAGCCATATCTGTATATGAGCTGTGCTGTCCATGTGCACTCAAAATCTAGTGCAGGCATCAGCAAACTGTCACCATAAAACAAACCCTGCCTACCACCTGATTTGTACATCCAGAGAGCTAAGAATGATTTTTACATTTTCAAATACCTGAACTAAAATCAGAAGAGTAATAGTTTATGACACATAAACATTATATTGAAAAAAATCTGTATCTTCCTCCTTCTCATGTACTGTTCTCTGAGCTTTTTGAACACTCTCAGCATTTTCATGGTCCCCTCTCCTTGTGCCATCTGTCAAAGTATTCTTCGTCTTTCAAGAACTATTGCATATGTCATTTTCTTCAAGAAACTATCTTTAGCCCTCCTCAGCCAAAAGTATTATGCAATGCTTATTATCCCTAGGTAGACCTAAGGACAGTATTAACATTACTAATACTCTACTATTTTGTATCCACCACTATTTCATAAGCTTCTTAATGAGAGGGAACTTATTCATCTTCGTATTTTCCACAGCATCTACCGTTGTTTTTTATATAGTATCGAATATATTTTTTTAATTAAACATATGCTAATCAGGTAAAATTGGTTCATATCCATGATCAATAACCAAGTCACACTATTTTATTTGCTAAATACATGTATTTTTGTTAGCAAAATTAATCCTTTTTGTAATATTCCTTTCCCTTTACACTGATTCCCTCTCCCTAATTTCAGTTATATCCAAACATTCCACTTTGGAAATGTTTGCTTGACCCTCCCATTCCCTAATTTGTTTTTATCTCCAGCATGAGAAAAGAATGAACTATTTACTCCCTTACCTCCCATTCTTTCTTAAGCTCATTGTTAAAGTCACTTGAATCTTTCCAAAGCAATTATTGGCCTTCTTGCCAAAACCAAAGGCCTCCGTTTAGATGCCGTTGTATTTGAACTTTCTAAAACATTTGATCACTTCTTCTGTTTTGAAAAATCTTTTCCTTTGGCTTGAGTAACATTCTTTGCTCCTGATTCTCCTCCATCTCTGCTCCAACTGGGTGCATTTCCTTGATTTCCTCCCTTGTTCTCATCTAACTTTAAAAGATCAACTCTTGTTTTTCTCAACTCCTCACTCTGCTGGTTTTTCATGGTTGTCCTATCACCTACAATGACTTCAATAGGCACATATCCAAAAGTTGATGGCTCCCAAGTATGTATCTGCAGCTCTCTGTTGAACTCTAGACCTGATTTCCTTTTGGAAATTATATGCATATTATTCTCTGAATCTATCTCATTGCCTTCCTGCTTTTCCCCTGTTTTACTTTCTTGCTTAATGGCATTATCATCATCTTGATCACCCAGGCCAGGGAGCTGACATCTAGGGAGGACTTCAAAGATGGAACTCAATCTCAGAGCTTTATTGTATCTTTCTGATTTCTCTTTATGTATTTGTGAAGTTCTTAGCACATAATCAGGCAAAAGCCAATATTTTTTAATAATTTTTTAAAATACTGAACATTAGCTTGTGATAGTGTCTTTTAAAACACTGTAGCGAACATGTCTAAAACTTGTTTCTTACTAACAAACAATTGTATATTTAAGAAAACTATGAAGAGAAATGTGAAAAGGCAAAGGTAACAAGGAATAACATCAGTATTGGTGTAGGTCAATAATAATGTGTAAGATATTCTTCTATCAAAGATTTAATATTTTAAAAGAAAAGTTCATGAAGAACATTCAAAACTATATTGGACACATTAAACTTCTATAATGATGAGATAGCTCTCAAAGGATATTTTCTTCTATTTCAACAAAGTATATTCAATATTATCACATGATATATTGCTGTTCCTTTGGTCCTGGGGTTAGAATATCAAACTTGGAGCCCATCCCCCTATATGCTATTTATAGATTTCTTAACCATTTACAGGATGCCACTACCAGAGCTACCTCATTTGCTCATAATTAAGCTTATCCCATGATAAAATTAATCCTTAATTGAAGATATTTAATAGATCATTTTTGATACACTTTTGAGATTGGGAAAATATGAATGTGATATATTACTCTTATTAGTCATAGTTTCTCTTCAGAAACATCAAACATAAAAAAACAAAGAATATGACTACACCAAATGTCCCAGACATTTTTAAGTTCCCAAATAGAGAAGAAAGAAATGGTTAAGACATGTAGGGATGTTCATATGGTTCTGTTGCTGTGTAATCCTCACCTGTTCTTAAAATCTAAAGGAAGTCAATCATGGCTTCCATGAACCTCTTCCCTGCCTCTCTTCTGCCACTCCAAAGATGTGTGGTCCTACTGTAAACTGGACTTAATCCTATTCCATCAAATACAAGAAAAAAAATCGTAATTGAAAAAATAACAATTTCCTTGGAGTACCATTTTGTATTTAAATATCATTTTGAAAACAAGTTGTTGAAAACATCTTATAATATCATTAGTGTCAGGAAGTGTTATTTTCAAAACTATCGTACATGTGATGAAGATCCATTAAATTGCAAAATATTTAAAAGATCATGAAGCAAAATATTGTCAAAGCCTAAGGCCCATGTAGAACAGTCAAATAACAGCGAGTAATGGATAGCTTGCCTTGATCTCTGAGCTTTGCAGTGCAATGTGAATTTGGGCAGCCACAAATCTATTCATAGATAACAAGACAAATTAATATAAATTAAAACAATGATTTAAGTACATTTCTCCTAGTAATTCTCTCTTTCCCTGTGATCAGCTTGTATGAAACATTGCCCATCATAAATAGATGCAATTATATAAGTCAACTTAAAAATATCAATAAATGACCAAAAAAAACCCCAGCTCTCCTGGTATTGCAGAGTTGCATAATATGATTTCCTACAATGATGTCACATTTGACGCTGCACACCATGTGAAGAAGATTAACTGTACCCAAATTGCATTCTTCTGTAAGGCCAGCTGATATGCACATGTAAAACATGAAACACACACATACTTTGAGATGAAATTAAATGATTCTCAAATGCTATGCCATACATAATTCAAACCTCATAAATATCCACCTTATAAAGAATAGATTGCATTTAGTTGTTTTTCTAAACAACCAACATGGCAATTTAAGTAATTTCAGTGCATATTTATCCTTGAGATACTTATTAGAAAACTGCTCTGGTAGCATTTTTGGCAGTTAGATAATGCCTCGTTTGTTCTTTGTAAAGAGTTTTTATTTTCATGTGTTCTTTCTGGGCTGTCTTTAAGGAAAGATTGATGTCTGGTGTCACTGCTAGGAAGTGCAAACTGTTCAGGTTCACTGCAATCTATGTCCTCATTCTCTTGCTCTGCAGGATATCACCTACTTTGTCAGCCAATATCCAGAAGGGAAGTTCTTTAATGGCAATAAGTGATCCCAATGACATCTTCCCCACAATGCTCAAAGCTCTTAGTAGTTGGACACTGAGGCACCAAACGATGAGATGAAAGGGAATAAATGAATATTGTAGCTGAAAGGTTAGATAAACAGCAGTAGTACTCTTTTAAGTTCCAGACATTTTTAGCAATGCTAAAAGAAATTGAAAAGTCAAAGTTTCCTCTATCATTAAAAGTTTTCCTAAAACATCAGCCTCATAATAACCTGGGAGAATCTTGATCGACTTAATGACATCTTGACCCTTTTTTCCCAGACGTAAGAGTTTAGTGATCAATTGTGTTAATAATAGCAATTGTCAGTATGCATTTTAGAAGTAATTTCTACATTATAACATGTTCCAGCTATACCTCCACCCCTATGGAGAATAGAGCAATAGGAATGAACACTTGCAACATTAAGTAAAATGAAAGGAATTCACGTAACTTGACATAAAACAGGTGTTTAAGAACCATTGAACCCCATAGCGGGATAAAGTGCTATTATAGAAGCAAGACATTCAGAAGCTGTGTGACCATGGCAGAGTCATTCAAAGTCTGCAATGTTCTCATTTCTTTTCTTTTTTCTTTTTTTTTAGATAGAGTCTAACTCTGTCACCCAGGCTAGAGTGCAGTGGCACGATCTTGGCTCACTGCAACCTCCACCTCCCAGGTTCAAGTGATTCTCCTGCCTGAGCCTCGCAGGTAGCTGGGACTACAGACACACGCCACCACACCTGGCTAAATTTTTTTTTTTTTCAGTAGAGACAGGGTTTCGCCATGTTGGCCAGGCTGGTCTTGAACTCCTAACCTCAAGTGATCCACCTGCCTTGGCCTCCCAAAGCACTGGAGTATAGGCGTGAGCCACCGGGCCCAGCCTGCAATGTTCTCACTTCTATGAGTGAGTTAAGGTATTATCTTTCATAAAGAACCATGTACCTATATTCACAATATCAAGCAGAAACAGAATGGGGGGTTTTGTTTCTTATAGATTATTTGAATTCTGATTGATATAAACAAAAATTCTTTTGATTGCTTCGGGTTACAAATGTCAAAACCACCAAACCCAGTGAAAACAATGCAGTGTGTAGGGATTTGACTTTGGTCTTATTAACTCTGTGCTTTAAGCAACAGACCTAATCCTTTGAACCATCCAATGAAATGAACTGCTATGGGCTGAATGTTTGTGTCCCTCCAAAACTCATATGTTGAAATCCTTACCCGAGAGGTGATCGTATTTGCAGATGGGGCATTTTGGAGGTGGTGCCCTTTGCAAGGCTATTTGGAAGATAATTAGAAGCTTAGGGAACGGGATTAGTGCCCTTCTAAAAGAGACTCCAAAGAGATCCCGCACCTCTTCTGCCATATGAGTTTACAATGAGAAGATGGTCATCTATGGACCAGGAAGTGGGCCCTTACTAGACACCTAATCTGCTGACTTCTTTATCTTGGACTTCCTAGACTCTAGAATATAAAAAATAAACTTCTAATGTTTATAAGCCACTTGGTTTATGGAATTTTGTTATAGTAGTGCAAAGGGACTAAGATATGAATGTTAGTTCAATTTCAAGTAAAAGCTTTAAGCATAAAAGTTCAAACTGACCCTAAAAGCAATGACTGATTTCTCCATAAAGTTTAATTTTTTTTTTTTTTTTTTGCCTAGGCCATTGCCAAGATTTTAGAAAATATAAGCAAAATTCTGCCATAATTTTAAATTTTGCTTTTGAATTAAGAACACTATAAATCCACTATTTTCTAAAAGATGGAAGAAAGAGTAAAGACTGAAAAAATGTGTGCAGTCAGCTGTGAGGAGAGTTGAAGGTGGTTTGAAGGTGAGAGATAAAAGATAACATAAATTGAAAAATTAAAATGTGTAGAGATCTGGGCAGGTACCTGAGATTATTTTTGTCAATCCTTACAATGTGTTAGTTCTTATTGTCACTGTTTTAAGGAAGAGGAAATTGTAGAAATGACTTTTCAAGATCATAGCTACTAAGTGTTAGAGCTGGAGTTTAAATCCAGACCTATTTGGCACCAGAGCTGGCATTCTTTCCGGAGTTATGATACAGGTGTTTGCCCTCTCTTTTCTATGTGAAAGAAACTACAGATAAGTAATGCAAAGTTTGTTGTTTAGATGGAAAAAGAAGAGCAACACCTTCATACAAAAAGGTAAACAATAAAAAATAGTAAACCACTAGTGCCAGATTAGTTGTGCAAACATTATTTATAATGAAGTTCAATATACAGCTGAGACTTGATTGACCAAGTTAATCCTCAGAAAGGGATAGAGTTTCTGTCTGAATGTTAAAATAATAATTCCCTACAAGCCTGAAATTTAGCATATTAAGAGTGCTTCTCTTTCTCTCTCTCTCTCTCTCTCTCTCTCTCTGTACATGTATAAACATATACAGCCATGTGCCACATAATGCGTCTCTGGTAAAGGACAGACCACATATATCATAGTGGTCCCATAAGATTATAACACCACATTTTGATCATCCCTTTTCTATGTATAAATATGTTTAGATATACAAATAATTACCATTGTCTTACAATTGCCTACATTATTTGGTACAGTAACATGCTGCACAGGTTTGTAGCCTAGGAGCAATAGGCTATACTATATAGCCTAGGTGTGTAGTAGGCTATACCATCTAGGTTTGTGTAAGTACACTCTATGAGGTTTGCATAGCAGAATTGTCTAACTGCACATTACAGTGCAGTATATCTGTTATAGTTTGCATTCTTTCAGAACATAGACATTGATATTAAACCAGCAGACGTTGGTTTAAAAGTACTACTTATTTTTTTAAAAATCACGTTATGTGCATTTTTAGGTACTATTACTAATGAGTAAAGTCAAGTCCACAAAATATGAACAACTTAATAATGTCCCACTTAAAAAGAAAAAATGGGATTTGAACATCACTTGTTTTAAATAAAGAGGTACCACTTAAATCACATTTTAAGAGCACCTGTTTTCAAATTTAACAACAAATAGTGGTAATACACAGTCACTTAAAATGAATTTCTGTTCAACTCTTTTTTTCCAATTTAATTTACATAATCATGCAACTTGGTTATTTAAAACCCTTAGTAAATTTTTAGTAAAGTATTACAAATGTAATTGATTGCATCAACTAAACATTTTAAATTTCTATTTCAGGGCCGGGCGCGGTGGCTCACGCCTGTAATCCCAGTGCTTTGGGAGGCCGAGGCGGGCAGATCACGAGTTCAAGAGATCGAGACCATCCTGGCTAACACGGTGAAACCCCGTCTCTACTAAAAATACACAAAATTAGCCAGGCATGGTGGCGGGCGCATGTAGTCCCAGCGACTCGGGAGGCTGAGGCAGGAGAATGGCATGAACCCAGGGGGCAGAGCTTGCAGTGAGCCAAGATCACGCCACTGCACTCCAGCCTGGGCAACAGAGCGAGTCTCCATCTCAAAAAAAAAAAAAAGAAAAAAAATTTGTATTTCAGTTAATTAAATTTACTGAAAATATTAATTTTTCCTTAACATATTTATGCTAGTGCTCTGAAAACTTTACCACAAATATTTGTTGAAATACTTTTATGTAGAAAGAAAGGACCAAGACTATCTTTGTAGTTCAGAGAAATATTTACACAAATAATATTATGAATTTTGGTTTGTCTATTCATAATCACAAACATACATACACACACACAGCAAGTCTGATATTATTCTGGATGCATAAAGCTCTTGGCTTCTACAATTTAGCAAATAATGTGCCCACAGAAAAAAATGCTCATGAATGTATGTAACTTCCTTTGGTTTTACTGAAAGGCCTATTGCTGACTTATTCACTCTCCTTTAATAAAACCAACTCATTAGGCAAGTTTCCTACATTTGAACAACATAGAAATCCAAACATGAATATTAATAATAAAATTAAATAATTTTAGGCAATACTTTGGATGGGGCAAAAATGAAATTAGAACTAAAGCAAAGAAAAAACTTCAATAGATTATGCTAACTGTTGTTAATGATTTAATAACATTGTTTTATATCTGTGAATAATGAAGGTAAATATGTTAGAAAAATTGCCTATTGTCACATTTTATTATATGAAAATTAAAAAAAAATTAGCAGAAGACATTTAAATTCCATCCTTTCATCTCTTTCATCCAGAATTTTAGCTGGGTTTCTGTAGCCTTTTCATTAAGGGAAGCAAACAATTTTATAGAGAGAGGTATATAGATACATATTTGTCAGTGGAAATGAAACCTGATATGATATAAAATTATTTTCGGTGTAATGGAAAATCTAAGACTCAGAGAAGATGTTTATAATTTTTGCCTATATTTGAAGAAGATAAAATGATTCCAATCTTTATAAAATTGGTGATGAATTCTGGGTAATTACATACAGTAGTTAATAGAGAGTGCCTCAGACTAGTTGGGCTGCTATAACAAAATACTTTAAACTGGATAATTTATAAACAATGGAAATGTATTGCTCACAGCTCTTGAGGCTGGGAATTCTAAGATGAAGTCACCAGCAGATTCAGGGTCTAGGTGGGGGCTTGCTCACTGTATTCTTACATGGTGGACGAGCAGACAAATTCCCTCAGGTCTCTTTTATATCATAATTAATAAATATTTTCTATGACCCCTCTATTTGTAAAACACTGCTTATCCTACACAAAAATTAACTCAAAATGGGTTAAAGACCTTAGTATAAGAGTGATAAAAGAAAAACTTCGGCCGAATTAAATTTAAAGGAGTTTAATTGAGTTATGAATGATTTGCAAATTGGGAAGTCCCTAGGATCAGAGCTGATTCACAGAGACCCCACCACAGCAGAAGAAGATTTATAGACCAAAAAAAAGGGAAATGACGTACAGAAATGGGAAGGAAGGTACAGAACAGTTGGGTTGGTTACAGGTTGGCATTTGCCTTACTTATTGGAACACGGTTTGAACACAACACTCAGCAGTGTATGAATGGTTGAAGGACAGCTGTTGGGATTGGCCAAGACACAGCTATTGTTAGAGGTGCATACTCCTAAGTTAGGTTTTCAATCTTGTCTACCTATTAAGCTAGGTTGAAGTTCATCTACAAGGATTCAAATATACAAGTACAGAGTCCTTCTCAGGCTATATTTAGATCACTTTAACAAGAGATAAAACTATATAACTCTTAAAGGAAAATATAAGTGTGTATCTTCATGACATTGGATTAGGCAATGGTCTCTTGGATATGATACCAGAAGGCCAAGCAAAGAGAAAAAAAAATAGATATACTTCATCGAATTTTTAAAATTTTTGTATATTAAATAATACTATCAAAAAATTGAAAAAACAATCCACAGAATAGAAGAAAATGTTTACAAATAAAATATCTGATAAAGGTCTAGTATTTGGAATATATAAAGAACTCTTACAACTGAAAATAGAAAAACACACAGTCTTATTTTTAAATGGGCAATGTATTTCAATAGAAATTTATCCAAAGAAGATATACAGATGTTCAGTAAGCACATAAAAAATGCATAATGTCATTAGTTATTAGGAAAATGCAAATCAAAACCACAATTACATACCACTTTGCATCTATAAGATGGCTATAATAAAAAAGATGGACAATATTAAATGTTAGTGAGGATGTGGAGAAGTTAGAACACTGAAACATTGCCGGTGTGTATGTAAAATGGTGCAGCTGCTTTGGAAAACAGTTTCGCAGTTCTTCAATAAGAAGAACAGTTACCATGTGATTCTGCAATTCTGCTTTTAGGTATATAGTCAAGAAAATTTAAAGTACACATTCACACAAATCTTGCACACAGATGCACTTCACAGCATTATTTAGAGTAGCCAAAAAGTGGAAACAACCCAAATGTCCATGATAAATGGATAAATAAATTGTGGTATATCTATACAATGGAATATTAGCAAGCCATAAAAGGAATGAAGTGATACATGTGCAGTGTGAATGAACTTGGAAATGTTATAGTAAGTGAAAGTGGCCAGATACAAAAGGACTTATCGTGAATGATTTCATTTATATGAAATATTCAAAATAGGCAACTCCACAAAGACAGAAAGTAGATTAGCGGCTGCCAAGGGTGAGGGAGGGAGGGGAAATGGGAAGTCATTGCTAATGGGCACCAGATCTCCTTGGAGGTGATGAAAATGTTCTGGAATTAGAAAGTAGAGATGGTGGCACAACCTGTGAATATGCCAAAAGCCACTGAATGGCACAGTTTAAGAAGGCAAATGTTATGGTATGTTAATTATATCTCAATAAATTAAAATAAAAACTTCTGGGAAGGAGAGTAAAGAAAGGGGAAAAAAGAAGCTTTTATACGTGGTCTTATAATATGTCTTTTCACTTAACTAAAGCAAAAGGAAAAACTAAAACCAAGTCTATTCTAAGTAATGTGGACCAATAGATGACTGCCTCTTGCCTTTGAAACAACTTCACAGTGTAGTGGAGAAAGCAGACACAGTGTAACAGAACACCGTACAAGTCAGGCTGCAAAAAGTGCTGCCTTAACAAACAGTTGAGATGTAAAAACAGGGAAGAAGAAAAAGCAATTCATTCTAACACAGAGCTAGAGATGGTTTCACAGAGCAGATAAATTCAAACCAGGTCTTGAAGCATTTCTCCGGGTAAAAAAACTTATTTCAGGCAAAGGAAAATACCAAAGTCAGAAAAACCTAGAAGGTGAAAAACATCTGGAGAACAATGAGCACTCCTGCAGGCTTAGAGCTTCAGCTTGTGGAGCTGAGCAGGTCAGCACAGGATATTTGTGGCAGCAGGGTCAGGTGAAGGGTCTGCCAACAGGTTTGGAGGACACAGACGTGGCTTCTCATCCCAGCTCCACTATCTAAGTTGCTGTGAGACCTTCCACAAAGTAGCCACTCTGAGTCTCAGGGATTGTTTTTAAAATATATATTTTTTATATTTTATTACACAAAATATAATGTTTCATTATTATATAATATCTATTATGTAATATATAAACATGTAATTATATATTATATACCTAATATATATTTTAAAAGTATATACATAAAATATGTTTATATATTTTTTATATATATATACCACTAGAGAGAATTTTGAGAGAACTTAATGACACATGTGGAATGTTACCTTATCCTCAGCCACATACTAGGTATACATAAATATTATTTTTCTCTAGAAAAGTAAATATATGCTCATTGTAGAAAATTTGAAAAGTTTAAAAAAAGGAAAAAAGAAACACACACTAACTTAAGTTCCAGAGGTCTAACATACAAGTGTGGGGACTATAGTTAACAATACTGTCTTGTATACTTGAAATTTGCTTGCTTTTGCTTGAAATGTGCTTGAATGTGCTTGAAATTTCCCAAAAGAACAGATCTTAAGTGTTCTCACCACACACACACACACACACACAAACACACAAACACAAACACAAAGTGGCAACTATGTGGAGAGACAGATATGTTAATTAGTTTGACTGTAGTAATCAGTTCACTATGTATAACAAAACACCATTACATACAACTTAAATATACATGTTTTCAATAACCTTTTTCTAAAAAAACTATTGACCTATATAAGATCGTCATTGTTAACATCTTAGTGTGTAGCCTTCCAATCTTAGTGTGTGTGTGTATGTGTGTGTAATTAAAGATTATATGGAATATATAATAAAAATTTTCTATTATCCTCAAACATTTTCAACAGTTCCATAATGTTCTCTTTTTAGTGTGCATTTAACCTAATTATATATATGATCACCATCGTTTCAAAAGCTTTGACTCTTCTATCACCATAGATACTCATGCCTTAAATATTTTACATTTGTATCAAAGTAATACATATTGCAGTTTTAAAAGTTAAATTTTACATAAGGCATATAAACAAAAACAGCAAACCTTGACCCAACCTTCCCTACCTCTGATTCCCACTTACCAGATGCAACCGCTTTGAACCATTTTAGCTTCTGCCTTTGGTACTTTTCTCCATGTTGTTAAACGGCATTCTTCCATTAGTATTTTTTAAGATATTTTATATGTCAACTACTCACAACCTGTGCTACGGTAGATGCAGATTTACTCTTTAATGCTTGCATTTTCTTTCTCTCTCTCTTTCTCACACACACACACACACACACACACACACACACACACTTTTTTCATGTCCTCTCAATAGAGTTATATTATCATTATTTTTGGTAAATAAGTATGAAATGTATACATTTTTGTGACTATGAAGATGTTGTGCACTGCTGAGCTATGCAGCACGTTATGATGTTTTCTTCTTCCACATTTGGTTTATGTTGGTTTGTTTCTTCTCTACAATCTATCATTAGTTTATTCCCAAATTCTGCTGCAGAAATATTCTCCTATTAATATATTCAAATATATCCACAGTCTATGAAAGTTATGTATTTATTTTTGGACATCATTTATGGTGACTTTGGGTCACCAGCTTCCTAAACTGATGACTCTCAGGTTGGCTTCATATTTTTCCTAGTAGGATTTCCCTCCACCATCAATTGGAGGTTTCTTTAATCTCTCTCCTGATGGTTTTCCTTTTTACAAGATGCCGCTTTATTCTCCTCTATTTATTCCTCCTTGTCTTGCTAAATATTTCCTCTAGTCCACAGAAGGGAAAATATGAAACCAGCAACTTCTGAAAATATGTTTATTCTATTCACATGCTTGATTGATAGTTTATTTAAGTATATAATTTCAGGTTGGGAATGATTTTCCTTCAGAATTTTGAAGGCATTGATACAGAGGCTCCTAGAATTCAGCTGCTCCTGAGAAATCTCATGCCATTTTGATTCCACCTCCTTTGAACAGTTGACCTGATTTTGTTCACCTCTTTGGAAGCTGCTAGTTTACGTTTCTATTCCCAATATTCTAAAATTTCACAATGAAGCATTTAAGTCGAGATTTTTGGTTTTTTGTTTACTTACTTGAGGCATGCTAAATTTGAAAACTGCCTTCCCTGAGGTCTCAGAAATTTTCTTAATGCATTTTTTTATGATATCCTGCTTTCCATTTTCTCTATTCTTGTTTTTTGGAGAAAAACATGTTGGCTATGCTTCAGACCTCTTGCACTAATTCTCTAGTTTTCTTATCTATGTCTATGTTATTTCCATTTAAAAATTCTATCTTATGGAAGATTTTCTCAAGCTTATATTCCAAACCGTGTTTGGATAATTTTATTTCTGTCTTCATATATTTAATTTCTCAAACTTCACTTTGTTCTCTGTATTTTTGTTAGATATAACATCCTCCAGTTTTATAAATACAATACTACTCTAAGATGCTAGTATAATGTAATTTTAAAACTATTTTTATGTTCCTTGCATTGTCTCTGTTTCTCCTGTTTCTTTTGTTGTTATTGTCACTTGGTTTTTATATTGACTTTTACCTTTTTCAATTACTTTGAGTCTCTACACATCAGGAAGAAGTCTTCCTATTGTTGGCTTTGAGAATGATTAGAATTTTTCAGGGATTCTTGAGGCCAGTGAGGACAGATTTATTAAGTTTTCCTATGTTCAGGTTACTTCTCTTGCCCTCAGCTCTACCTGCTATCCACAAGATCAGGGGATCTTCTAGTTCGTGGATATCAGAGAGCAAGATTTCATTCTTCTCCTGAGTAAGGAAATAGTTCGCTCAGCTGTGCTGACAATCTGGGGATCACTACTTCTTCCACAGGATTTCAACTGGTCCTTTAGTTTTCTACTTGATCTGTACACCTCTTTCAGATGCACATGTGGTTTCTAATTCTTGAAATTTTCTGGAGTTCTGTGGTGCAGTTCATCTTTCACCTTGGCTCTGTGCGCTACTATTTTGGGTTTCAGCTTTCTTGATTTAGCTAACAAGTTTAATTCTTGTCTGTCAACTTCCAGCTTTCAAAGTTTTGTTGCAGTACCTTCCATTTATTGCTCAATGTTGTTGGGGGTTAATGCCTCTTTTTGTCCATCTTATTACTACAATTTTCAAGAGGCTTCAGAAGAAGCAGAAATGAAAGCACATGTTCAATTAGCCATATTTATTGGAAGCCAGTATCCATGTTTTTCTATTGTAAACTAGGATAATAATATATGAGGTTATCCTTTCATAATATTTAATAGTGTAATATTCAGTATTCAGTTGCTTTTTAAACAATGAACTTTAATGTTCAAATGAAGGTTTGGAATTTTTATTTCAAGCCTATTAATTTTCAAACACAGAACAGGAAATACTGATTCCTTTTGTATTCTATGCTTCAAAATCAGTGTTTTCTAAAAGTCTACTGTAATTCAGTGTTCAGATAACTTTGATAAATGCATATTTCCCTTTTTAGAAATACATGACATTCATTACAATAACAATGATTCAAAGCTATCCTGCAGTAAAGAAACATAGTTAATTTTGTTTAATCTTGGATTTCTTAAACTTAATTGACAGTTTAACAATTTTTCTGCAAACTTCCTAACAACATCCAGTAGATTTGTTCTGTGCAATACATTCTTAGAAACCCTACTGTGAATTCAAAATTTTACTCGAGTACATTTTGCCCAGGCATCATGTGTAATTATCATGTATTGCAATTATGATGGTTTATTTTAAATGTATTACAGGACTGCTTACAGCAAATTAGCTTGCCATGGTAAATAATACTTCTTGCCTCCAATTTGATTAATAAGTTTGTCAAAAATAAGATCCTACATTTCATTCTTTAAAATACATATATTCTTTTTTAAGGGTTTATGACTGAAAGAAGTGGTAATAATATTTAGAATACTATCATCTGGCATGAAAGCTAAATTTTATTTAGAAGATGCAAATCTGAAGAGTACCTTACACCTACCATGAGATCTACTTTAACCAAGTTCTATAGTTAATTCATAAATCACATCTTTTCCAGGCTTTACTCTTTGGTACAGACACATGTGTTGAATATCTAACCCACTAGTGATGCTTAAAATTGACATTCCAATTATAAATTATATGATGAAATAAAATGGGGGTAAATTTGCATAAAAACTATTCATAACTAGGAAGCAAAAAAGAGATTATTTAACTTGTAGGACTGCTTATTCTCTCACTTGCCTACAAGAAAGCATCACTTGATTTACCAAAGTAGCTATTTTTTCTGCTGTTAGCTCTTAACCAAATATTGGCACTTAAGAGCACCATCTCTCCTTCAGTGGATCAAGCCAAATACAACTACAGCCCAAAAAAGACATCCTGTCCCTCCTTCAACAGCCAGGAGTCTCCTCTCACAGTTCCAAGGAAAAACCAGAACAAATATTTGCAAAGATTTTTGTCTTGTAGCAAAAATCGGCATTAATAAAATCATGTTTGGAGGAAAGTGCTGAGAGGGTATATAAAAACAATATTGTAATTTCAAAGTGGGAAACATTAATTCATAATGTGCAGGAGTATTTTTAGATGGCACTGACAGTTTGCATGAAGCTTGGGAGTGGTGTGACTTGCTTTCATAGGAAAGGAATGGCCTAGCCTGGGAATTTTATTGGCAGATATCATAGCTTAAAAATGCACATGGGATGTCTGTCTTATAAAGCAACAAATATAATATTTTACTTGTTTTCACTTTATGATAGGAATCATTATGCTTTTCTCATTATTCATCTCACTTTTGCTAGACAGTATTAAACAGAAGTCTGCACATTATCTTGGATTTTTATGGCTCTCTATGGTTTGCAAAGTACTTTCACATACATCGCCACCTTTAATCCTTGCAACAACTGTTGAGGGTATTATTAATACCTCTGCTTTATCTAAGAGAAAACTGAGCATCAAAAGGGATTAGTGAATTGCCTAAGACGACACAACCACAAAATTGCAGGGCCAAGTCAGGAACCCTGGACTTCTGTTTCAAATCCAGAGAGGGCACTCCCCTCTACCACCATTGCAAGATGTTCTTCCTTCTTATAATTAGCTTTCCAAAACTTCAGCTTACATTAGTTATTTTCCATCATATATCAGATTGAAGCATACAAAATTACCTTTTTTTCAGGTCAGAAGAGGAATATGAGCAATTTCAAATAGTTCAATCTAATGCATATAGAACCCCTATAAACATATTTGATAATCTGCAATACTGCCCACATACAAATGTCCTATTTTAAACTATATCACAAACATTTAAGAAGTGGGTTTTTTTTCTTTTTGAAACTTCAGTTCTAGCACTTTAGTAGTTCAAGCTGTGTCTATGCAGACACACACACGGGTTTCGTCAATTTGATTGATTTAGTTAAGCCAATTCAAATAAAATCACCCAATGAGTTGTTTTGAGTGAAAACTGTTTGCTTTTGTTTTGTAGTGAATAAATCAATATAGTCAGTTTAAAAGGGTTCGTTTATGCAAAAACAGCGTAAGTGATGCAGTGAGAAAAGGTGCTTCTGGGCAGGAGATCCAGAGAGTTCTCAGATGGCAGATGGCCTTTTTGCAAGGCCTCAGGATGCTGAGAGGGAGGGAAGAGTGGTTATGTTCCGAATGCTCTCATTTCCTGCCCTCTCCCCAGGGAGGCATAGATATCATCAAAGGTCCTGGAATGAACTTTTCTGAATCTCAAAATAATTATTTTCCAAACTTAAGGGATTGGTAAAATTTTGGTTTGATCTTTAAATGTGTGTATGTGCGTTTGTGTGTGTGTGTGTGTGTGTGTGTATGGTTGTCAGTCATTAAAAAACATCACACCACCCAAGTCATGAATTTAATAATTTTTGCTCATAGATTTTATAATGATTCTAAAACAGTTATTTTTTAAAACTGCATGGACTGTATTTGACTCAGTTTAAACTAAATGATAAAAATAAGGGTAAGAATGAGATACCTATATTTCAAGCTATGTGAGTAGAAAAACTAAAAATTATTGTTTAAGATAGAGGTCGCCTCATTAATTACACTGAATTCTATCAGATACCATGTTTTATAAGAGATTATTATTTCATTTGACTGTATTGAGATTAAGATTTATTAAGAATTATCATTCATTGATAATTCATTTACTGATTAAATATTCATTTATTTATAAACCAGTACCTGTTGAGCACTTACTATGTGTATAGCAAGTTTACCTACGTACTTTGTATCCCTGGGGACACAAAAGATGCACAAAGTTTCAAAGTAATTATTTACCCAATTTCCCCTTTTTTTTTTGTTTTTTTGAGAAGGTGTCTTGCTCTGTCCCCCAGGCCGGAGTGCAGTGGCGTGATCTCTGCTCACTGCAACCTCTGCCCCACAGGTTCAAGAGACTCTCCTGCCTCAGCCTCTTGAGTAGCTAGGATTAAAGTCTAATTTGTTGTATTTTTAGTAGAGATGGGGTTTCGCCATGTTGGCCAGGCTGGTCTCAAACTCCTGACCTCAAGTCATCCACCCACCTCACATTTATTTTTCTTAATGAAACTTTTGTATCAAACCTTAGATGGAAGTCCATACTTTTAAATTTTTCACATACTTAATATCTGCAACCACATATTTTAAGGCTATGTTTTCTTTATAAAAAGCCTCAGAAATGAACAGAATATATTCATTATTATGAAAAATATTTTATCTTATTTAAATCAGATTGTGTTCAATTATACTTGCTTTTCAGAAATAAATGTGACTCTTACATATTGTGTCAAAAATTTTAATTTTAATAAGATATTAATGAGATATAATAAATTAAATATTGACCTAGGTTTTATGCTAATTTAGAAATACAAATTTTAACTCACATTGACATGATTTTAAAATAAGGCATTAGTGAAAAATATGCCAAATATATACCATCAGCAACCTTTGTAGCAAACTGATCAGAGAAGGTTGGAAGAAAAATAAAATGTATGAAGTACTCCAGATAAAATATGAGACAAAAAGAAGCAATCAATAACTTTTAAATTGGAAAGTAATCTGAATTCTTGATAAAGCTGAAGTGATTTATTATTAATGAAATAATGATAAATTATGATAGTTATATGATTCCTTCCCTGAGTCATAATCAAGAATTATGTATTAGTATGAATTATGTTGTAGTAATTAATGCTACAGGCATTTGTTGTGGGCCTACTGTGTGACCTAGTTGTTGTTGAAGAAGACAGATGTATTTCCTGCTCTAATAGGGCCCACTATTGTTCAAAATGTATGGCTATTTTATAAGGCCCCTAGATAAGGAGATATCTCCAGCTGAAGCCTGAGTCATGAAACATAAAGTTATTGCTTCAAAGTAATTAGAAATATCTGCCACCCAGTCAACTGCCTCATTATCACAATGCTGTATGCTTTTGAGATTGGCCTAATATTTATTTAGAATTTTATATATAAAGATAATCATAAATATTCCATATTTAACCTTCCATATGTAAAAAAAACTTTATACCCCTTTTCTATTTTCAAAAAAAAAACCATGATAAATAAAGGCTGTAGAGAAACAGCACCCTTAATATTTCTTTTCAATATTACAACTTCATTGTTAGCACCTCTGGATAGTAGTAATCATCATGTATTATACTTAAGGTCAAGAATAAAGAACTTTAGTGAAAAACTAAAGGAAAAGGTGGTCTACTCAAAAATTAGGATGGTCATGAAGAACTTATTTTATTTGAGCTCTCCTTTGTCAATATCTGAGCAGTAGGGGTTCTCATTAGCATTTATCAAATCTTCCTGCAGAGACACCCGATCTGCTGGTCTCTCTAGAATGAGCATGTCTTTTGGTATTTGTTGATCAGACCTCTGGGAGATCAGAAGGAAAGCACACTCAGTAAATGATTCAGGATTTTAGAATTCGTTTCCCTTGCCAAGAAACAAAAAGCAGAGTCTTTGGGGGGCTGAAAAGCCACATATTTACACATGTATATACTTGAAGAAGTATAGTGCAAATTCCCAGGGCTCCTGGGAAAATAAGAATACTGTTTTGTGGTTATATTTGGCAAAAGGACCAGAGATTCAATGTCACGATAAAAAAGTATTACAAACATTAAAATAAATGAAATAGGACCTTTTCCTTATTTATATACCACAAATGGTCCAAATAATTCATAATATTTCTTCAAATGACCACAAGTCCACAAACTTTAGGTTGAAGGATATTAAGTGGGACCCAGAAGAATCCTACTTGGAAAAGGTAAAAAAAAATTCTAAAATTAAAACAAGACACAAAACATGCATGATGCTGTAGGTCCATTTTATCACCTACATAAACATAGAATTCTAAATAAGACAAGTTTCGGAGAATATCAGAAAGCTAATTTCACTGCAGTTATTCCCCGGTACCCTAAAGTATGCATCACACACTATTTTAGCTCAAGAACTGTCAGTTGAGAGTGATATAAAATTTTTGTAAAGTGAAATTATCACCTTCTAATTTACTTGCTGCAGAGACAGATTCAAGCTTAGAAAAATCTAATAAAAGTTATTTATTGTTTGATTGCATATAAATCATCAAATTTATTATTTTGCTGGAAAATCAGTTCTACTATTGCCAGAGACTTTTTTCCCTGTCGTACACAACATTGGAAAAGTTCTACTATTTAAAATGTCTGATTAAGTACTAAAATATACAAAGAAATAAACTGTAAGCCTTCACTACTGAACTCTAAAAATAAAAGTTAATAGGCGTGGCTAAATTATAGTCATGCAGGTTGCAAGACATGTACGAGCTTTAGATCTATATCTGCCCTAAATCTATCTACATTTCTGGTTCACTCACAACAAAAAGTTACAAATTTCTATTCACAAAACTTTTTCACCAGTGCAAGAAAAATTAAGCTCTATCATGTGATTGGCTAAAATGCCCTATATGAAAACTTCATATATGCAATCAATATACCAAATAGAGAAATATTGATTCATAAATGAATCCATGCAAAATAGGGAAAGAAAGAAAAATGAGTCAGTGAACAAAGTAGAATCACTCATGTCTGCCCTAAAAGTATCTTCTAAAACTCAATGAGTCAAATTTCCTGGAGGGCAGGAGAAATCAGCAGGTATAAGCTACACAACGTCAGGTTGTTTGGATTCCCCAGGAAGGACCCTTTGCCCAGAATTTCACTGTAAAATGTGAATCAAGTTAGCTGGATGGAAACATCTGGGGTATAAGATTATCGAGAGTGGATAACTGGAATAAGATATAAAAATAAGTACATTCCATTGTCCTTTCTTCTGAATTACTGAGTAAAATTTTGATATGCTTATTAAGGATGTAATGATTCATCACTCTACAGTACTTGTTTAAAATATACAGAAAGTATTTATAAGAGGCCAGATTGCAAACAGAGGCTTTTCTGTTGTTGTTCTTGCTTGTCATAAGTAGAGGTAATGGACATGGACCTCAATAAAGAATTTTACTGGAAGCAGTGAAAACATTACAGAATTTTGTTTACTTGATGCTTACTTCTCTCATTTTCCTACTAGGGCACAAGAAGCTGAACTGTATTTGTGTCACAATAGCTGCCAAAAGGAAAAGGCCAGAGATTTTTCCAGAACCTCTCTTACACACTCACCCAAACTGGCGACACACACACATGTGCACGTACACACATACAGAAATAAAATAATAAATTGAGTTGTCCTTAAGATTCTACAGTTGTACATTAATTCTATGTACTTTCGAGCAAAGAATTAATAAGCATTTCTTGAATACACTGGAGATACAAGAAAAAATAAATTACATAGGGTCCCCTTCCTCAAGAAGTACATCCAGGTATTTTTTTTCAATGTACTGCTTGAGCCAGTGCATCTATCTAGAGGTGTGAAATTGGACAATGCAATAATCATTTGGAAAGAGATAGAACAGTAGCAAAATTTGAGTTGAGCCTTTTCTTTCTGTCTGAAGTATACAGAACTACTACAAGTGATGAAATTACAGTTTGAATGTTTGGTTGTAGTACTGCTATGACCATTTCAAACAATTATGGCTTGGAAAACAGAATAAAAGTTTCAAAGCTGTGCTTGATTATTTTTAGTTCTAAGTCTGGATAAAACCCGATGCTGTAAGATTGAGAAATCACCTTCAGAATATTTCAATAGGGCTGACTGAAATTTTGAGCATAATTTGGCATACTGAATCATGAGAAAGTTATTGACCAATCTCTTTCAATAATATTCTCTAGTAATAGCCACGGAGATTTCTTACTCTTTCACTAGCTTGCTTGAAGAAGGTAAGCACAGTCCCGATCACTTACAGAAACTCTTGTCCACACATTCCTTAATTAAAACAGAAATAAATGCACACCCATTAGAGTTCTTGTTTCTGCAGTGCTGTGGCTGAACTGGAGTGGGACCAGGAGGTTACCAAAGGCTTTTAGCTCATCTCTCCATAAAAACATGTAATCTTAGCTAGAGCTATTTGGTCATTTGCCATAAATAAACTAGATGCTTGGCTGCTGACACTCTTTTAAATATTAAAAATAACTTACAGATTAAAACATAGACTTGAACTTGTGCTTTTAGGCAAACTAATCTCCAGCATGCTGCATGTGACATGGTATATCTGGAAATAAAAAAATTCCTCATAAAATCACTTTTTAAACAAGTAAGTCGTACCAATGTTCACGAATTACTTAATTCCTCTGGTAGTTTCTCTATTATTACACTTCCTCCACAACCCATGAAGACACTGGCCACATTAGTTTCAAAAAAGTTAGGTGATTAATCTAAGAGGAACGTCTTCTAATATGAAAACTTTCAGTGAAATGGGCCTAGAAAAATCTGAGGTGAGGTTAGAGGTTATTTGAGACTATAATGTCATAACATTGCTTGTAGACAAGACAGCAGTTATAAACATAGTGCATTGTGTTGTAGTTGTGAGCACAGGCTTTCTTCCTAAAAAGAGTCACCAAGTCTGACTAGAAAAGAATAAATACTGTTAGGGTAAGGCCAAAAAAGCAATTATGGAACTTCTTAATCCCCAGGAAAATAACTCTTGAATAGGAAATAATAACTTGATAGCTTGTGATTAATAACATAAGATGAGGCAATTTTGGCAAGAAGCAATGTTCTGTGTTCACTGCGACTAGCAAGCACAGACCAGAAGTCAATGACTGCTCGACACTTGCTAAGTCCATGTTCCCACGTGTCATTTTCTGTAATTAGAGAAAGTAGCTTAGGAAGCACTATCTTTTACTGGAGAAATTTATTGTAGTAGTAAGAGGACCTCAGAAAAAGCTAAAAGTCTTTACTCTGTGTGTTCTGTTTGGTTTTGTTTTTGAGTAGCCTTTATGCCCCTACTTTCGACAAGCTAAGGATTACCTATTGCGAGCCGAACTCACCAAATGTGGGCTCGCCAGGACCAACCCATGCCACTCCCTCTCTTCTCAGCACTGCTCCCCAGAAACACACTTTCCTTGAATTTTAAATCAGAGTAAATATAGAAGTCTTCCGAAATTAGAGTGTGTGTGTGCGTGTGTGTATATACACACGCACACACACATATATATGAATAAATATGTGAGACAAGATGACTTGGAAAACAGAATAAAAGTCTCAAAGTTGTGAATTTTTTTGAGACAAGATCTTGCTCTTTTGCCCAGGCTGGAGAACAGTGGCATGATACTGGCTCACTGCAGACTTGACATCTGGGGCTCAAGCAATTCTCCCGCCTCAGCCTCCAAGTAGCTCGGACCACAGGCACGTGCTACCACGTCCGGCTAATTATATATATATATTTATATATATATATGATTTTTTTTTTAGAGACAGGGTTTCCCTATATTGCCCAGGCTGCTCCAAAACTCCTGGGCTCAAGCAATCGTCTCTCCTCAGCCTCCCAAAATGCTGAGATTACAGGCGTGAGCACCACACCTAAGTCTCATATATTTAAGAGTCAATCTATGCTTTCAATCATTGTTTATCTGTATTTACTTGATAACCTGTTCCTACCAGTCAATAAGGAAAAGCATAACACAAAATTAATAGTTCAGTCTTTTTTAAACTACTCCAGATGACTATAAGAATACCCTCCTAAATCAGTAGTCAGATAAAATTTCAAGAATGCAAATGGAATAAAAATACTAAAATTTATTTTCTCATTCATCTAATTATTCATTTGTACTGAAACACCTAATATGTTAGCAATACTTCTTTATAAGTTGGGGGTACAAAAGTGAATAAAAGGGACCAAAATCTTGGTCCTTAGGGATCTCATGTTTTATTTTTCTGAAGCCTACTCTCTAGCCACTGAGCTAATTGTTGCTGGTACAATGGTGATGATAACAGTGATGGCAGTGATAATAGTTCATATTTACTGGGTGCATATCCTTTAATATTCATAACAGCTCTATCTTTATTCTGACATACAAGTGTAGAAATGGAGCACAGAGAAATGAAGTAAATTGTTCAAAACACAAAGTAATTAGTGGGGCCAGGATTCAATTCTGGGTAATCTGAATTTTATGCATCCTTGCTGCTCGTAAGCATTTTTTTGGTCTAGTGGAGAAGACAAGCATTAATTTAATGATATAATGTAGTTAATGTTATATGCAACATATCACCGTGAGCACTTTACTGCTATTAACACATCTAATTTTCACAACTTCCTGAAGTAGGTAGCATTAATGGCTCATGTTATAGGTGAAGAAAAGCTGAGAAAGATTAAGGAACTTGCCTAGGGTTTTATAAATGGACATGCAGCATATAATAATTTAAGAATGGAGGCTTTAGGGCTAAACTACCTAGGTTTGAATATCTGCTCATCTGTTTATGAGCTGGGTGACATTGAATTCTCTGTGACGCAATCCCTTCATCTGTTAAGAGGACTAGATTGTATATAAATCATAGTATCGCTAAGGAGTTAAAGAAATTATTTGTAAAGCATTTCAAATAGTTTTAAATATTCTCATTTTAAGTACTGTGTCAGCATTGGATAAATAAAGGATACAGTTGGTTCAAGCAAAATTATGAGTCCGGATTCCATACTTTGCGTTAATTGTACTGTCTGTCTTCTACTATGTAAACAATTGTAGGTAAGGTTACCAGGGAAATGGAAAGGAGGAAAATGATTAGTAATGGACAATGATTAGTAATGATTTAGCAAGGTAAGGACAAATTAGAAAAATAAAACAGTATTTAGTAGAGTGAACCTGATGATTTTTAAGTACTGTTGCAATAATATCCTAAATTATGGATAATATAGTTCTATAATACTGCTGAATTTAAAAATATATAACAAAGAGTGAAAGAATGTAAATCCTATTCAGTGTAATAGTCTCTGGGGATTTTATATGGAAAACGCAATCCAGACAACAATAAAATGTTGTACTCTTCCATGCCTAATAGATGTGTTGAATTCACTATGGCTTCCCCAATTTCATGAGGACATGTGGAACATATTGAGTAGCTAAGGCATACATTTAGGGAACATTAAAGGCCTAAGAGCAAGGGGTTTCTAGTGTTGGAGGCAAATTTAGCCAAACCCATCAGATTTAACTCATGTGAAAGGAAGGCCAGAATGGCAGTTACAATATTTGTTCTGACAATATAATTAGTTACATTATTTTTACTAGTTTTGATATGGGTGTTCCCTAATTAACCTTGTTTCAACTGAAGACATTGTAATGTTTTTCCTTTCCACAAAACAAAATCAAAAGCATTTTAAATACACACAAAAGGACTAAAACTCCACAAAGGTGCATGGGAATTTAATAATAGCAGGATTCCTGAAAATATTTACACCCCAACACTGTTTCTATAATGGTTCTTCCAGACAAATAGAAAATCCAGAATTTTACACAGCGTATTTGCTCCATATTAAATAACATGTATCTGTATTTTTGGAATATTATTTCTCAGGCAGTTATGGGATTTGTTAAATAAATCTACATTTGAAATCACTAAGTCTTATTCATAATTCTATAATTTTAAGGAAATATAATTGAAGATTAAGATATTTAAACCCTTTAGAAGAGTGACTTCATATGCCCCGGTTTTAGGGAAATGGCCTTCCTTCAATATAGTACGGCTCTGAAATGCTGTTTCACCCCTGGATCCCCGTACCCTCCCTGCCACCCTCCCAAACAAACTCAACTTCCCCTTTGACCTCAGCAGACCTAATAGTCTGTTTCTCATTTGTAACTCTTCCTTTACCAAACTTAACAAGATTTTCTAACAAATCTGCTCACAACAGCTCTCCTCCCACTTCTTGACTGAACAAGGTGGGCAATTCACTAAATTTTCATATACTTCTGGGGATACCTCCTCAAGAAGATACTGAATTTAAATGCTGGCTTTAGTTGCTAATCCAAAATGGTGATGGCAAAAATACTGTTGTAGCTGTTACATCCCTTGTAATATTCTTACAAGTGGCAACACTAAGTGAGAATTGCTTTTGTTTTTACTTTTCTCCTGGATGATGACAATACCAGACACTGGTACCAAGATTACTATACCAAGAAATTTTTTCTATACGATTCAATAATTATTATTTATGAATATTCAAAGCAAACTCACTTACATTTGAAATTGTCTATGTTATCTAATAATTTCACTGTAAAGAAAATGCATAGTCATATCAATTGTATAATTATATGTACATGTATAACACATAGCTGTACATGTTTTAAACATGTAATAATTATACATATGCATTTAAATGTATGATTCATATGTATATATGCTTATACACACAAATCATATATATATGATTTTGTTGTAAATTTGATAAGAACGTGCCTTAGAGATATAAATTCAGATTATCTTCAAAGTATAGAGATATGTATTCGCATATTACATATATGAACATAAAATACACATAAATGTTATATAAATACATATGTGTATATGTGTGTGTTTACTTACAGGAAGTTTTATCTACAAGAGGTTATGTTTGACTTGCTTATCAAATGTCTGAAGCTTGTGCACGTTTGTGGATTGAGGTAATCCGGGCAGAGATGGATGATTTTATGATTCAAATTTTGTTTTAATACTGTAAACTGTGAGATAAATTTCATTAAAATGCTGCTCTTGTTGGTTTTTTCCAATATCTACTTTTATATCAATAAAAATATAGCAATTAAAACACAGTAAATTAAGAATTCTATTTAAATTACAGGTTGATTTCTGCTTTCTTTTTCTTCCCAATTTGCATACATTTAAACTCAGAACATATTTAGGAAGTAAGATTTTTAATGTGGGAATGTACGGGTTGTTTTCGTTGCATGTTACACAGTGAGTGTATAATAAATTGGTTTGTGTTGATAAGTTACCACAATTTAAAATTATAGCAATCTAGACCAATCTCACATGTGCTTTAGAATTGCTCTATCTTCTTGCAGACTGCTCTTGGCAGTAACAGGACTATTTTTTTTTTCATCGTCAAAAGCTAGGAACATGGACCGTCTCATAAAATAATAAACTGATGTCACATTGTTTTAATGTATTACAGCTCAGGAAAGTTAGTTAAAATTTTATCTATAATATCTAAGACATGTTTATATAAAGTTAAAGCATATGTAAAAACAAAACAGCAACAACTAAACCGACTATAACAAAATAAATCTATGTACTGTACCATTGATTATCTGACTAAATAACTAGGAGTCAGAGACACACATGGGCTCAGCCACCTGCTGAGACACTTACTGGATAAGTAACCTTGGCTGGTCAGCTGTGTTCCTCACGCCCCATGGCAAGAGGTCATTTGAAATAGAACAGTAGAAATCAAAAGAGATGAGGGCATTCAAGACCATCTTAGCAGTGAATTGACAGAATTTTGTGATTGTCTCAATGTGACAGAATTAGAAAAAAAAAGTTAATGTTCTTTTGGGAGACTGTGGTTATGAGATGGTGATGATATTAAAGGAGATAGAGAATACATAAGGAAAGCCAGGAAGGAAGAAGTTTCCATCTTAACACAAGTTAATTTTGAAGGGGCTAGGAGATATCTAGGAAGAGATGCCACAGTTGGAAATATGATTAGATCTCAGGATAGAGAGAGCAGGTGAAGATGGAGACTAGGATGATTGTCATGTGTCAATTATACGTAGGCATAGAATATGAGGAAAAACAAAAGAATGGATGATATTATTTGGGATATTATTTGGGAATACTTATAGGTAAAAGAACCAAACAGCAAAAACCCAATAAAAACAACTTTTTAAGATTTTTCCACTCCACTTTTTAAGGCAAAAAATGTGGAATAGGTGAATGACTGAGAGAGGGTAGTCAAGATGTAGAAGAATTAGGAGATGTCATAAAATGGAAGGCAGATGGATATTCAAGAAAGATAGCATAGCATGTGAAGAGTTGAAGTAAAGAGATAAAATAATATCTGGAAATATGCTCTGATATTTAATCATTAGAAGATTATATTTAACCATTGTAGGAAGAGTTTCTGGTACACTGCTGGAAACAAAAACTAGATGGAACAGTTTTTAGGAGTAAATAACAAGAAATTTGAAGAAAGTGAGGTAATACAACATTAATGGTCTAAATAGTCATGTTGTAGATTTATGGCTTCTTTTTTCATCTTTCTCTTTTTTTCTGTTTCATGGGCTTATACATTTTTAAGTAGTAAGCAATAATAAAGTCAAATTGTTTCTAAAATTTTTCAACTTCAAGTATTCATAATTAGAATCTTAATAAATTGACTTTTTACAGATTAAACCTCAATTTTCAGCTATATTAAATTAAATATGGAAAATCCAGTATTGACTTATGTTATCTAAGTGGATCTTCTTCCCTCAAACCCTTACAATGCTGAAATTAAACATTAAGCAATCTTGTATCACTTAAATACTTTCCTGGTTTTTTTCACTGTTCTTATTATCTATTTTTTAATTCTCAACATAAACATTACTTTTTGTTACTTTGAAAGAGTTTGAAAGAACTATAGTTTCAGGAGAGATAAATTTCACTGTTCTTTGTTAGAATACCAATAAACATAAATACTTACTTCAAATGTACTCTTATTATGGGAGAGCAAATAGCTAACACATTTCATTTTCTCTAATATAAGTATGTATATATTCTTTCAGAATAATAAATATATCCATCATTTTAGCCCTAAGTTGTATAGTTTTTAAAAGCATAGCCAGATGCTTCTGGGCCAGCCATATGCCTCTAAGTAAAAATTAAGTACTCATGGAGATACATTTGCTCTCTGGATTTAGTGATATATTGCAACTCCAGCACATTAAAATGGACAAATTTTCCTAAGTGGTTTATTTATACCTTTGGAACAGCATGAACATAAATCAGAATTGTGCCCAATTGTCATCATTATCATTTTTCCATTTCCTCTATCATGCTTTGTATTGATATCCCACACTGGTATGATCTCACAACTCTGCAAGCTGGAGGTGAGCTATTAAATACCTTGGCCATTGGTAGACAGAGGTAATACTCTGAAGTATAGAACTCTAAATTTAATGTTTTCTGACTTCATCGTATATCTGAACATGAGGTTTAATGCAAATAGTAAAAAGAAAAATTCAACATAATAATTATGAGTCTACACAGGACCTCTTATAAGCATATTCCATTCTCTATAACTATAAAAATGAGATCATTACCCAGGATCTTTCTTTCTACTTTAATTATCAATAAATAATGTCATGGTTGTCATGTCTCAACCACACTTGGCAGGGCATAGAGGAGAATCTGTATTCTTGAATATTGTTTAGTAGCTTTAACTATAAATGAGGATTACCTTACAATAAAGCAGCATTGTTTTAGAAACAATGTTAGCTTTGTGATTAATGAGGTGATGGATGAGGAACATATGACTGTTTCCAGGCTCATTCCAGCATTTTTCTTAACTTCAACCTCAGCCAAAACTGTCAGTACTAATGACAAGATGACCAGATAATGTTTCACCTGTGAGTGGGGATCTTGACTGCAATTTAAAATTTCCAAAACTTCCACAAGGTACAGCTCTTATGTAAAGCCAAGATTTTTTTTTAATCTTCCAAAAAGCTTAAAAACAAATGGGATTGCAAATCTCTGAGGAGGAAAGAAACAATTCAGATTTCACTCTTGGAAGTCTTAGAAGTATAGGCTGATTAGCAAGGTGACTGTTGCCCAGAGACCAGAGCATGAAAACAAAGAATATTTTTAAGAAGAATCCTAACAATAGATATGAGCCTAATATTGAGTGATACAGCCATTCAAAATGCTGAAGCCTATAATTTTTGATGAAAACGTTTTGAAAGGTGTATTAAATTCTATCATCTCATGGTAGACATTAAACTCCTTGAGGTTAAGGACTATGTGTAAATCAAATGTATAAACTTCACTCTACCTGGTACTCAGTGCTGTGAGTTCCTGTCAACCTTTGGGTTGAAGTTCTGGCTCAGCGATAATAATCACAGTGTCATAAAGACTCATGCAATGGTTGATTTTCTAATGAATTCATTGAGTAGAAAGAATAATTGACAAAAATATGTTCAAAAAGCTGAATGGAAATGTATTTCTTAAAAGGAAAGATCTTCAGTAAACTCAGATGTATGCAATTAGCAAACTATTTTAACACATTTCCTCATCTTTGAAATGAAAATATAGAACTAAATATGGGAAGTCATTTCTAGCACATAGAACAACTCTGGAATCACAGTACTTTAGACCTGAAAGAAACCTCAGATGTCACCCAGCCGCAACTCTCAACTTTATACATGAAAAGTAAAATGCAGTGTTGCTTTGAGAAAGAACACACAGACGTGCTGTAAAATCACAGAAAGAATTAAACGTCACAGTTAATTTAAAATTATTTTGATTCAGAAAAACATACTTGTTTGATGTTTTAAGAATATTATGTGATCATATTTTCTGACAATATTTAAAGGAACATTGTTGTGGTAATATTAGCCTATACACTGGCAATACCACTATTTTTACATTATGAATACATTATCCAACCAAAATAGTCTATCGTTTTATGTGAATTTACTCTTTTCTGAATTATCCCATCATATTCAATGTGATGGAGTAGCCCTAAAAGTGACTTTTGGCTGCAAAATTAGAACAAAAGCAAGTAGGAAACAAAGCAATAGGAAATCCATTGTCCTCTTTTTCAGCAGCACAGTGAACTCTTCATGATTGTTGTATGTTTCACCAACATGACCAAAGCTAATTTTCCTCAGTGTAAAATATCAAGAAATATCAACAATTCATAAATCTATATTATAAAATATTTAATTAGAAAGGTGATCCCAGAGAAATACAAACCACAATCAAAGAATACTATAAACACTTCTACGCAAATAAACTAGAAAATCTAGAAGAAATTGATAAATTCCTGGACACATACACCCTCCCAAGACTTAACCAGGAAGAAGTGGAATTCCTGAATAGACCAAAAGCAAGTTCTGAAATTGAGGCAGTAATTAATACCCTACCAACCAAAAAACGCCTAGGATCAAACGGATTCACAGCTGAATTCTACTAGAGGTACAAAGACGAGCTGGTACCATTCCATCTAAAACTATCACAAGCAATAGAAGAAAAGGGACTCCTCCTTAACTCATTTTATGAGGCCAGCATCATCCTGATACCAAAACCTGGCAGAGACACAACAAAAAAAGAAAATTTCAGGCCAATATCCCTGCTGAACATCAATGTGAATATCCTCAATAAAATTCAACACAACTTCATGCAAAAACTCTCAATAAACTAGGTACTGATGGAATGTATCTCAAAATAATAAGAGCTATTTATGGCAAACCCACAGCCAATATCATACTGAATGGGCAAAAGCTGGAAGCATTCTCTGTGAAAACCAGTACAAGACAAGGATGACCTCTGTCACCACTCCTATTCAACTTAATATTGGAAGTTCTGGCTAGGGAAATCAGGCAAGAGAAAGAAATAAATGGTATTCAAATAGGAAGAGACGTCAAATTGTCTGTTTGCAGATGACATGATTGTAAATTTAGAAAACCCTATCATTTCAGCCTAAAATCTTAAGCTGATAAGCAACTTCAGCAAAGTCTAAGGATACAAAATCAATGTGGAAAAATCACAAGCATTCCTATACACAAATAGTCAATCAGAGAGCTAAATCAAGAGTGAGCTTCCATTCACAATTGTTACAAAGAGAAGAAAATACCTAGGAATACAATCTACAAGGGATGTGAGGGACCTCTTCAAGGAGAACTACAAACCACTGCTCAAGGAAACCAGAGAGGACACAAACAAATGAAAAACATTCCATGCTCATGGATAGGAAGAATCAATATTGTGAAAATGGCTATACTGCCCAAAGTAATTTACAGATTCAATGCTATCCCCTTCAAGCTACTATTGACTTTCTTCACAGAATTAGAGAAAACTACTTTAAATTTCATATGGAACCAAAAAAGAGCCCATATAGCCAAGACAATCCTAAGCAAAAACAACAAAGCTGGAGGAATAATGTTACCTGACTTCAAACTATACTACAAGCCTACAGTAACCAAAACAGCTTGGTACTGGTACCAAAACAGAGATATAGACCAATGGAACAGAACAGAGGCCTCAGAAATAACACCACACATCTACAACCATCTGATCTTTGACAAACCTGACAAAAGCAATGGGGAAAAGATTCCCTATTTAATAACTGGTGTCGGAAAAACTGGATAGCGATATGCAGAAAACTGAAACTGAACCCCTTCCTTAAACTTTATACAAAAATTAACTCAAGATGGATTAAAGACTTAAACGTAAAACCCAAAATGATAAAAGACCTAGAATAAAACCTAGGCAACACCATCAAGGACATAGTCATGGACAAAGACTTCATGACTAATACACCAAAAGCAATGGCAACAAAAGCCAAAATTGACAAGTGGGATCTAATTAAACTAAAGAGCTTCTGCACAGCAAAAGAAACTGTCATCAGAGTGAACAGACAACCTACAGAATAGGAGAAAATTTTTGCAATCTGTCCATCTGACAAAGGGCTAATATCCAGAATGTACAAAGAACTTAGACAAATTTACATAAAAAAAACAACCCCATCAACAAGTGGGCGAAGAATATGGACAGACACGTCTCAAAAGAAGACATTTATGTGGCCGACAAACATGAAAAAAAGCTCATCATCCCTGGTCATTAGAAAAATGCAAATCAAAACCACAATGAGATACCATCTCATGCCAGTTAGAATGGTGATCATTAAAAAGTCGGGAAACAACAGATGCTGGAGAGGATGTAGAGAAATAGGAACGCATTTACAGTGTTAGTGGGAGTGTAAATTAGTTCATCCATTGTGGAAGACAGCGTGGCAATTCCTCAAGGATCTAGAACTAGAAATACCTTTTGTCCAAGGAATCCCATTACTGGTTATATACCCAAAGGATTATAAATCATTCTACTATAAATACACATGCACACATATGTTATTGCAGTACTATTCACAATAGCAAAGACTTGGAACCAATCCAAATGCCCATCAATGACAGACTGGATAAAGAAAATGTGGCACATATACACCATGTAATACTATGTAGCCACAAAAAAGGATGAGTTCATGTTCTTTGCAGGGACAGGGATGAAGCTGGAAACCATCATTCTCAGGAAACTAACACAGGAACAGAAAACCAAACACCGCATGTTCTCACTCACAAGTGGGAGATGAATAATGAGAATACATGGATGCAGGGAGGGGAACATCACACACTGGGGCCTGTCGGATGTGGGGGGCTAGAGGGATAGCATTAGGAGAAATACCTAATGTAGATGATGGGTTGATGGGTGCAGCAAACCGCCATGGCATGTGTATACCTATGTAACAAATCTGCATGTTCAGCACATGTATCCCAGAACTTAAAGTATAATTTTAAAAAAAAAGAAAAAGAAGGAATTTAGATTTATTAAATGTAAATCTTGTCATGCTTTTTCAACTTATTTAGATTTTTTTAAAATGCAACTGAACTAGATGTGATTATGACCCAAAAATGAAACTAAGTAAAATTATTTGAAAGTAGGATTAAAAGAAGATGGAATGAGCTATAAGTATAAGCAGTTATTTATCCCACATAAGATCTAAACATATTTACTCATTTCTGTGAGCATCAATTTTCAAACCATAGGGTAGAAATGCTTCCAAATCATGACGTAATAGAGCATCAGCAATGCATTGGAGTTTAATGACCATGGTAAGTGAGATAGATGCTGGGTCTGGTTTAAATTGGACTCAAGACAAAATTTTTGGATGAGTAAGCGACACACTGTCACTTTAAGTGGAAGCTTATTGATAGATAATATGTACAAAGTGAGAATATATTTTGAAGTAGAAATCGAATTTCACTTCAGGAATGGAAGATGAACTTATTATCAAGAATCCTTGCTGCTCGAGTAAGCAGAGGACATTAGAAACGGATTGTGGAAACCAAGGTAACAGTTTTCCAAAACAGTATCTAACATTTCAAAGATTTCTGTGAGGTCACTTTAATCCACATATGGATTGTATCATTCTTGACATTTTACTGAAAGTAGGGAACTATAACTTTCATGAAAAATTCAGTCTTTGAAGATATTCTTTCCATGGAATGCTTCTTCATGCCCCAGTTTGTGCTTATTTTACAAGAAGCTCTAAGTAGGGCAGAACATGGATAAGGGCGGTGGTTGTTTTATTTTCATCTTTCTATGGCACGAAGTAAGTTATTATCTCTGTAACATTTTCTTCTCAAAGTTGAGAGAAAAATACAATCTGGGTTTGTGGTGATAATTGTTTCTTTTTTTTCTTTTTCTTTAGTGAATAAGTCTTTCTGTTTAATTTGCAGTCTCTAAGAGGGCAAGTGCAACAAAAACAGTGAGCCCTTTTCCTTCTATCAGCTTTGAAAGTTGTTCGTTAGATTATGTCGGCTGGACTTTAAAACATTTTGAAACACATCTCCAAATATTATGAAACACGGGTAAAACAAAATAGCTGAAGGTTTGTATCAGTTGAAGGACTTTGCCTGTCACAGAATTTAATTCAGCCCTCTGAGGCTAATTTTATTATTTTATGGATGAGGAAATGGAGAAACAGAGATGGTTAAATGATATAAATGAAATACCTTGCTTGCTAGTTGATCTAGAATTTGAATTCTAGCATTCTGAGTCTAGATACCACTTCTTTATGATCATGACCAGCTTATTATCTGAAAATCTACCAATACAAAGTTTCCTAATAATCTGAGGGTCCTCTTTTTCATTGAATGGCATCAGTTTGGGTACTCAAATTACGTATACACAGAAAAGGAATTAGCCTATCACAGACTATTTATTTTAGAACATTCTTTTTTTTTACAAAGAGAACTTCTCAAAATTGCTCTACGTGTTAAGCAAAGTTGAGAATTTTAAGTTAAAGGTATGAATGAAACATTAAAATAAATATTGAAGAACAAAAACAATGTATAGAAAGATATACATAAGGAAGGGTCTTTTGGGTGAGTGGTTAGATGTCACTGAAACAGTTAACTAAAATGGGTTATAAAATATGTCCCATAGACAGTAACAAATGCTTTCATCAAATACTTGTTACATACACAGTCACTCTGTCTTGGTATATGATCGTATCATGTTTCAAGGTGAAAATACATTCAACAAAGCAGCATATAATCGATGTGAATGAATGAGACACTGGTGCAAGGAAATGCGAACAGATTGGCAGCTGCCAATAGAATTTTTAAAAGTTTCTTAGTTTGCATACATTGAATGAAAAATTCGGCAATTCTTGTGGGCTACCAAATATTTCTGTGCAGCTTGTATCTAAAATACCAATGTGCAGGCAGTTCACTGATGTCCACTAAGCCAGTAAAGTAACTTACTGTTTCAGATATCAAATTTGTTACCATTAGTTACCTCTAGAAATATTATAGCCTTGATCACCAGACACTCAAAAGTGATTCTTCCTTTCTTTTCTAATTTTGTCATAGCTCTTCTTCAAAATCACTGTTATAAAATTGGTTTCTCATGTATGAAAGCAATACAAGAATTAAGTCAATTTTCTAAACAAATCAATAAGTAATCACATAACTCCTGGTGATTCTGATACACAGCCAACATTGATAACCACTTCTATACTGGATATTCGTTGAATTTTGGGTCACATGGAAAGCAACACTTTTCTTACTTGTAGAGAATCCCTAAGTATGAACAGGTAGAACCACACCTTTCTCCTGTGTATATTGAAGGGACACATATTCTTCAGAGAAATGTTCCTTTTTGGGTCAGGTATCATCCACTCAGGAGTGTAAAAAAATAAAAGTTGTTTGTGATTATGGTTCAATACTCATGGATGACTTTAATACTTATGAGTTAGATATCGCTGAAGCCTTAATTAGAAAATGGGCATGGAAGAGTGGAGAAAGTCCTGGACTAGAAATTAGAAGAAGTTGAATTCATGCACTCGACTTGTTGTCTAATTTGATATATGACCTTGAGCAAATTACTTAACCTCATCAACCTTTAACTTGTTTGTCTATGAAACTAAAGGCTAAAGCTTGGTAATCTCCAAGGGTCTTTCTTTAAGAAGAAGAACTGTATCAACCAAGAATCACTGAAAATACATTGAAGTACAGGGGAAATGTTTAACTGCTTTATCCTTTCCAAACTCACTGTGGGTCAGACTGTAAAGTGATCGCTGAAGCAAACCAGCTAATATACTTTACAAAAACCAGGAGAGTCCAGCATGTGCTCACAATGTGGCTGTGACTTTCCCATCTGCTGACAGACATCAGATCTTGTCATTAGCACAGTCAATGGGGTGCAAAATCCTGTGGAATTTGCTGAACTGAATAGAACACTACACATCACGTTGGGAACCTCAGACGCTGGCCATGTCAAGCGTTGTCATCACTGGTCATGTTCCTGTTCTCACTCCAGGGCCAGCCAGAGAGTCTGTTTTTTGTATTAAAGCCTGTTCAGGTCAGATAAGATCTTAAGCAATTACTTTGATTTATCAAGACTTCTCTTTCATTTTCAAGTTAATGATTTGGTTTTGTATTGATATTGTATATTGAAAAATATACACCCCAGATAATTAGCTTTATCCTAAATTTAGTGCACTAGAGCCCTAATCGGTCATGCTGTTCATCATCTAGGATAGGTATGGGAAACTTAATCTTGTATAGTAACTTTATATACTGTTATGGAAGATAAACGAGCTAATAAACATTGCACCTGCAGGTGATACAGCTCTGACATTCAAGTTAGAAACATGATTGTTCATGCATAGTTTTCATCAAAATAAATATAAATATCTGCATAGACAGTGCAAGGATATATTGTTTTACATAGAAGTTTCTATGTAGAAATTACGGACATTAAATATGATATAATTCGTGTGAAAAAGAGGGGACAACCTAAAATAAGAGATGCTCTCATGTTTGTGATAACAGAGTTGAAGGTGACAAAAGTACAATGGGGCAGGGCCAAGAAAGGGAAGAAGCCAATCAAAGTTAAGCAAAATCTAATGGATTGAATACACAGGTGATATCAACATCATTCTAAGTCCACAGAAACTTAGAAATGAAAAGATCTTAGAAACAAGACAGGGAAGAAAATAAGTTTCTGAAGGATTAGGTCACTCGCCTTAAGGTCGTAAGACTAGAACTAGGATCTCCAGACTCCTGAGCCAATGTTCTTTTCACTATCGCCCATAATCACAGTTTTAGATTATGTAAATATTTCCACAGTATGTAAATCGTTCAAATTTGAAAGGGATCATCATGGTTTTTTTTCATGGATGAAATGAATGTAATGAAAACAAAGCCGTGATTTGGGTTAACATTTGCGAATGCAATTTAGTAAAAGTCTCTTAAATAAAAATTGACCTGTTTTCTCACACATCATGCTTTCCATCAACCCTGAAGGCCTGCCTTGTGCCAGGGTTGTGCTAAATGCAAGGGATACAAAACTGAAGAGGACATGGGCTCTGCTCTTTGAGCATTTCCTCCTTAGTAAAGGAGACAGGCATATAAATAGATAGTTGCAAAAAGATAGGTAGGAGTGGTGATGAGAGCTCAGTAACGGCTAGAATTCAAAGAAAGAACTCGATTAGGAAGGATGTGCCCGTAGGAAGGATTTTAACTTATGTTTAGGCAAGTCAAGAGTCAAAGGGTGACTTAAAGCAAAAAAAAGCAACATGAATCTGTTCATTTAGGAAAGTTACTCTGCTTTGTTGTGGCAACAGACAAGAGAAACGAGAAGGTGAGACAGCGGGGTAATCAAGTCAAAAGCGGTTACTATAGCCTGAGAAGATGTTGAGCCTGAAATAAAAGGCATAGAAGAATCTGAGGCAGTAGTTACTTCCGAGATAGGAATACCCATCTCAAGAAGAAATTTAAAAATCACTGTAAATTGCTAGTGCGAGTAATTAAGGATTATCTAGATGGAGTAAAGAAGCTTCAGTTACGTGGAAGAAACTTTGGGTTTATCAGTAGAGATAAGTTCTGTTAAGGACATCTTCAGGTTGAGAGTCTTATGATTAATGCAATAATGTTTAGAGTCAGTTGAATGTAACTTCTACAGTTTGCAATGAAGGAGTAAAAATGGGATTGAGTAGCCTTCAGTGCATAGTTGATGGGGTAAAGAAAAGCACTAAAAGCAAGAAGAATAAAGACAGACTTGGACAACAACATAGATGAAAGATTCTAGCACTTTCTACAATTAAGTTATAATTAAACAGCAGGATGTCATATTTAGGGTGAGGGTTTTGTAAATTGTCCTGATGTTGCCTGGAATTCTCCTTTCTGGCTACATACCAATTCAAACACTTCACAAAATAGCTGAACTATTTTGCTTTAAAGTGTTAAACACGTTTGGATGAAACTTACCTTTATCTGTTCTCCCATTTCACAAGAAAATTTTATAGTTTGGATCTTATAGTCTTTTTCTAAGTCTTTGCCATTACATAAAGAAAATTATTGTCAAAGCACCTGCCACTGCTACAGGAAAGTGACAATGATTGGTTGAAGGCCTAGTCAAACACCACCTAAGATTAAGGAAAGTTGGAACTAAGTTTGTTTTGGCCATGGTGAGTCACTAATGAATAAAAAATCCTCATAGTTATAGATTCTTGGGCATCAGAGAGAAATAAAAGCAGCACATTAATTATGTTCAAGCATAATTAATGTATAAACATTATGTTTATACACAATTAATGTATAAACATTAACATGTTTATATACATATACATTAACATTAATATGTTTATGCATATGTTTATACATATGATATATATGTCAACATATCACCACAGAACTGTGGGCTGAAGAAAAATTACTTGTAGATTTTAACTTTTTTTACTGTTTCAAAAATAAATGGTGGCATATAAAAGGAAAACAGGGAGAAAAAATAAAGCAAGAGCTGACATTTTTAATACAAAATGTTTTATTGCCAGGATCCTATCTGCATGTCCTAATAATGGGCAGGTCTGGAAAACTGCAACGGAATCTTTGTCAGTAGGAAAGGACTCTGAGAACACTTTGAGGGTGACATAAGTGTTGGGAGTTACCAGGCAGTCCGTGAATCTCTGCCAAAACCATTAAAGCTTAACATGAAGAAGAGCTAGACAGTTTCCTTGATTTTTAAAAAAACATAAAGCATTGCTAATAATAAAAAGAAATATTTCATAATGATAAAAAGATCAGTCCACAAGACAACTGTAAGAGTTCTAAAGCATATACACCTAACTCCACAAAATAGCTGAACAACATAACTTCAAAATGTATAAGCAAAAAGAAAAAGAAAAAACTAAAGGAGAAATAGATAAATGTATATTCAGATAGGGAGACTTAACATACCTCTCAAAAACTGATAAAAGAAGCAGGCAAAATACTTAATGAGAATATAGAAATTAGACCAAGTTTTGTTAATTGTGTTTTCAGGATCCGCCCATACAATTCTTTTCAAGTGCCCTGATGCATTTATGCATTTTCTGGGACTAAATGTATTTTTTTTTTTTTTTTTTTTTTGCTAAATCAGGTTAATGCATTTCAAAAGATGGAAATAGCAGTGTATGTTCTCTGAACACACTGGGACTAAGACAGGAATCAATAAGAAAAATCTAACTAGAACACTCCCAAGTGTTTAGAAATTAAGCAATGTAGTTGTAAATAACTTGTAAGTCCAAGAAGAAATCACAGTAAAACATAACATATCACAAATTGTGGCATGCAGATAAAGCTGTTCTCTGAGGGTCATTTGTACTTTTAACACACATATTAGTGGAAAACAAGGCTGAAAATCAATGCTATCCATATCCACATGAAAAAATCAGAAAAAAAGAAAATGAAACAGAAAAAGAGAAAGAAGAAATAAAAAATTAAGAAAATAAATAAAAAGAAACAGGAAACAAATGTGTGGTACTCAACCAGACCAAAAGATGGTTTTCTGAAAGGTTTGAAAAAAATCAGTGCACCACTAACAAGGCTGTCTAAGAAAATATAAGGAAGATACACATTACCTATAACAGGAATAAAACCTAAGATATCACTAAAAGTCCTACAGATCTTAAAAAAAGTTAATGGGATGACATAATTTCATGACAATATATTTGAAAACTTTAGTAAATTGGACAAGTACCTACAAACAAAAATATATCAAAAAGGAAATAATAATTAGAAAATCTCCACGGTGACTTTTTTTTAGAGAAATTGAATCTGTAATTAGAAATCAGCCCCATACTAAATACCCAGGACCAGATTGTTTCACAACTGAATTACCCCAAACATTTAAGGAAGAAATAGTGACAAATTTAAGCACTGTAGAGCAGAAAAAGTAGGGACACTTGTCATCTCTGTGCTGATACTAGCATTTCTTTAGTAACAAATCTAGAAATGGAAATTATAAAAAGGAAAGTTGTAGGATAATCTGTCATAAAAATAAATGAGAAACACTAAATATATCAGCCTATGTAATGATATACAAAAAGGATAGTATGGCATGGGCAATCTGAGTGTATTTCTATTCAGGTGGGTTTGGTTAATGTTAGAGAAATCAATAAGTTCAATTAATCATATTTTTCAAAATTCAGGGAAAATAATATAAGCATGTCAATAGATGTAGAAAATTCCCTTGAGAAAACACACATCCATTCATGATTTTTTAAAATTAACAAATTTGGAACAAAGGTAATTTCCTCTATTTTATAAGTATCTATCTTTAAAATACTCCTTTATTGATTATTTTACCAAAAGTACTAATAAGTACAGTGAGGCAAGAAGAAATCAAAGTTGTAATGGTTGCAAAGAAGAAAATAATACTGTTACTGTAGCAGACATTAGAATTATGTATTTAATAAATCCAAAACAACTGTAAACTTTTAAATCTGAAAAAGAATTTAATAAGGCCATTGAATACAAGTTCAATATCCAAAAATTATTATATTTATACAAACTAGTATGAAGCTATTAGAAGTGATATTTTTAAATGGTACAATATTTAATGATATAAAAAACATTAAATTGCCTGTAATCCCAGCACCTTGGGAGGCCGAGGCGGGCGGATCACGAGGTCAGGAGATTGAGACCATCCTGGCTAACACGGTGAAACCCCGTCTCTACTAAAAATACAAAAAATTAGCCGGGCGTGGTGGCGGGCGCCTGCAGTCCCAGCTACTCCAGAGGCTGAGGCAGGAGAATGGCGTGAACCCGGGAGGCGGAGCTTGCAGTGAGCCGCGATAGATCGTGCTACTGCACTACAGCCTGGGTGACAGAGCAAGACTCTGTCTCAAAACAAACAAACAAACAAACAAACAAACAAAAAACCATAAAATTTCTAGGACTAAAACTAGCTCACATGGAAAAGCCTTTTATACAAACAATTAGAAGGAATTATTGAAAAAATATTAACTAGATGGAGGTAAATACCATATTCTAGATTGGAAAACTTGATTCTGTAAAGATATAAACACTCACAAATTGATTTATAAATTCAATACAATTGTAATTTTAAAGAAAACTCAGTATTTTTTTTGAGGGACTGTGCAAGATGATTAAAATTTATATAAAGATTCAGGGGACCATTCCAACAAAAAAGAAAAATAAAAGTTAGAGAACCTAACCTACCTAATATCCATACTTATTAAAATGCCAGTATTTAAGTCACGTTGTTATTGGTGCAAGGATAGAAAAATAATGCTTCAATGAACGTTCCAATATATATCTTTTTGTGCACATACCTATTCATTTTGGTGAGTATAATCCCTGCAGTAGAATTTCTGGGTCTTAGGATATACATATAGTTCTAATATACGAAGATATCATCAAAGAGCCTTCCAAAATGATTGCACCACTTTATATTTTCACAAAAAAGACATTGCAAAAGCCCTTGAAGATGGCTTAAAAGAAAATAAAATATTAATACATATGAAATGTTGAAGTAGAGGCAGAGTAAAGAAATTATTATAATTATTATTATCATTATAGATCATCAGCTATACTCATTGAAAATATTATATCCCATTCTTTGGCCTGGTACAAAATGTATCGTACAAATTCATTTGCATCAAGTTCAAAAATGGGAAAATTTAATTTCCAGAAAGATAGACAGTAGTGGTCACATTGAGGAGTTAATGACTGACGGGAGCCATGACGGAGATATCAGGTGTGCTGAGGAAGTTCAAGATGGCTATCTGGATGGTGGATATATGGTGTGTTCACATTGTAAAATTCATCCACCTGCTCACTTAGGATTTATGGACACTTTTGTATATATGCCATACTTCAAAAATGTTTACAGGAATTTAAAACATGAAAAACTACCAAGTAGGTATTCCGCTCTTGAAATGTTTTGACAAAAAACAATCTTTCACCCAATCCAAAAAAAGACACGGCAGTAAACTGAACTAGTTCTAGAAAAGTACTAGAAACTTAAGTTATTAAGAACATGCTTTGATAAAGGGGAAGATAGAGATGGCAGGGGGTCAAAGCATTTCTAAAATTATATGAGAAACAACAAACTCAAAATGTCTCAGAGGAGGAGGAAAGAAATAATATCACATACTTTAAAGAGTAATTGAAGACAAACTTGTTTAAATAGTTTTATGATTTCTGCAAAGCTAGACTTAGACATCAACGAAATATGTAGAGGGGTAGATGAGAAGTTCTAAGGGGTGGTTGAGTAGGAAGAAGTAAATGAGGTAGGGATACAAGATAATGTGATATAAGTACAGAGATATGAGAAAGAGGGTAATAAGAAAAATATGTTTTACACTTTGGGAGGCCGAAGCGGGTGGATCATCGAGGTGAGGAATTCGAGACCAGCCTGGCCAACATGGCAAAACCCCGTCTCTACTAAAAATACAAAAAAAAAAAAAAAAAAGAAAAACATTAGCAGGGCGTGATGGCGGGCGCCTGAACCCCAGCTACTATGGAGGCTGAGGCAGGAGAATCCCTTGAACCTGGGAAGCAGAGGTTGCAGTGAGCCGAGATCATGCCATTGCACTCCAGGCTGTGAGACAGGGCAAGATTCTGTTTGAAAAAAAAAGAAAAAAAGAAAAATGAAAAATGAGTTTTAAGTAGGAAAAATTGAGAAGAGTAAATGAAGAGAGATACAAAAGTGATTGTCAACAATATCAGTTCAGAAGATGGAAACAAAGAAGCTCAAATTACCTTTATCTGTAGTCATGTCATAAGCTTTTAGCAGACTTAATCAATTTTCTCATGTTCAGATGAGGTCTCTGGGGTGGTTAATGCTTTTTTGGTCAGGGAACCCTGTTCAATGTTAACAAATGCACTTTGCAACCCATTTCTTCAAGCATAACAGAGATTATTTCTCCCATGTTTGCGGGGGAGTCTTAGAGAAGTTAGGGCCTGATGGAGATTGATGGCAGCCTTGGAAGAAAACGTAGATGACGAATTACAGGCTTCACACTCTTAGCACGGTGCCCTGTTGATCATTACCAGGATTGTGTTACTCCTTCTCCCTGCTCTTAAGATCAAGGAAGGATAATTTTTGTTTACCAACAAGGCTGCTCTCTCGGTGAAGCATTTTTTCTTTCCCTATGTAGACCTTCATTTCAAATTGACCTTATTTGGGGTTCCAAGATCTAAAATATTCTAAGGGTTTAGGCATAGTTATAGAGTGATTTTCTGGTCTCATTCAAGTGAAGTTCAATTATACTTTACCACATCTTTACTATTTCTGTGTTTTGGATTAAGAAATGTTTGTCATCAGAAGTTCTGAGCTTCAGAACGATTAGAATAGTGTGATTGCAAAGCACTGCTTTTTCCACTGCAGCATGCAGCCCATGTATTGGATCATTGCTATAACATTTGGAGATAACGCAAACTGCCCTCCAACTGTACAGAGGTGTTGCTATTACATTTGCAAGCAGACATGGGCTATAACATTAGTGTTCAGTATCTAGCTCTATCAGCAAGCTCAGTGGGTCCAGGAGCAACATATCAACGTGGAATTTTCTGACAGTAACGGGTACCATTGTGATTTAGGAGGCAGTATTGATTCTAGGAAGAGATGTGGCTATGTACAGTTCAAACCCGTGACCCTGGATTTATTAAAAAAACATATTTTCTCAGGAACTGAAGTAAACAAGCTTGAGAAAGTGACAATATCTGGTAAACACGAACACATGCAGATTTTGTTTGAGGGAGCAAAACATTCAAATGACTGCTGAATTTTTTGTAAGCCATCCTGAATAATTACATAAGAGAAAAAATATCCACAGCTTAGATTTTGTAAAAAAGAAAATTTAAATGTAAGCAAACTGACAAAATGTGATAGTTGAAAGGAAATAGTACCATAATTAAGAGACCACAGGTTAAATTATAAGACACCAATTACAACACACTGTACATTGTAATAATAATTTTATTTTATTTCCATGGCAAATAAAAATAACAATGTTCGCTTTAGATTTCTAAGAATATACTTTTTAATTTTTATTTTATCTTTAGAAATATCACGGTAATTTTGACTAAAACATGTCCATGAGTGGGGGAATACTTTTTACTGCTAAAAAATAGACAAAATCATTTTGCGTTAAGTAGCTTGTTTCTGCTCATTTCTGCTTCACACATACAAAAAAATATGCAACTGAGACAAAACAAAGAACCACTAAGGCAATAATGTCTTTCTTTGGCTGTCCCATTTCCTTGACAACCAACAGGCGCATCCTCCACCCCTTCATCCCTCTCACCATCTCTGGAAGAGCTGTTAAAAAACATTCAGATTGAGTAGATAAAGCAAAGTTAGGAATTAGTAAAAAGACATTAAATTACTTATTTTAAAATTTGCTCTAATCTATTATGTTTAAAATAATGTTGGGTGAAAGTTCCCTATCAAATATTTTTAAATAAAAAGTTATATTTTACACTCCAACTTGGTGAAAAATTCTAAATGAACTGTAAGAAATAATTGAAATAAAATAGCAAGATGTAAATGTAAAACAAAATAGAATCACTTAAAATGTATATTATAATAAGACTTACAGTCTTGTCATTAAATGGGGCAAAAATAAGGAGGCCAAAAGCAACATATGGTTATATAAGTGTGATTGGGGCATCTATAACCTCCTTGTGCTGGCAGGTTTAACTTAGAGGGTAAGTGCATATATTAAATAAAATTGAATAATATACTTAATATAGTAAAGATTAAGATTACAATTGCACTTTCATAATCATTTTGGTATCAAATCAACTGGACAGTGATTTGATTCATATATCAGGTATCATGTTTTGTTTAGGCAAATAACTTAGATATCTAATTATTTTAAAATACGTATGTTTAAATGTTTCAAACTCCCTAACAAGCAGGATCCCATTTTCTCCCTGAACATTATGAAAACTAACAATAAACGTCCTTATATGATTTAAACATGTTTCTTAATCCCATCTTTTGCTTTACAATCAAACCATTTTGCCAAACTGTGTCTGATATTTTGGGGAAAAAAAAACACATAAAATGGGCATGGCTTTCCAAAGTAATGAAAACTATATTCAGAGCCCTTGAAAGTATTTGGAAACATTTTATAAGTTTTTGGAATGTCAGTGGCAAGTAAAATATATTTTCACCTACAATGTGATTAGAATAGACACTGCTAATACTACATCATCTCCTGAGAAAAATAATCTAACACAGTCAAAAATTTCAAAAAAAAATCTATAATTCAGGCTTAAGTCTTCAGCAATTTCTCTTTTTAACAATATGCATAAAATTTTCCCCGAGATCTGTTTAGAATGAGGCTCTGTTTCTAAGAAGGAAAGGAAGGAGCACATTTTATTGCTGGCCCATAAGCAAAGAGCAAGGCATAAAGCCACCAAGTTTATTGAAAAGTGGAACACATTTTGCCCAAGTTCTTAAGTTATTCAACCTGAGCTTTTCAGCTGAGCAGAAGGTAGAAAGCAGTTTCTGAATATTACACACCTAGTGAATTTGTTTAGCTTTGGTTATTAAAAATGTTTAGAATTGTAGTTTGTTGGCAAAATTCTTTTTTAAAAATTGTTTCTACTCATTAATCATTCACAATGCATACTTAAAGCCAGAAACTTTAATGCAAAAGAAGAAAACTGTTTTTGCTTTTGTCTTTCAGAGAAACACACTAAAGCACATTTGGCCTCTATAATATTCTTTATGTTAATGGTAAAATTTGAAGACTACTTTAAGCTAGCAGCCTCAATAAATTTTAAACAAGCCCATTCTTGGCATTGTCTAGTTAATTATGGAGCATATAACATAAACCTCATTTCATCATCTGTTTGGCAAAATATAGGGAATTATTGGGCTTTGACCTAAACTTAGAAAATCGTTGAGAATCACAGCAAATATTTCATTTTTAAACGACAAAGTACTTAATAGTGCTGAACAGATAGTAGGTACTTAAAAACATTTGAAGATTATTGAATTTGGATTATCACAAACTATTCCTAAGATAACTAGCCAGGCAAGAAAGATTTTACATTTGCATATTTGTGCCCAAGCTTAGTTACATAAGGGCACATTCGGTTGTTTTTTTTTTACAATTAACCATGTGTAAATAATAATAGAAATATAATTTTTACCAACTATTTTCTTTGTTATGCTAAAATGAACAGAAGAAGATGACAATATTTGATAAACTGTGTGTTGAGATGGTTTACTAAAGGTTGGGATTTCTCTTCAAACTGAATGACTTGGAAAAGTTACGATGTGACATATCAGTTTATCCTTACTTTTATTTGCAATAGTTGATAAAATACAAGGATTCTTACAAATCATATACTATATCTTCAAACTAGTATGAACACTGCCATAAAAACATGAACTCTTAGCTTTTAATGATTGTTTTTAAATTTGGGAAAGTCTCTTAAACATGTTCAACATAAATAATTAAGAAACATTACTTTCACAATTGTCATAAAGTGACAACAAAATAACAAAGTTATTATAAAACTTTGTAGAATCATGAAGAGCCCTTTATGGGGGCAGGGGAGAAAATACTAAATAGCTTCACAAAAACTTACATAACTTTAAGAATTTTCTTTAATTCAGAGGAAATAGAGGAATGTAAAATTAAAAATGTTATTAGAAGCAGGAAAGCAGGCAGGAACTGAAGCTGTGCAGTGCAGTCTTGGCTATTGTTATATTATTGCAGAGTCCCATAGGCAATCTTCACATGTACAGTACATCCTGGACCTTTTGATGCTTTTGTCCTCCCTCCAACCTGCACGGCCAGGAACCTTCAGCCAGGAAAGATTTATGGAGCTCCCACTAACAGGGTCAACCTTGTTTTATCACCAGAGGCCTTCTTCGTAAAAATAATAACATCCATCTACTGCTCTGTTGGGCTGATCCTCTTGGCATCAACACTTTGTGTTTATCTTAACAACCAGTGCACACACAAAGTCCCCAGTTGAAATGAGTGCGTTCATCAATTCTACCAGGCACAGTAGCACAGACTCCTGTGGTTTGTTAACCCGACATCATCTAAGCTAATGCCTAGGTCAGTGTTAGCATACTTCAAAAAGTTGATATAGTTTGTACTTTGAGATGAAGATATAGAGTTTAAAGGAAAATAATTTATAATAACAAAGGTAACAATATTTCAACAGAATCATGAGTAAACAGCCTCAAAATGCAACGTAGATAATTAAAATATTACAAATTACTAAATGGAAAAAAGTTAAAGTATCTTAAAAAGTGAATTATTTTTAGAATTTATCCTTCTCCGTGCACATGGCACACTGAATGGAAAAATATCTAATTTAAGGAACTATATCAAAAAGATATTATAACAAAATCTTGGTTCTTACTTTTAGAAGTCTTAAACAAACAATTTTTAAATATCAGATTTATATGAAATGGACTATTGTGTTGTAAGCATTAAAGATTTTCAGATGGGAAAAGCTTGCTCATTTTTAGCGACTCAATATTTAGGATATTTCATAAATCAATTAAATTATTGTTCCTGAAATTTTGATAATTTGTTTAAATCATTCATTTTACTCTCTGGTGGTATAAATGTGTGAGGTTTTACAAAATGTTTTGGGATTTCCTCTTGGAAAAGAATGTGCATAAAAATCTAAAGAAATCCTCAATATTTTATAGTAGTTGCATAAAGTAGTTCTTTCACAGAGATCATTCTTAACAATCTTGGTCCCCTGTGCTATGATGAGAGAGGCTTTTCATGGGGATTTGGCCAAAGGTTTTTTCTAGAGTTAATACTCCCACTCTTCTTCCTTAAGTGTGTTGGGATTATTAACATCCGCAACACAGACAGGAACTTGGTTTTATGCCTCAAGAAAAGAATGGATCTTTTTTCATATAATGATCTGCAGTGCAATTACCAATGAAAAAGCAATATTGTGCACCATAAACTGAACAATCTGCAAGGAACATTTTAGTAATAGACAATTCAAAATGCAGAGAGCATAAGGAATTTAAATCAAATGAAGAGGAAAATTGATATAAGAAAATAAAAAATATCCCACCATTTCATATACAAAGTAAACCTGAGGAGCAAATAGAATACCTGTTGTCTGCCCTTTGAGCTCATCAGAAACTTATGTTTAAAAAGAAAATCTTATGATTTAAAAATCAAATGTTATACAATGCTTGAAAGCAGTTAGTAATAATCTAACTTGATGAAACCAGTTATGCATTCTAGTTTAGCTCAAGCATGAATATTTTGTTAATAATGTCCTCTATCACCAGGACTTTGTGCCAAGTAGAGGAATAAAGGAAAATCCTGGTGGTTTAGCATCTGTAAATCTGAGAACTCTAATCTGCCCATTGTTAAATTAAATGGAATTACATTTATACACTGCTATATTTATTTATCAGTCTCTGAATCAACAAAGATGCATCAAATACTGTTATGTGCAGGCCCTGGAAAATACAGAAATGACAGCGGAAAGACCCTTGTCCAGTAAGAACTCATGGTTTAGTCGAGGGGCTTGGTGGGGGGAGTAATGAAATATGAGCAATACATAATTATTCAGTGTAATATGTGCAAAACTAGGCAAATTATACTGGGTGTTGTGACTTAAGCAATGCTAAGAAAAGTGTCATGCCTACGGTGATCTTAGCATCACTTGCTTAACTGGTTTCACACTGGTATTTATTCTAGTTGCCCTCCATTAGTTGAGATTGGAAATAAGTAAGTACACTGAAATTTCTGTTATTAAACCCTTAAATTTAAGTATAGTACTTATTATGTGCCATACCACAAAGTAAGTGCTATATAAAAAGTTCTAAGGACTTTAATACTATTAACTCATTTAACTCACTTCATTATATTAGCAACAGAAAATAAATCACCATGTCCTATGGCTAAAATGTAACGACACAACCCAAGATGAAGCCCCAAAGGAAAAACAGATTATCATGTGATACACTGTGAGAACATGGTATTCACCAGTTCATGCAAAATTCACTCTTTCGCATTTGTGAGGACTGAGGACCTCAGAGCATACCAAAAGAATTAAGACAGAGATGAAAGAAAAATTATCTCAGGGCATTATTTTTCTACTTGTAGTCAATGAACAGTATGTAGATCTTCACAGAGGAACTAAGCCATTTGGTTAATCCCAAAATCAGAGGGATTTAAATCTATCACCTTTCAACTGGTTGGGAGAAGGAAGGTATTGTCTTGCTTCCACACCCATTACTCTATTTAGACCAAAGTTAGAAACATTCGCAGTGCAGTTTGAAAGTAAAAGATAGTGAAAGCCAGGCTCTTTCCTCCTAAGACCTTGCATTGTGGCAACACCAACAGTGGTAGCATAGTCAGGGTGGAGCATTTCCTAATTTCTAAAGTGGTTTCAAAAATATCTTATTTGATACTCAGTCCAGGATTGTAAATAGGGAGATATGTTTTTTAATTGTGAAGTGAAATGACTGGTTTGGCATAACACAGCTAGAATCTAATTATCAAAGAAGTTCAGTGGCTTTTTGTGCCACCTACCCTATATCCAGAGTTTGTAGTTCCTTCCTGGAGTTAAGACTAAGTCCTACTGGGCTACTAAAATGGGTAAATGGAACCGATTGCAAACCCTTGCAAGTCATTTTGAGGCCCAATACGAAAAAAAAAAAAAAAAAACATTAATAATAAATTCAATCATTAGCCATAAAGAACGTCTAGACTTTCCGCAGGGCTATATAAGTCCTATGGAGACCAGAAATAGAATCTTCTAGAATTGCAGGTTCCAAATTGTGTCCTTAGGTGCTTGTGGTCCTCACAGTTCAAATGTACCTACACTCAAGAGTACTCCTTTCCTTTCAGTCCCCCATGCTCCCTGAATGGGTTTGAATAACTATATTGAGGAGGTTTTTATTATTATTATTATTAATTAATTTTTTACTAGGTCATAAGGTCAGTGAAGACAGAAACCTTCTTTATCTAGTTCACCGTTGTTTCCCCAACACTAATATAGTGCTTGAGACTTAGATGGTATGCAATATATCCATGTTGATTAAAGGAAGGAAGGCAGGAAGGTGGGGAGAAAGAGAAAAAGGGGAAGGAAGATGCTTCTGCAATCCTGCTTCTGTCCTAGTCCTTTTGCAACCTCTCCTTTTGGTCGCGCGTTGGGTTATCTTACCAGCCCCTCTGTCTTCTCCTACATCTTCAAGGAAGTTTCCATTTTTGAAGCCTTGACGCCATCACTTTCGTCTCTTATGATGGGACATTCAGAATGTTTTACAGGTGTTTTACTACTATAATCAAAGCTGCTATAAGCATTTTTCCCATTATTTCCTTAGAATAGATTCCTAAGAGTGGAAGGGTTGTTTCAAACTTCATGTGTAAACATTTTAAGGCTATAGCTTAAGGCATTGCCAAATTGCTGTAATAAAGGTTTATATCAGTGCTTTATTTTTATTGTTATATAATTTCAAACTTAAAACTTGCAGACAAGGTACAAGGAACTCCCATATAATTGTTATCCAAATTCAGCTTGTTTGTTTTTTTTGCGTTTTGTCCATATGTTTTGTTAGTCTCATTCTTTCTTTCTCTGTCTCTACTACCCACACACGGACACACACGCGCACAAACACACAAAACACACACACACACACACACACACACACTTCTTTTTTTTTTTTTTTTTTTTTTTTTTGAGACGGAGTCTCGCTCTGTCGCCCAGGCTGGAGTGCAGTGGCGCGATCTCGGCTCACTGCAAGCTCCGCCTCCCGGGTTCACGCCATTCTCCTGCCTCAGCCTCCCGCGTAGCTGGGTCTGCAGGCGCCCGCCACCACACCCGGCTAATTTTTTTGTGTTTTTTAGTAGAGACGGGGTTTCACTGTGTTAGCCAGGATGGTCTCGATCTCCTGACCTCGTGATCCGCCCGCCTCGGCCTCCCAAAGTGCTGGGATTACAGGCGTGAGCCACCGCGCCCGGCCCACATTTCTTTTTCCCTGATCATTTGATAATATCTTAGAGGCCTCATGCCCCTTTACCCCTGAATCCTTTAGAGTGCATATCCTGAGAAGAAAGAGATTCAGTTACACAATCCCAGTACAATCTTCAAAATCAGGGCATGGTTTGACAGACCTTCATGTGTAATGTATGCTTCTCTTTTTTTGTTAATTTGTGGGAGTACATAGTAGGTATAAATATTTATGGGTTGTATGAGATATTTTGATATATGCGTGCAATGTGTACTGATCACATCAGGATAAGTGGGGGTATCCACCACCTCATGAATTTTTCCTTTGGGTTACAAACAATCCAGTTATACTCTATTAGTTCTTTTTAAATTTAATGTATATTTCTTATTTCCTCCTTGACACTGGGTTAAGGAGTTTAAGGTCAACAAGTGAATCCCATGGTGCCATATACGTCTAGGATTTGGCATAGTATACTACACCTAATGGGAACTAAATAAATATCTCCTGATAACTTTCTTAAGACAACAAGAAAGGGGCTTTCCGCAGGCACTCCTCTACTAAGTTTTAATTTGAAAATAGAGGCTCATCAAAATGAAAACATAAGTGGTTCAGGATATTTGAGCACAGCTATGCTCAGGCTGTGGCATATGTTAAAACTGAATTTCATACCAGATCTAGAGCATTATGCTTGATTATATTCATGCTACAATTAAAGTAATTACTTCACTTTAAAATTAATGCACTCTAAATATGTTTAATGACTGAGATTAAGATATGCAATTATAGTATAAATACATGAAATGATGTTGTGGTGTGTTTATACTAATTACTATGTGTCGGCTAAAATAGCTGGAGTGAACACTTTAATAAGCACCCAGTAAAGCTGCTCCCAGCCTGTGTAGCAAAGATGCTCCTGGACCATGTGCCACATGGGAGAAGCACTGTGGTTGGAGCTTTAAGTAGAGAAAAAAAAGTTGCCTTTTTCCTCGTCCATTTGATAGTTATGTCAATAAATGGCTAATGAATAGGAATTGCCTAATGCATGAAAATCCTCTTAAGTATAACAGAAAAGATCTTGACTTGAGTGCTCCATTTTGCACAAGCATAGAAATACAGACACAATTTACCAGAATAAATATAGTGTCCTGAAGAAAATGTAACTCTGCAGGCAAAGCCGCTTCTCTCTCGCAAGCCTGTTGCAAAATTCCTTAGGTCTCAGACTTACTAAATGCAAGTTTTGCACAAGCATAGAAATGCAGAGTGTATTTCCTAAGAAGAAAGACATTTTTACAATTTGCCTGAGAAGGCAGCTGCCATAATTGTAAATAAATACTGATGAATATAGCCTTGCATTTGCTAAGCCTAAGACCTAAGGAATTTTACCAGTATAACCTGAATTATGACTTTTCATTTGTTTGCTTTAGCAAATAACACATAATTTAATGTGTTATATGTAATAATATAAACCCCCATCATGATGCTTTTGCTAATACATGTTTGCTTTATAACGTTTTGCCTGGTGCTTCAAAATATTAACATTTTATCACCTTAAGCTCCAGGACTCAGAAGGCTTTGGTTGTTCCCAGAGAGTTGTAAGATTTCCCCTTCTCTTCTCAAACTTACTTAGGCTTGGCAATGCCCAATAGTTTTGGCATTCTTCCAATAACTACCCTTTCCTTTTTATGTTTATGCTCCACTGTGTTTCAGAGATAATTCAGTCCATGTGTTTCTGATTCATTGACTCGTATGCCATCAAAGTACTGTTGCTTAGAATTACTTGATGCCCAGGTAGTCTTACTAAGCCAGTTCATACATCACTTCTCTTTCAAATAGAAGGGGGGATTTTGTAAGCTTTACAAAGTAACTAGCAGGGAAAGTGTGTTTGATTTTAAATTCCTGTAACTCATAGCTTCCCATGTCTCAGTTTTTCAGCACATTTACTGTCTTAGTCTGCTCAGGCTGCTGTAACAAAATACCATAAACTGGGTGGTTTAAACAAGTGACATTTATTTCTCACAGTTCTGGTGGCCGAGAAGTCCAAGATCAAGGTTCTAGCAGATTTGGTTGCTAGTAAGGCCTTCTTCCTGGCTCATAGACAGCCAGCCACTTTCTCTCTGGGGCTTCATACAGCTTTTCCTTTGTAAGTGGGGATGGAGACTCTCTCTCTCTCTCTCTCTCTCCTCTCTCTCTCCTCTCTCTCTCTCCTCTCTCTCTCTCATTCTCTTGCTCTCTCACTCTTCCTCTTCTTCTTCTTATAAGGGCACAAAATTCATTGTGAGAGTCTCATTGTCCTGACCTAATCTGAATCTTGGTCACACTCCAAGTACCATTACTGGAGATTACAGCTTCCACACGTGAATTTTGGGAGACACAAATACTCAGTCCATAACATCTACAAAACACTGGAAACACATTAAAGAGGCAATAGTCTTGGATATAGATTTGCACAGCTTGGGTGGAACTGCAAACAGCATCACCCCTCTCATGGAGATGAGTGGAAAGGCCTCAACTCCCATATGATCACCTTACCAACTTGAGAGGGTGACACCACAGTGAGAAAGTGAGAAAAGCAATTGACAAACTAAAACTAAGATGTGCCTGATCAGCTGCAGAACCAGTTTTGCCACTGAATAAATGATTGGCTTTGTGCATCAGGGTTATAAAGAGTGCTGAGAGTAAATCAATGTTATACCTCAACAAAAAGACAAATTACTGTATTTCAGATAAATATTCTTTTCAGAGAAAAGGGCAGGGATGCTTAATATCTATTATAAAAGGCTTAGATTCCCTAAACTCAGGGTTTCTCCCCTGTAATGTAACATATTGTGTGTCTTAGTGTCACCTGGCATTTTTTCGTATTTGCTTGTGAGAATTGAGGCTGAGGAATCAAAAAAAAAATGCTAATACTATTCCTACTGCAATTGCCACATGAATGATGGGCAAATGAACAGATATGAAATAACACAAACACATGAAAAAGTTCATTGTAAAATCTAGCGAGTGGGTGGTTATGTGAGTGTTTTTATGTAATTTTGTCAACTTTTCTGGTTTATTGAAATATGTATAATAAAATATTGGTTACATACATGTTTTTAAAAATCTTACTTCAATTGGTCAGAAATTGAATGAAATTAGCAAAGCGCACTTGCATTACCTCACCCTGAATATTCATTTGTTCCCTGTCATTTACTCTTTTATCAATTATTGAGCAGATTTCCAACCAGCCGAAACCTCTGAGGTACTTTAGCAACACCTGTTGTCCCTCAAATGCCCCATATACTTGAGCCTATTTCTCTACTATCCAATCTTGTCTACATTATATTCCATTCTTGGCCAGCTCTTTGCTGGCTATAAATTTTGAGATGGATTTTATAAAAAGCTTCTTAGGTGTGCCATAGAAGAAGAAGATATGAGCTGGAAGTCAGAGGACTGGAGCCCTCACCGTAGTTCTCCCACTGATTCCTACAATTAGCCAGTGTTTGTTGAGCAGTGAGTAATTTTTGAGATAATTTGACACATTTAGTTCTCACAACAACCCTATCATTCCTATTTGACAGATGAGAAAAGGTGAGTCAGATAGGTTATATATTTTGGTAAGGGTTTCATGATACAGGCAAGATTTGAACAGTGACTTGTCAAACTCCAAAGCCTGGGACTACAACCACTTGTTTGTATTGTCCCCCAAGCCTCATTACTTCTTTCTTCCTATAATAAAGATATCTTATTTCACAGGAATTTTTTTAACATCACATATAAAATCTAGTTGAGAAACTATATTTTAAATTTTATGGAATTCTATAAATGGAGGTACAAACATCATCAAGGCATAGAAAACTCCACACTGGCTTTGAGAAGTGAAATACAGTGTGGCATCCCATAACAGCAACCCCTCAGAAGAATACCTCCTTGCTTAACAATTAGACTTTTTTACTTTGACAATTACAACACAGTGTGTGTGCATGCACCTTTAGTCCTATTAACACTAAAGCTCACACAAGAACACAATTAATTGATTCATTCTAAAATCATATATTTATTATTGCAATTTAACAGAAGGACTTAATGACTATATATTTCCTCAACTCAGTGGTTACTAAAATCGAAAGCCTACAAAAATCAACATAAAAAAGCATTTTTGGGTCCATCTCTAAGATATTCCTATAGATTGGGTTGGATAAGCTGAATTTGAAGATTTTAGAAGCCTTACTGGGTTATTTTGAAAACAGCAGATTTAAAGACCAATGCCTCAACAAAAAGAAATATGTTTGGAACAATACTTTTATGGGCATCATATCATGCTTGATGGGAGAAGTATTTGGTAGCAAGAAGACTCTTCAAGTTATACTATGTATACTGCACCCACAACACACACGATAATTAGCTCGGTTCCCCTCAGTGAATTAGATCACAGGGATTAAACATACTATGTCAAAAGCTTATAACTTACAATAAGGCTACCTAAATGTCAGTTGTATTTATGTTATGCGGGAAAAACACCTCAGAATACAAAAGCTATCCAAAAGCCAATTTTTCAAAAGAAATTATTACAATTACTTGGCACACAAATAACTTGTTACAATTCTTTGCTAAACTTTTTCATCTAGAAAAACAGTAGTAGTGATAATTTATTTTGTATACTATCAAAGAAAGGTAGTTAGTGGGGATATTTAGTAGTTTCAAGTCTAACTATTTTTTGCATCAGAAAACTGATTAATACCTTTTATTGGAGATATTACTCTGCTAACTTACATTGTTTAAGTCATTGTATACATACAGGAAGCAAAAAATGACTTTTCCATGCTAACGTTTCTGCAGTTTGTTACAGATGAAAAATAGTTTCATTTTGTGTGCACAGAATAAAGAAGGTTAGAAGGTTACAAATCATGTTTGTATAAGGTATTACGGCATCTCTCCAGTCAATTGGAAAATTAAATTTATGGATGCACTGACCAAATCAAAACAATGTGCTTTATTTTTTTCTCCAGAAAATCTTCAGCCCAAATAGCAATTTGGCTTCCTATTCCTCTACTTAGAAAATGCGTTTTGATTTACTACAAGTGTCTAATTTAATCAAAGATATGAACATGTAAATGGTATCTGGTTTCTGTTTTATTGTGTTTTCAGAACATAAATGAGAAACAGTGAGAAACGTACTTTCTGAAGACATCTCTTGTATATTTTCTCAGCAGTGCTTCTAGATTTCGAACTTTTTCAGAAGCATCTAAAATGTAAGAAAGTTTTATTTGATATCTAATATGAAACAGTCTCTGAGATAAAAATTATTTCATCCCCAAAGAAAGTATGAATTTGCAGGAGATATACATGCTGAGAGTAGAAAATATTAGCATGCATAGAGTTACAGAATTCTTCTTATTCTTGTGTTTAACATTGAAAAACACTTAAAGTTCCAAGTTATGATTCCTAGATCTTTTCAAAGAAGATCATTGTGAAGTGAACACCTAGGGAATGATAGATAAAAACTCCGATACAGCACATTTCTGCCTGTCTTTTCCGTCTAGAAGTAAGCTTAAGAGCAATGTGCAGGAGGCTTTCATCCCACAACAGCCTTTCTATAAAGGAGTCAATCTTACCTCAATAAAGATGTTTTTTTAAAAAACAAAAATTCCACTCCAGTCACTCACCTTTTGTGTGCCTGAGTAGAACCAAACAAAACTTTGAAGCAAACCCTCACCTCTACATGTACGTAAAAAGTTGTAACATACTTCATCATTACTCTGATCAGAGATGTTCCAACTGGCTTCCAACAGAGTTTATATGCTATTAAAATTTTTTACCTATCAGGCTGGCAAATATCTAAAAGCTCAACAATACACACTTTTTTGGAGAAGTTGTGAGAAAACTGGCACTCTCATGCAATGTTGATGCATATACAAAATGGATCAACCCCACTGTAAGGGAATTTCCAATAACTATCAAAACCACATATTCATTTCCCCTTTGCGGCATCCTTTCTAAAATCCATAATGTCTTAGATCTACATTTCCAAAAATGAATAAGGGATATATGCACGAGGCTATTTATTACTTCCAAAGACTGAGCTAATTCAAATGTTCAACAATAGAGAACTGCCTGAATAAATTATGATATACCCAAAAATGTGCAATGCAACTGTAAAAGAGATTAAAATGTTCTCCAAGATATTTTACTCAGTGAGAAAAGCAATGTACAAATTAGGTTTATCATATGCAATTGTGTGAAGGAATGGGAATATTATATGTATTACGCACACACACACACACACACACACACATATATATATATAATATATATATTTTTCCAGAAAAAAGCAATTGGATTTTGAAGTAAGAGTTAGTAAAAATGTTTACACAGATGGATAAAGACAAAACTAGGTATGAGTATATATGTTGTATATGAAAGCAAATGCTCTCTGAATGTACATTGTCTTACAGTTTTGGTTTTGGATGCAAATTATCAAATTAAAAGAGAAGATTAAAATTTGTAAAAGCAATTCTTAAAAATTAAAAATAGTTAACAAATGAGCTTAACTGAATACCATGTTAATGACATACTAGAGAAGTCTTATTTCTAGTGCTTTTAAACTGAGTCTTTTGAGTGTCTGTCCCAGTCAGGGAATATTCAATGGACAAAAAGAGCCACAAGGAGTTTAATGTTGCATTAAGTGGCCTTGTCTTTAAAGAAAGTGGAATAAATCAGATAAGTAATGGTATTAATGTCATTAGGAACCAAATTTCTCATTGTAAGTAAAAAGATTTTTAAAAAGTAATCCAAGAAGGAAAACCCTACAGTATTTATTTTTATTTGAAAATAAGAGTATCGATTCATGTGCTGTATATGAGTGTGTGTGTGTGTACATTTTTTGATATCAAGCTTATAGAAAAGTTTCTAGAATAGCACAAGAAACTCCCATAACTCTTTACCAATTTCCCAGGAAAAATATTTTTAAAATATTTTTTTAAAGGAAGAAAAGAACCAACTTCTGAATTCATCCATCTTTTGTATGGTTTTCCATGTCTCAGTTTCCTTCAGTTCAGCTCTGATTTGAGTTATATCTTGTCTTCTGATAGCTTTGGGGTTTGTTTGCTCTTGTTTCTCTAGTTCTTCGAGCTGTGATGTTAGGTTCTTAATTTGAGATCTTTCCAACTTTTAGATGTGGGCCTTTAGTGCTCTAAGGTTCCCTCTTAACACTGCCTCAGCTGCGTCTCAGAGATTCTGGCATGTTGTATATTTGTTCTCATTAGTTTCAAAGAATGTCTTGATTTTTGTCCCCTTAACTTCATTATTTACCCAAAAGAAGCAGGTTGTTTAATTTCTATGTAATTGTATGGTTTGGAACAATTTTCTTAGTATTATTTCTATTTTTATCACACTATGGTTCGAGATTGTGGTTGGTATGATTTTATTCTTTTTAAATTTATTAAATATTGTTTTATGTCCAATTGTTTGGTTGATTTTTGAGTATGTGCCATGTGGTGATGAGAAGAATGTCTATCCTGTGGTGTTTGGCTGGAGCGTTCCATAAATGTCTATTAGGTCCATTTGGTCAAGTCTTGATTTCAGGACCTGAATATATTTGTTAATAATCTGCCTTCATTATCTGTCTAATGCTGTCAGTAGGGTGGCAATTAAAAAGTAAAATTTTCATAGGTGAAATACGACATTTGGGGTTGCCTTCATAATATTTTAGGCAAAAAAGTAGATGCTTGTGATGAACAAAATAAGAATGGCAGAATGTTGATAATTTTGAAACTGATAATGAGGACCTTGGGATATATCATGGTATTCTCTCCACTTTTGTGTATATTTGGAAATTTTTATTAAAAAAAAAATCAAATGTGAGAAAAATGAACCAATTGTTTTAATGACTGGTTTTAAGTCAAATCAAATTAATATACAAGAACTCCATTATTATGCCCTACAGAGGAAGATGAGAGGTGAAATAAAAGATAATACAGTGACAAATGCAGGGATGGTAGACTTATGATGGTAGGCGAAAAATATTGATAGCATAGGATTTTTTAATTTAAAAATAGGCCTAGGACATTAATTCTAGTAACAAATTGAGTACAATTGAACAAGAAAATGGAAAGCTACATAGCAGGAGAAAAACAGAAAATCTCTATGAAAAGTTGAGTCTGTCAAGATGTAACAATCCAAGAATAAATAATCCCAGGGAAATAAATCAAAATGAGCTGCAGAAAAAAAAATTGATTTCAAGGAGCTTTCCCTATCAGGGTAGTTAATTCTATATTTAGTTAAAATTGCCATATCATTTTTCCTTTAAAAATAAATGTCATCAAACTTGCCCAGAGAATATAAAATGGAAAGAACAATTTGGAGGCAGTATGCACTCTCAAGTCTTGAAGTCCAGAATCTAAGCCCGAATCTCAGATTTTGGATGACAATTATCCTGTTAATCCATTTGTCCTCTGTGGGCATTTTTTTCCTCATCTCCAAAGTGAGGGATATTAAAGAAATTATCTCAGTGTTCTATGATTGACATTCTGAATTATATGACCCAAGTTTATTTTTTCTTGCCTCTCCAAATTTCTCTGATTCTTTTGCACTGTTTCAGACTAGAGGAGATCAACTGAGTCCAGCCTTGCCCCTCCTCCTTCATTGCTAAACATTCTTTCGCTCCCCCCAAGTCCCCCACCCCTAAATACACATTTCTGGCAGCATGGGTGAATGCAAGAGGCAGGAGGCTGAGAAGCAATTTATAATCATATATACTGCTGCTGTCACCTTGGAGAGAGAGACAATTTATAATAAACAATGGACCTCTTAAAATTATCAAAGCAGTGGTCCTCAGCATATGGGGTCAGATCTCCAGAGAGTCGCTGATGGTTTTGAGGGTCTGGCTAGCATTTGTATCCTGTGTTGGCTCCTCATAAAGCTCCCTCTCACCTCTTCTCCTGGATTCTGTAAGGGCCACCCTAGGAAATGCCGGGGTAAATTAGTCTAAGCAATAAAAGATGAACTACAGAAAGGAAGACCTCAGTTTGGCAACTAAGATGAAAAGCAATGCTTTTGGTGGTTAGACGCTAGGTATGAAGAAACAAGAATGTGAAAAGCAAATCAGGTAACGTATTGAATGAAATAGAGAAAATTCTTTTCTTTCTATTTTGATGTAGTCACTAATGGGCTAGAGAGTTATGTGTGATATGGTAAAAAGAACATTGATTTTAATACCTGAAGACCTGTGATCAAATTGCAGTTCCATCCTGTTTTAGATTTCTGCTTCTGTGCTAGTAATATAGACTCAAACTTAGGGACATAGAACGATAATAAAAATGATTTCCCTCACATACCTGCCTTTACCTGTCTACACCAATGTCTCAAGGCCACCATTACTGGTGTCATTTTTGGAACTGAGACATTGATTCAGAGGGACAAGACAAATTAGAGACAAACTGACCCACCACTTTAAGTCATTCATTCATTTTTTTTCAATTCATGTATTCATTCAGTTCTTTCCTCTATAACCTACTCCACACAAGACACTTGGATAGATGAGATGAGCCAGGTTAGAAGGTACACCTGTTAATCTGGGATAGAGATGATTGTTGAACAAAGAGCTGGTGTCAAGCATACATTGTGTCACTTAATGCTCACAAGCACCTTGAGAGGGAGGTTTTATTATCCAGATTTTACAGATGAAGAAAGTAGGATGAAAAAAGATAAATAAATTATCCTTAAAAGATGAATACATTATAGCTGCTGGGTCACAGAGCAGGGATTTGAGAATAGGCTTGCTTATTTTTATTTAAAAAATAGGCTTAGGACATTAATTCTAAGTCTAATAGGAAGTTGAGTACAATTAAACAAAAAAATGGAAATTTATGTAGCAGAAGAAAAACAGAAAATCTCCATGAAAAGTTAAATCTGTCAAGAAGAAATAATCCAAGAATAAATAATCCCAGGGAAATAAATCAATATGAGCTGCAGAAGAAATAACTGGCGTCCATTTGTCTGTATTCCATTCATCTTTAAACCATTTATTGATGTATTAACATATTTCCAAGAATGGCGTAACACAAATATTATATTTGAATGTCATTGAAATAGACTTAAAATTATAATAGAAGCACTTTTTATTTGTACAACATGAGTCAGGGCATGCAAGGAACATAAGCATTTACTCATAGTCTCTGATAATACTGCAAACTTTTTTCTGAAATCACTGAGAAAAAGTGAATCCCATTTCATGCCCTCATTTAGAAAATGATAAAAACATATTTTACTCTGTAATAAGTAAAGTAAACATACTTTTATTTTTCAGGTTACAAAGGGAGACTGATTCTGCGTAATTCTGAAAATCATTATGTCTTGAATTGTCCTCAAAGCAATGACAGAGGCAATTCCACACAGTTTATGTAAAAGCCCTCTAGTCCTTTAAGGAGAAACTTAGTCATCCAATTAATACCAGTAGAGGGAGTGGAGATCTAAAAAGAATACATTTTTGGATGTAATATAAGGAAACTGTTTTTTAAAGGCAATGGTTATTTTCTGACCCAGCATACCAACTGCAGAAATAATGCTTTTAATGCATAAATTCTAATGTAAATGCTATATCTTCTCCTTCCTTCTTTAGTTGAATGCATCAAAATTTGTAACTAGAAACTTTATAAAGATAAATGTGAGGAGGGAAAAATTAGGGCCACTACTCTCCAAAGAACATTTGATATGTTCCAAGCCTGGCCTTCTCTGATGGTTTCTACAGTGCTGCGTATTAAGAAGCAAGCCTTTAATCTGTAAAGATGAATTTCAACCTCAAAACCCCCACTGGTTTAATGGAAGTGACATAGCTAACATGTCACAACAGTTTTTAGAAAGGTACTCCTGAGTGTCCAATTATTTTAAGTGCTTTTCCTACTCACTGTCGCTCAACTGATCATAGTGGATTTATTTGGCAATAACATTCCTCTGACATGAACTTCCGGAGGAATTGCTCCATAATTCAACCTCAGTTAATGTTGCCTTAAAAATTAAGTGTTTCCGTAAGTTTTAAATAGATAACAGTACTTTCTAACAACTACATTCTTGGATACAAGTTTATCCAGACAGGGTTAAAAAAAAAAGTTGGCAAGAAAGGTTTTTCCTTTTCTAGTTAAAATAAAAAAAAAAAAAGGGTTAAGGGAAAACATCCTGTCATGAGTCCTAGAAGAATGTCCCTAATCTGGAACTGAAGACTCAAATCATTTCTCAATATTCCCTCAATAAATGTGAAATGGTCAGTTTAATGTTCATCTCTTTCAAAAAATTATTAGTTATCATACTATAAAATATCATCAGTAATCATTCCCCTTTCATCTTTGAAGTATTTTTTTCTTTAGAATTCTTGTGTGCTCCAGGTCTTCAATTTTGTAATGCCAATTTTAATTTCATGACTATTATGTACAGCATTAAACTTGCTTGCTGCCCCAAAATAATCTGTACCTCTGATTTTATCCACGTTTCAAGTCAAATCATCTATTGCCAAACTACTACATTTTTTCATGTAGTGATATACGAATAGATGGAATTACTACATTGTACTCACAAAGAGAGCTATGATGTTTACTTAAAATAACAGGATTAAGAAATTAAGGCTATTTACTTTATGTTCTTCTCAAGGTCCTCAGGATTTATGAGTAGTATAGATGATGGGCCATATAGCCAAGGTAGGATGAGACGGAGACCTTGTATTCATGTAAGAGAATCCAAAGCTAAAACGTGTCTGTCTGGTTGAAATGCAGTCAACAAGGCAGGAGAATTTAGAGAAATCTGTGCGTACTCAGGCATACAACTAAAACTACTCCTTGCCACTCAACCAAGCAGGGAGATGTTATTCCTATATCATTCTAATGAACACAAAGTCTGTGTCACTCTCCCTTCGATTCGTTTCCTATTATTAAAATAAACAAAAATAAGCATTGGCCTCTACTTTTTGTTACACAGTTGTGAAAAGTCTTGAGTTTTTGTTCTTGGGGACAAAGAGAACATAACATGAACATAACAAGTGTGACTACTTCTGAAAAAAACAAACTAATGTTAAATTCCCATGCAGACATAATTTTAAAATATTTTGGATAATTTCTGTTTCTTCATAATTTTTGAAAAATATTTTCCTTGTTTAAATTATTAATAACAGAGTCTAAGAAATCCAAATAGACTCTGTATTTCTGTTTTTAAGAAAAAAAGTAAAACAAAAATTACTATCAGATGAGTCTTCTGATGACTTTTTAAAGTTTAATAGTTTCAGCATGATCCAAAATTCAGTACTTTAAAATGAAGAGTTCACCTACATAATTGGCAATTTGCCAAAGTTTAGACAACCACAGTGGCAAATTTAGAAAAGAACCAGAAAATACAATTTTGATCTCATAAAATTCAAAACTACCTAGAAAGAACATTCATTTACATTTGAACAGTGATTTCCCTTATTTTTATTAACATTCAAAAGTAGAGTCAAATTATTCAATTTACTTGGAAACAGACTTTGAACTCAGATACTTGAATATTGCTCAAAACCTCCAAAGATACACTGAGTAAAGTTTTCATAATTGAGCATTTACTCTGTGCCAGAAACTGAATGTAAATGATATGCATTATCTACCTTTCTAATTACTATTACTTTTTTTTTACAAATAAGGAAACTGAGGCAGAGGTAAGTTAAGAAACTGGCTCGAGTTACACAGATTCTAAATGACAGAGCAGAAATTCAAACCCCAAGGGTCAAGTTGCAGAGGCCATGCTCATAAACAGTACAGCACTTGCCCTCTATGTGTTTATGATACTAACATTCGTTTGTCTTTATTCCATACATCGGCATTATTCCTGGAGGACAATTACTCCCTGATAGATAACTATTCCTCATACTATATGTGTGTTTATGACTGTTTTTGTTTTGAAACTCAATTCAGTATTTTCTTTTATATCTTTGTTTGTGTAACAAGAACAAAAATAAAGCCAAGTTTCTCAAATATTATTTGGCAATTCTATTGTACCTGAAATAGTCTTCTTCATCTGCATATTAACTCCAATACCACTGTAGATGCAGAAACTGCTACAGCACATAGGAAATGGAAGATTCAGATAAAAGTGGGACAAAATATAGAGCCAGATCTCAGAAAGTGTGAGATGAGGTAAATACACACACAGACACACAGAGAGAGAGAGACAGAGAGTCCCTAAAAACAACAAAAAAGAGCTCTAATGCTGTGAGACTTAGAGAGCTACCCCACCATACCCCTTTCTCCCAAAGTTAAAGAAAATTAATTTTTCCTAAAATGAGCAAGAAAAAAGAATTGTGGTCTCATGTACCAAAGATCTGGCTGGGTCATTTAAAAAGAAAAGGAAATAAAATTTCCATCATTCTATTGACAATGGTGCTTTATTTTTTAAAAAAGAAACAAAGAAAAAGGAAAGGAATAACATATTTATGATAGTTAAGGAAAGTGTGAGCCAAGGATTTTATATGCAGCCATTCTGACTTCCAAGTACAAACTGCTACAAAAGTCAAGGACAAAGTGCTATCAGCATATACAAACTCAAGAAATATTGTTCTCAGTGGAATCTACTAAAGAACAAGCTTCAGAAAGCCACAATGACTGGAAAATTATCAACATAGGGATGGGTAGCATGAATATCAATACTAACATTGCAAAAAAAGGAATGCACAACAGTATGACCCCCCTGAGGAAAGAAAACAACACTACGGCTCAATTTATCTTGTCCACAAAGTCAAACTTGAATCTTATCCAGCCTCTAGAACCTACCAAGAATTCATAGGAATTACGTAGGACAGAGGCATATGTTTAGCTATACCACAGGGAAGGATCAACAAAACCTAGATAGCTGGATGTGGGTGGAAGAGAGACACGATGCCTTCAACAAATAAATTACAAGGAAATGGAAATGGAACTTATGGTTTAAAATAAATTTAACAAATAAGGTAAAAATTGCAGCGTCATAACTTTACTGCATCCTTATTTAAAAACTAAGCCACAAGAATTTTAAGACATTTATGACACAGTGGTAAGTTTTAACACTGAATAACTAGTTGATGATATTAAGAAATGTTTTTTAAACATTTTTACAGATCAGTCAAGTGGATATGTTAAAAAAAGAATTTTTAAAAAGGAACAAAAAAGCATATTAGATAGATATTACAGTAAACTATTCACAGATCAAGTGAATGCACTGATACCATGTCTGAGGTTTGCTTCACACTAATTTTGTGGGTGTGGATGTGGATATGAAAGGGGTGGGATAGGTCCTGAGGTGATGACTGCTGGGATGGGTGATGACTCTCAAGTGCTCACTTTTGTCATTGTTAAAAATGTACCGTAATAAAATTTAAAATGGAAATAAAATGAGATTTTCAAACAAGGAAAAGTTGAAAGAATTTGTTACCCGCATATCTGCACTTAAAATAGCACCAAAAGGGAGTTTCCGGAGAGGAAAATTATTCCAGATGAGCACGAAATAATGCAGGGAAAAAAATTAGTCCCTAGAAAATGCAAGCAGGTAAATCTAAATGAATATTGTTTAAAATAATAATACTTGTGAGGTTGAAATATACATAAAATTAAAATATCTAACAAAAAATGACCAAAACTTAGAAGAATTAATGGAATTATTTTGTGATCCTTGCATTGTCTGGGATGTAGTAAAAACAATAACTTACATTCAGCTGCGATGAATCATGGATGCAAGTTGACATCTGTAAAGTAACTGATTCTTTAGAAAATCGGAGGCTATAGTGGGTTGTTTGTTTTCATAAACAGTGGAACTATTGAAATGAATTTGTTTGAGGAAGCTGCTCCCTGCAATAAAAACCCTCTTTCATATTCATAACATGTTCTGTTAGGAAGTGGGTAATAAACATATGCAGGGAACTAAAAAGTGTATAAAGAGATAAGAATATGACAACACCAATTGAATTCAATCTAGTCCACAAGAGAAACAGATGCCAGGGAAAGTTCACCAATAAGAATGCTCGCACAAGACAGCCTCTGTACACTGCGCACAGTGGGAGATAGTCCACTTCTCATCCCTCACCTGTACTAGCTTTAACTTCGTATAGAAAAAAAAAAAAGTTTTTTTAACATTTAGAGAGGGGAAAAAAAAACCTAACCATATCTTTTGCCACATTCTGTTTAAGTCATGTAAATAATAATGTATGGATATTTAACACATAAAAATATACCATAATACATTCCATTCAGGTGAATGTAATTAAATGTATGTCATGCTTTCTACATAATTTAGTTTATTTTAAGAACATGGGTAAGTAACAAAAAGAAATTTAGTCAAAAATGCTAAAAATTGACAAACCAACTTTGCTTATTTGGAAACTATCCCTTACAATTCTACAGCCCTTAAAATTCTGGCACAAATTACTGCCTTTCAGGCTCACAGCTATGCAATCAGGTAAAAGGAACCAGTAGTGTTGTTTCTAATTTTTAGATTTAAAAAGGGAGACTCTGGAAGACTAAGTAATATAATTAAGAGCAAATAATTAGATACTACATTGAGAAAAGGAAATGTTACACTATGGTACTGGTATAAAACCATACACCCAAACCAATAGAACAGAACACAGACCTCAGATATAAACCTAAGCATATATGGTTAACTAATTTTCAACAACACCAAAAATACACAATGGGGAAAGAACAGTCTCTTTAATAAATGATGTTGTGAGAACTGTAGACCCACATGCAAAAAAAAAAATAAAAATGAAACTGGACAATTATCTTACACAGTACACAAAAATATCAATTTAAGATGACTTAAAAACTTGAATTTAAGACTTGAAACTGTAAAAATACCAGAAGAAAACATATGGGGAAAGTTCCTTAACATTGACCTTGGAAATTTTTTTTCTTGATATGACACTAAAAGCTCAGGAAACAATAGTAAAAATAAACAAATAGACTATATCAAACTGAAGTGCTTCTTCACTGCAATCAACAAAATGAAAAGGCATTCTACAGATTCAAAGCAAATCATCTATCTAATAAAAGGTATATGACCCAAGATATAGGAGAAACTACTCATCAGTAAAAAAATCCAAATGACCTGATTAAAAAATGGGCAAAGGACCTGAATAGACTTCTTTTCCAAAGAAGACATACAAATATCCATCAGGTATGTGACAAGGTGCTCAACATTACTAATCATCAGGTAAAATCAAAAATGCAATGAGCTATCACCTTACACTTGTTAGGATGGCCAGTATATATATTTTTAAAAGGCAGTAGATAACAAGTATTGGGGCGTGTGGAGAAAAGGGAACCCTAGTACACTGTGAGTGAGAATGTAAATTGGTACAGCCATTATAGAAAAGTATGGAATTTTCTCAAAATATTACAGGTAGAACTACCACATGATACAGCAACCCTTCTTCTGGTTAACATATCAAAAGGAAATAAAACCAGTATAGGGAAGAGATCAGCAGTACCATGTTAATTGCAGCATTATGTCAAAGAGACAAGATATAGAAACAACCTAAGCATCTTTTGTTTTGTTTTTGAGATAGGGTCTCACTCTGTCTCTCAGGCTGAAGCACAATGGTGTGAACATGTCTCACTGCAGCCTCCACCTCCGAGGCTCAAGTGATCCTCCCACTTCTGCCTCCCTAGTAGCTAGGACTATAGGCATGCACCACCATGCCTAGCTAAGTTTTTTTTGTTTTGTTTTGTTTTTAGTACAGACAGGATGGTGCCATGTTGCCCAGGCTAATTTTGAACTCCTGGGCTCAAACAATCCTCTCGTCTCCACCTCCCAAAGTGCTGAGATTACTGACATGAGCAACTGCACCTGGCCCTAAGCATCTGTTTATGGGTAAACGAATAAAGATACTGTGAGATGCTGTCATATATATATCTATATATATCATATATATATGTCATATATGTGATATATATGACATATATAACATAGAAAATTATTCAGTCTTACAAAAGGAGATCTTTCTGTTTACAACAACGTAGATGAACCTGGAGGATATTAACACTATTTGAAATAAGCCACAGAAAGAAAAATACTGCATCATCTCACATGTGGAATCTAAATACATCAAAAACTGTTAAGTCTCTACTTAACGTTATTGACAGTTTCTTGGAAACTGAGACTTCAAGCAAAATTATGCATAAGGAAACATTTTATTACAGGCTGATTAATATAAACAAGAGTTTATATTATAATATAATGTTAATGTTATAAATATAACATATAATATATGTTTATGTATATATGTATAAATATATAATATAATGTTTATATTATATGATAATATAAACAAGTTCCTATGGCTTATTTCTGGTCACAAAAACATCACCAAACTTCTAAAAAAAGATACACAACACTTCTAATGTTAAACATTGACATAAATGTGAACTATACATACATTTAAGAAAGACTAATAGTAAAAAGTAAGATCGTGTTCACCCACTTACTCCAGTTCAGTATCATGGGTGGTTGGAGCTCATCCTGGCAGCTCAGGGCACAAGGCAGGAACCAGCCTTGCACAAGGTGCCATCCTATCACAGGGCACTCACACACCCACCCACATGCACTCATGCAGGACCATGTAGACATGCCAGTGAACCTAATGAGCACATCTTTTATACGTAGTATGAAAGCAAAGTACCTGTAAAAAACCCACACTGATGTGGGAAAAACATGCAAACTCCTCACAGACACTGCTCCTGGCCAGGAATCAATTTTTTTTCTCATCAACATTATAACAAAATGACTTTGAACAAAACAACTTTCTTTGGGGACCTGCTGTAGAAAGAAACAAAGGATAGAGTGGTGGTTATTAGGAGCTGGAGGGCAGAGGAATGGGGAGATGATGGGCAAAGGGCACAAACTTGGACTTATAAGATGGATAAGTTCAGGAGACCTAATGTACAGCCTGGTGACTATAGACAAAGTACTGTATTGTATACTTGAAATTTGCTAAGAGAATAGATCTTAAGTATTCCCATCCCCCAAAAGTAACTATGTGAGGTAATGCACACGCTGATTAACTTGATGTGCTAATCATTTCACAAAGTATACATGTTTCATTGTACATGGAACATGTTGAATATATAGTTTTATTTGTCAATTATACTTCAGCAAAGCTGAAATTCTTTTTAATTAACTTACAAAACAAAAAAGAGGAAATTTGGACACAGACATCCACATGTATAGAACAAAGACCACATAAAGGCAGACAGAGAAGGCAGCCATCCACTGGCCAAGGAGAGAAGCCTCTTAAGGAAACCAGCCCACCAGACACCTTAGTCTGGGACTTACTGTCTCCAGAATCATGGGGAAATACATTCTGTTCTTTAAGCCAAGAGAATACACACAAAAAAAAAAAAGAAAGAGAAGAGAAAAGAAAATGAACATACAAAATAATTTTAATAAGATAACTATGACTTCTTTTGTAGCAGAATGGTATCACTCATACAAATGTTGCAATTTGAGACTGATACAACAGTTACAACTCTTTAATTGTACTAACCTCTTGTGTCATCTTCTAAAATAAAATAGCAAGCACTGATCTCTGTCATACAACACTAATGATGATGTCTGATATTTCTTTTTTAAAATTTATTATTATCATTATTTAGACATGATCTCACTCTGTTACCCAGGCTGGAGTGCAGAGGCGCCAACACGGCACCAACCTCCACCTCCCAGGGCTCAAGTGATCCTCCTGCCTCAGCTTTTCAAGTAGCTGGGACCACAGGCGAATACCACCATGCCTGGCTAATGTTTCTGTTTTTTGTTGAGTCGGGGTTTCATCCTGTTGCCCAGGCTGGTCTCGAACTCCTGAGCTCAATCAATCCACCCTCCTCGGCCTCCCAAAGTGCTGAGATTACAGGCGTGAACCACTATGCCCGGCCTAAAGTCTGATACTCCTTTTTCAATTGATAAGTATGTCAACTAGAGGTTTGCCTACATATTTAGTTGAATTGACTATTTGGAGTGTCTCACATATTGTCACTTAGTAAATTGCTTGCTATTTACTATATGGATTGGTATTCTCAGATAATATTTTCTAGAAATTTTTCTATTTCAATGTATTTTTATTTCCCTATAATTCTTTGGAGTAATGTTAGCATTGGCTCCAAGTACTATTCAATATACATGAAACCGCACTTTATTCTCTATGTTTGCTATCTTTTTTTTCCTTTTTCCTTTTTCCTACTATATTTTGTATAGTTTCTTTCAATCTACTATTGAGTAATGTTCTCTTCTGCTTTATAATCTGTTATCAGATCTGAGTACTCAATTCCATTTTCATAATTCTCATCTCCAGAAATTATTTCTTTTGCAAATTTGCATGTCACTTAAAATTGTTTTTGTAATCTAATTACTTGTGAGATTGCCTTTATTTCCTTAAAGGTATTACACATAGTTGTTTCATAATCTGTGTCTGATACTATTGAAATCTGCAGTTGAGTTTCATTTTTCTTTTGTTTTTGCTGATTGTCAAGCATAATTGCTTGTCTGTTTGTGTGCCTGATGTTCTTTGATATGTGATGGTCATTGCTATTGAAAAAATAATTGAGACATAGACGAACATTACTATTTTCCCAGGGGCTTTTACTTCAGTTTTTATCAGATACCTATAGCACAACTTTAAACCACAAAATGTTGTGGATACACCTGGCATTGTGGATTTTGACTATAATTATCTGTTCGGGCTGGTGTTTGATTTACAAACTCTCTGAGGCTATTTCTGTTTTTTCTTTCTTTATTTCTTCTATTTCCCCAGAATCAAGACAATATTTTCTTCACATTCTGGTGGGAGTGTGGGTGAGGTGGTGGATTTATAACTTTTTGACCCTTACCTTTGTCAAGTCCCCATCAAGGCAGACCCTGAGCTTTTACTCCTACTCTCTTGTCCCCCAAGACAATCAGGATCACTACTTATTTCCATGGCTGTTTCTGCAGGCTTGCCAGTGGCCACACAATAAATGTGGGTTGGAAAGCTACCTTAATTTTCTGTCCTTATTGTTTTCAAGATTGGGCTTGGAGATCTCTCACTATTTTGGCATCTCTCTGAAGCTAGCAAGACAGTTTTTATTTTTCATCCAAGAGTTTTAATTGACCTCTAAGAGGAAACCATTGCTAAAGGAGGAATCTCTCTTCAGTATTTGACACAAAAGATCATTATCTTCTCCTTGAAACACTTTCTTCACTCTCTTTCAGGACTTCACGCCACCACCCTTCTGTGATATTTTTATGCTGCTTCCCTAGTCTAATTTGCTGGTTCCTCCTATGACCCCCAAACACTAAATAATGGAAAACAACAGGGCTAAACTTTTGGAGTGTCTTCTTCCTCCAGACCCATTTCTTTGGATCTCAATCTCTCTCAAAGCTTTTAATACCACCAATATGCTAAAGATGTACAAGTTTATATCTCCAGTCTGAATCTCTTCCCTAAACACCAGTCTTAGATCCAACTTCCTCATTGACATTTCCACTTGGAGGTCTGATACCTCAATTTTAGCATATCTAAAATTGAACTCATCAACTCCTGGCTTATAAAATCTACTTATTGTGCTCTTTTCGGCTTAGCCCGCTTTTCTTTTCTCTGTTAAAGTTTCTGAGATTGACTATGGTATCAATAAGCCAAAGCACCTTAATCACTTAGCACTAATTCTTACGGATTCTGGAATAGTCACCACATACTTGTTATATATGTGAATGATAATAATTAAAACAATGACCGTAGTATGAATATGGTATTTAGTACCAGCCACTGAACACACAATGATTTCATTTAATCTCACCAAACGTTGAGAGATATATAGTATTTATGCCCATGTTACACAGAAAGTTGAGGCTCAGAGAAATTAAGGAATTTGTACACAACTTAAATATCTTCTCTAATCTTCTTTATAAAATCACTGCTCTAAAAATGAAGGGCATTTAAAAACTTGGAAAGGAAGTAAAGAAATGCCTTAAGAGAGTATATGAATATGTGAAAATGCATTTACATCTTCAATAAAAGAATCGTCATATGCATAACTACTTAATGTCATCAAGAAAGGGAAAAAAGTTCTAGTAGTATACTTTGCATGAATAATTGAATTAAGCTTTTTATTCAGCATCTCTTCCTCTTGTCTTTTAGAATTACTGGTTCAGGTGCAGAGACTTCTCCAGAAATGGGTTCATCAACTTTTGGGCAGCTTGCTCACTCCCTCATCTACCACATCTCTGTGCTCAAACACAAATAAGGGAAGGAGAGAAGCTACATCATCTATGTTAGGATTGAGAGGTTGCTGTGGGAGATGGGAGGCAGTGAGTGAGCTCAGCAATGCTGCAACAGTTTATCAAGTGTTGGCCTCCTCTTTCTGCATTTTCTCTACTCACCTTTTTCTCTCACCAATTGTCTGTTTAGGCACGGGAGGAAGTTAAACCCTAGAGAAGTAGCTCATCCATTGGGTGAATTTACAGAGGATGAAAAGGAAGCACTATGACTTTTAAAATTATTCTTTCAATGTGAGGAATCACTTCTGTCTGTTTATGCTTCTGAAACTACTAAAAGGTTTTACTCTGGGAAAACTCTCTAGTGAATTTCCACTGACAACTTTCTCTTTAGTAAAGACCTCCTTCCTAATTCACTTTGAATCAGCTTCCTGTTATCTGAGCAAGTCATCATACTTTTACTTTGGACATTATTTTTCTCTCCAGAATTGTATGAGCTTTAGGAAAACACAGAACCCAAACGGTTCCTTTCTCCCCACTTCTTCAGCTGTGTATTGGAGCTCAGCCAAAGAAGTTCAACTTGAAATCCCAGAGCCCGTTAAATCCCTGGAATTAGAATGTGCTTTGTTGTCATTCCCGTGGATGTACGTTTTGGCTTTTAAAAAGCATGCAAGGCATGGTAACCATGTGGAACATAAAAGACAATTTTGCTGTATATGAATGCATATTTAAATGAAGGCAATATCTGTCTCCAACTAGAACATTCCTGTGTCATGCTCCAATAGCCTTCTCATGTAGAAAGACTGAACTTTTCTTGTTTTATATTTTAAGATATTATTCATAATAGTTTCTAGGAGAATTAAGAAATATATTTCAAAAAGCACAATGTTGTCCTGTAGGATTTATAAGCAATGAAGTCATTTTGTTATTTCTTCAACAGTTTTCTTTAGCCTGAGTTAACTCAGAATATTTTCAAGCTGTTGATGAAGATGTTTAGTACTGTAGACAGGGTATGTGCATAGGAGTAGTTGGGAAGATGCTAGACAAAGGATATAAAATTTCAGTTAGACAGGAGGAATAGGTTCAAGAGATCGATCGTACACCATGGTGACTACAGTGAATAACAAAAATAATAAGTATGTGAGGTATGATGTAAATTACTTTACTACAAAAATAATAAGTATGTGAGGTATGATGTAAATTAGCTCAACTGAGCCATTCCACAATGTATACATATTTCAAAACATAATGTTTTACACAATAAATATATACAAATTTTAATCAATTAAAAATAATGAAATTATTGGAAGTAGGCCAAACATCATAATGTTTTAAATAACAACAATAAAGATTGCTCATACTTAAAAAAGGAAGAGAGAGAGAGAGAAGGAGAAGATGGTGAGGGAAGCATGTACAAAATCCCCCAATTATAGATGAGTAAATATTTTTTAAATGATTCATTTCTATTTTACGGTAAAAATGAATTCATCACAAATGTTCATCTACATATTACAAATGATACAGCAAGTTTTATCATTTTCCAAGTCTCAATTTTATTTAATTCAGTTTATGACCTTTACTGAACTGGTTTTACATATATAAGGTTTTTTAGTGCACTGTTAAATGGTTTAAAAAGATGAAAAAGAAATCTGTTCCTTTAAAAACCTTAAAAAAGTCGGATTACTGAAGGCTGAATGATGTGTTTACTATTTACAACTTCCTTTGTAAAGATGCAGGTATTGCATTCCTTGTCTTTTAAATTGTAACCTTATACATCTGTTGAGCACACATCTGGACACTTAGCTCAATTCATCATTTCCTTCTGTATATCCAAAAACTGTCAGTTATTTCACAGGAGACTCAGCCCTTGGGAGAAGTGAAAAAGTTACATCCTTTTTTTTTTTCAGGTTTTATAAACTCTTCCTTACCTTTTTCTGCAGGATATCGGTGAGTATAAAAATAAGCAGTCTGAATTCCTTCTGGCTCTGGAGAGAGCAGGATGGGAGGATGAGGGGCAAGGGCTTCATTAACATTTGCTTGTATAGAATAAAGAGAAAGAGTCTCCACATGAAAGAACAGACATTGACTGTCCAAAGTCATAACACAAGAGTCTTTTTTTTTTGACAAACTAAATACAATTTGAATGCAGGAAGGAAGCAGCTTGAACACCACTGAGAAAGATCAACACTTTTAAAAGATGAAGAGCTTATATTTGATAATGTTAAATTTTTCAACTCATCAAGACAATATAATGATTTTGAAAGTGTGTATTGTGCATCTAATATCATAGTCCCCAAATATATAAAGTCAAACTTGATGGAATCACAAGAAGGACTTATAATGAATTAATCATAATGCAAGACTTTAGCACACCTCACTCATTAAATTAAAAAGATAACAAAATGGAAAAGAAGAATAGTGTGATTAAAAAATTTAATCTAGTGTGGGGTGTGTGTGTGTGTGTGTGTATATACTTATTTTTTTATTAAGGCACCCAGATTCCCGAGCAAGATGGTCGAATAGAAACAGCTCTGGTCTGCAGCTCCCAGCGAGACCAATGCAGAAGGTGGGTGATTTCTGCATTTCTAACTGAGGTACCTGGCTCATCTCACTGGGACTGGTTAGACAGTGGGTGCAGCCCAAGGAGGCCAAGCAGAAGCAGGGTGGGGCATCGCCTCACCCGGGAAGTGCAAGGGGTCAGGAACTCCTTCCCCTAGCCAAGGGAAGCTGTGAGGGACTGTGCCTTGAGAAAAGGTGCATTCCAGCCCAGACGCTATGCTTTTCCCATGGTCTTCGCAACCCGCAGACCAGGAGATTTCCTTGGGTGCCTACACTACCAGGGAACTGGGTTTCAAGCACAAAATTGGGCGGCAGTTTGGTCAGACACCGAGCTAGCTGCAGGAATTTTCCTTTTTTTTTGTACCCCAGTGGTGCCTGGAATACCAGTGAGACAGAACTGCTCACTTCCCTGGAAAGGGAGCTGAAGCCAGGGAGCCAAGTGGTCTTGCTCAGAGGATCCCACCCCCATGGAGCCCAGCAAGCTAAGATCCACTGGTTTGAAATTCTCCCAGCCAGCACAGTAGTCTGAAGTTGACCTGGGACACTCGAGCTTGGTTGGGGGAGGGGCATCACCATTACTGAGACTTGAGTAGGTGGTTTTCACAGTGTAAAAAAGCCACCAGGAATTTCGGACTGGGCGGAGCCTACCGCAGCTTGGCAAAGCCACTGTAGCCAGACTGCCTCTCTAGATTCCTCCTCTGTGGGCAGGGCATCTCCGAAAGAAAGGAAGCGGCCCTAGTAAGGCACTTACTACATAGATAAAACTCCCATTTCCCTGGGACAGAGCACCTGGGGGAAGGGGCAGCTGTGGGCGCAGCTTCAACAGACTTAAACATTCCTGCCTGCTGGCTCTGAACAGAGCAGCGGACCTCCTAGCACAGCACTGGAGCTCTGCTAAGGGACAGACTGTCTCCTCAAGTGGGTCCCTGATCCCCATGCCTCCTGACTGGGAGACACCTCCCAGCAGGGGTCAACAGGCACCTCATACAGGAGAGCTCTGTCTGGCATCTGGCAGGTGGCCCTCTGGGACAGAGCTTCCAGAGGAAGGAGCAGGCAGCAATCTTTGCTGTTCTGCAGCCTCCACTTGTGATACTCTGGCAAACAGGGTCTGGAGTGGACCTCCAGCAAACTCCAGCAGACCTGCAGAAGAGGGGCCTCACTGTTAGAAGGAAAACTAACAAACAAGAAGCAGTAGCATTGACATCAACAAAAAGGGCGACCACTCAAAAACCCCATCCAAAGTTCACCAACATCGAAGACCAAAGGTAGACAAATCCATAAAGATGAGGAAAAAACAGTGCAAAAAGGGCTGAAAAACCAGAATGCCTCTTCTCCTCCAAAGTATCACAACTCCTCGCCAGCAAGGAAACAAAACTGGATGGAGAATGAGTTTGATGAATTTACAGAAGTAGGCTTTCAGAAGGTGGGTAATAAAAAACTCCTCCAAGCTAAAGGAGCATGTTCTAACCCAATGCAAGGAAGCTAAGAATATTGATAAAAAGTTACAGCAATTGCTAACTAGAATAACCAGTTTAGAGAAGAACAGAAATGATCTAATGGAGCTGAAAAACACAGCATGAGAACTTCCTGAAGCATACACAAGTATCAATAGCCGAACTGACAAGCAGAAGAAAGGATATCAGAGAATGAAGATCAACTTAATGAAATAAAACATGAAGACAAGGTTAAAGAAAAAAGAATGAAAAGGAACAAACAAAGCCTCCAAGAAATATGGGACTATGTGAAGAGATCAAACCTAGGTTTGATTGTTGTACCTGAAAGTGATAAGAAGAATGGAAAACACACTTCAGGATATTATCCAGGAGAACTTCCACAACCCACCAAGACAGGCCAACATTCAAATTCAGGAAATACAGAGAACACCACAAAGATTAGCCTTGAGAAGAGCAACCCCAAGACACATAAAGGTCAGATTCACCAAGGTTGAAATGAAGGAAAAAATGTTAAGGACAGCCAGAGAATAAGGTCGGGTTACCCACAAAGAGAAGCCCAACAGACTAACAGCAGATCTCTCTGCAGAAACCCTACTAGCCAGAAGAGAGTGAGGGCCAACATTCAACATTCTTAAAGAAAAGAATTTTCAACCAGAATTTCCTATCCAGTGAAACTAAGCTTCATAAGTGAAGAAAAAATAAAATCCTTTACAGACAAGCAAATGCTGAGGGATTTTGTCACCACCAGGCCTGCCTTACAAGAGCTCCTGAAGGAAGCACTAAATATGAAAAGGAAAAACCAGTACCAGCCACTGCAAAAGCATACCAAAATGTAAAGACCATTGTCACTATGAAGAAACTGCATCAACTAATGGGCAAAATAACCAGCTAGTATCATAATGACAGGGTCAAATTCACACATAACAATATTAACCTTAAATATAAATGGAACAAATGCCCCAATTAAAAGACACAGACTGGCAAATTGGAGAAAGAGTCAAGGCCCATTGGTGTGCTGTATTCAGGAGACCCACCTCACTTGCAAAAACACACATAGGCTCAAAATAAAGGGATGGAGGAAGATTTGCCAAGCAAATGGGAAGCCAAAAAAAAAAAAAAGAACCAAAAAAAAAAGAAAAAAGAAAAGAAAAATGCAGGGGTTGCAATTCTAGTCTCTGATAAAACATATTTTACACCAACAAAGATCAAAAAAGACAAAGAAGGGCATCATATAATGGTAAAGGCATCAATGCAACAAGAAGAGCTAGCTACCCTAAATATATATGCACCCAATACAGGAGCACCCAGATTCATAAAGCAAGTGCTTAGAGACCTACGAAGAGACTTAGACTCCCAGAAAAAAATAGTGGGAGACTTTAACACCCCATTGTCAATATTAGACAGATCAATGAGATAGAAAATTAACAAGGATATTCAGGTTGTGAACTCAGCTCTGCATCAAGCAGACCTAATAGACATCTACAGAACTCTCTACCCCAAACCAACAGGACATACATTCTTCTCAGCACCATATAGCACTTATTCTAAAATTGACCACACAATTGGAAGTAAAACACTCCTCAGCAAATCCAAAAGAATGGAAATCATAACAAACAGTCTCTCAGACCATAGCGCAATCAAATTAGAACTCAGGATTAAGAAACTCACTCAAAACTGCACAACTACATGGAAACCGAACAAGCTGCTCCTGCATGACTACTGGGTAAATAATGAAATTAAGGCAGAAATAAATAAGTTCTTTGAAACCAGTGAGAACAAAGACACAACATACCAGAATTCTCTGGGACACAGCTAAAGCAGTGTCTAGAGGAAAATTTATAGCACTAAATGCCCATAGGAGAAAGTATGAAATATCTAAAATCAACATCTTAACACTACAATTTAAAAAACTAGAGAAGGAAGAGCAAACAAATTCAAAAACTAGCAGAGGACAAGAAATAACTAAGATAAGAGCAGAACTGAAGGATATAAAGACATGATAAATCCTTCAAAAATCAATGAATACAAGAGCAGATTTTTTGAAAAGATTAACAAAATAGACTGGTAGCCAGATTAATAAAGGAGAAAAGTGACAAGAATCAAACAGACACAATAAAAAAATGATAAAGGGGTTATCACCACTGATCCCACAGAAATACAAACTACCATCAAAGAATACTACAAACACCTCTATGCAAATAAATTAGAAAATCTAGAAGAAATGGACAAATTCCTGGACACATACACCCTCCCAAGACTAAACCAAGAAAAAGTTGAATCCCTGAATAGACCAATAACCAGTTCTGAAATTGAGGCAGTAATTAATAGCCTACCAACCGCAAAAAGGCACAGGACCAGATGGATTCACAGCCGAATTCTACCAGAGGTACAAAGAGGAGCTGGTACCATTCCTTCTAAAACTATTCCGAGCAACAGAAAAAGAAGGAATCCTCCCTAACTCTTTTTATGAGGCCAGCATCATCCTGACACCAAAACCTGGCAGAGGCACAACAAAAAAGGAAAATTTCAGGTCAATATCCCTGATAAACATCAATGTGGAAATCCTCAATAAAATACTGGCAAACCAAATCCAGCAGCACATTAAAAAGCTTATCCCCCATGATCAGGTTGGCTTCATCCCTGAGATGCAAGGCTGGTTCAACATAAGCAAATCAATAAATGTAATCCATCACATAAATGGAACCAATGACAAAAAACACATGATTATCTCAATAGATGCAGAAAAAGCCTTTGATAAAATTCAACACCCCTTCATGTTAAAAACACTCAATAAACTAGGTATTGATACAACGTATCCCAAAGTAATAAGAGCTATTTATGACAAACCCACAGCCAATATCATACTGAATGGGCAAAAGATGGAAGCATTTCCTTTGAAAACTGGCACAAGACAAAGATGCCCTCTCTCATCACCCCTATTCAACATAGAAATGGAAGTTCTGGCCAGGGCAATCAGGCAAGAGAAAGAAATAAAGGGTATTCAAATAGGAAGAGAGGAAGTCAAATTACCTCTGTTTGCAGATGATATGATTGTATATTTAGAAAACCCCATCATCTCAGCCCCAAAATGCCTTAAGCTGATAAGCAAACTCAGCAAAGTCTCAGGATGCAAAATCAATGTGCAAAAATCACAAGCCTCCGTATACAAACAATAATAGACAAAGAGAGAGCCAAATCATGAGTGAACTCTCATTCACAATTGTTACCAAGAGAATAAAATACATAGGAATACAACTTACAAGAGATGTAAAGGACCTCTTCAAGGAGAACTACAAACCACTGCTCAAGGATATGAGAGAGGACACAAACAAATGGAAAATTATTCCATGCTCATGGATAGGACGAATCAATATCATGAAAATGGCCATACTGCCCAAAGTAATTTATAGATTCAATGCTATCTCCATGAAGCTACCATTGACTTTCTTCACAGAATTAGAAAAAAACTATTTTAAATTTCATATGGAACCAAAAAAGAGCCTGTATAGCCAAGACAATCTAAGCAAAAAGAAGAAAGCTGGAAGCATCATGCTACCTGACTTCAAACTATACTACAAGGCTAAAGTAACCAAAACAGCATGGTACTAGTACCAAAACAGGTATATAGAACAATGGAACAGAACAGAGGCCTCAGAAATAACACCACACATCTACAACCATCTGTTCTTTGACAAATCTGATAAAAGCAATGGGAAACAGATTCCCCATTTAATAACTGGTGTTGGAAAAACTGGCTAGCCATATGCAGAAAACTGAAACCGGACCCCTTCCTTACACCTTATACAAAAATTAACTCGAGATTTATTAAAGATTTAAACATAGGTCCTCAAACCATAAAAACCCTAGAAGAAAACCTAGGCAATACCATTCTGGACATAGGCATGGGCAAATACTTCATGACTAAAACACCAAAAACAATTGCAAAAAAAGCCAAAATTGACAAATGGGATCTAATTAAACTAAAGAGCTTCTGCACAGCAAAAGAAACTATCATCGGCATGAACAGACAACCTACAGAATGGGAGAATATTTTTGCAATCTATCCATCTGACAAAGGGCTAATATTCAGACTCTACAAAGAACTTAAACAAATTTACAAGAAAAAAACAACCTTATCAAAAAGTGGGCAAAGGATATGAACAGACACATCGCTAAAGAAGACATTTATGCGGCCAACAAACATATGAAAAACAGTTCATCATCACTGGTCATTAGAAAAATGCAAATCAAAACCACAATGAGATACCATCTCACACCAGTTAGAATGGCAATCATTAAAAAACAGATGCTGGAGAGGATGTGGAGAAATAGGAATGCTTTTACACTGTTGGTGGGAGTGTAAATTAGTTCATCCATTGTGGAAGACAGTGTGGCAATTCCTCATGGATCTAGAACTAGAAGTACCATTTGACCTAGCAATCCCATTACTGGGTATACACCCAAAGGATTATAAATCATTCTACTATAAAGACACATGCACACATATGTTTATTGCAGCACTATTTACAATAGCAAAGACTTGGAACCCACTCAAATGCCCATCCATGATAGACTGGATAAAGAAAATGTGGCACATATACACCATGGAATACTATGCAGTCATAAAAAATAATGAGTTTACATCCTTTACAGAGACATGGATGAAGCTGGAAACTATCATTCTCAGCAAACTAACACAGGAACAGAAAACCAAACACTGCATGTTCTCATTCATAAGTAGGAGTCGAACAATGAGAATATATGGGCATAGGAAGGGGAACATCAGACACTTGGGCCTGTCTGGTGGTGGAGTCAAGGGGAGGAAGGGATAGCATTAGGAGAAATACCTAATGTAGATGACAGGTTGATGGGTGCAGCAAACCACCATGGCACATGTATACCTATGTGACACACCTGCTCATTCTGCACATGTATCCCAGAACTTAAGTATAATAATAATAAAAAAGACACCCAGGAAGAATAAAAAATATAGCATTTAACTTACTAAATGGTTAACTACATGGTATGGTCATAGTAAGGTTGAGGGAAAATGAAATGTAACAGTATGTCTGAAAATGCATTTTATATGCTTTTGAAATATTTTAGATACATATAAAAATAAAAGTAAATACAAACAATTGAAGCCTAGTAGTAAACTTTCTGTTTGATATTTTTGTTGTGTATGTATTTGTATATGACATAGCAAATAATTAATATATACTATTATTATAAACTAAGATTTTCAATGTTAGACAATAGAAGTATAAATATGAAAGTGTAAGAGTAAAATGCTAAAATAGTAAACTTGAATTTGAGATATCAACATAAGATTATATATACTTTTTTTTTATATTCATATACACATACATATATTCTATCTCTGTCCACTAGGAGGAACAGGAAGAATATGCTGGGTAATGGTGTAAAAGGAATAATAGATTTTTTAAAATCATGATTTTATAACTCCAGTATAATAATTGATTCAGACGATTTTCAAAAATGAAGGCTAAAATAATTATGAAATGTTTGGTGGAACTAAGACATACCTATGTGCTAAAGTTTAATTGGTAATTATTTATAAAAAATGCTAATTTTTGACAACTAATTAAATTTTTAATGGCCCACAGGAAATTTGTATTTTCCTTACTTTATTGAATCAGTTTGGATATGCAACCATATTTTTCTAGAAACAGGTCTTTGTGGCCGGGCACACTGGCTCATGCCTGTAATCCTAGCACTTTGGGAGGCCAAGGTGGGCAGATCACCTAAGGTTGGGAGTTTGAGACCAGCCTGGCCAACATGGAGAAACCCCATCTCTACTAAAAATACAAAAATTAGCCAGGCATGGTGCACATGCCTGTAATCCCAGTTACATGGGAGGCTGAGGCAGGAGAATCACTTGAATGCAGGAGGCCAACGTTGCAGTGAGCTGAGATCACGCCATTGCACTCCAGCCTGGGGAACAAAAGCAAAATTCCATCTCAAAAAAAAAAAAAAGAAAGAAATATGTCTTTGTATGTCTTTGTTTATTTCACACACACAAATAATATATATAGAATTATATGTATGTAAAATTTATAATACTGGTGGAAACTAAAAATAAATCCTAACCCCCACTGACTGAATGGATCTCTTCTTGGTCAAGGGGACCCCAGAAAAACCTTAAAAACTGAATTCTTGGCCATGACAAAAAGGGAAGTCAGTCCTGCTTCATAATACTCCCTTCCTTTTGGAGTTCAGGCACAGCAACTGAGAAGCTTTTATGTTAAAATAGAAGTCTTCAGGCTGACAAAACAGACTCTTCATGGCAATAATGATAACGACAGGAAGCAGACAAATCCTAGGCAGATAGGGGTGGGCCCCTGGTGAAACCCGACTTTCAAACCAAAGACAGTTTAAAGCCTGAAAAACCAAGTCACAATCTTGGATAAATCTGCGGACTAGATTGAGAACCCTTCCTCCCATTTGGTATGACTTCCTCTGATTGATCCCCACCCTTCAACTATTTTACATATACCTACCCTTCCCTAATTGGTTTTTTACACTGCCATGCTCACCTTTGAGTGGTGTCTTTCAGCCTCTTTTGCATACTCACAAACCAATCAGCATGCACTCCCCAATTCTGAGCCCGTAAAAGCCCCAGCTGAGAGAGAGACCCCGCTGAGATCTGTTTCATTGTTCAAAAAAATTCTTCTCCGCCCTCTTCACCCTTCAACTTTCAGGGAGATCTCATTCTTCTTGGATGCAGGACAAGAACTCAGGACTCATCAAATGCAGGTACAAAGAAGACGGTAACACCGTGGCCCTCTGCCCTTGACCGGGTAAGGGTAGCCGCCCCACTTGATGAGAAGCAGAGGCGTAGCTGAGCCAGCCCAGGAGCCCCAGGCTGGAGAGGGGTAACGGGCTGACAGAACAGTGAGTGCACCGCCACCCATCAGGCTGCAGACAGTGGGCTAAAAGAGCTAATTAGCATGCTGTAACACACCCTCTGGGGCCTCAGGGTTGCAGGCACCTCTCTCTGGGCACCACTGCATTCCCCTCGTCTGAACACTGGAATCCACTGCAGGAGTTGCTTGCAACACGCCTAGTCCAGCCGCAAGCCCTGCATGGAACTCACTCCTGTGCCAGTGTTTAGAACCACGGGCCGCAGCTCGCACTAGCTCACTCACACACCTCCTCCCACCAGGGACTGAGTGCGCAGTCATGGTGGCCATGGGATTCACGCCAGGGTGCAAGCCAGGCACTGCCCGGCGGGCTGAGTAGATGGGGTGTCTCCTGCAGCGAACCCGGGTGGGAGCAAGGCCTGGGCAGGGGCGTTGCTGGCCGAAGGTCTCTAGCTGGCAAAGTGACTGAGAAAAATCCTGCATCATTTTGATACCAAATAATAAATAAGACTTAAGGCCCTACAAAGCAAAAGTTAAGTCTTGTCTGCAGGCCATCAATCTTGCTACATGGCATCCTTAACTTAAAACATTTCTTTTTGCTGACTCCAAGTTTTAGTGAGAGCCTTACTTCTTTAACAAATCGGAAAGTAAAGAGTCTCTTAAATTACCTATAACCTGCAAGTCCCCACTGCAAGATATCTCGCCTTTTCTGGCCAAACCAATGTATACTTTCCATGCATTGAGTTATGCGTTTGCCTGTAAGTCTTACCTCCCTAAAATTTATAAAACCAAAACCGTAATCCAGCTGCCTTGGGACCACTTAAGCCTTCTTGGGTTTGTGTTTTCCTGAGCCATGGTCACTCATATTGGCTCAGAATAAACCTATTTTAAATATTTTACAGAGCTTGCTTTTTTCCATTAACACAAGCATACCTCAGTTTATTGTGCTACACTTTATTGGGCTTTGCAGATATTGCATTTTTTGCAAATTGAAGGTTTGTGGCAACCTTGTGTCTAGCAATTTTATCACCACCATTTTTCCAACAGCATGTGCTCACTTTGTGTCTCTGTATCACACACTGGTAATTCACACAATATTTCAAACTTTTTCATTATTATTGTATCTGTAATGGTGACCTATGACCAGTTACTATTACAATTGTTTTAGGGGTCTCTCTATGTTGCCATTAAGTTAATGGATAAATGTTTTGTGTGTTCTGAGTACTCCACTTACCTGCAGTTCCCCTGTCTTTCTCTCTCTCATTGTGCCTCCCTGTTCCCTGAGACACAGCAATATAGAAATTAAGCCAATTAATAACCCTACAATCACCTCTAAGTGTTCAAGTAACAAAAAAAAGTTTCACATATCTCTCACTTTAAATTAAAAGCTAGAAATGATTAAGCTTAAGAAGGAAGGTAAGTTAAAACCTGAGATAAGATTAAAAGCTAGACCTCTTGTGGAAAGCAGCCAAGTAGTGGATATCCAGCAAAGAAGTTCTTGAAAAAAATTAAAAGTTCTAGTCCAGTGAACATATGAATGATAAGAAAGCAAAACAGCCTCATTGCTGATTTGAAACAAGTTTTAGTGTTCTGGATAGAAGATCAAACTAGCCACAATTTCCTTTGGGCCAAAGCCTAATCCAGAGCAAGACCCTAAGTCTCTTCAATTTTATGAGGGATGAAAGGGATGAGGGAGCTGCTGAAGTAAAGCTTGAAGTTAGCAGAGGTTGGTTCATGAGGTTTAAGGAAAGAAGCCATCTTCATAAAATAAAAGCACAAGACAAGCCAACAAGTGTTGATCTGGAAGCTACAGTAAGTTACCCAGAAGATCTAGCTAAGACCATTCAAGGTGGCTGCACTAAACAATAGATTTTCATTGTAGACTAAATAGCCATATATTGGAAGAAGATGCAATCTACAATTTTCATAGTTAGAAGTTTGAAAGCTTCAAAGAACAGGCTGACTCTCTTGTTTGGGGCTAATACAGGTGGTGGCTTTAAGATGAAGCCATTTACCATTCCAAATATTGCAGGGCTCTTAAGAATTATGCTAAATGTACTCTGCCTGTGCTCTAGAAATGGAAAAACAAAGCCTGGATTACAGCACATCTGTTTACAGCATGGTTTGCTGACTATTTTAAGCTTAGTATTGAGATGTATTGCTCTGAAAAAAAAAGAATTCTTTCAAAGTATTACTGCTTCTTGTCAATGTACATGGTCTCCCATGAGCTCTGATGAAGATGTACAAGGAAATCAATGTTTTGATGCCTGCTAACAAAATATCCATTCTGCAGCATGTGGATCAAGGAGTAATTTCAACTTTCCAGCCTTACTATTTAATAAATGCATTTTGTAAGGCTACCATTGCCATAGATAGTGATTCATCTGATGGATGGATATGATTTATTGAAGGCCCTGATGATCATTAGCATCTTTAGCAAAAAAAGTGATTTGTGATTAAAGTATATATATATTGTTTTTATAGATATAATGCAATTGCACACTTAGTAAACGACAGTGTAGTATTAGTATAAGCATAAATTTTATATGCTCTAGGAAACAAAAAAAATTGGTGTGAGTTTCTTGATTGCGATATTCACTTTATCATGCTGGTCTGGAGCCTAACCCACAACATCTTCAAAGTACACTTGTGTTACCATACATAATATTATATATTATACATAAGGCATCCTGTCTTGTGGTAATCCTGATCTGAAGTACCTAACATCGTTTATGAACTTTTTTTGCCAAAAAATATTTAACCTCAATCTAATCAATCCAGAGTCTGAAACTGACATCCAGTTTGCAGAGAGTTCAGAAGACAGAGGGAAACATTAAGCAGTACTAGGAGGAACAATCAGATGACTGGAATACAGACCATTTTTATTTATTTATTTATTTTGAGACGGAGTTTCACTCTTTTTTGCCCAGGCTGGAGTGCAATGGCACGATCTCGGCTCACCGCAACCTCCGCCTCCTAGGTTCAAGTGATTCTCCCACTTCAGACTCCCAAGTAGCTGGGATTACAGGCATGCGCCACCACACCCGGCTAATTTTGTATTTTTATTGGAGATGGAGTTTCTCCATGTTGGTCAGGCTGGTCTCGAACTCCCAACCTCAGGTGATCCGCTTGCCTCAGCCTCCCAAAGCACTGGGATTAGAGGCATGAGACACCGCGCCCGGCCAACCATTATTACAAGACAACTCTCCTGGACTCAGATGTAAATTGCATAAGAAAGTGGGGTTATGGCATCAACTTAAAAGACACAAAAAGACAAAAAAAACCTTGTGGATAAACATTGATTTGATCTAATTAAAACGTTCAAAACAGACATTCTCAGCTTAATTGGGGGAATTCTTAAAATGCACTGACAACATTAGATAATATAATCGATTTATTGCTCAATTTCTTAGGTATAATCATGGTGTTTTTAAAAGAAAAATGTTATTATTATTGGAGGATGCATCATGTAGTACTGGGGTGGTTATATTTCAACATACATGGAAAGTATTGAAACAAATGTACCACCCTATAATATTTAAATATATATTACTGTTAATGTAACTTCAAAAGAACTGGCATGTTGCTTGTTTCATCTGTCAATAATCTTCAATAAGTAGACACTATTATTTAATTTGGGCTACACACTAAAGTAACTGGGTAGTTTAAAACAACATCAACAAAAAAAACAACAATTAAGCTCAGGTTCTACCCCCTAGAGATTCTAAGATTCTAGTTCTTAGACTAGAATCTGTTCTTAGACTAGAATATATATATATTCTATATATATAGAATATATATTCTATATATAGAGTATATATAGTATATAAACTCTATATATAGAGTATATATATAGAATATATATATAGAATATATATATATACTATATATTCTATATATATTCTATATATATTCTATATATAGAATATATATTCCATATATACTATATATATACTATATACTCTATATATATTCTATATATATATTTCTATATATATATTTCTCTATATATATTTCTCTATATATATTTCTCTATATATATATTCTATATATATATTTCCATATATATTCTATATACATATTTCCATATAGATATTCTATATACGTATTTCCATATAGATATTCTATATACGTATTTCCATATAGATATTCTATATACGTATTTCCATATAGATATTCTATATACGTATTTCCATATAGATATTCTATATACGTATTTCCATATAGATATTCTATATACGTATTTCCATATAGATATTCTATATACGTATTTCCATATAGATATTCTATATACGTATTTCCATATAGATATTCTATATACGTATTTCCATATAGATATTCTATATACGTATTTCCATATAGATATTCTATATACGTATTTCCATATAGATATTCTATATACGTATTTCCATATAGATATTCTATATACGTATTTCCATATAGATATTCTATATACGTATTTCCATATAGATATTCTATATACGTATTTCCATATAGATATTCTATATACGTATTTCCATATATATTCTATATACGTATTTCCATATATATTCTATATACGTATTTCCATATATATTCTATATACGTATTTCTATATATATATTCTATATACGTATTTCTATATATATTCTATATACGTATTTCTATATATATTCTAAATACGTATTTCTATATATATTCTATATACGTATTTCTATATATATATTCTATATACGTATTTCTATATATATTCTATATACGTATTTCTATATATATATTCTATATACGTATTTCTATATATATTCTATATACGTATTTCTATATATATTCTATATACGTATTTCTATATATATATTCTATATACGTATTTCTATATATATATTCTATATACGTATTTCTATATATATATTCTATATACGTATTTCTATATATATATTCTATATATGTATTTCTACATATATTCTATATATACATTTCTATATAGATATTCTATATATACATTTCTATATAGATATTCTATATATACATTTCTATATATATTCTATATATACATTTCTCTATATATTCTATATATACATTTCTATATATATTCTATATATATATATTCTATATATAGATGACTGTATATAGATGACTGTATTCCAGATGACTGGAATACAGACCATTTTTGTTTATTTATTTTGAGATGGAGTTTCGCTCTTTTTTGAATACATATATATTCTATATATATTCTATATGTATATTCTATATATATTCTATATATTCTATATATATTCTATATATTCCATATATATTCTATATATATTCTATATATATTCTGTATATATTCTATATATATTCTATATATATATTCTATATATATTCTATATATATTCTATATATATTCTGTATATATTCTATATATATTCTATATATATTCTATATATATATTCTATATATTCTATATATATTCTATATATATATTCTATATATTCTATATATATTCTATATATATATTCTATATATTCTATATATATTCTATATATATTCTCTATATACATATTCTCTAAAAATATTCTCTATATATATTCTATACATATATTCTATATATATTCTATATATATTCTATATATATTCTATATATATATTCTATATATATTCTATATATATTCTATATATATATTCTATATATATTCTATATATATTCTATATATATATTCTATATATATTCTCTATATATATTCTATATATATTCTCTATATATATTCTATATATATTCTATATATATTCTCTATATATATTCTATATATATTCTCTATATATATTCTATATATATATTCTCTATATATTCCATATATATATTCTATATATATTCTATATATATATTCTATGTATATTCTATATATATATTCTATATATATAGAAAATATAAATATATATATTTTTTTAGAGGGAGTCTCACTCTATTGCCCAGGCTGGAGTGCAGTAGTACAATCTAGGCTCATCGCACCCTCTGGCTCCCCACCTTGCTGCTGTTCAAGCGATTCTCATACCTCAGCCATCCAAGTAGCTGGGATTATAGGATTACAGGTGCCCAACACCATGCCCAGCTAATTTTTGTCTTTTTAGTAGAGACAGGGTTTCTCCATATTGGCCAAGCTGGTCTCGAACTCTTGACCTCAAGTGATCTGCCTGCCTTGGCCTCCCAGAATTCTGGAATTACAAGCCTGAGCCACCACCCCTGGCCCAATAGCTTTTAAAGCTTTCAGTATGCTTCTAATGTGCAGCTACTGCACAAGTCAAACATCTAGCAAATGCTATGATAATGGATTGAGAGAACTATAATATGACTGCAATACTGTATGTTGAGTGAAGCAGAGGAAGCATCACTTCATCTATCCTAGTGTAGGTTAATGCTTCAGTAAATGTTTTGAAAACCTTAACAACCAAATCATTAAATATAATTTTTGTTTTCTACCAAAATAGTTGGTGATTTATATATGTCACCATGATCTAAAATAGATAGGATTGGTGTTGATATTAGTGTGTGTTGCATTTAATGAAAATTTTTAATTTTATTAGTAGGGTCAAGAAACGGCAAAGCCCATAGGCTCTGAGATTAACGGCCTTGGGCCAATGTATTAAGGCTCTGGTGCATTAGCTCTGAGAGTTGGGCAAGTTGCTTAAATTTGCTTTGTTTTGGTTTCCTCTTTTGTCAAAGATAGACATCATCAAGTTAGTTATTGTTTTAATTAAAGATGAAACATATATGAGAATCCCTTAGGAATACCTAGTAAGAACCTAGTAAATACTAATTAATTGTTAATATTATTTAATAAAATGACAGGTTTTCAATGACTAGTAGGACTGACACACATATTTTGTTTTGCTGTGGCTGATTCCAGTGAAGAAGATTCAAAATCTTGAGTTCTTTAGGATTTGAAAAATAGCAAGAGAGCATCTTGTCAACTATAAAACATCTTCCTAGGCTGGGTGCGGTGGTTCATGCCTATAATCTCAGCACTTTGGGAGGCCGAGGTGAGAGGATGTCTTAAGCCCAGAAGTTCAAGAACAGCCTGGACAATGAAGTGAGACCCCATCTCTACAAAAAATTTAAAAATTAGCCGAGAATGGTGGCATGTGCCTACAGACACAGCTACTCAGGAGGCTGAGGTGGTAGGATGGCTTGAGCCCAAGAAGTGGAGGTTGCAATGAGCCGAGATCATGCCACTGCACTCCAGCCTGGGTGACAGAGCAAAACCCTGTCTCAAAAGACAAAACAAAACAAACAAAAAATCTTCCTTACAACTTTAGTGAAATTCAGTGCTCATCTTTCACCCACAAGATTTTGGCAATACCTCTCAGAGTAGTATCCTTAAGTACTTTCTGTTTCAGTTTTTGGTTTTTATACACATGGAGATATGTCTTTAGAGTCACTAAAAAGATACTTGGTACTTAAGATCTAAGTAATATATATTGCCATTCCAAAGAGTTCCTGTTATGCTGTGGTTATGTATTTATTCTTATTTATCTCCATTCTCTTATTCATCAATCTATTTTCTTGGGATTAATAATGGTGTTTGTTGCATTTTCATTTGCCATTTTTCTTATGATATTTATTTAGTCAAAATATTAATCTATGACAATAACAATGTACCTATATAGTTATCTGGTTTTATTAAATTATGATTGCCTGTACTATTCATTTTTAGTAAAATTTTTAAATTTGTTTTACAGATCTTTGCTATAAATATGATTTATATATCACTGCCTCCACTCAAATATCCTCTACTCAACCTCATTTACATTCTTTGTTTTCTCTTCCTACTCATTTGGTTTTATGCTTTACGTGCAGTTCACTTTGTCCTTTTACTTAGAGTCAGATTTTTTCCTGAGCAGTATTTTCACCATGGTGGGAGCCATCAGATTCTGCATAATGACTTATTTTTCCACTATATTCCTATATTTCTAAAGAAGAAAAGATCACTGCTAATGAAATCTAATACTGATGAAATCAGATTTCTTGTTGATTTAACTACCACCTGCACATCTGGTGTATTTTTCCGGGGCTCTTCTGTTCTGTTTGTTTAACTCACAGTATAAGCACTTCACATAGAAAACGTGTCTTCTTCATTCTTCAAACAGTTCCAAAACACAGAGCTGGCATTAAAAATTTGTTTTAAAAGATGATGTAGCACAAGCTATATATTGTGATAATATACAATGGTGGGGGTATTTTATTACCAAGATTTGCAGATTTCGAGAGAATAAAACTATATACTATACATACTTTAGGACACATACTTATGGCACAAAGTTACATTTTAGAAGCTATTTTAAGAAGTATGAGGCCTCGATTGTAAAAAAAAGAACAAAATCAAATTACCCATTAGCGTAAGAGAAGAAAGAACAAATCTGTTTTAGCAATTTTTTTCAAGTCATTTCCTAGGTTCTCGAAAAGACATTTCAATCTCTTAGCTGGAAAAGCATATTTTAACAAATTAATATTTAATTAAGATGAAAGGACAACAAAAGACATTTTAAAATATAGGCAAAATGTACACATTCTAATGGATTTTATTTCTTTTAAAACCTTTCATGTAAATCTTTAAAATAGCAAATTAAAAACTTCAAGTGTTGAAAGAAAAAGGGAATACGGATAAGTTTGATTTACTAGAAAGAAATCAAATTCCATGATATTCACTTGGGGAAAAGAGACTTTCTTTATAAAAGCAAAATATAATTTTGTTTATTACAGTTGACAACTATTCATCTAGGAAGAGATCATTAGTATCATGTCTAACTTCAGTATAAATCTAAAACACAGACTGTCAATGGTCTCTGTGACAACTAAAACGTTCATTTTCCTGTAGAGGCATCTTATTAAAGACAAAGATAATTCCATTACAATTTGATAAATAGAAATCAATATGACATTCTTTATACAACCAAGTTTCCCTAGCTTTGGATTATGTTATATGATACATTTGTACATATACACAAATATATTATATCTTTATAAGGTCCTTTATGAAGTATTATTATCCCCAGCTAACAGTGAGAAAAAAATTAAGTTTGTATGAGGATAAGTAAATTTAACCCTGAATTTTGGTAAGGCAATTCTTATAACTACCAATGTATTTTAATATTATTTAGAGAAAACATAGTAATATTTATATTATTGCATTATATATAATACATTACATAAACAGGTCAGACAACATATGAATTCATAACTTTTTTACTTATGTATCAGACTGCACCTTAAGTGTTTTGTCCATTTTTACTCATTTAAACTTCTCAAGTAGTCTGTGAAAATTATACTTTTGTTATTTGCATCTACAGATAAGGAAACACAAAGAAGTGGCATAACTTGCTTAATATTACACAGTTAAAAAGTGGTAGCAATAGAATTTGAATCCAGGCAGTTTGGTTCCAGAGTCTATTATCTTACTCTCTATTTACAGAGCCTGTCTCTCGGGGATGGATTTAGATGAACATTTCATTTTCTATCTTTTGCTCACCTGTGCTTTTTTCTGCAATTTATTTCTTAGACATAAGCTTTGGAATAAGAAAAATAAGTTATTCCTATTTTTCTAGGAATGGGGGGGCATACTCTTTCTTTTTACCTTTGGAATAAAAGAATCGGAATTCAAGAAGTACATTACAAAATGAAGTTAAAATAAGAAAATTGTTTGGTTTTGAACAAATATAATAATAGTTTAGGAAATTAGTCAAACTCAACAAAAATTATGCATCTCAAACTAATTACTTTGGCATTTGAACTTACCTGACTGTTGGGTCCATCACTCTGTATTCCACAGCATGCCTCACTACCTGGCATATTACATAGGATACATTTTATATCTGGACTTTCTTCCCTCGTTAGGATGTAAGCACCCAAAGGGTAACAACTTTAAAAAAATATCTTAATTTTTGTGGGTACATACTAGGTGTATATATTTATGGGGTACATGAGATATTTTGGTGCAGGCATGCAATGTGTAACAGTCACATCATAAAAAATTGGATATCCATCACTACACATATTTATCCTTTAGGCTACAAACAATTCAGTTATACTCTTTTAGTTATTTTCAAGTGAATAATTAAATTATTATTAACTATAAGCTCCCAGGTGTGCTATCAAATACAAGGTAGGGCAGCAACTTTTATTTGTTCACTGTTATAATCCTAGCAATTAGGAGGCTTTATAATATACGTGGGTACTCAGTTAATGTCTCATGAACGACTGAGTGCCTACTTTATAGAGTTATTCTGGGAATTAAATAATATAATATGCTGTGTTATTAACACAAAACACTTAGTCTAGTACCTAACAATATAAAAAACATGTATTCAATAACAGTGGTAATATTTAAATAGTATTAACTATCTGACAGTCACTCCCCTAAGTTTTACTCATTTAAGCTTTATGAAAATCTTATGAGATGTATACTATTACCATTATTATTCCCATTTTATAGATGAAGAAACTAAGACATAGATTAAACGGCTCAAATCTCAGTTAATAAGTGTCAGTACAAAGAGTTGAACTCAGGGAACTTGGCTCCAGAATCTACTTTTTTTTACCACTATACTTGTCGCTTCTCCAAAGCCCTTCAATGATACTTGAAATTTAATTTTCTATATTACTATTAGTACTTTTACCAGCATCATCATTTCAGAAATAAGAATTTTAACAGAATCCCATTTGATGTTTATGCATACAACTATAGACTTTTCAGAAATTTGTAAATTTCAGAATTAATGGCAATGAGAGGACAGTTTATTTATCAATTTTAGAACCTGCCCCTATTATTATTGTAATTAGTTGTTGATGTCTCTGATTCACAATAGAATAAACAATCAGTGACCATACCTGTTATTAAGCAAGTATCTCAGGTACTTAGTATAGGGTTGGTACAAGATAAGTGGTCTCAAATATTTTTTGAAAAAATTAATACATAAGTAAATGTATTAATTCATTTACTCACAAATAAATGCATAAGTGAAGTCAATAGCTATAGAAATAAATATCTAAGCTGATGATTACCGCAAAAATCTTAATGTACCCTTTTAGTAATTCACACAGCCGTCTTTCATTATGCTATTTTATATGGTAACGCTAAATTTAGTCATAATTATACTTGTTCAATAAATGAAAGTGGATAGAATTCCACTTGATTTGACTTTTTTTTTGGTCTAAAATGGCTGTATTCAAATATTTTGTGTGCTAATGCATCATGCATATTTAGCGAAAGAGACTTCCAAATTCTTTTTCTGAATAAAATTACTTGGGACAAAATCTGTTTTTTCCAGATCATATTTAACTGCATATTGTTCCAAAACAATCCTAAAGTCTACTTCAAACTTAAGTGTTTTCCCTCCTGTTCCCATTTGAAACATCCCTAAACCTTCACATAACCTTCCATCTTACTTTATTTGAATTGGCTTATTTATTCATTCACTCATCTATACTTGGTTCCTGGACTTTCAAAGCATTTTCATTAGAATTGTTTCACAAAGCTAGAAGATGAGTAAAATACGTAAAATCTATCTCAGAGTGGTTAATCCCAAGGTTATGTGTGTGGTAAGCAGTTGCACGGTGGTGCACACCTAGATCTTTTGATTCAAATTTTAATGCTTTTTCTGCAATGTAAGAGTTAAATACATTACGTTCTAAGACTAAAAGAAAAACACGGCATATTTTGTGTCCCTAAAAAAATCATAAGTAAGTTAAAGTTTATAATCTTTACTCCATTTATGCCTTCTGATTTAATTTTGATTACTCATTTCACAGCTTTTAATTAAATTTCTCGAAAATATTGCACAGCCGCCCTCGGTTCTCCTAATTATTCCTGGAAATATTTCTATACTTTACAATCAATGTTCAAAAATAGACTGATGGAGATTCCTGGCATCCCTATATTTTATTTTTGTTTATGACTTCCCTGTTTAATAATTCAATGAATTTATGCTTACAAACCCTTGATAATAGCCATAATCTTTTTTTCAAATGTACTTTCTATACATTATCTACATATGGAATCTCAGAACACCAAAGCAAAGTTAGTCTGTATCTTTCAAAATGACTACAGTTGCTATTGATAAGAATATGCTATTTCTCCGAGAAAGGCCCCTCAAATCAGGCATTTTGAGGGGAAATAATGGTGACCTTTCCAGTTCATACATATTTTAAGTGCTTCAACGGACAAATGTTTAACATTTGACGTGGGATGGCGCCTGTCACTGAAATAAACTCAGAGGAAAATGGTTAACATAGGTGCCATATTTTTTGGTTGAAAGTAATGATAAGAAACTAAAAGGCATAGGCAAGTTGTTGATGGGAATTCCAAGGCTTCTCTCGTAGAGGTGCTAAATAATCCCACTTCAAGGACTGAGGAAAAGTAAGGGATCATGAGAGAAGACAAGAAAAATGGTAGTAACTCAGGCAAATACAAGGTGGAGTTTACCCTAAGTGATCCACTAAGAATACAATCACAATGTATTATTATTATTATTATTACAGACAAGGTCTCACTCTGACACTCATGCTGGAGTACAGTGGCACACTCATAGCTCACTGGAGCCTAAAATTCCTGGGCTCAGGTGATCTTACTGCCTCAGCCTTCTGAGCAGCTAGAATTGTAGGCACGTGCCACCACACCCAGCTAATTTTTTAATGTTTTGTAAAGACGAAGTCTCTCCATGTTGTCCAGGTTGGTCTTGAAACTCCTAGCCTCAAACTATCCTCCTGCCTTGGTCTCCCTAGGCGCTGAGAGTGCTGAGATTACAGGTATGAGCCAGCATACCTTCCATAGTGTATTTTTAAAATAAAGAATGTCATAATGTATAGCAAAGAGTTACAAAAATCTTAGGTATATTCTGGTATCAAAAAAGAAACACAAGTACAGAAGAATGTAAGTAATCTATTCATCAGTGCAGACCACAATCCTGGCACCTTCACAAATTAAAATAATTTCTCAGCAATACGTCTGTTTATTTTCTTTTTTAAACTGTGATTGAAATTAGGATAATCTAACTTCAACTTCTAAAGTCAGAAAGCAATGAATAACTTTAAATTTAAGAGTCATATACAGGGGTTCACTTAATCAAAATGAAGTTGTGGGAATAAATATTTGTAACTACACAAAAATTGTGATCACTACCTTGTTTACATACAGAATGAGAGGAATTTTAAAATGAATTAAGCAATGTGTTGAGGAAAAAAAGTTACAGTTTGAGGGGATATTATGGATTGCTTATTACAACAGTTTTGGATGATGATCCTGCTTTCAGGACTAAACAAAATTTTGTAGCCTCAGTATATAATCAATGCCTCAGAATGAAATATAATAGTAAAAGGTGCAACTGGGTAAATTCTTTATTTTAATTTTTATGATTATTATTATTAATTTTATTATTTTTTTAACTTTTAGGTTCAGGGGCACATGTGCAGATTTGTTCTATGTAAACAGTGTGTCATGAGATTTGGTGTACAGATAATTTCATCACCTGGGTAATAAGCATAGCACCTGATAGGTATTTTTTTGTGATTTTCTCCTTTCTCCCACCCGCCACCCTCGAGTTGGCTGCAGTGTCTGTGCTCCTCTCCTAGCATCCATGTGTTCTCGTTGTATAGCTCCCACTTAAAAGTGAGAACATGTGGTATGTGGTTTTCTCTTCCTTAGTTTGTTTAGGATAATGTCCTCCAACTCTATCCATGTTGCTGCAAAGGACATGATCTCTTTCTTTTTTATGACTGCATAGTATTCCATAGTGTATATATACCACATTTTCTTTATCCAGTCTACCATTGGTGGGCATTTATATTTATTCCATGTCTTTGCTATTGTGAATAGTGCTGCATTGAACATACACATGCATGTGTCTTTATAATGGAACAATTTATATTCCTTTGGGCATATACTCAATAACTGGATTGCTGTGTTAAATGGTAATTCTAAGTTATTTGAGGAATTGCCAAATTGCTTTACACAATGGCTGAACTAACTTGCACTCCCACCAACAGTGTATAAGCATTCCTTTTTTTTCTGCAACCTCACCAGCATCTGCTATTTTTTGACTTTTTAATAATAGTCATTCTGACTAGTGTAAGAAGGTATCTTACTGTGGTTTTGATTTTCATTTCTGTAATGATTAGTGATGTTGAGCTTTTTTCATATGAAAACCCTAATTTGTTATTCTATGTAATATATGAGGAGGCTGCCTGTATCAGTCAGGGTCCAATCAAGAGACAGAAACCACATTAGTAACTTGAATAAGGAAAAGTTAATATAAGGAATTATTAACAGGTAAAGAGGAAGTGAACTACTAAAGAGGTAAGGAGGGAGGAATTCAATGTTACAGAAGTAGCAACCAAAGAATGCAGCTACTGCCTATAGAACTGAGGGAGAGAGAACCAAGCAGGTACTTATACCTTTAGAAGAGTCCCACACATGTACTCATACACTCACACCACCCCCAGGTCTAAGACTCAGACATCTCTGGAGAGGTTGTGGCTACCACTGGAACTCTGTTGGTGACAGAGAAACTTACTAAATAGAGTATATAGATCCCAGAGTGTATGAGCTACAGCTAGTTTTTTGGTGTGGCCCCCTGAATGGCAGAGAATCTTGCCAGAGGGTGTAGGCTACAGCTGAGCAAGAGGTGAAGAGTACCACATCCCTCACATACCAAACCTCCAAGTGCCAGACAGAAAAGAGCACGCTGGAAAATGGAGGCAAGGTCTCTTTCTCATGTTCTGGCTTTGCAGTGTCCCTCCAGCCCCTTAAATTGGCAAAGTCTAGCATCAAGTGAGCTGGCAAAAGAGAAATGTCTACAGCATGCAGCTCTGACAATAGAAGGAAGGGCAAAGAAGAATAGATTTGGATAAGAGAGGCAATAAATTAATAACTGGCATGCTGGCCCTTCCCCATACTTGGTTGACACTGATACAGTTAAAAACTGTATAAGGTCACATATTTATACATAGAGTCACAAATCATAACCTCTTGTATTGTTTTTCTAAATTTGTTTATATACTATAGCATTCTGCCTTAGAACTATAAACCAAGAAATTGCATTGGTGACATTATTTATGAATTTAACTTTCTATAAAAGTATATATATAGAAAATGTATAAATTTTAAGTGTACAACCAACTCAATGAATTTTTACAAATATACGCACTCATGTAAATAGCACCCAAGGCAAGATAGAGCTTATTATCAGGACCCTGAAGGTCTCATTCTTGTTCCTCCCAAGCAGTAATTATCAGCTTTTAAAAATGTTTCCTTGAAAATCTTTACCTGTTTTCTTACATGTTTAGTGTAACTAATAAAATGTACAAAGAAAAATAATATGCCAGTTGTTTTTTTGTTTGTTTGTTTTTTTGTTTTTGTGGGTTTTTTTTGAGACGGGGTCTCGCTCTGTCACCCCAGGCTGGAGTGCAGTGGAACGGTCTTGGCTCACTGCAACCTCCGGCTCCCGGGTTCAAGCAATTCTCCTGCCTCAGCCTCCTGAGTAGCTGGGATTACAGGCGTGGGCCACCACACCTGCTAATTTTTGTATTTTTAGTAGAGACAAGGTTTCACCATGTTGGTCAGGCTGGTCTCGAACTCCTGACCTCATGATCCGCCAGCCTCAGCCTCCCAAAGTGCTGGGATTACAGGCATGAGCCACTGTGTCCAGCCTAATGCATTATTTTTATGTGGAGGAAAAGAGTGCACAAAGCTACTTTTTAAATTTAAGAACTATTTATCCTTCTATATATTTTTCTAAAATCATCAAAGCTGTCTATAATAGAACTATTGTATTGCCTTTGCTTGGTGTAATTTGACCATAATTAGCAATTTCTTTTTCATTCCAGAGGAAGAAAAAAGTATATAAAGAGCATACAGAACTTCAATATCTTGGCATAGTGATAGAGATGGAATTCAAATGTTGAGAATAAACTGTTTTCTGCTAACTGTCCCATAACTGTGAGAAAATGCGACATATATGCAACACAAACAAATGACAACAACAACAAATCTAGCAATGATTTGGAATCCTAAGGAAGCAATTTAAATACATGTAAAGACAAAATTTTAAATACATAATATATTGTTTCTTCAAAACTCACAGCATTTAACATACTAACAAATGTGAAATATGTTTTTGCTATATCATTTTGAAGTAGTGAAAGGAAAGTAATACATTGAATAGAAAAAGTAGGATTTGATTTTTTTCTTACTATATTTTAAGATGACATACGTATTTTGGAATTATTGAAATTTTTCAGTTAAATAAATCTGACCAGTTATTCAATTTTGACAGTAATCCAAGAGGCTCAAGAAATTTGATATTATATGGGGTTTTTTTTAGCCCTGTGTGTGTCTTGATTTCTAAAAACCCATTTTAATATTTTACAGTATTATTTACAAATAAAATTTAAAAATTAAGCATTATGTTGAAGGTTGATACATTTAAATAAGTTACTTTTTTCCTACTAGCTTTCCATTACAAGTCAAAAGTCTTTGAACTTACGGTTTGGCTCCATAGCCTGAAGGTTGTGAATGTTTTTCCAGAAGGTTTTCAAAATTTTTTTAATGCCTGCCTTTTTTACTGGATTCAGTTCAAAATTTCTAATGAGAAGCATACTTTAAATAGCCTTGATGCCACATTTTTAATATGTTATTTTACTTTATTGCTCTTCCCAACTGAGAACACTTATAATCAACATATTTTTAATAGTTTTATATTGGTAATATCTTGTTGATTCTTTGTTTCCTGTTATAATGGGCTTTCCAGGAGTAAACAAATTTGCAGATTTCCCAAATAAACACATCCGTGTTGGGTAGTGCGGCATGAGGAAGGTTCTTGAAAGTATGTAATATAGTACAATATAAATGCCTTCTGCAACACCCCTTTGTTGCATAGAAAATGAGGAAGATTGCCGATGAGTTTATTTTAGGGAGAAAACTACCAGTTTGAAATAAAACACAAATATGTTATTATGTAAACCATATTTATTCTTAATCATGTTTGATTTTGGAGTAGCCTTTGCATTTATATATGAGGAAATAGTGTCAGGAACTGACCTATTATGTGTCAAAGACAAAGGTTATCACGCACAAACTTAATAACTTTTTCTAACTCATATATTCACTTCAAATTGTTCTAATAAATTAAGCCTTCATAGAGTTTCATTAAGTGCACATGTTTAAGGTGGTTAACATAAACGATGCTATATTTAAATTTTAACAGCCTTGAGCATAACACAAATCCATGCTACTCCTATTTCCTTCATCCTTGCTTGGGAAGGATATTTGGTCACACTCACTCCTACACAGAGAGCTCAGTTATTCACCCTGATCTCTGGTCTCTTCTGTCCATCTGCCATCTATTTATTAGTATTATTCCAGGTTCCTTCCTCTTCCTTCCTTCCTCCACACCCACTCAACCAACCACCCACTGAAATCCTGAGTTGTGCTCTTCAGTAGTTTTTCAAGATTAGAACTTCAGAAATACTTTGGCATGCTTTTTTCTCCTCAGAGACCACTTGCTCACCTTAGCTCTACAATCATTCCTCAGCCCCTACTTATCCCTGCAGAGGTTCAGACCTAGATTTGTTCCTCATTCTTCCATTTCCCTTTCTATAACAAAACATTTCTTGGGAAGTGCAGCCAAGAATCCCAAAAAGCAAATTCAGTGAACCAGTGCAGTAAGAGGGCTTTTGCAGATGAGACATTTTGTGAAACTATGGTAACAGAAAAGTGCATATGGTCAGCGCCTAGCTGATTGCATTTTCATTTGTAATGTGGAAGTACTGCCAACAAATTGAATTGAACTTACTATAATAGAACACATTACTTAGAATTCCACACTGTTGCAGGGTCCTTCTGAATGACCCTCAATAATTGTGCTGTGAAGTTTGATATTGTGTACGTTTTTAGACTCTATCAAGCATATCATAATAACAATAATGGAAGGCAGTATATTAAAATGCAATACTGCTATAAACATGCATGTGCAAGTATCTTTTTCATATAATGATTTCTTTTCCTCTGCGTAAAGAAGGAAAAGTAGATCCACTACTGTTTGATCTGGCAATTCCAGTGGGATTGCCGGATCAAATGGTGGATCTACTTTTCCTTCTTTAAGGAATCTCCACACTGTTTTCCATAGTCATTGTACTAGTTTACCTTCCTACCAACGGTATAAAACTGTTCCCTTTTCACCGCAAAAATATGGAACCAGCCCAAATGCCCATCAAGAAATGAGCAGATAAAGAAAATGTGGTATATATTTAGCATGGAATACTACTCAGCCATAAAAAGGAATGAAATAATGGCATTTGCAGCAACCCAGATGGAATTGGAAACTATTATTCTAAGTGAATTAACTCAGGAATGGAAAACCAAACATCATATGTTCTCACTCATATGTGGGAGCTAAGCTAAGAGGACACAAAGGCATAAGAATGATACATTGGACTTTAGAGACTAGGGGGAGAGGGTGGGGGTGGCAAAGGATAAAAGATTACACAATGGGTACAGGGTACAATGCTCGGGTGATAGGTGCACCACAGTCTCGGAAATCAAAACTGAAGAACTTATTCATGTAACCAAACACCACTTGTTGCCCAAAAACCTATTGCAATAAAAAATTAAACACAAACAAAAAAACCTTTTATCCCAACAGCCAAATGTTAGGACCTTGTTTGGGTTCTGACTAATAAATATCCCCATAAAAATTAAAATTTTCATTAAAAACCAAATGGTAAATAATAAAAATACAATGCTATAGCCACCACTTTCTAATCTTTTTTAAAATTAGAAGCGAAAAAAATGTACTTCCAATAATTTCATATCATTTTTAAAATATGGCTTCAGATTTTCTCCACTTAAATTGCAAAGTAAACCTTCATTATTAATTTTTATATCCGTAAAATATACTATTTTATTCCTGTATTTATCCATTCAATAAATGTTTACTGAATATGTACTATGTACCAAACACAGTTCAACATAAGTTAACAAAAAGTCCTCATTTGCAGCTTACCATGAGCCATACGATGGAACCAGTAGTAGCCAAAGTCAACTCCTAAGAAGGCTGAATACCAAGTCCATGGAGAATCCCAAGGCAAATTGAACAGCCTGTAGTTCTCCCAGATATAAATATAACTGGTCAGTTCAATGCTCCTGAAAAATAGACTGGAAGATAAAATTCACAATCAGTGATTATATAACATTTTAGAAAAAAAATTACGCTAAAATGTTTTAGATAACATTTAAAATTAATATCTTCATATAAAAAAATGAAACTCTTTCTTCTACTTTGTGTCTTCTATGTCATTCCTTTTAAAGGCTCAAATTCCTTGGTATCAAAATCATTCACAGGAAGCTTTATTTTATTTCATAGGCATCATGGATGCCAGCTGTTTGTGCTCTCAATTTCATGAAATTTAAAAGGCCATTTTTTATGTCTCTTAAAATATTTTTCATGGAACCCATACAACATAAATAGGACAAGACTAAAACTTAATTTCTGTGATTGTCATTTCTAAATCTTATTGAAGTACATATTAAGAATTCTTTATAAAGGGAATTTAAAAGGCAGAAAATTATACATGCCCATATTTTAAAGGGTGCTGCAAATTGCCTACTGCATTCAAATATTTTGATCCCATAAAATTTGCCTTTAGGTTAAAGTTGCTTCTGTCTAAATCTATTCTCTCTTCTCTTCTTCCTCCTTCCTTTTTATTTTCTCTTTCACACACACACATACACACACATATATATTATACTTATCATCAGGTATTAGATACTCAGAGCATTTCAACATTTCTTATAAGTAATATAAACTAGGGTTTTCATAATATTAGGAAAAATATTTCCTTCGAAGTAAGGTATACAAACCTAATTAAAATAAACAATTGTTTCTAAAACTCAGACACTAGAATATATCTTGCCATCTATTTATCAAGCTTCCACAAATTTTCAGTAACTTTTAAAAACCTATAAAATGTACTTCAATTTTAGAAAGTATATTATTCTTTCTTTCAAGTTTTATATGATCAAATTTAAGATTAGCTTCTAGATGTTTTGTTTTGTCACTTTTATCAATTTGATTGAGTTGACTTTTCCTTCTATATTTATTATTAAATATAAAATGAATTAATCATTCTAGTTAATAAAGATATATTTATAAGTCATCAACAAGTTTGGTGCTGAAAATTCTGAGAAACTTCTTAAATATTCTAATTTTAGATAAAAGTGGAAGAAGTGGTGCAGATTATTATACTACCAAAATTTTTTATTTTTACAGTATTTCCCTTCACAGAGTCAGTTTCTGTGAATTAGCATTTTACTGGGTCTTTTAAAGATCCAGCCCTTTAATTTTATTCTTGAATTTAATTATTGTATGACTTTAACTGTGATTTAATATCTTTAAAATAACCTCTCATACTTTAATATTTCAAAGTATTATTATTTAATCTGTAAAATAAAACACTAGACTGTCTTATAACAGCATTAATATATGCAACTCAGAGAAATGCCAAATGCTCACAATTTTGAACAGGAGTACACATCACCACACATTAAAAAACTCAATCTCCAATTTGAGATTACATGGTTGGAAGAAGCAGTTTTGTCCGTGAGTTCAAGTCCTTGACCCAAAGGACTCATCCTGTACCCATACCACATTGCCAATCTGAGCAATACTCTGAATACTCTAGAATACATTGCTGCAGTGGCCCTGAGCCTGCTTGTGTGCCTTGCATGGGCCTGTTTGCTGAGCCATTCTTCCTGAGGGCAGACCTCTGCAGGTGTCCAAACCCCTCAACCTGACAGAGTGGCCAAGGGTGGCTATTTTGGGGCATGTAGACAGAGCTGGGGCTAGAGGTCTGGGATGTCCACACACAGGTGTGTGAGGTCCCTCCTGGGGCAGGACAAGCCATGAGGCCAAGGGTTCCCAAAGTGTTGTGGAAACTCCAAGGAATCTATGAAATGAACACTTAAAACCTGCCTTCCAAATTTTTATGAAGGTATGCTAGTCAAAGTAGGCGGTGAGAACAAATTCTACTGTAAATCTTGTTAGCTTTGTTGGTTACTTTTGCATGTTCAGATGAGGGCTTCACAACAGTGCCACTGCTGACATTTGGACAGGATAATTCTTTGTTGGAAGAGGCTGTTTGGTGCAAACGTTTACTGAAACTATGAAATCTTAAAATTGCTCACTATTGTTCATTAGTAAGGGTTACCCATATAAAATTCAAGTTTTAGGTTAAAAATGGCAAATAACATTAATTTCATATACTTCAATATAACAATTTCTCTAAAATAGGAATTCTTAACCTTAACACTATTACAATTTGGGCCAAGTAATTTTTTGTTTCAAGAGCCTTTCCTGTGCATCATAGAATGTATTCCAGCATTGCTGTTCTTTAGCACCTAGATTTAGGACCCTTCCTTCTCACCTCAGCTATGACTACAAAAATGTCTCCAGATACTTCCAAGTGTTTCCTGGGGAGCAAAATTTTCCCCAGTTGATAACCTCTGCCTTGAAACAACTGATCTGGAAGAAAGATTAAAACAGGGAGCCAAGATGGCCAAATAGGAACAGCTCCGGTCTACAGCTCCCAGCATGAGCGACGCAGAAGACGGGTGATTTCTGCATTTCCATCTGAGGTACCGGGTTCATCTCACTAGGGAGTGCCAGACAGTGGGCGCAGGTCAGTGGGTGCGCGCACCGTGCGCGAGCCGAAGCAGGGCAAGGCATTGCCTCACTCGGGAAGCGCAAGGGGTCAGGGAGTTCCCTTTCCGAGTCAAAGAAAGGGGTGACAGACGCACCTGGAAAATCGGGTCACTCCCACACGAATATTGCGCTTTTCGGACCGGCTTAAAAAACGGCGCACCACGAGATTATATCCGCACCTGGCTCGGAGGGTCCTACGCCCACGGAGTCTCGCTGATTGCTAGCACAGCAGTCTGAGATCAAACTGCAAGGCGGCAGCGAGGCTGGGGGAGGGGCGCCCGCCATTGCCCGGGCTTGATTAGGTAAACAAAGCAGCCGGGAAGCTCCAACTGGGTGGAACCCACCACAGCTCAAGGAGGCCTGCCTGCCTCTGTAGGCTCCACCTCTGGGGGCAGGGCACAGACAAACAAAAAGACAGCAGTAACCTCTGCAGACTTAAATGTCCCTGTCTGATAGCTTTGAAGAGAGCAGTGGTTCTCCCAGCACGCAGCTGGAGATCTGAGAACAGGCAGACTGCCTCCTCAAGTGGGTCCCTGACCCCTGACACCGGAGCAGCCTAACTAGGAGGCACCCCCCAGCAGGGGCACACTGACACCTCACACGGCAGGGTATTCCAACAGACCTGCAGCTGACGGTCATGTCTGTTAGAAGGAAAACTAACAAACAGAAAGGACATCCACATCAAAAACCCATCTGTACATCACCGTCATCAAAGACCAAAAGTAGATAAAACTACAAAGATGGGGAAAAAACAGAACAGAAAAACTGGAAACTCTAAAACGCAGAGCACCTCTCCTCCTCCAAAGGAACGCAGTTCCTCACCAGCAACGGAACAAAGCTGGATGGAGAATGACTTTGACGAGCTGAGAGAAGAAGGCTTCAGACGATCAAATTACTCTGAGCTATGGGAGGACATTCAAACCAAAGGCAAAGAAGTTGAAAACTTTGAAAAAAATTTAGAAGAATGTATAACTAGAATAACCAATACAGAGAAGTGCTTAAAGGAGCTGATGGAGCTGAAAACCAAGGCTCGAGAACTACGTGAAGAATGCAGAAGGCTCAGGAGCCGATGTGATCAACTGGAAGAAAGGGTATCAGCGATGGAAGATGAAATGAATGAAATGAAGCGAGAAGGGAAGTTTAGAGAAAAAATAATAAAAAGAAATGAGCAAAGCCTCCAAGAAATATGGGACTATGTGAAAAGACCAAATCTACGTCTGATTGGTGTGCCTGAAGGTGATGGGGAGAATGGAACCAAGTTGGAAAACACTCTGCAGGATATTATCCAGGAGAACTTCCCCAATCTAGCAAGGCAGGCCAACGTTCAGTTTCAGGAAATACAGAGAACGCCACAAAGATACTCCTCGAGAAGGGCAACTCCAAGACACATAATTGTGAGATTCACCAAAGTTGAAATGAAGGAAAAAATGTTAAGGGCAGCCAGAGAGAAAGGTCGGGTTACCCTCAAAGGGAAGCCCATCAGACTAACAGCGGATCTCTCGGCAGAAACCCTACAAGCCAGAAGAGAGTGGGGGCCAATATTCAACATTGTTAAAGAAAAGAATTTTCAACCCAGAATTTCATATCCAGCCAAACTAAGCTTCATAAGCGAAGGAGAAATAAAATACTTTACAGACAAGCAAATGCTGAGAGATTTTGTCACCACCAGGCCTGCCCTAAAAGAGCTCCTGAAGGAAGCGCTAAACATGGAAAGGAACAACCGGTACCAGCCGCTGCAAAATCATGCCAAAATGTAAAGACCATCGAGACTAGGAAGAAACTGCATCAACTAACGAGCAAAATCACCAGCTAACATCATAATGACAGGATCAAATTCACACATAACAATATTAACTTTAAATGTAAATGGACTAAATGCTCCAGTTAAAAGACACAGACTGGCAAATTGGATAAAGAGTGAAGACCCATCAGTGCACTGTATTCAGGAAACCCATCTCATGTGCAGAGACACACATAGGCTCAAAATAAAAGGATGGAGGAAGACCTACCAAGCAAATGGAAAACAAAAAAAGGCAGGGGTTGCAATCCTAGTCTCTGATAGAACAGACTTTAAACCAACAAAGATCAAAAGAGACAAAGAAGGCCATTACATAATGGTAAAGGGATCAATTCAACAAGAAGAGCTAACTATCCTAAATATATATGCACCCAATACAGGAGCACCCAGATTCATAAAGCAAGTCCTGAGTGACCTACAAAGAGACTTAGACTCCCACACATTAATAATGGGAGACTTTAACACCTCACTGTCAACATTAGACAGATCAACGAGACAGAAAGTCAACAAGGATACCCAGGAATTGAACTCAGCTCTGCACCAAGCGGACCTAATAGACATCTACAGAACTCTCCACCCCAAATCAACAGAATATACATTTTTTCAGCACCACACCACACCTATTCCAAAATTGACCACATACTGGGAAGTAAAGCTCTCCTCAGCAAATGTAAAAGAACAGAAATTATAACAAACTATCTCTCAGACCACAGTGCAATCAAACTAGAACTCAGGATTAAGAATCTCACTCAAAACCGCTCAACTACATGGTAACTGAACAACCTGCTCCTGAATGACTACTGGATACATAACGAAATGAAGGCAGAAATAAAGACGTTCTTTGAAACCAACGAGAACAAAGACACAACATACCAGAATCTCTGGGATGCATTCAAAGCAGTGTGTAGAGGGAAATTTATAGCACTAAATGCCCACAAGAGAAAGCAGGAAAGATCCAAAATTGACACCCTAACATCACAATTAAAAGAACTAGAAAAGCAAGAGCAAACACATTCAAAAGCTAGCAGAAAGCAAGAAATAACTAAAATCAGAGCAGAACTGAAGGAAATAGAGACACAAAACACCCTTCAAAAAATTAATGAATCCAGGAGCTGGTTTTTTGAAAGGATCAACAAAATTGATAGACCGCTAGCAAGACTAATAAAGAAGAAAAGAGAGAAGAATCAAATAGACACTATAAAAAATGATAAAGGGGATATCACCACCCATCCCACAGAAATACAAACTACCATCAGAGAATACTACAAACACCTCTACACAAATAAACTAGAAAATCTAGAAGAAATGGATAAATTCCTTGACACATACACTCTCCCAAGACTAAACCAGGAAGAAGTTGAATCTCTGAATAGACCAATAACAGGAGCTGAAATTCTGGCAATAATCAATAGTTTACCAACCAAAAAGAGTCCAGGACCAGATGGATTCACAGCCGAATTCTACCAGAGGTACAAGGAGGAACTGGTACCATTCCTTCTGAAACTATTCCAATCAATAGAAAAAGAGGGAATCCTCCCTAACTCATTTTATGAGGCCAGCATCATTCTGATACCAAAGCCAGGCAGAGACACAACCAAAAAAGAGAATTTTAGACCAATATCCTTGATGAACATTGATGCAAAAATCCTCAATAAAATACTGGCAAACCGAATCCAGCAGCACATCAAAAAGCTTATCCACCATGATCAAGTGGGCTTCATCCCTGGGATGCAAGGCTGGTTCAATATACGCAAATCAATAAATGTAATCCAGCATATAAACAGAGCCAAAGACAAAAACCACATGATTATCTCAATAGATGCAGGAAAAGCCTTTGACAAAATTCAACAATCCTTCATGCTAAAAGCTCTCAATAAATTAGATATTGATGGGACGTATTTCAAAATAATAAGAGCTATCTATGACAAACCCACAGCCAATATCATACTGAATGGGCAAAAACTGGAAGCATTCCCTTTGAAAACTGGCATAAGATAGGGATGCCCTCTCTCACCACTCCTATTCAACATAGTGTTGGAAGTTCTGGCCAGGGCAATTAGGCAGGAGAAGGAAATAAAGGGTATTCAATTAGGAAAAGAGGAAGTCAAATTGTCCCTGTTTGCAGACGACATGATTGTATATCTAGAAAACCCCATTGTCTCAGCCCAAAATCTCCTTAAGCTGATAAGCAACTTCAGCAAAGTCTCAGGATACAAAATCAATGTGCAAAAATCACAAGCATTCTTATACACCAACAACAGACAAACAGAGAGCCAAATCATGAGTGAACTCCCATTCACAATTGCTTCAAAGAGAATAAAATACTTAGGAATCCAACTTACAAGGGATGTGAAGGACCTCTTCAAGGAGAACTACAAACCACTGCTCAAGGAAATAAAAGAGGATATAAACAAATGGAAGAACATTCCATGCTCATGGGTAGGAAGAATCAATATCGTGAAAATGGCCATACTGCCCAAGGTAATTTACAGATTCAATGCCATCCCCATAAAGCTACCAATGACTTTCCTCACAGAATTGGAAAAAAACTACTTTAAAGTTCATATGGAATCAAAAAAGAGCCCGCATCACCAAGGCAATCCTAAGCCAAAAGAACAAAGCTGGAGGCATCACACTACCTGACTTCAAACTATACTACAAGGCTACAGTAACCAAAACAGCATGGTACTGGTACCAAAACAGAGATATAGATCAATGGAACAGAACAGAGCCCTCAGAAATAATGCCACATATCTGCAACTATCTGATCTTTGACAAACCTGAGAAAAACAAGCAATGGGGAAAGGATTCCCTATTTAATAAATGGTGCTGGGAAAACTGGCTAGCCATATGTAGAAAGCTGAAACTGGATCCCTTCCTTACACCCTATACAAAAATCAATTCAAGATGGATTAAAGACTTAAACATTAGACCTAAAACCATAAAAACCCTAGAAGAAAACCTAGGCATTACCATTCGGGACATAGGCATGGGCAAGGACTTCATGTCCAAAACACCAAAAGCATTGGCAACAAAAGCCAAAATTGACAAATGGGATCTAATTAAACTAAAGAGCTTCTGCACAGCAAAAGAAACTACCATTAGAGTGAACAGGCAACCTACAAAATGGGAGAAGATTTTCGCAACCTACTCATCTGACAAAGGGCTAATATCCAGAATCTACAATGAACTCAAACAAATTTACAAGAAAAAAACAAACAACCCCATCAAAAAGTGGGTGAAGGACATGAACAGACACTTCTCAAAAGAAGACATTTATGCAGCCAAAAAACACATGAAAAAATGCTCATCATCACTGGCCATCAGAGAAATGCAAATCAAAACCACAGTGAGATACCATCTCACACCAGTTAGAATGGCAATCATTAAAAAGTCAGGAAACAACAGGTGCTGGAGAGGATGTGGAGAAATAGGAACACTTTTACACTGTTGGTGGGACTGTAAACTAGTTCAACCATTGTGGAAGTCAGTGTGGCGATTCTTCAGGGATCTAGAACTAGAAATACCATTTGACCCAGCCATCCCATTACTGGGTATATACCCAAAGGACTATAAATCATGCTGCTATAAAGACACATGCACACGTATGTTTATTGCGGCATTATTCACGATAGCAAAGACTTGGAACCAACCCAAATGTCCAACAATGATAGACTGGATTAAGAAAATGTGGCACATATACACCATGGAATACTACACAGCCATAAAAAATGATGAGTTCATGTCCTTTGTAGGGACATGGATGAAATTGGAAATCATCATTCTCAGTAAACTATCGCAAGAACAAAAAACCAAACACCGCATATTCTCACTCATAGGTGGGAATTGAACAATGAGATCACATGGACACAGGAAGGGGAATATCACACTCTGGGGACTGTTGTGGGGTGGGCGGAGGGGGGAGGGATAGCATTGGGAGATATACCTAATGCTAGATGACGAGTTAGTGGGTGCAGCGCACCAGCATGGCACATGTATACATATGTAACTAACCTGCGCAATGTGCACATGTACCCTAAAACTTAAAGTATAATAAAAAAAATAAATAAATAAATAAAATAAAATAAAATAGAAAAAAAAGAAAGATTAAAACAAAGTGTAGTAGAAAGTTGAAATCATCTCTAGCTGAATGGCTTAAGTATTAGCACATGGTATCAAAGCAGATTCAACCATGGATTCAGGCAGTCATTCAATGAATTCATATGAAGAGCCTACTAAGTGCCAGGCACAGCACAAGACACAAGAACACACTATTAAACAGGGCAAATGCCACCAGCCTTATAAATATTCCCTCAGTTTAATACCTTTTTTAAAAAAATATGCTATCTTTCTTGTCAACTCCAGTGAAAATGGAAATAGGCATTAAGATACCAAGATCTCAATAACAGACTGAAGGTCCTAGAAAAACTTCCATTTGTAAAAAAATACATAAATAAATAAATAAATAATTTCAAAAACCTGCCTGAAATTGAAATACTTTTCTATTTCCTGTACAGGTGCCAGGTCTTGAGCAGACACCCAATTTATTACTCCGTCAACTGACTTATTAGGGTTAACACAAATCGAGCTGAAATATGCCTAACATACTACAGTCAAGCCTTCCCCCCACCACATCCCACACACATTAGCATGAAGCCTAACTTCCCTCAAGACACAAAGAAAGAGGGGAGAAGCTGTGGGAGTTATATTCCCTGCTTTCTATTAGCAAAATTAATTTGATCCCCTTTTATTACATATGTGAAACAATAGCCATGGAGTGCCCACAACTAAAAGCAATTCACCTAACCAATACAGCTGGGAAATGATTATCAAGCTCTGGAAAGCCCTGGATTGCAGAAAATAGCACCTACATTTTCAAAAATGTTCTCAGAAGACCTTGAATCATAAACCAAAGTTCCTTCCTCTTTCTCTTCTCAATCCCCCTTACCCCTTCCACCCTGCAATCTCAGCACATGACTCTGCACCCTGGAATTTAAACTGTCTAAACTCCATCCTGTGGGAAGAGGCATATAAAATATGTACGTATATAGTAAGCTTACTTTATCACATGAAGATGGAATACTGGGTAGCACAGGGGCTTGGAATTCCCAAATACTAGATCCCTTTTATGCCTTAAGTTTGAATGTAAGACCAGGAAAGTGATCTAAATGTAAAGAGACATTAGAATCCTCTAATTAGCAACCTGCATATAGAGAGACTTTCCTCCTATTGTCCTATTTTCTTCATGAATTCCCCCAAACAGCAGTTTTCTCTTGGGTCTGAAGTATATGTTTCAGTAAATGAAAAGTAGCTTACTTCTCTAACTAGTGAACTGATTTTCTGTGTGTTTTACCTAATATTTTTCTCTCATCACTAGAAATTTGTCAATGTTCAGTTACTACAAAAAAAGCTGCTAAGTTACTAAATTGCTATTTAGTATTAATCCTCATTTTTTACAAAATAAAATTCAGTTTTAATGTTAAGATTGAAAAATAATCAATAAATCAGAAATAAATGTTATTTGGGGATTGAGAATTAGAAACTAATTAGTTTTCAAAGTCATCTCCATCTGAGTCTACCCATCACCAGGAATAGAAGTGTGAGAGTGGGCATGACATTCACTCTTTCAGTGTCTAAGGATAATTTAAGGTATGAGATAATTAAGCTGAATGAGCCCTAAAACGACTCTCACGTTGTTGTCATTAAGAAAGCAAGTGACATTTGGTGTAATACTGTCGTTGAAAACTCCTAAGAGAGCAAGTTTCAGAATAAGTAGACTCATGTAATACACTCATACAAATCTGCCAATTTATATTATTCCACAACTGTCATTATAGCTGAGTGTTCTGATTTGGCCAGATTATACAAAACTAAAAAAAAATTAGATATTTTTATTTCTAATAATCTTGTTTTATGAGCCAGAAAATAAATCAATATTTAAAAAAGATTATTACAAATATTCTTAAAACTCCAAGAAGTTACAAATAAATTAATGTATTGGATCATATATATATATATATATATATACACACACACACACACACACACACACACACACACACACACACACATATGTAAAGAGAGTGAGAGAGAGAAATTTTTCTGGGAAATTTTGTTATTTATTTACTTCAAAATCTCTTCAACTGAATCCAGGAGTTTGCACTGCCCGTCTGTAAAGCTACTGCCACTTTTGCTCCATCTAGTGGAATATTGATTTTTGCTTGGTAATAATAAGAAAGATAATATTACCTTTACCGTCTGCAAACAAATAAAATGCGTACTACTAGTTATTATTGTTAAATGGTATCACATTCATAAAACAATCACTTACTTTAATTTCTTCTTAACAGCAACCATAAAACCATAAACCTTTATAAACACAATGTGATAGATTTGAAAGAAATGAATTTGATACATTATTTACTTTGCAGGAAATGTATTACTCAATTGAATAAACACACAAGTCCAGACTAATAAGCAGTGAACCTTGCATTCACCAGGGAAGGTTCATCTAATAGCAGTTTCTGAAGTTACGCAATTAATAACAAAGACAAAGTCTATTTATTAGTTTTCTAATGCAAATATTAAGAACAAATGAGACATTCTCTCAAATGTAATTAACAAACCAACAAGTTTTTAAAATTTATTCCCTTACATGGGGATTTTAAATAATTATTTCTAAGTTAATACATTTAGTATTAATAATAAAGTACTATTATTAACGTTACACAGATTCATTTATTTCTTATTTTGGACAATGAATTGCTGCTTATTAAAGTCATCACCCAAAATTATATACATTCATTTGTTAGGTCTGATTTGCCAAGGCAACATTTAGCCTCTCGTGCCAAGGCCCCTAGTATAAAAACCCAGTATACAATTTTTCTTTATTCTCTGGCCCCACCCCAAAGAGTCAAAAATATTTTAAAGAAGTTTAATTTCCTCCTTTTTAGTTTTTTTTTTTTTTTTTTTTTTTGATGAATTGAAACTTTCTTGTCAGGAATGGAAAATTCCATGGCAGGCATGGCCAGTAAAAGTATGCATATATATGATTGAACATTGTGGAGCTAGCTCCATAGTAAAAATTGGCAGTGACCCATATGTATTAAAAGTGCAGTGTCCCCAACTTTATTTGAAAATTTACCTACTTAAATTATCCCTCTAACCTATTGCAATTTGATTTATAATCTGCTGTTTCAACAGAATAAATGAACCCATTAAAAACAAACATACTGTAGATATTTATATCAGGAATAAAACTTCTCTGGGGAGGATGCAATTTATGGAAGCAGAAACATTGGAAGGAAGTAACAAATTGAAGTCCCAGTTTTCTAATGAAGGATTGGAAATTGAGTTCTGCTTAAACAAGCAGGAAAAAAATGTGATTATTTTTCACTCATTAACATTTAAGTCAGTAGCAGGATATTTCACAAGTTTTAGATACGTTTGCTTAAACAATAGATTTGGTAAATATTTTGTTAAATCAAGTTTAATTTTTTTACAGTCACATATGCAACTAATTGTTAGAAACGCAGATTATCTGCATGATACACTGTGTTTATCTAGAATACATAGACATATATTTTTATAAGTAGGACTAGTATCTGACTAGGAAGTCTGCCTACTGGATTTCAGAAGAGCAAAACAGATGTAAGCCTGTCCAGAATCTGGTTCTTAGGACAGATGGACTTTTATTACAGATCATGGTCTGTCCAACAGGCTTGTAAACAAGACATAATATTGTCCATCGTTAATATTTTCCTTGAGATAAAGGTTTGAAAGAGGCAGCATGTGTCTTTTCTATCAACATGGTAGGCACGCTATTAATCTTTAAGGTACCTGAAATTTTATGTAATCCTGAAATTAAGATCCTCAAAAAAAAACATGGTTTTTCTTCAAAGTCTGCACACAACATTTCTATTACATGAATGGCGAAGTGGAAAAACACGTTCGCTTTGATTTCCACTTCTTTTGTCAGAGGCCACATGCTTATTTGGAATTATTATCCAAAGCATAATTCTTCACAAACGAATTAGCAAAAGGCATACTACCATTTGTCTTGCAATCACCTATTTGAAGGACGTGGCAAGCCCCTGTTGCTAGTGTAGAAAATGAAATTAGTCCCTGGGAGAGGATCCGATCATTGCCGTGTTAATCTAACCCTCAGCTGTTAATGATTTGCACAGGGATTCCCCTTGATGCTGTGGCTTCAACTGAAATATTGTTTTAAGAATTGATGTCAAATTCTTCCTTTTTTTTTCTGAAAGGGGATTGAGAGGAATGGATCCACAGGCTCGCTTTTCCTTTTCTGTTTATATCTGGGTTTGGGATTTTTTTTTAATAGCAAAAAATAAAATAAAAATATTTTTCACCATAGTTTTATATAACAAAACAAAAAAATGCATTTTCAGATAATTTGCTTTACTGGGATCTTTCAGACAAGGCTGTAAAAGAGAAAATTCCTTGAAAAACTTTTTAAAAATCCACATTTCATAATTTAGAATTGTTCTTTACATCTACAAGGAAGAAAGGAGTAATTTGCTATTCTCATTTAAAATACTTTAGAAAAATATTCTCCAAATTAAAGTTCATAACCTTTTACCTTTCTCTCAAAGGGCACCAGAGTTAACAGTTTGTGTTAGTTTAAGGACTGTTATGAGTAGTGGGTGAAGGAAAAGAACCTCATGTTCTATCCCTGAAGGACTGGTTTGTTTTGGTTTCTTTTTTTCCTTCTCTCTCTCTCTCTCTCTCTCCCCCCTTTCCCCTTTCTCTCTGCTTTTTGGGGTGTATTTTTTGTAAAAATATCTCTTTTATTCTTGTTTTCCTGTTATAACTCTGTACCTTTTTAAAATAACACTGCTAAGCAAAAATATTGTATTGAGGATACAGTTTGTATTTCTGGTACTTACAATGTTATGATAAGAGAACAATCTAATTTCATTTGGAACAAAATCAAACTTTAAAAGGTAAAAAAAAAAATTCTGAAGAGTTCATTCAATTTGCTGTCAAATTCATTGTCAAAATGCTTAACAAATGCATTCCAATTCAGTAAAATATATGACCCATAATCGTATATACAGGGCAATTTTCAGTTATTGGGTGACGTTTATAGTTTATCAATAATCTGATTTCCATAACCTATACACTTAACTTTCTGAGAATGAGCTAAATTAACCAACTGGGTATTTTTAAATAACTAAATCTACATCTAAATCTATATACCCTTGGGCATGTTGAATGTTTTTCTTGTTCATTTCTGCTTAAAGGGGACAAGTATTATAATAAAGGAAATTATCTATAATTGTAAATTCTTATTCATGATAATCTGGGAATTAGCTGCAAATTTCTGGAGACATTATCTTCTTCTGATTTCAACTGCAAAATGCAACAATTACAAGTAGTTTTTCAGAGTAAATATTATTAATATTACTTCTACTATATACCTAATAATGCACTTTTCTCAAACACTTATTGAAAAAATTTTACTTTTAAGTTTACTTTTATTTAAACTATTTTATGTAATATATGAAATTATTCCACCTTTTTTAGATATTTAAAGTTTTAATGTTATTTTTTAAAAATCCACCTTAGCTTCCCACTGGGCGGTTAATAGAAACATTCCAAAGCAATGAGCACCAGTCAGAAGTAAAGCTCTTAAAACAGGACAAGAAGAAATGGGTGGGAAGCTGGAATGAGAACATTCATCAGCAGCTCAAAGCACAGACTTCTAAGGGAATCTTTCCTCACCCTCTGCCTCTTTGGTAAGCCCTCACGTGTTGAAGATGACTTCCATTTATTGGTCTTTCCTCTTCACACATTATAATGTACTCTTTCTAAAAAATAGTAGGTCATTTATATCTTACTATTATTGAGTCCCAATATCATCTAATTTTATCATCAACATAATGTTACAGGAATATTACTGCTTTTGGGGAAACTACATGCAACAGACATCATTCCAGGCACAGGAGCTAAAACTATTAAGAACATACACCTCTTGCTCTCAAGTTGTGTGCAAGCTAGCAGGAAGGGCTGAGAGAAAAACAGGTAAGCATCATGTCATGTGATAATTCTAGATCTGGGATAAGCACACAATTCCATGGGACTGTAGTGTAGGAATGCAGGAATGCCTAACATAAGGTTGGAAAACAGATAAAGCTTGCTGAAGAGTGTGATGTCTATGCTTAGACCTAATGAATGAATCTGAATTGGCCTGGATGGCTTTCCAGGCAGAGGGAAGTGCCTGTGGCATGTGGACAATGGCAAGTAGTAAAGCATGACAGGATAAACATGACAAATAGACAGGAGAGTGGACGATCCAAAAGCAAAGCCAGAGAAACAATGTTCTCTATAGTTCAAGACAGGGATTTTTACCTTACACTTGAGGCAATAGAGAGCCAGTGAAGGGTTTCCACTGGATTCATATTATGGAAATGCTTGGCTGCAAACGGGGTTGTACTAGAGCCAGACACCAATTAGCAAACTATTGTAGTTATTCAGAGATTTGTGTGACCTGCTCTAGGGAATGGCTACACCCGAGACAGCTATTCTTTCTGAAGCTGGAAGAGACAAAACACAATTTTAATAGAGAACCAGACCATAACTCAGAGTTGGAACCTCAATAAGGCAAATGAAGCACTCATTTCAAAGGGATATCAACAGAGTCAAGATAAATAATGTTTGCGGTGATTTTTTAAATAAGTGCAAAAAATCAATGAAGAACAAAATATCAAAATTTTAAATAATGACATGAACTGAATTTTTTGGGAAAATTTGTGTAAATAAACTAATTCTCCCATGCATTGGGTTCCTTTGCCCCTCATACTTAGGCAATTTCAGTTTTTATGCTCAGCGTTGTTGACCATCTAACTCACCTTGGAAGTCGAGACAGAACACCAGCTGAGATTGACGTTAAAGCATCATCCAGGCGACCTGGTGGCTTTCCTTTGAGAATCCAGCTGACAACAAGTTCAAGCAGCATCAAAGAAATGAAAAATGGAGTTGCCTGGAAAGGAAGTTGCAGAAAAGAGATGCTATTATGTTCCATATGAAATTATTTTACATTTCCTGATTAGTCATTTCAGAATTGAAAGGCCCAGATTTGGGAAGCCCTGCAGGAGATGGTAGACACTCATTTTAGAGGATTACTTCCTACACAGTGGTAAAGAAGTCTAATTATTTTAGACATACACTAAACATGTGCTCAAATTCTATCATCCAATTTGAATATGAAATGTAATCATAGATATAACCACGATAATTATAATATTATAAGATTAAGAGGAACATCTTCCAAATTAGTTTAAAAAATACATTTAGAATAAGGTAGATAATTAGAGGTCTATTGTCTCTACATGTATAATTTAGACCCACTTCAAGAGGCTTTCCTTAAAGATGCACATAATTCTAATTTTTCATATTAGACTTACCAGAACTATTTCTAATGATGAAATTCAAAGAGTAGAGACAATTTTCTGCTTAGAATTTTAGAGAATATGGTAATTTTACATGTTTGCTTAAAACATGATTCAGATTTTATTCATTTGGTTTTGATTTTTGTTTCACATAATAAGAGATGTTTTGAAAGCTCCACTATTGGTGATGGAGCATTGAATTTGGTTTGATATTGCAGTATAAACAATAATAATTTATGAAGATATCAGTGCCACTTTTTTTAACTTAAAAACTCAGAAAGAAAGTGTAATATCTAATCTTGAAAAAGATACGGATTTTACTCATTTGGAAGCTAATCATGAGTTTTGAAGCTTTCTAAACTGAACTCTCAATAACATATTCTATGATGTCATTTTTTTTCTATTTCTGCCATGAACTAGTGAGTGTTGTAGGAATAACTTTGATAGGGTGGGGAACTTCAGTATTCAAGTTCTAATTCTGGATATTTCCACTTCCAATCATAGCCAGGAACCAGAAGTGAAATGTGCCTCTGAGCACTTCAGAGTTTCAAAGAAAACTTGGGTCAAATTCAAACTTAGGAAGTCAGAGCTGGACCTGGTCAAGCTGCATATCCTTCATTCTGCTGAACTACTCTACCAAATGAAAGAGGAAATAGTTTCCCTGGAAGGGGTGGACAAGTGAAAGATTTAAAAATGAAATTGTTACAAAGTTTACTGATGTGGTGTAACTATTTGTCATTGAGCTTCCAATAGCTACATTTACAATGCCATGGAGTCCAGGAAAACTTTAAACTTTTGTTTTTGTCATATTCTGGAGTGACATATAAAAGAGGGAATTTACAGGTGAAGATGGCTATGGATTGTAAGAAAATTCAAGTGGAAATTCTACTTTTGCTTCACGCCTTTAAGAAACTGAATTATTATTATTAGAATGTAATCATTTGAATAATGAAAGTGAACAAAACCCTAAGGAGATTGACCTTACCATTTATTAAGAAAGCAGCAAGAATAAGAGTAGCCTCTTCCAATAAAGTCTCACCTTTTTTACATAATCAGGCACCTCTTCTAATGTTTGGAATGAAGTTTCACTGGGTTTCATCGTGTAAAACAACATGCGAAATCCCTGGGAAACTGAAACATCCTGCTGGGCTTCTGGGTTCTTCATTTCTGCCCTTGTCTGATTCCCAGCTGGAGAATATTTAGGATTCAATGCTTGAAGCCTGAGGCTGAACAAAGAGGACGAGATGTGCAGCTCAGAACAAGCTCTTTGTCAGAGAACAGCTAAAACCAAAGCTCCACTGAGAGCACACTCAACAGCCGATTCTGTGTAGAGAGACAGGAAAATACAAGGATCAAGAACAAGTACAGAGTTCAGTGGGCGCTGGGCCAGAAACAGGGCATGTGGGGGAGGGAAAAGAGGACTCATACCCAAATCAAAGTCATACAGTGCAGTTTGACTGTAGGTGGAGCAAGTTACTACTTAAAAAAGAAGAGAAAAAACATCATAATAGTGTCTCGGAAAGAAAAAAGTGATAACGCAGGTATATGTTCACTCTGAAAAACTGGATAGAAATTCAAGCATCAAGTCACATAGAAAAACCTTTTTTTCTCCTCATTTAGAAATTTACAATGTGTTCAAGCTTGTAGTTTCTTTATTTCCTACAGAGACTGTGTATAGGCGAGCTACTTAATAATAGCTTGAAAGTCAGTAAGCACTGAATATCTGGCTCCTTATTGCCTATCTATATTTCTGTATCTGAATCATGTTATTACCACTTCTGAATGTTTGCAACCAGTTTAGGGGCATTTGGCTTATTACATAATCTACATTATTTAATGGAAAATTGGCTAGTCACATCTTCTCTATTCTTCTTAGTACTTATGGGAACTTTCTGATTAAAGAAGGTGCCAAGATGTTGCTGTGAGACCTGTTTCTGTTTTACAGAAAGAGCTTAAGTGATTGTACCTTTTAAGTAGATTAGAAGGCACTTAATTTATTACATTACCAGTGAATATGTGGAGCTTGCCAGAATAGCCTCAGCTCTTTACCCAAAACAGCTGTAATCATCCTTTAGCTGCCATTTCATCATTTAAAGATGTTTACATAGATCTAATTAAAGTATCAATGCACGATTGTTTTAGAAAAATATAGAAACTATAGATAAGCAATAATAAGCTGCCCAAAACGCTATTAACATTTTGGTACATGTATGGTCAGTTTTGCTATAATGTGATATATCCATTCCTAAAAATCACTATACTGTACAAAATTGTGCAATAAAAACCACGGGACTTGTGAGAAAAAATGTGATTAGGGTAAAATACTCAAAAACTTCATAATGACCCACAAGGAACAAGAAAAAAAGGATGAGAGCCTAATAAAAATGGTAGCACACTTTCACACGTTACATGGTTAAGATATACATAAATACTAAAATAAATATGATGCTTTACCTTGAAAAAGACCTGAAACTTGTTTTGGAAATTAGGCATTGGAAGATTTGCAAACTGCAAGTTACTTTAGCTTGTTGAAATGTGGGTTATCTGAAATCAGACAGAAAGTTGCAATATGACATATGGGTGTCAAGGCTCACAACACACAGGTGAAGTGAGGGTGTTACTATAAGTGGTGGGTGTATTTTGTGCATCCTAAGCCTTTCTGTTTTTCAGTTCAGTTTTTTAAAGTTCAACTACTCTTTTTCACTGAAAATAAAATCACACATGAGCATAGGCAGTATGCTCAAATTATTTTCTGGTATATTAATCACATTGGAACAAATTTAATCTCAAAGCACATGTTATAGCAGAATTGACTGTCCTTTCAGACCATTCCCATTACCAATAAGTACATATGGACATTAATTTTTAATAAAGGTGTCTGGGCGTGGTGGCTCACACCTGTAATCCCAGCCAGTACTTTGGGAGGCCGAGACGGGCTGATCACCTGAGGTCAGGTGTTTGAGATCAGCCTGGCCAACATGGCAAAACCCCGTGTCTACTAAAAATACAAAAATTAGCTGGGTGTGGTGATGGGCACCTGTAGTCCCAGCTATTCGGGAGGCTGAGGCAGGAGAATTGCTTGAACCCAAGAGGTGGAGGTTGCAGAGAGTGGAGATTTTGCCATTGCACTCCAGGCTGGGGGACAGAGCAAGACTCTGTCACAAAAACAAAAAAAAATTTAATAAAAATGATCATAGTAGGCATACTGTTTTATTACCTGCTTTCAAAACAATTTTGGAAATTAACAATGTGATACAAGAGAAAAAAATACAAACAATATAGCTGTATATAAAGTCAAAAGTGGCAGCATCCTTTCTTCTCAATATATGCACACCTTGCACTTCACTTCATAGGGATAACATATCCTCTTGGTGGGGTTTTTTTTTTTTTTTTTTTTTGCCATATCTGTTTTTTCCTAAAAGGGATAGTTATTATCATTATTACTATACAAATACGTTTCTATATACACATAATGGTTCGATTTTGCAATGGACCTTATCAAACATAAGATACAGCAAGTTCCTTCTTGGAGTCAATAACTTACCAGGAACATTTCTTTTTTAGTATATGATTATACAGGTACAGCCTTTTCTTCGTTGTTTTTACTGGCTGCAAAAGTGTGTGTGTGCATTTCAATGAGCAAAACAAAATTATTTCTAACTTTTTAAAGCAGAAGCAATTTTATACAAGAAAAAAGTTGTTACATAGATGATGGGAGAAGTAAAAAACCAAGCAGGAACAAAGAGGTAATCTAGAGATTAGTACCAATAGGAAGCCACTACCATTGTTAAATTGTAGGGACAAATGGAGAAGGTTGTATTAGTAGGGCCCAGGGGCTATGGTCATCTAGGAAAAGTTAGAACCACCATTGGCTTGTCTAGCAAGAGTATTTCCCATGGAGCAAAGCCAATCAAAGCCAGAAATAATACCCATGGCAGAGAGGGAAGAAAGGGAAGTACTATGGCTTCTCCCTTCTTCCTGCCCACCAGTCTCCCAACAGTACTTCCCATTAGGCTATGACATGGTTGGATTTGCGTCCTGGCCCAAATCTCATGTCAAATTGAAATCCCCAGTGTTGGAGGAGGGGCCTCGTGGGAGATGATTGGATCATGGGGGTAGATTGCCCTCTTGCTGTTCTCCTGATAGTGAGTGAGTTCTCAAGAGATTGGTTGTTTAAAAGTGTGTAGCACCTCCCTCTTCTGTCTCGTCCTCCTGCTCTGGTCATGTAAGGCACACCTGTTTCCCCTTCTGCAGTGATTGAAAGTTACTTGAGGCCTCCCTAGCAATTATTCCTGTACAGCCTGCAGAACTATGAGGCAACTAAAACTCTTTTCTTTACAGATTACTCAATCTCAGATTGTTCTTTACAGCAGTGTGAGAATAGACTAATACAAGCTAAATGAGTCAAAAGCCAGTTGACAGAAAAAGCTAGAAAAAGAAGCCTGCTGAAGGTAACCTCTTACTACACACAGTGCTGAAGGAGAAAGGGAGGGAAGAATCAATCTATGGAAAAAGTCAACCAAGAACCAGCACACCATCATAACTTATTTAATTACTCCTCTATTGTTGTGTGTGTAAACGCAGTCTTCCATTTTTAACTAATAAATTTAATGCAACAATAAACATCATGGTATAAATATTTATACATTTTGCACATTTTTTGTTACATAGATTCCTAGCAGCGGAATTATGCTATGAAGATGATGTAAAATTTACCCTTTGATAATTACTGCCGAATTCCCCTTTCAGATTGCCTTCCCCTCCACACTCTTGCTAACACTGGCTATTATTAATCTTTCATAATTTTTAGCCAATTAGTTAATGAAAAAATGGTATCTTGTTTTAATTTGCATCTCACTAATGACACTGAACATCTTTCAGTACATTTATTAATGTTTTTTTGCTTCTTAATCTGAAATTTATTTTTTAATATGAGCTGCACATTATTTTATTTCATTGTCATTATTGGTTTATAGGCCATTTGTATTATAAATATATAATTCTATGTACAGTATATATATTCTGATATATGTGACAAGTATTTTCTCATTTCATATTCACTAGTTATCTATATGTTGTCATACTGCAATTGTAACTTTGTGTGTGCTGTTATCCTTTGTTACCTCTGCTTTTGGATCTTGCTTATGAACATTTCCCTTGCCAGAATTCCGTAAGAATAATCTTCTGATTTTTTTTTTTTGGAGCATTTAAAAGATTTCTGTTGTTTCAATTATCTGGAATTTAGTTTTCCATATGGTATGTAGTAATTATTTGACTTTTTACCTTGCCTTTATGGATCACAGTTCTTGCCACACCATTAGTCAGTCAATACTTTCCCCACTATTCTATGTACCTGTACTATTTCCAGGCTCTTCATTCAGCTCTATGGATGTTTTTATCTACTCTTATGCTAGTACCATGTTGTCTTCATTATTGTACTGTCATAATAAATTCTGGTAACTTGTAGAACAATTTATCATGCTTGAATTTTATTACTCAAAAATATGAAGCTGTTTTTACACATTTGCTTGTGTAAATGTTTAGACTAAACTTCAAAGCATCCTGTTGGCATTTTAATTGGAACTACATTAAATTCATGGATTAATATGGAAAGAATTGACATCGGAGACACTCAATAAATTTGTTTTGAATGAATTAATGTATATACTAAAATCATTTGAACTTAATTCTATGACTAAATCATGTCAATGCTCACTTCCAACACTTCTATTCCTTATATCTTCCATTCTTTTTTTTTTCCTTTGTACTGTTACAGATTGCACAAAGTTTTCAGGACAGTACATGTATAATTGCATACCTTACTATAATTTTTTTTGCTTATCTATGTGAAGGATAAGTTGGCTAAATATACACTTTTTGGTTCAAATAGTAATTCTTTCAAAATTCAACAGAGACAGAGCACTTTGGCTGAAGACCTGTTAGGTGAAACCAAGGTGGACAAAACACAGGACTTTGAACCTTCACATGAACCAAAAAGAGGACGCTTGTGTTAGTCCTTTTGAACGCTGCCAATAAAAGACATACCTGAGACTGGGTAATTCGTGAGGAAAAAGAGATTTAATGGACTCACAATTCCACGTGGCTGGGGAGGCCTCACAATCATGGAAGAAGGTGAAAGGCATGTCTTCCATGGGCGGCAGGCAAGAAAGAGAATGAGAACCAAGTGAAAGGGGTCTCCCCTTATAAAACCATCCGACCTTATGAGACTTATTCACTGTCATGAGAACAATGGGGGAAAGCGGCCCCATGATTCAATTGATTCAGTTATCTCCCACCAGGTCCCTTCCACAATTTGAATATGAAATGTAGTCATAGATATATCTACGATAATTATAATATTATAAGATTAAGAGGAACATCTTCCAAATTAGTTTAAAAAATACATTTAGAATAAGGTAGATAATTAGAAGTCTATTGGGACTTCTAAGTTGTGGGAGCTACAATTCAAGATGATATTTGGGTGGGGACACAGCCAAACTATATCAACACCCCGGACATTTTCGGATGTCTTCTTGTCTGAGTAACTCTGACAAGATCTGACAAGATCTGACAAGATCTCTGCTCAAAGCTACCTAGTCAAAGGAATTCTGCTGGGGATTCCCTTTTTTTTGGGGGGGGGGGCGTCTAATTCAAGGGAAAATGCTTGAGAAGAGCCTAATATGAGTGTCAGACATCCCATGAGAATGTCTTACATGAGGAACTATTTACTCTCAGTATTTGCATTTGCAAATCAATCAACACAAAAAGACATCAAAAGATCTTTATTGAAACGACATGAAAGAAACAACTGATTAGGAACCTCTGGTGATACTGATAAAGGTCCAATTTTGAGAGAGAAAACACAGTAATTTGAATAGGAGAAATTTAATATAAAGGTTTGCCAGCTGTAACAGGTAGCTGGCATTATAAGGGAGTGGCTAATAAAAGTTAAGAAAACTCAGAAGAACATAGGAATAGAAGACAGAAGGGGCAGCCACTACTCCCAGGGCTGGACTGGGGAACTTGCTTTAAATCAGCCCTTTAGGATGAAAAAGGACAGAAGACGCTGCTCACCAGGAATTTCTCACTAGAGGCACTTTCCTACAAAACCACTTGAAGAGGTGCCAGGTAAGCTACTGGCTGCTATGCATTTCAGGAACTGGGCACTGAAGAATCTGCCTGTGTTACAAGACCCTGCCAAGTGAGCATGTAGGAACAAGGGAGGAAAACCTCTTCCTTTAACAATGACTGTCTGCAGCCCACTCCTGACAAAGCTTAACGTCATGTCAGCTAGCAAAGAAAAATATTGAAAGGACCTATTTCCATTTCACAAATCAGGTAATAAAGTTTGAATTTGGAGATGAGAGGCAATAAACCTATAATTAGTACAAGACATAACACTCTTTAATAATTATAAAAAGTCTTCATCACAGTCTCTTATTTATATAACACTTAGCTTCAATGTTTATAAAATTGTAAAAAATGTAAAGGCTTTTCTGGGAAGTGTTTATGTAAGAAAACCAGAGTGGTAGAACCTCTATAATTATAGATCTGCCTTTTCTTTTGGCATCTAATATTTCAAAATAATATTAAGTCTGAGTTCAACTTGCCTTAAAAAAAAAAGTCATTCATTTCTACTTCCTGGGTGCTTGTAGAATATTTTTGTGCCTTTGAAATTAAATCATTATAGTTTTTTATATTTTGGGTAGAATATTTTTAAGAGGTGAGCGTCCTTAAACCTCAGATTTGAATCTTCCTTTGCTTTAGGGCAATTTCTGCCATTGTGTTTGTGCCTATTATTTATGTTCCATTGATTTTTTTACACTTCTTCACAAATGAGATTTATCTGTTTACCAGATACCATTTGTCTACCATATCCATTATATTGTCTGTGTCCATTTTCATCTCCTTTTTATTTTCTGATATTGTCTTCTTAAGTCTATACTTTGGGTATAGTTTTTTTTGTTTTTCTGTGTTTTTTTTTTTTTTTTTTTTTTTTTTTTTGCTATTTTCATCTTCCTTCTGGGTCTACTTCAAATTTCACAATGGCATTATTTGTTTTCTTAAATGTTTTCCTAAACTCTCTCAGTCTTCCTTTTGTATTTATTTCTTATCATATGGCCTCATTTTTTCTTCAGTTTTTTTTCCTATTTCACTTGCGTGTATACAACAGTTCTGCCTAAAATTATTCTTAGTTTCCTGGAGATAATACTCAAAAGCATGTTCTTTATCAACTTTTAATAAGCTCTTTCCCCTCCTTCACTCCCAATTTGTCTTATTGTGGATGGGTACGGGTTCTTTATGCTTCTTTTCCCCCCAACCAAAAAAACAAAAAAAGATGTGGATGAATAGTCCTTGGGTCCACTCCAGGTATACGTGGCACTTTGGAGTTTAGGTCTGTCTTATCGGTTCAGCATGAGATGGTGGAGGATAGAGCTATCACTCAGCAGCCCCAGCTATCCCAGCAGGCTTTTACAGTGAATTAGAGCTGCCATGGCACGTATCAGCTTTCCTTATTTTGATTTTGTTCTCCTTGGCCTCTACTCTTTCTATAAACATACAAAAGTACCATTTGAGATCTTCCTATAATTTGTATTTGTTGAAGCTGGGGTAAGTCCAAGGCCTAGTGTTTGGGGTAACCCAGTCAGAAAACATGGCTTTTGCTTTTGGACAAATTGACAATTGTGACAAATGAGAATTTGTTTAGAAGAAAGATTCTCAATCCATGACATTTCTAGCTTGTAACAATTGCTATAACTCCCCCACTTTGGATGGTAAATTTCTCCTCAGCTGTCATTGGCCCTCAAAGCCAAAATGACTCCAATTAGAATGTATCAATATCACTCATAGTTCTCCCCACCAGTACTGACCACATGCAGATTACAGGGTTCATCCATTACAGCAGAGGAAAGAAACTCTTTTTTTTTCTTTTTTTTTTTTTTTTTTAAAGAAACTGGGTTGAAGAAGTAGTTCATTGAATGGTTGTCTTACAACCAAGGATTAAGAGTAACATACAGAGATGCATTTCAAGGGGAATTCAAGAAAGGAAATCCTAACGTTCTGCTTGATGCTGCCATATTTCCAAACTTTAACTCTCCAAATGAGGGGACATATGGTTTGCTAGACTGTACTCTTGAACTGGTGAAATCCTTTCCTTCTCCACGTGTCTTTCTCTTTAGTCATTAGAATCATTTACTGGGAATTAGACTGGAAACCTACACTGACATGATCATCTTAAAAAGTTTGTTTATATCTCTAAAAGTATAAAATAATATATATTTACTGTAGAAATATAGAAAATGCAGAAGATTTTTAAGAAAAAAAGCACTCATAACCACACCAATCAGATTGTAGTCTCATCAATATTTTAATGAACATCTTGTATTTAGGGTCTTTTTCAGGCACATTATTTTACATAGAAGAGTTCATACTCTATGTGTCATGTGAGGTCAAGCTTTGTAAAATTTGGAAGCCACATGATGAAAAGACAAAGCCCCAAATTAGGTGTCTGAGTCTCTGAGTTACTACATAGAGAAGAGCAGCCCATCAATCAGGTCATTATATGAGCAAATACCAAATTTGTAATGTATTTTGTGTTTTATTTGTTATTATTTGAACCTTGTTCACCTAACGGCTAACAATCTCCTAACTAATATATCCAGAAAACCATTGGAGGGTTTTGAACAGAAGAGTCACATGGTCCAATGCATTGTATGAAATGATCATTTTGCTTTTTTTGTGAAGAATGGACTTTAGAGAGGTAGGCTGGAAGCAGAGGACTCTTCATAAATAGTTGATATAGTTCAGGTAAATCTTGCTTACTTTCACTAGGATAGTTGCAGCAGAAAGAGTCAAAGTGAAAGGGTGATTGTGAAAACATATTAGAGGTAGAGCTGATAAGGTTTGCTAAGAGATCAGATGTGGGGAATGAGATTAAAAGAGAGAAGACATGAATAATTCAAGACTTTGATTCAACCTGCTGAAAGAATAAAGTTGTTATTTACTGTGATAGACAAACTGCAAGATTTGGCTTAAAGCATGATATGAGATGCCTGTAGACATCAAAGTCGAGATGGTTGCACAGGTTGATATATAAATCTGGAGTTCAAAGCCCAAAATAGAATTCTCAATGAAAAGAAAAAGTACTGACAAAACTAATTACAAGCCAAACATAAGAATGATTTTCATGTATTCACTTCAATCATATTCAAATGAATAAATAATACTCATTTTTAGTTTGAAAACCAGATCTATTATATTTATTTTATTTTCATGACCATTTTTGGAGTTCAAATGCAAACATAATATATGATAATTTACATATTACTATAAATAATCTCATAATATAAGTAATTTTTAGAGAATACTGTTCATATTGTAATATATAGTATGGTAAACATATTTTAATATTAAGACATATCCAAACTGTTTTTCAAAGTGTGTGTTTAGTATTTCCATTATTACAAGAGTTCCAGTTTCTCTGCATGACTTGCAGAAATTGATATGTGCAGGTTTATTTTTATTTTTTATTTTCCCTTTCTGATTTAATTGGCTACATTATTTGTACAGAATATTATCTCCATAATAAAAAGTTAATTATTTTCCCTTTTACTACAGTCCCATATATTTTGAGGACACTTTTTTAAAGAATCTAGTTGTGTGTTGCCAAAATTTTAATATTGTCTCTAAGAGTCTTTGAATCTTTTGTATTAACACTTTTCATTAGAAAACAGCAGCATATGAAACTTAAATCACTCTCTATTTTCTCAGATCAGATTTTATTACTTTTGGCCAAAGTCCTTTCCACGACTTAGAAGGCAAAGATCAGGTAGAACATGATCTTTAAACAAATTGATGGCATACACTTGAGGTCAGAGCATAAAAAACAAATAGTATTTCAGAAGTTATTTCTTTAAAACCCCATCAAGCTAATACATCTCATTGTTATTTTAACAGTAGTCAGTGCCAAAAGAACGACTCAAAGTGCTGCATACATATCAGTGTCAGAATCTATGTAATTCTCTTTATGGGATTGATCGTGAGTCAGTCAGTGTTGGAATTAATCCAAATTCACAGTGCAGAATAAAAGAATGTGGAAGATCTCCTGAGTATTTCTTTCAGAGATAAATATGTAGATATTTCAAAGGTTCTAAGAAGTCCAGCAGCATACAAATTTATTTTAATTTGCTCAACCTGCAGTTTCTTATTTGTAATTTACTACAGCGTTCCTGTTAACCTATCACCAGCGAACGACTCTAAAAGTGCGAATTACCTGATTCGTGACTTGGGGTTGCTACTCTAACTTAGAAAGTCTATAGGACTTGTTTCTCTTTTGAGGAAATAATAGATAACACTGATATTGGTAATCATAACTAACGTCCATGACTTGGAGGAAAAATTATTATAAAAGATGTGTCTATGTTTGAAAACAAATAAGAAAAGATTGGTTCCATCATGTTTTACACTACACACAGATTGTGTTTCTAATAATGGCAGCAGATCAGGCACAGTCCTTTACCTAAGGACTCATCACAGGGACTGCTGCCTGCTGGTGACAGGCCCTGTGAACCTTCTTTTATGAGACAGAGTTGAAACAATTCATCATAGACTTAAATCCAGTTCTTACCATTCTTTAGGACATGTGGTTAAGAATGTTTCTCTAGTTTTAGTACCAAGAATAATGTGTTTCTCCTGAACGACATTTATGTTATTTAATTTTGTGGATGCTATGAATCACTTACCTAATCATGTTTCCCACTTCAGATGGTTAAATAGGTAACTTAGTGTCAAATGTGTGACATAAATCTTAAGTGTATAGAATTCAAAGGGCGGCATACTGTCTTAGTCTGTTCTGACAGCTATAAGAGAACACCATAGACTAGGTGGCTTATAAACAGCAGAAATTTATTTCTCACAGTTTTGGAAGCTTGAAGTCCAAGAGCAAGATGCCTGCAAATTTGTTGTCTTGTAAGATCCTGCTTCTGGGTTCATAGATAATCATCTTTTCACTGTGCCCTCACATGGCAGAAGAGGCAAAAGAGATCTCTGGGGCCTTTTTTGTAAGGCCACTAATCCCGACCATGTGGCCTCCACCCTCATGACACAATCGTCTTCCAAAGGCCCCACCTCCTAATATAATCAGTTTGTGTGTTAGGATTTCAACGTACTGATTTTGAGGGGAAGGGACACAAACATTCAGATCATTGCACAGGCTGAACTCATTCCAGGATTCACAGTGATTCCTGCTCATAAATATATACACACACATATATACATATATATATACATATATTTTTTTGCCTAAATCTTATCATCTATTTCACTTTGTTTTATTGAGCTTTTTTTTTTTTTTTTTTTTTTTTTTGAGAAGGAGTCTCGCTCTGTCGCCCAGGCCGGACTGCGGACTGCAGTGGCGCAATCTCGGCTCACTGCAAGCTCCGCTTCCCGGGTTCACGCTATTCTCCTGCCTCAGCCTCCCGAGTAGCTGGGACTACAGGCGCCCGCCACCGCGCCCGGCTAATTTTTTGTATTTTTAGTAGAGACGGGGTTTCACCTTGTTAGCCAGGATGGTCTCGATCTCCTGACCTCATGATCCACCCGCCTCAGCCTCCCAAAGTGCTGGGATTACAGGCGTGAGCATTGAGCTTTATTAAGTGTGTTGATACACAATGTTTTCATCTCTTCTTGTAATGAAGTAGAAAATTTAGTAAGCTAATAGATCATGTGATGAACAAAAATAGCAGTTCTCTAGTTAGATAGTGCCTCATTTTATAGGCATTTCTCAGAAGACACCTACACATCTTTATTATCCTTACAACAGCACAGATTGTAGTTAAGAAGAGCCATTATTTGGTGGGTCCAGACTGCTGGCTATGACAATGGAAAACAACTAAAGATTTTTAGGACACCAATTCATGATCCAAGCAAATTGATATATTTTTCATTTATTTTAACTTTTATTTTAAGCATTATCTCCCAAAATAAACACACATTGATATACTGATTTTTACTTTAGACTTTTTCTTGGAGGAAGATTATTAGCACTTAATATTCTGCGTAAGGAACTGTGCTGCAATAGACTTCCAATATGTAACTTCTTTGCCCCATCATGAACCACTGTGCTATTGTTGCCATCACCTAGTCAAGAATTCTTGTGTCTAAGCTGAAATCAGAAATGTCTGAAAGAAATCTTCTGTTCATCTTCATTGCCAGCACTAGAACATTATTGCCTGTCACCGTCACCTGCTCTGTTCAAAGGAATGAATTGGATGCCTCACGATCAGCTTGTTGCTTTTTTTTTTTAAACCAGTGGGTGGGGCGTGGGGACGGGGAACAACAACTTCCTAAGTCATGGATGTTCTTCAGAATAATAGAGGATAACTTACACAAACAAATCCAAAGCCACGTAGCTTCCACATCTTCCCTCCCCCCTCAGAACTATATGAAAATTTAAAAATTCTACTCGTCGAAAGTTACTGTTCTGAGAATAAAAAGGTAAACTGTAAACTCTGAAAAATGTTTACATATGCTATATTTAATAAAATACTTGGATCTGGAATAAATAATGCTGAAAATGCTAAACTCAAAAACAATTTTTTTAAAAAAAGGGCAAAAGATTTGAAGAGATGCTGTACTAAAGAAATTCATATGTCAAATAAATACTAAAGAAATGCTCAACGCCTTTAGTCATTAGGGAAATGCAAATTAAAAACACTACACACATATTAAAATAGGTAAAATTAAAAAGACATGCTAGTAAGTGTTTGTGAGGATGTGGAGGAACTGAAGCCATCATAAGCTGTTGGTAGGAATGAAAAAAATGGTACAAATCATTATGGAAAGTTGTTTGGTAGCTTCTTAAGAAATTAAACATACATTTACCAAATAATCAAGTCATTCCGCTTTTAGATATTTACCCAAGAAAAGTGAAATCATATACCCATGCAAATACCAGCACACACATGTTCATAGCACATTCATTTGTACTTATTACAGATACATCACACAATCCATAGGCTTCTTATACAACCTGCTAAAAGTTCCCATTGCGGTGTTGAGTTTCTGGGAACTATTTAATTGTTCTGTCAGATTTCCCTGCCTGTATCTGGGAGTTTCCTTTGATGCTTCTACTGTCTTACTTCCCATATTCAGTTTAACGTTAACACCTGTAAGTTTTTCTGGTAAGTCAGTATACTATTACAACCTACTAGTGGGTTATAACATCAATTTAATGGGTCATGAGTAGAATTTTTAAAAATTAGAACAGAAAGAAGATAATAAAATTATTCCAAAATTTTATTATGTTTTACCAGTGATAAAATTAATTTTATTTACAAGATTTTGTTTCACAGTCACAGACATACACTTACACAGAGTTGAATCTTTTAAAAAATGTAAATTCCAGTTACAAAATTATTGCAAACCGCTGCTTCAAATCGGACGCTTTCTCTTCATTTCTACCACTATCATACATCACACCTCTGAGCCACTCTCTACCTTCTCTTCTGCCTCTCTGCTTTCTCTCCAACACACTTTGAATCCACTGCCAGATAGCCACTAGAAAAATCTTTTTAGCATCTGAATCATATCGACCCTTTCTCTACCTTATGATTCTCCACTGGCATCCATGGCCTTTGGAGTAAAGTGATGCACACCCCCATGCCCACTGTACCTACATTTGAGGCTATAACATGACCTGGCTCCTGTTTCTCTTACCCCAGCCATAACCTCACTATATGCCTCCCACCCTTTCACTTCACTCTTTGTGATCCTACTGTCAATATCCCCATGTACCTCAGCACCTTCAAGCTCATGTTTACCTCTGCCTAGAATACTTTTCTTGACCTCTTAGCATTCCTGGATCCTTCTCATTTCTTCATGAATCAGTGTAAGTAATGCCCCACTTAGAGTTGTCTTCTTTGAATACCAACTGACTTCTGGATATCTCCAGTTGGATACTATACACGTATTTAGAATTTAACACATCGTTATTGAGCTCATTTTTGTTCATCCTTGCCTCCCTTTTCACACTACCATCAACAAAACTGTATATCTTTCCTATATCTCTACTTCTGTGAACGTCGCCACTTTTCTAGAGCCTGGACGCATCCGTATTCCTCTCATTCTCTCCACATTCACATCTATTCTATCTCCAAGTCTTTGAAGATTCTACTTCTGATACTGCCAGGTAGATGTCTCCTTTTTAATCAAATTGCTTAAGGCTGGGTGCGGTGGCTCACACCTGTAGTCCCAGCACTTTGGGAGGCTGAGGCAGGCAGATCTCTTGAGTATAGGAGTTTGAGACCAGCCTGGGCAACATGGTGAAACCCTATCTTCAGAAAAATACAAAAATTATCTAGGTGTGGTGGCACATGCTTGTAGTCCCAGCTACTCGGGAGGCTGAGGTGGGAGAATCACCTGAGCCTGAGGAGGTCAAAGATGCAGCGGACTGTGATTGGTGATCATGCCACTACACTGTAGCCTGGGTAAAGAGTGAGATCCTGTCTCAAAATAAATAAATAAATAAATACAACAAAAATAATCAAAGAGTTTAGTATATAAGTTTATATTCATGAAACAAATGAGAATATTTGAAGCATATAAATTCCTAGGATTTTTCAACTTTGTAGTTTTTATTGTCATGCTATGATATGATTTACAACATCCATACTTATCTCTACAGCAGCATAATGTCCAGTTACCGTGTGCATTCACAGCTTGGAGGATGGAGCATGAACCTAGATCATGCCTACATTAGGGCAGAGACCTCTAAGCCCAACAGTAAAGAAAGTATATCTGGAAAGTTCCAGCTCCCTAGGAGTTTCAACCACCAACTGGGCCTTGCACAGCTACACAGCAGTGCTGAACTTTATTTTTAATCTATCAATAAATTCCTGATTTGTACTAGTATTTTATTTTGTCCCTTTCCTTATATTACCCAACATTCTTTTAATATAACAAATGTTTGCCAGCTTTGTTTAAATTTCCAGCAAATTTAAATCAATTTTTTGTCAATCTCTCTAGATAAGTTGAATTAGTCTTAGCAAAAAATCTGGTGTTCTAAATTTGTTATAACTGGTTCAGTATTTCACTTGAATTTTTTACATATTAAAATAAAGTCTAGTTTCTTTGATAGTGTGTAGTCTCAGCTGAATTGAGTAAAATGCATCAGAATTTTTTTAAAAATTGCTCCCTTGAGGATGTTTATTTTTCATTAAGGAGTGAAGGTGTCGTTTCCAAACTTCTTATGTTGGAAACTTTGATAACAAGACAAAACGATATGTATATTGCTAAATGAATGGTAATTACAGGAGGTACAAAATAATTCAGGAGAGAGAAAGAAGTTTGTGTTGTGGTCAGGAAAGACTCAAGAAAGAAAGGAGAAAGGAGTTTAAAGTATAAATCAGGATAGTTCTAAAATATTATATTACTTGAGAGTATCAGATTCATCAGTTACACCATTAAAATATTTACACAATAACAGAAGGACTTACTATATTGCGATTTAAGGCTGGGCTGTAAGGTAATGAGGCATTGAAGTGTCACACATAAAATAAAAGGACAGGGTGGGTGCGGTGACTCATGCCTGTAATCCCAGCACTTTGGGAGGCCAAGGTGGGTGGATCGCTCGAGGTCGGGAGTTCGAGAGCAGCCTGGACAACATGGTGACACTCCCGTCTCTACTAAAATTACAAAAAAAAAAAAATGCCTGGTGTGGTGGTGGGCACCTGTAATCCAACGACTTGGGAGGCTGAGGCAGAAGAATCACTTGAACCCAGGAGGTGGAGGTTGCAGTGAGCTGAGATGGCGTAACTGCACTCCAGCCTGGGCAACAAGAGCGAGTCTCCATTTCAAAAAAATAAAAATAAATAATAATTGAAATAAATATATAAATAAATAAAATGACAATATATTAAGCCATTAACACTAGCTATCTCTGGATTAAAACGGTCGTGTAACAATTATTGGGGACTTTCAAACTTTTTCTGTAAAAGGCCAAGTAGTAAATATTTTACACTTTACAAACCACCCAGTTAGTCACTATCACAACTACACAACTCCATTGCAGTGAGAAAGCCACCATAAACAACATGTAAACAGGTGAGTGGGAGTGAGTTCCAGTAAAAGGTTATTTGCTCAACAGGCAGCAGCAGCACTTGGCCTGAAGGTCCTATTTTGCTAACCTCTGCTTTACACACAGATGAATTATTAGACAACTTTGATAATGATTATATATTAATTTCAATTAAAAAAAGAATTGAATATTACAAGTTTTTAAACCACATTATGGAAAAAGTAGCAAAGGAGGAGACATTTAGTTTTCATTTTCAGATATTGCTCACACAGCAAGTTAAGACAAAGAGATCAGAATTAATAAACATATGTCCATTAGTTCAATGTTTCTCTGTTGCCACAACTACAGGATCATTATATGAAATACGAGATGAGTTTGGAGGTTCAAGGGCAACTATTTGTCCAGGCTTCCCACTGAGGCGACTGAGGAAGTTCTTGGTACTGTTCCCTCCTTGCTGCTCAGGCTGCTGGAAGAAATGGCTTGGTATGAGCTGATATCCATCTGTATGTGACTGAGGTGGAGGCCACAAGAATCATGGCATTCTTTCACAACTGGAAATGGCAAAAAGAATGTGGTAGTGTGGAGGAGATTAATGCTCCAGGCCCCTCTATTTTCGCTGTTCCTCTCCCTTTACCAGGGCAGTTACAACCCTAGCTTATTAGTGTTAAAAGAAAAACTTCAGAAAAATTAAATTTAACAGCGTTTACTTGAAGAAAGAATAATTTGCAAATCAGGAAGTTCCCTGAACCAGAATAGGTTCTAAGCAACTCAGGCAGTGCTGCATGGTTAAAGAGGATTTTTGGACCGAAAAAACAAAATGATATATAGAAAACGGAAGGGAGGTACAGAAACAACCGTACGAGGCGACCACCTTATTGGAGCACAGTTTGAACAGTTGGCTGCCTGTGAGTGACAAGTATGGCTGCTGAGATTGGCTGAGACTGGGCTATTTCTTACAAGTGTAGGTTACCGTCCACTTACAAATCCAGTTACGCTTCAGTTTAGTACATAAGGAGAACCAAAATTAAAATATGTAAGGAAGCAGCTTTAGGCCAAATGTAATATAACAGTAGGACACCATAGTAGGGAGTGATAAGGGGGGAAGATGAAGTTATTTTAATTTCATAGGTTTCTTAGAATCCATTTTCCTGAAATAAGGGTGAAGTGGGACCCAAGTCTGGGATGAGTGGGCATGAGTGAGTTTATATCTACTTTGTTCTCCTCCTCCACTTAACAGTCAGGCTGCCCACCTGTATTAAAATTTGAAGTAAGAATTTGAATATGTCATAATATTAATTACCGCTCTATACATCTACCATCTGGTATTCCTATGCTAATTGATATCAAAGGAAAACACAGAAACTTATTGCAGTAAACACACTCATCTTCATCTTAAAGAAAGCAATGCTGAGGCCAATGCTGAGTTCATTGACAATTGATATTTGATAATTTCATTTATTCATTCAGAAACATTTTTCAGTTATGCATTTAATAGATTAGATTTTCATAATTTGCATTTAAGTTCTTATTTTTATTAATTTTTAAAGTATTGAATGATACTTTATTTTTATTGTTTTCTTTCTTCAATTACCATCCATTTGCAGAAAGTAATAAAGTTTACTTTCCAAGTAATTTTATTTTATTTTTTATTTTATATTTATTTATTTATTTTTTGAGACAGAGTCTTGCTCTTGTTGCCCAGGCTGGAGTGCAATGGCGCAATCTCGGCTCACCATAACCTCTGCCTCCCGGGTTCAAGCGATTCTCCTGCCTCAGCCTCCGAGTAGCTGGTTATACAGGCATGCAACACCTTGCCCAGCTAATTTTGTATTTTTAGTAGAGACAGGGTTTCTCCATGTTGGTCAGGCTGGTCTTGAACTCCCAACCTCAGGTGATCCGCCTGCCTTGGCTTCCCAGAGTGCTGGGATTGTGGGCGTGAGCCATGTGCCCAGCCAATTTCATTTATTTTTAAGGTGGAATTTATTTAATAAATAGTCTGGCAAAATTTTTAAAATTGATACTCGTATAAGTTAAGTTTGATGAATATTGCATTATCTGATCTTATAGGAGGCCTCATATATGAGCCTTCTTCTGTTGTTATTTTTCAGATAAAGACAACTAGGGGTCATAAAGAGTATTAAATTATTTAAGATCATGTTAATGATTTTTAAAAGTGACAAAAGGTGAAGATAACTATGCCTACGTTAAAAAGAACATTTACTGATCATCACTTTATTTTAAAGCTGAATAAGAAATAAAAGCTGACCAGGTGCAGTAGCTCAGGCCTGTAATCCCAGCATTTTGAGAGGTCAAGGCAGACTGATCATTTGAGGTCAGCAGTGTGAGACCAGCCTGGACAACATGGTGAAACCCCATCTCTACTAAAAGTACAAAAAATTAGCCGGGTGTGATGATAGCGTGCTTCTGTAATCCCAGCTGTTTGGCAGGCTGAGGCACAATAATCACTTGAACTTGGGAGGTGGAGGTTGCAGTGAGCCGAGATCACGCCACTGCACTCCAGCCTGGGCAACAGGGCAAGACTGTGTCTCAGAAAAAAAAAAAAAGAAAAAAAAAGAAAAAAGAAAAAATAAATAAAAGCTACCTGAGGAACCTGCAGTCCTATTAATGAAAATCATGTAAGCTCATCCTTGAGCTATAATGTGCTCAGTGCCTTAGCAGAAATAACTTCAAAGGGATGCCAAAGAGAAGGTAAAATGATGTACCTATATTGTCCTGTCTGGGAAGTGAAAAAGTGAAATTGTACAATCTGGTTCAAACAATGGAAATATTTAAAAATGTTATGAATTAGAAAGTAAGAAACTGGAATTTTCCCACCTACTGACTTCAGAGTGCTTTATATTGATTACATTTTTACATTCCATTTGATGAAAATTATTGCAGTATCTCAAGGAATTAATGATATCTGTCAAACTTGGGTGGAATCAGAAATTTAGCCCCCTTTTAAAGCAGGCAATATTCTCACTTCACTAGGCTATTCCTGACCCCTCCTTGCTTCAGAACAGAGAATCCCCAGATGCTTCCTGTTTGAATTTCTGAGTTCTGGACCTGAACTAAACACAACTCATAAAGTATAAGCTGGAGAGAGGCTAGACAGAACAATGTGAAATAAGCCTCCACTTACTGGATTTGAAATGCTATTGAGAACTGAGCCAATGCAACTTATTTCTATCATTTAACATTATCTTGGAATATTAAAACAAGCTAACAAAAAGAGAAAATCCTTGAAAAGTTGACTTTCATATTGTTTTTCCTGGGCAAACTATATCAAAACTGGCACTGCTATACTTTTAGGGATTTATATGACATTTACTATTAGTCTGGTTACCAAGTGTAGCACAGTCTTGGTGCAGAGTACGCCAAACCAAAAGCTGCCCTTTGGCCAGCCACTCTAGGTTAAATGTGGTTTCACTTTTACTGGTGTTGTGTGTGTGTGTATGTGTGTGTGTGTGTGATTGTACTTAAAAAACAAACATGGCACTGACATACCTAACTGAAAATCGAATATGCTTGGATCGGGTCATTATGACTGAGCCAACTTGCTTGGTAAATCTTCAAAGTCAATGATAAGACAAGGCCTAGTTAAAAATTATTCCTTAACATGCTACATTGACAAAATACATGTAGTCAGATTTATGTAGGTTTTAACAATGTTAAATGTAATAGCTGCTATTGCTTTTACCTCAATTTCCTACTAGTTTCTTTCTGGGAAAACTGGGTATTCCAAGTCAATAGCGTGCCACTCACAGAGCTGTAGCTCAGTTTGGGAAAGCAGCTGCAGACTGTCAGCCTGTTAATTGGGGATGAAAAAAGCATTGTCATCATCATTCTGGAAGATTATTCAAGGATCAGACATAAAGTTCTTTCTTTAAAGTCAAACAAAACTAAATTAATTTAGAAAAAAAACTCATGATATTGAGCTACCACACAGAACCCACAGGCTGATGCCAAATGCCACATTAGGGCATAATGGGAATCCCTAGTCTCTGATGTTGACCAGATGTAAATTTCAAACCGCTTACTAGTTCTATTAATAGTAACACTCTGAAAAAAAAATGCTTACGTTTTCTGATCCTTTGTTTACTCATGTTTTCAACTGAACTAATTATATCTTTTGAGGATATTTATTTGCTCAATGAACCATTTATTGAGACTTATAGCTATGGTTGTTGTAAAGATTAAATAAAATGATATGAAGCAAGTAGCAGGCACTCGAAAACCATAACTATTTTCCCTTCCTTTTCTTGAAAATTAGCACTTACCACCAGCCTGTAATTTATTATATACTAGAATTTCCCAGAATGAAAGGCAGAGAAAAGTGAAGTCGCAGATAAAATTACTTAAAGTGTGTCACAGTATTTTTTGAAGCAACAGCATTATCATTGCAGCCTATATGTCCATGCCATATTTATTGAGCATCTACTATATGCTAGACACTGTAATAAGCATAAGAATATAAAGAATAAATAAAGTCTATACACCCAAGGTGATTCAACTTAAAGATGAAGCATTACTATGGAAGCAACTCATATGAATTAAATCCCAGGGAAAATAATATTGTTTTATATAGTAATTTATATAATTTATTTACATAATTTACTAATTATATAATTGCATAATCAATTATATTTTATAAAATACAATCTAATATATAAAGATATAAAGATTTTATATAATTAACATAAAACATGACAAATGCATATTATATATTTTATATAATTACAATATAATTATTTAATAACTGCATGTATTTGAAAAAAACACTACAGAAGACATAATGTTGAAAAGCATCATTCTTCCTCTGTACCTCAGTACTATTTTCTAGAAATAGAATTCTATCAAGTTTTTAATATTTTTAATTATGCTAGTGATAACCTTGAATTATCAGTTTGAACAGTTAGCTCCTGCCCACTTGATTATTTGAGCTCATTCTTGCCATCATGTTCTTCTACATATTCTCCTTTAAATGTTGTTTTTTCTAGGATTATTTATATTAGTATTACAATAGTAATTTTAAGTAACTGATTTAAATCTCTGCTCTTGTTCAATTAACTTTCAACAATATCCCTTGCCTCCTATTTTTTAACAACTTATTTTTCCCTCCAACTTTCCCGCCAATTTCCACTGTCATGCCCCATCCTTGGTGAGCTCTTATTCCATGACATCAGTGTTAATACATGAATCTCTTTTGCAATTCCAACCAAGTCTTACAAGATTTGTTCACTCTAAAGGTTGGAAATAAATAAACAGGATCAGTGAATTATGTGACTATAAAAATATTGTTGACTGCTGGCCAAAAAATATACAAGGATTATATTTCTTTTCCTGTGTCCCAATGTCAGGAACCCTGGACTATACAAATAAAATGTTACTAACACTATTTTTTAAGACACAAACTCCACTCTTTAAAATCATGCCACATTTTAGTTTGCTTCATATTTGGAGTATAATTTACTTGTGCAGCTTTTAGAAGTTTGTTCCCCTGGTGTTTTAGATTCTTTGTTGTGTACTATTTGCCTTTATTATAACCTCATTTTTTTTTCGTATTTTTCAGTTGTGTCATGATTTCCAATGGTTCTCAAAGTGTGGCCTGCAAAATCTTGTGGTTCTCCAATACCCCTTAGGGGACTTGAAAGACAAAATTATTTTTCATTATAATAATTTACTGTGTGCAAAAGCAATGCGGGGTATAACTGGTAATAACCCGTACTAGGCATCTGTCATGACTGCACACTGGCAGTTGGGGAGAAAAAGAAAAAGCTGAATGTCCTTGCTGAAGCAGTTAAAAATGTTAAATTTATTCAGTCTCAATCCCTGAGTGCACATCTTTTTAATATTCTGTGTGATAGATTGAAGGAGTGCTTACAAAGCACTGCTGTTACACACGGAAGTATCCTGGATGCCTCTTGAGAAAAATACCTTGTGGTGGAATGGCTAAATCACATAGTAAGTGTACATTTACCTTTTTAAGAATTGCAAACTTCTGTTCAAAGTAGTCATCCTATTTTACAATTCTACTGACAGTGTTCCAGTTCCCCTACGTCCTTCGCAATACTTGGTAATAGTTTTCTTAAATTTAGTCTTTCAAATATGTGTGTAGTGATATTGTGGTCTTATTTCACATTTTCCTAATGAATAACATTCAACATCTTTTTGTTTGCTTATTTGCCATCTTTATAACTTCTTTGGTGAATTAGTTGTTCGAATCTTTTACCTATCTTTTTATTTTTTTTTAGTTGTTTTTGTTTTGTTTTAATGGAGTTTTAAGAGTTCTTTATATATTTTTATTAATATCCTGTATTAGACATATCATTTGAATTTATTTTCTCCCAGTCTGTGGCTTGTCTTTACATTCTCTTAACATTGTATGCTGACACACAGATGTTTTAAATTTTGATGCAATACAGCTTATCAGCTTTTTATGAATTGTGCTCTTTTTTTCTTATATGAAAAAGTCTTTGTCTAGCCCATGGAAATAAATGTTTCCCCTATTACAAGAAGTCTTATTTTTTTTTTATTTTCCGATAGATCTAAAAAATGTTTTAAGTTAATTTTTGTGTATAGTGTAAGGTATTGATCAATATTCATTTTTGTTTTGCATTTAAATAGCCAACTAGTTTGTCACCATATGATGAAAAGACTATTATTTCCCCATGAATTGCTTTTGAATCTTTATTGAAAAGCAGTTGCCCAGTTACAGTATGGGTTTGTTTCTAGACCATGTATTGTGTTTCATTCATGTAGTTTTCTTTCTTTAGACCAATATATGTTCTTGATTATGGTAGCTTTATAATGATTATTGAAATCAGGGAATGTTCTCAAACTTTGTTCTTCTTATTCAAAGTTGTTTTGGCTACTTCAGATCATTTGAATTTCAACCTGAATTTTAGAATTAGCATTACCAATTTCTACAAAAATATCTGTTAGGACTTTAATTGGGACTACACTAAATTTATAGATTAGTTGAACTGGAAATTCCTGAATGTCCAGGCAGAAGTTTGCTGCAGAGGTGGAGCCCTCATGGAGAACCTCTACGAGGGCAGTGCAGAAGGGAAATTTGGGGTAGGAGCACCCATATGGAGTCCCCACTGGGATAATGCCTAGTGAAGCTGTGAGAAGAGTGCGCTATGCTCTAGACCCCAGAATGGTAGATCCGCTGACAGCCTGCACCATGTGCCTGGAAAAGCCACAGGCACTCAATGCTAGACTGTGAAGGCAGCTGTGAGCACTGTACCCTGCAGAGACATGGGAGCAGAGCTGCCCAAGGCTTTGGGAGCCCACTCATGATAGTGAGTTCTAACATGATCTCGTTGTTTAAAATTATGTAGCACTTCCCCCTTTAATCTCTCCCTCTTCTGCTCCACTACGTGAAGATTATGATTGCTTCCTTTTTGCCTTCTGCCATGATTGTAAGTTTACTGAGCCATCCCAAGCAATGCCTCCAGTACAGCTTGTGGAAATGTGAGTCAATTAAACCTCTTTTCTCTATAAATTACCCAGTCTCAGGTATGTCTTTATAGCAGTGTGAGAATGGACAAATACAAAAGGGCTCAAGTTTCTACATCCTTACCAATTTCTACTTGTGCAATTTCTTTTTGAGAAAGTGATAATTGAAATATGTGACTATAATTGTGGATATTTTTACTCTTCTTACAATTCATTAAGTTTTTATTTCATGTATTTTTAAGCTCTGTTATTGGGTTATAAATATTTAGGAATGCTATGAGGTCTTAATATATATGCCCTTCATTGTTATGAACTAGAGTTCTTTATCAGAGAGTATATTTTTTTCTCTGAAATCCACTTCTTCCAATATTAATATAACCATTGCAGCTTTCTTTTGATTAGTATTATCATTGTATATATCTTTCTATCACTTTACTTTTTTATTTAATTGTGTCTTTATACTTGAAGTGTGTTTCTTACAGGAAGCATATAGATTGGTGTTGGTTTTATATCTAATCTGACAAGTTCTTCCTGATCATTGTGATACATAGTGCATTTATATTAAATATGATTATTGATATGGTTAGGTTTAAGTCTATTGTCTTTCTATATGTGTTCTACTTGTTTTGTCTGTTCCTTATTATTTTCTTTTCTTCTTTTTCTATCTAGTTCTCTACTACTGGAGAATTCTTCCATGAATAAAGCACCCAAAAAAGTTAAAATTTTTGACATAGTTTTGCTTCTAGTGACTATTAGCAGAAGTTTATATTAACATCTTTGCAAAGACATTTAATCATCCTATATAATTATTAAAGGTTCTAATTAATTAATTCATATATTTTGCAGTCTATTAAATTATCAGGATACAGGTATTGATATAGAAAATTGAAATGAACTTTTCTTTAACTCCTAACAAAAAATTTAAAGGCATGATTTTTATAACTCCTGCTGCAAACAAGTATTACATAAAATATATTTTATTGATTCAAATATTAAAATTCCAAGAAACTTTCAATGAACTGAAATACAATAGAGTATGACTTTTACAGAACTCATTAATTTCTAAACATCAGCAGTAAGTGCAAACCTTTTTCAAAGCAAATTAGAGGAAGCTGAAAGAAATTCTGACATTATGCACTTTGAAAACGGAGATGTTTGGATGACTTCAATGCTCACGGCTTAAGAGTTCTTAAAATAGGAAGGCCTGTTCTCTAGATTTCACTGAGGCAAAATTGGCATAGACCCTGGCCTGCCTGGAAAAACTCCATTGTGTTGATGTATAAAGCAGAGCTAAAGACCTGTCTCCTTGGCATAATGTGGCCGTATAGAGAAGAACGCATATGGCTGTAGTTTAAATAGATTTTTCCTCAATTAATGTTCCTGCTGCTTTGAGGTTTAGGGATTTTTTTCCCCAAAACCTTGAAAATATTTACACAACTTATGGCTAATAAATTTTTCTAAAAGTATTGGGGGAACCCATCCCTGATAATTCAATGTGAGTCCTTTTCTATTTTCCCTAAGTGTCAGCCGGTCTGAGAAATAAAGGGAAAGAGTACAAAAGAGAGAAATTTAAAAGCTGGGTGTCCGGGGGAAACATCACATGTCAGCAGGTTCCGTGATGCCCCCTCAGCCATAAAACCAGCAAGTTTTTATTAGCAATTTTCAAAGGGGAGGGAGTATGCGAATAGGGTGTGGGTCACAGAGAACACATGCTTCAAGGGTGACAAAAGATCACAAGGCAGAAGGTCAGGGAGAAACTAGAATCACCAATGAACTTCCATGTCTTGCTGTGCACGCATTGTCAGGGTTCAAGAGCAGAGAACCGGTCTGACTAGAATTTGCCAGGCTGGAATTTCCTAATCCTAGCAAGCCTGGGGGCGCTGCAGGAGACTAGTGCATGTTTCATCCCTATCTACATCTGCATAAGGCAGACTCTCCCAGGGCAGCCATTTTAGAGGCCCCCTCCCTGGGAATGCATTCTTTTCCCAGGGCTGTTAATAATTAATATTCCTTACTGGGGAAAGAATTCAGTGATATATCTCTTATTTCATATTGTTTAAGCAATTTGTGCAGTTAACACAATCATCACAGGGTCCTGAGGTGACATACATCCTCAGCTTATGAAGATGACGGGATTAAGAGATTAAAGATAGGCATAGGAAATCACAAGAGTATTGATTGGGGAAGTGATAAATGTCCATGAAATCTTCATAATTTATGTTCAGAGACTGCAGTAAAGACAGGCGTAGGAAATTATAAAAGTATTAATTTGGGGAACTAATAAATGTCCGTGAAATCTTCACAATTTATGTTCTTCTGTCATGGTTTCATCCAGTCCCTCCATTCGGGGTCCCTGACTTCCCACAACATAAAAGACTTAGGCCCAAGAAAATAAAGAAGACACTTTGGGAGGCCAAGGCAGGCAGATCACGAGGTCAGGAGATCAAGACCATCCTGGCCAACATGGTGAAACCCCGTCTCTACTAAAAATACATAAAAATTAGCTGGGTGTGGTGGCATGCACCTATAGTCCCAGCTACTCGGGAGGCTGAGGCACGAGAATCACTTGAAACCAGGAGGCAGAGGTTGCAGCGAGCCGAGATCAAGCCACTGCACTCCAGCCTGGGAGACAGAGCAAGACTCTGTCTCAAAAATAAATAAATAAATAAAAGAAAATTAAGAAGACATAATACAATGTGCCTAGAACAATAATTAATAAAACCTTTAAAGTGTTTTCTTCATTGCTGGTATCATGGGGCCTGGCCCAAATTGTTACAAAGAGGAAGCTGTCAGAAAGCATTTTAACATAAATAAATGTGAAATTATGCCACCTTTCCTTCAGAAGAGAAAATTGTGCCATGGCATTTTCTCTTAGTGACTTTTTCTGACTGCAAGGTTGCCATTCAGTATAGAAAACATTGAACCACACCATAAAAGTTATGGTCATTATCTGGGTTAGGAAGAGGAAACTCATCTTATCATCCCCAACAAGAATTTGCAATAGTGTTGTGGAAACACAACATAAAAAGATGACTCACGATAAAATGAAATAGTAGACTCCATAAGAGCTACAGAAATTGAGAAGAGTGAGCATTTAGGGACGTATCAGGTAGAAAGTAGGATGCAGGTTGTTGACATTTGTGTCAGAATGAGAATGAGAATACAATACTTTAATTGGGAGTGTGGGTCATACAATCCCGGAGGCAAGCTCTGTGAACAAATCGGTAGTTTTAATTTGCTGGATCTATGCAGGTTCTTTTCTGCAGTGAGTGAGTAATCTGAAGAGGTATTTGACAGTTACATTAGAAAAAAGCATGGAAAAATGGTGTAAGAAAATTATTCTAGCAGTGTTTCACAGGATTGATTGGAAAGATTAGAAAGTGGAAGCAGAGTGACAATTAGCAGGCATCAGCAATACCCTCAGGTGTGAGGCGATCAGTACCTGGTGGTGATGAAGGGAATTCAATAAAAAGAATGGATAAAAGAGTGATTAAAATGTAAGACTGGATATGGAGACAGAGAACAGTTGAAGTAATTATTCCAAGAGTTAAAGACCACTTTTCTTTAAGAATGAGTTCACATATCTTTGGAATTGGAAAATATGCATTTTGGAAAATAATGGTAAACTCAGTTTTAGAAACGTTGTGTTTTGAGGTGAAAGGTCAATGGGAATAATTTTGTAGCAAGTTGTGTAACATCCAAGTCAGACATTTAAATATAATGCAGTGATAATGTTAAACATTAGACTATATAGAATTGACAAATAAAATTACAAAAGTAGGGTTAAGTATAGTGTAAATTGTGTGAGATAAGTACAGACCCACATTTAAGTGGGGAGGGATGAAGCAGATTTGATGGGGAATAGGTCAGAGAGATTGAAAAACTAAAATACTTTAGTGTAATGTAAATAATGTTTTAAGGTTGGATTAACACAGTCCATGTTTTAATGTATAGTCTTATAATAGATGCCTAAGATTAAAATCTTTAAGGATTTTATGTTCCTTTCTTATTGCTCTCAGATACATTATAATTTCCTTGAGGCTTATTACAGCTTAGACTTCATATTGCTATACATTTAGCTCTCTTTTGACAGATTTATAAATGGCATTAAGGAAATGTTAATTAGAAAATTCAAAAGAGAAGAGAATTGTTTTCTTACCAAAATGTTATTTTCTCGTGGAGGCCAACTGTGTACATACACACACACACACACACACACACACACACACACACACACACAGACACACACACACACACAGAGAGTTTACTATTGATTAGCTTGTAATCTAATAAAAAAGTGAGAAAGGGCTATAAACAGATACAATGTAGTATCTTAAATACCTAAGTACAATAGGAACATGGAACTACATTTGCTTTATTCACTGTTGTGTACAAAGTATATAGCATAGTACTTGGGCCAGAGTAGGTGGTCAATAAATGTTTGACTCTAAATAAACCTTTGAGTGTTTTAGAATTGTACCTTCAATAACAGTAGACAACTTTGTTGCAGAGGAATTCTCCCATGGTTTAAAAAAATAGGTAACATGAAAAAATTATACTTAAAAACTCTATTTGATCATTAGGGAATTAAAAATTAAAATGACAATAAGATATGACTACACATCTCTTAGAGTGACCAAATTTCAAAACACTGACAAATACCAAATGCTAGTGAAGATGTGAAAAATAGGAACTTTCCTTAATTGCTGGTGAGAATGCAAAATGCTCCAACTACTTTGGAAAAAAAGTTTGTCAGTTTTTTACAAAACTAAACATACTTTTACTATATGATCCAGAAATTGTCTTCCTTGGTATTTATTCAAATGAATTAAAAACTTTAGTCTGCACAAAACTTGCATACAGATGTTTATAGTAGCTTTGTTTATAATCACCAAAAACTGGAAGCAACCAATATGTCCTTCAGCATATGAATGGGTAAATAAATTGTGGTACGCCCAGAAAATAGAATATTTTTCAGTGCTAAAAAGAAATGAGCTACCAAGCCATGAAAAGGTGAGGAAAAACCTTAAATGAGTAGTGCTAAGTTGAAGGAATCCAATATAAAAAGTTTAAATATTATATTATTCCAACTACAAAAAAAATGTGGAAAGGCAAAACTTTGTTGGCAGTAAAAATATTGATGATTGTTGGGTTTATAGTGGGGAAGGAATCAAAGGATGGAACACAGAGGATTTCTGAGACAGTGAAAATTCTCTACAGCATACTATAATGGTAGGTACACGTCATTAATGTATTTGCCCAAATCCACAGCATTTAAAACAGAGAGTGATGTACTCTTATGTAAAGTATAGATTTTTGATGACAATGTGTCAATGTAGGTTCATTGATTGTAACAAATGTGCTATTCTGATGCAGATATTGATAGTGAGAGAGATGTTGGGGTGAAAGAGCAGAGGGTATAAGGGGATTTTATGTACTTTTCATTTAGTTTCACTGTGAAACTAAACCTGGTCTAAAAATAGTCTATTAAAAAATAGGTTAAAATAAATTAAAGAACTCCAAAGTAAATGTGTTTATGGATAGGAAAATTTACTGTTATTATCCCATATTCAAGGATTAGAAAACCTACTATTATTAAGATAGCAATATCTACAGATATCAAAGTGATCAACACAATCCCTATCAAAATTCTGACAATGTTTTTGGCAGAAATGACAAAATCCAATCTTCAATTTATATGAAATTGCAAAAGTCTCCAATTATCCAAAGCAATAATGAAAAATAAGAAAAAAGTCAGACTCACATTTTCCGATTTTAAAAGTGTATTAAAAGCCATTGTAATCAAAACAGTATAGTACTGACATAGGCTTGAAATATGGACCAGTGAAATATAATTGAGAGTTTAGAAATAAAACTATAAACATCTATGTTCAATTGATTTTTGACAAGAGTCCCAAGATCATTCAAAGGAGAATGAATAGTCTTTTCAAAAACTAGTTCTGAGAAAACTGGGTATCCACATACAAAGAATGAAGCTGAACTCCTACCTGCTACCACACCACATAAAAATTAACTCAAATGGATTAACAACCAAGAAATGAAAGCTAAAACTATAGAGCTCTCAAAACAAAATGTAGGAGTAAGTATTTATGACCTTAGATTCCTTAGATTAGGCAATGAATTCTTAGATATGACACCAACACCATGAAAAACAAAAGACAAAATAAATCAGACTTCATCAAAATTATGAACTTGCATGCATCAAATAATATATTTAACAAAGTAAAAAGACAACTTACAAAATGTGAGAAAACCCTTTTTTTAATTTTTATTTTTTTTTGAGACAGAGTGTCGCTCTGTCACCAGGCTGGAGTGCAGTGGAGCGATCTCGGCTCACTGCAACCTCCACCTCCTGGGATCAAGCAATTCTCCTGCCTCAGCCTCCCAAGTAGCTGGGACTGCAGGCCTGCGCCACCACACCCAGCTAATTTTTTGTATTTTTAGTAGAGATGGGGTTTCACCATGTTGGCCAGGATGGTCTCCATGTCTTGACCTCGTGATCCACCCGCCTCAGCCTTCCAGTGTGCTGGGATTACAGGTGTAAGCCACCGTGCCTGGCCAGAAAATACTTTCAAATCATGTATCTGCAAAGAGTAGTGTCCAGAATACATAGAGAACTCTTACATAGAGAATCCAGAATACATAGTGAACTCAACAACAAAAAAGACAACCCAATTTAAAAATGGGCCCACTACTTGAATAGCCATTTCTCCAAAAAAGAAATACAAATGGCCAATGAGTACATAAAAAGATGCTCAAGGTTTGTCATTAGGGAAATTCAAATCCAAACCACAATGAGATGCCACTTTATACCCACAAGAATGGCTGACTAGTATCAAAACAAACAAAGAAAACATAAGAAGCGTTGGAAAATGTTAAGAAATTGGAATTGTCCTACATTGCTCTAGGAATGTAAACTGGTTCAGCCACTGTGGAAGACAGTTTGATGGTTTCTCAAAAAGTTAATCATAGGAATATCATATGACCCATCAATTCCACTCTTAGGTGTATACCCCCCATAACCAAAAACCCATATTTAACAAATACTTGGACCCATAGGTTTATAGCAGCAATATTCGTAAAAGCCAAACGGTAGAAACACTCCAATGTCCATCAACAGATGAATGAACAAAAATGTGGCCTCTATATAAAATGGAATACTATTCACCCATAAAAAGGAATAAAGTACTGATACACGTTAAAGCAAAAACGAACCTGGAAAACATCATGCTAAGTGAAAAGTGAAACACAAATGTCACATACTGTATAATTTCCATCACATGAAATACCCAGAATAGAAATTCATGGAGACAGAAACTAGATTGGTGGTTTCCAGGGGCTATAGAAGGGTAAAAGAGAGTACTTGTTTAATGAGTATAGTGTTTTCTTTTGGGACGATGTTTGGAATTAGATAGAGATAGTGATTGCCCAAAATTGTGAATGTACTAAATGCCACTGAATTGTTCACTTTAAAAGGGGTTAATTTTATGTTGTGTAAACTTTACCACATTTTTAAAAAGCACCCCTGTTTTAAGATATCAGAGAGCAAACAGCATAGGTAGGACTTGATAAGCCAAGGTCCTCAGGAGAAGAAAAGTGAAAATAAGTCATCCTGACATTTAGTGATAATTCCAGGCATCAACTAAGAGGCTAAATGACTGGACTGAGAGAAAATAGTTGACAGAACTTGAAGCTCAGTATAACTTTCAGCAATGTGTTGGAGCTCAAGGTGAGTGCAGGATATGGGGCAAAAATTAAAGTTCTTGTCTCCAATAATGAAGAGAAACCCAAAGAGTTGCAAGAATAAGGAAGAATTAGAAATAGATCATCCCTACAATAGATTAAAACTCAGCTTCAGATTACTTCATTCCTAATTGAATTAAGGCTATATGCCGTACCCTAAAAGAATTTCAGAAGGAAACAAATCCTTTCTGGAGAAAGACAAAATCATCCAGATCTCCAGTGCTAATGAATGTCTTTGTCAAGGTAATGAGACCAAAGATGGGGCCCAAAATAATAGACTTAAAGCGAAATTAACTGAACTATCTACCGTCAGTTTCAGTGTTAAAATAGAGAATAAAGCAGAAGGAAGAGGCAAATTTGACTTCAAATTCTACCTCGGGCATCTAGGAGGATGGCAGTGGTATAAATTGAGTAGGACATAACACAGGAGGAGTGGGTCTAGGAAATGAAAGAGCTAATAAGCTTGGATGGGGATTTATTACACTTTGAAGTATCTGTGGATTTATTCCAGGTGGAGATGTGTCCTATTACAGGAAAAGCGTCTAGGAAAACAATATTTTTTATATGTCTGGACCTGACTGTTTGCATTTGCCATCACTGGCAGCCTGGATATGCATGATGTGAACGCTTTGCCACCTGTTACTGTTCATCTGAAATAGCTATGTGGTGAAAGTCTAAAACATACAAATTGTCATATTGGTAATGAGCTCTTCTAAGTGCATAAAGGAAAAGCAAATTTATAAAAGAGAAGTGGAAGTATTACTTTACATATTTGAAGTAAAATTCATAAAACTCGTAGTCCATTTGTTGAATCTCAGTATGGTTTTCCCACTCAACTGGAAACGTGATGCTACTGAAACATCAGTATAGGCTGGAAATATATTGTCTCCTTTAGTTTGCAACTTTACAGAAGACATTCCTCTCTCAATTCCGGCCTATATATAATGATTTAATAATATTTGAAAACTGTGGATAACTAAACAGATTTACATTTTTAATTGCTTGCAAGCTTTAATATGATTTATAATTACATGAATATGCTAAATTCTATGTGATCTTTTCTCTTTCTCTCTCTTGGCATATTTACATAAAAATCCCTTTCCAATAAATGGTAATTATTTTCATGGTGAAAAATGAGTCTATAAATCACTCCTAGGCTATATGAAGAACAAATATTTAGTGAAAAATGATTAAGCCATTCATAAATTTGTTATCCAAAGGAAAATAATGCATTTTTACATTCAACACAAGCATATATCTTATAAATATATTATTTTCTTGATTATAGTAAAGAAAGTAGGGTAGAGATCTAAAAGTAGTGTTTATTTTCAATGAATAAGAAATGGGGATGGGGGACTACAAACACTTTAACTGCAGGAAAAGTTTCCACCTTGATTTTGATAGAAAAGCCAAATGGTTAGTTTGGATAATAATTACTATTATTATTTATTGAAACTTTCAGAAAGGTGGTGAAAGAGTATAAGAGCCAATCCTGCTAACTGTTTCAGAACCTCAGTTCAGCTATTTAGATTTTATCCCCTCCTGGTGTCTTTCCCTTAGACAGCTTTCTAGTGCAGAGGAGAACCTGTACCATCCTGCAGAGGCTCTGTATAAGCAGAACCTGAAAGAATAGGTGCAGGCTTGTTAATTGCGGTCAAGGAAGGCATTCCAAGCAAAAGGAGGAATGAATTCTGCCAGATAAGTGTTCAAGATAAGCTACAAAGCTACAAAAACAAACAAATGAAACTTGGAGCATTTGCTACAATGTTAGCAGAAGAAAAAAAAATATTGCGGCCAGGCCCTGTAGGCTCATGCGTGTAATCCCAGCACATTGGGAGGCCAAGGCGGGTGGATCATCAGGTCAAGAGATCGAGATCAGCCTGGCCAACATGGTGAAACCCCGTCTCTACTAAACATACAAAAATTAGCTGGGCGTCGTGGCGCGGGCCTGTAGTCCCAGGCACTCAGGAGGCTGAGGCAGGAGAATCCCTTGAACGTGGGAGGCAGAGGTTGCAGTGAGCCAATATGGTGCCATTGCACGCCAGCCTGGTAACAGAGTGAGACTCTGTGTCAAAAAAAGAAAAAAAAATTGTAATCCAAGGTTTGGAGATGTGACTGTACCACACAGAACTAGTAAATTGTGACTACAATGTCTGGGGTTTCTGGGAGTGGCTGGAAATACGCTAGGAAGATTCCTTAACATTTTCTGTATAATAATTTAATGAAATAAGTTAAAATCATTTTCCTGCAAAAATATATGAAGACATATAAGGGCTGTAGCTATAATCAAACAGACTGATATATCCTGGATTATTAAAATTACTTCTCTACATGTTTCATGTAAAACCTACTGTTGGGAAATATACATTTGATTATATTTTGAATTATAAAAATATTTTCCAATCCTTAATATGCGGCCATAATATTCATTTACCGTATATGAGTATTTTGTTAAATGTCATTTTGATTGTGAAAGAGACTCTTAGTTGAAAATTTCTGTAATAGTACTTGCCAAGTAAGGCTAAAAATACTTGTCATTATACCCAATTTCCTAGAGCTGGATTTATAGACATTTTAGAGAAAAAGCTACTAATAACAGCAAAATGTAATTCATTGACTAACAAAGTAATAGTAATTTAAATATAATATCATAGAAGCAGGAGTGAAGAGCAAACACTTTTCCTAAACAAGGGCAAAGGTTGCATCAAGACCAAAGTAAAGTATATTATAAATTTTTTGCAGAAAGGCAGGGGTAAGATACAGAAAAATAATAAATTATGCTTCATGTAAAAATATAAACCAAAAATATAGCAGACAAAATCATGTTTTTATAAAGTACTATTTTAATTGGTCTTGTAAAGCCACTAAGTCAAAACCATAAAGTGCAAGAGTTATGTCTTTAGTTTGTTCATATTCTTTGTGCAAATCACCTACCCCTCCTTTTGTGTCATGCTTCCCCTACTTAGGAACACAAGTAATTTATATTCTCATTTTTCATTTCCCGTTGTAGGGGGAAAAGTTATCACCCTAAATAGATTTTTGTGGTAATCTCCTATAAAAAAATATGTTTCCAAAAGTCAGAACTCAAAGCAATAGTTTAAGAACAGAACAATATTAAAAACTAAAGGAAATTAGGGAGCCAGTCTTCCTTGGTCCCTCCAATTTCAACCTTTGTGCCAACCTCAGAGATTTGCTCACAACTGACTTGTGATTATCAATAGACCCTTGCTCCTTCAGCTGCATCAGATGCTTGGGGGCAGAGAATATACACACAGATACCGACATTTTGAATGAAAGATAAAATAATTGCAATTTCCTATCAAGGTTTTTTTTCTAACTAAGGATCTTTAAAATGAATTCAAAACACAAAGTTAAAAAAATTTTCTAATAAGAGGCATAAAGGAAGAAATAACCTTTATTGCTGTTGACAGAAGACGACTCCCTAATCATATTTTTGATAGACCATACATATGTAAAGCTTACTTCAATCTAATGTGTAGGTGTTCTGGAGCTCTCCCTTTGACACAGGAGTTCTGTAATATTAACCGTCCCAGGATTATGCAAAAGAGCAGCATCCTGCCATTGTGCTTTTAGCAATAATAGGCCCTGTTTCCTTACCTTTTGAGTATGTTCTTATTTTGTTATAATATTTTATTCTTCCTTTTCCTTGACTGGCTGCATAAGATCTATATGGTGTATGATGTTTTTCTGAACACGGAAACTTTTTCTTCATTTGTGTAAAATGTCACAAGCTACCGACTGTTTACAAGGAGATTAGGAAGAGCAGTCCCAGGCAAATGGTGTGGGTTACAGTAGAAACTCTTAAACTTTTCTCTCTTGATAAGTTCTTTCCAGTCTCATGTCATATGATCTAGACAGATGTCGTGTTTTATTAGGAGCTAAAAATGGGAGAAGACTATAAATACGGTGAAGGATATGTAGAAGCTCCTTATGACTATGTAAGTCTAATAAAAAGGAAAAAGCTACACCTTTGAGATGAGATTTAGGCATCGTATTATCTCCTCGGGTGCAGAAAAGTGGTAAATTATATTATAAACCAGATTAGTTTTTGTCTTTTTTTAAAGCTACTCCAAGACATTAAAAGGCATTGATTGTTGAAAGTAAGTGCCTGGAACATCTTTCAGAGATGCTCCAGAATGCTGCACTCAGGTGAAAGCCTGGATAAACCCATTGACACCTACAGTGGATTGAACCTGTGAAAGTAGGACCATGGAGTGTCTGATCTAAACTTCTAGCAAGAATTTTTTTTTATAAAAATCAATTTTATTTATTAATGAACAACGATAGATAATACAAGTTAATAACAAAATTTGGTTAAGCAATGGACAGAGCAAGTCATTGAACTCCCTAGAAAGATGATCATGTAACAAGATCTAGGTAAGAGAATAGTCCTATGCAAAAGCAAGAGTAATCATTCATCAGTCAATGTTGGGTACAATTCAACGTTGGTTGTCCTATGCAGTTTTGTTGAATTGCATAGTTTATAGTCATGTTACTTAAAAATATGTAGTTACGTGATTTGCTACTCAGTCACTCACTACAAATAGACAACATAGATTAATTTTTGCCATTAAAAGTTAAATTGCAGGCAAAAGAATTTACAATCTCATAATTTCATTATGGTCTCAATATACCATATGTTCTAATTGTTTAATTTGTGAAATTAGTAATACTGTCAGTTCTCCTTGAAACCCAGGATCCATTTGTAGGATGAGAACAGTAGGATAATTTGCAAGATGCTGGCTAGCATTTATCAGCATAGAACAACACTAGACAAACTATTAGAGATAATTTAGGAAGAAATGGAAAGATATTTTGGACCCTACATTTAAGCATCAAGAGATCTAGAATCGTAGATGTTTCATGATTTGAAAATATTTCTAGTCTACGTCATTTTCCCTTAAACAATATTATGGTCCTCTCTTTTTTCTTCTCTGCTGAACAAGGGTAGCCAGTGTTGATTTGTGCTCACTTATTTTCTTAAAATATTTCAGACCATTTTCAACTTAATATGTGGGCTTGGATAATGTCCGATTCACTTGACTCGGAGAGAATCTGAAGTGATAAATATCTAGTGAAATTCGTATACTCCATGGCAGATCATGGGATCAGAAAGCGACCTCACAGGGTGAAGGGAGAAGCTTATAGCAAGAAGCTGAGTTTTTCTTTCATTCTTGACTGTTTCTTCCATCATTCGTTCTTATGATGGAATGATTAGGGTGTGAGGTTGGAGAAGGAATAAAATTTGGAGAGAAGCATAAAATGTGTTGAGGGTAAGGATTTCTTATGTTTTATCTATGAATAGCAAAATATATATTTTTGAGGCAGTTGTATGTTCTTATGGCTGCAGAAGAAATAATAAAACGTCCCAAGTCTGGTCTTTTTATAATTACTGTACTTCAGGATTGCAATAGAGCAGTACCATTGAACTTAAAATGGGGTACTGATTCCATTAAACGTACAAAAATAGTATATACTTTATTATTGACTTTAGTTGAGTATTTTTTATATAGTGATGATGTAGGGAGTTCCTTCTTGATGTTTTTGATATTTAACTACCTCATTTTCTGACACTGCAGTTTAAATGCACATTTTGCATTGTGTTCTTTACACAACAATAATAACACTTTTTTCCGTTTTCATGTTTGTTCTTCCCATAGGGTTTTGGCACTCGAACTGATTAATCTTGGCATATATTTTCAAATGATTAGGTATTAACCTGGAATGCTGTATGTGTGTATGTGTGTGCACATGTGTCCATGTGTTTTCTACTAGTGAAAATAATAATATTAGCATTTCCAAACTAAAATTCATTTTAAAATCATATATAAGTACATTTATATGCTCTCCAAAACTTTAAAAATTGTTCTTTCCCTAATGCTCCAAACTAGTATTGTTGCCTTAGGTGTTAGGGGACATACACTTCATGCAGTTACTACCTGTGGCAGATAAAAGTAATTACTGTTATTTAGGGTGCTAAATATATTGTCCTGGGATTCTTGGGGCAATGTTTTTCTGGCTGGAAACCTCTGTGGCCAGTGGCACCTTTGCCGAGTTTTGCTCAGGCCTGTTGGGCTTGTTCCTCCCACTTGGCCTGGTAGGCTGCACTCAGCTCATGCTACTCGCCTGAGTTCCACACCTGCGAAGGGTGAGTCCAGCATGGAGCGGTGAGGGGTTTGTGGGCAAGCGTGAGGTCTGGCCACTGTGCACAGCCAGACATGCTGGCTGCAGTGAGGCAGGCTGGCTCCCTGTGAGGCTGTGGCTGAACCAGTCATACTACAAGCAGCTTCCATGCTGGCACCAAGGAATGTGGTGTTGCCCAGAAACTTGGAGATGCCAGGAACTGCAGAGCCCCAAAAAGGATCTCATAGCCCTGGCTGGGGAACCCCTAGGTCTGGGGTCTCCAAAGGGCCACAGCTCTTCTCTCCTTCTCATTTCTCTCCTTCTTGTTGCAAGCAACATAGTGACCAGAGGGTGTATTTCAGCCTGGTTTGTATTATAGCTCTTTTAGTCCCGCCATTTGGCAGGTCCCAATTTCTTGTTTCATGCCCAGGAAGAATGAGATATGCAGACAAATGGAGGGTGAGCAAGGCAAAGAGGAGCTTTATTGAGTGATAGAATAGCTCAGGGGATACTTACAGTGAGTAGCTCCTTTCGGCAGCTGGCGTGTCCCAGTGAGTGTTCAGCTTCCAGCAGAGAGGAGACCCTGGAGTGGAAAGCTCCTCTCCACAGCTGGCTGTGCTGTTGTCCCTTCAGCTCTCAGCAGAGAGGAGACCCTGGGGTGGGCAGATCCTCTCTGCAGCTGGTCGTTCCATCCTCTACTTGAGTCTGGCTGGGTCTGAGGCTTTTATGGGCCTCAGAGGAGAGGAAGTGCATGTTGATTGGTCCATGGGCAGTGGCTGGAAAAAGCACAACAAAGACCCACTCAAGTCTGCTGGACCAGCTGTCTGGTCCCCAGGCTTCAGGCCCTCACTGACTTGAAGGCAAGGCTTCACCAGAGACCTGCCCTCTTTTGCCCAGGAGCCTGTCTGCTTCCTGTCCCCATTTATGGTGCCCAGGCTGTCTGTGCCAAGGGGTGCCTGCAGATTAGCACCAAACTGCCATCAGCACCCTCTCAGCCCTCCCTCCCATGCTTGTTGGTGCCCAGAGTTTAAAGGGACCATGGTGGCAAGGGGAAGGTGTGTGTGAGCACTGCCCCAAGAGTGCGCACACCCGGCTGGGTTGCAGCAGTGCCCAGGCTCTGCCCTATCCTCACTCCAAGATTGGAGCATGTATGCCAGGAGTGAGGAGAAGCCAGGCAGCAGGAGCACACACCTCCAAACCTGCTGAGGTGGGGGGCCTTCCTGAGCCCCCAAGAGCACAGGAACACCTGGGTCCACACTGTAACTTGGGCTGCTGCAGCTGTGCCCAGAAGGGCAGGGCTGCTGCCTTCTCTTAGTCCCCAAGATCACAGGGAGGCCGCCTGGGCAGCCACGATTTGGGCAGCTACAGTTGCATCCGGAAGGGTGGGGCTCCTGCCTGCTCCCAGCTCCTGCTGGCTCCCTGGAGCATGCAGCTCAGCCACACCTCCACTGCAGCCAGCATCTTGGTGGTGGCTGCTCCAGGTGGGCCACCACTGCTATCAATACTATTTCCAAATTTCAAGCATGTGACTTGAGATAATTAAATACTTTACAAAATTCGCCTCAAGATAATTTGTATTTTAGAAGTTTTGCTGTTTTACTAGATAAAATAAGAACAAAGATGGTTCATGAAAATTCTTAAAATTAATTATAGATTCAAAAATATTTTTTCTGGCCAAATGGTGTTTAAAATTGTTATTCTTTACATATCAGGGCAATTCAAAAATGTTGCTTCTGGAAAATTATCCTCTTTTTTTGGTAGCTTCATAGATTGCTAAGCTCATTTATAGAGCTTTTGGTTCAGTTGGTCTGGGGTGGAGCCTGAGAATTTGCATCTCTAGCAAGTTCCCACTACAATGAATTCTTCTGTCTATAGGTCATAATAACAAAATCCTCTTATACTGCTATAATAGGGAAATTTTTAATCTAAAGGCAATACCTCCAAATTACTCTTTGTTTTTTTTCTGTATTCTCCTTCGATATTTAAAATGCTAGTTCTGTTCATAGCCCTGTGTCTGGAAGCAAAAACTTTCCATTTCTTATTTGATACTTATAAACCACAACTTGATGAGAAACAAGATAACTAAACTAAAAGAAATTGGATGTAAGAACAAACCTTCCACTTTACGTCTCTTGGCTTTAAGAGACCCACTAATTACATGATGAGAGAGGCCTCTAGGCTTCCTTTTTGTGGTCCTGTTTGCCTTGACTACAATGGCTGACATTCTGACTGTAACCAAGTAATATGTAAATTATAATGGTTTACAATGCTAATGATATGTCCATTGAGATTAGATTGGCTAATAAGGTGAATCTGAGACCATTTCTGGAGTGATCAAAACACAGGCTTTGGAGTTCAACAGTTCTAGAGAAATATAAGCCTGAGCTCTGCCAGTTACTGGCCTCTGTGATGCTTCAAGTAATCTTCAATAATCTCACCTGAAACCTGGAACGATAATGGAATCTAGCCACTGAACTACCATGAAGATTAAATGACAGAATGTATTAGCTGTATTGCAAGCAGAAAACAGGTCACACATAAGGGCAATAACAAAGTTAGATTCATATAATGATAATAAACTGTTCTAATTGTAGCAATATTCATATTCACGCTTTAAAATTTATCTACAAGAGAATTTTCTGCTTTGCTATATACAAGTTAGAACAGTATCAAATATGTCATCATGAATCTGTAGTAAAACTGAGACAAGCTTTAATACTTCTAAAGATTAATATATTTAAAGAAAATAAATTGATCATTTTTTCCTGCAGGGAGCTGAATAGCTCTATTGAGCCCTATTTCCTGCAATTACAAAATGAGTTCCAATTAATAACTATGGAAGACTGATTCTAGTTTCACTAAATTAATTTATGTATTTTAGGATTGGCTGTCATACTTTTCAGGTCACTGTTCCTCTTTCATCTACTTTCATTTAAAAATATATAGTTGGGAAGATACTGTAGTGAGAAAATATATAACTTTGATCTAGTCAATAATCTTGATTTAAAGTAAAGCTTTCTCTTCTTGTTGATGGTGGAAGTGAAGTAGTTTAAAAGTTTTACAGCCTTGCTATGCAACCTGACCTCTGTAACACCCAAAAAATGGAATGCTTACATGCCATGCTTAAATTCCATTTTACAATATGGAATACCATTCTTTCTCAGTATAATTTGGTCATTTTAGGCAATTGTAAGCTTGACACCTGATTTCACTTTAACAGCACCTGCCCAGAGCATAATTAGCAGCCTGTTTTTTAAAAAGGACTTCCATACTGCACAGATGGCATTCCTCATACCAGACAAGCAATGATGTGTGTTGGAAACCAGCCAAACTGTCTGCAAAAAAATGTGAGAATTTCAAGATGGGCGTTTGAGAAGAAGGAAAATTTTCCCTTCTTCTCTAAATCATATATGAACATCTCTTAAAACATGATCTTAACTTTTCTACTTATTCTCTTCTGATTGCATATTATTAGTGCAATGATGTTTGAAAGATCATAACCAGATTTTCGTTTTGATTTGTGATATTTGTAGACTGCCTATTAAAAAATATTCTAGGGCTCCATTTTCAACTATATTAATTTAGATATAGAGATATTTTTTGCATGGATCTCATGCCATTTAATTCATGCAATTATTCAAAAATATTTATTGATCATTGCAAATTCTCAAATTCAGAGTCAGTGCTTATAGTTGTGCAAATTATGAATTGGGTATAATTTGCACAACTATATATATATATGAAGGGGGTATAATTTGCTTCACAATTAGCATAGAGTTATATCATTTTTACGGTGGTCTCCAGGCAATGGTAGTCTAGTGTTTGAGTCAGTAGTACCCTTTTCTAATTCATACAAATTCTGGATGTGGGTTGGTAATGAGGTTGCCAGAGACCATTCAAAGTGCTAGAGACATATACATAACAGACAGTCTCTGCTCTTATGAAACCTACACTCAATAAGGGGAAAAGATCAGTAGATAACTACCCAAGGGGTAAGAGAAAAACAATGCTGTACTTCTTAAAATGGTAGAATGTCACAGATAGTGCCATTTTGTTTGAGAAGGTCCGATATTAGCTATGTGAAGAAATAAAAACCTAAAGGAAATGAGGGAGTAAGTCAAATATATGTGGTGGAAGAGCATTCCAGGCAACAGGATTGGGAATACAGGCCTGAATGAGACATAAGTGATCTCATTGTGGGCAGAGATCAGGAGGAAGCATGAGTGATTGGAGCTGTGAGGCTATTCGGGGAAAGTGTTGGCAACAAGATAGGTGACCAGTGTGTGGCCAGATATTACAGTGTTGGGAGGCCCAGGTAAGAATCTTGGGGTTTATTCTAAGTCATTGGAGTGTTTTCTGCAAAGAAGGGCTATGATCTGATTTGTATTTTTAAAAATGTGTAAAAATGTTTCATTATGGACCATTACACCTTCACATGGTATCTTACATTTGCAAGTCACTATGAACCGCTTATTAATCTGATTTGCAATTTAGAGGGACCGCTCTAGCTGCAGTGCAGAAAATTGATTACATACAGCAGAAGAAGAATGGAAAACAGGGGAGACAGCTATTTTCATGTGTTACATTACCCTAGACAGTTTGTTAAGTGACTTCAGGGTAGGGCATTGTATTCTGTCCTCTTGCCCGGGGAACTATCTAGAACTTTTACTGCTGCTTGGAAAAAAGTCACTGTTTCATACAGCTTTATTAATAAAATTTTTTAATGCAGATGACTTTTTAAATTTTGAACATGTTCATCAAAATTATTTTGAACATCTTTAAGTCACGTTTTGATTGTTTTATGTAATCAGACTCTTGATTAGAAAGAATAACAGAAGGAACCGTAGATGCACTCAAACTCCTAAAGTAATTATTTACAAGAAATAAACTTTTTGCACGGTCTAATGACATTTTATACAATGAAAATGTATAATATTTTCAAAGTAACAGCAATAAAATAATAAGTAATGGTCAAAATAAATTTCAAAATATAAAGCATAAATGTCAGAATCAATATTGGTTTTGCCGCATTAGCTTGAAAATTTACTGGTGGAAAAATAGTAATGGTTAAACACACAGAAAAGATAAGTCATAAATGTCAGCCAGCCCTTATTAACTGCCTCTGAAGGTACTACAAGGACAGCTTTGGCTGCTCCTAGCCTGCACTTACAGAAATTGAATTGCTTTGTGCATTAACAAAATGGAACTGGGCTGAACAATGTCCATAGAAATGCTGAATAGGCAATTATTTAAAATGTTCTCCAAGATTGAGGAATATATTAACAGAAACCAATAGCACAGCAAATTAAATGATGATTGAGCAGAACATTACCTAAAATTAGTACAGAAATATTTATAGAATGAATGAATGAATTAAATTGACTATAATAAAATATTGGCCAAGGTAGCGTGAAAAAAAATTAAAGCAAATTTAAAGTAATTTTATTGTGAACAATTTCTTTGCATTAATTTTGTAATATCAGAATGTTATATAGGCTTCTCCATAATGGTGTCCACTAATAATTTAAAGTTTTTCAATAGGTGGATGGTACATTTTAAAAAATTAACAACCAAAGTCTTCATGAGGAACAAGAAATGATTTTCTATTTGTTTCTATTTGGCTCTCACTATAGCAACTTATATAATGCTTTGCATGCATGAAATGTTTAATTTTTAAATTTATTTTCTAGAGATGGGGATCTGGCTCTGTTGCCCAAGCTGGACCCCAGCTCCTAGCCTCAAGGGATTCTCCTGCCTCAGCATCCTGAGTAGTGGAAAAATTTTAGTAAACAATGGATCTTATTATCACCAATAATTTTATAATTAACATTAGCATGTACATGGGATCTTTAATACATCTGGAGTTCATTTTGATTGCTCCTCTAAAAACTAAAAGACCAAGAAAAAAATTCCCTCAAAGTATTTGTTTCTTCCTCTTCCTAAGACCTGATGCTTCTGTTAAAAGGCGCAGTTCTCACACCCACCTGCTCCTCCATGCCTGTTTCTAGTGCAGTCAAGGAAAGTTTACCACAGTGGTACTTTTTAAAGGTATATTTTTATCTTTGCAGCTCTATCTGGTGTTTTCTCAGCTGCATATGTGACTTGCCTGGAAGACATGGCTGGTAACTCCTAGAAGAAATCTAAATTTTAAAGATGTAATCATTAAAAAATACTTGTCATTATAGATAGGTAGCTTTATTGTTGTGGCTTTGTTTTTCTGTTTAAAAAAGCTGTTGATTTTGCCTTTCTAACTTTTTGTGGATATACTACTGCCCCTAAAGGAAGAAAATATGTTTAAGGGAGACATCAAAGTTTGTCTGTGTTCTTGTTGTTTTCCCCAAACCAAAAGACCTAAGAGATTTAATAATTATTATATTTGTTACTATTAAGATATCATTTGTATGACCTCCTACTAAGTGAAACAATGTAGTTATTTAGTGTTTTAGAATTTATGTATTATTAATAAGAAAAAGATTTACTGAAAATGAAATAAGATATATTCATTTAGTCTATTGCTTACATATGTAAGACATGAGTCATGAATGTATAGGTTTTTTCATTTGATCAATTTCTTTACTAATTACCTGTTGCTTTTTAAAAAATAACATACTCTGGAAATTTACCAAAGTAGCAAAATGCTTAATTTTTAACTTTATAATTTTATAACTACATAACATGACATATACATACTTAATACACTTAATATGTAAAAAGTTCTTACCAATTAATAAGAAATGAAAATGTTACAACTGAAAAAAAATTAAAAATATGATCAATAATTTAAAAACTATAATTATCAATAAATACATGAAGATGTTCAACTTCATTAATGATTGAACAAATACAAATTAAAATATGCTTTATCATCAGATTGCAAATAATTTTTAAAAATTCTAATAATTAAAATTATCCTATTTATGGAGAAATAGGTATTGGAATGAGTGTAAATTTGCAATACAAAATTGATAATGTATATTTAAAGTCCTAATAATAAACATACTTTCTTGTCCCAATAATACAATTTCTACAAAATCCCTTTATGGGAAAAATTAAATTTTACAGAGAATTATGTAAAAAAACACTTCAATGTTATTAAAGGGAAACTTGGAGAAAAAAATATCCAATAGTAAGGGATTATTAAATAGCATATCATAGATCCATAAAAAGAAATACTGTTCAGCTATTAAATATATTTATATTTTATTATTATGCAAAGAAACACCTTAGCTTACAGAGCAGCATATATGGTATATTTCCAAAATTATTTAAAAATATACATTTATACAGATATATATTTTCTAAAACTATGTATCATGTGAATAAAAAGGTTTGTCTTATATGTTCTTTTTTAAAAAAGCGTTTATCATAAGGAAATATCTGAACATGATTTAATGTATGTTAGCATTGCTTCTCAGCCTTTTGGCTAAGATCAAGTGTAATATGTTGTTAGCAAGGACACCTAAATCTATATGAGGTTTCCAGAGAAGAATATGGTCACTACTGAACATCTCTTCATTTAACCAATCCGATTTGTGGTCTGTTGTTAAATTGAATTCAAACAAGATATATCTCCTTTGATTTTTATTTCATAACATTTAGCAAATATTTTATTTCAGATACAAATGATAAGATTTTGCCCAATCATCATTCTTTGACACTGGCTACAATCACATGCCTCCAGTAAGCAAAAATTTGCCCAAAAATGTGGTAGTCAGAGGCAACTTTGAAAGGCTTATTTCACACGTTCTTCTAAAAGAAGTTGAGTTGGTGATACTTTTATAGAACGTGCAATTTCATGAGCCAATTTCTTTTTTTGCTATTGAACAATTCAAGAAGTATTTTTAAGTTCTCTATCAGTTTAGCATCCACTTTTCTTTCAACATTTTTTGCTGCTTTTAAATACCTAAACACCTGCTTACACCATATATATCTGTGATCATGAAAAATTACTGTATTTCACTGTCGATGAGTCCAAAGAAAATAATTAAACTCTGCCCTAGAAAAATAAAAGCCAAAGAAATAATCCAATTGAATTAATAGCTTGACCCTAAATAACAGTTTGAGTCCAACATTTCATCAAATAGGAAAATTAGAAGGATCTTGACTGATTGTTTTCCTTTATTGACAGTAGTATATTCAGGAAAAGGTAGAATAAACCGCCTTTCTTTAAAGAAAAACAAAGCCAGCAGTGGTAATTTTAAAAAAAACTACCTATCCTTAATGACAAGTATTTTCTAATCATTGTTTTTAAAATTAATATGTATTGAGGAAAAGAAAATTTTTAATGTTTTCAACTATAGTTATTACACATATGCAGAAACAAAGCCTATACTTAATTATAGGACAATTGATTGTTCCCAAAGCATCTGATTACTCTTTAATTTAAAAAAATACATGTCTATTTCAGTGAATCACTATTTGAAGTACAGAAATACAAAGTACAGCCTAAACTTGATATTACTATGTCCTCAAATCACTGTATCATCTCTTCCATGAAATGAATGTGACAATAATTTGTATTTGCAAATTCATTCTATTTTGGGAGCTGTTTCTGAAAACCATCTGTAACCAAAGTAAACAATATTTTAATGGGGGATTACTGAGCTGGCTGAATACATTGTGATGCAATCAAAAGTTTTCTGGAATTTTTCAAACCACAGTTTTAAGCTGCATTTGAATAAAACTTAGCTATTAAGGGGAAAAATAATTCATAAAAAAATTTTTAGTCTTAAATATACTTTCAATGTATTTAACCATCGTAAATGTGAAGATAAGAGTATTGTAAAAATACATGATATCAGAGAATTACTTAAAGAAAAAAACATATTTAAATTTTGAGCCGCATATTTTTATAGGTTCTTAGAGTTTGGTGTAGCAATCCTGTTTTCTGGAGCCATTTTTGTTCCTTTGTCTACGACTTCTAGCAACATTTTGCAAGAGTTGAAAGCAGAAATGTTGAGGTGCCCATGAGGATTGTTATTCATTACCCTGACCAGCTTTAGGCAGGAGATATAAAAACATAACCAAAAAAGCCACTTTTATGACAGTATTTGCAGATCAATCCTGCGTATTCCACGCTTGTAAGATTTGGAATGTTTGTAGCTGAAATTTATTTTTCTTTCTAGATTGCTTTTTACTGAAAGAATGCAACAAAGAGAGCTGCCAAGAAAATACAGTTATTCCCCCAAATAGTTCAAAGAACTATGCCAGGTAAGTATTTGTTGTTCATATTTTAAATATTATATTATAGTCTAAATACTAGTCACCTCAAATATGAACTGAATTATTTTAAAAGCATTTTATTAGAAAATAGGTCATGGCATAAATGGCTGCTTCTTAAAAGTCACCAGCCTCAGTGTATTTAGAAATTAAAGTGAAAAATACTTTCTTTAAATCTTTTCAGTCACTACCAGGATACTCTGTTCTTGAGACTGATTTTAACTGTATAGTTTCTCAAAACTTCTGTCAGGCGAAAATTAGCATCTGCTGTCATCAGTACGCCAGGAATTTAAGAAATGTTCTCAAAAACGAGTAGCATTGGAAATATAAAATATTTATTTTTATAACTTACTAAATATTTATTTTTATAACTTACTTTGTTTTAAGTTGGCCTCTAATCTTTTTTTTTTTTTTGAGACGGAGTCTCGCTCTGTCCCCCTGGCTGGAGTGCAGTGGCGCGATCTCGGCTCACTACAAGCTCCGCCTCCCAGGTTCGCGCCATTCTCCTGCCTCAGCCTCCCGAGTAGCTGGGACTACAGGCGCCCTCTACCGCGCCCAGCTAATTTTTTTTCGTTTTTGTATTTTTAGTAGAGACGGGGTTTCACCGTGTTAGCCAGGATGGTCTCGATCTCCTGACCTCGTGATCCGCCCGCCTCGACCTCCCAAAGTGCTGGGATTACAGGCGTGAGTCACCGCGCCCGGCCAAGTTGGCCTCTGATCTTAGTTTACTAGTCTGAGAAAAGCTTTTATTGAATTTCACAAGTGATTCCCACATTTATTACATGTAATGGCATTCATAAGCATATTAAAAATGTGATTGGGATTATTTTAAATGCATTTATTTCAAATTAAAAAAACAAAATGACAAACTCAGGTATTATGTATGGTTTCTGAAGAGGAAAATATAGTCTGACAGCAGATGGTAAATATGGGAAGTAGGAAGTAATTGGGGTCGTGTGAATAATGAGTTAAAAATATGTGGATCAGTCTTTGGAAAAACTTTGTAGTGTTCATCCTTCTGAATCCTACTGAAAAAAAAATCATCCTAACCATGATTTCATACTATTTTCAGAGAAAGGTGCTTTCATGCTGTTATGAATTTCCACAGAGCCACAGGGTCTGAGATAGAATTACACGAAAAGGGCATTATGCAATAAGATACCATGGCATGCCAGGAACCCAGTGTAGATTAAAAACAAGTAGAGTTCTTTCAGATTTTTGGCACCTTTGGAGTGAATTAAACCCAGATAGTTCATGAGAATATCTTAATTTTCCTCAAAGAATTTTAATTCCAAAAGGATATTGGGGTATAATGTAGCTAACCTATGCATCAGTTTGAAGACAGGAGGATACTGAAATACTTTAAAAAGATGGCAAGTTCCACTAATAAAAATTACTCTGGCTTCCCTGTTTGTCAGTGTGTTGACAATGTGATAATGTGTCAGGTGTCTTATGCGGCAGGCAGATCATTTTAATTCATCATAAAGAAAGTGATGTCTCTTTTCAGTCAGCCATGTGGCCTTTCCTACCACTTTGTGTTCTCTGGATCAAATTTCATTTCAGGATTGCTTACAATTCTCTAATAAAGATATGGCCATGATACAAAAACCTCCCATTTCCCGAATGTTATATCTATTCGGAATCCCTTTTTCCTATTTCATTTTCTTACTACATTGGAATTCTTACGTCTATTTGGCTACAACCATTAGCTCTCCTTTTAGCTACTTCTAAGGGGTCCTTTTCTCTTATTTCTGGAAATTATTTTCCTGCCCAAATGAATTATCCTCCACTTTGTCCCTATTGAACTCAATTTGATTCATATCTTCCCACTTCACTAATTTGTCAAGATGTTTTGAATTTAAATCCTCTTCTACAGTAAGAAAGTCAGTCCACCCAAGTAGATGTCATCAGCACAAGCAGACTTTGTATTAATTCAGGTGATTAATGGAAAAGTGTCTGTTTCATGCCTGGGAGACCTCAATTCGAATGGTCTATTCTCAGTTAATTTTAAAATACTGACAACTACTGAGGTAAAATGTATTACATGAAAGGAAAATGTGATACAAAAAAATTATTTATTTCTGGGATACTCTCTATATATCACGCTAGATTAAGTTAAAATATATCAAATTAATTTTTGTCAGTCTGATCATTCTAAAGCAAGTGTAATCAATTAACTGATGGGTTTTTGGAAATTTTTACTGATTGTTTTTCTGTATTTGTTTCGGATTGAGGCAGGGGAGGAAGGCTGGCAATGTTTCCAAGCATTTCTGCTTAGAATATGAAACAAATGAAAAACAATGTGATAAAGCTATAAGTAGGACTAAGGCACCCCATGCGTGTGCAATCATGCATGATGCAAAATACATTATGTTAATAGCATCCTTTACTTCTTGCATTAGTCCCATTAGAACTGAGGACTCTGATTAGCTTCTTTAGCTTATATTTCACATCAGAGACTCTGCATATTCAGACTATAAAACCACTGTTGGATTAACTTACATATATCAGACATAACTTTAAAAATGTATGACTATTTTATTTTCCTCACTGTGGTGAATACTATTATTTAATACTTTTTTCCTACTTTTATCTGTGGCTTCATAAAACACACAAAAAAATCCATTCACTGTATTCTTCAAATTAGAGAAATAGCTTAATATATGCCCATTCTTAGGCGCCCTTTGATTACACAAGGATTTATTTTTTTCCTGCCATAATAAAAAAATTCAGAAATGAAAAAATGTAAATAATCCACTAATTATAATCATCTGGATTTGCACAAGTGCAGATAGATTTGAGACTTTGTTAATCATTGATATTGAAATCTATAAAAATTAAGAAAATTAATGTAGGGAGACCAAAGTTATTTACAAAGGATCATTTATTAAACACATTTTAAAAACAAAATACAAAGATAGTTGTTCTGCATGAATACATCACATATGAAAAAATAATGTGTTTTTACCGAATTTAATTTGAAGATATTCAGAATTTTGTTTTCTATCAACTTGAGCAACCAGTTTCGCTTTGCACCTTGTCTAACACTGTTGTCAATCAGGAAGAAATGTTTTCTTGTTAATTAAATCATATTCATACAGCTAATATTTTACAGAAATAAAATAAGACAATGTCTGTCATACAAAGCTCTTTCTGCAAGGTAACTGATTTGCCTATGATCCTAATTGTTTTAAGCTATAAGATAGGAAGAATTCAGGAGCTAGGTAAGTTTTATAATAACGTATTAGCAGCAGTTGATAGTAAATGCAACATAAGATTTGTTTTGTCTGTGGTACAAGAATATGTCCTATCAGACTCTACTGTATTTTTCTCTACTTGAACACAGGTAAGCACATACTGATTGTCTCTGGGATGACAAAATGTATAAAAAAGACAAGAAACTGGCTCTGGTTGTCATTGTGAGTGCCTATTTTCATCAGCTAATATGAATGCATTGCTAAATTAGTGAAGACAGGAAAATGACTTAAGGGTAATATATACAGAGTTAAAATACACTTTTTATCCACTTGAGTGAATTCAGGCACTGTGGCTGTTCAGGATAAAATGTTTCATGGTTTATTCTTGATAGCAATTTAATTTTCAGTGCAAGCAAAAGCAAATACCTGCCCACTGTAATACACATGATCTCACACATCTGGAATGTTCAATGCAAGTTCATCCTCGGCATCTTCACTCTGGAGACATCTTGAATAAAAAACCGTTCATAGTTTGCTCTTGATAGCAATTTAATTTTCAGTGCAAGCAAAAGCAAACACATACCTGCTCACTGCCATACGCACGACCAAACACATCTGGAATATTCAAAGCAAGTTCACCTTCTCCATCTTCACTGTGGAAGCTCTTTAATAAGTGGCACTTTGTGTAAACCCTCTATAAATCATGAAAAACAGATTCGAAATGCCTGGATTTAATAATATTAAACATCACTGCCATAGTCATCTCTCTGTGTAAACGATATTTGGGTAAGGCTTGCCATCACAACATTTCTTTCCTGAGAATGGAGCTGGTCCTCTGTTTATATCATAAGTGCGCATGCTCTGAGCTGTGGTCACTGTCGTGACTGTCTTCATTTGCTATAGAGTCCCCTGTTTGCTGGAGGGTGGCTGCACCAATTCCCGACAGCTCTGATGGGAGAAGTGTTCCCTTTTTCACATTCACCAGTTCCTTTTCCCGAGCCGCAGCTCCTTGCTGTCCACCCTTTACCCTCTTCCACTTCATCCGCCTGTTTTGGAACCAGACTTTCACCTTCAACCAAGAAAGGGAACAAACAAACAGAAAAAAAGAGATAATTAAAGTGACATTTTTTTCTCCTTAGTGTCATCAATGAAAAGAAGTTCCTCAAAGGCTTATACAAAGACACCATGAAGGAGTGAATAGAAAAATAAATCCACGTTGAATTTAATCAGGTTACATGTTCATGATAATAATTTTTAAAGTTTCAAAAGGTGCATACAAAGTACTATATTTGTATTTTACAGCATACAATGTAAAATATGGAACTAAACAAAAACTTTGTCATTTAAGGCACTCAAAGCACTTGCGTCTATAAAGAGCTTCTGTGAATTGGAGCTAACATAATATTTGTGTTGGTCAAAGCCCCCCACTCCTAAGTTCTTCTTTGATTTGACATCCAGCTGTCATTTCCTGAACCAATTTAAAACATGCTCCTGCAGCTACTGATTAAGCGGCATCTGAAAGGCCATACTCTGCCATCAGAAACTACTGCTGCTTTCACAAATCTTTATTTGACCATTCCACCTCACACTGAGCCTATCTTCTTTTGAACTCTTCTTTTTATTTTCTACCTTAATTCATTTATTTTACTTTGCAAATATTTGATCTAGTGATTTCTTTAAAATATGGTCACAATAAAAAATTCTCAACATTTGTTAAATGCTAACACCAAGATTATATACTACATCATTCACATCAGCTTTGTACAGGTATTTTCTTTTTAAAAGCTTCATTGAATTTGCCTAATACATTTAAATAAATATATATATTTAAATAACATATATGTATTAAAAACAAAAAAAACAGCAAACAGACATTAAAGGTCTATACATTATCAGAACTAGAATATAATTGGCATTATTGCATCTTGTTTAGGAGGAAATCTGTTTCTTTCACATTGCATTTCTCATAATTATAGCTTCTAGCAAGCAAAGTGTTCTTTTTACATTGTATTTCTCTGTCTACCCCACCTAAAAGTACCACAAGCCTGAATTTTGTGTGTCACCTCCAAGTCTTTCTTAAAAAAGAAAACAAATTTTTTTCATAACAAGTAATATTAAAACTATACTCTTTAATTTTATTTGTTTGTTAGGTTTATCAATGGAATGTTCCTAAGTGTAGGCTTTTTGCCACATCTTTGTTGATTCAAAAGACTCTATTTATTTATTTTTTATCATTGTATAATATTCCAAATTCTGTCAATATAGCACCATTTTTCTGTTCTACCATCCATGGATATTTGAATTCTTTTTTTTCTATATGTAATGCTGCTATAGACATTCTTGCATTTGTGTCCTGATAAGCATATCATGGGAACTTCCCTGGAGACTGCAGTTATATGGCTGCTGCTATCTATCTTCTCTCAATGTATGCTGTTTCTTTTTCCTTTTCTTAGAGTGTCTTTTGATGATTAGAAACTCTTAATATTAATTAATATGTTTAAATTTATCTATTGTTTCTTTTATGACTAGTGTTTTGTGTTTTCTTTTTCTAAAAAAATCTATTTTCTGAAGCCAGTAAGATATTCTATTGTGTCTTCTTCTAAGAGTTTTAAAGGTTGCCTTTTCCAACACAGTGGGACCCTGTCTCTACAAATAAATAGATAAAATAAAATAAAATAAAATAAAATAAAATAAAATAAAATAAAATAAAATAAAATAAAATTAGGTGGGTGGGATGGCATAGTGCCTGTAGTCCCAGCTTCTCAGGAGGCTAGGGTTGGAGGATTGCTTGAGCCCAAGTGGTTGAGGTTGCAGTCAGTGGTTGTTGCACCACTGCACTCCAGCCTGGGCAACAGAGCAAGATCCTGTCTCAAAAAGAAAAAAAAAGTTTGCCTTTCAAACTGAGGTACTTAATCAATGAAGTACTGATTTTAGTATATAGTCTGAAGAATAGGCTTAACTTTACTTTATTTTAAATGGATAACACATTGTCCCAGGTCCATTTATTAAATAACCCAGCTTTTTTCCAGTGATCACTGTTTCATCTGTGTTCATAAATCAAGTTTCCATATATGCATAGCTTTATTGCTGTATTCTGTTCTGTTCCTTTATTAATTTTTCTATAGTTTTGATAAAACCACATTATCTTATTAATTATAATTTTATAATAAACCTTTATATTTGCTAGGGATAGTTCTGTTTCATTCTTCTACGTTAGAAATATTTTGAATATTCTCTATTTTCAGTTTAGAAATAATTTCAATTTCTGTAAATAGTGCTATGGAGACAGTGAAGAAAAATATATTAAATTTCCAAAGACATAATTATATCAGTGATCTTCAAATCACGATGCTTCATCAGCATGCTTTCACAGTGAAATATTTAAACTGAGATATTTCTCTATTCTGGATTTTTCTTGGTCTCACTTAGAGCCATAGTTGAAATCATGTATCATATATTGCCCAAACATGTATTAATCAATTTGACAATAAAAAATAAGAAAAAATAGTACAAAAAAGATTCACTAAAAAGTAGTTGACGGGTGTTCACATATTATTATTACTTACTAAACAAAATAATCAGTAATTCCCTTTTATTATATACCTATGTAGGGATAGACAGCTATACTATTGGTGCTGTTTATACAGTATTCTAATACAGTTTTCCAGATATTATTACCATTATTCTTATGTTATAGATGATAAAGTTGAGGTAAAGGTTAAGTGACTTACCTAAGATTACACAGAAAGGAAACCCTGGTGCCAGGATTTAAACGTGAGGGCTGGGGTTTGTTTGATTCCAGATTCTGGGTTTTGTTTTTGGTTTTTTTGTTTGTTTGTTTTGGTTCCTGTTATATTTCAATCTCCTATTTTTAAAGCATTTGTAATAAAAAAAAAGCATATAGAGTATGTGGACGCCATCCATGTGATTACTATCATTCAGGTAATTCTCCCACTTGATATAATTAGGTTTGTAAATATGACACTATTTTCCTGTATTATAATTTAGGTAATTACGCTACTGAGTTTAATTACCTTTGCAAGCTTGACATTGTATTTTGCATTAGATCTATTCCACATGAGTTGGGTTCTACTCTTGGCTTTACTTCTCCATTTTGTGTGAATTTGAGAAAATTTTACTTCTCTCTACCTCAATTTTCATATTTCTAATATTGGAATCATAAGCCTTTCAAGATTCCCTATAGGGATATTTTCTCATGGACAATTCCAGATGGAAGAAATACATATGTCATGATCATCATCATTGTCACCAAGAGCTGAAACATTCAGTCTAAATAATCCTGGCAGAAAAAGAGGAGAAATATACTTTTAAAAATCCACATATATTTCTTTTTCTAGGAGAAGGGATATAGTAATTATATAATATCAGTATAAAACCTGTTATGGGCAATTCTAAATAAGATAATTCTAAATGTAAGAATATGGTATTGATTTTAGATATATTATGGCCTATTTTGTGTTGTTTTCTATGTCTATCGTTGAAATTTTACCATTTTATTTTTTAAAATAGATTGAAAAAAGACTGAATAGTTAATTGCCAACAGTAGCTACATGTATATACATATGAATAGATATAAACATATAAGAATATGCATTTGATTATATAGAATAACTCTAATACCTTATATACTATTTTATTTAAAACCTAGATTATATATTTGATACTGAAATTCTGTGATCTTAGCAAGGAAACAAAAAATTGCAACAAATACATAATGGGCATATCTTATAGAAAATAGAAGGAAGAATATAGAACTCTAAAAGTCAATATGTTCAGATTTATTTTCAAATATACTATAAAATATTGGAGTGAATTAAAATAAATGGAGAAGGATTTTTGGAAAAACACACATTTTTCTATTAGCATCACGGTATTAGCAATCCCCCCAACAAAATCTGCAAATTTAATTCCAGGTTATAAATCAATATTGTCATTAATGTAGGACAGTAGTCAATTTATAAATAGAGACTTCATAGTATAATTTAGTATCACTTTATTAACCCAGCTTTATTGACTGTAATGAAAAAAACTTTTAGTTTTTGTTTTTAAGACAGCTAAATTATCATCATCCAAATGCCTAAAATTTTATTTACTAAAAAATAAGTATTTGAATTATTTTTATTTAAATTTATAAGCACATTTTATATAATAAGATTAATTTATAAACTACACAGAGTACAAGAATTCTCACATTTCCTTGGTGACTTGGGATCTCTATTCATTCATTCATACATTTAAAAATATTACCAAATGTCCAGTAACCTGTACTGTGTTAGATCAAAGATGGGAGGTGTTGAAGCACAAATAAAACATAGTCCCTGCCCTTAAGGTATTCACGGTCAAGAAAATGGAGGAAATGTAAATGTAACTTATTTGGCCATCACATTACACCCTTTACCATGTAAGTTCACACCTGTCCTTTTAGGTTTCACAATATATTACCAGACAAAAGAAGTGACTTATGAATCTGTATTGTCACACAATTTCCTAAGGTGTCCTGAGGCAAATAGGTTGATAGAAAGTTGAATCTATATAATGCAATAACCCATATTTATGTAACACCATAAATGTCTGTGTTTTGAAGAAAAAAGCCATAACATCAAACATCTGGATGAAAACTAAAAATTTCAGTGACATAGCCAGATGCCTCTAAACATCTGGGATTTGTAGATTTAATATTCCAACTGTTTCCATTTTTATCTGGGCACTTGGAATATTGTAGACATTGTCTAACAAATATTTATTTATATCTTTGAGATGTGAAAACATGCAAAGGATAATTGTACAAATAAAATTTTCAGATTTGATCACATCCCTAGTGATTAAATTTGATCATGGCAGTGTATCTAGTAAATCCAAAGACTAGCCTAAGTAATTCATTAACAAAGTAGCTGAACTACAACTGATTTAGTAGTATTAGAATTAGAAGCAAGAATGCTTAAAAGTAAAGGTGAAAAATGGGGAAAAGAAAGCTTTTTTAACTCTTCCTGAATAGATGGATTTATATCTGATTAAGAGAAGGAATTCTTCAGCTATTTCCAAAAGCTTATTGGAGCCACTAATTGACTCTGTTGTTTCTACCACAATTAAAGGGTGTTTGTGTGTGTTGGGGAGGCTGTGGAGGGTTAGGATATACTTCATAACTGAAGGCTTAAGTCCTGTTTACAGGGCTGCCTCTCACCTTTATCCACTGATTTAGCACATTGGGAATCATTTTCCTACCTCTGTAATTTTTAGTTCTGAAGCCTCTTCTTTTTCTATTTCCAAGTCTTGTGGATCAGGCTCATTAATGTAATCATAACATTTAAAATTACACATTTCATATGTTTTTAAAACAAAATGAATACACATTAGCTATAGACAGCCATGGACAAATAACATATTGAACAAGGATTAACCCTTTCTTGGGGCAACAGATTAAATTCCCCACGACAGATTTGAATCTCACAGGCACAATTATGAGCCAACCTTATACTCTCACTCTTCTTTCCAAAAATGAACCGAAAGCAACCATTCACATGATAAAGCAAAGTGGTTCTATGATTGATTCCTTTTAACTTGGCCTTTAGTAAACCATTGTTTTCCTTTATACCTGGTAAAATTCAACTCGAATGGCTTCTTTCACCATATTTACAGTAAAAATTCACTATTCTTAATCCCATTTTTACAGGAGATAAAAAATAGACACACCTTTTAGTTATTTTAAGTAAAATATTGTTTACTCAAGTATTTCATGAATAAAAGACTATATCAAATTTAATGAAAATATCAAAACTAAATTAGGCACTTTTTTTCTTTATTGTGTTATAAAATTACTGAATAGCAATACCTGAAGACATGGAATTTGTATATTCTGAGCCACTACTTCATGCTTATCTTGTTCAAACTACTGAGACCAACTAGAATGATGGTCTTTGATCTCAACATCTTGCCCAATCTCTTGGCTCATGTTTAACAATAATTGGCAACATAATACCATCAATATTTTGGCTAACAGCTTCTAAGTATAACTTATCGAATATAAATATTTAGCTGAAACAACGGAACTAATCCTTTATATAAGAAGAGTAGAATACTGAAATATTACTATGATTCAATCTAAATTTATATTCTGATTTTTATTAATATTAAATTAATATTTTGATTATTTATGATTGTTTAAATTCTTTATCAGAATCTATGTGACACTTTACTGCCCTGGTTATTTCATTTATCAGATTTAGAGACTATCACCTTAGATCCAAGTTTATTATATAAACTTATAAAATTATTAGTTCTGTGTGAGTATACACTGACCCATAGAAAAGTCAATAATTTTAATAACTTCAAAACCGTCAAAAATTTAAAAATATACGTTCATCATAAAAAATTGGAAGTGACAAAGGGATCTGAAGTTCAAAGTCTATTCTAAACTGAATGCATCTCTGAGTTTTTCATGAGGAGACATAGAAATATGGAGAATAATTGGTACAAAGTCGTTTATAGTCAAAGTCTCTAGAAAATTGTCAGTTCTCTTAGGCCTGGGTTTATTATTGTATAGATGTCACAGAACATATGTATGTACTCTTCTATATAAAGATGTAGATAGTAGAAAATTTTCTTAAAATTGACAATGCCAACACAAAACTTGCACGAGCTTCTCAAAATATCTAGAAGCATCTCAGTTTTAGAATTTTTTTTAACATGAATAAAACTTATGGATGCAAGAATAGTGTAGAAAAGGAATGCTGGGAGTGATCTTTCATAGCAGAAGTCTCTTTCTTTAGCAGTACACTCTAAGTGATGATGCTGTGATGTAATGTATGATATGTTCCCTAACATTATTGTTAATTTGTTGATTACATATAAATTAATATTTTTGCTTCCCTAGTGAGGAAACTGAGAAACAAAAAGTGGAAAATTCTTAGACTCCTGGGAAGAATTATCTTTATCCTTTTATTATACCAGCTTGATGAACGTTTACAGCAAGAATCAGAGGAGCAAATTTCAGTAAAATCTCTAAAATAAAGGCTCATTTTATTTGTGTGTGTGTGTATATATACACATATGCAAACACATACACACATATACACAGATATGTGTGTGTGTATATATATCTATAGATAGATACATCTCCTTACCTCTAACTATACATATGTCTACCTATCTACATCAAAAGAAAGATAGCATTTTAAAAGAAAACAGATTATATATTCTTAAGGCCAGTTCAATAAAGGTAACGTTTATTTTTCTTTGGTTTTTAAAATATTATTTGAAATTTAAATATTTACATTTATTAGGGATGAGTTACTTATTTCTTAGTCTTTTACTTTATACAGGTAATATTTCTGAAAATTAATTTTAGGTTAAAACATTGTTTGCACCGAATAGATCTTGCTTTATTATTGATCTTAAGTTACTTTTCATGTATCATAACCTTTTTTGTGTGGAAGCTGAAGTAGTTTTGAGTCTAGTTTTTGATGCTTACCAATACTGTCAATATGTATTTATTTATTTAAATAAAAGCATTATCAGGAATGTCTCTTTATATTTAATATTAAAATCCCCTCTCATATCCCATCGTCAACTCTTTTACCCTTTACTCTCCCCATTTTACCAGTTGTAGTCAAATTATTCTTAATAATTGTCATATCATGAGTTAAGCAAATAAAACATCTTACTGTTTCTCTAGATGACTCCTATATACTGCTGTAAAGAAATAAAGAAATATTCTAAAGTGTGGCTACATAGGTAGACTTGAATTAACATGAATAGACAATAAGTCAACTCATGGAGACATAATTAGCTAAGTAACTAAATGTATACATTTGTAGAAATAAAACTATGAAGCAGAGAGATTGTGTAAAATAGCTGAGCAAAACGGGCGTGGTAGCGGGCTCCTGTAGTCCCAACTACTCTACTCGGGAGGCTGAGGCAGGAGAATGGCCTGAACTCAGGAGGCGGAGCTTGCAGTGAGCCGAGATCAAGCCACTGCACTCCAGCCTGGGTGACAAACAACAACAACAACAACAAAAAAGCAAAACAAAAAAAACAGCTGAGCAAAAGACAAAACCACTCTTTATTTGGCACACAAAATATTTCTCTTTAGTAGTCATCAAAAAAATGATAGCTATTTTGAAAATACTTGGCATTGGGCCATTTGATGATTTATGAGTAAAAAACAAAACATAATCCCTCTCATTTCCACCAATGGAGTATGATCTCGTTAGGTGGGATTTTCCATTTATCTTGGCAGAAGTATCATTAATTTAGTCTGTTTATTCCAGTAATCTTAACTAGTTTACAAGTCTACAACATTACACCTTTGATTAGCTCTGTGAAAAAGATGTTTTGAAGTGAAAGGATCTCCCATTCTGTCTATATTTGGCAGCCTTAACTCTATAAAAATGTCCATTTTACCACTTCTTTTATATGCTCCTGCAGCTGCTTTCTCTCGTCTTCCCACTGTGAGATATTAAAAATCTGGTGGGAGTTTTCTCCAAGTTTATCTGGATGGAGAAAAAAACGCCAGAATAAGCTTGTCCAAATTAAAAATACCTTGAAACTGGAGAGCCTTTAGACTGAGTTCTCTGCAAATCATTCGGGGTGACTCTGACAATTGAAGATTATTATCTGTTGATCTTGAAGGTTATATGAGAATATGTTGTAAACTAGAAGCTGTAAGTTAGAAGCTAGAAGATTTACTGGAGTGATCTGTAACTGTTCAACAAACAACATTATATAATTAAAATATTTGAAGCTCAGCTTCATTCTAGTTTCTGCATTTTTATTTAACATAAAATGATTTTCTTTAACACTTGTGTGCTAACATGGAATTACTTTGCAGAATGAGCCTCTTTTTTTCCTTCTTTGGCCAGATGAAGTTCAAACAGAATTATAGACTACCCTGACATTGCATTATGGAAGATGCAAATGTAAGAGTGTGACATCTTTGTGTGATTCCATGACTATTCTTCAGAATGGAATTTGGAAATTCAAGTCCTGAGTGATATTTAAGGATTTAATATACCTTATGTTTTTCTAAAAGGAAACCTAATTATTATTGCAAATCTTCATGACACATATATGAGTCATCATAAAATTTGTGTTGGATATACTGATCGGTGATATAAGTAAGGTAGGGGTAGCCACAAATAACATCAGTGATAGACATGCACATTTTATTGTCAATCATGTACAATTTCCACATGACAATATGTCTAAAGACTAGTTCTGATTGTAAAGTAAGTTTTCATTTAGGAGAAAATTATTTCTCAAAAACAATTCTGTTACAGGCCAGGTGCCATGGCTCAAGCCCGTAATCTCAGCACTTTGGGAGGCCGAGGCTGGTGGATCACGAGGTCAGGAGTTCAAGACCAGCCTGGCCAAGATGGTGAAACCCCGTCCCTACTAAAAATACAAAAAATTAGCCGGGCATGGTAGCAGGTGCCTGTAATCCCAGCTACCAGAGAGACTGAGGAAGAGAATTGCTTGAACCCAGGAGGCGGAGGTTGCAGTGAGCCGAGACTGCACCACTGCACTCCAGCCTTGGTGACAGAGCGAGACTCTGTCTCAAAAAACAAACACACAAACAAAAGCAATCTTATTATATAATTTAATATTTGTTTTCCCTGTTTGCATGATATCTTTCTTTTGATGTAGATAGATATACATATAGTTAGAAGTATGGAGATGTGTATATATTTATATGCATACACATACATATATATCTGTGTATATGTGTGTGTATGTGTTTGCATATGTGTATATTTACACACACACACATAAAATGAGCCTATGAGTCCTGTCTCTGCTTTTGAATCACACACCCATATAAAATGAGCCTATAAGTCCTGTCTTTGCATTTGAATTTCAAAAGACCTTGACAATGTTAAGGAAACTATTTTATATTCAAATAATTCTATTAAAGCTAAGGAAAATATTGAACAATATGAGGTTAGATGTAATATTCCTTGGTGTATATGTTTATTTTACTGAATCTCAGGTTATTTTAACATATGAAAAAAATAAGTCTTAAAGAATGAATATGAAAAGACAACATATCTATAATTAGATATTTTACATGTGGAAATCCTAGGGAAGGATGTTGTTTAAGATTATATAGGGTCAAGATATAGATTACATGGCTAAACATAGCATTTATGAGATTAATATAAAATCTAAGTAATGGAATAGCCATGCTATGGTCTAAATATTTATGTCTCCTCCAAATTCTTATGTTAAAATCCTAACCCTCAAGGTGACGGCATTAGGAGATGGGGCCCTTGGAATGAGATTAGGTCGTAAGAACAGATCTAGCATTACTCAGATTAGTGCCCTTATTAAAGAGGTCCCAGAGAGCTACCTAGCCTCTTCAGCCATCATATCAAGGTAGAATGGAAAAATGGAAGTCTATGAAGAAGTGTGTGCTCACCAGACACCGAATCTGCTGATGCCTTGATCTTGGACTTCCCATCCTCCAGAACTGTGAGAAATAAATGTGTGTTGTTTATAAGCCACCCAGTCTATGGTATTTCATTATAGCAGCCCCAATAGACTACAAGCTGCATTGCAAATTACAGAAGATGGATTTTAAAGTGTTCTGTTTGTAATTCTGTTAATAACTTTAAAACCCCAACCTCCAGAAAATAAACTGAAAATATTTCACTGGGATGAGAGCCCTGGCATTTTGAAAGAATATGCCATCTGACCTTCAAGAATAGCAAAGTTGACAACTGACATCATAGTATATTTTTTCTGATAAATTCAGCACAGTAAAATTCAGCCCAGAAAATACAATATAACTTAAAATAGACACATAATTTAAGTATGTGATTTTTTTTTATATACAGAGTCTCACTTTGTCACCCAGGCAGGAGTGCAGTGGTGCAAACTCAACTCACTGCAACTTCTGCCTCCCAGGCTTAAATGTTTCTCCTGCCTCAGCCTCCCATGTACCTAGGATTATAGGTGCCTGCCACCACGCCTGGCTCATTTTTGTATTTGTAGTAGAGACGGGGTTTCACCATGTTGGCCAGGCTGGTCTTGAACCCCTGACCTCAAGTGACCTGCCTGCCTTGGCTTCCCAAAGTGCTGGGACAAGTACAGGCTTGAGCTACCACTCCCAGCTTGATTGTTAATTTAAGATATTTTGTGCACAGATTCTTAATTTAAGAAACTTAAGATAATATGTGTGCATAGAAATGTTGGAATGAAATGGTGCAACCAGAAACATTATCCAATACAATTACATCATTCCTCTCCTGTGACATTCTACACTCATAACAATTGTGAATATTTGTTCAATTTTTACCTCTTCTATGAATTCTAACAGGTATTTCTTTAGCTTAAGATTTTACTTCCAGCACTTAGCTCAACAAATATTTGTGTTACAAAATGATTAATTCAACATGCTTTGCATAGCAAAGGTTTTTCCCACCTGGGTGATAATTCTGTTTTATAGTTTACACTAAAAATTATTTCATACCCATTATGATATACAAATCTACATAGAAGAAAGAGCAGGTTTTAATTTCCATTTTATGCCTTGGGGAGATTGTTACTTACTTAAGAACACACAATTCTAATCAGCAAACCTTGGATTTTTATTCAGATTTTTTTCATAACAATTAAATTCTTTTTGACTAACCCAGGGAGGCCCTCTAAAGCCTTAGTTTTGATTAGGAATTTAAATTCTGCATGTATACATCTTTTCACATTAACTTGCAAAACTGCACGTAGAGATTTATGGAATAAAAATATATTGTGCACAATAACAAATTTTCAATTCAATGAAAACTGAACTATCTCTCATGTTCTGTGTTAATTTCCCCCCTGTGATGCTGTGGTTAGATTATTTCAGGAATGACTTCCAATGAAGCGATCTTGTCCTACACTGACACTGAGTTTGGTCACATGGCTTGCTTTGGACAATGGGACACTAGCAAATATGACGTAAGAGGCCTGAAAAGCCCTTGCTCACCGGAGTTTTCCCCCTCAGTGCTCCTGGGAATGCTTCTATCACCATTGGAAGGATCCCAAGCTAGCCTATAAGAAGATGAAACCACAGCTGAGGCCCAACCATCTCTTTCTTAGTCAGCCCACCAGCTGACTGGAGCTCCATGAGGGTTCCATGTAGGGCCAGCAGTATTACTGTCCAACTAAGCCCAGTCAAAATCTCTAACCTACAAAACCTAAAGCAAATAAAACTTTGGTTATTATTTGAAGCCATTAAGATTTGGAGTGGTTTGTTACACAGCAAAGGGTAACTAACACAAAATGTTAAAAGAATCTTTAAAACAACATTAAAATAGTATGTATAGGTATATATAATTCTTGCATGTAATTCTTTACCAAGCTCCTGAAGTCAGTTAGAAAGAAGAAATATCCAAGACACCTTCAACGTTTTCAAACCAGATTTACAAAACTGCTTCTAAAGATAAATGATTCTGCTCCGTGGTCAAACAATGACAGATAACCGTAGACCACCCCCAAAATGTCAAGTACAGAATCTTGTTTTTCCTCTTGGCTGAGAGCACAGTACTGGATCCTGTCATTTCTACAGATTGGAAGCAAATCCTAGTTTCCTAGTTCCTTCATCTACTATATAAAACACGGTTGCATTTCCTAGAATTCACCATCTCTATATAAGAACATTAGTGTGTAATTCTCCCTCCACATACACCTTTTTATTTTCCGTTCCCTGTTTAAAAAAAATAATAAAATAGAGGTCTGATGATGTAGACTTTGGATCCTGCTTTCCAGCATGCCAAATGTTGAACCCATAGAGGGAATTTTGTATGTGAAGTCTAAGGGAAGGAAAATGCTGTGCTCCATAACATAGGTACTAGTCATAATATGTAATAAAATACAAACTGCCAATAAATAAAACCACAGAAAAGTGTTCCTCTGTATATTTCTACTACCCATAAATAACCTACCAAAGCTGAAATGTAAAAATTAACAGAAGGAAAGCAGGTCATTTAAGAAATTGGATAAAATAACTTGCTCTCTTAAGACATGCATTCATTTGTCCACACCCTGTTGATATTTCTTTGGTTCCAATGGGATCCTGGAGGAGGTACACACAGTGAAAGAGGAAATGAGACTCTAGCCCTAAGAGTGCCAATCATAACTGCACTGTCCATAAAGATGTTTGCATTTGCCTTTCAGGAATGTTTTTGTAAAGATTAGCAACTGTTAACCGGCAGTAGGCTAGATTCTCCTCAGGGAAACAAGAATCTGTACAAGGAATTCACTGGGAACACTGTTAGAACAAATCATTTGTCATTCAAAAAAAATGCAAGAAAGGGACCTAAAAAGCAATTAATTTAAAAATATTATTTAGGTCTCATTAATTGGAGTCCAAAAACATTAATAATTTCAAAGTATTCTCTGAGTGGGTAGCAGAATTTTGAATTACTGACACCGATACAATTTCAAAAATATTTTGGGTAAAGGGGCAGAAATATTTACCAATGATCTATGTGTCCTTGCCTTTCATCATTTCCCAGCCATCTTGCACCTAAGCCGCACCATTTGACTATTCTAGACATTAGTGTGTAAATAGAAGTGACATGGCTAATTTCCAGGTGAAAACATTTAAAGGTCAGTGCATAAACTTCCAATTCTTTCTTATTTCTTGTAGTTACCATGGACACCACATGTTGAGATGCTAAAGAGTCAGAATGGGTCTGTGAGTGATTATCTGGAATGCTGGACATGTAGAGTTTGTATGGAGAGTGAGTAAGTAATGAACATTTTTATGTTATGCCATTGAGATTTGAGGGTGAATGTGTTACTGCAACTTATCATGACCTATCCTGAGCAATACAGAAAACTAATCTGGGTTTACCAACTTTCTAATATGCCAAATAAGGAGATTTTAACATATAAGCATGCACAACTCCTCACTGTATGCCATCATTATGTAAAAGAAATAATATTTTAAAACCCAAAAATACAGAAGGATAATAATCATAGGAGGATTCTTTCTTCAACTCAATAAGTATGGTTTTCTTTCAAATATCACTATATTATTTTTAATTTTGTTATTTTGCTGGCAAAATTTTATCATGGAATAGTATAACTGTCTTCCAAATGGTATTCAAGAATTCTGGATCTAGGTATTTCAAATATGGCAAAGAAGACTGTGGACCCAGGGCAATTAAAAAAGATCATATAATGATAATGCCCAGCTTTACCTGTCTTTCAGTGAGATCCAGATTCACTGCTATCTCGTATCGCCTCAGTCTGGTGAGATAATTATGATGGGCAAATTCTGCTTCAAGTTCTCTGATTTGCTCTTTGGTAAATGCTGTCCTTTCTTTCCTGGGTTTGCTGTTGACTTCTGACTTGTAATTTCCTTCCTGGGAGTCTGAAAAAAAAGGGAGACAGAATTGGTAATAACTCATTTATTCAAACACATGCAATCATATTATTCACAGTTATTGAATTACTACTTTTCCAGGTACTGCGCTAGACATGGAACAAATAGAGACCAAAGACAGCAAGACTGACGGCAGCTCAACGGGGGGAGATATAATTCTTATTTTTTTCATCTTCCTTCAGGTAACTCACAGTCCATTTGGGAAAGCATGTAATTTTCTTCTTATAAAATATTAACAAAACCTTTAACTGCTTGTAGTATGATATTAAGATAAACCAAAACCTCTCTAGAAAACACTTTTAGATATGAAGTTCTGTTTCATAAGTTGTTGAACATACGTACTTGAGGTCTAAGTAAGATTGAACATAGTAATCCTTTAAAAAGTGGCATCTCAATATAGGAGTATTTGAGAAATTCAAACGTTTAGCAACTGGACCATAAAAAATTTTATGCTCAGACTGAGCGTATGTAAAAGTATGTGTGTACTTATTGGCTTTTTTATCTGTATTTAAGTAAAATTCTTGAGGGCAATAGCAATGTTCTTTTATTTTATATTATACTTAGTCCAACATGGAATCTATAAATGAAATTGTGTTCATATGACTTAAACTATGAACAGAGTTTTTAAATGTGTTTTTCATTATATATAAGATAAACATAAGGTGCACAACATGTAACATCAGTGATCCACAACATCAAATCTTATAATGCAGTGTAAAATACCAATAGCAATTTTGAGTATATCATTCCATTTTTCCTCTTAAGGGTTCAATACATAACTAACGTATAGAATTTCTTTTATCCTCATAAATACCCCTGAAATGTAGGTCAGAAGACATTCTTAATATACTAAAAAGCAGAACGTGAATCAATAGTAAACACACACACACACACACGTCAAGTAAAAAGTAATCATACCCAGCTCTAATAACTTAGGGCAAATTTATCCTCAGTGAAATATCAACATAATCAAGAAAAAAGGGCACATTAATGCTCTCCTGAAAATTATTTCTGGTATCTAATTATTTTTGCACATGTACAAACAAGCTGTGATATCTTTAAAAAGTGTGAATACACTTAACTCTTCTAGGAACCCAAATGATAGAAAATTGATGTAGAAAGATGATCATTAACCAAAGGTTTCAAAGAGTGACATTTTAATTGTTTTTTTAATTGACAAATATAATAAGGCATGGCTTATGCAGGATCTTTTTAGATTATGTTTTTTTTCATGCAATGATGCTTAAATATGCTAAGAAGTACAAAAATGAATTTTTTAGTGTTCTATTTCTTTCTGTCTGCCTGAGGGATGTTTAACTGAACTAAAGAGGACCCTGCATAATGGAAATTCACTAGACAAGGCACTTTAATGTAAAGACTTTTACTTTGATTCTTAGCAGTATCTAAGTGAGCCAGATGTAAAGTTTTCTAGGTCTAGTAGCAGCAGCAGCAGCAATAAGTTGCCTCAACACCTTGGCACACTGACCATTACTTATCCTCTGATGGATCACAGACTGTTTCACTCACTGGTGCACTGGCACTATCTAAAACTCTTCATTCACTGACCACGTTTCTGGGCTTGTCACTTATCCCTGTATCAGCTAGCTTCTCACCTTAGCAGGGTATGTGGGGCTTTATCCAGCACCAAAGTAGTTTGTGACATGTCATGCACAGGTTGATTGCACTTTATAGAAAGCCACTGGGACCAGGTGAGTGACATAAGAGATGATGTGTGTGCTCTCAGGTAGGCCATGTTTACATGGTGCCAACTTACCTGGCTGCAAGGATGGAAACTGCAGTCCATCATCCAATTGCCTCTAGCTACAGATATGTCAGCATCCACATTGGTGGAGCATTTAGCTATTCTGGCATTGTGTGAACAACATTTCCAAATGATTGATTTTTTTAAACTTTTCCGTGGGCTGTTCTTGCAGCCTGCAAACTCAGTCACAGTACAGAATATTCAGATAGCAAGACCTTCTCACAAGCATCCACGTTCTCAGGTGAATTGAAAGAACTTTTGCCAATTTGGATCCCTGCTTTGCCTAAAATCTGTGGCTGATTATTCTTTATGTGGAGACAATGCTCTTTTCCTTTCAGTCAAGCAACTCTGGAAACTGACAGTAAAGCCAGCACACTTTTTCTCATGAGCAGTTCAATTTGAATGATTCATGGTTAGCACATTCCCTTATGTAAGCATGAATGAACAAATTCAAATTCAGGAAAGGCTTTGACTTGTATTTATTTGAGTTTCTTTGAAAGTGATCTTCTTTAACTTTTGCAATATTCAAAAGTACTTCATAAATACCACACAGTCACACAAACAAAAACACAAAACATGGGCCAATTCTCAGAAGGACACTCACAGGTAATGGGTCTATATACACACTCATTGTAACTAGAAATATACAACAGGAGGTTTATACAGCCAGTGACTGGATTTAAGCTAAAATCTGGCTGTAGTTCAATATTTAAATCCATAAATTATTTACTGAATGCTTGAATACCAAACCAAAAATTGCTCACAAAGTGAAATCCAATGACTAAAATGAAGTAACTTGTGCACACTCATATTTATAACCACACAAAGAACCATTGAATTGTAATTAAATTACATTAAATTAGATGACAGAGTGGATGTATGCTTCTTGATATCACCTCCTATGAGAGAGAACGTTCATGTAGTTGAAGTGGCACCAGTGTTGATTAATCCAGCCACTACTTTTACCCTTGTAGTGTGGTTTCCATCACAACCCTCATTCTCTTTTATTAAAAACATGCTTCTTGGAATTGCATTTCTGGATTTGTATTTCCTACAGTCTTGGTTTTTTAAAATATTTTTACCTCTTTCTTTACAGTTTCCAAACCCTATCACTTGCTGACCCTAAGGCCTCTACTGCCATTACCCAGCTAGACTTTCTTTGGTAGAAAATGGATGGAAGATTTGCACCATGCATTTGACAATTTTTGCATCAGTTTCCATCTGTTTCCCAGCTGTTCTAAGTGAGGCAAAAGTCCCTCCCTTTTCTTCAACCTCCCATATCCTATGCCAAATGGTAGGTGCTGAGGGGGGAATCTGGACACTGCCTTCCTTTCTTCTCTACAACCACAAACAAAATGTCACCATCTGTACAGTATATTCCAATGTAAAATACTACAATTGTTGTTTTTCGTCTCAGATACTTTAATGCACCTGTGGGTCCATTCACACACTCTCTCAGCGCTTCGAGGAAATGTTGACTTATGTGTTCAGGTATGGTTGGCAGTCCCAGTTCCCTAACCTTTTGCTCCCTGGGACTACGCTAATGGAAGAAGTCTGCAATACTTCCGTGGAGGATAAAAATTGCCCTCCAAGGATCATTTCTGTCTAGCATTTAGAACTTCTCCACATGTGACTTTTTATTTCCCCTAGTGCAAGAGAATGCCAAAAGATAATAATGTTTTATTGAAGACAAGTAATGGGAGGGCTTGGTCTGTTCACTAGTGGCACAGAGTGCTATTTAGCAAAAGAGAAATAAAAGTACGATTGAGAATATTTTTGGCTACTCTGGGTAAACGTATTAGCTCGTTTAAATGAAGAACATAATTTACCTATGTCTGTAAAATATCAAAATGGAATGGAATGTCTGTATAGCTTGGACTAATATAAATTCTAGTTCCATATCCTGAAGAAAAATGAATACTAAGCCTCAGCATATTGCTGTAACTTTTGTATCAATGTTTTGTAAACTATTCAAAATGAGAGATATTTCATTATTTATTAACAAAACTGCACAAACCCATAGTTATGGAAAGCTAATAATTTTTACGTAGGCATAGGGATTGTGGATGGAGTCAGAAAAATTTATGAAATCATTCTATTGGTGCTAGTAATTTTCACATTTAAAGGGGAAATTGCCTTCTTTATGGGCACTTATCCAACTTGCTACTCCAGCTCATTAATGAGTGAGCATTTCAGCTTCTCAGTGTTTCTTCTTTTTTCAAAGTAAACAACCTTCTCCAGGAGTTCTTAAATCCTCTTGCCAATCCACTTTCCAGATTTGAGAACCACAGTCATAGCGAGCTACTATGATTCATGAATGTGTCGATTATACACTAAGGTGTGTGAGGAGTTAAAAATTGGATCGAGCACCACTATGTTAGATCCAGAATAGGATAGCCAGAAAACATCTATTATTTCTTGTACCTCTTTGATAGCTATAATAATACATTCTCTTACAAAGCAAACCCAAATTTTACATACCAAAAAAGGAATTTCCATCGAGTTATAATTATTATTGTGATAGTTTTCTTCAAAATGCAAAAAAAAAAAATCATTGTACCTGCTGAGCAGTGATTATCAATTGGCAGATGTACTCTTTTTCACTATCTGTCCTCTCTGCTCAATATCTTGATTATTCTTGGGTTTGTCTAATATGCTTTCGGGGAGGAAATAAATCAGATAAATCCCAATTTAGTATTATTGAAGATAGATTATTTTTTATTATATTTATGTAGCCAATTATATGTCTTGAACAAATAATTTATAGAGGATATCCTATTTATTCCTGTTAAAGGCATTTAAGTTCATATATAATGGTCTATATTGAAAGAGTAACTGTATAGCTAAAAGTTTTATGTAATAGTTTTTCAATTTAAGTTTATAGACTTGACTTTTTCTCAATATATTTAGGCTTATGTTTACACCACTCATTCTTAAAATGAGATTGATGAAAATTTTATTCACATGATTGCATCAGTATTTAGCAATAGCTACTTACATAAGAAAACATTACAATTGCTAACTTATAATTTATGCTGTACAAAGCAATGATATAAATGGGAAAGTATGAAGATTTGAGATGCTTTATAAAATCTATATATTTTACATATTATTTTAATATGAAAGAGAATTTTAATTTTTGGAAATATCATAAATTTATCACAGGCTATAAAATTTTACCAAAAAGAAAAGAGCAAGTTAAGCCAAGGTTAAATGTGTGTGTGTGTGTGTGTGTGTGTGGAGAGAAAGAGAGAGAGAGAGGAGAAAATAGCACAAGATTATTCTTAAATTGGTAGAAATTTAGCAACTTAGCATGGATATGGATTTGAAAAATTTGCAAACACATATCTCAGAATTTATACAAAAATAAAATACTTAGGTCTCTAAAGTCCTCCATACCTTAGATGTAGACGTTTCCTTGAAGTAGGTAATAAAATTTCCTTGGCATTGCATTGCATTGCTGGAATAAACTGGCTAGTATTAGAACAAAGTCTTTCTTTTTGCTTCCTCCTCTCTTCTCTACAGTTTTGAGGTGATGGAAGTTACAGAAATTTTAGCCATTTTAAAATAGGTGCATAGTACATAACTCATTTTAATTCCTTATTTTTTGTGCCCATCAATATATGAATTCAGTTTTACCTTACAGCCTGTTTAGTGAAGACCCTTATTTTTAAATGATGAGATTTTAATGTGTCATTTTGTTTTAATTTTATCTTTCCTTTCCTAGAATTTATTATTATGTAATGCTTCCTCATAGTAAGAATATGCCAACCCAATGGTTCTTCTTCCATGACCTAAGTACAAATTCACAAAGAACTAAAAATGGTGATGAAATTAATGTCATGATTAATGTGCAATTCGAAAACAAAACAAATTTTAACAAAATTAACAAAAACAAAGTATTTTTGTTAAAAAATATTTTTAAAGGCCAGAGACACATAAAATAGGAATATAATGCAATTTACTTGCGTCAAATTTGACACAGATTTGATTCTTCTAACTACCAACTTCAAAGCACTTAACACAAAAACAAAACCGGGACAAGTCTTCTGGGTAAAAATAAACTTTGTAGATTTTGCTACACATTTCTAGGCTTAGAAAGAGTTTACAGAGCCCAGAATTGACTTTATGGCTCTTGCTATAGTCCAGAGAGAAAACATAAACTAAAGAAAGATCATGGCTATCCATCCAACAAAACAAGGCACTTGTGCCTGGATCTGTCTAATAGCAAAGGACTTCTCAAAGGTCATCATTTGCACCTACAGTGGGACTAAAGGCCCTAATTAAGACTTTTTGACATAAAGCATTCCATTCCATTTTCCCTGATTATATTAGTTTAAAGAGGGTACCACTTCTGTCAGCTCCCTTCAAACTCCTTTTGTTCCTTTCTTACAATGCTTACCACATTATGTCACTGTACGGATGCTTTCTCTCCTATACTAGAACGTAAGTGTTTGAGGCCAATTCTTGTTCTAGTTTATTCAGACACTGGAGGTCAATAAAAATAATACTTGTTTTCACACTTAATTTTAATACACGCAGAAGCAATAGGCAAGATAGTGAAGAGAACTCAAGCTTCCACATGTGTCCCCCATTCACCTCCTACTCAGCTCTTATGTCAGCAAATGGCCTGGAATTACATGGTATTACTGCATATTTGAGAAGATGGGGAGGGAAAGAAACTATTTTCACAAATTAAGGACAATAGTAACTTGGCAAAGGCAGAAAGAATTGTGACATTTCTAATTTACAGCTGTCAACAGGGCAAAAAGGATTGAGCCCTCTTATGGCATCAGATAACACCATACAGATTTGCAGTGTGATGCCAGAAAATTCAGCACCAATTCTGCCGGTAGTGCAGTAAAACCCTTGGACATGCAACAGGAAAACTTCCATGGAGTTTTTTATTTATATTATGAAAGACAAGTCCACACCTTCTCAGAGTGTAAGGACTAGCATTTATGCTGTAATTCTGAGCCATTTCTTTAGCAAGTCATCATAGTCGCTTTAATGTATTTTTAAGCAGTGATGTAGAAATTATTGAACTTTTCATTTATTTTCATGTCTGCTTTGCTTCTCTGGACTCTAGACTCTGGGTAACTTATGAGTATGAATTTTGTCTTCCTCATCTTTGTATTTCTAATACTAAATACCTACTATTCTGCTGTATCTTTGACTTTACGATCTGATTATAGATTATAATTACAAAGATAACCCTAAGGAGCCTTGTTCTGGCATAGAAATTTAACTGACCTTCAGCTTAGAAAAAGGAAAAGTATCATTTATTATTGCTTTCTATTAACTTTTAAGACATGTTTACACATATCTCGTGTAACTAATGGCAGACAAGTAATGTTATCTTCATTCTATATTTATAACGATATCTCCAAACATGTTTACATAGAAAAGTACCAAATCAGTCTCCCTATTATAAAATTTGAAACCAAAATCATTGAATGTTATACGAAGTGAAGGAACATATTGCCCAGAGATTATAGTTCTGAACCTCAGCACTATTGACATTTTGGATTGGATAATTCTTGTTACATTTGTATTCAATGAAACATAAACATATTCAAAATAAAGATGTCCTGTGTGAGGTGGGGACAGTTCTGGGCTTTGTAGAATGTTTAGAACATCCCTGGCTTCTACTCACTGGATGCTTGTAGCAAACCTCAACCCTAATTTTAGTGTTGTCAGATAAAATATGGTTCTCCCAGTCCAATTTGAATTTCAGACAAACAATAAATAAAGTTTTAGTATGTTACAAATATTACACAAAGCATACTTGTATTTTAAAATGTTTATTGTTGTATGAAAATTCTAATTCAACCAGATATCTGTAGTTTAATTGGTTAAATCTGGCAATCCTAAATTGCCAATGTACTCCATGGGGAAAAATTGCTCCCAGTAGAGAATCATTGCATATAGATAATATTTGGATGAAGACATCAATAACTTTCAGTTATACAACTCTTTTTAGGAATGACCAACATGATTCATAAGTTGCACGCATTATTTATGTGTAAATAATCCCACCTTTATACTGTGGTCACGCCTTGTCTCCTCCAAGCCAATGACGAGATTATTTGCAGATAAAATTGTTCAAGAAGAGATTTTGTCAGTGCTAATTCACCCAAAATATAACTGCAGAATAAGTGACTCTAACTTCAGAGGATTATCCACATGGAACAGTAAAATGACACATATGGCATCACCATAGAAATTACCATGTTCCTAAGCCATCCCTTAGAGGTGTGAGAGTTTCAGTAAATTTCAGAGGGAAGTATTATGTTTCTACAATGCATCAAAGCACATAAGCACTAATAATAAATCAACTATTTGATTACATCCATATCATTTAATTAAATACTGACTGAATTAATAAATATTAACTTTGTAGGCATGCATTTTAGAAATTGAGGAGATTCTTACAAACCGTCTATTTCCACCTGCTCTCTACCTGAGAAAAGTGAGGCTCAAAGTGGCTGAAGGGCTCACCAATGGTCACAGATAGTCACAGAATGTTCCTAGGCCTAAGTGTCATTCAGCTTCAGAAACCAACAGGAATACATTTTATGAACTCCTGAAATATCCTTTACCTACTGCATGGCCTTTTCACAACAAGGATTTGAGGACCACTGCCATTTAATTGTGATACTAAATATGGTTATGAAACCTAAAATACTCAAACAGAATCTTGAGTACCAAACATTCCAAATACACAGATATTAAGAGCATCCTCTCTGCTCCTTATCTGCTTATTCAACCCCTATTGTCTCCCCTGTGCTCATCTTTAACACAGACTTTAAGTGAAGAGGGTTAAATTAAGCAAATCATGTAGAACAATGCCTACATATTACGGGCACTCAATAATCAATTGTAAACTCTAGCCGTTATTAGGAGAGGACTGTGGTCCAAGGCCTTAGCAATTGAAAATTATGCATTTGATAAAATCATGTGTTATAATTAGTTTTTTTAAAATGTAGGAAAATTTTGTTTTTAAAATGGACCTCAATCTAAAAATCTAAGAATTTAGGAATTTACACAGTGACTAGCAGAGTTCCACTTTACATTGAAAAATGGTTGGGCCCCTAAAAGTATCTATGTGTTATTTTTGGCTAATGTACAAACGAAGCTGAAAGTTTAATTACAATTTTCCAAGGAACCTGGGGAGGTGACACTTTACAAGGCTTAGTGGTATCAGTGTATGAAATTGTATTTCCTCTGCAAGTTTTATTTGGAAATTCAGTGAAACATAACCAAACCTGGCATACCCAATAAAACGGAGTCAGATAGTGTGCTTGTGTTTGTGTGGGTATGTGTGTTTCTTCTCTTTTAGAGTCCTGTCAAACAGGTACATAAATGTAGGAAGATAGGAGTCACATTCTGCCTAGTGGTTAAAGTATTAAAAAAAGTTTAATTAATACTTCTAAATGGATTTTTAGAAGACCAAGATAAGAAGTATTTACTGAAAACACTTACAAGCCGATTCTCTTAAATGTTGTGCTGTTATTTACTTAGAAATTTTCTCTAATTATGAGTTTCTTCATATAGAGGGTTTGAGAAAAAAAATCCCTTAGATATTTTTTCTGAAATAATCATATCGGAAGATTAATGACCAAGAATTTATAAATTGATTTTGCTTTGGTTTCAAAGTATAATAAACAAATTATAAACAATAATAAATAATGCATAAAGGTAATGAAATAAAACTTATTATAAAATACCAAACAACATAGGGTTCTAGCTCAGGCATCAGTTTCCTTTTGACTGCGCTAGTGAAGTTAAATTCTTGTGATCTGTTACATGATTGTAGCTGTATTGGCAAGAAGGAAAACAATCTCAGGCTGACGAATCTGCATTATAATCAAATTGTGATTGTTTTTTGCAAAGATTTTCCCAATTAGAGAGCATCTGAATCATTTCTTTGGAGATCTTAAATTCAATTATACATGCCATATAGAAATTTAAGAACATAAATGTAATTATTATCTGCCTCAGTCCATTTTGTGCTGCTATAACAGAATACCTGAGTGAATAATTTATTTTAAAAAACCAGAAATTTATTTCCTACAATCCTAGAGGCTGAGAAGAAGTGCACGATCAAGGCAGCAACATCTGGTGAGTGCTTTCTGGCTGCATCCTTAATGGCAAAAGGCAGAAGGGCAAAAGAGCGTGATCCCATTCATATAAGCCCTTTTCATAGTGGCATTAATCCATTCATGGGAGTGAAATCCTCATGACCTAAACACCTCCCAAAAGGCCTCACCTGCCAGCACTGTTGCCCTGGGGATCAAGTTTTCAACACGTGAATTTTGGGAAACACATTCAGACCATAGAATTATCCATTTATTTATGATATTTTAGAGACTAACTTTAATATTCTGTTGGGTAAATTATACTAGGAAAATAATTTCACTGAAGTCTGAAATGTTTTTTAAAATCATACTTAATTTCATATTAGTTTAAATGTGAAAAATGTCCTACACCTATTTCTGATCTCTGCCAAGATAGTATATAATGATACGGCATTAAGTTTCTGTGAATGTGAAGCTTTCATCTAGGTCTTACAGATAATCCTTGGGTTGTAATTGCATAACAAATTCAGGCACTCAAAACTCACATACGTCATAGGTTACATCTTATAATTTCTGAAATGATTCATAAGTTTCTTCCAGTTAGATATTAGATAGCATTCAGTATTCCATTACATGGTGGAGAGAAAGGGACTTGAAGCATACACATTTTTGTTTTACTGAACACGTGTGCTACCACCCACAAAAAGAGGATGTGCTTACTCCTAAAATGTAATTTTCCAATACACACACACACACACGCACACACACACGCACACACACACATAAAACATACCATCTGCTAATCTTGCAATACTTCTCAATAAGCAGAAAAATCTTAGTAGTATCCAGTTTTTAAAGTTTTTCATTGATTAAACAGAATTGTAGTTATAATTATAGCTCTATAACTTGTACAGTTCTGTTTACAACTCTAGTTATTTAGAAGGAAAGAGTGGCTGGGGAACATATCGGGGCTTTGAAGCCAGCAGACTTGGGTTGGATATCAGTTGTTGCTACTTACTGTGTGGTCTTCTGAGGCTGGTTTTTGAAATTCAGATTCCCCATCTAAGAATCCACAGGATTGTTGAAAATAGGAGAATTAGAGAATTTAAAGTGTGTATATCTGAGATATAGTATCAATTCAATAATACAAACCTACTATTAGTAATATTAAACTTAAAATGTACCAGGAGTAGGATGGTACTGTTACATTTATTAGCCTTTTCTAAGTCAAATTTATTAGTTTACATATTTCATTTGAATCATTTAACTTTCATTTGACACGTAACATTTAGTGAAATACACCTTTATTTCATTTTTAGTGATCTTGAACTTAGTAAAAAGATGATTTTTATTTTCTAGCTCTTTCCACCCCTGTGTATTTTAAAAGATCCACAATCCTCATAATTTCTTTAAGCAATCAGCAAGAGTTGTGTATGATTACTTTTTAAAAAGTTAATAGGTTGTGAAAGTCTGTATGCTTTTATTTCTTTCATGTTTTATAGCTTTGCTGCTAAAAATTGCAGTCTAGTTTAAAGCATAAATTATTTTTCTGAGTGCAATTAAATGGCATTATCTTTTATTTATGTACGTTTGTATGTGCATGGGCATATATATTTACAGTTAACACACTTAAAATACTTTGTTTTATTTAGTCTTCATTGGTCTCATATGCATTTAGTCTAATTCATGCAAATTTTGTGCATATGTAAAACATTTCTAGATCTTCTTTATTTTTTAGGTTCAGAGGCGTACATGTGATGGTCTGTTACGTAGGTATATTGCATAATCGTAAGGTTTGGGCTTCTAGTGAACCCATCACCTAAATAGTGAACATGGTAGTATTTTTTACCCTCTCCTCCTTCTCTCTCTCCCCTTTTGGAATCCCCAGGGTCTATTATTTCCATCTTTGTGTCCATGTGTGCCTATCGTTTAGCTTCCACTTGTAAGTGAGAACATGTGTATTTCATTTCTTTCTGAGTTATTTCACTTAAGATAAAGGCCTCCAACTCCATCTCTACTGCTGTAGAGGACAGGATTTGATACCTTTTTTATGGCTCCATAATATTCCATGGTGCATATATATCACAATTTCTTTACGCGATCAACTGTTGATGGACATTTAGGTTGATTCCATAAATTTGCTATTGTGAATAGTGCTGTGATAAACATGATAAAAACAGGTGACTTTTTGATACAATTATTCCTTTCCCTTTGGGTAGATACCCGGTAGTGGAATTGCTGGGTGAAATTATAGTTCTTTTTATAGCTGAGAAATCTCCATACTGTTTTCTATAGGATATAAGCTAATTTACATTCCCACCAACGGTGTAAAAGTATTCACTTTTCTCCACATCCTCACCATCTGTTATTTTTTTGACTTTTTAATAATAGCCATTCTGACTGGTATGAGATGGTATCTCATAGGGGTTTTTATTTGTATTTCACTGATGATTTGTGATGTTGAGCATGTTTTCATATGTTTATTAGCAACTTGTATGTCTTCTTTTGAGAAGTATGTGTTCATGTCCTTTTTCTACTTTATAATGGGGTTGTCTGTCATTTTCTTGTGGATTTGTTTAAGTTCTTTATATATTCTGGATATTAGTCTTTTGTTGGATGCAGAGTTTTTGAATATTTTCTTCCAGTTTCTAGGTTTTCTGATTATTCAATTGATTGTGTCTTTTGCTGTGCAGAAGCTCTTTAGTTTAATAAGTCCCATTTGTCTGCTTTTGTTTTTGGTGCATTTTCTTTTGAGGTCTTAATCTAAAGGCCAGTTTCTAAAAAAGTTCTTCCTAGATTTTCCTCTTTTTTTTATAGTTTTGGGTCTTATGTTTAGATCTTTGGTACATCTTCAGTTAATTTTTGTATATAGTGAGAGATAAGGTTCCAGTTTCATTCTTCTGCATGTAGCTAGCCAGTTTTCCCGGAACCATTTATTAAAAACGGTGTCTTTTCTCCATGTTTATTTTTGTTGACTTTGTTGGAGATCAGCTAGCATTAGGAGTGTGGCTTTATTTCTAGGCTCTCTATTCTGTTCCATTGATCTATGTGTCTATTGTACCAGTACCAAACTGTTTTGGTTACTAAAGCCTTCTAGTACCCTTTGAAGTCAGGTAATGTCATATCCCCAGTTTTGTTTGCTTTTGTTTTTTGTTTGTTTGTTTTGCTTACGATTGCTTTGGCTATTTGAGCTCTCTTTTTTGGTTCCATGTGGATTTTAGAATTGTTTTTCTAATTCTGTGAAAAATGACATTAGTAGTTTAATAGGAATTGTGTTGAATCTGTAGATCACTTTGGGCAAATATAGTCATTTTAATGATATTGATTCTTCCTATCCATGGGATGTTTTTCCATTTGTTTGTATTATCTATGATTCTATAATCAGTGCTTTGTAGTTCTCCTTGTAGAATTCTTTCACCTCCTTAGTTAGGTCTGTTCTAGGTTTGTTGTTGTTGCTGTTTGGGGGTTGTGTGTGTGTGTTTGTGTGTGTGTGTGTGTGTGTGTGTGTTTCTGGCTACCGTGAAGGAGACTGGGTCATTGATTCAGTTCTGAGATTGAGCACTGTTGTTGTATACAATGAAATTGATTTTTATACATTAATTTTGAATCCTGAAACTTTATTGAAGTTATTTTTCACATCTGGGAGTTTTTTGAAGGAATGTTTAGAGTTTTCCAGATATAAGATCATGACATCAGTAAACAGAGGTAAATTGACTTCCTTGTTTCAAATTTGAATGCCTTTTGTTTCTTTCGCTTGCCCTGCTAGGACTTTCAGTACTATGTTGAATGTTGAATAGCAATGGTGAGAGTGGGCATACTTTTCTTCTTTCAGTTATTAAAGGGAATGTTTTCAAATTTTCCCCATTCCGTATGATGTTAGTTGTGGGTTTGTCATACATGGCTCTTAGTATTTTGAAGTATGTTCCTTCAATGCCTGGTTTGTTGAGGGTTTTTATCATGAAGGATGCTGGATTTTAACAAATGCTTTTTCTGCATCTACTGAGATTATCATATGGTTTTTGTTTTTAATTCTGTTTACATAGTGAATCATATTTATTGAGTTGTGTATGTTGAACTATCCTTGCTTCCCTGGAATTAAACTAACTTGAACGTGATGAATTATCTTTTTTGATATGTTGCCAGATTTGGCTTCTTAGGATTTTCTTGAGAATTTTTGCATCTATGTTCATCAGAGATATTGGCTTATGATTTTATTTTTGTTGTTGTTGTTGTGGGTTTGCCATATTTTGATATCGTGGTAGGATGAGTTAGGAAGGAAACTCTCCTCCTTGATTTCTTGGAATAATTTCAGTAAGTTGGTACCACTTCTGTCTTGTATGTCTGGTAGAATTTGGCTATGAATCCATTTGGCCCTGGGCTTTTTTTAATTGGTAGATGTTTTTTATTACTGATTCAATTTCATAACTCATTATTTGTCTGTTCAGAATTTCAATGTCTTCCTGGTTCTCTCTTGGGAGATTGTATGTTTCAGAAATGTATTCATTTGGGTTGCATATATGTTTAGGGTAGTTAAATCTTACTGAATTGAGTTGAACCCTTTATTATAATTCAATGTTCTTCCTTGTTTTTTGTTTGTTTGTTTGTTTGTTTGTTTTAACTGTTGTTGGTTTGAAGTCTGTTTTATCAAACACAAGAATAGCAACCTCTGCTCTCTTTCCTTTTCTGTTTGCATCGTAGATCTTTCTCCACTCCTTTACTTTGAGCCTGTGTCATTACATGTGAAGTGGGTCCCATGAAGGCAGTAAATGGTTGGATCTTGTTTTTTACATCCAGTTTGCCAATCTGTATCTTTTAAGTGGGGCAGTTAGGCTATTTACAATCAAGGTTCATATTGATATGGGAGGTTTTGTTCCTCTAATAGTGTTGTTAGATAGTTGCTTTGTAGTCCCAATTGTGTAATTGCTTCATAGCATCTATAAACTTTGTATTTTCATTTGCTTTTGTCCTAGTAAGTTTTGTCCTTTTATTTCCATTTTTAGAACTCCCTTGAGCATTTCTTGAAGGTCTAGTCTCATGGTGATAAATTCTACTAGTGTTTGCTTGTTTGAAAAAAATATTTTATTTCTCCTTCATTTATGAAGCTCAGTTTGACAGGATACAAAATTTTTTGTTGCCATTCGAAAAAAAAGGCTAAAAATGAGCCCCCAATCTCTTCTGGCCTGTAAAATCTCTGCTGAGAAATCTTCTGTTAGTCTGATGAGATTGCCTTTATAGGTGATTTGACTATTTTCTTTATCGGTCTTTAAGATTTTTCCTTCATGTTGACATTGGATAGCCTGAAGACTATATGCCTTGTTGATGTTCATCTTGTATGGCATCTTGCAGGTATTCCCTGCATTTCTAATTTCTGGATATTTACCTCTCTAGCAATATTAGGGAAATTTTCTTGAATTATCCCTTCAAACATGTTTTCCAAGTTAGTTACTTTTTTGTCTTCTCTCTCTGGAGAGCCTTCAAGTCACAGGTTTGTTTGCATCACATAATCCCATATTTCTGGAAGTCTTTGTTCATTTTTTAAAATTATTTTTTCTTTATTTTTGTCTGACTGAGATAATTCAAAAGTACAGTCTTCAAGCTCTGAATTTCATTTTTTTCTGTTTGTTCTACTCTACTGCTAAGTTTGCCACAGTGTTTTGAATTTCCTTTAGTGCATTTTTCATTTCCAAAGTTTCTATTTTGCTTTTCTTTAATATATCTATCTTGCCTTTTGTCTTCTAAATTGATTTTCTGGTTTCTTTGTGATTATTTTCAACTTCCTTTTGGATCTTATTGATCTTGCTTACAATCCATATTTTGAATTCCTTGTCTCTCATTTCAAAGTTTTCATTTTGGTTAGGAGCAATTGCTAAAGAACTAACATGGTCCTTTGAGGGTGTCAGAGCATTCTGTTTCTTCATGGTGCTAGAATTATTTATGCTGGTTCCTTCTTATCTGCAGAAGCTATTACTTCTTATTTTTGAACTTACTTTCATTTGAGTGGAGGTTTCCCCCTCTTGAGGGTGTAACTATTGCATATGCTGGGTAGGTCCCTTTAGCTTTGTTTCTTTGTGCTTTTAGGGGGCCAAGGCTCTATATGATTTCCTTGGCTGTAGAGAACCTTAGTTTAGTGGTTTTCTTAAGCGCTATTTGTTTGTACGTTGTAGTAGTGATGTGCAGTGCTTGTGGTCAAACTCACTGTCTCCTACAAGGATAAAGTGTTGGAGGTCTAGAGAGGCTTATCTTGTTCCTCCCTGTGCAGTTCTGTCAACAATTATATTGGGTCATGCAGTTTATGCTACAGGTCAATAGGTAGCTCTTGCAAGTAAGAGCCAGTTGAGTTCCCTACAATCATGCCAGAAGTTGTGATGGGACATGCAGTTTGACCTCCCAGCCAGTAGGTGATGCTTGCAGGTGAGAGGCAGTTGCACTGTTGGCAGTGGGATTTTTGCTTGGCCTTTGTTGATCAAAGGAAGTATTGGTATGTCCCTGGTGAAGGGTGGGGCTGGGGCTCCTGGGGGTATGTTCTGCACTCTGCTGCCAAGGTAGCTGGAGGTGGCAAAGCTGGGTGACGCTGGGTCAGGCAACTCAGCCACCAGGCTCTCCAAGGCAGGTACAAGCACTGACCTTGGTCAAGGTCTAGGGGCAGCTCTCAGGCCACTGGGCCAACCCTTCAGTGGTGTCCCTCCTGTGCCACAGAGCTCCCATAGGGGAACAGGGGTGGGGGAGGGGGCTGCGGTTTGCAGCCCAGCAGACAGACATGAGTCATGCCCAGGGGAGTCTTCCTCCCATGTCCAGCCCAGCAACAGGCCTGAGCTCATCCCAAGGTGTCTGTTCCAGGTCACTGAGCCATTTTAGGCTTTCCAGACTGTGGGACTCCCAGAGGGAAAAACTGCGGCTGTCAGGCCACACACCCTTCACATTACAGTTTCATGAAGGGAGGGGTGCCCAGCCGCTGTGCCCCTAAACAAACCTGTGCCACACTCTTCTCTGTTTTCTAACAATGGGGGCTCCTCCTGTAGTCAAGATCAAGCCATAAATCCCATTTTCATGCCCCTATGCAGTGTGCTTGTGTCCTGGGGCACTGGGACCAGACCAGCAGTTTTGTCCTCTGGCCCTCGGGGTCAAGCATCACCTGTGATGGGGTTGGTGAGCTGCTCCCAGGCCACCAACAAAACAAGACAATGCTGTGGCCCCACTGCAGGAACAGTCAGGCAGGCAGTCTTGGTTGCAGGGGTGGCTGGAAGGCAAGGCAATATGTGTTTAAGATGCATCTTGCTCCCCTGACAATGGCTGTGGACCTGTCTTGGGTGCATGAGAGTGTCTGGGCTCTGTTTTCTCCTAGCCTAGCAGACAGCAGGAGCTGCAGCTGTTCAGTGCAGGATGAGGGCCTTGGGCGATGAGCACTCAGAGTCACATTTTCATTGTAGCTGCCCAGCCCAGTAAAGCCTTCTGGGCCTACCTAGGTTCAAGCAGTGCCTCTATATGTTCTCCATTTGGCTCCCTCTGCCAATCCAAAGGTCTGTAGGGGTTGTGGAAATTCCTGTTCCTGTAGCTAGGATCTCAGAGTTCTGTGGCTAAATATGGTGCCTGGAGTTTCCCTCTTTTACCCCTTATGATAGAATTTCAGTGTTTTCTCTCAAAATATTTGTTCAAAGTGTTTCACAAGGAATCTAAAAGAGCAAAATCCTTATATGCCTGAAACAGAGGAGGATGGAGAAGAACATAGACCCAAGAAAGTTCTCCAAGAAAAGGTGAATCTGCTCCTGCACCTTGGACAGATCTGCAGCACAGCCTTTCCTGAGATGTCACTTTCTGCAGCTCATCTCCTTGCTCCAGGATTTGAGGGAGGTGCTCTGGACATGATTTGGATAGTGGCAGAACCCAGAAGGATGAGAATGCAAACCCGGCCTTGAAAAGAAAATCCAGATTTTTTCTATTGTCAATTACTTATGCAATATATGAATCTTTTTCTGGAGTAATGTACAGTGAATTATACCCAGTTGTGTGCTGGTAGGAGGGAAGAAATGCTCGTTTTGTACAATTTGCCACTTCCCATGAAGTAAATACACCCACCAAAGGGGATTCCAAGCCAGTAAGCTAAGGTGACTTCAAGAGGGTTACAAACTTCCTGAAAATTTAACGGTCAGCTTCCTAGAGCCTCTACTCACTGGCCCCAGAACGCCCACTGCTGTAATACCTTACTAGTTCACAAACTGAATCCTGGTATTCAGAAGCTGTCATAAAATAATAGATAACAATCTCCTTAGTGATAACCTAATAAAGAAAGAAGATTAAGGTAAGGAGGTATGATTAGCTAATTTGAAAGTTCTCTCAATGACTAGACAGCAGTATTGAAAGTGATATTCTAAAAGCTCATCTATAAAACTGATAATATTTTTCTGATTCATTAATAACCTTTCTTGTAGTGTTAATCTGACAATCAATTCACCAAAACAGGTAAATCACAGGGGCTATGCAAATGTCATTGTAAGGAAGGAAATTGCTAGGAGTAGCCATAAATAAGTACAAAAGATTTCTTTTTAATCATGTGCATTACATAGTAAGCAGTGTTCTTTAAATGAAATAACAGCTATGACAAATCTAAAGCATTGAGAAAAGATATCAAGGAGAAACCAAACACCCTTTTATATCCAAATACCGAAATGTAAAAGTATAGACATGGGCTCATACCAGTGAAAAGAAACACCAAATTCGCCATGACTGCAATAATATTTTTCTTTTAAGATGGATGTTGGAATTATTTTTTATTGAAAATATTTCTACATTGAAATTACTTAAGGAATTTACAGCTTAAAGCAAACAGAAATGTAAAGAATTGGTTGGTAAAAAACACCCTTGGTAGTTATTGAGTACCTGAATTATCTGGGGACTATTAACAAAGAAAGAAGCATTTCTCAAGTGGTATCTTGGCTGTCATGCTATTTTTAAGTACTGGACAATGAAAGTAAAATATGCAGAGTGCCTGACCTCTAGAGAGAGTTGGCTTACCAATAGTAAACAGAAGGGAAATGATCACGGAAATATATATATACCTTGTATTCTGAGAAATGTGTATGAATATTTTTGTGCCACAAGCATTTGTGTGTGCATATGTGTATGTCCTTGTGGCAGTACTAAAGGAAAGTGTTTCTGGTTTATATCTTCTCTTTAAGTACAGGATCAAAGGAAATCTTTCATAAGTAGATGCCTAATACTCAAAATTAAGAAGAATGTTTATGTGATAATATGTAAGTTAGTAGCCACACAATAAATGCTAATTACTCTGCATTAAAACCCTATATTTTGTGGTGGTAGCTATGAAAATAAGAATAGCAACAAACTTGGCATAAAAACCTCTGTTCTAGTCCCTGTTTATTTATCTGATAGTTTTAACATCTCTCTACTCTTAGTTTACTCCCTGACTTCCAAATTTTTGTAAATGAACAAATGGGATAATATACGTGAAAGTATTTTATAAACTCCCCCATAAATAAACATAAATTTTCTTCTTTGGAAACTTCCTATAGCACTTATATCTTCACAATATAATTGTGTTTTTTCCTTCCCAAACCTCAGTTGAAATGACATTGGCTTTCTATTATTCTACTATCATCTCTCACATAGCTACACAGCTACTTCTTCCTGCTCTGGAATATATGATTTCTCAACTGAGGGAGATCCTCTTTGTAACATACAAAAGTTCAAAATTTGAGTTTGACAAAGTATAGTCAGTAAAATCCATGATATTAAAACTCTGGGTTACTGAAAATATTAGTTGTTTGATTATATTTTAAATCCTTATTATTTTACAAACAGAGCTCTATCATACTTATCTATGAAAATGTCTTCTTAAAAGAAAGTACTTCAAGGAACATAAGAAGGTTTTCATAATGGAAGAAGTCTCCATAATTCGTAATTACATTTAATCACATATTTGAAAAGAGCACCAATATTTGTCACTTAAAAAATCACACTGACATAAAACTAATGTTCAGAATATGAAAGATTGATATACTAATTAATGAATGAGCATTTACTCTTCTTCTCTAAGGTGACAGTTGATTTTAATTAATGTTTTCTATTTATTAATATTCTGTTATCTTCAAGACACTATATTGGCTGTGTTTAAGTGCTTATGTCAAAATATATTTGCTACATTAAAGGCAATTTATATACAGTATTATCTACACATCCAGTGCATTTATATATCTGGACATACTCCCCCAAGAAACAAATATAGTAAGTATATATTTATTATGTTAAACTATAGCTAAAGCTTGCATTTTGTTTGATGCTCATAAGACTCATATATTAGAAATATTCCTTAATTTAGTTATTTCAGTACTTCTACAGGAAGAAAGTTTTTATTAGCTAAGTACATTTGTTTTTGATAGATATCATGCCTTAAAAATATTAAAGTTTCTGTTGAGAAAAAGGTAATCATCCAATTCCCAGAAATCTATGATACTCAAACATACATAAAATGAGTGTTGGAAGAACATCACAATTGCTTATTTTTACCAATAATCCAAGTTTGCCTCATGAACCCACCATAGCAGTATCTCAGAGAGGTTCCCATGCTTTCAGCATTAAATGGTAAGATATTTCCAGACATATGGCTGCAAGCTACATTTTAGTAAATTCTCTAGCTAAGCTCAACAAGCATTAAGATTCTGCTTATTATGCAAGAGTCTACTTTGATGGTTCAATTTCTTTGTCTTCTCATATTACAGTATTTCCTTTTCTTAGCAATCTTATGCATTAGCATAGACATTCTCAAGGATAATGATCTAGGTTCTAAAATGTAAAGACAGGAAGCTCAATTTTATGGAACATGAAACTAAAGCTGCTGTGAACAGTCGCTGTATAATAATGGCAATGCTAGATGGCTGAAACTTTATAATTATTTGTAACAGCCAACAACAAAAACAAATCATGAAAAGTTTTATTTCAATTTTCTTGAAATTACTAAAACGTAGTTTCTCATTTTAAAAGATAATCATTTAATAAAAGAGTAGGACTTTTAAAATTTAATTGACCTTAAAAAATGATCACTGTTTCTAGGATTACCATGGAGGCATTAGCTCATCTTCTAATAAAGAAATGACTTCAGAACTCTCCTTTATTTTTAAACTTCTCAATTTACAGACCATGTTTTGGATCACTTGTAAGAAAAATTCAAATAATGGAAACATAATAGTTTCAGAAGCATTTCTTTTACTCATTGAAGTTGGGGAATCTGGCCTTCAATATGCTGAATATTAAGATGTTGATACTATCAGGCTAGAGATAGTCCCATAGCATGCAAATACGTCCTTAATGACATATATTTTTAATTAACAGGTATTTAAAAAAAATCAAAAATAGACAAGCTTTACGTGTTTTACATTTTTAAGTTTTTAAGATTTAATGTAATGTTTGCTTCTCTGAATTATTATGAACAGCATGAATAAATATTTACAGATAAAACACAGCTATTTAAAGAAGTAAAACTGAATGAGCATTATTTAAATGAATAAAAAGCAATTTTAACCCTACAATCGTAATAAACGAGATTGCTTTTTCCTTAAAATTGTAACCAACTATACATAAAAAATAATTTTATGCCGGTGCGGATGAAGGAATAAAAAGAAAGCGTAAATTACATCCCAGAGTATACAAAAGAGAGATTGTATCTGGAAAGTTTAAGATGGCTCTCTTTTGGAAACTGTATAATCACTGCTGGGATACAGAGGAAAGGATAGCAGGCCGGAGAAAGGGATCTGGGTCCTTTATTGTTACCATTAAAGTCTTACATAAAACTGTCTCCACATTCCATAAAAATGCCATGGTGCTTCAGGAAAAATACGGACCTGAGACAATAGTTTATTTTGGCTGGGACTGAGGTTCCAGAACTGAAGAGTTACTGCCAGAAATAGAAACCAGCTTTGAGAAAAAGTTAACTGAACTAGGATGTAGCGAAAGTGCTGCAGCATCAATAACCTAGCGCTTCAGAATCTGAATCAAGGGTTCTTTGTTTAGAACCTTGTAACATAATTAATCACCCAGAGGAAGTAAAGAGATTTGAGGTTGGAGTTTAGTTACCCAGGGAATTCCCTCTTCCTTTGGCACCCACTTGCCAGCACGACTATAAAACAGGAGCAGAAATGCCTCACTCCATAAATGATTAATAATAGCTGATTTACATGAAATTAAGTTGTTCCCTTGCTGAGACACAGTTGACCTGAATTCTGGGAGGCCCTCCCACAACTCCCTGAGTAACAAAGCAAGTCACCATCTCCAGGATTCCTCATCTCTGTTTCCATTACTCTTTCTTCCCAAAATGGGAAATTCTGCAATAGCCATGCATATGCTGATCTTTTCTATAAATAATTTCCATATCTTAAACATTTCACGGTTTTTAAATTGTTAACTACCACATGAATTCCACTCAACAAATACAGTATTTATTGAATGCTTACAATGCAAGGTATTGTTTTAATAACTAGGAAACAAATTGTAAGTAATATATTATGTAACTTCATTAAGGAGCTTATAAAAATAGTGTGCAGTAAGGGTGGGGGGAGACATCAGAAATGGACAAAAATAATTTCAAAAATAGCTAAAACATCGAAGAACATACTTTGTACTAGAAAAGAGATAGAAGCATCTATGGATGATGAAAGATGGAAAAATCACATAAATTGAAGAATCATGAAGTTTCACAAGCAAATTACATTTATGATAGTTCTTCTAGAAAGGACAGAGTTTCTGCTATGGCAGAAAAGAGCTTTCCAGATGACAAGAAAAATAAGAACAAAGACTTTAGGTTAGGGACTGACTAGTCAGTGCAGGAAACAGTGAGTATCTGGAATATAAATGGGAGAGATGGCAAAGCTCATTTCAGAAACATGGTTAATGCCATGTCGATGCCATGAATGAATGACAAGCTGAGGGACGAAGTTGAACATTTTTGAGCAGAAAAACTGTTCTGTGACAGCAATGAGTATGGGGTATTGCAAAAGTACAGATGTCCAGGCAATGGTATCATGGGGCTGAGTAGATCAGGACACTATGCTGCTGATAAGCCATCAGGAACTCAGGACAGGGGTCTTGCCCTGCAGAGAGCTTATATTTTTGGATAAGCAAGGCAGAGGTCTCCATATTAAGCCAACGCTGTAGAAATTAAGCAGAGTGCTAGAACCATATTAAATTGCCACAAAGCAATTTGGTCCAAACTCACAAAGTTGGTGACCAGATAGGCCCAAGCCTATAGATCAAATGTTTTAAGGATCAGTAATAAATAGAGGTGGATCTCAGGAGAGTTCTCACCAGTCCAGCTCTTCTAATTGCCTACTGGGAAATTCCACTTGGATGTTTGGCCATGCCTTACAAGTCAACTGGTTTAGAGTTAAATTCCTCTTCACAAAAACTATACTTGCTTCCTTTTCCAACCTCTCTGTAAATTGCACCACAATTTTCCCAATTGTGGGCTCAAAATCATTAAAGAGTTCTACTGCTTTCCACTTTTCTCCATACCCCATAACTTAGTTGCAATGTTCTGTGTAATTTTCCTTTGAGATGGCAAGCAACACCTGCACCAGATTCAGCATCTTGTGCTAAGATTACTGCAATAATATCTTAGTGCAATTCACACTTAATTTTTTACCTACCTTCTAGGTACCTTTCAATTTGCTTTTACTGTTCCTTTGAAAATTGTTTCTATTTTACCTTTGTATGTTTCATACGTGCAAATAATGCTGATCTCATTACATATTTCAGACTAATGCCATATCTTGTGAATATATTATTTATAAATGTTTACTGAATGCTTCCTATGTGCCAGTAACTGTGCAGGGCACAAAGATAAATGAGAAATTGTTCCTTCCCTTAAGGATCATATCATTGTATACAGGAGAGAGAAGAAATAGAGGGAAAAAAATTGAGTTTTTTTGGGGGGGAGACTTCTCCATACTTTTAAAATTTTGAATTATAAAAACAATTAAACAAAAAAAGTCAATGCAATGAAAGAGTTGCTATTAGCATGGAGGGATTTCCACAGTGATTTAAAAAGAACAGGCAAGAAGACAACAGAGGCACTCGATCTGCCTGCCTTTTATTAAAAGGGACTCCCAGAGAAGGTAAATATGAATCAGGACTTGGAAACAGAGAGGAGTTTGTCTAAAAGAGAAATGAGGGCAGATTGCATTTACACAAGTGAACAGAAGACTGAGATAGAGCATGCGGAATGTACTGGGAACACTTACTTTCTGAAAGTGCTGGAAACAAGGACGTGGAGCAAAGAGGAGAGATGAGGCTTGGACCAGCCTGTGAAAGTCCTCGATTTTCATACTGAGTATTTTCTCTTGTTAATAGGAAGCCATTGGTGATTTTTAAAATTGAGAGGGAGTGGGGAATAAAATAGGTTTGAATGTCTAACTTTGGTATGTATAAATGAAATGTGATATACTTTCCCTCAATACTGCTATGAAAATATCCACGCTCCTTGGATATTCTGAGAATTTCTCCTGCCCATAGTAATTAATATATATATCCAGTATTGTCGCATTGTAGGTATTGAATAAAAAATAATCAGTTAACTCTGGCATGTTCTTAATGGTCTAAAAATTGTAAGAAATTTTCTCTGATAAAATTGCAATGCAATACTATTTCTAATCACTCAAAATAAAAGAAATTATTTTAGAATATAATGTAATTTCTACAGGGTTCTTGATATTGACATAATAATATCTAACCTCTAGAGTGCTGATTATGCACCAGGCTGTATTCTAAGCACCTACATTTATTTACACAATCCTTCATTTCAAGAATGAGGAAACTGAGGCACAAGAAGTCCAGTAGCACATGCCAGGTCACACAGCCAGCAAAGGCGGGGATTTAATTCTGAGAAATCTTGCACTAGACTCTGTACTCTTGATCAGTGCTCAAGAGCCCCTTGTCCAAGTGTTCTATTTTGAATTCATAGTAAGAAAGACTCTACTGAAAAAAAGGAAAAATAAGGAGGAAAAAATATGAACAACATTTAATGGCTTCTACCTTCCCTACTGAAAAACTTCAAAGCCATACATGATTTCAACAATCTCAGGGTCGTCAATTACACAGGTGACCACATCATTAACAGACTGACATGATTACTTAGTAATTTCACTTCCCCAACATAAGACAACTGAATGTTAACAAGCATATCCTGAAAAGGAATGATCTAGAACCATTCAATGATTAACTCATCTTCTTCCCAGTCTTAGACTCTACCAACAAAGGATCTGAACAGCTTACAAAATACCATCTTTAAAAGAAATAATCTTTTAAGATAATAGGGATTTAAGACTCAATTGCTTTGAACCTATAGGCTTCTCAGCAATTAATTCATTTTCGTTTGACTTTTCTGAAAATGTGTTTTCAAATGCAGTAACATGCTTTTACTGTTCAAAAGAACTATTAGGTAAATTAGTTGTGACTGATTTATAGGATATTTTGAGATGCCTCTTTAGAACCCTGTCATAAAGTAGAAAATGCATATGTAATTACTCATGCATTTTGAATACTCTCATTAAGTAATCTATAATATTTTTAACAAAATGTACGTGGCATAAAAGCATGTAATATATGTCACAATATCTTTTGTAAACACCAGTCATATAAGCAGGTCTTCTATTCTCAGCCAGAAGTATTTTCCATTTTGAAAGCAGCAATAACACTGCCACATTGGAAAAGAAAATATCTAAGAAGAGTATAAAGCATATCATGGCCCATTATAAATAGTAAACATATAAATAAATAAACATATAGTACAAATAAAGATATTCTAAAAAACTAAGCCACTATCTTTTTAATTAGGTTAATCTTTTTATTTTGAGATAGTTGTTGATTCACATGCAATCTCTATTTCTGCAAGTTCTCTATGTCTGTAATTTTTGTCCTCTAGAGAATGCTATTTATATGGAATAATACATTGTTAGTCTTTGGGGAATGACTTTTTTCACTCACCATAATTCTTTAAAGATTCATCCAAGTTGCTATAAATACATCAACAGCTCCCTCCTCTTTAATTGCTGAGTGGTTTTCCATGTTATGGATGTACCACTGTTTGTTTAACCATTTGCCTGTTGAAGAGCATTTGCACTGTTCCAGTTTTTGTTTATTATGATTAAAACTTCTGTGGATATTCATGCACAGATATTTGTATAAACATGTTTTCATCTCTCTGAAATAAATACTCAAAAGTGCAACTGGTGAGTCATATGATAGTTGCATGTTTTGTTTTTTTAAGAAACTGTCAAACTTTTTTCCAGAGTGGCTGGGCCATTTTACATTCCCACTAGCGGTGGTGTCTGGATGATCCAGTTTTTCCACATGCTTGCCATCATGTGTTAGAATCACCATTTTTCAATTTTAGCTCGTATGATGGCTGTGTAGTGTCATAACAGTGTGGTTTTAATTTGCTCTTTCCAAATAGCAGATAATAATGTTTAACACTTGTCATGTATTTATTTGCCATCTTCATATTCTGTTTGATAAAAAATCTCTTTCTATCCTTGGCCCACTTTCGTATTTGATTTTTTTATTGTTGAGACTTGAGAGTTCTTTATGTATTTTTGATGTTCGTCCTTTATCAGATATGTGGTTTGGTAACATGTTCCCCCATTGTGCAGCTGGTCTTTTCATCCTCTTAACAGGGTCTTTCACGGAGCAAAAACTTGTAATTTTGATGAAGTCTGCTCTATCAATTTTTCCTTTTATGGATCATGCTTTTGATGTCAAGTCTAACAACTCTTCACCAAGCTCTATGGATTCAAAAGATTTTCTCATACATTTTATTCTAAGTATCATAAGTGAATGTTTTGCATTTACATCCATCATTCCTTTTGATTTAATTTTTGTATAAGGTCTGAGGTTTAGATCAAGATTGTTTTTTACCTATGGTTGTCCAACTGCCTTGGCACCATTTGTTGAAAAGAGTATGCTTTCTCCACTGTTGATTTTCTATTTTTTCCATTAATATATGTTTCTGTGTCTCCACCAATACCACACAGTTTTGATTAATGTAGGTATGTAATACATCAAAATAGAATCCGCTACTTCTTATCACTTCATTCTCCCTGTTCAAAATCGTTTAGCTATTCTAGTGTCTCTGCTTTTCATATACATTTTAGAAAATCCCATGTCTACAGAAATTCTTGTTGGGAATTTGATAGACTGACATAAAACTTACAGCAAATTGGGGGAAATTGACATCTTTACTATGTTAAATTTTCCAGTCCATAAACACAATATGTCTCTCCATCTATTTAGATCTTCTTTGATTTCCTTCAGCATTTTGTAGTTTTCTGCATGCAGATCCTGTGAATGTTTTGTTAGATTTATACCTAAGATATTTCTGGTTGAGCTATTGGAGCTCGAATTGTGTTTTAATTTTAGAGTACATGTGTTAATTGCCAGTTAACAGAAATAAAATTATGTAATTTTTGTATGTTTATCTTTATTCCACTACTTTTCTGTACTCACATATAAGTTCTAATATTTGGGGGATTTTGTTGGTAAATTCCATGGTTTTTCCTTGAAAACACATGTATCATCTGCAAATAAGAACAGGCTTTTTTTTCTTCCTTTCTGATCTGTATGCATTTTATTTCCTTTTCTGGCCTTATTGAATTGGCTATACCTTTCAGTCTTATGTTGAATAAGAGTGGTGAGGGAGGACATTCCTGATCTTAAGGGTAAAACATTCAGTCTTTCATCATTAGTATGTTAATTGTAGGCTGCCAGTAAATTTATTTTTATCAAGTTGAGGAAGTTTGCCTCCATTTCTAGTTTTCTGAGAGGTTCTATGGTAAATGCATCTTGAAATTTGTCAAATATTTCTTCCGCCACCAACTGGTTTAATCATGAGAATATTTTTGCTTTTAATATGGTGAATTACATGGATTTTTAAATATTTAATCAGCCTTGCAACCCTACAGTAAACACTACTTGATCATAGTATATAATTATTTTTATATACTACTGAATTTTATTTGCTATTATTTTAAGAATTTTACATCTATTTTAATGAGCAATATAACTCTGTGGTTTTCTTCTGTTATACTGACTGTCTGCTTTTGATATTACAATAATACTATCTTTATGAAGTAAATTGGAAAGTACTCTCTCCTCTGCTATTTTCTGGAAGAGATTGTATAGAATTATGTTAATTCTTATTTCAGTTTGGTAGAATTCTCAAATGACATCATATGGGCCTGTATATATTTTTTTTGACATTTTTAAATCATAAATTCAATTTCCTAAATAAATTTAGAACTATTCAAAAATTTTTTTCATATTGGGTGAATTGCACTAGTTTGTGCTTTTTAAAAAGTGGGTCCATTTCCTCTACATTGTCAAATTTATTTGAGTGGAATTAATCATGGTATTTTCTTTTTGTCCTTTTGATGTCTACAGTATTTGTAGCAATATCTCTTATATAATAACTAATGCTGGCATTTTTGTGGCTTCTCTGTTTTTCATTATCTGTCTTCCTAGAAGATTATCAGTTTTAAAAATCATTTCAAAGAACGAGCTTTTTATTTCACTTATTTTCTTTATTACTTTTATATATTTTCAACATCATTGATTTCTGCTCTTATCTTTTCTATTTCCTTCCTTTTGCTTGCTTTGAGTTTATTTTGCTCTTTTTGTCTAGACGAGAGATTAGACAATTGTTCTGAAACCTTTTCTGTTTCCCAATGTTCATTTACTGTTATAAATTTCCATCTTGGGGCTGCTTTAATTAGATCCCACAAAATTAACAATGTTGTATTTTCATTTTCTTGCAGATCAATGTATTTTTTATTTCTACCAAGATTTCCTTTTTGACCCATAATATTTAGAAGTGTGTGTAATTTCTGTGTTTGGAAATTTTCTTGTTATTAATTTCTAGTTTAATTTCAATTTGGTTAGAAAACACATTTTGTAAGATTCCAATTCTTTTAAGTTTGTTAAGATTTGTTTTATAGTTCAGGTTATGGTGTACCTTGATATATACTTAGTGAGCTTTAAAAATATGTGTATTCTGCTGTTTCAGGATAGAATATTCTATACATGTCCATTAGGTCTTGTTGGTTTATGGTGTTGTTAAGTTTTTTTATATCCTTGCTACTTTTCTGTCTAGCTGTTTTATCGATTGAGAGAGGGATATTAAAATCTCCAACTATAATAATGGGCTTATCAATTTCTCCTATTAGTTCTATCAGTTTTTGTTTTATGTATTTTGAAGCTCTGCTTTTGGTGAATATACATTTAGGATACCTACATCTTCTCAATGAATTGACTTTTATCATTTTTAATATCTCTCTCTGTCTCTGGTAATTTTTTTCTCTAAAGTCTACTTTATCTCATATTAATATACCCACTCCTTCCTTCTTTTGATTAAAGTTTGCCTGGTAAATCCTTTTTTATTTTAATTTTCTTTGCTCCCAACCTAGATTTATGATTGTATTTAGAGTGAGTTTCTTGTACACAATAAATGGTTGGTTCATGAAGTTTTTTAAACCACTCTATCAATCTCTGACTTTTAATTGCTATGTTTTTAGGCCACTAACACTTAATATAATTATTGTATGCTAGAGCTTACATCTGCCCTTTTACTTTTTGTTTTTTCATTGTTTCCTTGGTTTTTCATGTTTTTCTTTTTTTTTTTCCTGCCATTCCCTTGGTTAAACATTTGTTTAGAATACAGTTTTGATTTGTCTCATGTTTTTGAGTGTATCTCTTTGATGTTGTGCTGGATATAAATAATCACAGTCTACTGGTGTCTTCATTTTATCAGTTTGAGTGAAGTGTAGAAACCTGACCTCCCTTTATTCCTCTTTAACCTCCCCTATTTATAAAACCATTATCTTAAATATTTCCTTTATATTCATTTTAAAACCACATCAGACAACATTATAACTTTTGCTTTATGTAACAATAATAACATAAAACTCAAAAGAGAAAGACAATGTATTGTATTTACCTATAATTTTACCCTTGCCATTGTTCTTTTTCCTTTTGATGTTCTAAGATTACTTCCTTTATCATTTCTTTTTTGTCCAAAAAAAAAATTCTTTAGTCATTCTTTCTGGGTAGTCCTGCTAGGAAAATTCTCTTAGTCTTCCTTCACTTGAGAATGTCATGATCTCCCTGTCATTCCTGAGAATATTTTTTCTGAGTACCAAATCCTGAGTTGACTGTTCTTTTCTTTCTGCACTTGGAAAATGTTGTACTACTTCTTTCTGACCTCCATGGTTTTTAATGTGAAATTTACTATCATTGAAAAATTGCTCTTCATTGGTATTGTTTCTCTTTCACTGATTTAGACTTAATTTTATTTTCTTTGTCTTTAGTTTTCAGAAGTTTGACTGTGATGCGTTTAGTGTAAATTTATTTGTGTTTATCCTTTTTAGGATTCTCGCAGCTGCTTGTTTTTGCAGGTTTATGTCTTTTGCTAAATTTGGAAAATTTCAGCCATTATTTCAACAATTTCTCTGTCAGTTTCACCCTCTTTCTCCTCCCCGTCAGGAATTCCAATTACACAAATATTAGATTGCTTTTGGTCACAGTCTCACAGATCCATATGGTAAAAATTTTTTTTCAATTTTCTTTTTATCATTCATTATGGATAATTTCTATGGTTCCATCTTCACATTCTCCAGTTTTTCCCTTTGTACTGTCCATCCTGCTATTAAGCTCATCCATTGAGATTTTATTTTGGCTAGTATATTTTTAGTTTTATAATTTCCACTTGGTTCTCCTTTATGTCTTCTAGAGCATTGTTGAATTTTTTGCTTCTTTGCTGAGATGTTCTATTTTTTCATTTGTTCCAAGCATGTTTGTACTTAATCATTGAAAAGATTTTATGATTATTGATTTAAAACATTTTTAGCCAATTATGACATCTAACTTCTCTATTATCTCAATTTTAAGATGCAATGATGGTCACTCTTCATTCAACTTTAGATTTACCTAGTTATTGGTCAGGATCTGATGAGTGATTTTTTAACTGAAACCTGGATAGTTTTAGTATTATGTATGGTACTCTTATTTAAACCTTCTGTTTCAGCAGCTTCTTTTGACACTGCTGTGATAGTGAGGGAATGAGGGGCAAGGCAGGTGGAGCAGGCTCCTTAGTGCTACCTGAAGTAGAAGTTCCCCACTGAGCCTCAGTTTACATCAAAAGTGGAGAAGGTTCCTGATTACTGCCAGCTGGAGGTAGGATTTCTAGCTCCCCACTCGGCCTCTGATAATGCCACCTTAGCTGGCAAGGATAAGACTAACTTTTTACTAATACCACGGAGTGGGTAGGTGGAGTCGTCCTCGTTAACACTGTGTGGTTCTGAAAGTAGAGACTTTCTACGAGGCCTCCTTTGAAACCATCCTTTTGGGGAACAGGATGAGTAACTCATTACTGCCAGTTGGCTCTGGGTCCTTATTCAGGTTTCTCTGACTTCAGCCTGCAGGGGAGGTGGGAGGAAGATTGGGGTTCTCATTAAAGCCTGGTGAGGGTGGAAGTCTAGGCTGTTCACTCAGCCTTCACTAGTGTGGATGCAGAAGCAGCCATGGGATTTTTTCCTACGGTGTTTGACTGGAGTAGAGGGGTTGCTGTCTTAAATTGTTATGCTTTGTGAGGCTCCTCCTTTCCTGGATCTTTGTCTAAAAACAGCAAACATCTGTTAGACATTTTTTGTGTGTATATATTGGTGTGTTGGATTTCTGGCTTCTTCAATTCTGGTATTAATGAGGCAAAAAAGCAAAAAGAGAACTCACGATCTCAAAATCCTTAGCTGTTATGGACCAAAAGTTTGTATCTTCCCCCAGTACGTATGTTGAAATCTCTAATCCCCAATGTGATGGTATTTTGAGTTGGGGCTTTTGGGAGGTAATAGGTCACAAGACTGGAGCCCTGAGGAACAGGATTTGCACCCTTATAAGAAAAGATGCAAGAGAAATGGTCTCTCTGCATGTGAGGACATAGTGAGAAGAAACCATATGCAAATCAGGAAAAGGATCATCATAAGACACTGAATCTGCCACCCTGAACTTAGTCTTCCCAGCCTCCAGAACTGTGAGAAATAAATATTTATTTTTTAAGACAACCAGTCTGTAATGTTTTGTTACAGTAACCTGAATTGACTAAGACACTAGCTATTCTGCCTCATCTTTCTATCTTTCAGAAATTCCTTATGTTCGTTTTACATATAATGTCCAATGAGCCAGTACTTTCTTTTTGTAAGACAGGGTCTCTCTCTGGCACCCAGGGTGGAGTGCAGTGGCATGATTATGGCTCATTACAGCCTTGATCTCCTGGGCTCAATCAATCCTCCTACCTGAGCTTCCCAGGTAGCTAGGACTACAGGCACATGCCAGCATGTCTGGCTATTTTTTATTTTATTTATTGTTTTTGTAGAGATGAAGCAGAAGTCCAAAAATTTACTTTAATATATAACTTATTTATAAACTAGGCAATGTTATTTTAAAATATGAAAGGTGTGGAAACCATAATGTTGCATCTTTTTTGCAACCAATTTTCATATATTTATATGTAAGCACAGGAATTAGTGGTAGTAAAAAAACAAATGCTTTTGCAGTCGGGTGTGTGCATATAAAATGAAAATTTTATATCTGTGTCTGCTATGTGTCAAAGTATCTGTAATGTCTAAACCCAGAATTTTAAGCACTTGAAAGCAAAGAGGGCCCGGCGCGGTGGCTCACGCCTGTAATCCCAGCACTTTGGGAGGCTGAGGCGGGTGGATCACAAGGTCAGGAGATCGAGACTATCCTAGCTAACATGGTGAAACCCTGTCTCTACTACGAATACAAAAAATTAGCTGGGCGTGGTGGCGGACACCTGTAGTCCCAGCTTCTCAGGGGGCTGAGGCAGGAGAATGGCGTGAACCCGGGAGGCGGAGGTTGTAGTGAGCCGAGATCGCGTCACTGCACTCCAGCCTGGGTGACAGAGCGAGACTGCTCTCAAAAAAAAAAAAAAAAAAAAAAAGCAAAGAGGATCCAGCTTAATGATTTTTAGCAGTTTTATGCGATATAGATTCTTTATTCGCTTTCCACAATTATTCAAATATTTATTTTATTCTTTTATCAAGTACTTGAGTAATACTCTGTACCAGTCATTGTCTTAAGCACACAGAACTACAGACTTTGTCTCTGTAATCAGGTTTAGGAGACAGAAGTTAATAAATGATTACAATGCAAAGTGACTTATTCAAAAATAAAAGCATGTGCAATGATCTATAATATCATTGAGAGGAAAAGTGAACACCTTTCCTTCTTGAATGAGCTAAGGATGGCTTCTAGGAGGAAGTGACTCCTGAACTAGATCTTAAAGAATGAGTGAGATTTCTGTAGATGCAAAAATAAGGGTATTCCACCCAAAGGAAATAGCAAGAACACAATCTAGAAACACAAAAGAGCACAGAATGTCCTATGGAAAATCATACTCTTCTGGGACTAAAACTAGCCCATGGAGAACACCGGAGAATGGTAGAAAAAATTAGCAGGAGAGTGTAGGCTGTGAGCAACAGGGAGTATAAATAAAAATCAAGAATTTTACTCAGCACAGTATTAGATGAGTATGCCTGAAGAATAGAAACCTGACCTTATTCTTTAAATCCTGTCCACCCTACTCTCTCGAGGATTTTTCAGCTTTGGCACTATGGACCTTCTGGATGAGGTAATTCCTGATGGTGGCGCACTGTCATTTGCATCGTAAGATATTTAGCAGCTTCTGTGGTCCCTAATCACTAGATGCCAGTAGAACTATTCCCGCCTCCGACTTGTGACAATTATTTGTCTCTAGAGATTACCAAACACCTCCTGAGGAACAAAATCACTCTGATTTGAGAACCACTGATCCCATATTAAAGGTCCATGCCTGTCATATAGTGCTCAACGAACAATGGTTAAATCCACGGTCACCATTGCTTTAAAAATGAGAAAGGAGCCAGGCGTGGTGGCTCATGCCTCTAATCCCAACACTTTGGGAGGCCGAGGCAGGCAGATCACCTGAGGTCAGGAGTTCAAGACCAACCTGGCCAACATGGTGAAATCCTACCTCTACAAAAATCAGCCAGGCATGATGGCGGGTGTCTGTAATCCCAGCTACTCGGGAGGCTGAGGTGGGAGGATCACTTGAACTCGGGAGGTGGATGTTGCAGTGAGCCGAGATCATGCCATTGCACTCCAGCCTTGGCAACAGAGCGAGACTCAGTCTCAAAAAAAAAAAAAAAAAAAAAAAAAAAAAGAGAAAGAGAGAGAAAGGAAGCATTAGGATACACTGAAGAGGGGTTGTTGTAATGTCACAGGTGAATAATAGCATTTCTAAATTAAGAAACTGGGTTAAGGGAAATATTAAACAGTTGCCCAGAATGTAAAATTGGTAGGCTTTGATAACTAAAAACATAAATAGCTTTTCTGTTGATAAGTGGCTATCTTTTTTCCTTACCAAATCTGCCATGACCTATAGCTGAGCTACTTCACATAATAAACTAAGAACCGTATTCACTCACATCTCTAATTTTTCTTAGCGCTAAGCTAATTATGGTTTAAGAGAGGGATATTCAAAGTTTCTCAATTTTCTTTATGATTGGTTAATATATTAGCATATTCATGAAAATGACTTGATCAAATAGCTACCTACATAAACTATGGGGCCTGAATTTTGGAATGCGTTTTGCTTTTAAAATCAACCACATATGTTTTTAGAAGTTCATCACTTTGCCAATGGGAGGGACTCAATATGCACTTTATAAGTGACTGAATGACTGAAGGAGTGGGGAGATGAATCAATCATCCTAAAAAATATGATCAGCCATTTCAAAGTGGCATTCTTGATGCGTTTTCCTTTTATGGCAAGGCAAACACACAAAGTTCCCTGTGTAAGACAGAATGCATTTATTATATGGCTGGTAACGATTAGGGCAGTGCTATATAGCCACGAAAGAAAATCATTCTCTGAGAGAAGCGAACGTTCAAAACCTAAGCCTGTGGTTTTGACATTATTAGTACCACTCTACCTGCTTAAGCATTGACAAATTATTCAGTAACAGATAATGACTGGCTGGGGTGGCAAACATAGATGCTACTACCTCCATAATTGCACAACTACATACTGTAAAATTGCATTATGCAATGGAGTCAAGTTAAATAGGGTATAATAAAATAAACTTGTTTTGTATTTAGACAGAACTTTGCAAAGTTAACAATTTCATTTTCATCTGAAGCAAGTCCATCCTTACACCCTGGAATTAAAATGAAAAAGATCAGTGTTCCCCCACCCCCCACCCTACCAATTCCATTTATTCTCTTTACTGGTGTTGACTAGGAAAATCTCGAACAGAAAATTAGCACTACTACTGCTAGTTACATTTCAGTTAATTTTTGAGAAGGAAAAATAAAATCAGTCAAAGTCCATTATCTAGAGAATTCTAATTTAGCAACTTTGAGGTCTTCAAATAAGAATGTAATATTAATGTCATACATAATATATTTTCTTTAGGGATGTGTATTAGTTATAGGGGTTTTCAGTTCTCCATTTTCTTAAACTAAAAGCAATTAAGTAGATAGGGAAGGAAAGATTGAGACAATTCTACTTATAGTTAATTTTAAAAATCTGTATACCAAACTGCTCCAATAGCATGAATATCAGCTGCACAATAGTCTAATGAGATTTGAACTGTCAGCAGAACAGAACTTTTGAATGATACTAGATTCAAAATAAAAGAATAGAGACAAAAGGACTGGGAAAATTAAACATATTTTGTAGTTGCCAGGCAATATAATTTTTCAAGGTTGAGTAATGCATTCATCCCCTATAGGAATAAGCAGACTTTTAGTTTCCATAGTGTTATAAGCCAAATTTTGATATTTTTGGCTTAGAACAATGGAGCAGGCCCCCATTCCTTCAAAGTTTTTCCACATCCTCTTTAAAAGTGCAGTGACTGGGAGTATTTTTGGTAATTTATTTGTATTTCGTACTGAGATTTATAAAAAATGAAACCACTCCAAAAGATTCATGACTGAATGCAGGACATATGAAAATTTAAAAGCACAGTTCATTAAACCAATCAATGATTCCCATGATTAGAAAATAATCTAACAGACAGTGCATTTTGTTCTGGAGGTCAAAGTCTAAGTTATTACCAATACCCTGGGAACAGAAGCCCCACAATTAAGAGGCCTCCATACCATTTTATCAAATAATTCAAGGATGTAAGTAGCATGAAATATACTAACATAGTGGTCATTCTCACATCTATAAATAACCAATCTGTAAATCTATTCTACAGATAGAACACTAGCGTCCCTACTGAAGTTCCCAGTGACTGAGGCCACACAGAACACACAGACATGACACTCTTTCACAGCCACAAATAACATTTTATTTTAAAAATATCAGAGATTTCTGAAAATCAATATAATTATAAATTCATTATTGAAAATTAATGAGTAAGAAGACAAAATTTTCCAAAAAGATGTAAGAACTCATCTTGTGGCCAACTGTGTTAATGTCAAGCAAGAGAAATTTCTGTAGTAATCTTTTTTTTTTTTTTTGAGACGGAGTCTCACTCAGTCACCCAAGCTGGAACGCAGTGGCACGATCTCAGCTCACTGAAACCTCCTCCTCCCGGGTTTAAGCAAGTCTCCTGCCTCAGCCTCCTGAGTAGTTGGGGTTACAGGCGCATGCCACCACACCCGGCTAATTTTTGTATTTTTTTTTTTTCAGTAGAGATGGGGCTTCACCATGTTGGTCAGGCTGGTCTCGAACTCCTGACCTCGTGATCCACTCACCTTGGACTCCCAAAGTGCTGGGATTACAGGCGTGAGCCACCGCGCCCAGCCAATAATCTTTAATATATAAAAATGACATAGCACTAAACTTATTTTTTGAAAGACAAAAATAACATGCAAGCTTTCTGAAGGTTGGGACTATTATAAATTAAATTAAACGCACTGTGGCAGGCATTTAAAGAGAGAGATGGGCATAAGGCTGGCAGTAAGAAGCAAATCATAGCTCGTAGTAATAGCATCATTCCAATCACTAAGCTGCTGGAAGAGACAAAATAACTTGTTATTTGATCTCCTAATTAGGCTCTTGCTCTGTTCAATACTATCTGTTTGAAAATGTATAGATAGATATAGATAGACAGACAGATAGATGATAGATAACTGATTTGAGAAGTTTATCAAATCTTGAGAGAAAGAAAATTTTGAGTTCAAATAAAAATTTTAGTTCAGATCAAGTTTTGTTTTTGTTTTTATTTTCTTTTAGCATCATGATTGTTAAAGCAAATATGAACTACAGTTGGCTGTACTTAAAGACCCAATATATGTGAAGGAGATAGGTTAAGAGGGATTTACTCTGCTATTGAGACACATAAATTCATTAATAAGAAATAAGGGATTAAACAAAAATATGCTTTTAAATTTAATTTTGGGATATGCTTTTGGTCTTCCTCTTAACGTCTGTTTCTTCCCTTTGTGTTGTATTTGCTTTTTGATCTTTCTAGTTGTTGTGGCATTTGGCTTCTCTTTTTCTTACATCTTACCTGACCTTGTATTTCCCTATTAAATTGCTAGTGAGAATATATGTGCAGTTACTTTGGAGGTACTCATTTATTTTGATTGAGGTAAACAACAATGAGTCATAGTTCTGAAATTTTCCAACATCAAATATGCCAGCAAACAAACAACAAAAACTCTCAGCAATAGATGCTTGATGTTTACTCCTCAAGCAAGACCCCACCTTTCTAGTAAAAGCTCCTATATAGGGATCAACTACCATTTGATTTAAAGTAGAATATGAAATAATTTAAAAATAAAAATACTTCAGGGCTAATTCATTGGGTGGGGGACACAACCCTCCAGCTATAATTCCTAACATTTTCTCTTCAAACGTCCTATGTTCCCACAAATCAGTCTTTCTAATTAAGAAGTTTGCAAGGGCTGTACAGATTTATTTCTTGGCTTAGTCTCTGCTCTTTTGCTAAATGTCAAGGTTTGAGATTTGTTAGAATTCGTGCTCTGTGGATATCTGCTGGACTTTCTAGCAGGTGTGAAGACCCCACCACTCCTTCTGTTGCATCTCATTTCCACTTATTAAATACTTTATCTTGGAGGATGAAGCAAAAGTGACTTTTGTGTTTCCTGGCAGTCTCCTGTTTCAAAGGACTTAATAGTGATTTGTTTATTTCAGAGGAAATGAACACCAGTCAGTGATGACAGATTTATTATTAAGTGGACATCACACACACACACACACACACACACACACACACACACACACACAAAGCCTCTACTTTTCTTACAGTTCAGGGTTCCTTCTAACCACACTCTAAATGGTCAAGACAATGTTACACATTTTGGCAAACCAGAGCCATGTGATTCAATATCATCAAATCTGTGAATCTATATGATTTCCTCCAGATACATTGCCAGAATAACCCAGGGAAAATGAAATGAGCAAAGAAAACTAAGTTTACCTTAAAGTATGAAAAAAAAGCACCTTAATCAATCAGCAGCCCTAATTATCTTTTGGAAAATACTTGAAGGAATATTCAAAGCAAAAAGAGATTAATTTCAGGAATTCAAGTAAGATGTCTGTTATTTAGAAAGAGAATACAAGAAAACCCTGAAACTCCAGATCCTGAAGTAGTTTTAAGTACAACAGCACTATAGATTTACTTGTCATTTTAGTCACTAATGAAATATATTAATGTTAAGTTGAATTTTCAAAATAAATTTGAAGAATAAATATCAACTCCAGAATGGTCCAAATTATTCTTCCCCCAAAATGACCAATTTTACCATGTAGTAAATATCATGCAGGTCAGATACTGAGATCTCATCAATAAGAATTACATCCCTTTTAGATTCCATTTTAAAAATACTGGCAAAGTAATTTGTAGTATTCATTCAGATCAAGTGGACATCAGTAATGTAACATTAATTTTGCTAGACTAGGAAAGTAGATTTATATGCTATCTTTACCCTTATTGCTGAAAGCGCGCAGCTGAATAATCCTCAAAGGTAAAATTTCAGCTACTTGACACCTTAATAAACAAAGAAATTAAATGTTCAAACAGCAGATTATAGAAGATACTCAATGGGATGCTATTATTCCCACCTCTGCATATATGGTTTTAGGGGTGCCACTTTCTGAGCCTCAATTTTCTCAAATTTAAGATTGAGAGGGTGGTTTTGATGGATTCTAGAACCCCTTCCAATTCTAACATTCTGAGAATGTGTTCAAATGTAGACTGCAGGAAGGTATTAACAGCTCTCAAGATAAAGATGGAAATAAAGGAAGAAATGCCAAGACCAATGGAGGGAAACTCAGAAAGGGCTAAAAGTCACATAACTTGTTTCATAATTGTCATCTAAAGTCAGTCCTCGAAACATGGGAGAGCCAATACAATGTCATGCCTATAAATGTAATTCTCAATGACTTCCATAGGCCTAATCCTCCCTTACCTTATCAAAATGGCATTGATTTCATGCCAAAAATAATAAAGCTTATATATATTTAACCAGCTATGAAAATCTCCTGCCTTTCACTGTGACTTTATCTAATGATGTCCTAGGAATTGTATTTTTGAAATACAAAGTTTAGTAACCTTGGATCAATTACTGCTTCACAAACCTTGGTGCATGAGACAAAGAAATATTCAAATGGGGCCGGCTGAGGTGGCTCATGCCTGTAATCCCAGCACTTTGGGAGGCCAAGGCGGGCAGATCATAAGGTCAGGAGTTCATGACCAGCCTGGGCAACACGGTGAAACCCTGTCTCTACTAAAATACAAAAAATTAGCCGGGCGTTGTGGTATGTGCCTATAGTCCCAGCTATTTGTGAGGCTGAGGCAGGAGAATTGCTTGAACCTGGGAGGCGGAGGTTGCAGTGAGCCGAGATCGTGCCACTGCACTCCAGCGTGGGCAACAGAGCAAGACTCTGTCTCAAAAAAAAAAAAAAAAAAAAAAAAAAAAATATATATATATATATATATATATATATTCAAATGGTAAAAATTGAGGATATGAACAAGAATATCCTAGGAATAGATTTTGCACAGGATTCCAGGAACCCAAAAGCCACACTGAATTAAATATCCTTATTACTTGACAAGGTCCCTTATGTTTTTCTTCAAAATGATTAGATTCTGGCCACCATCTACTAGATATTCATGTACTCATCAGCTTTTAGAAGTAGGAAATAAGGCTGGGTGCAGTGGCTCACACCTGTAATCCCAGCACTTTGGGAAGCCGAGGAGGACAGATCACAAAGTCAAGAGATCTAGACCATCCTGGCCAACAGGGTGAAACCCCGTCTCTACTAAAAATACAAAAAATTAGCTGGGTGTGGTGGCACACGCCTGTTGTCCCAGCTACTTGGGAAGCTGAGGCAAGAGGATTGGTTGAATCCAGGAGGCAGAGGTTGCAGTGAGCCAAGATTGCACCACTGCACTCCAGCCTGGCAACAGAGTGAGACTCTGTCTCAAAAAAAAAAAAAAAAAAAAAAAGTAGGAAATAAGAGGTGAGAGGAGTTGAGGCAGCTGCCACCCTTTTCCTGGAAACTCCCTGGATTTCTCTGAATATTTGCATCATGTTTGCTGCATTATTATACCCTCTGTCACAGATTGTCACCATTTGTTTCCATCTTTGGCTTCCCTATTGTACTGCGGACGCTTCCAGAAACCTCAAGGTGTTCTGTTCGTCTTAGTGTACCCAAAGCGTAGGGCCAAGTCCCTGGAACTTAGGGAATTATGTACAAGTTTATTAATTATGATGCTGCTGAAACACCTATTGCATTGGTGTGTGTGTTGGGGGACCTAGGGGAGGTAGGCTACAATTTGAAATGAATAACCATTTATGAAAATCATCCTTTTCTGAGCTCCTCCCTTTAAATAATTCATCTTGGGCTAAAATACTAATGTGCTTCCTAAGGTTAATAAGTGATTTTAAATGAAGTATATTTTCATTAAGAGATGTAAAAGGAGAAAGTTTTTACAAGGTATTAGAAGTGTAGAGAAAATGTGAGGAAGTATTTATATCTGACCTGAGAATAGCTCAGCTACTTAATGAGGAAAATCCCTTAATCACATTGTGTGTGTGCCTCTTGTGTTAAGCAGTCCCTCCCTAGTTCAGCACCTCTTTAGGACACAGTTAAACAACAGATCCACTTTATTCCATCCCCTTGGAATAACATATTTAAATTTCTTATTGGTTTAATTCGTTTTTCTCACATCCCGAGTTTTCAAGGTAAAGCCAAGTAATGTGGAAACTACCTATTTCTACTGTGTACTAACATGCATTTAACTACAGTTGACCTTTGAACAACAGGGGGTGGAAACTGTGTAGGTCTACTTATGCATGGATTTTCTTCCGCCTCTCCTACCTGAGACAGAAGACCTTTGCCTTCTCTTGCTCCTTCTGCTCAGCCTGCTCAACCTGACGGTGATGAAAACTGAAGCCCTTGATGATGATCCACTTCCGCTTAATGAATAGTAAATATATTTTCTCTTCCTTATGATTTTCTCAATAACATTTCTTTTCTCTGGCTTTACTTTATTGTAAGAATACAGTATATAATACATATAACATTAAAAATGTGTGTTAATCTACTGTTTATGTTATTGATAAGACTTCTGGGCAATAGTAGGCTAGTAGTAGTAGTTAAGTTTGTTTTTGTTTTTGTTTTTTTTCTTTTGAGACAGAGTTTTGCTCTGTCGCCCAGGCTGGAATGCAGTGGCGCTATCTCGGCTCACTGCAACATCCGCCTCCTGGGTTCAAGCGATTCTCCTGCCTCAGCTTCCTGAGTAGCTAGGATTACAGGCACCCACCACCACGCTAATTTTGTATTTTTAGTAGAGATGGGGTTTCACCATGTTGGTCAGGCTCGTCTCGAACTCCTGATCTCAGATGATCCGCTCGCCTCAGCCTCCCAAAGTGCTGAGATTACAGGCATGAGCCACCACACCTGGCCAGTAGTTACGTTTTAGGAGACTTGAAAGTTATACATGGATTTTCAACTGCACATGGGGATCTGCACCCCTAACTTCCACATTATTCAAGGGTCAACTCTACTGCAGTTAATTAACATAAATTTAATTAGTGTCTCTAATAGGGATGCTATACATACGCAAACTATTTCTTCTAAGTGGTTTCTATTTAAAACATCATCTCTTACCTCTCCTTACTATGTCCACGGAAAAAACAATAGCACCATTTCTTAATTTGCAAAAAGTCAGATTTATTAATCTAAAGTAAAAAACAATTGGTATTAATAACACAATTACCACATCCACACATTTACACACCAATGACACCAATATCGTACGAGTAAAGTTTCAATATAAAAGTAAACTCATAAATGTCACTCAATGAAAACTACTGAAAGGTTTTCTCTACACTTCTTCTATACCGCCAGTAAAACTTTACTACAAATTGTATTTGGTCTAGACTTATTTCTGTTCCAAAACCCCTTGTGAATAATGAGAGTTGCCTGGGCACTTATTTATATTTGGCTCAAGTGCTATAATATGTATATTTGTTTTTTGTGTTTCTAAGATATCCTGATTGCAATCATTAACACTTTTTCTACATTTTCATACTTTAACGCACACTCTCAACTCATAAATTCTAACGTGAATATGTCCAGTAATATCTTTGCCTAATGTGTAGCGTTAATACTACCTTTTCTATCACAAATCACTAGCAGGTTAATCCTCAATTAATTCCCAATTAATCTTTATTAAAAATGAATTCACTGGTGAATAGTCCTCCTGCTTCCCACATAGTCAAAACTCTGCAGTCGTGGCAGCTGAATTGCGTAATGTATGGCCACGGCCAAACAGGCCCAGATGTTTCACGGTATAGACAAGAGACTCCCTATACGTCACTCTTTTCTTTTGCATTTGCTCTTTTCTAATGCCAGGATGAATACTTTATTCTCCTTCTAAAAAGTTAAAAACTCCTCTAGTAGCTTCTGTTTCTCAGCTACCTGACTTGCGATTCTGGAATTCAGACCACGGATTTCTAAAGACTACATCTATTGAGAGGCTTTAAAGGTTAATGATTCTAGGTCATTAGTTGCCACTGCCTGATTCGATTAAGTTTTCATACTTTCCCCCTGGAAAATCTAGCCTAGTTCCTGGCGTGTTCCCCATCCTTTCCCAGAAAAATGTCTCCTCCCCATTCCTCAAGAGGCCTGGAAGAATCTCCCTAGTTGACCTTACATTCTTGAATATGCTTTTATTGTTTGCTTTCCTGCTTCCAAAATTCTACTTTTTTTCTTACATTAACTTCCATTGTTATGTTGTGCTTTACCTCATTTTAATTGGGTATCTACAATTCAATGATTTCATATTTCTGATTTTGCTTTTATTTTGATAAGTCCCCATATCTTACACATGTGCATTATGTTTAATAATTATTTTAGGATGCACTTTGTCCTCTTCAAAACAATGAATGCATTTTATTTTCATAAATATTTGGTTGATAGATGCAAGAATTTATCCATGAAGGCATTTGGTAAAATACTACTCTTTACATTTCACCTTCAGATATGCTTCAACTTTTCATTGTAATTGGCTTGTTGTGGTATTTGAATCTGATAATCTCTTTGTCCATTGAGGTGGGAGAGGGATCCCATCCTTGATGCCTCCTTCAGTAGCTGAAGGGTAAGAAAATTTGTCTCGTTGTTTAGAATGACTGTCCAGCTGGAGTTACTGACATATGAAAATGTTCTATATTTGTGCTGCCTGATACATTCACTAGTAGCCACATATATCTATTGAGTACTTGGAACGTGCTTAGTGGAGCCAAACAATTGAATTTTTAATTTTATTTAGTTAAAATTTAAATTTACATAGCAACATGTGGCTTTACATACCATACTACATGACATAAAACAGTGTTAAAATAATTGATGCTGAGCATATATGTACAAATGGTCATTTCTAGCACATCTGTAATATTTGTTGAGCAACCCTGTCTGACATTGCTCTCCAGGTGCAGAAAAAGATCATATTTAGACTACGGGGTCCTTGACTCTCAGAACTTTTCAACTGAGAAACAAGACTATTCTAAACTGGTAATTCTCAACTTTGTCTATATATTGCAGTCACCTGGAAGCTTTTTTAAAAATACTAATGTCCAGATAAAATAATAAGATATCTGAGATGTTTTCAAAATAATTGGGACACTATGAGGCAGTAGTGGGTTGGCACAAATAAATAAGATTTGCCATGTGTTGATAAACATTGAACATAATGGACACAGGGAAGTCCATTACACAATTCTCTCTATTTTTTAAATGCTGTAATTTTCCAATATAAAAATTTTTAAATGCCAGCTCCATTCTAGATGAACTTAATCATATTCTATGAGATATCAGTATTTCTTAAAAATGCCCATATCACTCCAATGTAACATCAGTGTTGAGAATTACTAGTCAGAAAAAAAGTAATTTTATGATAAATTAAAGAAGCATGGAGAGTCTGACAGTAATCTGTTCTTATGAACTAAAGAAATTGCTAAAATGGAATCAGTATCAGAGTCATTGGTAACCAAACTGATCAGATTTAACAGATTTTTTTAAACCTATCAAAATGTGTTGCAATATGGATTGATTTTTACTTCCTTACAGAAATAAATGCTAACTCAATTGCACAAGTAAACTTATTGCACACTTTCCTTTTATTAGACAGTTTACGTGACTAAGCCCAGACCCAGAGCTGAAATGACTTTATTAGCTTGCCCACCCCTCACTATCATTTCTCCTTCCTTACAAGCCAGGCCACAGTGTGGTTACTTATCAGTGTCTCATAACTACACAAACAAACAGCATTGAGGAATATGGTTAACCAGTCATACTCAAATCAGAGTGACATGACACAGGTATTACAGTTTAAATCAGTATCATTGTATCAAGGTCCTCATAAAGGAGATTTTTCATTTCTTTTTTAAAAATTGGTCAATTTGGGCTGGGCATGATGGCTCACACCTGTAATCCCAGTGCTTTGGGAGACCACGAAGTGCTTATCACTTGAGGTCAGGAGTTCAAGACCAGCCTGGCCAATATGGTCTCTAATAATTGTACATCTCTATTAATAATACTAATCTCTACTAATCTCTACTAATAATACAAAAATTAGCCAGGCATGCTCGTGCATGCCTGTGATCCCAGCTGCGTGGGTGGCTGAGGAAGGAGAATCACTTGAACCCAGGAGGCGGGGGTTGCAATGAGCCAAGATCGTACCACTACACTCCAACCTGGGTGACAGAGCAAGACTCCGTTTAAAAAAAAACAAAAAAAACAAAAAAACAAAGTGATCAATTGAAAAATTTGAAATTAATCTATTTTTTATTTTCAAATCACCAACTATTTTCGCCATTATCCATTACTACAATGCAGATTGCTTGATATTCCTTATGTTTCTCAGTTGTCCAATGATTCCATGTTTTATTTAATGTTTTGTCTCTATTAGACTGGCATATTAAATACTATGTTTCTTGACTGTATGTAATGCTCAGAAGCTCAACAATGTATAGCATAACTGCACAGAATGTATATAGAATCTTATGTCTTACTTAAAAATAATGTAATGAGGCATTCTCACATGTTAGAAAATTAGGCTTGACAGTTTCCAAATTCTTAAAAATATAGACATCTTACCTTTGAAATTATAGATTGTTTTGCTGGTTTATGCTAAACTTTTAAAAATGCATACTTATTTTTGTCCTGATTAATCCAATAATAGCAAATATATCACATACAATCAAAGGTATTTCACTTTAGAAAGTATCCGTAAATATTGGGCAGGTCGCGGTGGCTCACACCCATAATCCCAACACTTTGGGAGGCCAAGGTGGGCGGATCATGAGGTCAGGAGATCAAGACCATCCTGGCTAAAATGGTGAAACCCCATCTCTACTAAAAATACAAAAAATTAGCCGGGTATGGTGGCACGTGCCTGTAGTCCCAGCTACTTGGGAGGCTGAGGCAGGAGAATTGCTTTAACCTGGGAGGCAGAGGTTGCAGTGAGCCGAGATCGTGCCACCGCACTCCAGCCTGGGCAACAGAGCGAGATTCTGTCTTGAAAAAAAAAAAAAGAAAAAGAAAAAAGAAAGTATCCATAAATATCAATTAGACACAAACACAGATAATTAAACTTAACCTGGACAGTCATTCAACTCTCCTACAGATTGCCCAAGCATCTTCGAAATTTGCCCTATTCTAAAAGCCTGGAACCAAGACCTTCAAAACACCCCTAACAAGGAGAAATCATTCATTATAAGGGAAGCATTTCCTATGCCAGAAATAGGATTTACCAAGAACTGTGCACCTAAGCCTATGCTGGAAAACACACTAAAAGAAAAAGAAAACACTAATTTTTCCTTAGGGAGTGCATATTTCTGATCCAAGTAAAAAACCAGAGACATGTGAACTAGGCCACAAGGGGAAATGTAAGTGTAGTCTTCTGCACTTTATAGATATTATATGGCAAGGGAAAAGTAATGATTAGTGTAGGGAGGTAGTGATCTTAAAAGGTGTAACCATCCACATTTTAATGAAAATGATGCATATAGATTGGGAAAATATATTACAGGCTATGGGATAGAAATAAAAAATAAATCTGGCAGGCGTCATAGAACTAAATACACACACAGAAGTGCATATAAAACAGTGAAATCTGAATAAGGGCTCCTTCTGTATTACTTCTTACAACTGAAGGTGAATTTACAATTACCTCAAAATAAAGATTTTTTTTTTTAGATGAGGAATAGACATAAACAAGTCTATCAAAAAAAAAAAAAAAAAAAAAGATTGGTCAGAACAAAAGCAAAACCAACATCAACAAAAACGGTCCTAGCTGGTCAATAAAGGTTGTACCGATTAAGATGAGAGATTGTAGACAGAAATCCATTAAAATATAGTCTAAATTCTTTTCTGAGGAGATTCGATAGTAAGGCATAACATGTCACTGGGGATTCTTGACTAACTAAGAGATGTGGAAAATCCTGTAGAAAACTTGAATGTAGCTAAACTATAAACATTTAGATATTCACATTAGAAAATATCAGAACATTGTCTTAAACTCCTAACATTAAGCATCATATTCCAAAGACTAAGTGAAAAGTTCACTTTGCCACAAAAGCAGTGCTCTAAATACACACACATACGCATATATGTGTATGTGTATATAGATAGATAGATGATAGACAGATAGATATAATAATACATACATATCTATAGATAGATATAATATTAAACAAAATTTGGTTACACACAAAAGCCAGTACAAGTAATATCTAATAACATATTATTGATTGACATTAGCCGGTCCCTGTGTCATGTGTTTCAAAGCCAATAATTCAACATTTGTATTTTAAGTGTAGAATAATTTCAGGTTATCATAGAATTCCACAAACAGAAATGATACGGTCAAAATAATACTACATGTTGTATTATTCTGCAGCATTTAATTAGAGAAGAATGACAAGAGATAAAGATGTTCAGAGAATACTCACTTTGGGAGTCCTGGGGGAAAGAACTAAATTAAGTGCAAGAGACCTGAAAGTAGGCAAAGGGGAAAAATATAGAAGAATATGGAATAGAACGGATTTGAACCATGCTCTGGTAGGATGAAGCAATGGAACTCAGTCTTAAATATAAGTCTAATAGAAAAGAAGAAATCATCAGCTGAGACTATAAATGTGAAAGCATTTGGCAGTAAATTAAAATTAATTAGATAAAAGATTCTGTGTGTGTGTGTGTGTGTGTGTGTGTGCATGTTTAGAAATGGTGTTGTCTTTAGAAAACAAAAGGAAAAAAGTTATGGAATAATTAACTGTATTTTTGATATTTAATTCTGTGTTTTGAGAGTCTTGTAAGAACTAAGGATCTGAAATAGACAAGAATGGTCAATGTTAGACTGCTCCAGAGGTTACACAGTTCATTGTATTAGAGAGGAACAGATGGGTCTGGTGTTTACACATTGTGGGGAAGATGGGTGTGAACAGGAGAGGAGGAGAAACAAGGAAAGCATGCCTGGTTAGCATAAGAAAAATGACCAATCATTAATATTTTTCAGCATCTTCTGTGCAAAAAGACTATATTAAATTTTTTAAAATCAATGGTTTTCTAAAACTGGGGATAAAGTTAAGGACTTGAGATAAGGGAAGGTTTCCTGGTGTTCTGCTTGTAGTAATGTTTTTTATTATTTTATCCAAACACAAAAAAAGGCAAATACAATATAGGTAATGCTCAACTTAACAAAATTTACTTGGATTAAATGTTAAATTTTTAAACAAAAAACAGATACTTCAATTCACAAATAACTGCCTAAAATATGATTCTGTTCACATAAATATCTACTATTTACAGCAAAGCCCATCTGCACATTGCCAGCTATTAAACTGTGTCAAATATATTCAGGTACTTTGGTAATTGACCACAAGAGCTACATCATTAAAAAAATTAAAAATTGAAGCTAAGAAAGTTGATCACTGTTTACATTCATAAAACAAAGCTGAAAAATGTCTGAGGTAATCATGAAATCAGATTCTGGGAGAGGTAATTTACACTCAAGCAAAGCACTTTGTCAAATTCCATTTTGTTCACTTAAAAGCAGTAGTCAACATTTTAAGTGATGCTGAAATTTATTTTTATTGGGAAGACTAAAAACTTAAGGCTTCAAAATATTTTACGAGATTTTCCTTTTAAGGGCACTAGGCTGAAGTCAGGATATGGAAGCTCAGCTGCCACTACTTGGCTGAATGGACAGACATTACTTAACTTCTCTGGGCACATTCCCTCATCTAGGAAATACATTCATTGAACTGGGTAGTGCCTTGAGGCTCTTCTAGTGTCTTGATTATTTTGATTCTAATCATCTGTTTAAATATTACAGGTTACAATTCATTAAGAAAACTTTGACAAATCAAGCCTCCTCTAAAATCAAAGAGTCAACGCACTGGTTGATGCCGTTGGACCCTTCTTGTCCCTGCTGTGTATTATCGGACATTTAATATTTTGCTCTTCTTCCTGTACTCTTCTACCTACATCCTCCCAGTTCTTCTATTATCTAACAGAGAAACACTCTCTGTTCCTTTAAACTTCTCTTGTTTTAGGGATCAAATTGCTATGGATCTGAAAATGCTTAAAAAGTTAACTCTGCATTTGTGATTTTAATATAATGCTTGATTCTATTATTTATTCAAAAGGCACTGTAGAAGTCTCGCATATATGATCATTTAAAATTTCGCTGAAGTCATGTCTGAATTCTGCACACTGCCTTATGGATGTGGGAGAGGTGACTAAACTGAGTCAACGCAGTCAACCACCCAGGACTTGCAATTCCAGGGGTTTGTTGTTCTCTTTTATCTCTATCTAAGTGATATTTCTCAATAACGTATTAAATATGCAAATGTGAACAAACAAATAATTAAAATATGTTCTTTGTAAAAAGAAATTATATCACCAAAATAAAATTCTGTTCATGCATTTTGTGTGGGACATACATGTTTTCAGCTTTTAGTAATATTTGCACATTTGCCATTCCTAAGGGTCTGCAACTGGAACTGCTAAAAATAACAGAGCAACAATAAGAAAATTCTCTCTGCAATAAAGTTTCTAACATAGCAGGAAAATGTCATTCCCACCCTCCTAGTTAACAGCTAAAACAGAGACCCAAAATTTCATTGTCATATTTGAATTCCTTTTATTTAAATTCTGTTTCCTCTTGACTAAATGCCCTGCCCCTCTGTACACTCCTTTTAAAAAGTTAAGTTCTGGCCGGGCGCGGTGGCTCACACCTGTAATCCCAGCACTTTGAGAGGCCGAGGTGGGCAGATCACTTGAGGTAGGTAGTTCGAGACCAGCCTGGCCAACATGGTGAAACCGCGTCTCTACTAAAAATATAAAAATTAGCGGGCGCCTGTAGTCCCAGCTACTCAGGAGGCTGAGGCAGGAGAATCACTTGAACCCGGACAGCAGAGGTTGCAGTGAGTCAAGATTGCGCCACTGCACTCCAGCCTGGGCAACAGAACAAAACTCGGTCTCAAAAAAAAAAAAAGAGTCCTCATTTTATTCTTTATTTTGCTCAATATGCACTCTTCCTGAAAACAGCTTTTCAATGGAGAAGTAGCAGGAGACCCAAGAGAAGAGGAAGTTAGGAGAGGTCCAAGTAAAAGAGGCTGTGGAATGGAAATCTTAAGGGTGGGAAAGGCAACTTGAGCCTCTTACATAACTTGGCTAGAATTCACCTTACATTTCAGGGAAATTTCATGCCGTTTACAATTCTAAGGACAATGATTATTTTAAATCTTTAGTAATTACTTAGGCAAGTTACATTTCCTATAGCAGTATTTGTAATAAAATGCAAACAGGTAGCATAAAATAGATTATTTTCAGATGGTGCATATGCATTACATAATTGTACATTCATTGATAGATGATAAAAATAATAACTGACACTTTACTAAGCCAGACATTGTTCTAATTGCTTTGTGTATATTAACTCAATTTCCTTTTCAGAAACGATGGTAGAGAAAAGTTAAATTTGTGGCCAAGAGGTGACAATAGTAAGAGACACAGCGGGGGTTTAGCCCTAACTATTGTGTTCTCCCAGATATGCTTGCCTCATTTCTTCTTCGGTTGACTCTTAGGGTTGCATCCACCTAACCCTCCGGGGTTCTGGCTTCGGATAGTGTTTGATCAATGGAAGCAACAAAAGAAGATTGGAGGACATGAAGACAGGTTACTGGATGATATTCGACATGAGCTGCAATCCTCCATCTGAGGTCCCAACTTTTCCAGAAGGCTTCTGTCCTGTTGCGCTCATTGGATTCTGGTAAGAGGTCCCTGCATTTACCCTCTCAGGTTAGGGGTGCTAATATATTCCAACTGTGGACAGACCCTGGGGGATTCATCATTTCCTGTGGTTTCCCTACATTCTACTCACCATCAAATTGCCATCATCAAACTCTCTTCAATTATCCCTTTGAGTGTGACATCTATTTCCTTGTCTAATATGATAATTAAGAAATAGGATAAATCTTTTATGATTTATCAACTAATGGCTAAATATGCAAAAGTGTTGCCACTTACTTATACTTTCCTAAACATCTGGGTATTCTAGAAAATAAATTATACAGCTCTACTTCCAGGAGCAAAGAATAGTTCTGGAGGAAAAATTATTTATAATTCCCTGAATTTTGAGTGTGGACATTCACAAGACTGTAATCTTAGAAACATGGGTGGCAGCAAGCCTCCAAATAGGGATGCCTAAACTCTGACTTTCCTGTCATTTTAATATGTCTCAATCATTTTTACATCTACATTCTGTCTAGTTTAATGCATCCAGATCTGTTTATACTTCAAATAAGAAAAAGAAATTCCCACGTAAGCATAGCCTATAGGTGAGAAAATTTTAATTGTTAAAGGCACTACACATACTAAGACCTCATTTTATCTTTGAATAATATTAAATAAGACATCACTTGATTCCAACCTATGCAGTGAGTGCTAAAGCATTATTTATATGGTTCTTTAAATGTGAAAGTTATTTGCTAAATTGCTGTTGTTCTACAAAACCAAGCTAGTCCCCATTACGTTTCGGATAACACATATTTATTTTTCTGAATAGTTTCCTGTTTGTGTTACCTACCAACATAAATCAATGATTTGCAAAATTTGCTTTGCATTCATTGTTAATTTGATAAGAGGCATGCCCATTTAATCTTTTCAACTAATAAGAATACACCTCAGTTTAGTTTGCTAGTTTTTTGGGTGGCTAAGAATAACCATCCAAATGTTTACTGTGCAGTCCAGACAGTGGACAAGCTACCTCAACAGACTCTGAATATATTTCACTACTGCATTTGCAAATAACTATCACTTTGCAAAAATAAGTTTTCATTTGGGTGTCATTTCTGGCAAAAATTTAAGGCTATATTTTCAAAGAGTAAAATTCTAGGCCTTTAAAATTCTACTGGCATCTGCCAACCTAAGCTGGACCCTCCTCTAGGTTTTGCGGAGCCTGACAGATGATTTCACCTTAGTCATTTTCTTGCCCACAGTCACGTAAGATAACTGCGAATTTGTTTTTTCCTTGTAGCATTATGGGATTCTCTTGAAGTGTGTGAAGAATAATGAGCTAAATAAAGAGGAAAAACAAAAGAAAACAAAAACTGCAGGGACTTTTATAACTATCATTGATTGCCAGCTTAAGCCTGCTGGACTCTTCACAAAACTATATATGCTTCAAGCTTAATATTTAATTTTGTAATTGGAACATTTATAATCATATTATGCATTTAATAAGGATGCTCTAATTCAGATTTACTATTATCAGGAAATTAAATTTGGAGTTACAGTAATGCATGCATATATATGTGTGGGTGTGAGTGTGCATATACCTATATATGTATATACATATATAAAGTAAACGCCTTCTTTTAACGTGTGTTTTAAGTATAGCTTCCATGTCCTAGTTAATTCAGCACCCTCCCTTTTATCCTTTCCTTGCCATTGTCCTCTCTACTAGACTACAATAAAAACAAAAAACTATGAAAGTAAGCAGCTTATAATCATAATTTTAATCAATGTAGCCTATGCAAGCTTTAAGAAACATACGTCTAACATCTTAGAAAGAAAGCTTATGAACACAAACAGCAGAATACTTAAATACATTTGAAACATTCACATTGAATTGATTCTACAAAATTTTGAAGAGCAACAGCTTTTGAATTTAGAGCTATAATCAGTACCCTAAAGTTTTTACCACTGAGTTACTACCTAGTAAAAATATGTTATATTTGCAATAAAAGTACACATTGTAAGGACATAAGAATTGTCATCAAGGTACACAAACATTTTAGAATTATTAAACATTTAAATAAATGGAAATTTTAAAAATAAAATAACAATATTATCATACAAGTTAATGATCCAGTTTATTAATTTCTAATTCTATTGATAAAACAAGGGATTATTTTTGAAAGGGTTTTTCTATCTTTCATACAAACCCTTTCCAAAAATGTATAGATACAGTACGGATTCTACCTGATCATTCTTGTGCATATGGTGATGTAAGAAACCAAAAAAATGTAAATTATTTTCATAACACTGTGAAAACCAATATTTAAAAATACAGTGCACAATTAGTAGTGAGTAACATATATAAATTTAGAAATATTATATTTCTGTACACAAAGTAACATTATAAATGAAAGCTTCAGGAATAATGAGCTACTTATTATTCCGGAAATTATATATCAAAAATTTCAAATATAGAGGAAAATTAAAAACCCACTCATGACCCATGAAAATTAATAACCCATTCGATCATACACTTACCATGTAACTTTCTGTTAATTTGGTAATAAATAATGTCAAGAGATTTTAAATGAAAATACTTATTCTGAAACATAAAAACAACATCTGAGATGAGCACAAATGGATCAATAGATACATTATTGATTATTTTGTATCATAAAATACTATCTAGTACAACATTCTTTAAAAAATTCAATATTTTTATAATGTAAGTAAAACGGGAAGAACTGTTAGAGAAATGGGCATCAGATTTAGATTAATTCTGCCTCTAACGCAAATTGTAGGCTGAGCCCTATATGTTCTTGACCATTCTAAGTTTTACTACATTAAAACACATAAAATATTCTGCGAGGTTTTCTCCAATGGGATTTTGAATCTCACTGATGACTGTGATTTAGGAGTAATGTAGAGAGTTTTGCAACTAACTTTACTTTACACCGTTACTCCTTTTCTACTTGGGGGTTCAGTTCAACACGCTAGTAAAAGAAATAGTCATGAGAGCATCCTAAGGAAAGTAGGCAAAATGTTAGTGCCTCATTATATTTACAATCTTTACAAAACATGTATGTCAGTAAACCATATTAACATCTAAAGCACATGATATGTAGAAACAAATTGTGACTACAAAATGTGTCTTGTTTCTTAAATATGCTAAATAGGAAATAAATCACATCTACTTCAATTTTTAATCTGTGGACTTTGGCCTTAGTTTGTGTTTTATTTTATTTTTTTGCTTTTGATTTTAACCACTGAAATCATTTACCAATACTATAAGCCAGGAAATACAATGTAACTGGCCAGTTGAGAATTAAGCCTTCTCTTTTTATTATTACAATCAAGGGGGGAAATGCTTATATATCTTCCTGCACAAAATGTTTCATTTATCAAAAAAAAAAGTGAGAAAAATAAAGAAAATTTGGGTGAGATAAATAATCCACAACTATTAATTCAACAGATATTATTTAAGAAATTCCTACCTGTAATTTATTTTCTAATATTTCTGCATCCTTAGTATTTATCGCTCAAAGATATTTGCAGCCCTCATAGCAGTGCTTGGAAAAGAGATTTGCTCTGAAAATTTAGAAATAAATTCCTGAGGTGAATACAGTTCAAAACTAAAATATATTGCTGTATTATATTGGTTTTTCTCATTTGAAATTAAAATCTAAAAAACCTTCATATTAGGTTGTGTGTGTCAAGCTGCCATTATAAAAACACTAAATGAATAAAATTTCGCAAGCAAGGCAGCATTATCAGGCTAAGTACATGTAGTGGGCTTATATATGGTGATGTTTTACATAATTCAGCTATTAATTCATCTATAGATTTACATTTCTTAAGTGCAAAAAAAAATGTAATTATTTCATTACATATGGAATTCACCTCCCAAATTTCTCAGAATCTAAGAGAAAGGATTGACATTTTCTGATATTTCATTTTTGCTTAAAATTAAGTTCTTAGGATGTTTAGATTTTATTATAAATATTACAACTTAAATTCCAGAGTTATAATGAACGGTCTATGTTTTGAAACACAGAGGGAGAATGGGGTAATGACTGAAGTACTGTTTTTTCAGTTTATTAGTAAAGATCAGCTTATAAGATGTCATTGTAAAGGTTTCTATTGATAATTACCATAAACAAAGATTAAAACTTTAAATACTAAGTTCTGGATTTCTAAGCCCGGTGAAAGTTTGTGCAATACCATGCCTTGCATTTATGATTTTTCTTTTAAAATGAACTATAAATGAAGAAATTTACACAGAATTGGAAACTATTCCTACTTTTATTTGCATTCTTCCTTCCATTCATTGCTAATGTTCAACAATAAAGCATTTTAATTCTAAAGGAATTGTTGCTTTTAACTTGAGTGTGATTATTTTAGATCACATTTTAGAGCCCTCATGTAGGTCAATGATACTTAGAATTTTTTATGTCAGATTACCATTTTTAAATGTTCACACCTAAAATTAGTCTACCAGTCCAAGATAAAGAATGGAAGTTTTTTTTTGTACTCCATTTGATTTGTTCAATACTTCACTTTAATCTTCAAGATCCAGTATATTATTTTTTAAATTCTAAAGCAAATGCTGAAAAGCCACAATCCAGTAACACAGAAATGAATAATAACACTAATTTATTCCTTTCAGAAAACACAATGATTGAAATATCTTGGAAATATTACAATATCATACTGAATGAGGTTGATAAGGTATTACTCTGAGTTTAAGTTCCAACTTATTAAATGTAATATTTGCTAGTCATTCTGCATAGTCAAGCATATAGACAGACATAATTTGACAGCAAAGGTTTTATGACATAGTAGCTATAAATAAAATATTTGTAATTTTACAAGAATCTAATATGATTCAAAACCTAGTAAAGTCTACCTCCCCAAATCGCTCTTTTCTTTTTTGATGTAATTTCTATTTTTTATAAAATATGTATCATAAATTTGAATAGAAAATATCTAGATATGTACACTGTATAACCATGCACAAAAGCTAAAGTTCGATCAATGAATTAATTTTAGTTATTTTAACTAAAACTGGGCAGTTTATTCCTACTACTAGATTGCTCAAAGAGCAACCAAATGTAATTGAAGCCAAGCAATTCACACTATTTATAGACATTTTTCAGAATCACCTGCTTTGTAGTGATTTTTTTCAGCAGTTGTAAAGTTTTGATTTTTAAGAGTCCCTTTGAAGACGTGGCAGATGTTGGCTTTGCTAATAATGCTGGAAAGCGTAGCAGGTTCAAAGTTACAAAAATGTTTAACACATATAAAATATAATGGTGTGTTTTTCTATTAAATTTGGTTATTTTCAATTGTCAATAAACTTACATAAAGGAAGCCTAAAGTCCATAAATATTTGCTTCCAAAACATGAAGCTGCTAGAGTTTGCATATGTGTGTGTCCATGTGCATTTGTGGAGGGAAAGTGCATAAAATATATGCTAGAGAAGCTTACGTATTATAGTTTTAAATCGTTACTATGAATAAAATTGTAAGGTTTATAAATATTTAAGCTGTTTTTCAATACTTTCTGGTGCTTAAAATTCTATTAGAATTTAACACGGTAATTAGAATTAGCACATACACATACAGTCTAAGTATTAGATGCAGGGATACAGAATTTTGGTCCTGACTTTACCCTGGATTTATGTACTGAATTTTCTCTCAACCATAAATGCAAAGTAATTATAAACTACCTAACAAAATACAAATGATCTCACTATATAGGATGACATTTTTATCTAATACAATTTTAAATTTCAGGAGTTCCGAAATCACTTCAATTTTATATTTTAGAAATATTGAAATACTAAAATGTGCTATAAGCAATGAGAGATATACGTATTAATAGCATACCAGGATCATAATCATTTTCAATATTGTTTTAGTTTGTGCTAGATCAAGATGTCTATGAAATAAAATATCTTTGAAGATAATTTATGGAACACCTAATGCAATTGTTACACGAGAAAGATATCTTTAATTTAAATCTATCTCAATATCTGACAAATATACCTTCAGCTGAAATTGGCAAATAAAATTTTATTTTCAATAAGTGTACATAGATTTAAACAGAAACTATTGTGATTTTCCTTTTAGTCAATATTTCTTCAACATATCAAAGGAAAGAAAAGCTCATTCTAAATCCCCAGTATTTTTATCCTTGGTGATGACTAATTGTACTTTCCACTGAAGTTTTAATCTGTTAATAATTTATGTAGCTGACACAAACACTTATATTTGCTTGTTTTTCCAGTACCCTCATTATCAGCTTCAAAATGTAGAAATGAATTTAATTTTGTTAAATGGTTATTTCCCACTAAGTTGGGGGGGAGAGATAAATTAGTTTTGTTAAATTATTCCATTTTTTAAAAAAATTATTAAAATAAATTAAGGGAATCAGTTATTGAATTCCGTTTTCTCAGTTTTCCCCAAACAAAATAACATGTGCTTGTATGAAAATTGTTTGCCCTGAGAAACTTAAGGGCAATGGCTCAGTTCAGGAAGCATGAAGAACAATCTATCATGTAGGTTTCTCATTGCAAGAAATAAAATGAACCGTAAGAGCTTATGGGAATTGCAAGAGTACGCTCATCAACCCGAACTGGGATCTGCTTCCAAAGTTACACTGATATCAAATGTTCAGTTTATGAAATTGTCACTGCATTCTAAAATCGACTGTTTTTCTAATAAAAATTGAAACCTTTTTGCTATGATTAACCTTTCAACTCACTATCTAAAGAGAGTTTCACTTATAGTTAGGAAAATACATTAAATATCAGTGACACTACTGGTAATTTTCTTATAAAAACTAATTTGTGATGGAACATTAAAAGTTCACCCCCTGACCTTGGAAAATAAAAGTTAGCTTTTGAGACCGTGAGAGAAGAATCCATCCTATAGTAACGCTGAAGAACAATTGATATTGCTGTGAATGGTGAAGGAATATTAAATATGCGGCCAATCATTTTCATTTATGTGGCATCTTACCTAAAGCTTTACACACGATCAACATTTTTCCAATCCTTCAAACCAACATATGGGATTACCTTCTAGGACTATTATTAACCCAATTCCACAGAGGAAGAAAAATATGCAAATATTATATTAAACAAATGACACCTTCCAAAAGTATTTAATCCAGGTTGCACTATACCCACGAAAGAAAACTCACAAGTCTCTTAATTTTAAAGTATCTTTTAACAATTTTATAAAAATACAGGTAGGTAAGAGCTTTGAAAACTTGTCTGGAAACTTTGAGTTTCTCTGGATTGCTACAATTTATTCGGCACGTTGTGCCTTCAAGCACCAGAGGTCAGGAAGGTTCCCCTTTTGCATGGCTGCTCAAATTATCCCCACTGAAATCAGCGCCTCCTGCGCGCACCCTTGCATACCCCTTTAGACACGTATCTAACTAACAGTACCCGAGTTGCTGTTGCTTCGCAGTATTTGTCTCTACTAATACCCACTTGGTAGAGGGATTTATTTTCCACTTTTGAAACTTAGGTTCTGTAATTAGCTTACACCACATGGACATGTACTATTAAGGTTCGTCTTTCTTCCAGTGTGAGCATCTATTTATTTACAATTCTCTGACACATTCCTTAAAATCTGAATTCCTAGATAATGTCTTCTTCCCCAATAAAGGGAAAATTTTACCATTTGAAATAGGGTGCTATTTAAAGAACGCTGAAATAAGAATGTTAAAAAAAAAAAACTGAAACTTTTTTTTCTCATGCGCTCTGCCAAGTTCCATTGCAAGTTCCAAACATTGTGCAATAATTTGGAAATCCAGTTAACGATGGGAAAAATCGAGCCACTCAGAGTCGGCAACTTGCAAGAGAAAAGTCAAGAAGCGGCACCCGCACGCACGCCTGCCCAACGGACGCTGCATCCCTGGGCGCACGCCCCTCCCTCCCCAGCGCTGGGATGGAAGGTCACGCTTCACAATCGATTTCACAGCCACTTGTCCTTTTTTATCAACCTTCTGGTAAACTAGTTTAGGACTTTGGAGGGCTTAGAGCTGCTGGCTGTATACGCATTGCTCTCGAATAAACACGTGTCCCCAAATATCAGGACCAAAGCTTCACCGCCGAATTTGGCCGCAGGAAGCCACAGAGGGCAACACATTCCCATCTTCCCTGCTGCCACCCTCCAGTGCGAGAATCTCCCCTAGTATCTCTCCGCCCCTTTTCCAGCCCGGCGCGCACTCTCGAGGGTGCCTGGCGCGCCCTTACCTGAGCTGTCGCTTTTCCTCTTGCCGCCGCTTCGCTTCTCCGCCTCCGCAGGTGACAGTGCCTGGCGGCCGTAGTCCCCCGGCGCGCACGCGGCCCCAGTCGGGGTGCTGGAGCCCAAGCTGGAAGAGTTGGAGCACAGGACGGGCGGGCTGCTCCCCAACTCTGGGGGCCCTCCAGAGTCGGGCTGGAGGCAGAGGCTGTGCCGAGCCGCACTCGGTGGGGAAGACATCTGCGGGAGGTGCCAGTTGGTTTGCAGAGCCTGGTGCTGCTGCTGCTGATGGTGGTGATGGTGGTGGTGGTGGTGGTGGTGGTGGTGCCCCCTGTGATGCTGGCTGGCAAACATGCCCTCTTCGTTGGGGTATCCCGCGATTATGCAAGATGAGGAAGAAGTAGAGAGCTCGGGGTAAGACATATGGTCAGATCTTCCATGGAGGGCGAGAGAGGATTGGGAGAACGGGTGCAAGCCTTGCGCCGTGGCGTGAGGGCTGCGCAGGCAGCCAAAGAGCGGGTGTTCCATAGCATGCAAGTTTCGGGTTCCAGGCAGAAGACTTCACGGCGGTTCCAAAGGCCACCACCCTCTGTCACTTTTTCACTGGAAACCGTGTGATTTTTTTTTTAACCTCCCAAAGCAATAGCGGTGCACTTCTGCAGAGCTCGGATAATCCCGGTCCTGAGCCCCAGCGGCCAGTCTCCTTTACATATGAACAGTCGGACCTGGAAGAGCTTCCCTGAGCTACTCAGATGTCAAGAGTGGGAGAGGTTGAAGCCAAAAGAAGGTGGTCCCAGAGAACTGCTTTCAGGGGGAAATGGCTCTGAGAAGTTATAAATAGAGTGTAACGTGAGCTGGGGGCTGGCTTAGGAGCCCAGAGTTGACCACATGCAAACTCCCTCCAAAACTCCCGCTCAGCCTGCGCCACGCGCTCCCAGTTCCACTTCCTATCTCCTGCTGGACGGACGTAGAGCGTCCACGCCCGCCCAGCACTGCCGGCTGCCAGGACTACAAGCGGCACGCCAACGTCTAAGTCCCGCCCGGGAGGGCAGCAGCTCTGCCCTCCAGACTCTGGAGGCCTGGGCGCGGCGCACACCACCCCCAACCTAGCACCCTGATTCCTACCTACTCACTTTCCTCTCGGGGAAACGTGACTTGTCAGTGTCATTTGGGAACTGTCACCTGCAGAAAAGCTAGGGATACGCCTATCCTTTCAGGAACACGAAAGAAGTAATAGGGTTAAAGGAAAAGACCAGAGCTAGTTTGGCGCACCCTCGAAGTTTTTCAAACTTTGCATCTTCCCGTGCCCCGGGCGCCGCAGCGCGCCTAGGTTTTCGCAGCTGGTTTCTGTCGGTGGGTTGTTAATAGGCTGGGACGCCAGATCTGAGGTTGCGGGGATGAGCACCATGGCCTGGAAAAGGCGGTTCTCAGTGCAGAAAGAAGACGGACCTGGTTGGGTGGGTGGGAGGAAGGCGTGAGTCTGAAAGGGTTGCAGATGCCTGCTCCCTGGCATCCTCACGTGCGATGCCAGGTGGAGGCTCCCTTCCCCCTCTTTCCCGGTCCCGCTCAATTTCCTAGCCACTTGTCCACCAAGAAGAACTTTTCCTGGGTCAAGAATATTTCCAAGCGATTGTGTCCCGGTCATATGAGATGTGTAGATTGCACGCGCATTTCTAGCCTTTCCCCTCAGGAGCTAGCCCAGATCTCCTCGGTTTCCTCCAGAAATCCACTCTCTTCTGCTCAAAAATAAATCCGCTAATGCATTCCTTACCACCAGGGTTCCATTTACTGAGAATTCTTACATTTCGATAGCTCCCAAAATTCACTCACCGTGGGCACTTGGTTACAATTTTGCACCCCTGAAAATAAAATAGAAAACTCGCCTCTAGTAAGCATGCGAGAGCGAGGGCAGGGCTTTGAAGCTGCTACTTGCTTGGCGGGCGACAGGGTCCGCTGGGGGCAGAGTCGTTTACACACAAGTGAGTGGCGCTGTAATGAGCAGGAGGAACAGTCATGTCCCATCTGCGACCTGTCGCATCAGGAGAATATCTGTAGTCACCTATTCTGCCCGGGGCCCCAAATGCGCCACCAGCAGTGTCGCCCCGTTTTTTCATTGTCTCAGGTGTCCAGAGGATGATGACCAGGTCTTTGAAGTTGTTAGTGGGATTAATGGGTACAGCAAACTGGGCTAGACATCTGGTTTGAATTAGGAAAAAGCATTGATTAATCTTTGAGAGGTGTCCCCAAAGCAGAACCTTTCCCCTCCTCTTCCAGTCCCCTTGCTTAAGCCTCACTATCTTCTTTTCTTTTAAGTCACACTGCAGAATAGTGGCTTCGCAATAACATCCGTGTGAAAGATCGAATTGTTTTCTATTGCTCAGAGGTGGGGTGGAGTGGGGGTTGATCAGGAATTCTGAGATTTGTAAGCGCTGCTTTCTTTAACGGAAATTGAGCTCTATTTTGAGGGAAATTAGTTTTGCAGACTTCGTTTAAAAAAAAAAAAAAACTAAATCTTTTGTTCACCAGCTGCTCAGCTTTTCAGTCTGGGTCTGAGCTGAAACCTGCTGCAAGTCTGACGGTAAGACTTTCTTTGCCGATATTTTGGGAATCTAATATTGTTTTAGACTTCGAAAAGGGGTGTTGTTCAGGTTGCACGTTTCTAGGGGCTTTAAGCACTCGCAGGATGGCGTCCAGGACTTAGATCTTGAGAATATCTCTTCCTGCCACTCCCCACGCCCTTGGCTCTTTAAGAATAAAAAGAGGTGGGGGAGTTATAGTCCTCCAATATCGTCGGAATATTTTTTTGTATTTTCATTGTGTTTATGGTTTCAATATGTGCTCTGATATTAAAAGTTAAAGTACAAAGAGCAACACTAAACTTCCCCAACTCATGTAGCTTCTCTATGGATTCTGGGTGAAAGCATTAAAGGCTTTATTTAAAGTGAGATTTAGGCAACCACCTCAATAAACCTAACCAGAAATATTTACATAATATAATGCTGTCAACTAAAAGCATTGTGGAAAATGTCAGACAAGACAGACTAAAATTACTCATGATCTGCAGACATCAGTACAAAACATCCACAACGGTCCTTTTGGTTTGCATTACATTGGTTTAGAGGAAGCTAAGCAATTACTAAATGAATGGATTTGAATTTAACCAGTGTGTTGCAGGTAACCAGCAACAAGCACACACAAACCTTTCATCTCCCGAGGCTGCCACTTCTTCTTAAACCTGCCCAGTGACTGTGCTGGATTTTTTCTCACTCACTGTGTCAGATGTTAACAACCTGTCCAGAAGTTTCTCTACAACCTGCCCCAGTCAGTCAGCCTCTAGAACTGTGGGGCCAGAAACCTGGGAAGAAAAATTTAAGAAAGGTTAGAAAAGGAGGAAGTCATTCCAAAGGCATGCAATGAAAACAAAGCTAGCAAGAAAGGTCTTTTTAATTGAAGACACAGAACATTTAATATCAGCAAAAATTATGATGTCCAGTTTTCTTATAGAAAACAGAATATAAGGAAAATATTTGGAAGGAAAAAATGAAGGACTAAAAAGGACGTCTTGGTGAATTCCAGAATTAAATATAACTTTAATTTTCTCTGGATTTCTAAATATGTATTAATCATTACATAAAGATTTTTAAATTTTATTAGAATATTTGGAATAAGATAGAATATTGAATTTTATGTTCTAGGTTATAGAGAAATTTTTAAAATGTAGTAACAACGGGAAAAAAATCCCTAGCATTTCCTATAATAGCTACTTCAGTGTTCACATCCATAAAATCCAATATTGAAAAGATGCCTTTTTACCTAATGATATCAAGAAGAATGGTAAAAATTATAAAATTTATTATAAAATTTCTATATAACAATCATTTACAACTATGTATGATATAGTATTTATCCTACATTTATAATATACTTGAGTTTTCCTGAAGATAAGTTATATTAATGCCAACATTTCATGTAAGGTTTCAATATCAAGTAACACATTATAAAGAGGTTGATTCTGTGAAAAGGTAAGCTACTTAGCTCTTGCAGGGTCCACAGCTATAATTATTTTAAACGTAGGCTAGGTTCTTTAAACTTGATAAGTGTGTATATCTATTGTTTCCTCGGCTTAAATAAAATGACATTCAAGAGTAAAGGCAGAGATTTCTTTTTATTAGGACTATTTTATTTTAAGGGGACTAGAGCTCATATTAAGCAATACAACAAAATTGTATTTAAATTTTACTTTAAGATTCACAACGATTCTTTTAAAAGTTGCCATTCTTCTGCACACGTGTGACATGAGTTGTCATGGAACTTCAAATATTTAAAATTAAATAGGAAACTCTACTTTGAATTTTACCTAATAGATAAATTTTCCTTGGTAACATATACTCATAATATATGAACTAAAGGGTGGATAATTAAATTAATGTTGTAATTTGTTTCTGAAAACTTTATTGGGTATAGAAATATTATTTCTGCTATATTTTGCCAAAAAGTAGCAGTTATGTCCTTCAGTTGGTTCTTCTGAAATAAAGAATTTTGAAAATGTATCCAAATATGCTAAATACCCAATGGTAATTTATGTGATTTATGATGTACATTATTTTATAAAACTAAGGAACTGATTCTCCCCAGGAACTATGCATTATAAAGTTTATGGAACAATTTTGCTATGGCTAATGCATGTTATTTAGTGATTCTGTATACTTTTACACATTTTTAAAATGTTATTATTTTTATATAACATTAATTGGTACATTCACAGTAAAAATTGTTACATTCATTTTACATGTACCAAAAGAAATGAATACTTAAAACCTTACTTCTAAACTGTAAAACAATCCAACGTACTTTGTTTTTCTAGTTTCTAGGTCTTCCTGCATTTAAATTTATTTCTTTCAGGAATTAGTGTTTTTCTTCCATTCAATTCCGGTATAGTATAATCAATGAAATTGTTCTCAACGCTAAATATAACTCTGCCTAAAGCAATAAGAGAGGAAACAAAATATATCAAAATTAGAACTATTTAACGGATGATCTTTAGAAAGCCAGCATGCAATATAGATTATGACTAATAAAATTAAATCTAAAAGATTGAATTAAAAATTCAAAATATATGCATTCTTTCATAATATGTATTCACACTTAATAAAATTCTAATGATCTCTTGTCTTTCTTTTTCTTTTTTTATTTTGTGAGGCGTCTTATGATTGGGAAGACATAGATTGCCTCTCAAATTTCAAACACTTCCATCTGGACTTCCTTTTGTTCACCTGTTTTAAATCCATAATTATTTGATAGTTAACTCATAATAATGCTAATAGACAATAATTAATTTCTACATTTTCATTTGCATTCACGTTGTATGTTATTTTTATTGATAAATGTAGGCCTTTTCAAAATTTTGTCATTGAAAATTATATCCTTTCCATAACAGGGAGAGGTACAGGCAAACTAATTCAAGAGAATTCTATAATGAAATGCTCTATATTATGTTATATTTTCTATAGCATCCAACTCATAACCATTACATTTCTATCCACAATTTAAGGGAACTACACCGTTTATTTCTCCCATGTCTTAAAAAGCAAGGCTATCCTTTTATATGAATTGAATTTAGAAAAGTTCACAAACCTCAGAGAAGAAAAATTGAATCGAAAATACAGACAGGAATTATAAGTAAAACCTTAGTCTTCTGTTTTAAGTTTTCCAACTTGAAGAGTTCAACATAACCAATGTAACTTTGGCACTATGATAAGTTTTTCTTGTGTGTTTTTATTTTTCATACTTCATCAATTTGTAGCAAGTTTTATTCTTAAAGTGGCTTTTCCATTTTGAGCTCAGGTTTATGATTTGGATTACTAAAAACCTCTGTGTTTTAGCTGTTAGTATAGTTCTCCAAAATATTTAATTGCACACTCATATTTTATATGATTCAGACTCAACAAAGAAATACCAGCTGCCTTTTATGTCAACTTTTTTTTTTAGGAATAAAGGAAAAATGTTGTATATTTGTATACCAAACAAAATGAAAAGTTAAGGCCAAATACAAGATCTCTTATAAAAGCATATTTTTAAGAGTTTAACATTATAATAGTACTTTGATGGAGCACAGGTTTTTTTTTTTTTTGGAAGATTTTGAGAGTGATATGGAGTATTTCATACAAGGCAATGGCTTTATGGAAATGGATCAAAACAAGGATGAAATGATTAAATGACAACTGTCTGCCCATGTCTTAATTAACATAAGAAACAAGAAAGGTAACAGAAGGTCAGAATGGGCCAAAAAAAAAAAAAAAATCAGAAGAGTATTTAGCAGGTGAAAAGACAGAAAGTGAGACAAGCTTAAAGATATTAAAAATAATTTTAAATTTGTTAATACATAAATTGTAAGCCACATATGATCATGGTAAAAAGATTCCAGGTTCATATCTCGGTTTAATTGGAATTTTAAAAATAAGTAATCAGAAAGGTTCATATTTAACTGCACGGCATATATACTGTTGATAGAAGTAATAATGAAATATTACTATTCTGAGAAACAGTTTCAAATAATTAATGTGAAATGTGGATATAGATGTGATCAATGCTTAGACATGTGTAGGCTATTGAATATCTGAAGTTCTGAATAATCACTACCTTTTCGTCTTACAAATTTGTTACCTGAAACTCATTGTAAGCAAAAGGTTTTTCTAAATTTCATCTATTTTTAGAGGATGATTTCTGCTAAGTTGGGGTCATAGTATATGGGAAGGGAATAAGCTGGTTTTCAACAGCTGTTAGTGTCTGAGGAAAAAAAAGAAGTCCTGGGCCAACTGCACTGTAAAGCACTTCAAAGCACAAGTAAGGAAATTCTGTACCAAACACCAACCAGAACCCAGGAGGAATACCAGCTCTGAGCTCTAAGGCCCAAGACAAGGCAATTTCTCATACCACCAGCTAACAGTTGTTTTCATCCACAAAAGGGCCTGTGATCAAAACAAAGCTGTCTCTATATTATATAAGATTGTATAAATACTAGATGCAACCTCTTCAACCCTTAGAGTGACTAGAAAAGATTCTTTTTTCCCCACCGGACACGCATTTTGCATGACCTTTGTCCTATAAGCTCAAAGTTGCGGGACTCTACGTTGGTCCAATTCCACTTCTAACAATTCATTCTTGAGGGTATAAAAAAACTAATGGGTAGAAAAAGAGCACAGTGACTGAAAAGGTCAAAATAATCTTGTAATACTTCATGATAAAATAGAATCAAACTGACAACTGATGTTGAAAATGGACTTTATGAGTAAAAGAAAACTGACAGGTTTTTCCTCTAATTTAGGACATCTGTAGTAATCTGAAGCAGCATTTCTGCAAATAACTTATTAAAGATGATTAAGTGTGCTGGTTAAAGTGATGGTAATGTTTCTCTGAAGATATACTCAAGGTCAAATTAAATAGACTTGACCCATAATCAAATATAATAATACCTCTATTTATTGCAAACAATTTTAAGAACATTCCTTTGCTATAGTAACTATAGAGCAATAAAAATAGCACATTTATGACCTTCCATGTTAATTACTTTATTCATCATAATTATCATCTGTGGGCCAGTAGTACCTGTCAATAGCTTGTGAAATGTTTGAATTTCTACACATTTTGTTCTTGGTTACCTCTGATATCCTACCTCTTACAGTTAATGATGCGATTTGATCAAAGTTGAAAGCTGAGTCATTTTGGGTTTTAAGATCTGATCATACCTTCATCAGATAGACTCCACCAGGCAAAGGTCTCAGGCCCAGGTAGCACCACTTGGAATCCTTCCAGAACCAAAGACAAGCACATAAGTTTTAAAACTGCAAAAATGTTCACTGTTGCACATGTGGTGATAAAGCCTATTTTTAGAGAAGTGTGTATTTTTAGAGAAGAAAGATATAAAGAATCACATAGAAGCTTGTAAATATTATGCACTGTAAATCTAAGGTTATTGAATTAGCTATTTCTCTTTCTGTAGCAGTATTAAAGGCTTGCTAATCTATGTCTAGTTCTGTTATGTGAACAATATTTTTCTTAAGAAGCAATTGTTAGATCACTGTAATCTGGCATTTGTGTCAAATATAGCAATGGCTAGAACCAAAAAAAGTGGGTTATTTTCCTTGTACTGTACTAGCAATTCCAGTGATCAAACATTGCTAAATCTCAATTTTCAGTGAGCAAGTCCCATGTCAGTCTCTCTCTAAACAGCCTTATTGACAAGTCAGTTGCTTAAGTCAGAATTAGGAACCCACAATTGCCAAGCCCCTCCTTCCTTCTCCTTTTCCCCCATGCAATCAATCATCAAGTGAAGTATTCCCAATTATACTTATTTAATGTTCATTAACTCCATAATCCTCTCCACCACCAGTCAGTACCTTATTTGGGGGCCTCACTCATCTTGTTTAAATTATAGAGGGGTCCCATGATCCTGTAGTTCCCTAGAGCATTCCTCCATCTTCAGAGCCAGGGTGGAGAATTGATTTGGATCTTAGCTCTGTCAGTTTCTAATTCTGTGGATATATTCATTTGTTAACTCAAGAGAATATTACAATAAACAATTTCGACAATGCTGTGAACATACTTACCATCATGACTGGCATAAGCTCCACAAATGTTTAACAAATTTAAGTTACATCTAGACCTCACTGTGGAATGCAGATTCGTGTGGTTGTTGAGCACTTGAAATGTGGCTTTTCCAAATTGAGATTCATTTTAAGATTAAAATGTATACCAGATCTCAAAGACTTCTTGTGAAATTAATGAAGGTTTTCATTGACTACATGTTAAAATAACCGTGGTTGTATACATTGGGCTAAATAAAATATACTATTAAAATTAACTTTCTTTCTTTTTTACTTTTTTAATGCAGATGCTAGAAAACTTAAAATGACCTATGTGGTTTACATTGGACAGTGCTAAGCTAGAGGGTGTCATTTAACTTTTTCTTTCTTTTATTCCCTCCCCTTGCAAATAGGTACCAAATTACATATATATCTGTCAAAATGATGTAGGACCTAAAGTCTCTCTGTAAGTTGATCCTTTTGACCCCATGATTAGGAGCTTCACAATGTGGTACCACACCTGGAAACCTCCAGAACAAGATCTCAAGGAAACACAGGAAATTCCTGAAACAGCAAAACCCCCTATGTGAAGACGTCTGTTATTCCTTTGTGTATCAGGAGCATCACTGTTAATTAACTGTTGATACACTTAAAACAGCTTGGTTGGCAATGTCCTTTTTGAATAAAGAAGAGCCAGGTGTGTTTTTCAGGATGAACTAGACAATGCTGTCACAAGTTTACCTCTACATCTTATTGCCTTGGAAAAATTTCCTGCATATCGTGGCACAAGATGGTTGGCTCTCCAGGCAGCAGTTGGCGTTGTGAATCAGTCATCTCAGCATGTGTCTCCAAGATCCCACAGCAGGGGGAAAAAGAGGTGGAGGGTCACATGCCTGGTGTTACATACTTTGAGGCAGAGGTGGTAGGTGCCATTTCTGCTCACAGCTCATGGACCAGAACAAAGCCATGCATACCTGAGAGAGGACCAGAAAATATTCTGAAGCAGATGGCTATTTGGTGAGCAGTAAATGTTTCTGTTACAACAGGTCTTGACAAACTTCAAATGTACTCCTACTAGGCCTACTTCACACCACTAAACTCTGTACTTCCTGTTGCTTGATGGCATCTTATGCTGATGTTTTCTATCATAGTGTCCGGCACAAAACAAGAGCTCAATACATATACTTAATAGCGCATTTAGATCTAAGAGTTTCACTTTATCAAAAGATTTTAGTACCTACGTAGCTATTGGGCCACATCAGGAAAATGTAACTGCTTCTACAACTGCAAAGAAAATTTAACTAATTGTATGCTCATCCCAGCTTCAGGTTTTTGTTTTGTTTTGTTTGCTAGCTTCTTTTTATTTCATAATTTTTGCTTTGTTTTCTGCCCTTGAGCAGAGGTTCATTTCTAGTTTTCACTGGAATTAGAACAACAGTTGTGTCCATATGCAATAACAGTGTTTCAAATTCTTTGGGGATTTGCCCACAGTGTCTGCAGTCATATTGTGACACCAGTTGTGATGCCAGTCTCTGTAAATCAGACTTATTCCCAGTGAGACATTATATATTTTTGCAGCCAATACGATCTATTTTATAGCGATTTATAGCATTGTCTCTGAAAAGGATACTTTGATTTGTGTCTTGTTTTTGTCAGTTTTCAACACTTTGATTGTGGCCCAGGTTAATTAATATTTTGTGTCTAGGTTTCCTCATCTCTAAAATAAAGATGTTTATTTCTATAGCTTCATGTTGACAATTAAATTATATAATTTATGTTACTCAACTAGCAAGTAAATTGATGTACAGTGTATTTATAAATGATAGATACTATCTTTATGTTAATTTTTATTATTGTCATCATTATCATCAATTTTCAGGTCCGTGTTCTGACTAAAAGGAAGCCACACTCTGTCGAAAACAAGCTTTGTAAGAAAATTTTGAAGTATTTACTTATATCTAACCATTCATTCCACCTTTTCTCCCAAATAACACTCTAATATCTTGAGACATCTTGTCTAGGGCCAGATTTCATAAATGCTTGTGAGGCAGGAGAATAAGTTCCAGAGGCAGTTCACACTGCCTAAAGCCAATTCACACTGACTTCCTATAACTAAATCTAAAGGAAAATCTCAACTTTCCTCGCCCAAGTAACAAAAGAATCAGAGGTTATACTCCCTTTGCAACCTGCCCCTTTTCTGCCTGGCAGATGAAAAATGAAAAGTACCTATGACTGGTCCCCTCCCACGACCAGCCAGACTGGTCACGGATCACTACTTCATTTACATAGGGCGTAAACCGAGTAACCAATGGGAAACCTCTAGAGGGTATTTAAACCCCAGAAAATTCTGTAACCGGTGGTCTCCAGCAGGTTGCTCAATCTTGCTGCCACTCTGTGGGATGTACTTTTGTTTCAATAAATCTGTGCTCTTCCTTCGTGGTTTTGTTTGTGCTTTTTGTCCAACTCTTTGTTCAAAATGCCAGGAACATGGACACCCTCCACAGGTAACACTTGTTGATCAAATAAATAATATGCTAATGATAAATGTAACTTTAGTTATCAACATTTTTAATTAAATGATTATACATTTAGGTTGTACATATTTCACTTGGCTTTTCCACTTCCTTCAAAGTAATAGTAAAACAAAGACTCTTGGCATATAAAACCCGGAATTTGAGATGCCTGACAAAAATGCTTCATATGGCCAAAAGAACTATTAAATTCTAAAGAAAAAGCCATATGTCATTTCTTACCTAAAGCACTTTGGATAAATTTACAGTGGAATTTGATTTTAGGTTGTACAGGATCTAGCCATTAGTTCAAAAGTAATGAACTGTCCTGTAACAACAGAGGTTTAGTGAGATTATAACTACGGGACTAACCCTAACCTCAATTATAGTGTAATATGCAACTCACTTAACTCCAAATAAATAAGCATACTAACAATGAAATAAAATACTCATAAAATGAATAACATAGAACTTAAGATTTTACATCTATTTACATCATTTATGCTTGACTCATATAGTGAGTATATATAAGCTATGCCGAAAATAAGCTCAATGTACTGCTTAGTGCCAACTAAAATGTACATTCTTTTATAATTGAATTCCTATTTCCAGAAATGTTTTGTGGTGATTTACAGTACAATTTGGTAAAACAAAATGTAAATGTAGAATAAAGACTATAGATTAAATAAACACTAAAAGTCAATACATTATAGACTAAAGTGTAATATAAAATAAAGACATGAGAACCTTCTGAAGGAGAAGTTTCCAAACCTTAAATATCAGAAGAAACCTCTGGCTTTTGTTTGTTTGTTTGTTTTTAGGAAACACATTGTAGCACACAGCTACGTAAGGACAGTGAGAACCAGAGCTATCAGGATGGACACAGGTCAGGGGCACCAAGCACCACTTGCTCAGTGTATTTTCCCCTCCCCTTACAGCCCACGGGCTCATGAGTGGCACCTACAAAGAAACAAATGGATCTTGAGACACAACCTAAAAACCAAGCACTAATTTCTCCAATATATGTAATACAGCCGGTGAAATGGCCCCTCAAATGCCATACCTGTGTTTTCTTGGTCTATTAATTCATTTGATAGGTACATTCTTGGGGTAAATATTTGAGCAACTTTTTTTTCTTTTTTTTCGGAGACAAGATCTTCCTCTGTCAGGGGTGAAGTGGTGCAATCATAGCTCACTGCAGCGTCAAACTCCTGAGCTCAAGTGATCCTCCTGCCTCAGCCTCCCTGGTAGCTGGGCCTACAGGTGTGTATCACCACATTCAGCTAATTTTTTAAAATGTTTTATAGAGATGGGTCTTACCATGTTGCTCAGGTTGGTCTCAAACTCCTGGCCTCAAGCCATCCTCTCACCTTGGCCTCCCAAAGTGCTGGGGTTACAGGTGTAGGCCACCACACCTTATTTTCCTTAATTTTTGTCTTCAGCTATTTAGTTATTAATTCCTTCCAGTTTTCTAAGTTTTGTTTAATATATAAATATAGATTTCCTACAACTATAAATGTAGAAATACTTCTAATGCAGAAAATTTAATCTAATACCCTTGTATTTATCAAGAGTCAATTTTCTTTTAAAAAAAGGGACATCTCTGTAAGGCCTGAACAGCAAAATGTTACTTAGTGGAATCTAGAAAAATCAAATCCCCATAGAATTCAGTGCTAGAAAAACAGAGCCTAACAAAAAGGGAACAAAGGACATGAATTACTGCATTATCAAAGTAGAACTATTTATGATCAAGAAATATTAAACTACTGGAAACTTACTTGTAATAAAAATGAAAGTTAAAAAAGATAGCATTTTCCACCTATCAAATTGATAACCATTAAAAAACAAATAGGTTATGATGAAAAGGATTTTGGAAAATAATAAATGTTTTACACTTCTGGGAAGAGTGTAATTAGGACAGATTATCTAGTGGAAATTTTAGGAGTAAGTAAAATGCTAACTTTAATCCAATAATTGCAGATGAATTAATATAGTGAAAGGAAATAATTAGATATATCAAATGACGTACATACAATTGTATCTCTGAAGTGATACTTATTATATTGAAATATGTCAAACAATAAAAATGGATTAAATAAATTATGGTAAATCATGATAAGTACAGCCTATTAAAAATCATTTTCTAAAATAATAGAGAATATGAAAAATCAATCATGATATAATGCTGAGAAAGAAAGCAGGTTACAACCATCTGATTCAAACACACTCACACCATACATGTTTTGTTGTATTTATTATATATATATTTGATTTCAAAGACACACTCAAAATGACAACAATTTGAGCTTATTAATACTATCTCTAGTTGGTGAGATTAGTGGATATTTGTATTGTTTCTAACAGTTTCAAAATAGTTTTATAATTGTTTATAGTGAATGTGTACACTTTATTATCAGGAAAATGACTTTGTTATTTCTAAATATTTAAAAGACGTCCTATATATTAGAAAAAAATCTGTAGTGGCTGAAGTCAACTTTTCACATGTTAAATAAGTCCATTACGTATAGACACCATCATCACGTAATTATTCATTGGCCAGCAGCTGTGTTAAAGGCATTGATTCTCTTTAATGAATCTTTGCCTTTGAAACTATTGTTTCTCTTTCTAAATAACATCCATTACTCTAAAATTGTATTGTTGTGCTACCTCCAGTTTGGCACTAATCTGAACCAACTCAAATGTGAAGGATTCAATGGTCTGCCTCTGCAGTAAGGTGAAGCATATGGCGTGCATTACACTTAAGGTCAAGAGTTTATACTGGCTGGTTGGTAGTATCTGGGGGTATAAACCAGGGTGTTATCTTGGACAAATATAGTTATTTAATAGTTTGAATTATGGTAAATTGAAACCAATTCTTCTCCCATGTGTAAAAGTTGAGACTGGGGCAGGGACATTTTTGGGTTTTTTGCTATGATAGGGTCTAATCTTTAGTGGGAGTCAGAATGGCAGCAAGTGTTCTCAAATGAAGGGATGACAAGGAAAAGTTCAGAGTATCACATGACACCTTCTATTACCTATGAGGCACGGGCTGCTGCAGTGCTAAAGCACAAGTTTACAGAGTTTCAGGGTCTTGAGATTTTTACACCAAATTTCAAACAAGACTCATAGTGTTACTTTTGCTCCTGAGTTGATACCATTTTGCAAAATACAAATATTTAACTAACAATCCAAAAATAAGCACATTCAAATTTCTAATACATAACCAAAGAAATAGTTTTTCATTAATACTAAAAATATTGCATGAAAAAAACACAGTTTAACATCCGTTTGTAGTAAATATCCTCTTCCTCTCCCTATCCCTATCCTTATCTTCCACCCTCTTATTCACTTACCTCTTCTCTCTCTCTCTTTCTCTGGCAAATGACTTAGATACTGTTATTGATGTCTCTAATATGAAAATACTCTTGGCATAATGAGAGCTTAAACTGTACTTAAAGTCCACTGAAATGTAAAGTTAAAAACAAATCTTAGACTCAGATGGAAGCGACTTTAGAGATCAACTGATTCAATCCTCTTTATTTAAAAAGAAGAATTCAGGGGCTATTTGTAGCATATGAATGATCTATAAAGTCACAAGTTAAATTAGAAATTAGTAGTAATTTGTTAAGAGGCTGTGACAAAATTTAAATTTCACATAGTCAACAAAACTGATATAATTACAAAGTTAATTTAGCTGTTAATATTTTGACCCAAAATTTCTAAGTGACCTCAGTTAATACATATTTATATCTAGGAAGAACTAATTTGAAGATTGAGAAAAATGGAGTACCCTAATTCATATCAAAATATTTATATCAATATTAATATTTTATTGTTCCATTAACTGTTTTTCTTTTTTTCTTTTTCTTTCTTTTTTTTTTTTTTTGAGTCATGGTCTTGCTCCATCACCCAGGCTGAAGTGGTGCAGTCTCAGCTCACTGCAGCCTCAAACTCCTGGGCTAAAGCAATTCTCCCACCTCAGCCTCCAGAGTAGCTGGGACTACGGCCACATGCCATCACACCTGGCTAATTTTTCAAATGTTTTGTAGAGAGCAGGTCTCATTATGTTGCCCAGGCTGGTCTCGAACTCTTGGGCTCAACTAATCACCTCAGCTTCCCAAAGTGCTGGGATTATAGGTGTGAGCCGCCATGCCTGGCCAATAATTTTCATTTAAGGAAAGTAAACAGCAAATATTTTAAATTGGCTATAAATTATTATATTATCTCAAAGTCCCATAATTCACTAAGGCATCAGTCATTCTTATACTTTAGAATAACTTTTTAGTTCATGCCATGAGAAACCAAATATAAAAAACATTTTCTCATAAAATAATTAGCCTATACACTAGGAAGAATTTGATCAATGATGTTCATTGAATATATATAGTTTTTTCTTTTTTCTTTTCTTTTCTTTTTTTTGAACATAAACTCAAGATTTTATTGTCTTCATAATAAAAGATGACGCTTAGAACTGGATCACTTGGCCCTTTCTCTTATTATCTCCTCCCAGTTCAAAATGCTTGCATCTTTTAATAGGCAGCATTCTCTTAGATCTGCAGTTGGGCTCAAGGCACTCAAGCCTTAGGACAATCTTCTTTGTAGCTTTAGCCTTTTTCTGGAAAATCAGCTTGGTTTGCCCACCATAGCCACTCTGCTTCCTGTCATAACGCCGCTTTCCATGGGCATACAGATAATCCTTGCCCTTCTTGTACTGTGTCACTTTATGGGGTTGGTGCTTGCCACACTTCTTACAGAAAGTCCGGCGGGTTTTAGGAACGTTAACCAGGCTTCCGTGAGTGCTATCGGCACGGAAAGCTTTTATTTTTTTATTATTTTTTTAATTTTTTATTTTTTAGATGGTGTCTCACTCTGTAACCCAAGCTGGAGTGCAGTGGCGCGATCTCAACTCACTGCACCCTCTGTCTGCCAGGCTCAAGCAATTCTCACGCCTCAGCCTCTCGAGTAGCTGAAACTAAAGGCACACGCCACCACACCCAGTTAATTTCTTTTGTATTTTAGTAGAGACGGGATTTCACCATATTGCCCGGGGTGGTCTTGAACTCCTGAGCTCAGGCGATCTGCCCACCTCGGCCTCCCAAAGTGCTGGGATTACAGGCGTGAGCCACTGCACCCAGCTGGATATATATTTTTCGTTGCAAAATGATAATGGAACTGAAAGTTTTGTGGCAAAAATTGCAGTTATAAGGAAAAGAGGTTAATGTTTCCACAGGTAGAAAAATGGGCTACCAAGTAACTATGTGACCTTAGCTACCCGTCATGAACTGGGTGTTATCTGACCCATCAACCCATCAAGTTGGTGTGCGAAATAACACTCCATCATCAAATGGAAGTGGCATATTTGTGATCTGGCCCTAGCAGGCTGTGAAGGCACAAGTCAGTTACATGAAGAAGTGGCCCAAATGCCTCTGGTCTCCACTTCTACTACCCTAGCTTCTCTCTTGCAGCCTGCACCTGTGGTCTCACGGAGTTCCCTATGATCACTTGACAGAAGAAGAGAAGACTAGGGCCTGGTTAACAGATGTTCTGCATAATACTCAGGCATCACCCTAAAGGGGACAGCTGCAGGAAAAATAGAACAAAAAGGCTTAGAAAGGGCACATTTGCTCACTGAGCTGGGATATGTATTGTCTCCTGCGCTTGGACATCAGCACTCCTGGTTCGCAGGCCTTTGGACTTTGACGAGGATTTCCATCATGACTTCTCCTGGTTCTCAGGCCTTTTGACTCAGACGTCTTATGCCATTGGCTTTCCTGCTTCTCCAGCTGGCAGATCCTGGGACTTCTTGGCCTCCATAATCACGTGAGCAAATTTCCATAATAAACTTCCCTGTATTTGTTTACGTGTGCGTTTGTGTTTGTGTGTGTGTATTCTGTTGGCTCTGTTTCTCTAGATAATCCTGACTAATTCAGATGGAGGAAAACATCATTTTATCTGATAGTCAATAGTGTATCTCTCTTTTGAACTTGACTTCTTTTGTCTCTATTAAAAACTTTTATTGTATTTGATACATTGCAGCTGTAATAATAGGAGCTTTTTAATATGTATTAACATAGTGATCAGAATATTTGACTCTAAAGTGGGCCATATATTTAACTTTTAATAGGACAGATATGGCTTGGCTTTAAAGGTTAGTACAATAAATTTACACTTTAAAATTTCTCATCAACATTTCCGAAGAAGATATCAAGAATACGAATATGTACTTGTGTACATTTTTTTCAGTTAAACTTATGTTGATATTTGACAATAGTTTTCATGAAACACTTGAATAATTGTGACATTTAAGTAGCAGTTACGAGACAAGATGGCAACACTTCCTGGGGAGACCAACCAGCTTCCTGATGGCAGGTTGATTCCACTGAATCACTTTCATTATGAAAGTGTCCACATTTTGTCCTTATTGGACAAAACTTAACTCTAGATATGGATTTTCCTTCCTTGCAGGCAATGATTTTGCCAAAACTACCACTGGTAGACGTATAGAATGCCTTATCCACTGTCATGATATGCCATACAGCATTGCTTCTGATAAAGAAATTCACTTCACAGCAAAAAAGGTGTGGCAATGGGCTCATGCTCATGGAATTCACTAGTTTCACCAGGTCTCCAACCATCCTAAAACAGCTGCCTTAATAGAATGGTGGTTTGGCCTTTTGAAGGCTCAGTTACAGTGCTAGTTAGGTGACAATACCACTTGACCAAGTTCTCCAGGAGGCTATACATGCTCTGAATCAGCACCCAATAAATGTTTTTTTTTTTTCTATAGTAAGGATTCACAGGCCCAGGAATTAAGAAGTAGAAATGAGAGTGGTACCACTCACAATTACCCCTAGTGACCTATTAGCAAAATATTTTTTTTGTTACCGTGACTTTGTGCTGTGCTTGCCCCAGAGGGAGCAATGCTTAATCCCAGAGGGAGGAATGCTTCCACTAGGAGACACAACAGTGATTCTATTGAACTGCAAGTTAAGACTGCCTCCTTAACACTTTGGGCAACTCATGCCTCTGAGTCAACAAGAAGGGAGTTTTGGTGTTGACTAGGGAAATTGAACTGGACTACCAAAAGGAAATTGGCCTACTCCACAATGGAGGTAAGAATGAGCATATCTTAAATATAGAGGCTTCCTTAGGACTTCTGCTAGTATTACCATGCCTGTGATCAAGGTTAACGGAAAACTACAACAACTTCATCTGAACAGGACTACTAATGGCCCAAACTCTTCAGGAATGGTTTGGGTCACCCCACCAGGTAAAGAACCATGACCAGATAAGGTTCGTGAAGAAGCAAAGAACATACATAATGGGTAGTAGAAGAAGGTAGTTATAAACACCAGCTATGACAACAAGACCAGTTACAGAAACTAAAACTTTGTCATGAGTATTTCCTCCTTATTTTGTTATGAATATGTTTTGCTTACATATATATTAAGCAAATATCCTTGTTTTCTTTTTTCTCTTATTCTGCTATTATGTAACATAAGATATGTGACTCTATATCAGTATTTAGTATCGTTAATTTTACATCATTGTATTTGAGTTATAAAATATTAGAAGGATAAATATTACTTAAGGACTGTATCCTCTGGAAGGGATTAGTGGATTTTCCATTTTATGCAAGATAGTTGTATTACATAAGGCAGAATTATGGCCTTGTTATTGTCTTTATTTGGAAACTAAGTACGGTTAAAGGACATGCATATGGGTGCCCAGGAGACAAGGGTGAATTGTGATGGTGAATGTTATATATCAACTTGACTCAGCTAAGGAATGGCCAGATAGCTGGTAAAACATTATTAACGGGTATGTTGATGAGGGTGTTGCTGGAAGACATTAACATTTGAATCAGTAAAAAGAGTAAAGAAGACTGCCTTCATCAATGTGTGTAGGTTTGAAATAATACAGTTTATAGGAGGATGTGTTAAGCACAAATGCCCACAATTGTTTTCTTAACATGATAGGTTTTAACAATTATATGACCTGCAAATAACACTAACCATATGCCATAAAAGACATTATATTTTTAGTCAAAATATGTCTAGGCCAGAGTTATTAAATAAAATAAAAATCATTCTATATTTCTTGAAGACAAGTATTACTGATTTATCTGAGAGATAATTTACATATAAAGCACGTATATTCCACTACTATGTTTAGTGCAAATAAAAATTATGAAATCAATTTAATAATTTATTTCTATAGTGAAAATCCCAGGGTAAAAATCAACAAATATACTTTGAAAGATAAAATGTATTTCTATACATTTGTGAAACAGGGACCAGTGCTTACTTCAGTAGGCAATAAAGCATACACAGATTATTACACTCACCAGCATTTGGTTATATTGGTTCTTGTTTGAAATAAGTGACAACTGTTTATCAAAACATATTTTTCTGGTTCAACTTTTCCCATATAGACTTCATAATTTTATTTTAAGTACATATAAATTATATATAAATGATTACCAAAACATTTCAGGTTTGTATGTTAGGTTTAATTACTAAACACTAATCTAGCTGTGCAAGAAAATTGTTAATCATCTAATAATTCAAGTAAAATAAAACTAGATAAATTCCCACTGGAAGATCTAATGAGGTGCTCAGTCATAAAGGTATAGACAGATTTTAAAAGTATAGGCAGATTCCTCTCCCGAGAAAACTTGTTGGATTTCTAGGAAGACAAGATTTACACATATATACAAGAATATATATAGTTTTCTGTAATTCATAAATTGAGGGAGGGAGGAGAGTATAAAGAGCCAGAAAGAGAGAAATAGAGACTTTACATGTTAGAGTGGCCTGCAAAAGGTGTATGGGAAGATAAAACAACACAAATTAGAAAAGCGTTTGAAATTTCATTTGGAGAGGATGCTTGTGTGTTGTTTGAGGCAGAAAGTTAGGTAAGAATTATCAGTTGATTGTATTTTAGGATTGAAAAAGTAGTTATTGGTGGCCATGCAGTCCATGCCCCTGGGAGTAGGAGATGTTGTTGTATTTGACAGAATTAGAAATATCAAAAAGGATCTAGCTAGAGAGGAAAGTGGTGAGTGCTTATGTATTATGTATTTAATACATACAATTCAAGTGGATGGTTGCATATTGAATATATTCCTTTATTTGATGAGTTGGAATTTGCATTAGAAGTAAGGATAAAATTAAGGCTTGATTGTCAAATGATGATTAAGACTATGATTTTAAATAAGCTTTCTGAGATGGCACAGAGTGACAGTACAAAAATAATGCTCCTCCTGGAGGTAGTCTCACTCTCAGGAAGAAAGAAAAGGATGAAACCTCATAAGGAAGGTTTGTCAGAGAAATGATTAGAGAAGCAAGGAGCAAGCAAGCACAATATCCAGAAAGCCACGAGGAGAGAAAAATTCTGGAAATGGGTAATGAAGAGATTCAAGTAGAGATATTGTGGAAGATAATATTTGGGAAAGGCCTCAGGGAAGGATGTGGATAACAGTATAGAGAATGTTTCATTAGAGCAGCAGAGGACCCAGAAAACAGCAAGAAAAGAGAAGATAGATGCAGGGCTTATCAGAAATCTAGATACGAACAGGAAAAAAAGTAATGCAGCTATCTAAAAGAGAACCAACGACAATGAAAATGTTTTTGCTATTGTTTATTTGCTTTGTCTTAAGAAATAATGCTTAAGATAATTAAGTTGAAGAAAAGAAAGTGATTATGTTGTCATCACTTGGTACATGTCTGGGCTCAGTATATATTGAGTGGATAATTGAGAAATAGTTGGAAATGGCAAAAATTATGAAAACGGTTATATTTTTGGAAGTTACAGAGGGTGAATACAAGTGGAGAATTTCCTTTAAATGAAAAGAGAGAGAGAGAGACATGCTACTTTAAAAATAATGTGGCCAGGTGCGGTGGCTCACACCTGTAATCCCAGCACTTTGGGAGGCTGAGGCAGGCGGATCATAAGGTCAGGAGTTCAAGACCAGCCTGGCCAACATGGTGAAACCCTTTCACTATTAAAAATACAAAAATTATCTCGGCTTGGTGGCGGGCGCCTGTAATCCCAGCTACTCAGGAGGCTGAGGCAGGTGAATCCTTTGAACCTGGGAGGCGGAGGTTGCAGTGAGCCGAGATGGCACCATTGTACTCCAGCCTGGGTGACAGGGTGAGACTTTTTCTCAAAAAAAAAAAAAAAAAAGAAAAGTAAAAATCTTGATTTTTTTTTTCCCTATGCTGGGATGGGATTATAGAGTTTTGAAAAAATTATCACTTTGGTATTAAATAATAATATGTTGCTTGGCAGTCTTGGTTTCTCTGATCCATGTATATTTCTCTTTTTGACCTTACTATTTTAAAGATGCTTGAATTTGGTACATATAGCATTCTCCTTATGTATCTGTAATTAAATCTAAAATAAATAATAAAATCAATAATACATAACCCAATAGCTAAATTTTCTGCTATGTAATTCTGTAATAGAAATATGCACATCAAGTTTCTGACCAATAAGAACTTGGTAAAGAAAGCTAACTAAATATTTATCTCATTAGGATTTCAGGAAATTGTTACACATCCAATTTTAGGTACATATCAGAATACAGTGCTAAGCACTACAAGTCATGAATTTTACAAAAGATTTACTCTTTCATACAAATATGTAATTTACTTTGTTAACTTTAAACCACTTCAGCGTCTTTCTAAGAATGTATTCATTTGGAATTGACCAGTGAGTTCTGTCAAGCAACATTCATATTTGTTCAAACATTAGGACAATGCATTTTCCCAATATTATCTTACAGGAAACAGGATGCCATAGTTTGAATCATTGAATCTTTACATAGTCTGATATGGCTCATTCTCTCAGTTACTTTATTTTTAGCTTTAAACCACTATTCAGAGAGACATGTTAATCTGAAACAATGTCAATTAATGCTTTTAATGTTTATGATTATTATACATTTATGATTAAAAAGGAGAAACAAATTTTAATAAATTTTTAAAAATTTTCCCCAGGAAATTACCTCAGAATAACAAGTGTTAGTTTAGGATGCTGTAAAGAAATCTTATAAAGATTACTTAAAAATAGGGAATGGTGAAGTTGTGAGATCAAGCATATATAAATTTCAGGAAAAACGAAATGTTAATATTTTGTAAATTGGTATAAGAATTGAGACAAAATATTGAGTGAGATAATTATGCAGCTCTGTGTCTCTTTTAAAAGGAGGTGAGGTTTATGTACTCTTGAAAACTGCCTTGGAACACTCAAGACATGACTCCAGTATGGACCGTGAATGAATCAACTGATGTTGAAGATGCATATTAAGGGAGTAAATTGTTTCCTATGACTTCTATAACAAATGACAGCAAACTGTGTAACTTAATAGGATTTGATTCTGTGACAGTTCTTGAGGCTAGAAGTCTGAAATCAAGGTGTTGGCAGAGTCATGCTCCCTTTGTTGGCAGAGGGGAAATATCCTTGGTTGCGTCTTCCTGGCTTCTGGGGGTTGCTAGAAATCCCTGGTGTTCTTTGATAGCAGCTACATCCCCCTGCCTCCATGGTTACATAGCCTTGATTACTGTGTTTCTCTTCTTATAACGACACCAGTCATACTGAATTTAGAGCCCACTCTAATCTTATATGGCCTCAACTTAACTAATTATCTCTGTAAATACAATATAAAGCTATGAAAACTAATATATGAGAAGGAATCAATAGAACACCAATGAAGCATGCTATACCTACTTCATCAACTGAAGGTAATGAAAATTCCTATGGAAGGAAAATTACTACTATAATGAAAATTACATGAGAAATTGAAAGCCAAGGGACTGAGGTCATTGAAAACCCTGACCAATGTTTTACAACCTTTGAAATAAAAATCTAACTATAATACATGATATAGGAGGATTCTCCACTAGAGTTCACACACTTAAAGTAAGTAAAATAGATACAAGGCATTTGACTTTTATTCACCACACCTGCTCAATAGGAAAATTTCAGGGTCTGCCGCTGCTGGAATTTCTATGAGATTTTTAAAAAATGTATTTGCTTTGGGCATAAAATCTTCAGATTTAACAAGTTATAATTATTTACACTCACTTTATGCGCAGAATAATTTGAAAGCTTGAGTAACTTTTTTAGTGCAGAATTTGCTCTGCCCAAGTTAAGTTCCTGCCCCAAAACCAGGGTTAATCAGCCAATGTTTCACATTCAGTTTAGTCCATTCTTACTGAGACATACACAGGTAGTTCTAACAAACAGTTTATTCTAGAATCTTCCATTTCTCTTAGCCATAAAATTCTACCATTTGTCAAATTTTAGAAAGTTCATCTCGTAAATATATCTTGGCTCTTTCTTTTTTCTGTTCATAGTTATCTCTATAGCTGAGTCTGTAAAATAACTTCTATATTCTTTTGTTTCTAGCTTAGGATTCTTCAAATCCAACCTACATGTTACTACCAGAAGAATAAAACCCAAATCTGGTTATGATTTCTTATACATATATAAAATGCACACACACTGCCTGGCATATATAAAGATCCTACTTTAAGGTAGCAGAATGTTTCTGTCTTTTAAAATCCACTTCCTAAATTGCTGCAATGCCTCCTCAATACCTTGACAATGAAAATTCTTTGCCTGATGAATTGATTGGGTGAATTCACTGCTAAGAAACCCAGACTCAAAGTGGCTTAACAAGAAGAACATTTTAAATCTCACCTCACATGAAGCTTAGAACAAGCGTTGGGTTCTAGTTTCTAATACCTCAAGTTTCCAGCCCTGCTTCTCAGGTTTACTTGACTCTGCCTGTAACCCAGTATCAGCTAATTATTCTCAGTCTGGCTTCTCTTATGGAGCAGCAACCATGAAACATACCTCTCACCATCCATCTGGTTGCAGAAAAGATTTTTCTCTTTTCCATGGAGTTGAAGAAAGTTTCTCCTTGATTTAAATTTGCTTAGATTCATCTACTCCTGAGCCAATCATAAAAGAAGGAATAAAATTACTATGATAGTTTTATTAATATCTGGAGAATAATTATCTAGTACATAATGAATATTGAAGAGTCAATTGCATATTTCATGTAACATATTCGATTTTTGCATGTTATTACTCCAGATTTGCCTACACATATTCTAAATACTAATCACAACAACCACTTCCTGTTCCTTAAATGTGTCATGTTCTTCCTCCCCTTTAGTCATTATTTCCTTTTTGCCAAGAATGACCTTCACCATGTCTTCATCTGACTGATCTCAAGCATTCTTGAAAGCTTAGTTTAAGCATCACCTTTCCTAGATATATTGCCCTGTTTCTACCAGATGGAATCAAGAGCGCCTTTCTTATCATCTTGCTTGCCTCAAGCACAGTCCTTCTCAACCTCCTGAAAATTAGGATTACCCCGTAGACCATTTCAAAATTCTGATGCCCTGGAACCGCATCCAAACATCTGATTCAACTGGTTTGCAGAAGAGCCTGGATGTGAGATTTATTTGCTTTTAACTTCTCAGCTGGTTCTAATGGGAAGTCAAGATTTAGAACCCTGCTCTCGATCACTTGCCATATCCAATTATTAGGAAACATTTCTCTTTCTCCTCTACTAGGGTTTTAGTTTTTGAGGATATGACTATGTTTTTTTCCTTGGTAGCCTAAGTACCTAAAAGAACGTCTGATATAATGTTGGTGCTCAAAAGTTTGTTGATTGAAAATAAACACTGAGTTTCAAAAGACAGTTTTTTAAAATTCAATTTAACAGTTGTAAGCTAAATGTCTTCTGTGTACTAAACTCTATATAAGCTGTTGGTATACATGGTGGATAATGTACAGTCAGGTTTTAGTACAATTAATTTTCAGTTAGGTGCTAACAAGTTGGCAATTATGATCACAGTGTTAGTAGCATCAGGCCACTACATCTTAAATTACTCTTCCAGAACTGCGACCTTCAATCTAATACAGCAAGTCATTATTTCCTTAAATAATATTCCATTATCTTAAGTAATAGGTTGCATAATTAAAAAAAAATTAGGTCTTACAAGTATGTACTTCTGAGTATGTAAAGTCTAACTACAAATAAGTCCATCCTTTTTCTTTTATCCAAATATTTAATTTTTTTTTGTTTTTACCTAGGTTCCAAACAAAATCTAAAAGGTTTTGCATTGATTTAATATCCAGTGAAAGGCAGGTGTTCACTAAATGGAATGAGAAAAAATAAAAGCAGCCTAACTGCAGAAGTGTCTTTGAACCACAAATTTAAATTTTTAGTGGTTTTACAATCTTTTCAAGCTGTCAACGGAAAAACATGGCTTGACATTGAACACATACCAAGTCAGTAGCATAACTATTTTATAATGTCTGATTGGTCACTGAAAAAAACAGTTTAAAATTCAATCCATGTGATACAAATGCCACTTAGAAAAAGACCATTCATCCTGCAGTGCTGTAGGAAACCTGTGGTATAACAGTTCCCATTTCATCCAGCAGCAGAAGGGGTTTTAAAGAATTACAAATGGAATGGTTCCTAGAATCCTACATGTTGGGTATTATTAATATAAATTTTATCATCACAAAATTCACTATTAGAAGAAAAAAACATAATATTATTTTTTCACTCTCATGCATTAAAAAACTTCATTTTAAATGACGATTTTTAGGTTTATTTATGGGAATCCTTTGGGAATGTCCATTCCTAATTTCATTAGGTCATTCATTCATTAACTGAAATATGTTGAACACTTGCTATATTGTTTCTCATAGTGGAAAGGGTTGGCCTAGTCATCTGTCCAACTGGCATTTATATTAGTCATGAATTTTGTATTCTATTTGGAAAGTCTGTGTGTAGCTATTAATGGTTAGAGATTGCAGAATTACAGATTACCTGAAACAGAACTGGTTGTTTCAAAGCGTTTATAAGCCATATAACAAAACCTAAGTAATCAAAATAAAGCAAATGGTGAATTTTTTTAGATTAGAAACTATTCTGGAAAATTATGAAAAGCGAAGTGGACTTCATCCACATTTGGAAATCAGATTTGTCGCACATATCTCAGTATCAGACAAGTTTTGAGGACTGTAAATTTTGAATTTCTAAACTTCTGCTAACTTCAGCTAAATTTGAATTGTCTAATTTTGAGAAATCCAAACTCAGTGATTTTCTCGTATGCCTATTTGTCGATCTTACTTGTAGACTTTTCATTATTAATTAGCAGTTTCAAAGGGTAGAGACAAGGGGGAAAAAGCATGGACAAGAAAAGACAGCAGGGACAAGAAAAAAAGCATTACACAAATTAACCCATTTATGCCTGAGGTTGCAGTTTCTTGAATTTTTGCAATCAGGCTTTGGCGATGATCTTGAGCAGTAAGATATAAATAACTCCCACATGCTTAGCATTCCAATAATGGAACAATAGGCATAAATTGGACAGAATTTGCCCAATCTTGGTTATCACCTCTAAAAAATGATTTAATAGAAAATAAGTTTGAAATTAGTGTGAAAGCTTCAGATAATATGTGAATTGCAAGATCTGCTTTATTCCTTTCCCCCAATCATTGCTAAAAGTTAAGAATTAGTCCTACATGTAATGGTATGAAATTCATTCATGTTCTCATCTGTAAAGTAAAAGTTAAGCATTATAATTGACTTTAATAGTTATTATGGTGACGACTAATAAAAATTCCTGCAAGTATTGACAAGCCTTCAAGGATATAGCAGTTACGAGTTGCTAGCTAAAAAGTACTTTGAGACCTGGGCAGGAAGGTGCTTTATGGCTACTTTATTTTTTTAATGTAATTTGATTTACTTCATTCCTTAAGAGAAAACATTTTATTAAGGCTTTTCGTTCGTGTGTTTTTTAGTTGTTTTTTTGTTTTTGCAATAGACTTTATCTTTTAGAGCAATTTTAAGTTCCCAACAAATTTGATGAGAAAGTATAGAAAATTCCTGTATTCTCCTTCCCCACACCTCCAGATACAGCCTCCTCCACTACTAAACATCCAGCATGAGAGTGGTACGTTTGTTACACAATAAACCTACATTGATACAGTATTTTCACCAAAGTCTTACTTTACATTTGGATTCACTCTCCGTGTTTTATATTCTAAAGGTTTAGATAAATGTATAATGACAGGTATCCATCATACAGAATAGTTTCACTGCCCTAGCATACCTCTGTGTTCTGCTTATTCATCCCTTATTTTATCCAAATCCCAGACAATCACTGATCTTTTTACTGGCCCCATAGTTTTGCTTTTTACAGAATGTTATATTGTTGGAATTATGCAGTATGTAGCCTTGAAAAATTGGCTTATTCCACTTAGTAATATGCATTTAAGTTTCCTCCATATCTTTTCATGACTCAATAGCTCATTTCTTTTCAGGGCTAAATAATATTCCATTGTCTGGCTGTACCACAGTTTATTTATCTGTTCATGTACTCAAGGATACTGGTTTGCTTTCAAGCTTTGGCAATTATGAATAAAGCTTCTATAAACATTTGTGGTTTTTAGCGTCTTCAGGTAGATATCAAAGAGTGTGATAGCTGGGTCATATGATAAGAGTAAGTTTAGCTTTGTCAGAAACTGCCAAACTATATTTCAAAGTTTCTGTAGTATTTTGCATTCCCACCAGCAAGGAATGAAAGTTTCTGTTGCTCCATATTCCCTCCATCATTCAATATTGTCAGTGTTTTGGATTTGGGCAATTTTAGTAGGTGTGTCAAAATATCTCATAGTTGTTTTAATTTGTACTTCCCCAGTGTCATGAGATGTAGTACATCTTTTAATATGCTATTTTAATTTGTGTATCTTCTTTGGTGAAGTGTTCAGAACTTTGGCTTATTTATTAAATTAGGTTGTTCATTTTCTTATTGTTGAGTTGTAAGAGTTATTTTTGTATTTTGGATAACAGTCCATCAGTTAAGTCTTGGACAAATGTTTTCTCCCAATCTGTGGTTATCTTTTCCTTCTCTTGACAGTATGTTTCACAGAATAGAAGTTTTTTATTTTAATAGAGCCCTGTTTATCAGTTCTTTCTTTCATAGATCTTGCCTTTGGTGTTGTATTTAAAAAGTTGTGATCATGCCCAAGATCATCTAGAAGTTCTATGTTATTTGCTAGTAGTTTTATAGTTTTGTATTTTAAATGTATGTCAGTGGTCAGTTTTGAGTTAACTTTTGTGAAGGGTATAAGGTCTCATTCTAAATTCTTTTTTTTTTTTTTTTTTTTTTGCATGTGACTGTCCAGACATAGTAAGGTGGAACTTTTTTGTTTTGGGTGTTTTTGTTCATTAGTTTATTTTAGAGAGATGAGGTCTTACTTTGTTGTGCAGGCTGGGCTCCACGGATTCCCAAATAGCTGGACTACAGGCACGAACTCTGGTGCCCAGCTTAGTACTAAAGTTTTAAGCTTTGTTGGTTTGGCCTGTCTTTTTGTGATTAAGAACTTTATAAATTATATTATATTTATTTTAGAAATGTAATGCAAATGCAAATTTAACCTTAGCTGTAACTACTAAGGCCAAATAATCAAGAATTATAGGTACCACAATGTCTATGAAAAGAAAACCCTATATAAAGGCATTTGATAAGCATACAAAACTTTCACAAAAGTCAAAAGAAAACACACTGAAAACATTTCCCTATCACATTTTAAATTATATCTTACAGGAATTTTATTGAATAGTAATTTTACTATTGACTCAGGTAGTATTAGTGATTAATTATTAGACAAATATATACCTAAACCTAAATTTAAAAATGATGTCTCTAAACAGAATGGCATAATTTCCATAATAAAATCCAAGTCATTGCTTTTATGAAATGATGAGAGAAAGGAGGAGAAGGAGGGAAGATAAACATCAAACATGTTCAGCCTCTAATTTTAACAATGTCTGTATCAGTCACTGTATACTCACTAAAAACACTACTGCCAAAATATTCTAAATCTAGGGGCTTACTTTAGAAGGTTACTATGTATCGTTTCAATGTAAAAAATACCCACTTATCTTAAAAGGAAGTGTGATGGGAAGAGCTTTTAAGAGTTATTGTTTGATACTGTGATAGGCAAATAATGTCCTTTTCACTGTGCATTCTTAGGATGGAAAGTCAAGATTTGTGGCATGTGTGTGCATGTGTGCATACATACGCTTTTTTAGGTATGCGTATGATGGGAGGTGAGTAGATAATTTTTCTCCAGGATTTTAAAAGCTGCGTATTTACATCTCTTCCTAAATCAAGCACAACAAGAAGGTGTTAAAAGTGGTGAAATATAATAATTAACGAGGGGAATGGAAATCAAATGACAATAAAATTACATCATACACAGACGAGAGTTAAGTACTTGTGTAGAGGAATTAAACCGATTAAGGTTTTCCTGCATATAGCTCCATACACACATTACTTCCATAACTTTAAATAATATATTTTGTTTTTTTGTCCTGGGTGTATTATTGAAATAAGTACATTCCCTCTTACTCGTTCTTCTCAACCCCAGATCCATTTTCCAATCCCCCACTGATCCCATGTCAGCATGCTCTGTTTTTGACTAGACAAATAATACACAGATTTATTTCTACAGGAAAAACCTCTGGTAAAGTCATGGAGTGCCTACTTGAACGATATTCAAAAGGTAACTGCATGCTTTTGCTGGCCAGAAATAACTCACAGCAAATGAATTCACAGAGCAGTCAATGGAATTCTGTAACCCTCTTAGGGGAGCCATTGTACTATAAGAGAAACTTGAAGCAGTGAAGCAGCCTTTATATCTATATATATCTGTATATAGCTATATACACATAATACAGTGTATGTGTGTGTTCATATACATACACACATACATGCATACATATGTATGTACACACATACATACTGTATTATGTACGATAGAAATTATGGTAAGAATAAGTTAGACTATTGATCTGTGACAAATTTCCACTTGAAGTCATATGGTGTTGGCTTAATATTCCTTTCATTTACATTGTATTATTGTGATAATTTATTTAGAATGATTTTTATTTATTACTGTTGCAAGACTAGCAGTAGATTGAATGGCAGTAATTCTAAGACAAGAATAGACTGACGTTACTTCTTAGATGTAAATCTACAGATTGAAAGATTGGTACTATGAGATTTTTTGTTTTGTTTTGTTTTGTTTTGTTTTTGTTTTGAGATGAAGTCTTACTCCGTCACCCAGACTGGAGTGCAGTGGTGTGATCTCGGTTCACTGCAAACTCTGCCTCCTGGGTTCAAGCAATTCTCCTGCCTCAGTCTCCCCTAGTAGCTGGGATTACAGGCATGTGCCATCACACCCAGCTAGTTTTTGTATTTTAGTAGAGACGGGGTTTCACCATGTTGGCCAGGGTAGCCTCGAACTCCTGGCCTCAAGCAATCCACCCACCTCAGCCTCCCAAAGTGCTGGGATTACAGGTCCTGAACCACTGCACCTGGCCCAAGATTTGTATTTCTTAAACTGAATTCCAGAATTTATTTGAGAGAAAACACACACACACACACACACATACACACACACTTTCAGTGCATGAATAGCATTCTGTATTACTGGGATTAACTATAAGAGTTCATTTAACAAATTTCTTTTACAGAAGTCAGTTTAGAATTGGGGGCAGTGTTAGGGCTGAAAGTATGGAAAAGTAAAGACGGAAATAAAATTTTTTAGAAATAAAACTCAAATTTATGACATGGGAGAAATCATGAATTTTTCAAGTTAACAATGTTTGGCTATTGTTATATATATCATGGTTTAGCCAATCTGCACATCCATTGTTTTATGTTGACATGTCGTGTTACAAGTTTTGTGTTATTCTTGGCAGCTAGCACACTTCTGAAACTTTTGGTGACCATTCTGGCAGAGTATCTAATGCATCTGAAAACAAACAAACAAACAAAAGTAATTATTTGAAGGAAATCAAGGCACAATTAAAAGTGGAGACACATTGTCAGTTTGCATCAATCTAACTTAAATATGTCTCCTAAATCTAAATGTCACTAAGAATTACTAGTTTTTTGGGGTTTATTTTTTTTTTCAGCCTAGGAATTTGGAAAATCTTCCCTCCTTCCAAAATGATATTTCAGGGGATTTCCAGACCTTTCCCCCCTATTACATTTGATTGCTTTCTATCTCATTATTTCAAAATCTGATGTTTTCTAGAATATCTACACACTTACACACACACACACACACACACACACGCAAACAAAGTACATTTACATTGCATTCCCTTTAGCCCTAGTCATTTTTTTTAGGTCATCTAAATTTTGGGCTGGCCACTTTCTCACTTCATCTAATTTCTGGGATGGTCACATTTTTTACTTCATCTTAATTCTGGTCAAGGGCAGGATTTACTGTGTCTGGACAGATAGTGAGATAAAAAGGGCATGACAAAGGTGAAGAGAACACACTCCTGCCTCCCACCTCCCCTGAGAATATGTATCTCAGTCTATCATTCTTCCTTCAGAGTGATGCTCCTGGATATAAAAGGAAATGATCAGAGACTTGCTGCTGGCTGAGTGCGTTTGAGTATATAGGATTCCTCACAGGAATTGAACTGCAAGTTTCTGCATGTCTCATAATTATTATTCCTGTGTACTTTTGTGTCTGTAGATTATCAAAGGAGAAGGCAAAGGGGGAAAAGGGGAAAAACAGAGAAAGATATAAGTGGAGCCCTCTTCACAGCTTTTCTTTCTATTTGTTAACGGCTATGAAGATTCCTTAAAACTTGAGTGGGTTTCTGCGTTCTCCCTTCAGGAAAAGAAGAGATGGAAGGAAACTGTTGCTTCATTTTCTGTTCATGGAAGGGGAGAGAGAATATCTGAGTTTGGTGGGAGCAGGCACAGACAGCAGAAGGTAATTATGCAGCCAAATTCAGACTTGGGAGAAACACAACAACTGTGATAGGTGATTCCAGGACAGGGAAGTGTGCTCCTGACGGAACATTTTTTTTCAATCTGCATTTTTTTTTTTTTTTTCTCCTGGCCACCCAGACCACTTGTCCAGACGTGGAACTCCCAACAGTAGCTTAGAGCTCATACAATACCAAGCACTGCAACCGCGCAGAGTTTTCTCAGTTTGAAGTCACGGCTGAGGTGTGAAGGTGTCATCTGGATTTGGGATTTTGTCTGAATTTATCTTACGTTTAATAATTTTTTGGCAATGCTAGGCCAGAGTTATTCTTTATGCACAATCCATAGCTTAAACAGAACGTTGTGGGTCAGGTCAGAAATACAACCACCAGTGACAACATTGATTTTGTCTGCTCAACAAATATTTATTAAGCACTATGAGGATGTATTCCAATTTTCAAGCAAAAGTAGCAAGACATAGGCTTTTACAATTAGTGATTATCTGAATATGAGTGGCATTAAAAATGTGTATTGAAATTATTATTTTTTCAAGATATATAAAGGCTTAATCTCTTCCAGAAGATGGCAAAGAATGAATTTCAATTATTATGATCACCACTATTGATTTAATATGACTTCTTCAATTGGATGTGCTATCTTCTGCCATAAATATAATAAATAGAAAATTATATAATCTGAAGAGTATTTTTTCTCGTTCAATTTCTATAACATTTATTTTAAATTCACACTATGCCTTCTTAACTTGAAGAAAGCAAGCCTGCATTTGAAAAACACTATAACAAAATTTACTTCTGAGTCCAGCTTCACGTACTAAGAAATGTTGTTATTGTCTTATTGTAATGTTATTATTATGTATAAATTTTCACATCTATAATTACTATGCCATGTAATTTAAATATCTCTACATTGTCACAGAAATATAATAGTATAATATTGACCATTTGTAGATATGTATTTTAATTTAAATGACTCATGAAATTTGAGTTTATTTTAAGAAAAAAAGGAATGGATTGAGGCAAAATAATATTGATAAGTTGAAGAAATACCAGTGGGCAGTTAGAAGCACTAAGCTGAATTTCTGACTTCTTGTCATATTCTAATTATTTGTTTTGATTTTAAATTTGGAATATTTTAAAATACAATATTTTAGTATAAGAAAGTTTGGTTCAAAGATATTTGGGCATTTCCCATTACCCCTTAACAGTGTAATATTAATATTTTCAATATTATACTTGATACACTAAACCATAAAAAAGATTTTCTTGAACTAATCAGAACATAAAAACTCTTATTTTAAGCAAATAATATTCCAAACAGTAAGTCTCCTTTTATAAAGACAAATGACGGTAAACAGACCAAATCAGAGAGTTTGTAAAATTCTTATTATTATGATTGAAGGAGAAAAGCTCATTCGGGTTTTGGTATTGAGGCTGATACAGATACGAACGTTCTCAACGTGCATGATTTACAACTGCCATTATACCGTGATGGCAAATCTTCAAACAGAGTTGAAACAATTTTGATCATCCTCCCTCCCCATGAAAACAAAAAATGCTATCACAATAGAAAAAGAAGAAAAAGAAACATAATGGGTAACTGAAAGTCATTGACTTGATTTAAAATCTGGTCAAAAGATTGTGGCTCTCTGTAAACAAAGAAGCATAGACTGTCTCATTCTTTCCCACAGTAGTGTTCTGATGCAAGAGGATATATATTTGGGTTCCCAAATTCTTGCCTCCCTAAGGGAATTTAACTTCTATACAATTCTCAGCAATAAATATGAACCACCATTTCACACTGTAAAACATTTCTGTCAACATAGCAGATGCTAAAGATGATAGATTTGACTAAGAACACATCCAGATAATACAATGTATTTTGAGTGATTTGGAAAGAAAAGTAATCTCTGCAGGTGAAGAGAATATTCTAATGATATACTTAATTTAGACAACGTAATTTTTTAAATGTTTCTACCTTTTTTCTTTTCTTAATTTTAGCAAGGAAAAAATATTTAGAATGCTCCCAGAATTGAACTTTAAAGTAAAAGTCACAATGTTCAGCTATCTATTTTTGTTTTATATTACAGATTTATGCATGGCCTGCGTTAAATACCATGTGAGTTTTATAGAGAAAAGAGAGGACATAGACATTACCTTTAAGAATATCCCTTATTTGCTTTTAACATAAAATGTCAATCTAAAAACTAAACATTTTAGATGGCCTTTGTGGAAATTTTCAGCTATAACCATCAGAAAAAATGGGCCTGAGAAACACTGTCAATTTTTTTAATCCATTGAACCAAATCATTTTGCAAAATATTGTATTTGTACATTTTTAAAACTATTATAGTTTACATTTAGAATATAAAACAGCAGGGCATAACTCTTTCAAGTAACTTTCAATTTTTAATAAGAGAGTAGATCTAGGAACAAACGTCTAAGGAGTGTTTTATTGTTGTTGTTGTTGTTATTCAAGATATGACCCATAATACGTAGATGTGGAAAATCCCTGTTTTTCCAGTGGTCAGATGTTTTGAACTTGTGTTGACTGAACCATAAAAATGGCTGACTCCACCACTACAACACTAAGGAAATTGAACCTGAAAGATACATTTCCTTGTTTTGTTCCTGGGTTTTTTTCCTTCTGAATTACTTGATTTTCCTAGGAACTTCAGAATCTCTTTTACTATTGTTTTGAAATTATTAATTAACCTCTCAAGCAAGTGAATAAAATCGATGTCACCATTTAAGGTGAGAAAAAGAAATGCTCTGCCGCACAATTTATTATCCTTTTTTAGCACTGCATGATTTTAAATCAAGGTTTAGATATTCTGGAATGGAAAAATTGCACTAGAAAAGAATAAATTTATAGCTACAGACTCAAAGGGCCTTGTTCCCTAAAGAACCTCTGCTTCCAAGATCTTTCTGATTCATCACAAAGACCTAAATGTGGGGAGAAATATTTTTAAAAAGTTAAAAAAAGAATAATTGGAAAATATGCTTAAGTGTTGGAGAAGTGAGAGTCTGTCAGGAACAGAAATAGACAACTTAATTATCTAGAACAATAAACACCCAAGAGTAATTTCCAAAATATATTGACGTTTCTGAGAATTTTCTAGAAAATTAATTCTCGGTATGTTTTCTAGCTAAGAACATTCCCCACCAGACTGCAAATATGAAACTTGTTTTTGAATTTCTGAGAAAAGAAGAAGGAATGTTTTTATACGTAACAATGAATCACATCCTGACAGCGCCATCTACCAGTCACAGTTCAAACTGCAAGGGAAAACCGAGTTCTAAAACAAAGCTTCTGATTTTAAGTAACCAAAACAATTTCTGAAACAATATATAATGGTGTCTAATATATGAAACATTTTATTTTGAATTCTTCATTTAATACTTTTATTATGTCCTCATAATAAATTATATAGGGGATTTCTAGTTAACCAAAAGAATATAATCCCATAGTCCTTGAATCATTATTTTTAGATCCCTGTGGCATAGAAAAATATAGCTTCCTAAGCTAATTACTATCTCAAAGTTCATTTTCCTTTCATCACTACAAATATGTTCTCCAGGAAAATATAGTGCCCATAGTTTGTCTATGTCCTTCTAACTGTGTTGGTATCTCATGCAGTGGATACTTTTATGACTTCCTGTTTCACTGGCGTTCTCATGGTATCCTAAGGTCCAGAAAAATTCTATCTTTTATCCTAGCACTGATTTGAGCTTGCAATTTAAAACACTAGGGGTTAGTCTGTATTTTTCTCTTGCAGAAATGGAAATAATTGAAACGACACGTTACTAAATCATTAAAGCATTACCACAAGCTGTTTTGGTGTAGTCGTTTGGTTTGGAGCCTGTGGAATGAAAAATGCACTATTCTGTTTTACCTTGAAGCCCTGCTTTAGTTAAAAGACATTACAGTCTCTCATGAGTATGTGGTATAAGCTTCTCTGTCCAAAACCAACAGTCAGTTGGCTCCACACTCACTCATTTCCTTCTCTCCTCTTCTTCCTCTTCCTCCTTCTCTTCTGACAGAAGCAGAAAAATTACTTGAGCATTTTGAAATAAATGTCCTTTTGAGGCCCAAGATGTCTACCACCCAATTGGAAAAGCAGGAAAGACCATGTAAACTTGAGAACCAGTGCAACTGGTGAGGCTGAGGAGCAAGCATGTTTCCAAGATGAAGCACAAATGCTTTTATGGGTAACTGAATTGGCTGTGGCATTAGGATCTACTCTAAGGATTCAAAAAAAATTATTTATAAGCATAAATAGTAAAAATATGTAAACATTATGTACCTCAAGGTATTTTTTTTTACATGTAACCTCCATTATAGATTGCAAATGAAACAAAAATTATATTTGTTAAATCATAAAGCCTTATTTGGTCGATTTCTTCTTTTAAAACTTCAGGAAGTATTTTAAAGAACCAGAAATTATATTCCTCTTTTTTTTATCTTTTAGGGAGAAAGAATATTTAGTTTGTACTTGTTTGGATATCAGCAACATAAAGAGCTTTTTCTTTTTTGGAGAGAAAAATTTTTATACCCTTAGCTGACTTCACACACACACAAAAATCTGGTACACAAATGTAGGCAATTTAAACTAGTCACTTGGGTGAAAATCTCTCCGTCTTCATCTCATTCAAAATATTACCTAAATGTAATCTGAACCATTTAGAGTAGCTCTACTTAAATCCTGTTATGTTTTCACTAGTAAAGACTGATAACCTGATAGTTCCCAAGGCTTTGATGCTTACAGTTTGAATACCAAGTTGACATTACATGCTCTTTTCTAAAAATCCCCAGGGCTATATTAGAGATGAGATAAGTAAAGATGTATAGAACTGTGTAGAAATCTGTGAGTATCTTCGAACACAGTACTCTAAGTGAATATCCCTATAGGTTTAGTCATTCTCACATTAATATAATCTTGTTACTGGTGGTTAATGAAAGACAATGAAAACTTGGCCTCAAAGTTTTAAATACTTATACATTTCTTTCGAAGTAGAATTACTATGAAAATAGCATTTATTATACATTTAAAAATACTTCAAAGGTGTTAATTTTTAGAGGTTATGAGTTCATTTTTTCACTCATCCTTGCTCTCTAACGTATACTTAGAATAGTATGCCCCTAAAAGGCTCTATTTAGGCCATCATAATTTCTTCTCTGGGCTATTACTTTACTCCCTAACTTAATACCTAACTTCAGTGTCGCCATTCTTCTTCCTTTGCACAGTAGATTGGTTTTTCTAATCTCCTTATCCTATCATCAGTGCATAAAAATACACACAGGCCTTCAACAATGTTCCCTTATGATGGCACTTCATCCCTCCACTTCTCCATCTCCAACCTGAAATCCAGCCACACTGGATTCATGACAGTTCTTTTAAAGGCTTTGCTCTCTCGCTTCCTGTTCCCCACTCCTACCCACCCATCTCATATGTTTAGGACATCTTCATTCGTGTTTTAATGCCTACTAAAATAAAACTCCACAGAGAATCTTTCCTGACCTCTTGAACCCTTCTCTTTAACTCCCCACGTTTCCAATTCACACTGTACTGCAACCCCGTACTTGCAATTCAATAGACTGTAGGACATTTATGGGCAGAAAGCACGTGTGATCCATTTAGAAGGATAGCGCTGAAGGCAAGGCCTGGTAAGAGAGAGTTCTCACTGTCAGTTCACTGGATAAATGAAAGGATGTTTGAGTGGACAGTCAGATCAACTCAGTAACTTTAGAAACAAAGAAATTGAGAGGTAGTTTGATTAAAAGGCTTGTCTAAGGCCACTTTTTGAAGGAATGGCACCATGACGCCAGGTGACAATGATCATTCAGGGCTCCTTCCCCTTATAGCTCGACAACAGTTCCTGAAAAATGTCAGTCTCAATAGCATTAATTTAGGACTAAATCTTAGCTATGTACAATGTCCCAGTAAGAATAATATTCCATGTTTGTCCTTTGTGTTTAAACAAAGTGTGTGATCAATTTGAATTTAGTGTCCTCTGCCCCATGCCTGAGGTGGGGAGCACAACTTTAGAAACTGTGAGTGGCAGCCCTTCTATGAGCAAGAAGCTTGCACACTTAGCTCTCTTTTCCATGGTTTCTTCAATACTTAGGATTTTCCTGACTTCCTCCAGTTGTGTTTTTTTTCTTTTGCATTTTTCTTTTTTAAGTTTGGAGAAGTACAGCCAGCTGGCTGGAGTCTGCCTCCCATGTGTTCTTAATAACTATTATTTCCCCAAGGGCTAGCTTATGCTTCTCAAACCTGGCTACAGATTAGAATCTCCAGGGTAACTTTTGAAAAAAATACCAATGTGTGGACCCACAACCAATAATTCTGATTAAATTGGTTGGGGGTAGATCTTGGGCAACAGTAGGCTATCAAAAACTCTCATCTGATTCTAATGTGTGGCTAGACCTCGCCATCTCCACTCTTGACTTTTTCAAGAGAAATAATGAAATGGCCTGGCATTCTATTTAATTTGTATATCGCTTCTGTCCACAGCTTCCAGGGCAGGGGATGTTGCATGCTCAATGTATATATTCTATTCAAATGTGGAATGAATAATGAAAAGATGGTTCTTTCCTTGTATGTTATTTTGGATATGTGGCTGGTCAAAGACTCCTATAAGGACCAATAAAAAGGAAGGATCATTGGATTCTATACTGTCAATGTCTGACTTTGTCTTGGAAAAATTGCACTGAAGTCCTATTCAGAGTTGGCTTTGGAAAGCCCCTCCTTCCCCCAGGAGGGTGAGGCAAGTGGTGACAGAAGTTGATTACAGAACAAAGAACCATTTTCCCAATTTCTCTTTAATTCTGAGTATTTTCTTATCAAATTCCCATTCCTCTACACTTATTCTTCCCTTGCATTGAATATGTGATCTGAATAGGTACTAGATCAGTGTTATTATAATTTCTAATTAAGTTGTTAAGCTGTTGATATTAACATAGTAGAAGACTAATGAAAAGTGAACAACGAGCTGTTCTTGGCATAACAATAGAAAAGCGGATAGCACTCTGGCACCTTATAACTACCTAATCAGTTACTGTCATTTATGGAGAGACTGATGGTTCTCTTGAGATATTAATTTGGGTTTGGGGGGCGGTTAGGGAAAGAACATGTTGCTAATGTGTGCTAGTCAATTCATTTATATTTTCTATGCTTCTTTTTCAGAGTTCATCTGTTCCACAGTATCAGCTTACTGAGCAACGTTATCCAGGGAGCCCTATACCTCTGGCCATTGCTGATTAGACAAGAATAAGCATTTGGTTATTTGTGACAAACCTGATTTTTTTCCAGTGATTCATACTAATAGTGCCAGAGATATTCCGAGGTATTCAGAGATATTGACACCTTAAGGTTATATATTCTAAGGCCAGTGGCCAATTTCATCTATGTTTAAGTTAATAATTAAACAGGGAAATCTGGTGCTATTGTGTGGTCTAATAAATAAAATATTCTGAGTATTTGGCTTAATGAGCATGCCTTGGAATGAGTGGCAGATAGAGAAAGGAGACCAGCTACCTGCTTACTTTTTAGTTCCTGGGAGTCCCGGCTACTCTTTCTTTCAGTCAGTTGGTGAGATTCCCTTGTGTTCATCGGATACATTCATTTTTTCTTAGCTAATTTATGTTCATTAAAATAACACTATCCTTAACCAGGAAGAATAATAAAGTGTTCCGTAACATACATATTTAGATTAGTCTTCACTCTGAATTTCTTTTGTTTAAAGTGATTCAAAGAAACCATTTAGCTTTAGATTGACACATTTCCAGGGGAGGATTTTCACCTAAAAGAACAGACTGTGGAAAGACCTACGGGCTTATGTGATGAAGGAAAAACAAAGAGAACTCAAAAGATGAGGAAAGAACTTGAAAGTTAAATTCTGTTACTTCATATCAGTAAGTGATTTCTTCTATATAATTTACACTGTAATATTCTTTAAATGAACAAAAATATGTATATTTGTAAAAGGCCCTATGCATACACTAGTAAGAAATGTGTTAAAAATGAAAGAAAAATGCTGACATGCCTAGGAATGATTATGATAATGATAACGATTGTAAATATTATGGGCCAGACACTCTACCAATACAACAAAAATAACAGCAATAAACTTTACATGGATGATAACATTGAATTCTAACAACAGTTTTATGAATTTAGAAATGTTATGTCTATTTTATGAATAAGGAAACCTAGACTTAGAGCGGTTAAATCACAGTCCAAAGTTATACAGCTGTAATATGGTGGATTCAAATTGCAAAATCAACTGAGTATTGTTTTAGAGTCCGTGATCTTAAGCACTCTGCTTTAATATACTTAGAGGAAAACTTTCCTCAATTTCTGGAGATGAAGAAATGGAAAATTATCCAACCTAGTGGCAATGCAAACCATCTGAGAAAGGAGAGTCTGGGAGTGTGGCTGTCTGAGACACATCATTTCATCCCAGCCGGTGCTCTTGGGAAGAATTAGGACTTTGTAAGAAATACTTAATTTGAAAAGGATTATCTTGACACTTCTGTGGAAGGTCGACCAGAAAAAAGAAGATACATCATAAGACTATTTTAGTAATTCAAATGAAATGAAAATGTCCAGTTTGGGGTTATAATTATCAAGGTTTATAGAAGCTGGTAAAGGAGAAAAATTGTTACAGATAATTTAAAATTTTGAGTCTGGTGGACTGAAAAAATAATGATGCCATTGGGAGCAAAAGTAAAATTATAAAGTGTCTGTTTTTTGATGAGGGAAAAAATATATTTCACTCAAGCTGTGAGCAAAGATGTGAGATAGATCTTTTCTTATTCAAGTGAATTATCTTCCTGTTCTGTTCTAGTCAGGCTTTCTGAGTGTGCAGGTCAGCATCTCAACCTCAAATTATTCTTTTAGCTCGTCTTATTGTGGTGTTTGTCTTGTTCTTTGAGACTGTGTCTTCTTATCTCATATCCATTCTTCATTAGCTGGATAGTACACTATCTTATATGCTGATATCCTGTCTTGTATCTCAAAAAGATCCACGGTTATGGAGGCCAGTAGCTTAACCCAGTGGTTGGAGATTCTAACTAGTAGTAGCTCTTCGGTGCCAACTTTATACATACTTGGATTTTGACTTACTGACTGATACGCACAATTCTTGTAGTGTCATATTGTTTACCTTCCAATATGTCAGCTTGATAACTTGCCTCAGATAACCTTGATTCTCAAAGGAACATCATCATAGATGTCTACCAAGTTTCCAAAGATCAGCCATTTCCAGTGGAGCAGATTGTACTCGGGCCATAGTCCAAATACTTATTTTCTTTAATTTCCCTGTATATTCATTATGCCTTGATGTTACTTAATAGATCAGATATATTTATTACACATTTGCCTATATATTAATACACATGTGCACTCTGATCTATTTATTATGTTTATTAATTACTTTCTTTGTTTTCCAAAATTGGAATCATGCTACAAATATTGGTTTGTTTTTTAAATGTTTATCCACTTACTCAATTATCATATTTACCATTTTAGATTAGTACCTCATTATTTTTAATAGTTTTATAGTAATTTTTAAATATAGGTACTATAATTCTTTATCTCATTTTATTGTTTACTGATATTAAGCCTGCAAATAACATTTATAATGAATATCGTTTATGCATAAGTGTCTCTGATTGCATGTGTATGTGCTGTAGAGGTTAGACTAATGTAACTGAAGAATAGATTCTTAGATTTTTGATTTCTGGGAGAAAGAGAGGACAATCTTAAAATTATATACATATTCCCAGGTTACTCTCCAAAACCCATATCTACTCACACCAAATATTTATGACTATACACTCTGCCCACCTTTGCCCACACTGAATATTGTCGAATCTTTTTATTTAAGTAGCTAGGTAAAAAGTATAACTTTATTTTATTAGATTAATGAAGTTGAACATCTTTTTATGTGTTTCCTTCTATTTATATGTCATTTATATGTCTTCTAATGTCAAGTTGCTTCTATTTATAGGCCATTTATATGTCTTCTAATGTCAAGTTGCACTCTTATTTTCTTTATTTTGTTATTGAGGTATATATCTTTTCATTTCATATGAGCTCCCAAATTTTACTAAATTTGAATGCAGAAGTTACTCTTTATTAATGTGCTAATTAAATGTATTTCTCTGTTTAAATGTATTTTAAACTATATTTTAAATAAAGGTACTCAGAATACAGCACATTGAAGCAACCTTGGAGTGATTTATTTTAGGATTGTTCATTAAGTAAGAGCTACATGGAGAAACAGACTTAATCTATCTAACGGCACATAGAAGTACAACAAACTCACAGCACACACCTTCTAGACTTTAAGATCATGTAAAAGATGTCAACTTTGTACTGTCTGTTCTTAATCATTGCAGTATGTTGAAAGTGATTTTAAAAATATTTAGCAGACATAATTGAAGTATTTACAAAGAATAAATGAAATGAGATTATGCTTGCCAGAAGTCCTATGTTGTATACATTTCTTCATATGTTCTATTTTTAAGGCACAGTCAACTTTCAACATATTCATGAGAGGCGTGTATAAACAAATATACTATGTTATCTCCCAACAAAATATTGTTTCACAATTTCATATTGATTTTCAATATAATAGAATTTGTGCTGGGAGTTTAAGACTAGATTTACAGGCAAGAATGAGATTTCAATGACTATGTTTTTAATGATAAAGATTGAGGAGTTGGAAACGAAATAGAAAATGAGAAAGTATAGCTGGAGAGAGATGCTCAAGGAACAAATCCTAAATTGCCATGGGACTCAAGATAAATTGACTTATGCAAAGCAAATTCTTCACTCATTTCTCACCTTTCTGTCAGCCCAATATCGCTTAATTCCTCTGGAAATCAGTAGAGTTGAGTATGCCTGCAGACATATATTAATAAAAATCTCTATCTTTGTTTTCTTTTTCTTTTTTTTTTTTCCACGTTAGTCAAGTGGATCAGCTAGAAACTTTCCTCAACACTTCTGTGTATCTGGGGTCATGAAAAATATATTTCTGGCCCGGCGTGGTGGCTCACGCCTGTAATCCTAGCACTTTGGGAGGCCAAGGCGGGTGGATCACGAGGTCAGGAGATCAAGACCATCCCGGCTAACACGGTGAAACCCCGTCTCTACTAAAAATACAAAAATTAGCCGGGTGTGGTGGCGGGCGCCTGTAGTCCCAGCTACTCGGCAGGCTGAGCCAGGAGAATGGCATGAACCTGGGAGGCGGAGCTTGCAGTGAGCGAGATCTCACCACTGCACTCCAGCCTGGGTGACAGAGCAAGACTCTGTCTCAAAAAAAAAAAAAAAAAGAAAAATATATTTTTAAGAGAGCTTCAGTGGAGGTAAATTCTTGCTGCTAAAGAATTGTAGCCAATACACATGTCCATTGCCTTCTAAGTGAATAGTTGGTAAGCATTCAGGGTAAACATTATGTGTATTAAAATCAATCAATATGTATAAACTTATGAATGAATATTCAATATTTATTGTGTATTTATGGTATGTTAAAGAACATATTGACGAACAAAACCAGAAAGCTTCTTTCATGAAACTCAAATATATTTTAATAGAAATATGCTCAATTGGTTTTACAGTAATATATTAAAAATATGATGGCATAGTATAAATCATGGGCATTGGGGTCTCACATATCTAGATTCTTGTACCAGCACTGCCACTTACTGGCTACGTGACCTTGGGCAATTTATCTGACCTCTTTAAGTGGTCTTAATTGTGTTGTCAGAGATTATTTCCTCCTGTCATTTAGAAGGTGTAATGGAAAAAACCACTGGATTAGAGGTAGAATCCTGGCTTAAGGTTTCCACTCCTGGGTCCAGCACCACCCTGCTCTGGGTCTCAGTTTCCTTATGTATGAAATAAAGCTTTGGATAATGTAATTTGCTAAGCCTCTTTCATATTTTAGGGCACAAAGAACCTTTACTTTCACACTTAATTTCACATTCATGAGGGAAAATTAGCTTCCTTAATGTTTCCCCTTCTTTTATTTTTTAGATCCTACTGCAAGGCTGTAGCTTCAAATCTAGGAGCAAAATATGTTGAAAGCTTTAGAGTTTCAAAATCATTTATTTACCAGAGAAGACCTTTGCCATTGGATTTCAAACAATGGTAGGAGTGGTTTTAAGAAACACAGTCTACACTACAATTTTTTTCCCAAGGGCTTTGAAAGAAAGGCCTCTCCTTCTAAAACTTACATTTTTGAGAAAGGTGGAGCTGAACCCTCATCTGTAGAAAACATCAGTCAGAATCTATGATTCACTGCCAGAAGCCTTATTTTGGAATCTTTTCTTAATAACAGCCCTGTATAACAAAAAGATGCTTTGTATTTCAGCAATGCCTTTATTTAGACCACCTTTCCAATGTATTTATAAACATGTCTAAGAAACACAGGCTATGTCTAGACTATCGAAGCAAAAAGGCACCAAAATCAAACAGAAACAAAAGTAGAGCATTGGTGAACTGGTATGTTCAGTAGTCTGAACATCCATATTAGTTTATTCCACTGTTAACTCTAATAAAGATTGTAGAGAAAAGTATAACTTTTATGGCAGCAGATTTTTATTTAAGTCATTCCCTATCAGTTTGGACATTTTCAAAACATATTTATTAACTGTGATTGGTGCTGATAGCTTAAAGAAATGTAGGTTATTCAGGGCTTACCCACATGAAAAGCTAAAAATCAAAATAAGAGTGTCTGTTCAAATCTTTTGCCCATTTTTAAATTATGTTGTTTATTTTCTTATTATTGAGTTAGAAGAATTCTTTATATATTCTAAACACAAGTTATTTCTCAGATACATGTCCTGCAAATATTTTTTTCTCAGGTTTTTGCTTGCCTTTTTGTTTTTATAACAGTGCCTTTTGAAAACCTAACAATTTTAATTTTGATAATGTCAAATGTACTGAGTCTGTTCTTGCTTTTTGTGTTATAGTTTAAAAAATATTTGCCAAGCTCAAGGTCACTAAGATTTTCTTTTTGTCTTCCAAAACTTTTATAGTTTTAGGTTTTTGATCCATTTTGAGTTATTTTTACGTATGACATAAAATAAGGCTTCTTTTTTTGCCTATGGCTATAAAATTTTTCCAGTAGCGTATGTTGAAATGCTTATCCTTCCCAGTTGAAATTCTTGGGGACCTTTGGCAAAAATTGATTGACCATAAATGCATGAATTTATATTTAATGTCTATAATCAATTGATCTGTTTTCCTATGATTACAGCAATACTCACTTTCTTGATTACTAAACTTGTATAATAAGTCTTCAAATCAGATAGTGAAAAGTCCTTCAAAATTATTTTTCTTTTTCAATGATGTTTTCATTATTCTAAGTTCTTTGTATTTCCATATAAATTTTAAAACAAACAATTTCTACAGCAAAGTCTACTGAGATTTTGACTGGGCTCGCATTGAATGAATTTGCAGGGAATTGATGTTTTAACAATACTGAGTCATCACACTCTGAATGCACCATATTTCTCCACATATTCAATCTTTAATTTATGCTAGGTATCTTTTGTAGTTTCCAGTGTCTAGAACTTATACCTCTTTGTCAAATTTATCCATAAGTAGTTTATATTTTTATACCATTATAAATAATATCATTTTATAAGTTCATTTTTCTAATTGCTCATGGCTAGTATAATAGAAATATAATTAATTTTGTAAATTGATCTTGTATCCTGAAACCTTGCTAAACTCATTTACTAATTCTGATAGTTTCTTTGTAGATTTTTTAGAATTTTTTACATAAGTGATTGCCTTTTATTTCTTTTTCAACCTGATTACACAGGCTGGAATCTCCAGTAAAATGTTGAATAGAAATAATAAAGAGTGTACCACTTTGACCACTTTGCTTTGTTCCTGAATTTACAGGTATAGTATTCCGTCTTCACCATTAAGTACGATTTGAGTTGTTAGTTTTTCATAGATTCCATTTAGGGATATTTAAGGAGTCATCAGACTCTATGGAACACACACATGTAAGATTATTATTAAAAGGCAACGGATTAGATACAGAAAGAGAAAGAGAATTGAGGCAAGCATCAGATACCAAAGAGACATTCCACAAGAAGTTTCCCCGGGACCACTATTCATATTCATGTCCCACATATGTAACAATCTGTATCTCCAGCCATGCTGGACAAAATGGTTAGGCCAGTTGCAAATATCAGTAAAGAAACTGATTTTGAAGGCCATTAGGAGAGTTTTGGACCTTAAACAGCATAACATAAATGCCATTACTCTTATCCTGACCAAGAGTCACAAATGAGGCATCCTCAGAGATTAAAAAAAAAAAAACAAACAACAAAAACAAAACAAAACAAAACAAAACACAACTTTTTCAGTCTAGTTGTAAAACAACTCAATCTCCTCACCTTCTCAGTTTGAGGAAGTTCACTTCTATTCTTGGTTTCTTCAGAGCTTTTATTAGAAACGGATGGTGTGTTTTATCAAATAACTTTTCTCCAGCTATACAGATTACCTTTTTCAGCTGTTATTAAAAAGAATCACATTGGTTGAATTGAAAATCTTAAACCAGGCAGGCATTCCTAGAATAAAGCCCCATTTTGTCATGAGATTATATATGAGACATGACATATATATGACATATTATATATGTCATGAGATGCGTGTGTGTGTGTGACATAAACATTTGGTAAAACCTTGGTAGAAATTTTTGCGTCGATGTTCATGATGGATTTTCATCTCCAGTTTTCTCTTATTTGGCTTTGGTATCAGGATCATAATGGCCTTATAGGATTGAAAAACATTCTGTCCTCTTCAATTTTCTAAGAGTTTGTGCAGAATTATTATTCTTTCCTTGACACTTTGGTGGAATTTCCCCATGAAGCTATCTGATCCACAATTTTTCCTCATGGAAAAGTTTAACTATAAGCTCAATTTATTTAAAAGAGTTACGGCTTTTTGAGTTATATTTATTTTTTAGTGAGCTTTGTTGGTTTGTGTCTTTCAAGGAATTTTTTCATTGAAATTGAAATTGTTAAATTTGTCATAAAATGTATTATATCTGCTTATTATCCTTCTAATGTGTGCAAAATTACCAGTGATGTCACCTCTCTCATTACTAGTTCGGTAATTTGTGCCTTCATTTTTATTTTTTTAAATCAATCTAGCTAGAAATGTATTTGTCTTCTCAAAGAAGCAGCTTTCACTTTTATTGATTTTTCTCTGTTTTCTCTTTTTACCTTTACATTTAGTATTTCATTTCTTCTGCTCTATTTGGGATTGATATTTTTCAAATTGTGTTAGTTTCTTAACATGAAAGTTTAAATCACTGATTTGATACCTTTTCTCTTTTTTAAACATAGGTATTTAGTGTTATAAATTTGTCTTTAAGTACAGTTTTAGTTACAAGCTAAACTTTTGGTATGTTTTCGTTTTTATTCAGTTCAAAAAACTTTCTAATTTTTTTTTATGTCTTCTTTGATCCATAGTTTACTTAGAAGTTTATCTTGTAGTTTCTGGATGTTTGAAGATTTTTCTAATATATTAGTTATTGGTTGTTAATTTAATTTTATGTTGGTCAGATAACATGCTCTGTATAATTTGAGACCTTCCTAGAAATATAGAGAACTTTTTTATGGCCCAGAATATAACATTTTATGGTAAACGTTCTGTGTGCACTTAAAATGAATATGTACTTTGTTGTTGTTGAATAGATTGTTTATAAATATAAATGAAGTCTAGTTGGTTGACTTCTTTAAAGAAGAATGCAATCTTATCCTACATGTGTGAATTTCTCTGTTTTTCTTGCAGTACCATCATTGCTTTCTTTCTGTATTTTGAAGCTGTGTTACTTGGCATACACATATTTTGAACTGTTATTTTCTATCAGTTGACCTCCTATATCATTATGCAGTGGTCTTCGTTAGCTCTTTTAATACATTTTCTAAAAGTTAAAAAGAAGATTCTTACTATGAATCAGTGCTTCTATTACCCTTCTGAGGAAAGTTATAATGTGATATAAAGGCTACATTGAAAGTTCTTCTTTAAATTAACTATACTTTATTCCTAAAATTACAAAGAATCAAGGTATTTAACAAGTCAAGTGCAATAAATTAAAATGTTCTTTTAGCATAAAGCAACACTAGAAAAAATAAACATTATAGATGGAAGTTAAATAGTTTTCAGTGGCTCCTTTGAATATTTTTTATCTCTGAAACCCACTCTGTCTAAAATTACTGTAGTCATTTTAGCATTTTTTCATTAATATTAGTATATATTTTCCCATTCAGTTATTTCTACCCCATTGCTATCTATATACTCAAATTAGGTTTTTTAAGGCAGTGATAAGCAATTCTTGCTACTTTATCTAGCAATATCTGCCTTTTGAGTATTTAGACTATTTATATGTAATGTGGTTATTGATATTATTAATTAATACTGTCTCCTTACCCATTGTTTTCTATTTGTCCCATTTTTTTTTCTTCTTCCTCTTTCCTTTCTTTTTTTTTTTCTTTAGGGCTAATTTAGTATTTTTATGATTTCATTTTGTTTATTTTTATTAGCTGTAATCCAGCAATTTATGGCAAATCAGCATATGAAAAGATGTGCAACATCATGAGTAAGTAAATTCAAATTAACACTACAGTGAGATATTACTACTCACTAGAATCAGTAAATTTCATTTGGATAATAACAATAATTCAGATAATAGTTAAATTAGATAACAAGTATTGGTAAGAGAGTTAAACAACTGAAATTCTCATACACTACTGGTAGAAATGTAAAAATTGTACAGGCAATTGAAAAAACTGTTCAGAAATTTCTTAGAAAGTTTAACATATAATTACCTTATAATCCTGCCGTTTAACATCTAGGCATTTATTCATGAGAAATAAAAACAGATGTTCAGATAAAGATTGTACACCAATGTTTACAGCACCTTTATTTATAACAGTAGTTTGAAAACTGTCTGGGTGCCTTGGCTCATGCCTGTAATCCCAGCAGTTTGGTAGGCTGAGGCAGGTGAATCACCTGAGGTCAGGGGCTCGAGATCAGCCTGGCCAACATGGCGAAACTCCGTCTCTACTAAAAATTCAAAAATTAGCTAGGCATGGTGGCAGGTGCCTGTAATTTCCACTACTTGGGAGGCCAAGGCAGGAGAATCGCTTGAACCTAGGAGACAGAGGTTTCAGTGAGCTGAGATCGTGCCATTGCACTTTAGCCTGGGCCACAAGAGTGAAACTCCATCTCAAAAAAAAAAAAAAAAAAAAAAAAGAAAAGAAAACAACTTAAGTCTTGTAGACTTGAAATCATGAGATCCATATATTTGGAGAGGAGAGCTTTGTTTCTTATAAAGGGTTTCCGCCTGCAGGCTGGCCACCCTGCAGACTGGGAAGCATAGCCTCCAGCAGAAATCAAAAGCAGGTACTTCAATGGAAGAAGGATGAGACAGGAATTTATACTGGACAGGATGGCTAAGTATACATATCAACAAGTTATAAAAAGAGTTATGAATATTCACAAGGGACACACATATGCTAGTAAGCAAACATACATATTACATATGTCACATGTTCACTTTAGGATGGAGAATTAACATTTAAATGTATTAAAATTAGGCTGTATACATTAAAAGATGACAGACATCTTGTGGGCAGCCTCTGTATCTGGCCAGAACCAGTCCATGGCTGGTAGTAAAAAATCAGAAAGGAATGTGCTATGAAACTGGTGAGCTGCTGTGTAGAAACTACAAGAAGGGAGAGGATTCCAGCTGCAGTGTCCAGCAGTTGGCTGAAATCAGCAAAGGAGTGAGTTTTCATTTCTTTATTTTTCCAGGGCCAGTTTCTGTTTAACCCTTAGAAAATAATCTAGTAAAGATTGGCAAGGAATGAGGTACACCAAGAGGTACTCAACCTCCCACCTTGTCATGACCAGGAAACTCAATTTTTCAAAGTTTTTCTGGAGTCTTCTTGGGCAACAGGTGTCTGCTCAGTCAGTTGCAGGGCTTAGGATTTTATTTTTATTTCACAATCTTTACAAAAATGTAAATTGATAAATAAGATAGAATATCTATGTAACGAAATTATACTCTGCAACACGGAAACATATGAAAATAATTATGCTGAATATAAGACGTCAGATGAAAAAGAGTTCATAGTGAATGATTCCATTGTATATAAAATTTCAGAAAATATAAATGAATCTATAGTGACTGAAAGCAGATTAGTGGTTTATTGGGTTTGGGGGATGCTGGGGAGTGTTGAGAGGGAAGAATTACAAAGCCTGATGAGAAAATATTTGGGAATCATGTCTGAGCTCATTATCTTGAGTGTAATGATAAATTCTCATCAGATGATTGATAGATGACAGATACATAGATAGATAACTAAATATGTTATGTCAACTATAGCTCGTTAAAATTATTTTGAATACAACAAGATAGTTTGAACAGAATTCTAAGTACAAGGTAGAAAAGAAATTTATGTTATTGGAGGACAAAGGAATTGGTGATCACTGAGAACTGGAGCAGGTACCGGAGATATTTTAGAAAGTATGAGACTTAGGCTGTATGTTGAAGGCAATGGGTGTGTTCATGAAGATAATTTATGATTCAAAAAATGGGCCCTGTTTTTGGATGATGTCAAACACCACCAGTTTCCTATCACTGTACATAGAAAGAATACGCCTCTATATGGTGCAAGCAAAAAACAATTGTATTCAATTTCCCTTTTGCCCATTCAAAACTTTCTCACGAGGCTAGTTATTTTCTGTTCCTGGGTGACATCTACAGCAGTCCGCATGTTGTAGCCTAGTCGTAGTTCAGGAATTAAAATGTCCAGATAATTTAATTGTCTAAACTCCCAATTTTATTTCTGGTCAGTGATCTTTCTTCATCCCTCCTTGTTGTACCTTTTCAGGTACGGAGCCTGCAATGAAAAAGGGAATGTGTCTCCATCATTTCTATTTTGTAACTATTGCTTCTTTTTGTCCCCAGGTTTCTATCCTCTATAGCATAAGAAGAATTAGAAAAAAGAGCAGTGAGCGAAGAAACATTATGACTTGTCTGTTACTGTTGTGATCCTGCTTTAGGAAACGTTTACATCTGACTCTTTCACGAAGTCCTACTGCACTTCCCCTGACTTGGATAATAAATTGTATTATTTTTCCCTTCCCACTCAGTCTTAGATTTCTGAAGATATATCCCTTTGGTTGAGATCATATCAAACCTGCAGATGGTCCTCTTCATCACAGTTGAAATCAATCTCTGACCCGTTATTTCTCACTTGGCACAATCCCTGTATCACAAAAAACACATTGCAGGGAAGTCTGTGATGGCTGCTTTGCCGCTCTCTTTTCCTGTTTCTCTCAGAGATTGCTCAGGAACCTGTATGTTCTGTTTTTTGACTTCAGGAGCTGTATATATATATATATATATATATATATCTCCAGGAGACATATGTATTGTATATATATGTATATACATGTACATGAATGTATATATAGATACATTTATATCTTATATATACATTCATATACAGATACAGATATACAGATACATATATCTATACATTCATATCCACATACAGATATACAGATACATATACATATGTATATATCTCAAGCTCTCTAGGTGATTAGATTAAAGATCCCATAGCTGACTTCAGTTAAGGCTAGGGCACCCTCCATTCTTTTTTGCCTCTTTGAATAGAGACAAAAAAAAAATCCATAGCAGTTCAGCAACTGTATAAAAAAAAATCCTCTTAGCTCTTTAACCTGAAAAATGTTGTGCTATAAAGGATATGTAGCTAGAGTTCAAGAAACTGTTTGCATTTTTGTTTCTGCACTGTTTCCTTTGCTAGTCATATATAGGCAGTAGTATATCACCTCAGTGTGGAATGTGGAAGCACTTGCCTGCTATTGTTTTCGTCTTGGAATTTGAAGTCTCCACCAAAACTAAAAAGAAAGGTTTCCATTTGAACATCCTGTTACAAGAATGTATACTGCCAAGGATGTGATGTAATTGAATTTGACTATCAAATCTGTAGTTCTCAGAACATAGAATTGCAAGAGGCATCACTTATGAGCAACTTGCAAGAACGTGTGATTAGTTTGGGTATTTAATTTTTTGTTTATTTGCATTTATTTCAGACTCTGTGCCAATATGCTGTTAAGATTTATATTGAATAACAAAACAAGATTATGAATAATTCTATAAATGTCAAAATACTAGCAAGCAATCTTATTAGTATTTTTCCGTGAAAGCTATCAAAATAACGATGTTTTGAAAAATAATTCCTTCCTATAATATCACAGATTTATCTAAATTGACATTCAAATCAAAGCTTGTTTCTTGCAACTAATAACGCATGATTGGTTATTTGGGGCATGGGATAATATGACTAAATGCCAAAATGTCTTATTATGTCTTGAAATTATTAGTGAGAGTTTAATGTAGAAAAGTTCATTACAATTCACAACACATTAAAATAACAAAGCCTTTAAAACTTTTTCTTAAAGCTAAGGAGAATATGTATAAGTTTGTTAGAAGGGGGTGTCAAAGACAAAAATTCAAACAAGTAAACTGATTTTATTCAGTCTATTACAATAGGGAGAACACTCCAGATCTGAATATCAGAGTTTCTCAGCAGGGTGATTTTACTTTGGCATTTATAAATAGGAATAAACAAGTTACAGGTGGACAATCATCCAGTTGGGCTTATTTCTATAATCAGGGAGTGTCTCAATCAGCTGAATAAGAAATGTTTATTTCTGTGTCTAGTTAATATCACGGGACAAACATTTCACCTAATCATTGGTGAGCCAAAGAATGGGAATTTAGAGCTTTTGTATCTGGCCTTGTCATAGGTAAACAAGGAGCTCATCTGTCAGTCTTAGGAGAGTCACAATAAATAGTGGACATCAAATCTTATCTGAGTCATATGGGGAAAGGTGGTTCTTTGCAGTAAACAATTTCCTGGAACATAAAATGGTGGGGGTTCTGAAAAACACAAGAGTGGGGAATGATCCTTAACCACAACTGTGTTCTGGAGCAAAGCGCCCAGGTTCAACATTGTAAATCTTACCTCTGGACAGGTATTAGGAAATTGATTTAGCAAACCTTCCTTTATGTGTTAAAGAAAAAACTAATGAAATTGTTGTGATTTTAATTTTTATCATTGGTACTTTGCAAATAAAAAAAAATTTTGACTTTCAGTCCAACATGTAAAGACTTTAAACTCATCAATCCCATCCTCATAACCAAAGAAAGCTGAACAAATTGAAAGTTAACAATGCTACTGAATTCCATCAGAGAATTAAAGTCCTGAAGAAAACGAGGAATACAGAGAGTCACAATTTGGCAGGAACAGAAGCAGTCAGAAGACATGATCTGGTAGGAACACTTACAGGGAATTGACAAACTGTTGAAGACTGACATGGACTGGCTCAAGGGGTAAAACCTCCTGGGGCCAGCCTTGAAGAAGCTGTCATATGTTCTGGAGGTTCTGGAGTGTTTACCTCCAGGGGCCCACCAGGTTCTCAGCGTGAAGATCACAGGAAATACTATCAAGATTCTGGCAGAGGAAAAGGAAAAGCAACCATTTTTAAACATCCCCATAGTCTTCTGTTCTTCCTAACAAAGTCCTGCTCTATTTTATCAGAACTTAAACAATTTGGGTTTTTCCAGAGACTGAAGGACCTTGGGGAAGGGAAATACCCAGTTCCAGCCTTCTCTAGCCTTCCTGTCTCACCTAAAGAGGAAAACAAGGCTGACAAGCACCTTTGAAGGTCAGGGACCAAGGGCAGAAGCCCACTAAAATATTAATCACAGGAGTGTAGAACACTTCCCCTCCTCCCACACATTTCCAATTAGACTACTGAATAGTAATAAGGGATTACAGCTGAAATAAGTGCAAAGCTCAGACTCTACTTAAGAAAGAGTCTAAAAGGAAATCCAAAGACAAAAGGAGGTGCAATAACAAAGATACTAGAAGAAAATTTTAGCCTCTGACACCTGTAGATACAGCCTAACCCCAGCCAGATAATACAAAACTTCATACTAATGGCCTATTTATTTCAACACCTTGTACCTGATATGTCACTTCTGGCTTTGAACAGCAACAGCAAAATCACAAGGCATGCTAAAAGGTAAAAAATAATAATCTAAACATACAAATTCAGCATCACAATTAGATTTAGAGGTGGCAGAAATTGGAATTTTCAGTCTGAAAATAGAAAATAACTATTAAATATCCTAAGTGCTCTCTTGAAAAAGTAGACCCCATATAAGAAAAGATGGATGCCATAAACAGAGAAGACACAGAAATTCTAAGAAATAATACAAAGTATATGCTAAAAATAAAAAATTATATATTGCAAGAAAAAGAAAAAAAAAATTCTTTCAGTGGCCTGATAGGCAGACTGGAGGCTGAGGAAAGAATCAGAGACCTGGAGACATATCAATAGAAACTTCCCAAACTGAAAAGCAAGGAGAAAAAAATGAAAAAATAAACAAAATATCTAAGACTGTTGGACAGTTACAAAATGTGTAACAAACATGTAACTGGAATACTGCAAGAAGAGAGAAAGGAATAGAAAAAAACATTTGAAGTACTTAATGGCTAAGAATTTTCCAAAATTAATGACAGACGCCAAAACACAACACTAGGAATCTCAGAGAACACCAAATAAGATAAACACAAAAAATACATACCTAGGTATATAATAGCCACACTGCAGAAAATCAGAGATAAAGGGAATATCTTGATAGAAGCCAAGGATGGGGAAACCCAAAACATCTTAACTATAGATGAACAAGGATAGGAATTATATCAGATTTTTCTATAGAAATCATGCCAGTTAAAAGAAAGTGGAGTAAAATATTTCGTATTGAAAGAAGAAAAGCACCAACCAAGAATTCTATAAAGAATAAAATTATCATTAAAAAGTGAAAGAAAAATAAAGACTTTCTCAGACAAAAATTGAAGGAATTTGTTGCCGGTAGACCTGCCTTGCAAGAAATATTAAATTATTTAGGTCAGAAACTCTAACTATACAAATGAAGGAATCGCATCAGAAAAGGAATTAAACAAAGGTAAAATAAAATTATTTATTTTTACCATTCTTAATTGATAAATGGATTTGTTTAAAATTCTAATAGCAGCAATATATTTGGTGATTATAGCTTATGAGTAAGTGAAATCAGTAACAGAAATATTACAAGGCATGGGAGGGAGTAATTGAGAATGCTTTGTAATAAGGTACCTGTACTACACATGAAGCAGCACAGTGTTACTTGAAAATGAACTTAGATTACTTGTAAATGTATATTGCAAACTCTAGGGCAAACACTAATTTTTTTCTGGGCCACGTAATGCACTGTAAAATAGAAGGAATAACAATCACACAAAATAAGCTCTCAGTTCACAATAAAATTAAACTAAAACAACAGAATGATAGTTGGAAATTCCCCAAATATTTGGAGATTATAAAACAGAGTATTAAATAACAGACCAGTCAAATAAGAAGTATCAGGAGAAATTAGATATATTTGAACTAAATTAAAATGGAGAAAAAAATCAAAATTTGTAGGATACAGTGAAAGCAGCATTTCAAAGGAAACTTATAGTATTGAATGTGTATATTAGAAAAAAAAAACCTGAACTCAAAAAATCTAAGCTTCCACATTAGGAAACTAGAAAAAGAAGAGCAAATTAAATCCAAAGTAAGAAGAAGATACAAAATTACAAAAACTAGAGCAGAAATCAGTGATCTTGAAAACACGAGATCAATACATAAAATCAATGAATCCAAGAGCTGTTTTTTTTTAAAGATAAGTAAAATTTATAGACTTCTACCCAGGTTAATACCCCTGCCCCCAAAAGAAAAGAGAGAAGACACAAATGACTAATATCAGGAATGAAAGAGGGGTCATCACTACTGATCCTTTGGATATTAAAAGGATAATAAATAAATATTATACATAACTCTTTGCCCACAAATAAACCAGATAAAATGAATCAATTTCTTGAAAGATACTGCTCTTCTGGGGACACAATTTGAGAAACCTTGCTTTAAATGAACTCAGATTGCCATGATGTTTAAATTTTTCTGTCAGTTTTTTTTAACAATCTTCATCCTTAATATTGAAATTCCATTTGTCATTTCTCCTTTATCTTAAAGGAATAACAAAAGCAGACACCTACAACTGTATATCCATTTATTCATCCTTTAAACTTGTCTATCTGTGTCTCACTGAACACTGTGTAAGATGCAGAGGATTGTGTTGGCTAGGGATCATTTGGTAGCAGTGAGAAAAAAGTTTTAGTCAGCTGAAGTGGAAGAAGGAGTTTACTGGTGGGAATCAATCCATCTCACAGAATTTACAAGTAGCGAGTACTGCTGGGTCTAAGGAGGTGCTAAAACCAGGAGCTAAAAAGTTATTATGAATCTAGGTGTATTTGTGCTTATTGCTGTCCCTCTCCCTTTCTCTCTCTCTCTCTCTGGCACCACAGGTCCATATTACATCTCCTTCCTATTCAAGTCCCCAGTTGAGCTGACTGGAGTTATTTTCTACCAATTACAAGTGTCAGGGAGAGATAGTAAAATGCTCAATTTTGTCATCTGCGACCCAAACATCTGTGTTTTAGTCAGCCTCCAGGTAATTCAGATACATGCTAGAGTGTGAGAAACCTTGGGCCAGAGCAATTATCCAGGAAGGAGGCTTCTGAGAGTTGTTGGCAGCCAACATTGACTGCTACAGCTCGGAGATGAGTGCACCATGGGTGCAGTCAATGGAAGACATCAATGGCTTCCACTACAGGTGCTAAGTGCCAGCTCCTCTCTTTTTATATTCACTTAGAAAATTTTACTCTAGGACACAAAAAATTCTAAGAGCAGAGGAGACAAGTGTCCTCTAATGTGTCCTAAAATTGATAATAACCGTAAAAAGTTATAGGTCAAATAGGAAAAGGAGCACTGTAGAAGCAGAGCATCTTACAGTATCTTAAGCATATTACAATTTACAATGGAAAACTGCAGAGTACATTGGTCTTTGAACAGAGCAGTCAGAGAAATTCTACCACTGAATAGCATGGCCTCATGGGCTGAGTGCTTGTTAGATATGTGACCCCGTTGAAGCACTTCTATTGAATGTGTTTGCAGAACAAGATAGATGGACACTGTCAAGACCCACATGCCCTCTCAAGGGGAACTTCAGAGTTCTGGGATAGGAAGCTCTTCATTCATGGATGAGGAAATCCATTTACACACAAAACCTCAGCACAAGGTTCATCAACAATTCTCTGACACAAGAGAGATAACATTTCTTGGAAGATTTGGAAAAACAAATATCCTAAAATAATTTATTAAAGAAAATAGAAGATTTTTTGAGAAAATTTACTTAGTGTTCTATCTTACAAAAGATAGAGGAAAATATTGCCTTAATTCTTTCTAAAAAACTGACTCGAATATGTCACATGATATGAATTATAAATGAAGACTCAAACTATGTTTTATTGGACTCTCCTATGTAAACAATAGGATGAAATGTAATTCACTGGAGACCTATCAGTAATCTTCATGGGGGCAAGTATGGTGGAAGGAATGGGCACATCATTGAACCTACTTTGATGTGCAGAATCATTCTATCCTTTTATAGTGTGATCTAGCTCATGGGCCAAAGGAAACAATTTGCTTTTCTCTGTTATTATTCACAAGTCCTACAGCAGGGTTTGCTACCAGATTCTGAAGTCTAATAAAATATTATCATGACTGGTTAAAAATAAATGACTGATGTCTACTGTAAAAAATTAGCTCATATAGTACCATTCTAGGAGGTACTATTAACAAAGTATAATTTAGTAAGTCCTATATATTATGATATAATTTACAAATTTGTACTCTAGTCACCACTAAATAAGCCTAATAACCAAACTTTCATAAAAGTAATGTATAATTTTCTCTGATTAAATACATTATTACAGAAGGCAAAAGCAGATTTTGCCAAAGTATATTCCTTTGACACTCTGAGTTGCATATGATTTTCATAAATACTTTTATGCATTATATTGAGTTCAAAATCCATGGCATATGTTTAACATTACATGTTGAAGAAATTCCAAGTTTACATTCAATAGTTAAAGTAAACAAATGCTTAGAAACACATAAAATTTTTATAAACTGTCACTACCTAACTGTCACCTGTCAGTGTAAACATTTTAAAATTAACAGACATGTAATCACTGGCTGGAGTGATCACATGAAAACCATGGCCAGATAAACTTTGGGAAAATGAACATAAATGTTTCATGCAGATAAAAGAAGACAAAAAAGAAGATGGTCCATTACAATTTGGAGAGATCACAGCTGACCCCCTTCCTGCTTTGTGTGCTGCCTGGGCAGAAAAAAACAGAGCCTTTCTGGAATCTGAAGAGGGAGAGGGGGTAGAATGGGTGTTCTGCCTGCGGTGGTCATCCTATGGTAATCTAAGAAGGTCTATGTGTCTGAATTGGCCAATATGTGTGACATACTCCACGCGTACATTATGCTGGCATGCCCAGAGTTGTCATGACCTAAGAGCCATCAATGTGTCTTGACTCTTGAGTATCATATCAGTCATCCCAGACTGCTAGTTCATCCAGAAGGAAAAAGATGGTCAAATAGGTGTTTGATAAGTGTATCAGTAATGCCTTTTTTCCAGCATCCTTTCGTACCTTGGAGTGGTTCTGCCCTTGCAGCCAGAATGTTGCCAAAAGCAGATGGCTGCTAGGTGAGATGTTTTAGTAGCTCATCTTAGAATTCAAACTCCTGTTAATCAAGCAATATCCTTCTGTCTGGGTACATTTGAACTGTCTGCCGTTCTCTTCTCCAGGCTAGTAGGCAGGGAATGGATATATGGAATGTAGTGTAAGCCCTAAGTAATCTGGATAATAGGAATCTCTTTATCCTCAAACTGTCTTTCCCAAATTATCTATCTTAAAATTAGGGGCATGTGGATATTCTGTCCCCAGTAGTTACTCTTTGTCTCCTCTAGAATCTGAGTAAATCCAAGTCATGGTTTTACCAGTTGTTGGTTGAACAACTCTTTTAACCCCTCTATGCCTTAAATAAATCATGTAAAGCAAGGACAGCAATAGGGATTTAACAGCAAAAAAATTTACAAGCCCAGCTTCACTATTTTCTAGCTGAGTGACCATGGGGAAGTTATTTAACTCCTCTGTGGCTCAATTTCTTTCTGTGTAAAGCATGGATCATAATAGTTTCTATTTCATAGATTTGATATGAAAATTAAATGAATTAACGCATGTATGTTACATAGAACAGACCTTGGCACACTGTAGACACTATATAAGTGCTTGCTGTCCTTACCGATACTATCATTATCATCATCATCATCATCATTATCATTGCATTTTCCATACCCAACTGAAGAATTTTTCGTGTCATCAGTAGATATCTCTGCCCTTATTTGTCAATATGATCATGTAAAAATTATACCTAGGTTAAACTTTTTTTCTTATGGAATCTCACTATGTCACCCAGGCTGGAGTGCAACGGTGCAGTATCAGCTCACTGCAACTTCCGCCTCCTAGGTTCAAGCAGTTCTCCTGCCTCAGCTTCCTGAGTAGCTGGGACTACAGGCACCTACCACCACACCCAGCTAATTTTGTATTTTTAGTACAGACGGGGTTTCATCATGTTGGCCAGGCTGGTCTTGAACTCCTGACCGCAAGCGATCTGCCTGGCTCAGCCTCCCAAAGTGCTGGGACTACAGGTCCAGGTTAAACTTACTTTTAAAAACTTACATAGATATAGAGATAAATAATAAAATATATAAGTAATATTTGAATTGTGTTTCAGTGGGCTATTTTTTTCTCCCTTAAAATGTATGTGTTTTTAAAAAGTATAAGAGTATCATTGTTAATAAAAATATAAACTTAAAAAATGCTCATAGCTGACAAAGAGTAATAATGAACATCTGGAAAAGAGAAGTATTATTTAATCTGTGATAGTTGGACAATTGGCTAGCTTCTGTCAAAATAAATATCTAAAGAAAAAAATTTGGCCAGGCGTGGTGGCTCACACCTGTAATCCCAGCACTTTGGGAGGCCGAGGTGGGTGGATCACAAGGTCAGGAGATTGAGACCATCCTGGCTAACAGGGTGAAACCCCATCTCTACTAAAAATACAAAAAATTAGTCGGGCGTGGTGACACATGCCTGTAGTCCCAGCTACTTGGGAGTCTGAAGCAGGAGAATCGCTTGAGCCCGGGAGGCGGTGGTTGCTGTGAGCTGAGATCAGGCCATTGCACTCCAGCCTGGGCGACAGAGTGAGACTCCATCTCAGAAAAAAAAAAAAAAAAGGAAAAAAATTTAAATGTTTAGATATCAAATAACAAGAAAATAAAGGAGAGACTTAACAAATTTCTGAATAAGGATAAATTTTAGAAGGTTAAAGTAACAGAAGAACTCATAACAACAATACTTCAGACAAGGTGAGACTATTAGAATGGTGGATTGAGGAACTTGGTAGATCCTCTCTTTAATAAACACAACAAAATATCAGCAAAATCAACATTTTTGGAACTCCAGAAATTAATCAAAGGCTTACAATACTCTGAAGAGCAATTATATTCCAGAAAAACGACTGAACTTTGTGATGTCTTAACTTGGCTTACTCCCATCCCCTTGTCCACAGAAATGCAGTTTAAAACCACAATAAGATACCACTCACGCTTACTAGATTGATTGTGATAATAATTAAGACAGACAATAACAAATATCAGTGAGGATGTGGAGAAACAGGCCTGGTGGGAATGTAAATTGGTGCAGCCACTTTGGACTATGGCTTGACAGTTTCTCAGAAAGATAAACATAAAATTATCTTTTGACTCAGCAATTCCACTCCTAAGCACCTACCAAAGAGAACGTATTTCCACACAAAAACATATGTTGATAGTACCTTATTCATCATATCCAAAACCTGAAAAACTGCTAATCAACTAGATAGACAAAAAAGGATGGAGAGACAAAATATGGCATATTCATACAATAAAATATTATTCAGTAATAAAAACAATTGAAACATGTTATGTCATGGATGAACTTCAAACATGATGCTACATGAAACAAGCCAAACAAAAGATACCACATATTGCATGATCCCATTTATAAGAGATATTCATAAAAGGCAAATTGTTAGAGAGGGAAAGTAGATTAATTATTGCCTGAGCTGGGAATGGGGAGGGGGATTAAGTGTACATAAGGAATGATCCTATTGGAAGGCTAAAAATCAGTTATAAAACTGTTTTATGTGATGTTTACACCACTCATTAAAGCTACCAGTGATCATCAAACTGTGTATTTGAAAAAGGTGAATTTTACGATATGTAAAATACACTTCAATAAAGTTAACAACAACAAGAAAATGTTTTAAGCTAATTCCCTGTCCCATAAACCAGGGGATATTTTGCTGGGTGCATTCTGGGACCAATGGCCTAGAGTCCTGGTTACGCAAAGAGGCAGGATTTCAGTTGCCAATAATGTGCTGTGCCTGGCATGGACAGAGGAAAGAATTCATACATCAGTGTCTGGTGGAGTCTTTGAATAAAAAGCCCATTAAAAATGGCCTTTCTTTAAAAACAGAGTTCTGGGTGTAAAGTCAAATTACTGGATGACAGAGAGCCAAATATGTGTAAGAAGATTTAAAGCCAAATTTAGGAGGCAGAACAGGGACAAATTCTTAAAATAGCAGAGAGATAGCTGAGCGGCCTTGGACAGCTCCACATGCACTCTAGAAGAGTGTTATGTTCACTGCCAGGCATAGTTCTTCTCTTAGATCTTAAGTAAGAATGTAAATGTTCAAGGACCAATAACCAAGTGAAAAACAAAGTAGAACTTCGTTATTCTAGACAAAAACCTTTTGTCACTGAAGCTATACTTGAGAAAAATTCAGATTATAAAACAGTTTTGTTTCTTCAATTGAATCCTTCATATTTTATCTTTCTCCTTCAACAAAGGGTAGGATATTCGCTGTACAGTTCACAACCATTCATTAAGAATTATCAAGCAAGTATTATGCGTTAAGTACTTGCACTTGGGATATGACAGTAATAAAACAGACCATAACTTTTTCCCTCGTTGAGCTTGCATCCTCACAGAGAGAGGGTAACAAGAACATACAAATAGATATAGATATCAAGTTAAGTCATATAGAGATTCTACACAAAAATATAAATAGGGAAGGGGTGTGAGCAGCAAAACAGGAAAGGCATTGTGATTTTAGGGTGGTCAAGGAAATGTCAAAGAGAAGGTGGGACACTCTGGGAAGGGTCATCCCACTGAGTGAGGCAATCTCTGCAGTGGTTGACAACTGAACATGGCTCACCAAGAGCACTCCCAGCCACACTGGCAATGTCTTTCGTTAAAGAGAAATCCAAGTCCACCATGTGCTCCAATATTCTCAAACAATGAAATGACCAGAATGAGTTATTTACCTGTGATTTAGTTATTAATCTCCACGTATAGGTGGTTACACCCCATGATAGCAAACCCAGATGAGGGAGTAACAGGAGTGTAATACGTGATTGCTAAATTATTAGGTGTAGAAGATAGTATAGGAATCCAAAAAATGTAAGAAGAATGTAGAAGGAGAAATCATCAAAACGTAGACAGATTGCAACATGGGCATTTGCCATCTCTTTAATTGTTAGGACTCATAAAATATAGATAATATTATTGGCATACTGTCTCTTTTTATTCTCAAGTACTTTAGGGTACAAGTGAAAAATTGCAGTCATATATATATTTTTAAAGTTCTATTTACTTCAAGTCAGTGCCAAATTCTCATTATTTAGCATTTATTCACATTCTAATGCAAGACAATTTAAGCTGAATCACTATTATCACAAAGACTTTTCAAGAGTGTATATCTTCAGAAATAATAATAACTAACATTTATTGAGCAATTTCTACATGTCAGGCATTATGTGGAACACTAAATAATTTATCTCTAATAAACCCATATAACAACTCACCAAGAATAGTCTAGCATTAATTATCCTTATTAACATATGAGGAACCTGAGGGTAAGGGGGCCTAAATGACCTAAGTTTACACAGCTACTAGATTGCACATCTAGAATCCAGTCTCAGCCGTGGAATTAGATGTAAAACTCTTAAGAGCTTTATTGCAAAGAATCCAGTTTTGTTTTGTTTTTTTTTAGATGGAGTCTCGCTGTGTCTCCCAGGCTGGAGTCCAGTGGCGCGATCTTGGCTCACTGCAAGCTTCACCTCCTGGGTTCACGCCATTCTCCTGCCTCAGCCTCCCGAGCAGCTGGGACTACAGGTGCCCGCCACCAGGCCCAGCTAATTTTTTGTATTTTTTAGTAGAGACGGGGTTTCACCGTGTTAGCCAGGATGGTCTCGATCTCCTGACCTCATGATCCGCCCGCCTCAGCCTCCCAAAGTGCTGGGATTACAGGTGTGAGCCACCGTGCCGGGCCAAAGAATCCTGTTTGATGGCAACAAGAGATACACTCCTGATAAGGGCTGATTAACAGAGATGACAGTCATATGTCAATGATCTGAGGAGCACTCCCCAGTCTAGCCTCAAGCCTCAACTGCAGTTCTTTACCTCAGATATTGAATGGGACAGTCACCCACAATGAGATCATCCACTTTGGTGATGGGAATTTAGAGAGCCAGGAAACTAAAGACTTAAACAGTAACACAAGAGGTGATAATAATTTGGTGAAAACTAACAAGGCAATTCAGTTGCATATAATTTCACAGAAAAAAATTATGATCTTTAAGACATGCTGTACGATAGGGTTAATTCTCTGAAGATATATACAAAAATCAGTCCAGCATTGGAGGAATGGAATGCAATGTTTAACAAAAGTAAATTGCTGAAAAGTTGTCATTACAAAGAAACTCTGAAGTGTGCAATTGCTTTAGCTAAAGCAGATGGAGTTAATCATGCCATGTTCAAGATTTTTTTTCACCTCCCCTTGAAATAATTAGCCACAAGACTATAAGTACATTTTTCATGTCAAATGGACAGTGGCTTCAAAGAAATTGGAGGACAGAACTCTAGGAGAGAGTGAGAAAAGAAGATTGACTGGATGCACGAAAGACAAAATATCAACGTTTTTTGTGTAATCACTGAACATGTGTCAGCAAGTATGAGGTCACTTTTTAACTGGGAACAATACAACTAAAATAGGTAGTTTGTTAAATAAGAGAAGCAATGAAGTGGAGCTCATCTTGCTGATCAACTCAAAGCCTTGCAGAATTTTGGGGGCAACATGGAATTTTAGTTAAATCTAAACTCAAACAACATGAGTTAAAGTAATGAAACTGCTAGAAAACTAATATTAAATACGATGCCTGAAAATGAAGAGCAAAAAACCTAATTCAAACCCTACTCAAATCAAACTTGATGACATGTCTTTTGGTCTGAACTGCACACTTGGCCTAATAGTGGCAAGGTTAGGTGTGTCAGGAGAACGTTTATATTATGGAGGGCCTAGTAGAAGCTCTCTTATTGAAGGCTATCAGCCTGGTATTAGTTTAGTTCATCAAAATGTCCATTATATGACTTCTGCCATGGTCATTTGAATCCAAATCTTTAGTAAGGAATGGTTAGTGAGTTTTATCCAATTCAGTTTGGTTGCTCTCAGATTCTAGTTACATAAGCAGAAAAATAGGCATACTTCTGAGTTCGCCTTGCTAGAACTACTTACTGTCAAAACCTGTGCAGGGTATCACCAACCAGAAATAATCATCATCATCATTATTTTCTGGTCAAAGCGCTTTATATAGTAACTCTTGTAATTGTAATAATAGTACGCTGTGAGGTAGGTCCAATGAGTATAGCCTCATTTTACTAATGAGCAAGCAGAGGTGCAGAGAGGTTAAGTGACTTCACTACATCACACACTAGTGAGTAGCAGAGTTGAGACTGAAATCCAGTTATTGCATCTTCAGAGTCTGTGCACTTAACCACAATAATATACCGTTGTGACAGCTACGTGGAAACCACTTTACTCTAATATGTGCATATTCTCCCTCCTGGCTCTAACCACAGGCTTCTTACCCACTATTGCTGACAATTCTGTGGAGTATCTCTTTTTGCTTCTTCTCTAGGGTGATCCAAGTCAACGTTTATGAGAATGCCATAACTTACATGTAGCCTCAATGGAATCAAGTTTCTTTTCTTCAGTATTAGAGAACAGGATCCTGGAAAGCCTAAATATAAAGTCAATGGAAATTTACCCCATTCAAAAATACAGCATCCTATATATCATAACATAAAAATGCTCAAAGGGGCTATATCTAAGGTCTACTCATATAACTTGAAAGTAATGATTCAAAAATGTTTTGTAAAAACTCACAAAAAAATGTTCTAAGCAGTTTTGGAATGCATAATTGATGTTTGTGGTACCCAGGGACAAATTAGTCATTCAGAATTTCAGAAAGGAAGAAAAGCCCCATGGGTGTTTCTCCAAATATTATTTTACTCCTTTCTTTCCTATTGTCCCTGTTTATTATAATGACCTGTCAGAATTTTTTGGATAGCACCAGCCTTTCGTCACATAGCTAAGACCACTTGAGAAACACCCGAATGTTCTGGTGTTCCCTCGGTATCTATATCCAACCCTGAGCCTGGTCAGCAATGATACAAGGAGTTGTAAATCAGAGAAGTTAACTCAGTTCTGCTGTAATCTAGGGCTTCTCTCTTTCTGTATCCAGCAATAATACTCTAGACACATGCTCGTAAGTCTTAGTCTGACTTTACAAGCTTAGTCACTGCTGTAGTGGCTTCTAGGGAAGTCATATGTCTTCCCTTGCTTGCCCCTTTCCCAAAACGAAAACCAACCAGGGTTCTACCTTTTGAATTTGAGTCTTGTAACCTAAGGATTTAAACTCCTGCCTATCCCAAACATTGATGAGCCCCAGAGAAACTGTGTTTCTAAACTCCATTTTGATAACTTTTTGCATTTTACTTCTTGGCAGAATATCCTGATGCTTACTATTGCTTCAACCACTACTTGCTTCCTATTGTCATTTATTTTTAAAAAATGCATAACCTTGCTATATTGGAGTTCTTCTGATCCATAACCTGGTAGATGCCATCCTCCCCAGCCATCCTGTCATGTCCCCTACTCTATGGTAGGGCAGCTATTTATTTTTATCATGGTCTTCATGTTCCTTGACAGTAACATTAGAGTTACCAAATCTATTTTAAGTCAAAATAGACTTTAAATTCCAAAGGGGCAGGGAGGTTTACTTTCTCTTTTTCTTTCTTTCTTTTTTAATTTTTGTCTTATCATTTGTTAAATTCTTGTTGTACAGCACACTGGTAAATTACCTGGCATGTAGTGGACTCTCAGAAATGTCTGTTGAATAATGAAAGGAAGGAAATGAAGAGGGAAGAAAGGATAGCTGTGAAGCTTTAAAAACTAGAACTCATTCAAGAAGTGGTAATGAAAGATAAAGTCCTATTACAATTCCTGGTTTCTGAATTAAAAAAAAGTACTACATTTTGGCAGACAACTTAATCTGTTAGTGATGACATTGAGGTCAATGGTCATTGACAATGTAATAATAATTAAGATTTAAATATTTTGGTGCTACTAATTTTATTTAGAAACTAATAGTAACACTTAGATCTCTGATACTAAGAATAATAAATGCTGCACGGTGAGCAGGAAGAACATGAAGTCATACATTTTTCTGTTCCAACTCAGCTTAAGCTCTTTCTAGTTGTGTGAACATGGATAAGTAAATTAAGCTCTGGAAAATCTACTTTCCCCATTATAAAAGGGGACTAGTACTTCTTAAGTAGGTTTGAATATGTTACCAATATTTGCCTCTAGGGGCAAGGTAGAATATTTTATTTAAGTGTTAGAGGGGAAAAAAAAGGAATAATGTTATTAAGAAAGTTTAGTCACTTGAAAAGATGTAAAAGTTTGTATAACATCATTTTTGTATGTTAATTTATAAATGAAAAAATAATAAAAGTATATTTTTCCACAAAAGCTACCTTGAATTATTTCTGTGTTGTGGGCTTATCACATTTTCGTTGTTAAACACTTGTATTTATCAATATGTATGAAACTCACAAATTGAAAACACATAGATATAAGGAAAAAGGGAATTTAATATGTGTTAGATCAATGTTTTTAGCACATTTGTTTTCCTGAATAGGAATAACTGATAGATAAAAACTTGCCCAAATTAGCATATTTGTTTTAATGTTATTTTAAAATCAATTAGTAGTATTTTAAATGAAATGTGACAGAAGATAGTTTTCACTATCTGTATTTTCTAATTCTGGATTTTAAACTAATCAATAATATTGATAATGAAGCACATACATTTTTCTTTTTTTTTTTTTTTAAACGGAGTCTTACTCTGTCGCCCCGGTTGGAGTGCAGTGGCGCGATCTCGGCTCACTGCAAGCTCCGCCTCCTGAGTTCATGCCACTCTCCTGCCTCAGCCTCCCGAGTAGCTGGGATTACAGGTGCCTGCCACCACGCCTGGCTAATTTTTTTTTTTTTTTTTTTTTTTTTTTGTATTTTTAGTAGAGACGGGGTTTCACCGTGTTAGCCAGGATGGTGTCGATCTCCTGACCTCGTGATCCGCCCATCTCGGCCTCCCAAAGTGCTGGGATTACAGGCGTGAGCCACTATATTTTTCTTTTGGTAAGAGAAAATATACTACTTTACTAAGTATAGAAGATAAAACAGACTTTGAGTGTAGTTTTGGTTGCTTTGAAGAACTAGTTGTTGATTACAACAGTGGTTCATAAAAAGAAACATGGATGCAATGTAGCTTATATTTTCATGATTCAAGATCTCCCTAAAATATTGTGTAGTTTGGCCTGCTAGTTGCACTGGTCTATTTCACTTATCCTCATGGCAAGCAAGGTAATGAAATGGGATATTACTTAAGCTAAGTGATTTTATTGGAAATACTACAGTTCAATTGTTGTTGTTGAATCTTTCCAGGACAAGTCAAAATACACCTTAACTTACAAATATCCAAAGTTCTGACCTTTTGATTTTTCATAAATTTTTCTTTACTGACATGAGTTATTCTTCCCACCCTTTTCCAGTTAGTAATTTGGATTCTTTCCTGAAGAGGATTTTTCCATGCACACCACATAAAGCTATCCATCAACTTCTTCCCATGCTTAAGTTTTTATTCATCTTAACCAACACCAATTTTTGTTGGCAACAAATCAGAAAGTTAGGGAAACTACAAATGGAAAAGATACAACATGTCAACCAGTATAACATCGTACAAACAAAATTCCTTCTTAAAATTTACTTATACTTTATTTTATTATACCTGACATCACCACAGTAGCATCATTATTCTTTAATCACAGAGTAAGAATATTTGCCTTGCTTAATGTTTAATATAATATTCAGTTTTATGTTTTCTTCCTTCCCAGAGTTGGAGGAAAAAATGAAGAGAAATATTTTGGCTGCATAATTCTCCTCCCATCCCTGCCTATGCCAAGTCTTTTCTTTTTAGTTCTGAACTATTAACTCTTAGTGCAGAGAGCATTACTAAGCTAAAAGGGACTTTCCTCAACAAGGAAGAAAAAGGAACAAAATATTTTGTCATTCACTGGAAAGGGGATAAAGGAAAGTTACCCAAACTGTGTTCTTCTCTCCTTAAAGATGGCCAGCACCATGATCCTCCTTATTATCCTTTACCTCCCTACAAACTTTCTTGTCAATGACTGTCACTTCTCAATGATTTAGCAAATACACAAGCAGCTCATAGTATATAAACAAGCAGTATAGTATATGAACAAGCAGTTCACAGTATATAGTCTATTGTTCTAAGAGCAGGATTTACAAAATTAAAATTCTGTAATCTCAATCCTACAGTTGTTGCGGACACAAATGAGAAACAGGTACTATGTAAAAAGCATTTTGAAGAACAATGCACACGGTGCAATGGACATATGAAAAGGCTGGGTGTGGTGGCTGTAATCCCAGCAGATTGGGAGGCCAAGGCGGGTGGATCACCTGAGGTCAGGAGTTCGAGACCAGCCTGGCCAACATGGTAAAAACCCATCTCTACTAAAAATACAAAATTTGCTGGACGTGGAGGTGTGCGCCTGTAATCCCAGCTACTCTGAAGGCTGAGGGAGGAGAATCGCTTAGAACCTGGGTGGCAGAGGTTGCAGTGAGCCGATATTGTGCCACTGAACTCCAGCCTAGGAGACAGAGCAAGACTCTGTCTCCAAAAAAAAAAAAAAGAAGAAGAATAAGAAGAAGAAAAAACATTAATTCTCTGAGAGTATAAAAAGGATGCAGTAAAAGAGGACTTGAGGTTTGGCATGAGTTATGACTTGAAAAAAATGACTAGAAGGAACTCGTCAGTGGAGCTGCCAAACCAATGAACGCAGTATGCAAAAACTAGATGGTGTGAGTGAGTGTGGCATGTTTGGCAAGCAGTGCTAAGCCATAAAATGAATACCATAAGATCTTTGATTCATATTCAGAAAAAATTAATCTGGAACTATGGAGAGCTAAAGTAATAAATGCAACCTCAATAAAGTTTACATTTCTAAAAGTTTATTCATCTTATTGTTTCAGATCTTCAGCAAAGATAGAATCTAAAATATTTAATTAACTCTAGATGATTGGTGACCATATCTAATATGAAAAACAAAGGCAAGAGAAGCACTTCTGAAATGGTGCTTCTGAAATGGTGCTTCTGAAATGGTGCTCTAAATGGTGCTTCTGAAATGGAGCACTTCTGAAATGGTGTTCTAAAAATTCTTTATTTCATAAAACAAATTACAACAAAGACAATCAAAATAAACTTTTACAGAATTCTGGAAATTAACCAAAGGCTTACAACAATACCACTAGGGGAACTTATTTAAGGAAAATGGCTGAATCTCATTAAGAACAAAGAACTCTGACATTTTAGCCTATCGTCATCCCTCTTTCTCCAACTCTGTGGTAGCCTTAAAAACCAATACCCTTGTAACCATGGTACCTGTGAAAACCAGCAGTCTACCAGCCAATGTAGATAACAGAAATGGTTGGAAGCACCCCAAATAACCTGTACCACTAAAAATTGCCACTATTTGACTAGTCTGGCAGCCTCCTAGAAGAGCTTTGATCTTAGGGCTTGTGTTTACTCGAGATGACTAAAAGATTGCTATGTGTGAACAGTTTTATTGCCAAGTTGTCTGTTGGAAACAATCGGTGACAAATGTTTAATATTGTATTGGCCTGAGCTTGTCATACCAGTTGGGTTACCAAAGGCTGATGAAAATACTTAGAAGAAATTTGGAATGAAATGTCCATGGGGGCTTTGAAAGTTCCAACATATTCCTGGGAATCTAGAAGGCCATGTCCATGTGCAGGGCTACGTGCATGCCCAGAAAAGACCTTAGAGGCCTTATCCTCTCACTTCTTATTTTGAGGCTTTACAAATCAGGAAATAAAGACTTAGGCAGAGTTATAAAATGCCTGTCAAGACATTAAGAGCATGTCCCAACACACACACACACACACACACACACCCTTGGCAAAGGCTGAGAGATTCATTTGTTTCATGCATTTAATGAAATCCCTGTCCAACCATGAGCTGACTAGTGCACTAACTTAGCAGAGACTTCAGTGGCCACATATGACAAAGAATACAGGCTTTACAGAATTAGTTCAGGAAAGCCAATAAATAAATAGCAACAAAAACAAACCAGGGACAGGGGTAGGAGTTGGTTTTAAGAGAGCTCACATTATATTATCTACGATACTCAATTAATAACATAAAAGAAAATGAGACATGCAACAAAGCAGGAAATTATTGTCTTCACATAGGAAAAAAAAAAAGCAGCCTATAGAAAGTGTCCCTGAGGAAACCATAAACATGAGACTTACTAGGCAAGAACTTTAAAGAAGCTGTTATAAATATACTAAACAACTAAAAAATCTGTGTCTAAAGAACTAAAAGAAAATGTGAAAATGATAACTCATCAAAAAGAATATCAACAAAGCGTTAGAATTTAGTTTTAAAAATTAAGAAAAATTATGCAATTGAACAGTACGACAAATGCACTGAAAAATTCACTAGAGCCCAAAAGAAAATTTAAATTTACAGAAGAAAGAATCAAAAAGCTTGGAGAATGTCAGTTGAGATTATCCAGTGTGAGGAACAGACAGAAAAAAAGGAGGAAAATGAACAGAGCCTCAGCATCCTGTGGGACACCATCAAGCAAAGGAATGTACTCATTGTATTCATTTTCTGTTGCTGCTATGATAAATTATGTCAAATTTAGTGACTTCAAACCACACAAATTTATTATTTTACAGTTGTAGGGGTCAGAAGTCTCACTGGGCTATAGCCAAGGAGTCTATTGGACGGTATTCCTCATGCAGACTTTAGGGTAGAATCTGTTTTTTGTCTTTTCCAGATTTTAGAGGCTGCCTGAAATCTCTGGCTAGTGGGTAAACATCAGCTTGACCTCGGCTTCTGTCATAACATCTCTGACTCTGACCCTTCTGTTTCCCTTTTACACTTTCAAAGACTCTTGTGGTTATATGGTGCTCACATAAATAATTCAGAATAGCCACCACATTTTAAGACTCTTAACTTAATCTTATTTGTAAAGCACCTTTTGCCATGTTAATTAACATATACACACCCTCTGGGTATTACAACATGAAAGTTTTTTGAGGAGTCATTATTCTGTCTACTTCATACATAATGTTCCTAAAAGAGTGCAGAGAGAGTAAAGGGCAGAAAGGATATTTGAAAAAATTGTGGTTGTATGCGTCCCAAGTTCAAAGAAAAATGTTAATATGCAATTAAATAATCTTATTAAACTTGAAGTAATATGTATATGTAGACACATGGTAGTCAAAAGAGAGACTTTCAAAAGCTGCAAAAGAAAAGTGACTCATGATGTACAAGAAAACCTCAGTAAGTTTAATGGCTGGCATTTTATCAGAAACCATGAAGACTAAAAGGCAATGAAATGACTTCTTCAAGGTGCTGAAAGAAAAAAACACTGTTAAACAAGATTTATTTATATACCAAAAGCATCCTTCAAAAACAAAGAAAAAATTAACACATTCTCAAATACCAAAATGAGGAGACTTCATCATTAGTAGACTTGCCCTACAAGAAATACTAAAGAGAGTTTGTGAGGCTGAAATAAAAGGACGCTAGACAATGAAGTGCTTCAACATGAATAAACTAAAGCACTGGCAAAGGTGACTACATAGATTAAATAAAAGTGACAGTGTACGCTTTTTTTATTTGTAAATCTTTTCTTCTATTGGATTTAAAAGATAAGGGCATAAATTAATAATTATAAAACTGTGTTGATAAGGTTATAATGTATAAAGACGTAATTTTTAAGACAATTGTAGCACAAAGGCAGGGGAAAACATACAGCTATATGAGAGCAAAGCTTTTATATAATATTAAAATTAAATTAATATTAATCTGAATTATATAATTTAAGATGTTAATGTTTATCTTTAGGGCAGTCACTCAGGGAATAAGTCCAAAAATAACAATAAAATAAGATTTTTAAAATTATATATTAGAAAATATCTCATTAACAAAAAAGAAAGCAGTTATAGAGAAACAGAGGAACAAAAACAAAAACACAAAAAACTACATAAGACATACAGAAAACAAATAACAAAATGATAGATTTAAATTTAATTCATCACTGATTATATTAAATATAGACTAAGCTCTCCAACAGAAAAATAGAAATTTATAGAATGGATTTTTAAAAAATATTTTCTACAAAAGACACATCGTATATTCAAAGATCAAAAATAGGTTGAAAGTAAAGTGATCAAAAAAATACCACATAAACAGTTAACACAAAAGAGCTCAAAGAATTATTTTAAAATCAGACAAAATATTATTTAAGAAAAAAAGTTACTAAAGACATACCAAAGTACTGTATACCGATGAAAGAGTCAATTCATCAGGATAAAACAATTACAAACATATTTCCATTTAAGAAAAAGATCCCAAGTATATGAAACAAAAACTCACAAAATGAAAGGAAAACAATTTGACAATAATACATAGATACTGCGATACCACTTTTAAAAAGGGATAGATTAGTAGGCAGAGCACCCAAAAATAAAAAAAAAGACTTGAACAAGACTATAAACCAACCAGACATAACAGACATCTATTAAATATTCAGATCAGTAACGTCAGAATACACATTTTCTCTATTGCACATGCAGAATGGACAATATGTTAGGTCCTTAAAAAGTCTTCATAAACTTAATGATTGAAACTAGACAAATGAACAAAATTATGTATGAATAACTTAAAGAGTTTTTGAAAATGTACGAAGTTGGGAAAATTATACAACATACTCCTAAATAACCCAAGAATCATAGAAGTCAGAAGCAAAAATAGAAAATACTTCGAGATTAATGAAAAGGAAAACACAATACACCAAAACTTATAAGATGTATGTAAAACAGTTTATATAGGTAAATTTATACCAGTAAAAGTCTATACCAAAAAGAAAAAAATTCTAAAATCAAGAACCTAAACTTCCAGCTAAAGGAAATAGAAGAAGGAATCAAACTAAATTTAATGCCCATAGAAAGAAGAAAATAATATAGATTAGAGCAGAAATAAATGATATTGGTAAAAGAAAAAAGTAGAGAAAATCAACAAAGCCAAAAATTGATTCTTTGAAAAAATAAAAGTATTGACAACCTAGATGGATGAAGAAAAAAAAAAAGATGAGTCAAATTGTTAAAATCAGGAATAAAAGTCCACATCACTAGTGACCTCACAAACCAAAAGAAGACTAAATAAGGAAGACAAAATGACAAGGCAAAGGTATAATAAGGAAAGAAAACTAGATACTACCATCTCTTATGAATGAAGATGTAAAAATCCTAAATACAAATCCATCAACAATAAAAATGAGTATACACCATGACCAAGTGCGATTTATCCCAAAATGGAAGGTTGACTTAACACATGAAAATAATTCAGTTTAATATATCATATTAAAAGGACAAAGAATAAAAACTACATGGTCATCTCAATAGACACAGAGCAGAAAAGGCATTTCACAAAATCTAAAACTCTTTCATGATGAAAAAAAATTACAAAACACAGGGAATAGAAGAGACCTACTACAATGTGGTAAAAAGTATCTATTACAAATGCATTTATTCTTGCCACTTCTATTCAACATTTTACTGAAGGTTCTACACAGGGAAATTAGGCAGGAAAAAAAATAAAATTGGCTGGGCGCAATGGCTCACACCTATAATCCAAGCACTTTGAGAGGCCGAGGCGGGCGAATCACTTGTGGTCAAGAGTTTGAGACCAGCCTGACCAACACAGTAAAAACCCGTCTCAACTAAAAATATCAGAATTAGCTGGGCTGGGCGTGATGGTGGATGCCTGTAACCCCAGCTACGTGGGAGGCTGACGCAGGAGAATTGCTTGAACCTGGGAGGCAGAGGTTGCAGTAAGCCGAGATCATGCCACTGCATTTTAGTCTGGGTGACAGAGTGAGACTCTGTCTCAAAAAGATATATACATACATACATAAAATAGAATAATAAAATAAAATTCATCTTGATTGGAAGGGAAGAACTAAACTACCTCTATTTGGAGATCTCATGATCTTGAATGTTAAAACTCATAAGCAATTTCCTGTCTCTCCCTAAAAAAACTTTTGGAACTAATGAACAAGTTCAACAAGATTGCAGGATATAAGAACAATATAGAAAGAATCAATTGTTTTCCTATATACTGCCAAAGGACACCCAAAAATGAAATTAATAAAACAATTTTATTTACATTTAGTATCAAAATAATAATACTTGGCAATTGTCTGAATCAGTTTGGTGTTACTATAACAGAAAAATGAGGCCCCGCATACTTTATTAAAGAGTTTTGCCGGGCGCGGTGGTTCACGCCTGTAAACCCAGCACTTTGGAAGGCTGAGGTGAGTGGATCACGAGGTCAGGAATTCAAGACCAGCCTGGCCAACACGGTGAAACCCCGTCTCTACTAAAAATACAAAAATTAGCTGGGCATGGTGGTGCGTGCCTGTAATCCCAGCTACTTGGAAGGCTGAGGCAGGATAATTGCTTGAACCAGGACCCAGGAGGCGAAGGTAGCAGTGAGCAGAGATTGCACCACTGCACTCCAGCCTGGGCTACAGAGCAAGACTCTGTCCCACCTCACAAAAAAAAAAAAAAAAAAAAAAAAAAAAGTTTCATTTGGCTCATGATCCTAGTGGCTAGTGGCTGGAAGGTTCAAGATTGGGCTTCTATATCTGGTTAGTGACTCGGGCCGTTTCAACCCATACTGGAAAGTGGAAGGGACATTTGTAAAGAGAATGCCTTGTGAGAGAGGAAGCAAAAGAAAGAAACTGAGGAAGCCAGAGTGCTTTTGAAAACCTGCTCTCATACAAATTAACACATCCCTGAGAGTGAGAACACATTCTATGGGAGGGCATTAATCTATATATGAGGGATCTCCCCATAACCCAAACTCCTCCCACTAGACTTCACCTCTAAATCTGCCACATTCACATTTCAACATGAGTTTTGGTTGAGATAAACAATATCCAAATCATAGCAGTAATAAAATTTCACAAAAGAAGTTCAATTCTTGTACACTGAATACTGCAAAGCATTGCTGAAAGAAACCAAAGAATTCCTAAGTAAATAGAAATAAAAATTAATGCATTGGAAAAAATTAATATTGCCAAAATGACAGTGTTTCTCAAATTAATCTACAAATTCAACATAATCCCCATACAAATTCCAGTTGCTTTTTTTTAAATAAATTGACAAACTGATCCCAAAATGTCTATGAAAAGGCATGGACCCAGTGAACTAAAACAATCTTGAAATTCAAAAACAAAGTTGCAGGACTCATACTTCCTGATTGCAAAACTTAACATCTGTAAGATTTAAGACTATGTGGTACTAACATAAGTCTAGACATGTAGATAAATGGAATATAATTAAAAGTCCAGAAATAAGCCCTTACACTTATTGTCAGTTTATTTTAGACAAAGGTGCCAATATGGAGGGAAAACAGCCTTTTTAAATTTTCCATCATTTTTTGCAAGTGCATAGATTTTTGCAAAAGAGTAAATTTAGACTCCTTCCTCACATCATATGCAAAACTTAACTCGAAATGGACAATAGACCTAAATGTAAAGGCTAAAACAACAAAACATTTAGAAGATAACACAGGACTCAATTTTTGTCACCTTGAATTAAACAGTAGTTTCTTAAATATAACAATAGGCTGGGCATGGTGGCTCATGCCTGTAACCCCAGCACTTCGGAAGGCCAAGATGGGCAGATTCTTTTGAGCTCAGGAGCTTGAGACCAGCCTGAGCAACATGGTGAAACCCTGTCTCTACAAAAAATACAAAAATCAGCTGGGCGTGGTGGCTCACTCCTGTAATCCCAACACTGTGGGAGGCTGAGGCAGGCAGATCACCTGTCAGGAGCTCAAGACCAGCCTGGACAAATGGTGAAACCCACTCTCTACTAAAAATACAAAAAATTAGCTGGGCATGGTGGTGTGCACCTGTAGTCCCAGCTACTCAGGAGACTGAGGCAGGAGAATTGCTTGAACCAGGGGGCAAGAGGTTGCAGTCAACCGAGATCGCACCACTGCACTCCAGCCTGAGCAACAGAGCAAGACCCGGTCTCAAACAAACAAACAAACAAACAAAAACTATGATGAAGGTAAGTGTGCTCTGGAGTTACTTTAAAATGTCAAGCCTCAGAAATACCAAGCACAACATTGCTGAAGATGTGGAGAAATTGGAACCCTCATTTATTGTTGGGAATATAAAATAGCTCAGATATTTTGGAAAAACAATGGCAGTTCCTAAAAAGGTTAAGCAAACTTACCACATGACCCAGCAATTCCAATCCTAGATGTGTGCCTGTTACGGAGTGAGTTGTAAATAATTCACTGCCACCAGAAGCCCAGAGTGCACAAACCTGAGGAGCAAAGCAATCTCTTCCTTGGCTCCACAGGTTGCAACACCTCTTTGGTTCTGCAGGCAAGGCTGCCTAGCACAGGACTTCAGGGGACAATCTGCAGGTTATGGAAGGTGAGATTACCACCTAGAGTTGAGGGTATGGGACTGTCACCCCTTTGGGCCCTGAAGGTGGGGTTGCCATTCCAGTGGGCCTGCAAATTTGGCCCAGATGGCACAGCATTTAGACAAAGAGAATTATTCTCCAGCCTTAAGATCTAATGGAATTTGTTTAGCTAAATTTTGGATTTGCTTGGGATTCACTACCTCTTTCATCTTTACAATGTCTTCCTTTTGGAATGGTTTTTCTATTCTTTTTCACCAAGCATTTTGGCCGCACATAACTCTTCTGGATTTGCAGATTCAGAACTGGAGAAAAAATTCATCTCAGGAAGAATCTGTCTTGAGTCTCACTCATACCTGATTTAGACAATGTTTAAATGAGACTTTGGACTTGGAGTTGATGCTGAAATAAGGTAGGACTTTGGGGGCTGTTGGGCTGGGATGAATATAACTTTACATGTGAGAAGGAAATAAATGTGGGGGGCAAAGGGCAGAATGTATGGACTGAATTGTATCTCCTTTCAAATCCTCTATGGATTTGCCTGTTCTAGACATTTCATGTAAATGACATCATATAATACATGATGTTTTCTGATTGACATCATTTAGAACAATGTGTTCAAGATTCATCCATATTGAAACATGTATCAGTACTTTATGCATTTTTGCTGAGATATTCCATTGAGTAAATATATCACTTTTGTCCATTCATCAGTTAATGAACAATTGGGTTGTTTCTACTTTTTTGGCTATTTTGAATAATGCTGTTATAAACATTAGTGTACAAGTTATTATCAGACATATATTTTTATTTTTAGGGGAAATATAATTAGGAGTGGAATTTTTGGTCATACAGTAACTCCAGATTTAGATTTTTGAGAAACCACAAAACTATTTTCTAAAGTGTATCTACAGCTTTTCATCATCCCATGAGAAATGTATGAGCTGCAATTTGTTATTGTCCATCCTCTTTATTTAGCCATGATAGTAGTATTAAGTGGTATCTCCTTATGCTTTTGATTTGCATTTTCCTAAAACTAATAATGTTGAGTGTCTTTTCATGTAGAGACAGGGTTTCACCATATTGGCCAGGCTGGTCTTGAACTCCTGACCTCATGATCTTCCCTCCTCGGCCTCCCAAGTGCTGGGATTACAGGCTTGAGCCACCACGCCCAGCCCTCATCATAGTTTTAATCACAACTTCTTTCATTCTTTCTTCTGACCCGTGATGATTCCTTTGCTTTTCTCTATCATTCCATCTTATCAAACTCCTGCCAGCACATTCCCAGAAGGCAACACACAAAAAGGAACTTGTGAGGCTTTTTAGGATTTTTTTTTAATACTTTGTTTTAGTACTATGACATTTGCCATCACTTAGTCAATTTGGTTTTGCAAGGCAAGCTCTCTGAAGCTGGTTAATTTTGCTTAGATACCCTTTCTACAGTTTTCTTCCAGGCAGTTTCTGGGTGCCTGGAGTTCAGCTGGAGTGAGTCTCAGGCAAGGACTGTCTAGTGGCAGAACATTTACACATGAGGATAAAACTAAATTAAAAAAAAACAATATAACTAATTAATGTAACAGCATAAATTATATATGCTCTTGGTAATTAGTTATGTTTACATAGCAAATTAACTCATGATCTTAAAACAAATTTGTGCCCTTCCAATAACCTCTCCAATGTGGGAGAAGTCTAAATACTGATGGAAAAATAAATGAGGTAAAATAAATATTTTTTATTCAGTTAACTGTGAATTTTCTTAATAGCCCAAGTAAAACTAGTGCTTCTGGTTTCCAGCTGTGTAGTTCCTGTCTGCAATTTTTTTTTAAATGACCTTTTTCGTTCACAGTGGTCACATAAACCTGGGATATCCTCTTTAACTTTAAATTACAGATTATCAGTATCAGGCTGGAATTAAGTCATAAAAGATTATTGACTGATTCATTAGGGCTGATGCTGTAATGTTTCTTCAACTCATAAAATGCATTTACTATGAAGCCAGAGATTCAGAGATTTTTTTGATACACAGATTTTTCCATGGTAACAGAGATGATCTTGTCATTTTGTAATTTACTAGACTGAAGTAAGGCCCAGGCCAAGCACGTGTTCAAAAAAATTGGCGGATGCTCACAGCTTGCAGAACAAATTCCAGCCCAAAAGTAAAGGCATTACAAATGCCTAAAATTACAATCTTTATCTCTAAGGCAGGTGTTTCAAAACTGGAGTCGTCCCAATTTTTTTTTTCCTTCTTGGTTATTGTTTTACTACAAGAATTTGAAAAGGATATTGAAGATAAAGCAGGTGTTAGATAAGATTCCTCACCAGGAATGACTCATCAAGAGCCAATCAGGGGTTTTCTATCTGTGAACATGACCAGGGTGGTGGCTTGGGTATGGCTATAAAAATTCCCTTCACAAAAGAAACAAATATTTTTAAACAAAAATTTGAAATAATCCCCACTTTAAGGAAAAAAAGAATCTCCATAGTCACTTGCACTAATTAGATTCCAATGAATCTGTTACCATGTGAACATAAAGTGAGCAGTTCTGACTTTGTCTATTACATTAAGGTGTATTAGATCCTTAAAATTTTAAATTTGATTAGATGATACACTAAATATCTTAGTACATTTAAATAAAACATATCAAAATGAATTGTTAAAACAAAATATATTAACCAAAAGAATGAATCAGTAGCAAAAGGGAACAAACATAGAGTTTAAGATGTTCAACACTGGAGTCTTCCAGAACTATGCTAAGTTATTTTTCCTTGGAATAAAACTGATTAATAGATAATATCAAGACAGAGGTTCATTGGCCCCTTTGTCATTCACCTCCGCTGGGAATTATGGCAAAGAACAGTTGCCCTTGTTAACCTGTGAACATTTTTCACTCTCTTAGGTCATTGACTCTAGCTCAGGGGTCCAATTTTCCTTTCATTCATTAAGCACATTAGGAAGCAGAGTTCCTAACCCTTTCCAGTCTAAATGTGGAACAATCACATCCCCTCACAATCCACTGCCAGCGTGCTGGGACCTTTACGTTTCACTGTGCTCTCGCAGTGACGCAAGTTTCTAACAATTGAAGGATATTAACTCAAAAACTTGTTTTCTAATTGGAGGAGCTCAAGGGATTTCAAATAAATGAACTTGTATAAACTGGAAGCTGATACATGTGCCTTTCCAATTATTTTTTTGTTCAAATTAGAGGAGAGGGCACTGCTAATCTCAGAAAGCAGATTTCAGAAATTATTTTAGCTATGAAGCCAACTCTGAATAACAAAACTGAGCAGTTATGAATTGTTTAGATAACTGAAAAGATATAATCATGTCTTTCATCTTAGTAAAGATACCATATATTCAGAACAATGTCATTTTATTACTTAAATATGTGCATGTTATTAATCCATTGGATTACTTTTATTTCACCAATAAGAAGCAAAGGAAATGTCCAATTGAATATTAGATGTTTGCTAGACCTTTCTACTTTCCTCTAATTTATATAAGCTAATTGTGAATTTTTTGAAACACAAAGTGTTTATTTGTAATTATGATCAAAATATTGTCTCTATTAGTAAACAATTTACTAATAAATCTATATTGTTAGCATCATCATGGAACAACTTCCCACACTATTTAAGTTAAGCACATCACCTTCAAGAGACTGAAATGAATGTGTCCAGCAGGCTTTCAAGGAACTTTCAAACTGTGCACTGCCATGTTGAGTTAAAAAAATTTGATTTAGAAGAACGATAGGGAAATCTTCAGTGTTCTTTTTCATTTTCTATATCTCACAGGAGGGATAGAGAGAGAATATGTATTTGAGAAAAAGAGAGAGAGAGAATAAGTATCTGAGATAGAGAGAGAGAGACAAAGAGAGAGAGAGAATATGTATCTGAGAGAGAGAGAGAGAAAGAGACAGAGACAAAGACAGAGAAGGTAGGGGCTCATATAATTAAATCTCTATTCAGATAATATTAGATACTTCTTATAAAGAATGAGATTTAGGCCTCTTCTTAAAATCTATAATTGATCTTCACAAGGGGAAATTTTCATTAAGAAAATATTTTATTTTATTTTTAATGTAAAATTATATGTTAATATATAAATCTATCAGAAAATTTGATATTAAAAAGCTGCCAGTTCTCACCAGCACACACACACACACACACACACACAAAATATCTCCAATGGCAAAATAATGTTTTATACTTAAAAATTTTTTTCACTCACCTCCTAAAATTAAGACACTCACTGGTCCAGTTGGTAAAGTGTGCATATTTGGGTATAAGATTGTAATCATTAGCTACTCATTTAAACATGTTGTTCAAGTTACAGAAGTGATTCATGAAGACACACGTGTTGTATAATATTTATACAATACATAACACAACGAGGCCACTAGTTCTGCAATATATATTACCAGTAGCAAAAATTTTTGAAAACAGTGACTCTATATTTTTTATTCTCTTATGTGTTCTACAAATATTTATTTTGTAGTGTATGACAAATGACCAATTTACAATTTCAATGAAACCATATGAGATCCCCATTTTCCAATAACTGTAATAAGATGCAATGTTATCCTTCAAATCAAATTTTTAAAATATTATGGATAACACATAATATTTTCTTGCTTTTTTATTTGCCTTTCTGTTGATATTAATTTGAGCATATTTCAATACATTTTCAAACTACTTATGTTACTACTACTTACATTATTTTAAACTACTTTTAAATGCCTCTGTATGTTTTACTTGTATATTTTAGGTTATTTTTATTTTTATATTTTGTTTTACCAGAACTTTTTATATAGTCTCTGCAGGGTAGTTACATTGAATGTTTTATTTGGTCAAGTTATATTTACTAAAGATGCTTCTTGTAACTAAAGCTAGTTATTATTTTTTGTCCTAGGAAAAGAATAATAAGACATCCCATTAAGGGGCAACAGAATTAGAATAAGTAAATGAATTAATATAGAAGACAATTTCTGTAAAAAACAGAGATTATAAACAAATTATAATAGGAAGTCTTAGTCATTACTAAGGGTCATACAAAATGGTACAGCCACTTTGGGAGATGGTTTGGTAATTTCATACAAAACTAAACATACTCTTACCATACAATCAAGCAATCGTCCTCCTTGTGATTTGTCCCCAGGCTCTGAGCTCACCCCTATGGCCCCAGGCTCCAGGACTGCCCAGCACACCCAGGTTCCAGACACACTGCAGCACCAGACCAGCCCTCATGGCTCCAGGCTCCAGGCCAATCTCAGCACCAGGCTGATGACGGCCCTAGACTAGCAAACCCATGATCCAGGCCTGTCTCCGTAAACTTTGGCACTTGCCAGCCACCATGGATCTAGGCTACACATCCTGCCCCTACAGTCTCAGATTCCAGGCCAGCCTTTATGGAAGCAAGACCCTGTAACCTTCCCCCATGGTCCAAGGCTATAAGCTCACCTAATAGGAACCCAGACTGGCCCCCCCATGGACACAGGATCAGGCTTGTTTCCATGGATCTGGTGCTAAGCTCACTCTGATTCCAGGCTGGTGATTGCAGACTCAAGCTCAAAGCTTATTCCATTGCCAGGTCTCCCACGATGGACCCAGGCTTCAGGCTAGCCATTCAGTAGTCAGACCCACTGTATTAGTCCATTTTTACACTGCTCTAAAGAACTGCCCAAAACTGGGTAATTTATAAAAGAAAGAGTTTTAATTGACTCACAATTCCGCATGGCTTAGGGAGGCTTTGGGATACTTAAAATCATGGCAGAAGGGGAAGCAGGAATGTCTTATATGGTGGCATGTGAGAGAGCATGTGAAGGACGAACTGTCAAATACTTATAAAACCTTCAGATTTCATAAGAACTCATTCACTATCATGAAAACAGCATGGGGGAAACTGGCCCCACGATCCATTTACTTCCCACCAGGTACCTCCCTTGACACATAGGGATTATGGGTATTACCATTCAAGATGAGATATGGATGGAGACACAGAGCCAAGCCATATCACCCACCATATGAAACCTAGTGAAAGGCCGTCCCCTGTAGACCCAGGATCTAGCCCAATACCCACAGATGTAGACACCAGGACCACCTACATTGACCCAAAATCCAGGCCCATGGAGTGGACCCAGGACCTGGCTCAACCCTGGAGACCCAAGCTCCAGAGAAACCTGCTCACTGACCCAAGCACCAGGCCAGTCTACCTGAAGACTTCAGCAGCAGTCTCTGGACAGGCTGCCTGATAAGGGCTTTTCCTGCTAAATCCAGTCTGTAAAGACTGGAAAATGTGCCTACTTCAAATGCACAGAACCAGTGCAAGAGCACAAGGATCACAAATAATCAGGAAAACATAACACCACCAAAGAAACAAAATAAAGCACCAATAACTGAACCTAAAAAATATCTGACAAAGGATTCAAAATAATCATTTTAAAACAGCTCAGTGAGCTACAAGAGAATACATATAGATATATAAACAAAAAAATTAGGAACACAAAACATGAACAAAATGAGAAGCTGAACAAAGAGAGAGAAACCATAAAAAAGAATGAAACAAATTCTGGAGCTGAAGCACACAATGATTAAAGTAAAAAATTCCATAGAGATTCACTCAAGTAGAAGAATCAGTGAGCTGCCAGACATGTTCTTTGCAACTACCCACATATAGAAACAAAAAGAAAAAAGAATGAAAAAGAATGAAAAAGACTATAAACTTATGGGGCACCATCAAACGAATATTCTCATTGTGGGAGTTTTAAGAAGTAAGAGAGAAAGACAAAAGGGCAGAAGACTTATTTAAATAAATAATAATAGAAAATTTTCCAAATCTGGAAAGGGAAATTAGTATTTAGATTAAATGTAAAGAAATTTTCAGTTAGATACATTATAATGAAATTTTCAAAAGTCAAAGGAAGAGAGAATTTTGGAAGCAGAAAAAAAAAAGTGAAAAGAACCTTGTTGACTGCAAGAAAATCTTAAAATGGCCATCAGAGGACTGCTCAGTAGAAACTGAAGAGTAGGAGAAAGTGAGATGGCTTATTCACAGTGCTGAAAGGATAAAACTGCCAAACAAAAGTAGTATATCTAGCCAAGATTTTCTTCAAAAATGAGGAAGAGATACAGGCTATTCCAGACAAGTAAAAGTGGAGGAGTTCACGACCACTAGACCTGCCTTAAAAGAAGAGTTGAAGGAAATTATCAAAGTTGAAAAAGGACACTAATTAACTACATGAAAGTATAAAACTCACTGTAAAGGTTGGAATACAGTCAAATTTACAATATCTGATACTGTGTAATGGTGGTGTGTAAATCAATTTTAACTCTATTTTAAACTTAAAAGACAAAAGTAATAAAACCAACTACAGATACAATACTTTGTTAGTTGATACAAAATATAAAAAGATGTAAATTGACACAAATAACATAAAATCTTGGGGGAAGAGATGATAAATTGTAGAATTTTTGTGTCAAGTTAAGTTGTTATTAAAATAGACTGTTACAAGATGCTTCGTGAACACCTTATGGTAAACACACACAAAAAAATATGTATCAGCTATACAAAAGATAAAGAGAAAAAATCACAACATACAACTACAAAAGTCATGAAGTCATACAGGAAGACAAAAAGAGAGAAAGAAGAAAGAAAATAAAGGGAGAAAGAAGAAAGAAAACAAGAAAGAAAGAAAAAGAAAGGAAAGAAAGAAAGAAAAAGAAAGAAGGAAGGAAGGAAAAGAAACTTCAAAACATTCAGAAAAAAATAACAAAATGGCAATTGAAGGTACTCATCTGTGAAGAATTATTTTAAATGTAATGTTATTCTTCCTTTTTTAATTTTTTTTTTTTTTTTGAGATTGAATCTTCCTCTTGTCACCCAGGCTGGAGTACAGTGGTGTGATCTGGGCTCACTGCAACCTCCGCCTCCTGGGTTCAAACAATTCTCCTGCCTCAGCCTCCCGAGTAGCTGGGATTACATGTGCTGCCACCATGACCAGCTAATTTTTGTAGTTTTAGTAGAGAAGGGCTTTCACCATGTTGGCCAGGCTGGTCTTGAACTCCTGACCTCAAGTGATCTGCTTGTCTCAGCCTCCCAAAGTGCTGGGATTACAGGCGTGACCATGCCTGGCCTAAATTCTTCAATCAAAAGGCATAAAGTGGTTAAATTGATTATAAAGAAATTTTAAAAGACACAAATAAATGAAAGGATATCTCATATTTCTGGATTGGAAAGATTCTTATTGTTAAAATGTTCATACTACTCAAAGTGATCTAGACTTAATACAGTTGCCATCAAAATCCCAATGAAATTATTTTGCAGATATAGGAAAAACAATCCTACAATTCATGTGGAATCATAAAGCATCCATAATACCTAAAGAAACCTTGAGAAGAACAAATCTGGAGGCATCTGAATTCAAAATAAACTACAAAGCTACAGAAATAAAAATAGTATAGTATCGGCATTAAAGCAAGTACATAGACCAATGGAAAAGAATAGAGAGCCCAGAAATAAGCCCAAACTGAAAAAGTCAACTAATTTTTGTCAAGGGTATTAATAACACACAATGGGGGAAAAAAGTCTCTTCCATAAATAGTGTTAGAAAATCTGGATATCCATATGCAGAAGAATGAAATAAGACCCTTATCTCACACAATATTAAAAAAAATCAACTCAAAATGGTTTGAAGACTTAAAAGTAATGGCTGAAACTGTTCAAATTACTGGAAGAAAATGTAGGGAGAAAGCTTCATGACATTGGTCTGGGTAATTACTTTTTTGGATAAGACCCCAAAACCACAAGCAACAAAAGCAAAAAATAGACAAATGGGATTGCATCAACCAAAAAGCTCTGCACTACAAAGGATATAATCAACAGAGTAAACAGACAACCTAAAAGATGAGAGAAAAAATATTTGTAAACCACATGTCTGATAAGGAATGAATATCCAAAATATATAGTGAACTCAAACAACTCAATCGCAAAAAACCCTCCCCAATAGCTCGTTAAAAAATGAGTGAAGAACCTCAGTAGACATTTCTCAAGAGAAGATATCCAAATGGCCAACAGGTATATGAAGAAATGTTCAGCATCACTAAGCATCAGGGAAATGCAAATCCAAACCACAATGAGTTATCACCTTACACCTGGTAAAATGGCTACTACTATTTTTAAAAAGATAGCATATATTGGGGAGGATATGAAGACTAGGGAACCCTTGTACACTGCTGGTGGGAATGTGAATTGGCACAGTCACTATGGAAAGTATAGAAGTTCCTAAAAAATTTAAAAATAAAAGTACCATATAAGCTAGTCATTCCTCTTCTGGGTAAATATCCAAAGGAAATTAAATCAGCATCTCAAAAAGATGTTTGCACTCCATATTCATTACAGCATTATTCACAATAGCCAAAATATGGAATCAACTGGAGCTGATTAAATCTATTTGGAATTAATTTAAGACTGAAGATTTTAATATTATATATATATATATATATGTATATATATATACACACACACACAAAATCTGATATTACTGAGCCTTAAAAAAAGAAGGAAATCCTGCCATATGTGACAATATGGATGAACCTATAGAACATTATGCAATGTGAAATAAGCCAGTCACAAAAAAGAAAATACTTCATGATCTTACTTATAAGTTTAATCTAAAAAAGTTGAACTCATAAAAGCATAGGGTAGAATGCTGATTGTCAGGAGGAGGTGGGGAGAAAGGGCAATTGGGAGATGTTGGGCAAACAGTACAGAATTTCAGTTATGTGTCATGAATAAATTTTGGAAATCTAATATATAATATGTTGACTATAGTTAATAATACTGTACTGTGTACTTGAAATTTGCTAAGGGAGTAGATCTTAAATGTTCTTACCACAAAATCTATGGCAACTAGTGAAATGATGGATATGTTATTTTGCTCGATTGTAGAAATCATTTCACAATGTATGCACATATAAAAACATCACATTGTATACCTTAAATGTATACCATTTTTATTTGTCAATTGTATCTCCATAAAGCTGACAAACAAAGTCATTGAATGTGCAACACCAAGAATGAACCCTAATGTAAACTGAACTTTGGGTGTAATGATGAATCACAGTAAGCTCATCCTCTGTAACATATGTATCACTATGGCTGGGAATATTGATAATGAAGGAGGCTATGCATAAGGAGGGGCAGGAGGTATATGGGAAATCTCTGTATCTTTTGCTGTGAACCAAGAAGATGTTTTTGGTTTGTTTCAAGATTATGCTAGTATTGTAAAATGAACAGGAAAACTTTACATCTATTTACATCTATTTGTACTCTTTAAAACAGTGTATAAAAGATTAGAATAATCTATTTGAATAGAACTCATTCATAAAATTATCTTATCATAGAACTCATAAAATTATCTGATCTGGGTGTCTTTAATATATTGACTTTCAGCAGTCTTGTATTTCTTCAATGGCTGTTGGTATGTTGAAATTTTCTACCCTATTTCTTCTCTAATTACTGAGCCAATTACAAGGATGATTTAGATGACACTTAAGTATTCACAGATATCTATTTTGCATATATTTTCAAATATATTGGCATACAAACAGGGTATATTCATTTGCTAGGGTTGTCATAACAAAGTATCATAAATGAAATGGCTTAAATAACAAAAATTTATAAACTCCTAGTTCTGGAGTCTAGAAGTCCAAAATCAAGATGGTGGCAGGACTGATTTCTTCTGAAGGCTCTAAGGAAAGAGTCTATTGTAGGCCTCTTTCCTTGTATGTAGATTGCAATCTTCTCCATGTGTCTCTTCATATCATTTTCCTTTTACATGTGTCTGTTTCTGTCCTAATTTCCTCTTTTTGTATGGATACCAGCCATATTAGATTTAAGTCTAATCACCTCATTTTTACCTTGATTATCTCTGAAAAGAACCTATATCTCCAAATAAGGTCACATTAGATTAGGTACTGAGGTTTGGACATTAAAATATTAATTTTGGGGTACACAATTAAATCCATACCACATTTCATCATTTTTTAAAAATTTAATATCACTTAATATCTGTAATTATGCTTAACTTCTCATTTCTAATAGTACTTAGTGCTGCTTTTCTTTTATTTTATTTTGTTATTAGTCTTGCCACCATGTGTCTATTTAGTATTCTAGAAAATTGTGTTCTTATTTATTCCTTTCTTCTGCTTTATATGTTTTTTATTTTACTTTCTCAATATTGATAGAGGCAGGAGGCAAAGAAATTCTGGGGAGACAAGGGCAAGTCCCTGGCATAACCCTACCTTCGAGCTGAAAAGCCGGAAACCCACCGCCCAAAGTGAGAACTTCTATTTCTGTTTGCCCACTCTCTCCCAATTGGTTCTTTCTGAATAATGTCTTTTTACCAATCAAATGTTGCATTTTCCAAAACTACCTATGCCTACCCTGGCCCCCACCCTGTGCCTATAAAGACCCCAGACTCAGCCAGTAGGGAGAGAAACCTGGCTTGACTAGAGAGAGGTGACTTGACTTCAGAGGGATGGCTGGACTTCAGAGGAGAGCCTTCATTTGAAGAGCCAGCTAGAGCCAGCCAGACTTCAGGGAAAATTATCTGCCCATTCCCGTCCCCTCTCCAGCTTTTCTCTCCACTGAGAGCCATTTTCATCACTAAATAAAATTCTCCATCTCCACCATCCTTCAAGTGTCTGTGCAACCTCATTCTTCTTGGATGCTGGACAAGAGCTCAGAACTCACTGAGTGCATGTGCCCAGAAAAGGCTGTCACACTGGCCCTTTGCCCTCGCTGGTGGAGGGCAGCCGCCACATGTGAGGAGGCAAGGGGCCCACTGAGCAGATAACATAGCACTGTTCATGGATGGCAGAGCTAGAGAGCATTGTAACATGCCCTCTGGGGCTTCGGGTGTCACAGACCCCCCCACCTGGTCACCGCAGTAAAGCCCATACAAAGCCTGCTCCTACAGGTGCCCAAAGCAGTCAGCTGCATCCTGCACTCAATTGCTCATGTGCTGCCTCCTGCAAGAGGTTGAGTATGATGGACTGAGTAGATGGGGCACCCCTGTCGCAAGTCCAATGAAGGGGTCAAGAAAAACTCCTGCATCAATATGAAACTTGGATAACTCATTTTTACATTTGCTTTTGTTGTTGTTGTTGTTTTGAGAGTTTTTTGTCCTTTTTTTTTTTTTTTGAGACAGTCTTGCTCTGTTACCCAATCTGGGATGCAGTGGCAAGATCATGGCTCATTGCAGCCTCAACCTCCTGGGCTCAAGCTATCCTTCCACCTCAGCCCCATAGAGTAGCTAGAACTACAGGCATGCACCACCACATCCAGATAATTTTTTTATTTTTGCAGAGATGGTGTCTCAATATGTTGCCCTGGTTAGTCTCAAATTCCTGGGCTCAAGTAATCCTCCTGCCTTGGCCTCCTGAAGTTTTGGGATAACAGGTTGAGCCACCTTGCCTGGCCTACATTTTTGCGTTTTTTAATAAACTCATTCATAGGTAAACACATTTTGTTATGAGAATTATTTAAGTCACTTCCCAAAGATTTTAATACATAGTAGTCCATCTTTGGTCATTGCCAAAGAGTTTCTTATTTTTCTTTTGATTTCTTCTTTATCCCAATTTATAAAATAACATTTTAAGATTAATGAGTAGATAATTTGAGATTAAAGAAAAATAATGTAGGCTGCATGGTTCCTGACTTTAAAAATCTATGGAGATTTATTTGGTCTATGATTTAGTGCCTCACTAATTGGTGAATTCCTCACGTTTTCTAAAGCAGAGTTTTATTTTAAGAATACAGAGTGTGTATGTGTATGTGTGTATACATGTATATGTATTTGTAGAATGATGTTTGTCATTTGCTTTACATTTCCCCAGACATTTTTATTTGTTAAATCTCCTTGAATTTTTCAAAACTATATTAGGTTAATTCCTTGGACATCTTGGTGAGGTACATCTTTTATCAGAAATAATTTCCCTTTTTCCATTTAATAATTTCCCAATGAAATAAATGTATTTTTATTGCTCTGCCTACTTTCTTTTGTACTCACCTGCAAATTTACTTCTTATTTCAAAACTTTATAGTATCAGTAGGTAGATGTTGTGTAAGTATATATTCTTAGGATAATATTCAGAAAATTTGTGAATCTGAAATTTTTAATAGGTTTAATTTCACCAATGTAAGTTTTAACTATTTATATGTTTGCAAATATTTCTGTAATTGTATATTGTATTTCTTATTTACTGTGCTCTTGATAGATTTTAGTCCATTCTTCCTTTTGTTGTTTTATTTTTCCTTATTTTTTTTCAAGTTATTATGAGGGCTTCCATCTATATCTTGTGTGCTAATGAACATTATGCTTTTTATTCTGTAAATCTGCCCTTAAATTATTCTACCAAAGTCTAGGATTAAGCAATATCCTCTCCCTCAAACCAATTTTCTCTTTCTCAAAATTTTGCATATTTTTATTTCTCCACTTCTGCATTTCTCTTCACTTCCTCAGGTTCCATTAATCTGGATTTTATTTCCACGTGTTATTATATTTTACATTAGAAACTAACAGCTACATACAGTTAAAATTTAGTGTTTTTCCTTACCATATGTCTATTACCACTTTTAGCCTTGTTTATTGGACCTATTTTGAATTTTGCTAGAAATAATTCCCTAAAAAAATTTAACAACTTTTTTGTTCGTTTTTGGAATGTCTGTGTTTGGGAAAATTTATAAGTATTTATATGTTTTATGATGTCTTTATTTTGCCCTTTTCATTTATTGATGGTTTGACTAGATAGAAGACTAAGATTTAAACTCACAATCATATTTCCTGAATTTGTTAAATACTACTTTGTGTGCTCTAGCATCTGCTGCTGACAAGGAAGCTTTATTCTAATATAATTCTTGTTCTATTGTAGTAACTCATTTTTGTCTCTTTAGAAGATTTAACTTTACTCTTTATCCTCAGAGTTCTGCATTTTACTATGGCATTTCAATATGTAGTTCTTTCTTTATTCATTTGTCTTACGACTTTGTCGTATGTGTATTCATGTATGATGCCAATTTTTATTATGGAAATTTCCTTCTATGTTATGATGATTATGGGATTTTTTTTTCTGTATTTAGTGATTTATTATCCTGTGATCATTGTTGTATTTGAAAACACCTGTTCAAGTTTTATTAGAACTGTTTCTGATTATAGGAATTTGCATGGTTGATTATGGAAAATGAATATAATATACTTGGATGAGGTGTAACTGTAGTTTGTCTTCTGCATATGGAAGCTCAATCTCCTTTTAAAGAGTTGCCACCTACCTCGGACATTGTCCATATAACTTTGTTTCCTCTAACTTGGCCAATCTAAGACACAGGAGAGGGTCTAGTCAGCCAGTAATTCCTGCAAAGTTTACAATTAATCATCTCAGCAGATCCCAGGGGTATCAGGCTGCTCCTTACATTTAATTACTTTGCTTTATCTTCCTCTATAGATAGGCTGTCTTAAAGTATTTTATGCCACGTTATGCTGAAGTTTCTTGTCAATCTGATTATATCTGCTTTGTATCTTGCAGAAAGTCCTCTCTCATCTACAAGCGCAGGATGCTGTATTATGTGTATGACCTTTTCAGTCATGTCCTGCATAGTTGCTTCTGTTTGTGTCAGGTCAGGCAGGAATTAAAGGCATTTGTTTTCATTTTCCAATACTATTGAGAATAATTTTCAATTTTAAAATAGTTTTTCTTCTTTTTAAATAGATTTAATTGGGAATCAAGCCAGAAATATTTTATTAACATGACGTTTGGTGACCAATCTTTTTATTGTCTGTCACTGTGATCTGTTCATGTAATCAAAAATTCCATTTTTTTAAAAAGGATATAGTAAAATCTTGCTGTAACATAAAAATAAGACTATTACTATAAGAAATCATATAATATAAATTTCCATTTTTGTTTTTTTCTTGGTATGTCATGGCAGTTTACTGTTTCTGAGGAAATTTGGAGTATGTTGGCTCTAAGAAAATAATTATGTTCTTTTAGCTCTCTGTAAAAATTTAGAATTAAAATTATGACAGCTAATGATTCAAGAGAAGGCAAAAAAGAAAAGGAATTCATTCTTTCACTGTCTTTTACATAGAGCTATGACTTGTCAAACTGATGTCTGAAACAATGAGTTTAACATCAAATATTTATCTGGTTTAGGTACTAGAGATGGTTGGACTCTGACTACAATGTTTTAGGAAACATAAACATGGCTTTCTAGGTAATTAGGAAAAAAAAACTTACAGGAAATAAAAGTTGTGTCTTCGTAGCCCCTACACTTCCCATCACAGAAAAAAGCCTTTAGAATTGTTTCTTTTTACCTAAGCTAACTCCACACAATGAATGACTGAACTGAACTTCCTCCCAGGCACAGCCCATTATTCTGCACCACTTCACTCACTAACCAACCCAGCTGGAACTTTATCTAGTCACTTGCCAAAATCCCCCTCCTTCTTAAAGATGTTCTGACCCACCTCTGAGTTTTAATTTCCTCCCACTCTACCCTAGCGATGAGCTCTAACCTCTTCCTTCCAGCTGTCAAACCCACCTACTCCCTGGAGGTAAAATATCTGCAACAATCTTGCTTCTCTGCCAACCATTCACTAAGTTTAAAAATGAATTTTCATATTTCTCTCTCAAGTGTCAAAAAGTACATATCAAAATAAAAAATTATACTCACCTTTAAAACATATCACCAGTCTATCAGATATCTCAATCCAGATGTAAGAAATCATTTTACTTTATTCTTACAATTCCACCAGTGAACACACAAGTGCACACATGACATTAATGAAATACGGTATCTAAAAACCCATTTCTAAATATTAATTCATGAAAAGTAATTATACCATCTTGCTCCTCAGTTATTTGGAAGTGGAATTACTAGGTATTTCTCATACATATTTTTTAAATCCTCTTTTTATAATGTATTACATTACTGGCTGCTTATAGCAATCATAGAAGTATAGAATTTTAATAGAAGGGAACATAGAAATCATGTAATATAGCTTTTTATTCCCAGCATGGAACTTAAATGTATCTAATTTTAGGTGCTTACTATTTTGTGAGGAATTTTGTTTATTATTCATTTATTTATTCAATAAATACTTATTGAGAGTTTTATTATGCCCCAAACTTAATCTAGTGGCTGGGCATAAATCCAGGAATAAGATATGGTTCTGCACTTTCAAGGAAGTTACATTTTAGTGGGAAAATAACAAGCAATATTTATAAGTGATCAACATAATAAATTTTAAAGTAGTAAGTAATAAACATAATAATTAAGTCAATAATGAAATGTGATGAGGTAACCTGGAATTTTACTTACTTGTAAGTTAATAAATTAGACACCCTATAACCTGTTACTGTTTGATAGTTGCTGGCAGAAGACGTGAGACTCCTCAGCCAGGGACAAGGTTATCTTTTACTCACAGCACAGTGGGCAGATTATTAGCAATTTTGCTTAGGCATTATGCAAACTCCCCCATCACCCCACAGGAATTATGCAGATGGGATCAAATGGATTCTGTACATACAGTAAGGTTGTAGCACAACTGAAGAACCCTGACTATTGGAAAATCATGTTCTTAATCTTCCTTAACATTGTAATTTTTACCTGCATTTTTCTATCAGTTTCTAAAAGCAGATATCAAGAATCTACCAAAATAAATGTGCATAATTTATTTTTAAAATTGTGCAGAATTTAGAATTGCATATCTTCTTGTTGGATTGATAACTTCATCAGAAAATTGCTGTCTCTGTGTCTAGTAATATCTCCTACTTTAAAGTTGTTTTATCAGATATCAGTAGAGCCACACTAGTTTTATTTTGTTTAGAGTACACGTAGTACATGTCCAGTAATTTTACTTTTTTTTTTTTTTTTTGAGATGGATTTTCACTCTTGTTGCCCAGGCTGGAGTGCAATGGCACGATCTCGGCCCACTGCAACCTCCACCTCCCGGGTTCAAGTGATTCTCCTTCCTCAGCCTCCTAAGTAGCTGGGATTACAGGCACCTACCACAACGCCTGGCTAATTTTGTATTTTTTTAGTAGAGATGAGGTTTCACCATGTTGGTCAGGATGGTCTTGAACTCCTGACCTCCAGTGATCCACCTGCTTTGGCCTCCCAAAGTGCTGGGATTAGAGGAGTAAGCCACCATGCCTGGCCCAATAATTTTACTTTTAAACATTCAAGGACTGTATCTCAGACAGCATATAGTAGTTGACTTCAGTTGTTTTATACAGTCTGACAATGTTGAGTTTCAGCTGGAAGATTTAATTAATTTACAATTATTATTATTATTTTATTTGTGACAGAATCTTACTCTGTCGCCCAGGCTGAAGTGCAGTGGCACAATCTCAGCTCACTGCAGCCTCCGTTTCCTGCACTCCAGTGATCCTCCTGCCTCAGCTTCCTGAGTAGCTGGGACTACAGGAATGTGTCAACATGCCTGGCTAATTTTTGTGGGTTTGTTTTGTTTTGTTTTGTTTCTGTAGAGACAGGGTTTTGCCATGTTGCTCAGGCTGATCTCAAACTCCTGTGCTCATGCAATCCTCCCACCTCAGTCTCCTGAAGCACTGAGATTACAGACATGAACCACTGCCCCCAGCCTAGTTAATTTACATTTAAAGTTTTGTTGATATATTGGTATTTCAATCCAGCATTTTACTCTAGCTTTTAAATTTTACTAGTACTTTTGTTCTTTTCTCTCCTCTTTATTTCTCTTTAATCTATATATGTTCTTATTTTATTTCCCCTCTGTTTGTTATGCATTCCTCATTTTTGTGGTTACCCCAGAGATTGCCAGATTTACCATTTATTAAACTATATTTCAAATTAGCATGTTTGCCACATTCTCAGAAATACTAGCTTTATGTACTCTCTTGCCAACGCATATTTGTCTAAAAAAAATCTATGTATTTTGCCTTTGTTTGCAAAGATTACTTTTGCTTATAGACTGCTTGGTTGCTACTACTGTTTTAGCATTTTAAAGATGTCATTCTACTATCTTTTGTCAGCTGAACAGTGACTCTCAGTCTTACTACTGCACCTATGATAGTAATATGATTGTTTTATCTGTCTGCTTTGAAAAAGATCTCTTAGATCCTGGTTTTGAAAAGTTTTTCTAACCCATAATGAGATGTGACTTTTATTGCATTATTCTGTGTAGAGTTTCTATTACTTAGTGCCTCATTCTAATTATTGGAGTTTTCAGTTGTCAAATTTTCACTTGATTCTATTTTATAGATTTCTCTTGTATAATGAAATTCTCCATTTGTACCTATTTTTGAACATTTTAATCATATTTTAAAATTTACGTTTGATAAATTCATTATCTAAATTACCTGTGTTACTGTTTCTATTTTTTGTTTTTGTTTTCGTTGTTGTCGTTGTTGTCCTGGTTTTCAATAATTTGGTTCTATTTTCTAACATGCCTGGTAATTTTTTTGTTGCATGCTAAACATTCTATATAAAAATGTGTGGACTCTTTATGTGTCAGAGACTTAATTTTTTTCTGGCAATGAATTATAATATGCGTGAGTTAGGTTATTTCAATTAAAATTTGAAATAATTTTAGTTTACATTTCAATGTCATTGAGCCATCTGGATTATTTCTGGTATGTTCTTAAATGTAGGAAAGATCTTTTTGCAGGGCCTCAATTTATACGTGTTCTTTCTTCTTCATAAACACTAAATTCTATTTTTTCTAGCTCTAACATTGTGGGACAGATAAAATGTATGTTTCACTTTTTAGCTCCTTATTGTAACCATCTGAGGAGTTCTACCTCCCACAAAGAAAAACAACAACATTGCAGTAAATAAAAGCATTTAATAGACATGAAGCCAGCCATGTCACCTCAAATCAGTCTCCTTGAAGGCATGTAGTTAGCGGTTTTACAAAGGGCACTTGCTGCTGATAGGTAGGATGGAGACAAAATCATAAGTTGTTCTCTTGAGTATAGTTGTTTCTGGGTGGGGCCACGGCAATGGGAGTCAGCAAGTACAGATGGAGTCACTGTGTCCACATACCACCATGAGTGTCAAACATGCAAAAAAGTTGTGTATCTAATGACTAGTCTACACATTAGCTCCTCTCCCTAGCTTGATGGCCTTCCATTAGCTTTAGAAAGGCAGTTGACTTTTGGCGAATGGCTATTATCATTTAAACTGTAACCTAAAAGCCTCTCAAAGTCAGCTTGGCCTGAAAGCCCAGGAATAATTAAGGAGAAGGTGAGATAAGGAAAGGGTTAAATCAGAATCCTTTCACTGCCATAATTTTCTCACAGATACAATTTTTGCAAAGGTGGTTTCATTATCAGCTAATCTCTATTTTTTAAAAAAATATTTTAAATATGGCCCATACAAGAGTAGTTTAGGAGTTAGGAAATCCCTCAAGGGGAAATTGAACACAGAATGTTAGGTCCATTTCTCTGTGATTTTCTTTATTATCTGGGACGTCAGCCCCTCAAATCTTGGCTGGCTCCATGGTCTTAAATTGCAATATTTTACCTCCCAAACACAGATTGATCACAAAAATCTTTAACCTTATTTTTCTGGTAACCTCTACGCTCAGTGCTTTGAATTATCAAATGTTGCAATGTGTAATTGCAGTGACAAATGTATGCCTTATTTTGACGCATCTTCTTCTCTCCTAGGTTTCATTGGTTGCTCTCTAATCCCTTCAACTGGCTGTTTCTGTTTTTGTGTTTTGCATTTTATTCAGCTTTTTTACAGTAGTTGAACTAATCAGCAACATGAGTATGATACATATTTCTGGTTACTTTGACATAACTAGAAGCAGAAGTCTGTGAAATATCTTTTGTATATTATAATTTAGAAGTTGGATTACAGGTTTATGAGTCAGATTATTGTGCTTTGAAAACAAATTTACTGCTTTTCCGATGCCTGAATATAAGCAAAGTAGTTACTCACTCTAGGCCTTAGTTCCTTATATGTAAAATAGAAATAACAGAGTTCCAAAATTACAGAATTGTTGTGAGAAGGTATTATAAGGGTTTTATGTGTAATGTGCTATGCATAGAGTTTGGCACTTCTGAAGCACAAAGAAAAGTTACAAATATGAATATCAGTAATGTTCTACTCTAAAGATACTCACCCAACAGAGAATAGAGACATTGCCCTATTTTTAACATGAGCCTTGCCAATGCTTAGCAATTAAAATTATTCTAAATAATCAAAAAATTTTAATAATCTGCACAAGAATTTAGTCAGTACTTTTTGTCAAACTTACAAAACTGTATGCTTTAATTATTCCTTTTAAAATATGGCATTTTTCTATCCACTGTCCTCTATCACCTCAATTGTTCTGCAAAATTTCTCTAATACTACCTGAAATAATATACTATATCTGCTTCCTTCCACTCAGTTTGGCATGCAGTTTTATACTGTTGTCTATTTATGTTTTTATTTTCCCTCCAACAAAATTCTGTATGCCTAGTGAAAGCCATAATTTTTGTTATTGCTGATAATTTTCCTATGAGCAGAGTGCTGAGTACATAGTTTCTATTCAATGTTTATTTGTTGACTTTAATAGGGGCATGAATTTAAAAAAATAAATAAGAAAAAGATTCTCACTCTAGTTTAAAAAGTTGAAAAGATACATAGGGATTCACACCTCTTAAAATTGTGCTTTAAAGAAAATATTTTATGACTGTTTCCATGGATCACCAGAAGATGTAAAATATTAAGTCTAGTAAAATACATGATTTACTTCATATATTTTAAAAGGCAAAATACTTTTAAATTACATATTTATTAATTTTTAAAACCAATTATGGCATATAACAGAAAACATTAGCTTGAGCTGTACTTAAAGTTTTTAGGCTCTTCAGTAAGAGAGGTAACTCAAGGAGTTAAAAAAAAAAAAAAAGTGAGCTTAGGGAGGAGAGGAGCAAGAAGGCTGAATAGAAGGCTCCACTGGTTGTTCCCCTGGCAAGGACACCAATTTAACAGCTAGCTACACAACAAAAGCACCTTCATAAGAAGCAAAAAACAGTGAGCACTCATAGTACTTGCTTTAACTTTATATTACTGAGTCTTGAATAGCTGGCACTACTTCTTCCCCATCCCCCAGCAGTGGCCATGTAGTACAGAGAGTGTTTCTGTACCCTTGGGGGAGGGAGAGTGCAGCAATTGTGAGACACTTCATTGAATTTATCCTCCTGTCACAGAAGAAAGCAAAACCAGGCTGAACGCAGCTGACACACATATTTAAAACAGCCCTAGCCAGAGGGGAATCACCCTGCAAGCAGTTAAAATTTGAGTTTCAGCAAGCCTGACCACCACAAGCTAAAGTGTTCTGGGGCTCTAAATAATCTTAAAAGGCTGTCTAGGCCACAAGGACTGCAACTTGTAGGTGAGTCTTACTGCTCAGAGCCAGTGAACTTGGGAGGCTTGTGACCCTACTGAGACACCAGCCAGAGTGGCTAAGGGAGTGCTTGCACCACACCTTCCTCAACCCTAGGTGTCACAGCTCACAGCTCCAAAAATGACCCCTTCCTTCTGCTTGGGAGAAGAGAGGGAAGAATAAAGAGGACTTTCTCTTCCTTCTTAGATACCAGCTCAGCCACAATAGGATAGGGAACCAGTAGGAGTTCCCCTTTCCAGGCCCCCTTAGCTCCCAGATGACATTTCTAGACACAGCTTGAGCCAGAAGGGAACCCACTGCCTTGAAGGGAAGAACTCAGTCCTGGCAGGACCTATCACATGATGACTACAGAGCCCTTAGGTCCTAAATACTCAGCAGCAATACCCAGGTAGTAGTACGCCATGGGCCTTGGGTGAGCCTCTGAGGCTTGCTGACTTCAGGTGAGATTCAGCACATTCCCACCTGGGGTAGCTATGGAGCGAGACTAATTCTGCTTGAAAAAAGCATGGGAAAAAGTAAAGGGGACTTTGTCTTGCACCTTAGGTACTAGCTTAGCTATAGGAGGATAGCACATCAAACAGGCTCCTGGGGTTCACGATTCCAGGACTTCCCTCTTGGACAGCATTTCTGGACCTCTCCTGAGACAGAGGGCATCCCCACTTCACTGAGAGTGAGTCTGAGGCCACACAGTATTCAACTCAAGCTGCCTAAAGAGCCCTTGAAACATAAGGGAACATCGGTGGTACCCTGGAAGTAGTCTCCATGGACCTGTGATGGTGGTGGCCATGGAATCCTTTTCTGCCTGTGGAAAAGGGAGGGAAGTCTGAGAAGAGCTGTGACTCATGATTTGAGTGCCAGCTCAGCTGCAGTAAAAGAGAACTCTAGGTAGACTTCTAAGGTTTTTGACTCCAGTCCCGAGCTCCCAGATGGCACCTCTGGACCCATCTGGGGCCAGAGGGAACTTGCCACCCTAAAGGGAAGGACACTAGCCTGGCTGGCTTCACCCCCTGCTGATTGTAGAGCCCCAGGGCCTTGAGAGAACATAGGAGCTAGCCAAATAGTGGTTACAGTGGGCCTTGGGTGAGAGTCAGTGCTGTGCTGGCTTCAGGTCTGACCCAGCACAGTCCCAGTGATGGTGGCCACAGGGGTACTTGTATCACTCCACCCTTATCTCCAGGTGGCTCAGAACAGAGAGAGAGAGAATCCATTTGTTTGGGAGAAAGTAAGGGAAGACACTCAGAGACTCTGCCTGGTAATCCAGAGAATTCTTCCAGAACTTATCAAAGACCATCAAGCAGTACCTCCACAAGTCTGAAAGAACCATAGTGTTATTGGGTTTGGGATGCCTCCTAATGCAGATAAAGTTTACATCACAGCACCCAAGTCCTTTGGAATACCTGAAAGCCTTACCAAGAAGGATGACTACAAATAAGCCCAGACAGCAAAGACTACAAAATATCCTAACTCTTCAAAGCCAAGACAAAGATGAACATCCACAAGCATCAGGATTATCCAGGAAAACATTACCTAACCAAATGAACTAAATAAGGCACCAGGGATTAATCATGGAGAAACAGAGATATGTGACCTTCCAGACAGTGAATACAAAATAGCTGTTTTGAGGAAACTCAAAGACATTCATGATAATACAGAGGAGGAATTCATAATACATTTAACAAAGAAATTGAAATTGTTAAAAAGAATCAAGTAGAAATTCTGGAGTGAAAACATGCAATTGAGATACTGAAGAATGCATCAGAGTCTTTTATAGCACAATTAATCAAGTAGAAAAAATCATTAGTGAGCTTGAAGATAGGTTTTTTTGAAAATACATAGTCAGAGGAGACAAAAGAAAAAAGAAGTAAAGACAATGAAGCATATCTATAGGATCTAGAAAATAGCCTCCAAAGGGCAAATCTAAGACTTACTGGCCTTAAAGATGTAGAGAGAAAGATAGGGGTAGAACAATTTTTCAAAGGGATAATAACCATGAACTTTCCAAACCTAGAGAAAGATATCAATATCCATATACATGAAGATGATAGAACACCCAGTAGATTTAAACCAAACACGATTACCTCAAGACATCTAATAATCAAACACTCAAAGGTGAAGAAAGTATCCTAAAAGGAGCAAGAAAAAGGGACAGATAATATACAATGGAACCTCAATACCGCTGGCAGCAGACTTTTCAGTGCAAAACACCAGGCCAGGAGAGAGTAGTATGACATATTTAAAGTGCTGGGAAACTTTTTTTTTTTTTGAGGCAAGATTCACTCTTGTTGCCCAGGCTGGAGTACAAATGGCACATTCTTGGCTCACTGCAACCTCTGCCTCCTGGGTTCAAGCGATTCTCCTGCCTCAGCCTACTGAGTAGCTAGGATTACAGGCACCTACAAACATGTCCAGCTAATTTTTTGTATTTCTAGTAGAGGTGGAGTTACACCATGTTGGTCAGGCTGGTCTCGAATTCCTGACCTCAGGTGATTCACCAGCTTTGGCCTCCCAAAGTGCTGGGATTAGAGGTGTGAGCCACTGCGCCTAGCCAAAAAAAATTTTTTTGACCCTAGAATAATATATCTGTTGAAAATATTCTTCAAACATGAAGGAGAATTAAAGACTTTCTCAGGAAAACAAAAGCTTAAGAGTTTTATTAACACCAGACCTGCCCTATAAGAAATGCTACATGGTGTACTTCAGATAGAAAGAAAAGGACATTAATGAGCAATAAGAAATCATCTGAAGGTACAAAATTCACTGCTAATAGTAAGCACACAGAAAAATTTAGAATACTACAATACTGTAGCTATGGGGTGTAAACTGTTCTTATCTTAAATAGAAAGGCTAAAAAATAAATAAAAATAAATAAATAAATAAATAAATAATATATTATATATTATATTATATATAATGAATAAATAAATAATTATATTATATATAATATATAATATATTATCATTAAATAATATAATATATAATATATTATCATTAAATAATATAATATATAATATATTATCATTAAATAATATAATATATAATATAAAAAGTAAATAAATAATAAGGCAACAAGAAATAAAAACTAAAACAACTTTCTGAGACATAAACAGTATAACAAGATATAAATAGAAACAACAAAAGGTTAAAAAGCAGGGAGATGAAGTTAAGGTGTAGAATTTCCATTAATTTTGTTTTTTCTTAGTTTGTTTATTTGATTATGCAATCAATGTTAAGTCATTATCAGCTTAAGATAATGGGTTATAGGATAGTATTTGCAAGCCTCATGGTATCCTCAAGTCAAAAACCATACAATGGATACACAAAATGTAAAAAGCAAGAAATGAAATACCACCAGAGAAAATCACCTTCACTAAAAAAAAGACAGGAAGGGAAGAAAGAAGGAAGAGAAGACCACAAAACAACCAGAAAACAAATAACAAAATGGCAGGAGTAGGTCCTACTTCTCAATAATTACATTGGACGTAAATGAAGTAACTGTCCAGTCAAAAGACATAGAGTGGCTGAATGGATTAAACAGCAACCACCACCAAGACCCAATGATCTCGGGCCTACAAGAAACATACTTGACCTATAGAAACACACAAAGACTGAAAATAAATAAATGGAAGAAGATATTTCATCCCAATGGAAACCAAAATAGAGTAGGAGTAGCTATAATTATGTCAGACAAAATAGATTTCAAGACAAAGACTATAAGAAGATACAAAGAAGGTCACTATATAATGATAAAAGAGTTGATTAAGGAAGAAGATATAACAATTTTAATCCTATTCCTATTTAGAAAAAAAAAACGCAGCTCATTGCCAGCACTCATGTAATTTTACATAAACACGCTCTTCGAGGCTGAAGCAAATCTGACTGATTTTCAATGTAAAAATAAAATATAAAAACTGCTTTTGGAGTTATTTCTAAACAGAACTAACATCAGAATCATCAGAATCATTCCTTTCGGAAAAATCAGATTGATCAAATGAATCTTTGTCAACAACTGTTCAAGAATGATGCTAACGTCACATGAAATGTCACATTTTCCAGGGTCTGACATTTTCAGCAATCAAGAATTACTATATTTTGTAAATGGAAATACCACTATGTATTATTTCATTCTCACACTGCTATAAAGAAATACCTGAAACTGAGTAATTTATAAAGGAAAGAGGTTTAATTGACTCACAGCTCCACATGTATTGGGAGGTCTCAGGAGACTTACAGTCATGGCAGAAGGTGAAAGGGAAGCAAGGGCTTCTTCATATGGCAGCAGGAGAGAGAAGAGTGAGCAGGGGAAATGCCAGACATTTATAACACCATCAGAGCTCATGAGGACTCACTCACTTTCACCAGAACAGCATGGAGGAAACTGCCCCCATGATCCAATTGCCTCCCACTGGGTCCTTCCCTCAACAGATGGGGAATACAGGGATAACAACTCAAGATGAGATTTGGATGGGGACACAAAGCCAAACCATATCATGCTACTAAAAACAGAATGCTATAAATAAAATGATGTCTGTGTCCAATGTTGATATACTAGAGCAATACAAAAATAATAATAAAAGCGAGGTAATTTCATGTCCAAGTTATCTTCGGGTAAACATGGCAGCCGCATGTTTTCTTGCTGACAAGTATTCTTGGGGCAGATGGGAAAAGGGTTAAATATATATCTACTGAACACTGGAGCATCCAGATTTATAAAGCAAATATTATTAAAGCTAAGGAGAGCGATAGACTCCAATACATAACAACTGGAGAGTTTAACAACCTGCTTTCAGCATTAGACAGACCATTCAGACAGAAAATCAACAAAGAAACATGGGACATAATCTGCACTATAGAACAAATGGGCCTGATGGATCTTTGCAGAACATTTTATCTAATGATTGCAGAATACACATTTTTTTCCTCAGCACATGGACCATTCTCAAGGATAAATCATATGTTAGGTCAAAAAACAAGTCTTAAAACATCCAAAAGAATTAAAATAATATCAAGAATCTTCTCCGACAACAATGGAATAAAACTAAAAATAAATAACAAGAGAAATTTTGGAAACTATACAAACACATGGAAATTAAATAATATGCTCCTGAATGACCACTGGGTCCATGAAGAAATTAAGAAGGAAATTAAAAATTTTTGGAAACAAATAATAATGGAAACACAACATACCAAAACCTATGGGACACAGCAAAAGCAGAACCTAAGAGAGAAGTTTATAGCTCCAAGTGCCTAGATCAAAAAAAGAAGAAAAACTTCAAATAAACAATCTAACTATGTATTTTAAAGAATTAAAAAAAGGCAAGCGCAAACCCACCCAAAATTAGTAGAAAAAAATAAATAATAAATATCAGAGCAAAAATAAATGAACTTGAAATGAAGAAAACAATACAAAAGAACAATGAACCAAAAAGTTGGTATTTTGAAAAGATAAACAATTGTGAAACCTTTAGCCAGATTAAGGAAAAAAAGAAATACCTAAATAAATAAAATCAAAGATAAAAAATGAGAAATTATAACTGATACCACCAAAATTCAAAGGATCATTAGCGGCCATTATAAGCAACTATATGCCAATTAATTGAAAACTCTAGAACTGGGTAAATTCCCAGGCATAAATCTACCAAGATTGAACCACAAATAAATTCAAAACTTGAACATACCAATAACAGGTCATGAGATCAAAGCCATAATAAAAATTCTCCCAGGGAAAAAAAAATCTCAGGACCCAGTGACTTCATTGCTGAATTCTACCAAACATTTAAGGAAGAACTAATACTAATACCAACTCTACTCAAACTATTTCAAAAAAACAGAGGAGAAGGAAACATTTCCAAACCCATTCTATGAGGCTAATATTACCCTGATACCAAAACCAGATAAAGATACATCAAAAAGAAAATTATAGGACAAAATCTCTTATGAATATTGATACAAAATCCTCAACAAAACACCGGCAAATTAAATTTAGCAATATATTGAAAGATTATTCATCATTACAAAGTGCAGTTTATCCCTGGGAAGCAAGGATGGTTCAACATAAGCAAATCAATGTGATACATCACAGTAGCAGAATGAACGATAAAAACCACATGATCTTATCATTTGATTCTGAAAACTCGTGATAAAATTTAACATTGCTTCACAATAAAAACCCTCAAAAAACTGGGAATAGAAGGAACATAACTCAACATAATAAAAGCTGTATACAACAGACCCACAGCTAGTATCATACTGAATCGGAAAAAAACTGAAACCCTTTCCTCTAAGATCTGCAATGCAACAAGGATGCCTAATTTCATTCCTGTTATTCAACATAGTACTGGAAATCCTAGCTAGAGCAATCAGAAAAGAGAAAGAATTAAAGGGCATCCATATTGGAATGAAAGAAGTCAAACTATATTTGTTTGCAGATAATATGACTTGATATTCGGAAAAACCTGAAGACTTCACAAAGAGACTATTAGAACTGATAAACAAATTCAGTATCCTGGCTAACACGTCGAAACCCCGTTTCTATTAAAAATACAAAAAATTAGCCGGGCGTGGTGGCGGGCGCCTGTAGTCCCAGCTACTCGGGAGGCTGAGGCAGGAGAATGGCGTGAACCTACGAGGCGGAGCTTGCAGTCAGCCGAGATCGCGCCACTGGACTCCAGCCTGGGCGACAGAGCTAGACTCCGTCTCAAAAAAAAAAAAAAAAAAAAAAAAAAAAATTCTATGAAGTTGCAGGATACAAAATCAACCTACAAAAATCAGTATCATTTCTATATGCCAACACCAAACACTCTGAGAAAGGAATTAAGAAAGTAATCCCCATCTGCAATAGCTACAAATAAAATGAAATATCTAGGAATTAACTTTAACCAAAGAGGTGAGGGATCTCTACAATGAAAACTATAAAACACTGATGCAAGAAATTAAAGAAGACACACAAAAATGGAAAGACAATCTATAATCACGGATAGGAAGAATCAATATTACCAAAATCTCCACATTACCAAAAGCAATCTACAGATTTATTGCAATCCTTATCAAAATATCAATGACAGTCCTCACAGAAATATAAAAAGTAGCCCTAACATTTATGTAGAAACATAAAAGACCCAGAACAGCCAAAGCTCTCCTGAGCAAAAAGAATGAAACTGGAGGAATCACATTACCTGAGTTTATACTATGGAGTCATAGTAGCCAAAACGACATAGTACTGGCATAAAAACAGACACATAGATAAGTGGAACAGAAAAGGGAACCCAGAGATAAATCCATATACAGTAAATTCATTTTTGACAAAGGTACAAGAATCTACACTAGAGAAAGAAAATTCTCTTCAATACATTGTGCTGGGAAAACTGAATCTCCATATGCAAAAGAATGAAACTAGAACCCTATCTCTCACCATATACAAAAAAATCAAAATGGATTAAAGATTTAAATACAAGACCTCAAATTATAAAACTACTAAAAGAAAACATAAGGGAAACTGTGCAGGACATTGGACTGGGCAAATATTTCTGGAGTAATAACCCACAAACACAGACAATCAAAGCAAAAATGGACAAATGTAATCACATCAAATGAAAAGCTTCTGCATAGGAAAGGAACCAATTGACAAAGTGAACAGACAGTCCACAGAATGGGAGAAAATATATTAAAACTACCCATCTGACAAATTAATAACCAGAATATATAAGGAGCTCAAATAACACTACAGGAAAAAAACTAATTATTTGATTTTAAAAATGGGCAAAAATCTAAACACATACTTCTCAAAAGAAGACTTACAAATGGCAAACAGGTATATAAAAAGGTGCTCAACATCATTGATCATCAGAGAAATGCAATTCAAAACTACATTGAGATGCATCATCTCACCCCATTTATAATGGCTTTTATCCCAATGTCAGGCAATAACCAATGCTGACAAGGATATGGTGAAAGGGGAACCCTATTATACTGTTGGTAGGAATGTAAATCGGTACAACCACTATGGAAAACATTTTGGAAGTTCTTCAAAAAACTGAAAATAGAGCTACCATTTGATCTAGCAATCCCACTTTTAGCTATATGCTCCAAATAAAGAAATTCAGTATATCAAAGAGCTGTCTGCACTCCTATGTTTATTGCAGCACTATTCATAATAGCCAAGAGTTGGGAGCAAGCTACATGTCAATCGTCAATCAACAGATGAATTGATAAAGGAAATGTGGTACATATACACACTGGAGTACTTTTCAGTCATAAAAATGAATGAGATCCTGTTATTTGCAACAACATGGATGGAACTGGAGGTCATTATATTAAGTAATATAAGTCCAGCCCAGAAAGACAAGCTCCACACATTCTCACTTATTTGTGGAAGCTAATAATGAAAATAATTCAACTCATGAACATAGAGAGAAGGATGATTACCAGAGGCTGGGCAGGGTAGTGGAGGACTGGAGGAAGCACAGATGGTTAATTAATACAAAAAAATAGTTAGAAAAATGAATAAGATGTATTATTTGCTAGCACAACACGGTGACTACAGTCAAAAATGATTTAATTGTACGTTTTAAAATAACAAAAAGAGTATAATTGGATTGTTTGTAACACAAAGGATAAATCCTTCAGGTGATAGATACCCCATTTACCCTTATGTTATTATCATGCATTGCATGCTTCTATCAAAATATCTTATGTAACTCATAAATATATACACCTACTATATATCCACAAAAATATAGAAAATTTAAAAATATATCAGCTTAGTTTTCTTTACCCAGATCAAAGTAAACATTGTTGTCTGTCAACAACATGGTAAATATAAATATATTTCAGTAGCAATAGCATTTGTAATATGTTTAAATATGGCATCCTTAAATTTTATTAATCAAAATATTGGAAACAATGAAGAAAGTCCCATTTACTACCTAACAAACTATTTATGGTACTATTACTAAAAATTATAAAAATTCTTACTGTTTGTTTTGAATTTCTCTTCTGCTATAATCATTCCAAAGAAGTGTCTGTACTTGGGTCTGAACATATCATTATGGATCTCTGAATAACACGCTTGTTATTTGATGAAATCCTTCTGGAAGTCCTCCCAGTATTGAATTGCAATTGTTCTGCAATAAGGAATATACAGAAAAGCAAATTAGCTTGCCAGGCTCCACCAGCATTTTAAAGATGGTATTTAAGAGAGACCCATGACTACTTTGATTTTACAAATTTCACTAGGTGATAATTTCCAAGTCATCAGAATTAATAAAAATTCAGGAAATGTCAAACTTCAGGGAATATAAAACCTCACCTAAGTACACTTTAGAAGGGTCCAGTAACCATCCCAAGTGACAAATCAGGCCTTCTTTTATGTACATTACAAGGAGAAGAGAAGGTAGAAGGGTAGCATAGGGGTGGAGGGCAAAGCTAGATCTACAGCTTCCTGCAGATGTATTTTGATCCTCCACTTCCCTGGACAGGGGTCAGTCTCATTTAGTTAACTAATTCTTTTCACATGTTCTGTAAGAATGGACTATGTGCTATATCTGTTATAGGATGTAGTAATTGGAAGGGTGGATGGAAATACAGAGAGAAGAATTGACAGTGAAACTTGCCAATTTCATAGTCTAAGGTAATGCAGATATCCATCGGAGACCCTTCAGAAACCCTAATTCCAGAAGGCACTGACTACTCTTTAAGGAATTCAGGTCTCACTGCATTATTCATCAGAACCAGTGTCTGTGTAGATAACTGAAATAGCATATTAGATTTCTTTTTATAAAATGGAGAAAAAAATACCTCTAGATTATATAGATGGAATTTTAGCATGCAACTCTTAGCTAAAGAGAGACACACTCTCCTCTGCAGCCATCAACTGTAGGGCTTTTCATGAGGTTTCTTAGGAATACTATGAAGATCTTCCAGGGTCATCTCTGTGTTTCTGGCGTAATCCTTTGCATGTACCTTACCCTTCCTTGTGCCTTCAATCAGAAAACAACAAATTCTAGATAGTTGAGTGTATTAGTCCATTCTCACACTGCTATGAAGAAATACCCGAGACTGGGTAATTCTTAAAGAAAAGAGGTTTAATTGACTCACAGTTCAGCATGGCTGGGAAAGCCTCAGGAAACTTACAGTCATGGTGGGAGGCACCTCTTCACAGGGTGGCAGGAGAGAGAATGAGTGCTGAACGAAGGGGGAAGCCCCTTATAAAACCATCAGATCTCCTAAGAACTTCCTCACCATCATGAGAATAGCATGGGGGAAACTGCCCCCATGTCTCAATTATCTCCACCTGGTCCCACCCTTGACACATGGAGATTATTACAATTCAAGGTGAGATTTGCGAGGGGATATAGAACCAAACCATATCAGTGAGTGAAGTATTTATAAGCAATGGTGCTTTGTGTGGATCACTCTTTGAAAAGCAGTGCAGTCATTTGTGTCATTACATATATCCCTCAGTATGTTTATAAATTTCTGCTCCATGACCTATGGGTCTCAACAATAAATTGTGCTATATGACTTCTTCCATTTTTCACACTGCACTCAGAAACACAAGCCTAAAATAAATACACTGTGAATCAGGGCCATGGGAGTCTCTTCTTTTACAAGGGTTGTCCTTTGGAAGCACCTTCTCCTTCCCTAAAGAGCTTATGTTTTTACACTTAAAAATGGGTCTTTTCCATGTCCATTTCCTGAATATTTTGTTATTGATCCAAACTATTTTTTCTCTGCCTTTCATGTTATTATAAAAGAAACCTCATTGTGCCCTAGTGCATATATTAAAATATAACATAAAAGAAGATTAAAGGTATAAAACGGAAAAGTCAGCAAGCAACTAAAAATCCTAACACTTAAAAAAGAAAGAAAGAAAATGGGTTAAAAGGTTACAAAGGAAAAGAATATGGGTTTCTGGAAGAGGCTAAAATATAAACAGCCCCCTGACCTTGGGTTCAAATAAGGAATGAATAGAAGGGTTGGACATATTTATTAAGGCAGACAATTTGAAAAATTTAATCCTCAGCTAAACTAAAAAACATCCAAGGAAGGCAGTATTTGAATGTCTACCCTCAAGTCCAAGAGGAAGAATCTCTAGGGATTTTCTGGAGAGAAGAAACTCTATTACAACATTTTCCTGGCCTGAAAGCCTAGTTAGGAGGAAGTGAACAGAACCCAGCCCCAAGGCCAAATTTCAGATCAAGTGGATGGACTGCCAGGACATCCTACACACCGGACAAAGACAGTGAAGCCAAGACTACCCACATTCCCATGCTTTTAGAACCGGGGAACCTCAAGGGGGTACTTGATTTATGTGGAATAACTGGTCTGCCTAAATTCATTTAAGAAAGAAAACCTTTTCCAGCACCCTCACCTGGGATTGAGGATTTTAGAAAATGGAAATGGAAGATGGAAATATATTAAATTGCTCCTTGGCTAATATATTAGGACCCTGAAAAAAAGAGCCTAAGGTTCAAATAGTAACAATAGACAGCAGTTATTAAACACTGATTGTTCCACGCCATGTTGTTTTATATGTCGAATCTCCTTCTATCGTCACAAAAATCCTATGAGGCATATATCATCACACCAGTTTTTATAGACGAGGAAGCCTGAGCCTAGGTTCGTTCATTAGCCGATGAACATATTATAAACATGTAATGAAGAGCTATAATAGTTAATGGTAGAGACAGGATTCAACCCCCAGGTCTACCTGACTCAGGGCCTATATTCTTGACAACCTACAGTGTAGAATGAACGAACCACTGCAATAAATATAATCATGAATTAATAAGCAAACAATATGCATATGATACTCTACTTATATTAATAAATCTTACGAGCAAAGGATGTCAAAGACGACTATTTACAACTCACCTATACAACAATAAGAGCTTAGAGGGCCTAATGTTGCAAGATACAATTTGTGTATTTACTCAGGCTCTAACATTTGGAATTTCCATGAATTGATCCTAGTCCTTCATCAACTGTTATTAATCTAATTTATTAATCTTAAAATAATAAAATAAAAATTTAAAATTAAGTTACTATAAGATGTCATATCCTGTGCTGTTGCTATGCGTTCATAGAAATTTTCTCTTTTCATCTAATACCCTCTTCAGTGGTTAGTATAAAATATGCATTCAGTAAGTATTTTTAAAACAGTGTAATTAGTATTTCCCTCATTTCCCTGATGTGACAATTGACACTCAGAGAAAACTTACCAAGGACCAGAAGTCCTCATGTAGGATTCAAATTTAGTTTTTCTAACTTCAAGGCCCATGTATTTGGTACAATATCAAAAGCTACAAAATTACGAAATTAAATTGTTATAGAAACGAATAAAATGAGTTAAAAGAAGATTACACTTGGCCGGGCGCGGTGGCTCACGCCTGTAATCCCAGCACTTTGGGAGGCTGAGACTGAGACGGGCGGATCACGAGGTCAGGAGATCGAGACCATCCTGGCTAACAAGGTGAAACCCCATCTCTACTAAAAATCCAAAAAGTTAGCCGGGCGTGGTGGCGGGCGCCTGTAGTCCCAGCTACTCGGGAGGCTGAGGCAGGAGAATGGCGTGAACCTGGGAGGTGGAGCTTGCAGTGAGCCAAGATTGCAGATCGCGCCACTGCACTCCAGCCTGGGCGAAAGAGCGAGACTCCGTCTCAAAAAAAAAAAAAAAAAAAAAAAAAAAAGAAGATTACACTTGAGGAATGTCTTAAATAATGACCAAAATCTTTCATGGAACAAAACTTGATTGTATATGGGGATCAGATATTCTTGGCCACTGCTTCCAAATTTGTTCATATCATGGCACATACGTTAATATTTTTACGGCACACTTCTGGAAATGAGAAAATGATTCTCAGCTGGAAGCAACTTTCTCGTGTTCTCTGGCCACCCTGGCTCTGACCAGCTATCCTATGAACTGTGGAATCAATATCACACATTTAGTCCACTGGTTGCATGCAAATATTCAAGATTTACCAGTTGAGAAGCTTAGTTGTATGTATATAAAATAGCATGCAAAAACATAGATTTGAGGAAATGCATAAAATATTTTTGAAACCTTGAGAAGTTCAGTTTGGTTTAGGAAATATGGTGGAAAATAATATTGGAGAAGAGTTTAGAGTCAGATTATAAAATTTCTTATATGCCATGCATTTGAACTGTAAAATTACATTAAATAGGCAAAAATTGCATAATAATGTATAGATTTTCCTTTTTCAATTTTTCTCTTCAGCATTATTTCATTTACTTCAACTGCATTTATTACTCTGGATTCCTTTCTGCTGTGCAGTATTTGGTATAATACAAATACTTTCAATGAGATCAACTATGAAAGCTGCATAAAATAAATGAAGCAGAAAACAACTACTTAAAATTATTGGAGATTAACTAAGTCAACAAGAAATGGAGGAACTGAGTTCCTGAAGAGAATGGAAGTACATTAGGATGAATGTTCATTTGCCTTCACTTTTTTGCATTAGCAAGCAATTCTCAGCTCTAAGCACAGAAACTGATCATGAAGCAATAGTCTAAAAATGTGAGGGGCCGAAATCAGTGAGCTTCAGAAAAGTGACTTTGACGTTCTACGCAGTTTCTACTCTTAGCATTTACGAACTCTAAGACACTGAGAAACTCTGATTCTGTGCTTAGAAACTAAAAAATAGCTTAGCAATGATTTTGATACTTTTATTGTGCTAGAAAGACAGAAAGTAGTGTTCAGATACCCCAAATAAGAATGATCCTATTTAAACACCAAAGCTCTTTTTTAGTTGAGATTCCTACAAACATTGCATAGCAATGACTGAGAACAAACTAAAAATAGGCCAGTTTTGCCTAGATGAAAATGATTTGTCTGTACTTGGGACTGGAAAAAACAAAACACATGAAATCGTCTTTGGAGGAAGATATCATCCAAATGTTCTACATTTTTTTCCTACATACTGTCCAGCATTTAATAAAAACTTAGAAAACATGTCAATAAACACAGTCACTAACCAAACCCAAAGAGAAAACAGATAGGAACAGGTGTCCAAGTAATCTAAATTTTGTTGGAGATACACACAGATTTAAAATAACTGAGTTCAATGTATATAATAAGATAGAGTACAATTTAAAAATTTCCCAAACATCAACTCTTAAAAAAGAAGTTAAGAATTGAAGGATGAATCTAATGGCACCTTAGAAACTGCAGAAGACGGGATTAGTGTTTGGCCTATAGATTAGTAGAAAATAATTTGTAATGAAGCACAAAGAAAGGACTGAAAATGCCATATCTATAGATAAATTAATGGAATTAATACAAATGGAAGTGTTGCTGAGTATAATTTCTATATGAATTAATTACATTCCTATATTAGCAACAAACATTTAAAAGTGAAAGTTGAAAGCTAAATCAATTTACAATAGTTTGAAAGCCACCAAATACCTAGGAATAAGTCTAATAAAAAGTTGCAATACTGCTACATAGAAATCTAGAAAATGCTACAAGAGAAATCAAAGAAAATACATCAAAGGGAGGAAAATATCAAGGTAAGAAATATAGGAAGAACTGATATCTTAATAATATTGAATCTTCTAATCTCTGATTTACACCAAAATTGTTTTTGAAAAAAGACAACTGTGAGATTCAAACAACTCCAAAATTGCTTTTGAGAAAAATATACATTACTTAGCTTGATTGTGAATATTTCACAATGTGCAAATATATATACAATTTTTAATTTTCAACTGTACCTCAACAAAACTGAAAAGATGCAACAAGGAAAAGGTTGTCTTTTCAGTAAATGGTGCTAGGTCAATTGAATTTTTATTAAAAAGGTGGTAATTTATTTCTACTTCATACCTCACACATGAAATTCAGTTGCAATGGAATGTTAATGTAAATGCTTATTGCTCAAGCCTCCGCCTCAAGCCTTCTTTCTTCCAACAAGCATCACCTTACTGCTCTAACAGTCACTTAGGTACTTATTTTCTAAATACTTTTTACAGGTAGAAATTGTATCATATTATGCTGTCATACATTTTCTTTAGCTATGACCATTTTATCGACCCAATAAGGTATAAGCTCTTTAAAGAGAAGAAATATGGGTTTCTATTCCATATCATTAATTTGACAGGTACAGTTCCCTGATGTAAAACACTTCATTATCTGTATGTGATTCATCTACTCAAATACCCTGTTAGATTCTGGAGGCCAAGCTTCTAACTGTATTTTTTATTTTCTCACACATTGAGCCCAACGCCTTGCACAATGAAAACCTCCAATATATACTTATGGATTGAATTTTCCAAGAATTAGGCCTTTATAATACTAGAGACTAACAGCACAAAAGTTTTCTTTACTTTAATTCTAAGGGCATCACACTCAGCATAAAATCCTAATGACTCGCCATGCACCACAGGTCTTATGGGTCTAGCTCTGTCCCAGTTCCCTGGGGCTCTATTCCTTACCTCTCTCCCCTTGCTCCCTCTCAGTCTACTCTTATTCTTCTCTCTGCCTGGAATGCTTTCCCAGGTCTTCACAGTACTTGACTCTTGTTATATTTTCAGTCTTTCTTCCAACGTTGCCTCCATAGAGAGGTCATTATCCATCTTGTCACTCCCTGTCCAATATTCACTTCTGTTTTTCTTCATAGCTTCACCCACTCTTACCTAAAAATAAGCTACCCAAGGGCAGGGATTTTGTGTTTCTTATTTTTGGTGTATCTCCAAGTCTTGCACATACATTGTGTTCAGTAAACATGTATTGAAAATATAAATAAGTGAACAAATTCAGTAAACCCTTGCAATAATGTTTGATGAATAGAAAAACTTCTAATTCATAGCATTAGTTCAGAGTGAATGAAAACAAAATCCTGAGAAACAGAGTAATATAGCAATGATACAGGAAGAAGGCACAACCTCAGAATCTGTGGTTATAATTAATTAAAAAAATAGGGTGAATGTGACTTGTGGGCAAATTACTTTTACAAAATGATAAGATGTGATCGTGCTTTAAAACTTCTAAATTCAGCCGACATTGAATATTGAGCTATATGGTAAATAATGAATAAAGCTCATTATTTCTCTATGTCTAACCTTATTCTAAAAAGCAGTGCATCTGGGGGCCAGATGACTTTAGAAACACGTTATTAAAAATAACTCCTTAATTCTTCAACATAAGTGGAGACAGACTTCATTATCTCATTTAGCAGAGGCAGCTCACGATTGTAATCCCAGCATTTTGGGAGACTGAGACAGGAGGATCACCTGAGGTTGGGAGTTCAAGACCAGCCTGACCAACATGGAGAAACCCCATCTCTACTAAAAATACAAAAAAAAAAAATAGCCAGATGTGGTGGTGCATGCCTGTAACCCCAGATACCCAGGAGGCTGAGGCAGGAGAATCGCTTGAGCCCGGGAAACGGAGGTTGTGTTGAGCCAAGATAATGGCATTGCACTCCAGCCTGGGCAACAAGAGTGAAACTCCATCTCAAAAAAAAAAAAAGTTGAGGCAGTAAAAATAAATGGTTTGTCTAATGTTTCAACATTAATTTGATAGTGTCATGTTGAATATCAATTTGTAGCCACATGTTTGTTCCTGAATTTGTGACATCATTTATGACATAATTTATATTATGAACATAACTTTCAACAGAGTGAGAGAAGCATCACTCTCTGTGCTTTAGAACAGATTTCTCTTCTATAATCATTCAATTATGGGTAACCAGAAAGGCAATGAATATAACATGAGGTCTTAAATGTGGACATTTCCCCCATTAACTCATTCAAAATGTGTTGTCAGGGAGTTGGTTCAGGTTCAAGAGTGAGCTGACTTATGGAAAGACATGAATTGAAACCCAAATTAGAATCTAAAAGGAAGTATGGTACTATAAAGCAGAGAAAGTGGGTTTGTGGTGGCACAGTGGTGGTGCATACCAATTTGATGACTCTTGACAAATCACAAAGAAGTAGTTTCTTTAAAAAATTAAAATTAAACAAATTAGGGGTAATATTGGGATAGACAATTATTTTTCCTCTTGTGCACCATATCCTATAGATGTATCCCTTTATTTTTATCTATTTTTTATTCATTGATATTCAAAAGCCCATTCTCCCAACCAAAAAGTTCCAGCCTCAAACTTGTTAAAGTCAAAACAATTGTTAAAATGGAAAATAGAAGCAATTTTTATCATTGGCCCACCACAGTTTGGCTCAATTCTTCCAGTCTCTGCTCTAGTGAGAACGAAGCCAGACCACACACTGAGGCTGAATTACAACACTTCAAAAAGAAGAAAAACACTAATGGAAAAAGTCAAATGGGTTTCCAAATAGGAGGTGGTAGACAGTACAGAAACCTCTTAGCACAGCTCTTACAAGGCTGAACTCCGAATCCCAGGCCCCAACAGGCAATCATTAGCTTGCCTTCCCATTCTTCTGTGGTTGTAGGACAGGAAATGTCCATTCAGCTGCACATTGTTCTAGAGTGCATCAGCTTAAGTGGAAATGCATTTTTAGAGCCTCTTAACCCAATCCCCACTTTTGTAAAACGGATCCTGTCATTTATAAAAATAAAAATGAGAGCTGCATGAGATATTTTCTTCCTTAAAATTATTTCAGCAAGTGAATGAAAAAATAAAGGAGTAAATTATTTCAGCAAGTGAATGAAAAGTTTAAAGGAGTAAATGTTTGGAAGGAAGTCTTTAAGTTGATAGTGATAGAGAAACCTAATTTTGTTATCTTGGACACAAATGCAGCTTCCTAACTCTTAGAAGACAAGTGAACGTTGATAACGCAAACTATGGAAAGGGGAGGGGTGCAGACAGGTTTCAGGGAAAATTCAGGGAAGGTATTTTATTTCTTCTGGAATGTTGGCTATCTCTTTTCTCTGGCCACAGCACTTAGGTCACAGCGGTAAGCAGAAGAAAATACTGTCCCTTCTTTCAGGAAGACAGATCAAAATTTAAAAGCAGTCCCACAGATGCAAAATTAGAATTTGTCCTGAGTGCTAGAAAAGAGAGGTACATGTTAATATGAGTATAAAATGTGTAAATTGACTAGGGGAGGCTTTTCTGAAGAAATATCACGAAGCTGACCTATACTATGAGGAAATAAATCTCAAAATCATGAAGCAGTTTGTCTCCTGAACACAGCCATGCTGAGAAGTTCTAAACTATAGCTTGGTTAGACCTGGGAAGGTTAAGGTCATTTGGCCAGACATATATGTTTCCATGGCTCTTTCACAAACATTATGCAAACTTCTGAAAATCTGGACTTAACTTGACATTTAAGGAGTCCTTTGGGGAAGAGCACAAATAGGAGCTTGAGAGATGCTTTAAATCTAGTCAGCAGAAATAAAAGGATAAAAATAAAGAAGCAACAGGGAAGAAAACTGACATTTTTAAGTGGCAAGTAGAAGCTAGATGCTCTATATCAATTACCTCAATGAATCTCCCCAAATACTACAGCCATTGGGTGTAGTTATCCCCGTTTTATACTGGTGGAAACTGAGGCTCCTAAGATTTAAGTAGCTTACCGATGACGACAAATTCAGATAGTAGGTATGCTAGGATTTGAACACAGGACTTGCTTTGACTTCTTACTTTGCTCTTCATTTTTCCTTACACAGTACATATCTAGAGAAACATCAGCAGGCTTTAGGAGTGGATAAGAGACGTCATTTTTAACTCTATCGCTTTCGGATTTAAATATAGAAAAACAGTCCTGAAAATTAAAACTGATTGTCATTATCCTTTTTTTTTTGCTTTGTTTTGTTTTTTTGTTTTTGTTTGTTTGTTTTTTGAGACAAGGTCTCACTTTGTCGCTCAGGCTAGAGAACAGTAGTGCAGTCACAGCTCAATGTATCCTCGACCTCTTGGGCTCAAGTGATTCTCCCACCTCAGCCTTCTGAGTAGCTGGGACTACAAGCATGCAACACTGAAACCAGCTAACTTTTTTTCCTTTTTTGTAGAGATAAGGACCTCACTATGTTGCCCAGGCTATATCATTATCCTAAGAGACAGATTCCAGAGATTTGCCTTAACTCTGTGTGTCTTGATAACTATTTTTTCTGTCAATTTAGTCATGCTCTATCCTTCTTTTGTGAAAATAGAAGGGGCTCTTCCCTGACCACAGAGACAGACCCATAACTCAGGCCAGGACAATAACACTTTCCTATTCTCCTGTCATAATATCAGTCAGTGTGGCAGCCATTGTAGTTTGGCTCACTCAATACTCAAATATAATCACATTCTCCCCTACTTGACTCTATCACAGAGACTGAAAAAGACAAAATAATTGATTTCTCAGACTCTTCTGTGGATAAGAGTAGCCATGTGGTCCATTTCTAGTCTATAAGATGTAAGTGAAAGTTTGCTGAATAGGATTTCTGGGAAAGATTTTACTTCCTTCCCTGATAATAAAGAACCGACTCACTTGGCTTGTCCTTTTGCCCATTTGTTCTCTCTCCAGCCTGAAATTCAGATGTAATAGCTAGAGGCACAGCATCCATTCTATAACCACGAAGCAATAAGCCTGAGGGCATAAGTCAACACTAAAGATGTTGGTTCAAGATGATGGAAAGCGCCTGGGTCCTTCAGTCACTTTTCTGGCCACAAACTGTCTACCTTTGGTTTTGTCATAGGAAAAAAAAATTATCCAATTGTTTAAGCCACTATTGGGAGGTTATCTTCTGTTTTATTGCCAAAAGCACTCCTGACAGATAGCCAGAGTTGGGCACACAAAACAAGACAGGCCAATTGACATTCTTACTCAAGATCTTTCTGATTGAGTGAGAAGGGTAACACTGTTTTCAATATTTTGCCTCAAGGCAATGGTCATGTTCCCTGCAATTGTGTCCACTCTGCAGAAACAGGATGGACCCCCAATAAAATTTGGTTTGGATGTCTAGATTGATGATGTCCCATGCAAACCAAAAGGGTATGTAGAGGTTAGGGATAAATCCAAAAACAGATATACTAGACCTATATCAAACAAATTCACAAAACAATGTTGGTAGAAATTTTAAAAACCTAAATAAATTGGTAAACTTACCTTGCATACAGGTTAGAGAACTCAATATTTTAATATGTAAATCGCCCCAACTTAATTTGTATGTCACATTAACTACAATCAAAATCTCAGCAAGCTATTTTTTGGGGAAAGTAAAATGATTTTAAAATTTATGTAGAAATGAACAACAATAGTCAAAGCAACTATTGAAAAAGGATAAAATAATTGAAAAAAACTAACATTTGATCTCAAGAATGATTATGAAGCTATAATAGTCAAGATTGTCTGGTAATGGCATCAAAATAAAAAAAAATAGATCTATGAAATACAATAGAAATTCCAGAAATAGAACTACATATATATGAACGACTGATTTTTGGCAAAAATGCCCAGTCAATTCAATGGCAAAAGGAGAAAAGAGATGGTGCTGGAACAATTGGCTACTGTGAAAAATAAAAGCTTCAATCTATACTCCACGCCATATATAAAAATTAACTCAACATGAAGCATAGCCCTAAATGTAAACCTAAAATACAAAACTTTGAGAATAAAACATAGAAGAAAAGCTTTATCTTATTGGGTCAGGCAGTGATTTCTTAAATATGGCACTATTACAATGGATGAGAAATAGAAATTTTACTGTGATTTTGATTTGCATTTACCTAATTAATTATGATGTTGAGTTTCTTTTCTTGTGCTTGTAATTTTTATATCTTCTTTGATGAAATGTCTGTTCAAATCTTCAGCCTATTTTTATATTTCTTTCTCTCATTGACTTGTGTGCTCTTTGTATATTCTAGATACAAGACAGTTATCAGATGGTTGTTTTGTAAATATTTTTCCCAGTTTGTGGCTTGCCTTTTAATTTGTAAATAATTTCTTTTGAAAAGTAAATGTTTTTAATTTAATGAAGCTCATTTTTTAACATTTTAAATGAATTTAGCTTTATATACCTGATCAATCTTTGCTTATGCCAAGATTATAATGATTTTCTCTGCTTTCTTCTAGTTGTATCATTTTAGCTTCCCCAGTTAGGTCTCTAATCTACTGGAAGTGTGTGGTGATGCTGAGGTTCTTTTTTCTTTTCTCGTGTAGGTATTCAGTTCTTCCATCACATGTGTTGAGATGGCTATACTTTATGCATACTTATCTTCATACTTTTAACAACATCATTGTTCATATTTATTTAAGGACTGGATATATTTCTAAACTCCCTATTCGGTTGGATTTGTATATTTTTAAGACCATTATGACCATGTCTTGATTACTGTAGTTTTGTTAAATTCTTAATTCAGAGAATGTGCTAACTTTGACCTCTACTTCTATTGCTTTTAGGTTGGTGCAAAAGCAGTTGCAGTTTTTGCCATTACTTTCGATGTTAATAAGCATAGTCTATGTCCTTTGAATTTCCATATCGATTTTTACAATCAGTCTGCCTATTTCTAAAGAAAAGTCTCTCCCTTCGTAGCTTCTTCCTCCTCTTAACTATTCTGACTCACAAATTCCAGCATGTTGTCCTCTTCAAACTCTATCTTTTTAAACCCTGAATCTACAAGGACACCAGGCTCCATTTGGGATCATCCATCCTACCCTGAGGCCTGGAAATTGCTTCCAGGAAGCACTGGAGCATTTAGAGCGCTGACCCCATTTGTTTTCCTTCTCTTAGAGATTATAATCCTCTGGTGTCTGTCGTTCAATATCTGGAAACAGTTGTTTCCATTATTTTGTCCAGTTTTCTGTTTACATTGAGGAGACATTCTCTGCAACAGTAAATCCTTTATGGACAGAAGCAGAATGCCTGCCAGACATTTTAATATTAGCCCTTCCAGTGGATGTGCAGTGCATTTTATTGTGATTTTAATTTGCATTTTCTGAATGACTTATGATATTGAGCATCCTGCATGTGCTTATTAGTCTTTTACATATTTTCTTTTATGAAAGATTTATCAAGTATTTTGCTTTTTTTGATTTTTTTGGCTTCTTTACATTTGTAGGAATTCTTATGTATTCTAGAAACCAGACCTTTGTCAGAAATATTAATATGTGCTGTGAACATTTGCTCCCACTCCATATGTCTTCTTTTCATTCTTGATAGTATATTTTTGTAGAGCAGAAGTTGCTAATATAATAAGACTCAATTGTTGACTTTTAAAATTTTATGATTTACACTTTTCGTGTCCCAAGATACCTTTGCCTGCCCCCAAAGTTACAAAGGTTTTCTCCTATCTTATTTTACTGGACATTTTATAAGTTTTAACTTTTATGTTTATATCTGATCCACTTGAAACTAATTTTGCATGTATAGGTTAAGGTAATGGTTGAGGAACATGTTTTTCAAGTATATGTCTAATTATACCGGAACCATTTTTGGAAATAAATATCTTCCTCATTTAATTATCTTGGTACACTTGTTAAACATGATCTCCCTTTATATTTCCTTTTAATTTGTCTTTATTTTTGAGAGATGTTTCTATTGTGTTTACACTATTTTTTCAGTGCTTTAACAACACCATTTCATTATGTACCATCTTACAAAGCTTCTTAAAATAATTCTGCTGTCACACTTATTTTATTCCTTTGTATATAATGTGCACTTTTTTCCTCTCTACTTTTGAGATTTTTTTCTGTATTGTTAGTTTTCTGCAATTTAATTATGATGTGCCTAGGTATTTGTGGTAGGCAGAATAATGGCACTCCAAAGATAAACACACTCTAATACTTGGAACTTGTGAATATACTACTTTTTGTGGCAAAGGGAGATTAAGGTTGTAGATGGAATTAAGGTTGCTAATTAACTGACCTTAAAATAGAGTCTTAATTGTGTATGTAGATTCAGTGTATTCACAGGGAGTCAAAACTGGAAGAGAGACTCAGAAAGACAGAAGAAGATGTGACTATGTAAGAAGTTCACAAGGAGGTGCAATGTCGCTATCCTTCGAGATGAAGAAATGGGATTATTGTGGGTGGCTCTAGAAGCTGGAAAGGTCTTGGATTCATACTATTTGTGGGTTATTAATCCTTATGTATCAGTGGAGTCATATTTTTATTAAATTTGGAAAATGTTCAGCTATTATTTCTTCATATGCATGTGTGTATATATATATACACACACATATATTTAGACAGAGTCTCACTCAGTCGCCCAGGCTGGAGTGTAGTGGCACAATCTTGGCTCACTGCAACCTCCACCTCCTGGCTTCAAGCAATTCTCCTGCCTCAACCTTCCAAGTAGGTGGGATTACAGGTGACCGTCACTACACCAGGATAATTTTTGTATTTTTAGCAGAGATGGGGTTTTAGCTTGTTGGCCAGGCTGAACTCAAACTCCTGACCTTATGTGATCTGCCCACCTAGGCCTTCCAAAGTGCTGGGATTACAGGGGTGAGCCGCTGCGTCCAGCACCTCGTCTAATATTTTTAATGATTCTCACTTCAGGATTTAACACTATCTGATATTTATCACAAGCCCCTGAGTATCTATTTTTTTTTCCATTCTTTTTCTTTTTTCTCTCTCTGCACTTCATTCTGTAGTTTGAACTACTGCATATTCAACTTTACTGATCTTTTTTAACATTGTGTTTAATCTGTTAATCTCATCCAGTAAAACTTATTTTAGTTCTCTTTGGTTCTTTTTCATTGCATCTATTTCTTTCCTCACATTTTGTTTTAAATACTTGAAGATACCTGTGATTGCCCTTTTAAAATCATTGTCTGTTTATTTTACCTCTTCTTCCATTTTTTGGGTTTGCTTCTATTTCTGCTTATAGGTAACAATTTCCTGTTTCTTATTTCTAATCATTCTTATTCAGTGCTGGGCACTTGTGAGTTTTATATTTTTGAGTACTAATTTAAAAATTGTTTAAAGGCTATTAAACTTTGGTCTGTCAGATAGTTATTTGTAGATAAATTAAATTTTTTGAGGTTTATTTTTAAGTTTTAGTAGAGCACGTTTGGGGTAGTTTTGCACTAGGAATTTTTTTTTTCAGTCCTACTACTCTTTCTGCTGTGTATATTGAATGTCCTGAGTGTGCAACGTAAACTCTCCATTCTAGCTGGTCAAAACTCAAATCTCCTAGCCTTGTAAACTCTGTACTTCTTTAGCTTTCAGGTCTCAAGTCTTTCTTTTCCTTGACTAGTGGATTGTTTCCTATGCATGGGCAATTTCAAATTTAGAAACAGACTCAAGGGTACCCTATGCAGATTTCTGAGGCTTTCACTCTCCAGCTCCCTCTTTTCTGGCACTCTACAATTTTCAGCTTTCTCCACCTCCCTGAAATCTAGTCTCTGCCTCTTCAGAGAGATCACCATTCTATACTTGGGAATCCCCCACCACCTACACCATGGGCTGGAGAATGCCTCTAGAGAAAAAGTCACAAAAATCATAGGGCTCATCACACTTGGTTATCTTTTCTCAATATCAGGATTATTAATATCTTCATGGTCTATAATGACAGTTGTCCAATGTCTGCAAACCATTGCTTCATATATGTATTAGTCCATTTTCACACTGCTGATACAGACATACCTGAAACTGGGCAATTTGCAAAAGAAAGAGGTTTATTGGACTTATAGCTCCACATGGCTGGGGAGGCCTCACAATCATGGCGGAAGGCAAGGAGGAGCAAGTCACATCTTACGTGGATGGCAGCGGGCAAAAAGAGAGCTTGTGCAGAGAAACTCCCATTTTTAAAACCATCAGATCTCGTGAGACCCATTCACTATCACGAGAACAGTGCAGGAAAGACCCGCCCCCCTGATTCAATCATCTCCAACTGGGTCCCTTCCATAACATGTGGGAATTATGGGAGCTACAGGATGAAATTTGGATGAGGACACAGAGCCAAACCATATCATTCTGCCCCTGCCTCCTCCCAAATCTCATATTTTCACATTTCAAAACCAATCACGCCTTGCCAAGAGTCCACCAAAATCTCAATTCATTTCAGCATTACCTCAAAAGTCCACAATCCAATATCTCATCTGAGACAAGGCAAGCGCCTTCTGCCTATGAGCCTGTAAGATCAAAAACAAGTTAGTTACTTCTTAGATACAATGCGGGTACAGGCGTTGGATAAATACAGCCATTCCAAATGAGAGAAATTGTACAAAACAAAGGGGCTACAGTCCCCATGCAAGTCCAAAATCCAGTGGGGCAGTCAAATCTTAAAGCTCCAAAATGATCTCCTTTGACTCCACATCTCACATTTAGGTCACACTGATGCAAGAGGTGGGTTCCCATAGTCTTGGGCAGCTCCTCCCCTGTGGCTTTGCAGGGTACAACCTCCCTTCCAGCTGGCTTCATAGGTCGGCGTTGAGTGTCTGCAGCTTTTCCAGGCACACAGTGCAAGCAGTCACCCCAGCATCTATCATTCTGGGGTCTGGAGGACAGTGGCCCTCTTCTCACAGCTCCACTAGGCAATGCCCCAGTAGGGACTCTGTGTGGGTGTGCCCACCCCACATTTCCTTTCTGCACTGCCCTAGCAGAGGTTCTCCATGAGGACCCTGTCCCTACTGCCTGGGCATCCAGGCATTTCCATACATCTTCTGAAATCTAGGCAGAGGTTCCAAAACCTCAATTATTGACTTCTGTGCACTCACAGGCTCAACACCACATGGAAGCTGACAAGGCTAAAGGCTTGCACCCTCTGAAGCCATGGCCCTAGCTCTACTTTGGCCCCTTTCAGCCAAGGCTGGAGCAGCTGGCATGCAGGGCACCAAGCAGCATGGGGAGCCTGGGCCTGGCCCACAAAACCACTTTTTCCTCCTAGGCGTCTGGGCCTGTGATGGGAGGGGCTGCTGCAAAGGTCTCTGTCATGCCCTGGAGACATTTTCCCCATTGTCTTGGTGACTAACATTCAGCTCCTTGTTACTTATGCAAATTTCTGCAGCCAGCTTGGGCTTGGATTTCTCCTCAGAAAATGAGATTTTCTTTTCTATTGCATTGTCAGTCTGCAAATTTTCCAAACTTTTATGTTCTGTTCGCCTTTTGAAACTGAATGCCTAAACAGCACCCAATTCACTTCTTGAATGCTTTGCTGCTTAGAAATTTCTTCCACCAGATACCCTAAATCATCTCTTTCAAGTTCAAAGTTCCACAAATCTCTAGGGCAGAGGCAAAACGCCACCAGCCTCTTTGCTAAACCATAACAAGAGTCACCTTTGCTCCAGTTCCCAATAAGTTCCTCATCTCCACATGAGGAGATAAGTTCCTCATCTCCACATGAGGAGATAAGTTCCTCATCTCCACATGAGTTCCCAATAAGTTCCTCAGCTCCACCTCAGTCTGGACCTTATTGTTTATATCAGTATCAGCATTTTTGTCAAAGCCATTCAACAAGTCTCTAGGAAGTTCCAAATTTTCCCATATTTTCCTGTCTTCTCCTGAGCCCTCCAAACTGTTCCAAACTCTGCCTGATACTCAGTTCCAAAGAGGCTTCCATATTTTCAGCTATCTTTTTGGCAATGCCCCACTCTACTGGTGCCAATTTACCATATTAGTCCATTTTCACACTGCTGATAAAGACATAACTGAGACTGAGCAATTTACAAAAGAAAGAGGTTTATTGGACTTACAGTTCCACATGGCTGGGAAGGCATCGCAATCATGGTGGAAGGCAAGGAGAAGCAAGTCACATCTTGGATGGCAGCAGGCAAAGAGAGAGCTTGTGCAAGAAACTCCCATTTTTAAATCCATCAGATCAGAATAGGGCATGTCAGACCTATTCACTATCACGAGAACAGCACAATAAAGACCCACCCCATGATTCAATCTTCTCCCACCAGGTCCTTCCCACAACACGTGGGAATTATGGGAGCTACAAGATGTGATTTGGGTGGGGACACAGAGCCAAATAATATCAATATACCAATTTTCTAGTTGTTTATGGCAGGAAGGTAAGTCTTATATCAATTTCTGTAGCAGGTAAGGAAACATAATTGCTTTCTTTAGTTTTTATTGAAAATTTATATGTTGAAAGATTATAAGTATGACTTACCAAAACAAAAGATTTTTTTCTTTCTTGTGTGTTCTTTCATGTATACTAGAGTGTCACCTAATTGCAAGGATTAATTTGTAAGAAAAAGATAGTTGGAATTCAAATGGTGTGCCTTAATCATTTTTGCTTCAATTCCCAAAAGGAATTTTTAAAAATTACTTTCTTCCATGCATATTTTCAAGTAAATGTATACATATTTTATCAAATGTTTACATACGTTTGGAAGAGATACGATTTCCAGAATATTATACAAATTGGCATTAAATCAACCTCCTCACTATTTGCTGTTTGTTTACTGTTTATTTGTTCAATGTTTATTTTTATTGTTTATTGTTTTAATAAACGTCATAGCAACTTGATATCATCTATAATCTCTTTTATAATGTATGTGTTGGCTCCTTTATAACCTCATTTCCAGCAAAGACTATTTTGACAAAATGTACTATATTTTTAGTCTTAAATTATCTTATTGCTTATGTATTACACTTCTCTGCCACAATAATGAGGATTGAAAGGGAAAGTTAACTTTTTTCTCATTTTCTGAAATTACAATTCTCTAAATATTAAAAAGTGCTTTTTTCTGCATTTTATTGTAATTATTTCTATTGTCATAAAATTGATCCAAGTAAGATATAACTCACATTTTGTTAAGTAATTATTAAACTTTCAAAGTGAAGATTTTTTTTAAGAAATGCATTTCTTAATGAGATAGATAGGCATTTTTTTTGTCCAGTTAGGTTTTAAATCCTTGGATGAAAGAAGAAGTAAGATATATTGCTCGAATTAGATGGGTTCCAACATCAATTTGATCCTCATTTTTCATTTTTATAGATCGAAGCCCTGAGGAAGCATGTAGTCATAAACTTAAAAAATTGAATGAAGGAAGTATTATTTTAGCTATTTCATTCAATTCTTTGAACAATTTCTGAGTTATATGACAGTGTAATTTAGTGCTAAAAATTATTTTTTATAATCACTATGTAGATAACTAGATCATAGTCTAATATGGTATTTCTGATTGCAAAGAATTTGAAGCCATCTGATGTACAAAGAAAAAGTTCATTAATCAGTAATTAGAAATTAGTGCCATTCATTTTCATTGGTGTCATAATACCAATATTTAGATTTTTTATAATTTGAATTTTTATGTTAGATTCAGGGGGTATACGTGTAGGTCTATTACCTAAGTATACTGGATGATTCTGACGTTTGGGGTACAAATGATCCCCTCACCCAAGTACTGAGCATGGTACTCAATAGTTTTTCGAACTTTCCCCTTCCTCGCTCCCCTGCTCTGGTAGTCCCCAGTGTCTCTTGTTGCCATCTTTATGTCCATGAGAATCCAATATTTAGCTCCCACTTATAAGTGAGAACATGCAGTATTTGGTTTTCTGTTTCTGCATTAATTTGCTTAGGATAATAGTCTCTAGCTGCTTCCATGTTGCTGCAAAGGACATAATTTTGTTCTTTTTTTATGACTGCATATTATTCATAGCATTCCATGGCACATATGCACCATATTTTCTTTATCCAATCCACTGTTGATAGGCACATAGTTTGATTCCATGTCTTTTTTATTTTGAGTAGTGCCATGATTAAAATATGAGTGCATGTGTCTCGATATTTTGAATTGTCCCTTTTCTCAGCTGCCTGCAGACTTGAACACCATGAGTCACAAATAAAATAAGATTAAAACTTTCTGTTGTAAAACAGAAAAAAAGAACTATTAATTTCTTGACTATAGGCACTTTCTTAGGTAGATGACTCTTAGGAAAGTATAGGCATGCCTTATTTTATTGTACTTCACTTTATTGTCTTTCATAGATACTATGTTTTATAACCAATTGAAGGTTGGTGGCAACACTGCATCAAGCAAGTCTATGGGACCATTTTTCCAACAGCATGTGCTCACTTTACGTCTCGGCGTCACATTTTGGTAATTCTCACAATATTTTAAACTCTTTCCTATTATTACATCAGTTATAGTAATCTGTGATCAATGATCTTCGATGTCATTATTGTAATTGCATTGGGGCACCACAAAGGATGCCCACATATAAGACAGTGAAGTTAATCAATAAATGTGTGTGTTTTGACTGCTCTATTAACTGGATATTTCCTCATCTCTTTTTTTTCTCATCAGGCCTCCCTATTTACTAAGATAAAACACTATTAGACTTAAGTCAATTAATAACCTCACAATGGCCTCTAAATATTCAAGTGAAAGAAAGAGTTGCACATCTCTCACTTTCAGTTAAAAGCCGGAAATGACTAGGCTCAATGATGAAGGCATGTCAAAAGCCAGCTAAAAGCTAAACCTCTTGTACCAGTTAGCCAAGTTGTAAATACAAAATATATATATATAAAATATATATATTATATATATATTATATATATATAATATATATAATATATATTATATATATATAATATATATAATATATATTATATATATAATATATATTATATATATATGGAAATTAGAGATGCTACTCCAGTGAACACATGAATGATACTAAAACAAAACAGCCTTATTGCTGACATGGAGGAAATTGTAATGGTCTGTATAGAAGATCAAAAAAGCCATACTTCCTTATTAAGCCAAACCCTAATCTAGAGCAAGGCCTCAACTCTATTCAATTCTGTGAAGGCTGAAAGAGATGAGGAAGCTGCAAAAGGAAAGTGTGAAACTAGCAGAGTTTGCTTCATGAGGCTTAAAGAAAGAAGCCATCTCTATGACAGAAAAGTGCAAGGTGAAGCAGCAAGTGCTGATGGAGAAGCTGCAGGAAGTTATCCAGAAGATCTAGCTACAATCATTTATAAAGGTGGCTACACTAAACAACAGGTTTTCAGTGTAAATGAAATAGCCTTTTATTGGGAGAAGATGGCATCTAGGACTTTCATAGCTAGAAGAAAGACAATGCCTGGCTTGAAAACTTCAAACAACAGGCTGAATCTCTTCTTAGAGGGCTAATGCAGATGGTGACTTTAACTTGAAAGCAATGCTTATGTACCATTTCAAAAATCCTAGGGCCCTTAAGAATTATGCTAAATCTACTCTGCCTATGCTTTATATATGGAACAACAAAGTCTGCAAGACAGCACATCTGTTACAGTAGGGTTTACTGAATATTTTGAGCTCACTGTTGAAACCCATTACTCAAAAAAATATTTTTTTCTTCAAAATATTACTGCTCAATAGCAATGCACCCAGGCACCCAAGAGATATGATGGACATGTACAGGGAGATTAATTTGGTTTTCATGCCTGCTAACACAACATCTATCTTGTAGCCCATGGATCAAGGAGTCATTTCAATTTTCAAGTCTTGTCGTTTGAGACATACATTTCATAAGTCTGTAGCAGCTATAGATAGTTATTTCTCTGACAGATCTGGGAAAAGTAAATTGAAAACCTTCTGGAAAGGATTCAGTATTCTAGATGCCATTAATCACATTTTTGATCCATGAAATTAGGTCAAAATATCAATACTTAGAGGAGTTTGAAAGAAGTTGATTTTAGTCTTTGTGGATGACTTTGAGGAGTCTGAGACTTCAGTGGAGAAAGTAATTGCAGATATGGTAGAAATAGCAAGAGAACTAAAATTAGAAGTGGAACCTGAAGATGTGACTGCTGCAGTCTCACAGTAAAACTGAAATGGAGTTTGGGCACAGTGGCTCATGCCTGTAATCCCAGCAGGCATGAACCACAGGTAGGCTGAGGCAGGCAAATCACCTGAGGTCAGGACTTCAAGACCAGCCTGACCAACATGGTGAAACCCCATCTCTACTAAAAATACAACAATTAGCCAGGAGTGGTGGCGCACGCCTGTAATCCCAGCTACTCAGGAGGCTGAGGCAGGAGAATTGCTTGAACCCAGGAGTCAGAGGTTGCAGTGAGCCAAGATCACACCACTGCACTCCAGCCTGGGCGACAAAGCAAGACTGTCTCAAAAAACAAAAACAACAACAAACTCCAATGGATGAGGAGTTGCTTCTTAAAGAACTCAAATGGATGAGGAGTTGTTTCTATCTTGAGATAGAAACAACTCCTTGTAAATATGCTATGACACTATTAAAAAGACAATAAAGCATTTAGAATATTCTATAAACTTAGTTGATAAAGCAGTGGCAGAGTTTGAGAGGACTGACCCCATTTTTGAAAGATGTTCTACTGTGGGTAAAATGCTATCGAACAGCATTGCATGGTACAGAAAAATCTTTCTTAAAAGGAAGAGTCATTCAATGTGGCAAACTTCACTGGTGTCTTATTTTTAAAAAGTGCCACAGCCACCCTAACCTTCAGCAACTACCAGCCATATCAGGCAGCAGCCATCAACATCAATGCAAGACCTTCTACCAACAAAAAGATGACGACTCACTGACACCTCAGATGATCATTAGCATTTTTAACAATAAATTGTTTTAATTAACATATTGTTTTTTAGACATAACGCCATTGTACACTTAATAGACTGCAGTATAGTGTAAACATAACTTTTATATCCACTGGGAAACAAAACATTTGTGTGACCCACTTCATTTCAACAATCACTTCGTTGCAGTGGTTTAAACCAAACCTGCAATATCTCTGAGGTATGCCTGTACATAGATGTAAGTTGAGGATCTGGAAATTTGCCCCGTATTTTAAGCTCTTCTTGTCCGTACATTACTTGGAAAATCTTTATGTACACCCACAGATCTCGCGCATGTGTGTGTGTGTGTATGCTGTATTCTGAACACCTCTAGGCATTGTGCAACCTAGAATAAAAGACGTGGATTCTGCTTTCTATACGACTACACTTTGGCCAGCTGCAGTGGCTCACGCCTGTAATGCTAAGCACTTTGGGAGGCTGAGGCAGGTGGATCATCTGAGGTCAGGAGTTTGAGGCCAGCCTGACCAACGGGGCAAAACCCCATCTCTACTAAAAATACAAAAATTAGCTGGGCATGGTGCGGGCGCCTGTAATCCCAGCTACTCAGGAGGCTGAGGCAGGAGAATCACTTGAACCTGGAGGCGGAGGTTGCAGTGACCCAAGATCGCACCACTGCACTCCAGCCTGGGCGACAAGAGCGAGACTCCATATCAAAAAAAATAAAAAAGACTACACTTTATTTGGAAACACAAGACTACACACTTACACTGTGTTACTCTATTTATGTAGATGAGGCAAATGGAGCTCAGGAAGATGAGAAAGCATGTCCAGTTTCACAGGCAGTAAGTGATGGCCTTGGAGCTCAAACCTTGGCTCTGTTAATTGAAAGTCCATGCTCTTTTTCCTAATACCATCTTCCAAATGGCCAGAAAAACAGTATAATTTGACTAACTTTATAAATGGAAGCTATTATGTGAATATGTATTATTTGGAAGTTTACATGAAGAGAGAGGAAAAAAAAATAACTTGGCCTTGAGGAATGGGGGAGATTTCTGTAGATAAAAACAAAAAGCCAGATAAGCTGAGGCATAGTATAAAGAAGTTGGGAATGTGTAAGGCACATTGTAGAAGAAAGGGAAAATAAAAACAGTCAGAGACGGAGTTTATTTGGAAAGCAGAGAAAGTTGGCAAGTTGTTGTGGAGTCAAGCATGGAAAATCTTAAAATGAAAATGATTTTCTTGAGAATTAGGAGGCACTGATGGGTTTTGAACAGGGGACATGGTCAAAGCCATGTTTTAGGAAGAATTATCTGGTAGCAGCCTGCAGTATGGTTTGAAAACGGCTTTGACAAGACTACCTAAGTAGGCTGTTGTAATAATCCAGATGTGAGGTTATAATGGAATAGACTAGAGTGTGAGCTGTGGGAATATAAAGGAGAAGACAAATACCAGAGACAGTAAGAAGGAAATCGCAGGCTGGGTTAAATAATGCATGTGGGGAATGGTGAAATATTAGGCAAGAGAGACTACCTTGGATTACACAGAGCCTTTAATGCAAGTTCAGGGCCTGTGTATTTTAAATAGCAAGGAGCCAAAAAAAAGTTTTGAGCATAAAAGGAAGAGTGGTTGAAGACTATTAATAGTGAAATAAATATTTTTATCTTATTCTACAGCAATGAAATTAAAATATAATTCTAAAAACCCAGGAATCTAAAGTCTCAATTCCATAAATCAGGAATTCCTTTCCTCAAAGTGTAACACAAAGTTGTTTATTTGTCATATTCGATCACAGCCAGATTAGCTTGTTTCTGCCATTGCGTGTTTAAAAGGAAGTGTACGTAAATGATTACTGAGACTTTTGGATTGCTCTGGAATTGTTTTCCATCAGGGGACAAAGAAGATGTAAACAATTTGGGCTCAGCTACCCTCTCCAGATAGTAAAGCTTGTGCGATCAGTGGCTGCTACTCCCAACTTCACCAAAACACCACTCAAGACAGCTGGCTGCTTGGTAAGAGTTTCTATGACCAGGAGCTGGAGCTGACGGGAACACTGAAAACAGGTAATTGGAAGTGAATCTCCCATGTCATGAAAAGTGCAGGGAGACTTTCAGCAGGGTTTGGAAAGTATTTATCTATTAAGTCCCGTGAGAGAATCATAAGTCAGAGGAAGGGTTGCCCTGGCAAAATCATGCAAGACTGACTGTTTTCTTCAGTGTCCATTTGACTTGCTAAGCATAGAGGTTTCTTCCTCCTTCTCTGTCTTTCTCTCTCTCTCCTGCTCTCGCACTCCATCCTACTCTCTCCTACTCTGCAATTCCCTTTCCCAGATATCTAACTGGATGAGAGATACCAGTCTCCACTTTGTCTCAATTTTTCTAAGTGACTGTTAAGGAACCACTCACAAGATTGGAAGTAGGCAGCACTACCTTCACCACTCACACTGTAGGGAAAGGGAAAAAAGTGTTGAAAATTTCCCACTGACCCGGTGAGTTGTTACTTCATTGACTCATTCTCTTATCTTTCCACTCATAAAGATTGATTGGGAGGCAGTAATGAAAGGGTGTTTGGGAATAGCACAGTTAATTTGGTATCTTCCTAAGAAGATTCTAACGGGGTCTGATCCCCACATTTTTAAAGTTTTTTTATTTTCAATATTATTTATTTAGATATAATTCCACATTGCCTGAAGATTTTAAAGAATATCACAAAGAAACTCATCTACCTAGATTCATCAATTTTATATATATTTTATCATCCTACCCATGTATCTATCTATCTATCTACCTACCTACCTACCCATCTATTTTCTGAAACTTGGAGACAGTAAGTCTCTTTAAATACTGCACTGTGTATTTTCTTAGGTGTCCAGTTCTTTTTAGAATGTGGCAGAATCAGAAATTTGTCCCTAGCTTTTGAATCTAGTGACAAAACCCAGAGCAACTAAGAGTCTAACTCAGCCATACTATTACAAAAACATTCTATAAAGTATAATTTTCCTAAAAAGCAAACTGATAAACAGTAGTCTGACAGAAATTTATTATTATATATCAACTACTTATTCAGGTTTTAAAATATACCAAGCAATGTATTTGTAGTTTTACATACTATTTATTGTTCTTATCATATTTTTCAAATCATGCTATTCTTTACAATAAATTTATGATGGAGGCCTTATTTGAATAAATTAGCCATAAAATATTAGTTCACTAAGTAAGGAAACCTAAAAAGTATTACTAGTTAATGTTGTATTAATTACTAATGTATGTACCTTTATATCAGAAGGGATGAATATTATATTCTATTAATACAAAACATCATTAAGTGGCTAGGAATATGCACTAATTCTAGAAAATTGTACCGATATAGAGCTTACAGCTCTTACTGAATGTGTTTGCTTTAGACAGGGAGTTTGGTTAGTTTAATTTCGTACAGGCTTTACTTCACCCTTTTTCAAGGGGTAGCCCAGTAGTTCTTTGTTCTTGATTCTCAGAGTTGACTACTTGTTCACTTTTCTCCTGATGTCTCAATGTTCCTTTCCATTCCGTTCTACCCTTTTTATTTTCCTAGTCATATCTATGAAAGACTTTGGACCTAGGTGACCTAGGAGAATAAAAAGCAACAGAAAGCCAAATATCTACAAAAAATTCCATCTCTTAGATAGTCCAGGGTAAAACCATTCTAAGCATAACTTCAATGCTAAGATCTTCCTTTTCCCTCGTCATCTATAAGTGACACAATTTGCAATTAAAAAATAGTTGATTTAGCACCTTCTACGTAGCATGCATTACTCAGTCACTTTATACATAACACAATTTAATCTTCAAAACAATCCTATGTGTAACTAATGACTGAGAAGAAATCATTATTGAAAAATATGTGACCAGAATATAAATATTATATACTAGAATATAATCATAATAGAATATAAATATAATAAGATACTAAATACTTAAATATAAATAAAATGACATGATACACACATAATAATATCTCACTATTCAGGGTCATTCTTTTAAAATCATATTTCTTTTCTCATACTATTGGGTGTCATTTGGAGAAAAAAAATTAAGAAGTTGCTTCAGAAGTTCTCCTTTCTTAAACCTCACCTGGTGTCTTCTTTTTCTGCTACCTGTAACAGATAGTATGGCTGGAGCTCCAGTGATTAACTTGGACCAAAAAGTGACTTTGAGAATAGAAATCTTGTGCTAAGCATGGCAGAGCAAAGGAGACTGAATTTTTTAATGACATTGTGAAACCTCCATAACAGCCTAAGTCAGCCTGCCTCCAGACTTTTTATATATGACACAGAAATATAATTTTCTCATTTTATAGGCTACTCTAGTATCATTTTGGATTTTTCTATTAAATCCAAATAAACCCAAAGCTCCTAACTACAAGTAGTTAACTATGTTATATATTTAGGTGCTTGCACTTTATTTCATCATAAGCTCTGCAGAGACATTAACGATTATTAAACAGAAATCAGAGTGTGATCAGAATTTTTTGTTTCAGATATTTCTGACTAAAATATATTCGATACATTTTTTGAAAACACAATATTGGAGCAGAAAACCATTTAGGAGGTTGTTACAGTGATTCAATAAAAAGATGATGAAAGCCCAATCTAGGAAAGCTATACTTAGGATGGGGCAGGGGAAAGAATAAATAAATACTTCGCATCTAAAACTGTCAAGAGTAGACGGAACTAAGACGAGAGAGAGAATGAGGAAGTTCTAGAAACTCTCGAGTTTCCAAAACTGTGTGGTGCAATCAATAGTGTTAGTGAACATTGAGAGAAGAGTCAGTGGGAAAGTTCAACTTTGCACATGGTGAATTTGAGTTATTATGGGAAAGCCAAATGGATATATACAGAATGCAGCTGGATAAAAGAAGACTTGCTGTTGCTTACCAGAGAAATTCTGAATCCTACTTACAGAATGTGTGTGTGTGTGTGTGTGTGTGTGTGTGTGTGTGTTTTATGAGAATAAAAATTATCAACCAGAGAGGTAATGAAGAGTGGAAAAATTCATAAATTCAAGACAAGGCCATGGGGAACCTTAAATTTGGGGGTTGGTGGAGGAAGACAGATGGTCAAAAAGGAGACAGAGAAGAAAGAGTGATTGAGGAACAAAGGTGTTCAAGAATCGTTTCAATAAATGTCATTTCAAGTGACAAAATAAAATGTGCTCAATGCAAGATCACCCTTGGATTGGGCAATGAAGAAGTCATTATTGTTAATGAGAAAAATTTCTGTTGAGTTGTTGAGTTGGGAAAATACTACAGTAAGTTAGGAGCTAATGATAAAGGAGGATGGTTGACCATTCTTTGGGGAAGTTTAGATGAAAAGTAAAAACAAATAGTAATAGGGAGAGCAAAATCTAGACTAGAAGATGATTCCATGACAGCTAATTTAAAAACAAGAGTTTTGAAGTTGTCATTATTAAATACTATTTGACTGATAGCTTTTGGAATAACACCTGTATCAAAATGATGCCCCACATCCTAGGTTTAGAGAAATTTGGTTTCAGTTTTAAATATTCTAAAGGTAGAGGAGCGACTCAATACAAATTCCAAGTTCTGTGTAATTATGGATAAGGTGATAGAGACAGAAAATTATAAATAATTAGTTTGACCGAATTTTGATATCAATAGGAAAAATAAAATAAATCAGGAGAAGAGTGAGAACAATGTGACCATATTAATTGGTCCACTAATATGTTTTTACATGTCTCTTGGCAGTTAGGAAAATAATACACCAACCACATCTGTACTTTTTCAGTCAGCATACAGATCCAGGAATAGACTCTAAATTAGTTAGCATGAAGCCAACAAGCTCATGCAAATGTCAGAACTCACGTTTCTGAATTTCACCATTTCCCAAAGCAAGTTGACCCAATGATCTATATTTGGTGGTGATTTTTATTCCCAGATGTTGAGAACAGCTTTTTTGCTGGCAGTAGGTCCTTGAGGATGCATGTTCCCTAAGCTTTAAATAGCATGCCCTAAGGAATTAGTATTACCCAAGATATAAAAAGATTAATAAGGATTTAAAATTGAATAACTCCAGTAATTCCTTTAATGGATGTGCATTCAAATTATTTCCTTGGTCAGTATCATAACTGCTTGCTTATCACTGCATTCCTAAGAGATAACTCTCTTAATTTAGTGCCCATAGGGTTTCAGTCACAATGCAGTGCTGAGGCGGCCTGCCTTATTTCTTGGCACATAAGCAACCTTGCATAAGTCCATGTGTGAGACTTTGGAGAGCCTATTTCCTTCGATCCCCTGTGTAGCTTCTTTTTAAAGACCTCTGAATTTCTCCTGTTTCTTTCTGGCTTTCATTGAAGATGTTTATTCAACGCAATGTGAGATAATTGAATTCTCAACAAGGAGCTTGATGAATTTTCTAATTCAAACTGGGTACCAAGAGGTGGCCTGTCATCTTTTTCCTTTTGTTGTACTGGGAGAAAAAAAAAGCAAATGAGTCTCCTTGAGAGCAGTTCTCATTTCTGTTTCAAGTTCCCCCAACAAGTCATTAAACATTCTCTGGGTTTTGTCAACAGCCTGGTAAACATCCAGAGAAAGAATCAAAATAAGATTGTTTATTTAACATTCTTCAGCTCCAACTGCTGATTAGGGTAAATAGTTTGGATAAAACTCCTATATGATCCAAAAATCACAAAAAGAAAACATTAGCTATTGGGCAAGTTTAGAATGAGTTAGAAATTCTTTAAACAGCACAGACATTTTTACACACTTTGATATTTTCTTCATCTTCTACTCATCTTGTGAAGGCAATGTCAGAGCTAAACATGAATGTTGAACAACCACTGAGAAAGCTCCTTGGAATCTAAGTGAAAATGCAGAGAGTGATTTCCAGAACAAGCTATAGGCTGGAACACCTAAAACTCAGTGCTGCTCTTTAAGTAACTGAAAGAAGTTGAGTCAAAATAGCACTTTCCAAGGGCTGCCTTTTCAGACTTTGGGCAAAATTTGTACTGATTCTACTTATCTCCAGAGAACCCAATAATTTAGCCAAAAGAGAAAAAATGTTTCTAATCATCAGGAAGACTTTTAGGTTTATAGGAGATCAGTCAATAATATGATGCCTCATTTTATATAGCTGTGCAAGCTTTTTAAAGAAAAGATCTATCATAATCCTGAATAAAGATCTAGTGAAATATGCTGCTAATATATTTTTTAAAATGTTATTTTCTTCTTATGACCTCTAATCCAGATTTCGGTACATTAATTGTGGTTCAATAAGTGCGATATTTAGCAGATCAATTTTTTTTTTTTTTTTTTTTTTGAGACAAAGTCTCACTCTGTCGCCCAGGCTGGGGTGCAGTGGTGTGATCTTGGCTCACTGCAATCTCTGCCTCCCAGGCTGAGGCAATTCTAATGGTTCAGCCCCTCAAGTAGCTGGGACTACAGGTGTGTGCCACTGCACCCAGCTAATTTTTGTATTTTCATTTTAGTAGAGACAAAGTTTTCCATACTGGCCAGGCTGGTCTAAACTCCTGGCCTCAAGTGATTTGCCAGCCTTGACCTCCCAATAGATCATTTTTTAACATGAACTTTAACATAAATTTAAGATTCTGAACAGGCCACAAAATTTCCTCTACCAGCCTTGCTCTTTTTATCTGTCCTGCTCCAAATTAACTAATATAGTTACAAGGGCCATAGGATAACACTCACGCCGATGCATTCATGTCTTTCCTTAGAAAGTTCTCTTTTCCTTTTTCAAGGCTGATTATAATCCTTAGAATGACTTCAAATGACACCATGAAATATTATTTTACTCGAAATAATGATTGAAAGACAAACTATCATTCTGCAGATTGGATATTGGACAGTTCCTCAAAAATGAATAAAATGAGCCTGGCACTTTGAGAAACGCAAGTGACAATAATTGTGATAAAATTTGAGTTGTCAAAAGAAAATGAAAATTTTGGAAAATGTTTATCTACCACCATGAGTTTGGTAGTTTCCTGATACTTAAAAATATGACTTTTCAATAATGTATATCAACCTTTGGAGATCTACATAAGCCAATAATCTATTATTTTACAAATGAGTAATGTATTAAGTTACAAAATCATATATGAGAAAAAAGCCATCTAAAGTATAAGATAAACCAGTAGATTTTGCTCTAGAGGGTAAGAAAAGTTTGTTGATATAATTTCGGATTCTTACATTCCAACTAACTTGAAAGAAAATACTACTTGTCAGGTGTTAATTTAATAACAAAGAAGAGTTATCTGCAATTATTTCCATTCTCCTCCTCTTTTCAATTATGTATCTGTGTAAAAGGAGATTTTCTTCATATACTTCAAGAAGAAAAAAATATATTGCTACAGAGTAATTCCAGGAAAAATATAAGAACCCAACTGTCTTTGATTAAGATATCAAAGAGATTTCCAAAAATGTAAAATAATACCATTCTTCTGGCCAAATTTTTGAATATATTGGTTATTTTTCAAAATGACTAATATTAAGGACAATTTAAAGTTGCAAGTATAAATTTATCCATGAAAAATATTTCCAAGGAAATGCAACTTTATAAACTCTAGCTCATTTTATTTTTTAATTTTTATAAAATTTGGTTCCATTTATTTTTTGAATCCAAGCAAGTTATTTGCCTAAAGAAAAAATATATCTAATCTCATTTAAATTGAAGGATTTCTTAATGATTTTACATTTGATGCAAATCCTTTTAATCGCTTTCTTCCCACCTAAATTTGGTGAAAGGAGGATAATTTGAGATGGGGTTGTGCAGGTGCTATGAATCTCAGTGGAGCAAGGGAGTATTAACTTCTCAACCTTGATCTCAGATCACTTCGTTTACCGTATATGGAGTAATTTGTCATCTGGTTCTCTACCTTGCTGGTACTCAGGGATTCCTCAGTGTTGCCCAATGGGTACTGGAGAACAAGTTAAGTAACCTTATGTGAGAAGAGGGATGAAAAGCATATTGATTAGAAATTTGAAATACTATCATTACCATGTTGATAAATATAGAGAGAGCTGGGTACAATGGCTAGCACCTGTAGTCCCAGTTACTCAGGAGGCTGAGGTGGGAAGATGGCTTGAGCCCAGGAGTTCAAGGCCAAGGTGGGCAATACAGTGAGACCTTGTCTTAAAATATATATACATATTTCATCTTTTCTTGTTTTCTTGTTACATCTGCTTTATAAATAATATATTGGGGACATTTTTTCTTATTATTACATATTCCTCTAAATTATAATTTATAAATGTTGCATCATATTTTATCCTGACATACTTGATCTAAGAAATTTCATTTACATATTTCCATGTCATCATTATTATAAACAATTAGCTTAAGTGAACATCTGTTCAACTCTTCACCCAAATCTTTGTATTCATTCATGATTATTTCATTAAGACAAATTCCTAGCAAAAAATTATTGGGTCAAAAGCTCTATATATTATTACAGATCTGGGGGATTTTTCAAGATTATTCTCTAGAACAGATGTACAATTTAGAATTCACCAAGAACTGTATAAATATACCTAACTTAGTAGGAGTGAACATTATTTCAGATATGAAATGGCCGTTTCAATATTTTTGTGAACATTCTATTTATATTTATTGTCCATTTTATTGTTTGTATGTTAGGCCTTTTTCTTATTGATTTAATTATTTGTACTATAATTCTTTGAGTGATCTTAATGATGCCAGCCTATTCTTTCTTTTGGTTGTTTTACTTGTCCATTCTTTTATTTTTAAACCGTATCTATCATTCTTTTATGAGTATATTTTTTAAAAAGCAAATGGGCCTGGTGCAGTGGCTGATGCCTATAATCCCAGCACTTTGAGAGACCAGGTGTGAGGATCGCCTGTGCCCAGGGGTTCATGACCACTGGAGCAATACAATGAGACAGCGTCTCTACAGAAAAAAATAAATAAAACAATTAACCACATGTGGTGGTTGTGCATGCCTGTAGTCCCAGCTACTCCAGAAGCTGAGGCAGGAAGCTCACTTGAGCCCAGGAGTTTGAGGCTGCAGTGAGCTACGATCACACATCTGCACTCCAGCCTTAGCAACAGAGTGAGACACTGTCTCTAAAAAAATAAATAAATAATACGTAAAATAAAAAATGCTAGATTTGTATGTTTTGTCAAATTTATATAGAGAAATTTAACATATTCATATATTTTATTTTATTTTATTTTTTTATTTATTTTGAGATGGAGTCGCGCTCTGTCACCCAGGCTGGAGTGCAGTGGTGGGAACTCGGCTCACTGCAAGCTCTGCCTCCCGGGTTCACGCCATTCTCCTGCCTCAGCCTCCCGAGTAGCTGGTACTAGAGCTGCCCACCACCACGCCTGGCTAATTTTTTGTATTTTTAGTAGAGACGGGGTTTCACCGTGTTAGCCAGGATGGTCTGGATCTCCTGACCTCGTGATCCACCCGCCTTGGCCTCCCAGAGTGCTGGGATTACAGGCGTGAGCCACCGCGCCCGGCCCATAAATTTAGTTTCAACGCTGTCATCCTCATTGCTTTCTCGGTTTTTGTTTGTTGTGCTTTTCAGTGTGCTTTTTCTTCTTCTACCTTTTGCTTTTAGATCATGTTTTCCTCGCAATTTTTGTTAGTAATTTGGATACTTTGCATTCTTCTTATAAAAGTTGTCATTACTTGGCCGGGCGCGGTGGCTCACGCCTGTAATCCCAGCACTTTGGGAGGCTGAGACGGGTGGATCACGAGGTCAGGAAATCGAGACCACGGTGAAACCCCGTCTCTACTAAAAATACAAAAAATTAGCCAGGGGCAGTGGCGGGTGCCTGTAGTCCCAGCTACTCCGGAGGCTGAGGCAGGAGAATGGCGTGAACCCGGGAGGCAGAGCTTGCAGTGAGCCGAGATTGCGCCACTGCACTCCAGGCTGGGCGGCAGAGCGAGACTCCTTATAAAAAAAAAAAAAAAAAAAAAAAAAAAAAGTTGTCATTACTTTTTAGTTATTAAATACATCGTAACAACAGCAAAAAAAAAAAAAAATTACTTAGCATCTGTTTTGTAATTAGAATAATATCACTTGAATTATTTCTGTGTCTCATTACTGATCCAGGGGTTGAATTCTACAGGGGAAGAACTCTTTGGGTGAGTTTTTTGTGACAATTTTTGTTATTTTAATAGGATAATTTAACATACTCAAAATAAAAACAGCTCAATGAAGCTCCATGTACACATTATGCAGATTCAAGTAAGGCTTTGCTACAGCTGTGTCATTTATTATCTTTGCCTAAATTATATTTAAACCAATGTTTCTTCTAATTACCAATGTCAGTCATGAAAAATAATCTATGTAATATCTCTTGTAAAAATAACTCCAGCTCGTTTTCTTCCTATTTTTCTGTTTTTGTTGACATGTGCCTTATTAATTTTTAAACTATTTATACGATGTGGTAAGAATCTTTTGAATACATATATTATTGTATATCCTCTGAAGTCAATTATTTAGACTTAATTGTATGTCTACTGGTTTCGTAATACACCACAGTTTCTTTCATGCCATTATTTTCCAGACTCTTGAAATTTTGCGTTATTCTCCAATCTACTCTAGCATGTATTTGAGTCATCCTTACCAGGGAAGTTTGTGGGTGACATCCTTTCTAAGCCCTTGCATGCCTGATAATGTCAATCCGTTCCTCTCGCACATAAGTATATTTGGCTGGTCATAGAATTTTGCCGCTCACTTTTAACATGACTCCACTGTTTTCTGGCAGTTAAAATGCCTATATGAGAAAATCAAAACATTTCAATTTATTATCCGTGGCTGGGCACAGTATAATCTTTAAATAGTCTTTCTTGTTCCAGCTCCCAAGTCTTCTGAACACAGTTTTTTGTTCAAATGAGATTGTTCCCTCATTTTTTCCCAAATAAGCCATGTTTAATTGTACTTGCACACTTTCCTTCATGGTATATCATTGGTCTGGAATGCTTTCTATGTTATAGGCAAATTATCTCTACTATTTTATTCCTAGCTCAAGAATTACTTTTTTCACTGAGCCATCTAAAGTTATCCCAGTTTACACAGTATTTTCTTTCTTGTGACACTCAGGTTAGTAGTTAATTATATGATGTTGCATATTTTTTTCATACATTGAATAAGGAGTTGTCTCATCTCTTCTACTTAGATAATACCTTAAGGTAAGTGGCAGTTAGCAGTAACAGTTTTTGATCTGCATTTTACCTTCAACATTGTATACACGGTAGCTTTCAATAAGTACCTGCTCAATAAATAAATGTGTGAATAAACAGAGAAAAAAAAAAACAAAGAGGCCTAAAAATTGGTTTTCACTTTAAGGCACTTTATACATTCTTGGAAAAAAGTCTAAATTGCTCATTGAAAAATTCAGTTGAGTTAAACAGAGCCGGGAACGGTGGCTCACGCCCATAATCCCAGCATTTTGGGAGCCCAGGGAGCGTGGATCACCTGAGGTTCAGGAGTTCAAGACCAGCCTGGCCAACATGGTGAAACCCTGACTGTATTAAAAATACAAAAATTAGCCGAGCATGGTGGCGTATGCCTGTAATCCCATGGAGACTGAGACAGGAGAATCGCTTGAACCCAGGAGGCAGAGGTTGCAGTGAGCTGAGATTGCGCCACTGCACTCCAGCCTGGGCCACAGAGTGAGACTCCCTCTCAAAAAAAAAAAGTCCTAATTATTATAAATGGAAATTATACCATGTTCACAGGGTACCTGAAGTGAACCTCAAGGTATCCTTTGTAGGAAGAGAAGATAATTGCCTCATTATGCAGGCAGAATGGTGAAATGAGCTTTGAAGTGAGGTCACTTTGAGTTCAACTCTCAGCTCTGAGTTCTGCGGCTTTTTAATGATACCTTCTTGGACAAGTTTCTAATCCCACTTTGTCCTGTTCCTTCATCCATAAAATGGGAATATTAATGGCCTATGAATGATATGTCAGACTAAACGTTTAACATATCTCTGGAAGCACAGTGTCTAGTAGAGCAGAGAATAATAATCACATCTAGCAAACGTATCTTTAACCCCTTAAAATGTGTTCATTCATCTGTCGCAGCTTGATGAGTTGGGTAGTATTATTACTTCAATTAAAGATGATGAAACCGACAGATAAAATAAGTAATTTTCCAAAGCTAGATAGTTAAAAAACAAACAAACAAACAAACAAACAAACAAACAGATAAGTAGCAGAACCAAACAATTGGTTTTGTGTACGTCTAGAGCACACATTCCTGGCCATGAGGCTATCCTGCTACCCAGAGCCACAGGTATTCTTGGCCTACTCTTATTCATCTTGACTGGCACTGGCAGTCAGACCTTGTGGGAGTTACCCGTCCTCTTGTGGAGTTGGTGTAAGCCTGTTGGGATGTTAATGGGAAATGATAATCCTCCATTTCCCTTGAGGTATGAACAGGAGACAGGAAGGATTTAAGAAAATAGATCACTTTACAGAAAGTCACAAAATCTCTTTTCTGGAGATTTTCAACAATATTATTTGAAATGGTTTAGGAATTTCTGAATGAATGTTACAAATTCTCATGGTGCCCTTTGAGGCCTATATTACAAAATTTGATTTTTTAATTCATTGATGTATGATTCAGATGTGTTTCCCTTCATGCAGAAAATGAAATAGCTGGTATCCTAAGTGGGAAAGAACCCAGAATTTCTAAATTAGGCTTCTATTTATATTCATATATTTTGAAAAAGTTTTTAAAATTTTGTTCTATAGGCATTTAAATGAGACTATGCCTTTTATAGTTAATGAGGGGGCTGTGCTGGAACAAAGTTTGAAATATCTCATTTTTAAAGCCCTTTCTGTGACTTTAACACATTCTGCAAATTTTGGTTAAAGTAATTAAATGTCTATCCTAACACTCATAGCATAGACATATTGAGAGATATTGAAGCATGACAGGGAAAAAAAAGGAAAGAAAGTGACAGGTCAGCAAAGGAGGAACAACTTACTAGGCTTGAGGCACTGCTCAGTATGTATTATCTGATCCCCAGTATCCACACTGGAATATGATGACAACTCTATAAAGGCAGCTCCCAGGATCAGACTTGGGTGTGGGTGGAGTGAACATGAATAAGTGTGTGAAAGTTTTTTCCTGGCTGGACAGACATTTTGCCATTTTGCCAAAGCCATGTTCTGTGTCGAAAAGATGAACTCCCTGTTCCTGATGCCGTCACATACACCAGGAAGAAGTAGGAACACCCTGGAGCCAACGCTTTTGCAAAACCAGACAAACTCTTGGAAAAATGCCTCTAAATCCTGAGTTCATCCTTGTGTATAAAATCATTCTTCTGGGGTTTTGTATCAAGTTATTTAAATATCCTGAAACTGAGATAGGGAGATAGCACATTATAAAAATAGAAGGGGACTGGCCTTAAATGCTCATGTGGATCTAGTCTTGTGATGCTGTCATAAAATCAGTGACATGCAGTCATGCAAGAAGATGAGCCATCAAACTTCCTTAGCACAAAGAAAAATATCACAGTTTTCCCTTAAGAGGCCACCCCTACATCTCATCACCTTACAGTAATTAAATGTCTCTTTACAGAAAGTAAATGTTGATGACGACAGGTATGGGATATGCAAGAGAGAAAGAAAATGAAAACAATATTGCTCAAGTAGTTTAGCATCAGACATATCGAACATTCTCAACGAGTATCTTCCCCTTTACAAAAATCAGTTTTACAAAAATCTTAGTTCCTTTCCCTTTATAAAAATCCTCTCAATAGCCCTTAAATGTTATCACGCCCATTTTTCAGACACTGAGGCCTAACTACTTATAAATGATGAAGATGGACTTGATCTGTTTGACCACAACCCCACATATGAGCTTTCCACAACATCAGGATGATTCCTCAGATTGTACTAGCTTTTCCAGAACGAAAGCAAAAAGCCCTTTTTCCTGCTTTTAATTGGTGTAGTTTCTTATTGAGATATCTGATTTAATGGCTATACGTTCCTCTCACAAGGCATTACAAAGTAGCACTTAAAAGTTTGGGCCTCTGGAGTTAGAGCTGGAATCCAAGATCTGCTAACTCCTACTGGAAGTTACTTTAAACATCTCATGCTAGGAACAGTAAGAAGACATTAAGAAGTAATGAAATCTAAAAAAGTATGGAGTTCAGTTAATAATAATATATTAATATTGGTTTCTTATTTGTAACCATACTAATGTAAGGTGTTAATAATAATGTTACCTTGGATATGTGGCATATGTGAATTCTCTGTACTGTCTTTGCATTTTTCTGTAAATTTAAAATTGCTCTAAAAAATTTACCTAAAAAAACAAAAATAAAACTCTGTGTTTCAGTGCTCTCACAGTTTTCTTGTTAAAACTGAATGAATTAATAGCTATTGAGTACTTAGTTTCTGATAAATGTAAAATGTGCAATAATTGTTAGCTATTTTTAAAGTATTAGCTATTTTGGAGGATGTTTGGAAAGAGGAGAGGGTTTGAGAAAGAAAGAAACTCTCATTTATTGGGAACGTACTCCAAGTGGCAATGGATTAGTAGTCAAACTAGAGTCCCTGCCTTCCTATGCACCAAAGGTTTGTGCAGCGAAAGTCTTACCAGGAATGTGCTTTTTAAGGTTAACAAGTATCCTTAGTTCTTCTAGGGAAAGTTTATCTGCCTGCTTCTCTCCAACCTGTCCCAAGTTACAAAGAAGGGTAAGGTGAGATTGAGGAGAAACACAAGAGGAATTAAACTAAGCCCGGAAGAGAGGTAGACGAATCACGCATACACACATAAGTTAAAGATGTTTTGCTTAGACTCAATGTGACCCTGGTTGCTGCACTATGAAGCATGTTGGAAACTCAATATTCTGTTGCCTAAGACTCTCAGTCACCAGTTGCCAATCACCAAATTCCCTCATCCCTCAATATTTGCCTCTCTTGCCTTTGGTTGCAATTTTCTTACATAGGATGAAAAATTCAGTGTAGTGCCAAAGAAAGAAAGCATATGTGAAAAGATAGCACGTTCATTAGGAAATGAAACTAGGTGTCAGATGAAAAGAATTAACGACTGAAATGAAGACCTATGAATCATCTTGGGAAAGCTTCCATTTGGATGACCTCCACACATTGGGGAAATGTCCTCCATCCCTCTCTTAACTCCATGTTTGGTTCATTTTCTGATGTACTATTGGATCAAAAAACAATGATCTACTAACTTCAGAAGATTTTCCAATAGCTGAAATTGTATATCGATCCCTTCCAAACTTGAAAGTGCATGCAAACCTCCCTAGAGAGTCTTGTTAAAAGGCGCATTTTAAATTCGATGATTCTGTCATGTGGCCTGAGTTTCTGCATTTCTAACAAGCTCCCAGACTTGTGAACCACACATTGTTAAGTCAGGTTACAAAGAGTTACCTTAACATGCACTACATTGTCTGCACATGAAGACCTTAATGTCATCTGGTGAGTTTAAACTCAATATGGATGAGCAGTCCTATCTATTTTTAGGTAAATAAACTCCTAAATTTTGAAATTCTAAAGATACAATATAACTTTACATTTTTTTAAATAGAAATATTCACTTAGCTCAACAATTCTCAACCCTGGCAGCACCACAGAACTCTTGAAAACTGCCATACCTCATCTACAGAGATTTGATGCAATTGATCTGGTGCAGACCTGAGAATCAGTATTTTTTAAAGCTTGCCATATAATACTATCATGCAACCAAGACTGAGAACCACTATAGAAGAAAGATGAGATTAATGAATGTCTTTCCAGTCTGGTTTATTCATTGATTAGCTTCCTTATGACACCCAAGTAAAACATTAAATAAGTCACCAATGGCCTCTAGAATTCAGAGATCAAATATACAGTGATTGTATATTTCTGTATACAGAATGTATATTCTGTATAAATACATTTCTTATCCTTTTCTTAGAGATTCACAATACATATGTTCAAGCTATATATATATAGATTATCAGGATTTCTGTTGAATATGAGAGGAAAGTCAGAACTCTGGAGCTCTGTCATCCAGCTAATTGAAGATGGACTTTGGGCAGACATTTGTGTAGATATTACACATCTGTGTAGTGTGTCTAAAGTCAGCCCTATCCAAAACCAATTGATCTCTAGAGATGACTGTGAGAATAACACCAGTGACAGAGAGTCTCTCTGGCCTAATTAAGAACATGGATATCAAGTTAGTATCAAGGAAGTACACTCTAATAACACATTAATTGTAAGATCTTTAAACAGGGCTATCCTAGCCCTTGTTCCTCCTGCTGCTTATCTGAGAGGAGAAGAAAATTTAAAAGGTGTTTCAAACAGTAGGGAAAAGGCCTTGCCTTCCAAAGGAAATGTGGTATCTTCTGTGCTCAGCATAGGATCCTGAATACAATCGGGACCAGCTGCTGGCCAAATTCTCCTTCACTCCACCCTTGGAACCAGGCCAGAGCTGGGCTTCAAAGTATATTTCAGTGAAAGTTCATTTCAGCTTCATCAACAAACATGAGTGCAGCCAAGTAATGCTGAATTACCCTTATGTAAACAATGTTTATCTGTTGTTTCCCTTTGAAAATAACTATTGTGTTATTTGAATAAGCCAATAAAACATTGTTTTCCTTTGTGATTCCTATGTTTTATTTTTCCTACAAATTCCACCCATAAAACCTACTTTTAAAGGTTCCCAAAATTTAAAAACATTTAGTATTTTGCTCATGAATTAGAGTACAAACACAAAGAGGGATATTCTGTATTGTTGAATATTCAAGAGTGTTATGATAAGAAATGTTACCACAAACATTTTCCCCCTCTCAAACTTCAGTTTCCTCATCTGTAGAATGGGGTGAAATCCATCTACCTGAGAGGATAATGAAGATTAAGTGAGAAAATAGTCACAGTATTTAATAGGGCTAATGATTTCTCTGTCAAGGGTTACTTACATGATGCACAACAAACTCAAATTAAGAGTATTGTGTGCTCATTTTGTGCCTGACCCAGTGGTGGGGACGGTAGCATACTGAAAAAGAAATTTGTCATGCAAGTCAGGTTAACTCAGGAAACTTCTAGAGTCTGCATCCGACTCAAAGACAGAAAGATAACCTCTCATCTCCTACTCTCAATCTCAGTGATACTCATTTTGCTTTTAATCAGTGCAAGCAGACACAAGGGTTGGTTGCATTTACATTTCCTTGATGGTCTTTACTTTTTTAGAATCAATGTTTTCCAAATGGGTTCTCATGGAGCCAAAAAACTTACTTGGAGGCGTTGGGTTGTGAGACATGAGTTCAAACAGGTGAGGCTGTGCTTCCACCACCACCAGAACAGCTTTATGCCTACTCACTTTTACTTACTGCTTTGGAATAAGGTTTCTACGGTGGAAAAGGGTTTTATAACTAACTTAAGAGTGATAACAATTGCTTTAAAGAACCACGAGCAATGAAGCACAGCCTACAACTTATATGAGTCCTCAATCATCAAAATAATAAATGTTTAAATTACCTTACATCTTCCTACAAGCTCATTTAATATTCCTTCGAAGTGGTATGTTAAGTGGCAATTCGTACGTTAAATTTCATTTCCACCTTGACTTTCTATGTGCTTTCAGATCTTTGCTTTCACTTAAAAAGTTGTTTCCTGCTGTCTCATTGAAAGGCTTAATCAATAAAAATGCTTTTGCCAAGTTGGTTAAAATCCATATATTTTAACCTAATTTTATTGGGACATGCTAACTGAGCCATCATTCTGAGCATCCAACTGTTTAAAATGCACAGAAATTAAATCAAGAACAGAAATGGCCACATGCAGATGCTTTCAAGGGCTGTACAAGGATCTCTAACATGTGCTCCAAAGTTTCCCTTAAATTGCTAAGTTTTTAAAGATATTTGCTGATCTCTGCACAGCAGCTTTTGTGTGTTGGCTGGCAGGATGACTTCAAATATAAAGAAATAGGCACTGGATAAACAAATTAAATTACAGTAACACTTCATTAAATGCAAGGATGTGAGAGTTCATTCAATAAATATGGATACAACAGACAGACCTGTTAATGGAATTGATGGGTTAAGCATGTACCTTATTAAAAGATTTGTGAATCTCAAATACTATTTCTTAAATATAAAATTCAAAATGTGCTAATGCTATGAAACAACTTTTTTAAAAACATTCAATTATTCTCTAAATTTGATTCAGACCATTGTATACATTTGGACTGATTTTTTTAAATGATCACAGGGGAACAATACTGTGTTTTTGGTCAAGTTCACCTAAGTAGGTTAGAGGGGGAGGTACAATTTATTTCTCTTGTTTGTTTTAGAAAAAGCAAAGAAGAGAAAATATTTTTATTTTTTCTTTCTTTTTCTTTTCTTTTTGTTTAAATCAGGTTCTGACTCTAGAAAGTGCTACAGGGGAGAATGGGTGAATTCTATTAATACCAATTATTTCAAGGAGTAAGCTACATTTTCCATAAGGTTATCATAAATCGACTTTTCAGTGTTTCTAAGAGACACAGAAAATTTGAAACCCCAATAGATTTCTCTTTGTTAAAGTTTGTTTTTATATGCCTGGAAATTGATGTGTGCAGGTCCATCAGGAGATATGTAAGAGGATGTTCATCTTAGCATCTTTTTTGCTGGTGAGGAATTGGAGGGAACCTGGAAACCCCTTCATCTCTTGGAGAACAAATAGGTACAATGTAAAGGATGCGCTTTATGGAGATTGTGGAGCAGGTAGATGCTGCAGATTCAATTATGCATTGCAATGTAAATTGATTTTAAAGTCATAATGGTCAATGGAAAGTACAGAACAGAATGTGATATATAATACCATGCTATGTATGTAAACTAAAAATGTGTGCATTCTAAAAGAATACATATTTTGCTAGAGTACCTATATACTAAAAAATGCATGCAATGATTGAAGAGACAGCTTATTTCAACCCCAAGCAATCAGAGGCCACTACACACAGGTGTCTAATGTTAGTCCTCAACCATATGTTGTTTAAGAAAATCAAAGACACAAAACAGACAACTCACTGCTTTATCATCCCCTTTCCCTTTTCTGATATTTACTTTAAAAAAAAAGAATTAATACTGAACATATACAGGATTCATGGAATAAAGGTCAAAGTTGGAAGTGACCTTGAAGCTAACTTAATTTAATCATCCCTCTGATATTTAAAATTTTTTATAACATTTTCTCCAGTTGCTTGTCAAGTCAACACAGGAATACTTGCATTGAAGAGGGCTCCATGGTCTTTGAAAGGAGCACACATTTTCTATGAGTGTGTGAAGATACTCCCTAACAAGGAAACGAACTGGGGCATGAATAAGTCTAACTCCCTTTGTCCAAGACATTTTTTCATAAGATCTAAAGCAGTGTTTTCTCAAAATTGAGAAAAGGACCAATGGCATCAGTGGGAAAAGGAGAAAGTTATATTTTAAATTTACATTCCTGGGCCGCATTCCAGACCTACTGAGTCTCTGCATCAAGAAACTTGGATATTTAACAAGTCACTCACCACCACTAAGTGATGATTGTGTTCATGAAAGTTAAAGAACTACTAGTTACTAAAAATATAAAAATTAGCTGGGCATGGTGGTGCATGCTTGTAATCCCACCTACTCAGGAAGCTGAGGCAGGAGGATCACTTGAAACGAGGAGGCGGAGCTTGCAGTGAACTGAGATCACACCACTGCACTCTGGCTTGGCGACAGAGCAAGACTCTGTCGCAAAAAAAAAAAAAAAAAAAAAAAATTAAGGTGTTCTGGTGGTGAATTATTTTTCCTGTAATTACAGTTCTTTCTTTTCAATCACTGCTCTAAAACATTGGATACACACTGAAATTTAAATTGAAGAAACATAAATCTATTAGCTTATTTTAAGTTTAAAAGTTTTTGTTGTCGAAGAATGCCAAAAAATCAGGAATAAACTTAAAACATTATGGTTATAATTATGTACTTCCATTATAGCAATAAAACATTATTCCTTTAGTAAATTTCCTTATAGTTATCTAATTCAAAAAATTCCTTTTCCTTTCAATACTGTTGAAGAAAAAACAAAACAAACACTCACTCACTGGCAGAGTTGAGAGAAGGCATTAGGGATAAAATGTTCAAGTCTGGCACTGATGTTAATACTTGTCACATATATATGTATGTGTGTGTGTATGTGGGGGAGGGGCTGTATACACCCACACGTATATGTAGGTATTTTACAAAAAAAGGACTTTACATGAAAATTCTGAACAAGGATAACCCTCTTTTAAAATGTAAGTTTCAAAGCCAAAATTCATTGCTCTGAGCTAATGAGAGGATTACTTTCCCTGTTGGTCATTCCTTCTCACCCTTAAAATTTGAAAATTTATAATTACGCTAAGCGAAACAAAATAGGATAAAATATACTTTTTCTAACAACATCCAGTGGAAAGGGGCATTTAGTAACCAAGTCATTGTGTTTTGTAAGGCTGTTATCTTCCTCATTCATTCAGCTTTGCAATTTTTGGAATTCTGACAATGATGCTACAATCTGGGACTTGGGATTTGTAATATTTTTCTTTCTCTAAAAGTTCAAAGAAAACTACTCACAATCAACCCACACACATTGACTACACACTCACAAATACAGGTGAATGTATGTACATATACCCAAACACAGCCTGTCCTTCTGAAGATAGAAATCTGGCCCTTTGGTGCATTACAAAGAACACTAAGGACCAAACTTTTTAGGGCTGGAAAATAGCTAATGTTCTTGCCAGAGAGTTAAAGACGGAATATCCCCTTTGTCATAGCCAAATTTATGACATGGATCAAAAACTATAAAAAGCTACGTTGCATCCTGCCATTAAGGAGAATTAATATTTTCAGTGGTATGTTAACCAACATTTCTCCAGTGTCTCTCGTTAAAAGCAGATTGTTGACTTTTTATCGTGGTGTGCCAAACATTTTCATTGAAACCCTAACAAGACTTTCATCTTAGAACCATTATTTCTTAATGGACTTGGATAAGGGCAACGTAAAGGAATGGCTTTGCTTTGCAGCATTGTGGCATGTGGCAATGGCCTGTCATTAGCACATTGGGCCTTGCTGAATCATTACACATGTAGACACTTAAGGCATTTCCAGTGTGATTTGATTGTTTTCCCTGAAGCACACTTCATGTTTTATCTATTACACTTATGCAACAGAGGTTCTTTTTCCACTTTCATGTATCTTTATTATGATTCTTTCTATTCAGCTGTTCAGTAAAAACCATAATAGATGAAATCATTCACACTCACACACACACACACACACACACAGAGAACTTATTTTGCTTTTTTGTTTTTTACTGAGGATATCTATGAAATTTTTATCTGTGCTTAGGAAATCAATGCAACTTTTTAAAACCCCTGGGCTTCAACAACTTAGCAATAAACTACATGACATCAGTTGTTCAGATTCCTCAAATATATATATTTTCAAATAGCATTGTCTCCATGCAAACTGGAATCAGTTGTACTATAGCAAAAGAAGCCTGTAGTCTGGGAGACAAAAGGTGCTGTGTAAACAGCATGCCTCCTTTTTCTGGACCCTTCGATTTGGCTGAATTTGATACACCTGATGTGAAAATGATTGTGATATAGCTAGTGAGCTGATGTCGACAGGCTCTAATTTGCCCAATAGGCCTTCTTTTTCCTCAAATACATATTTAGAGTCAATGACAATTAAATCTAGAGATGGAAACTTTGGCTTTTGGCCTGGGCTCTCACTTGAATGTGTTGGCCAATATTTCTATTGAGTGTTTTATGATGTGGTTGATCAAATTGTGGGGTATGACTACAGGCCCTACCACTGATTCTGAAACTGGCAAGCTGAGAGTCACCTGAAGTTAGCTATCAGAGTCAGATAAACTGAAATTTAAGAATGCATGGAGGAAGACTGGTTATCAAAGAAATAATACTTAATTCTAGAATCTAGATTTCATGGGGTTTAATATGCCTCCCAAGAAGTTTTATGATTTGGAAACCTGCATGAACTAAATACATATCACAAAATCCCTTACTTGGAATATAAGTAAAGACATTCCATTTTTATTCCTAGGAAATAAAAGTCATCCCACTTCCTCTAAAGGTATTATTTCAGTTCAGATGCTTCTGACTGCAAGTAACAGATTTTCAAAACAAAAGTGGCTTTTAAAAAGAAAATTATCAATATGGCTCACATAAGAAATTCAGAGGTTTTCCTTTCCAGGTGGGTTAATTGAGCAACTCAAGTTTGCAGGGTCCTGGATCAGCACCTCTGCCATTTTCTTTCCCTCACAATTGCGAGGTATTTATAAAATTTATACCACCAGGGGAAAAACTATGAGAAAAACAAAATATTCAAAATGTGATTTTTTTAAAAAAATGGAGAGAACACTATTAATACTATATTTGATGTGCTAAAATAATTTTAATTATTTTCGAATTCAAACCTGCTTTCTCTCACTTGAAATTGTTGCATAACTCAAAAGCACTATTATAATTCAACCCAAATGGTACGGTACTTCAATGAGCTGGTGAAATTGATTCAGGACATTAAAGAGATGTCGGCAAAGTTATAAATCGCTACTCTAATCGGGAGTGAAGAGGTTAATTCAAGATTCCACTAAAAACAGACTGGCAGAAATGTTTCCAGGGACATGCGTATTTTTTTTTTCTTTTCTCTCTCTCTCTTTTTTTTACTCAGTAGGGGTTTGGAGAAGAGGTTTGGAAGGGAAGGAGAGGGCTGGTTCCAGGCCCCTTGCATTCCCCAGAGCCCCGTTAAGGAAGGGGGAGGGCTTCCTGCCCAGGCAGCCATCTGTAACATTCTATGAACAGCAGGAACCCGCGCTGCTCCAGTCCGTAAACCCGGGTGAGGATTCTGTCTGCATTCAAAGAAAAAACCAGAGGAGTTTTCCCTCTTATTTCTGCGTTCTATCTTTTTTTTCCCCACTATTATCTCTTGCGGGTGAGCAATGTAGTTGGGAGTCTCGGAAGTTGCTTGTATAAACAAACTATCATCTCAACGATATCAGAACAGTACTATTGAGAACTGGCCCAACTGGTACCAAAATGCCGGGCCTGCCTTCTGGAATGTGCTGGCAGCAAGCTGGGAATGTCATCATCCCCGCTAATGTCACACCGTGGAACGCTTTCTGGGATCAGTGGACGTGTGTCTGATGTTCCCTTAAGTTAACTGCTTTCTAGGCTTGACTCAATTAGAGCTGGCTTTTTGGAAAGTGGTGTCATTTAAAACCTATTTTATGAAAGTTATTTTTGTGCCTATAATTTTGGGGCTCACACGTCTGTTATTTCCTCCAGTTCTTGGCTTGCACAATATGCTGCCTATGGAAAGTAGTAAAGAGTGACAATGGAAAAAATAACAAGCACTTGTTTTTTTTACTTCCAACATCTGGAGAAAACACATTTAAGGAAATGTTAACAAATAGGTACAGGGATTGATAACATTAAAAAATATATATACTTCCTTATAGAGGGAAAAACAATCAGAATAGATAGAATCTTTTAGATCAATTTTACACAAAGAATACCAAAAAATTTAACAACAAAAATGATCTCATTCAAGAGGATTCAGTTCACATCCTTTCCTAGGGTCAACCAAATGACTAATGTCAAATCCCCAAAGCACATAGGTAAAAAAATCTTTTCTCCAAAAAGAACAAAGACATAGAATTTCAATTTCGAAAAATTTCCTATTTTCTACTTTTCAATAAAGTTTTACTGTTACATTTAACTTCCCAGCAGCACAGTAGAGAAGTAAACACATTCTCATGTAGAATATGAAACTTAAAAATAAAAAAGAAAAATTCAAGAAGCAATTCAATGCAGAGATAAATATTAGAACGAACAATGCAGCAATAGTTTTATTGGAAAAAAAAGCACAAATGTGAATGTACTCTGTTCTTACACACCGAAATAACTTAAAGACAAAATATGCTTCAAGGGAAAATAAATCATAATGAATACCTACTACTGTATTACCAAAAGAGTGGTGGATACATTTCAGCCCAGTTTTTCTACTTTCATTTACTCACATTTTTATACCTTAAAGTAAGCATTGGTAAATATTCCACACGGGCCTAAGTTTTTTCCTTTTTTAACTCAGTTTTACACTATCAGTATAGGCTAATTTATAAAGTCATTGCATCAAAATTTGAAGACACGAAGTACCAAATATAGTTTTTTTTCCTGGAATTTCTCAGTGTTCAGATGAGAAAAAAATCCAAGCCAGTATTTGGAAATAAATAAAAAATCTTGATAAAATACTTTAAGAAACATATCAAAAATTGAAAAATCAGGTTTGTAGAAAGTTTTAAAGTTTTAGAAAATAAATGGATTGTTCCCAGGTGCATGGGGATGTGGCCAGTGCTTATGGCCACGTAAGTGCTCTTGATGGAGTATGGGGGAGATACTTCCTGAGGTGACATTAATTTTCTTCTTGTATCCAGTCATCTTGGTGTCATGTTTGAGGTCAAGAATAGAGTTAACATCTCAGAAACTTCATTTCATTTTAATCTTGCAAAAGCAAAGGCAGTGCCATCAACAGGATCAAATACTTCCATATAATACCAGAAGAGCAAATTGTTAATTTACAATAACAAATAATTATTGTAAAAAGCAAGTTGCTCTCATCCACACAGCCAGCCTCTTCCTTACCTGCAGTCAAGTCACAAAGGAAACCAAATTATATTTCAACCAGTTTATTATTTTGCTGTGAGAACTTACTGTCCATGATGAGAATGGTCCAAATTCTATGACCCACATGATTTCTCCATGAGGGTACATATTCTTTCTTTAAACAACTTAATACATTGAAGAATGTTACAGTCCAGATAGGAGGGTCTGGGATCCATTTTGACTTTTTAAGGAAAATGTAAATATGTTAGATGATGTAGAATTCTAAAGCAAAAGTATCAGCAAACAATTTTATCCTTCATTGTTTACATTTTCTCAGGTGTTTTTTGTTTTACTTAATTGCTAAGTATTGACAGCAGAGTTTACTATATATATTGACTTTTTTCAATGACTGTTCAAGAGAAATGGTTATTGTGACAAACTCCAAATTAATGGAAGGAAGCCTCCATTTTGGAGGCTTGAAATTTATTACGGGATGTCTAAACTCAGTTAACCACATTAAACTGCCAATCTGGTTAATCTACAAAACTCTAGGTAAGAAAATTACCTCTATTTTTCTGGTAAGAAAATTCAACTTAGATAAGATTTTCTAGTCATTCGCCTGGTAAAGACAGAGAAGGCATTTGAATTAGACCTCTCTGACTGCTCAGTACGACCACCTGACTCTTCTCTATGTTGATTTATATTTCACTAAATAAAAATAATGCCTCCTAAATTAGAGATAAATAGAGAATAGGAACTATGGCATATGACTTACACATTCCCAGAAACTAGCACAGTGAAACAAATATCAAACACCCAGTATTTTCTGAAAGAAAGAAAGAAAAAATAAATGAATGAATGAATGGTATAAACTCAACAACATGTTCAACTGCTGCTTTGGAAAGCTGTAGGCTGAATATCAAATAAACTGACTTGTATTTCATTAAGCTGTTTCTTTTAAATTTATACTGATCATTTAAAATATATACACTTGTACTATTAAAATTCATACTCACAACTTCGGAATTTTCTTTTTATTTAGCTCTTTTTTCTTTGAATTGTCAAATGGAAGGGAAAAGGGTTTCATATCTACACAATAAAAAAATATATAATCAGAGAAAAATACATTGGTCCACACATATAAATTCCTTTTTGAACCCTATTCAACATTGCCCCCTCTCCCAATATTTGGTTTGTTACTTTAATATAATTTATAATCACCCAATTGTTCTTTTTATTCTGAAGGAGAACATAGTGATCTGTGGATGCTGGTAAATTACTTAAGTGAATCTAACATCTTTCAAGTTGAAATAACCTCTTTGATCCCAGAGATGCCTGAAAGGCCCATTCTTAGACATCATAGGAAATATTGCTGCGAAGCCTTAAGAAAATCAAGAATTATAAGAAAATTCAGGTTTAAAAAAAAAACAATATCACCAGTACCACCATAGTATGAATTATTCGTTAGCAACAAAATGTAATTTATTAACACTTAGGCATAAAGAGACAGCAGCAGCTAATTAGCATTGTTTCCTGTCCCACACTCTATGGATTCTACAAATTGATTTGTGAATTCTAGCCTCTGATCAAAGATGTATCTGTGGGCCATATGTTTATTTAGTCAGCAATCAATTAAAATATGTATTTTTAAAAAAATTTATTTAGCAAATATTATTGATCACACACTCTAGACTAGCCCTGAGTAGAAGAAATACAATAAATATGGTTGACATGGATATATTGAAATGTGTGTTTCTCTAAAGAAACAACTCTTAAATAGAAATAATTACTGTATATTATACATTTTTCTTTTAAAAGTGTATATAACTTAAATTTCCAAGATTGAATTAGAATGGCTAAAATATAGCCCTATAATTGATTGGAAAAGTTTTAACCATCATATCTTTCTATTAGAGTTTACAAAGAGTGGTGATCAAATTCATACATTTATGGTTAAATAGATCTTTCATGATTTTTGTTTTTATCCTGTTTAATAAGGTCAAGAATGATGTACTGCATACTATTATTTCTCTTATGCCTAATTTTATCTTTTGTGGCCAATTATCAACACTCAAATATTTAAGAATTCAACTCGCTGGGCGCGGTGGCTCACGCCTGTAATCCCAGCACTTTGGGAGGCCGAGGCGGGCGGATCACGAGGTCAGGCGATCAAGACCATCCTGGCTAACATGGTGAAACCCCATCTCTACTAAAAATACAAAAAAGCCGGGCGTGGTGGCGGGCGCCTGTAGTCCCAGCTACTCGGAAGGCTGAGGCAGGAGAATGGCGTGAACCCGGGAGGCGGAGCTTGCAGTGAGCTGAGATCGCGCCACTGCACTCCAGCCTGGGCAACACAGCGAGACTCCGTCTCAAAAAAAAACAAAAAAAAGAATTCAACTAAAAGAACCATTAAGGAGGTAGACATATGCAGAAAGGCTCTGAATATTGATTCAAGTCAACAAATACGCTTTTTGGCCACAGAACCCATTGTTACATGCTATTAAAAGAGTTAAGTAAAAGAAGGGGATGTGGTATGCTCCCTTCTTTTATTCAGGAGGGTGTCAATGCCAGCAACCTTCTTTAGGTGGTTTGAGACCACTTGGCTTTCAAAGGGAAACTTGAGGTGAATTAACTGAAGTAGTTAAATTTTTGCACACAAATCAAGTAGCCAGGAACTCCAAGAGAGAGACAGGTAATCATCACGGTATGTGGACGAACTCTTTTCATTACAGGAGTTCAACAGGTAACAGCAGAAGATACTTTTGATACCAGGGAAGCATAAAGCAGAGAAGGTTGAGAACCTAAGTAGCAGGATTCACCCACTTTGAGATTCACAGCATGGGCTTCTGAGCACATGTGTTTGGTAAAAGGTAGCAGCAAGTAGTTTGTGGAGGGAAAAAAAAAAGAGTGAAATTAGGTATTAATAAAAGCAGTCATTAAAAGCTTTTAAAAAGTAGAGATGCCAGGTTTTCATTTTGTAATGCTCAGTTCTGGAAAGATCTTTGTAGAAAAACAATTTCTACATTCACAGGGAACATGAAGATGGAAGGGAGATATAATTGGGTATGGTGATTTCCACTGCTGCCAACCCAGATCCATCTTATCATCTCAGCAGTGGTTTTATCCTGGCCAGACAGGAGATCAAGAAGTAGTACCGTAGAGGCAAGTAGAGAGCAAATGACAACTTCCCCCCGCAATAATAGCATTCTAATTTTTTTTTTAATTCTAAAGCAGAGGAGTTGAAACTGGAAGACTATCATCTATTGTGGTAGTGGTAGATTTCTCCAAAATATGGCACTCATATTTTATCTGTTTTAATTAATGATCAACTTAATATTTGCAATGTTTGGACTATTGCAAAATAAGTTAGACTGTACGTATATGTCACAATTTACATAATTGGTTTCACATGCAATTTGTATTTCATACATTATAACATGTGAACAAATAGTTTCTTCCCCCATGCAGGAGTATTGGATTATAACTTTGTTACCTGGAAGGCGGCAGGTGTCTTGGTTGATGGTGGTGGTAAGTTTATGATTACAATTATGGAGTAACATGGAAGAGAGACAATGTGAGTACTATGAGAAGGTAATTTTCACATTTGCCTAGTGAAAGCCAAGGGGACTACAAAATTTGTGACAAATGAAAATAGTAATATTGAATGCAGTAACTTCTGAAGATGTGAATTTAACAGTGACCACTCTGTGCTCTTTCCCACTGTTTCTTTATGTACTTACATGGTTATCTCATTTGATCCTCATACGCATTCTATATTTACTCCATTTCAGATAAGGCTGAGGCAATATGACCAAGTAGAAGTGGGGGAAATAAGGCTGGGATGGGGGCTCTAAGAGTCTGTGTAAGGCTTACCAAGCATGCTCTGGATAAACACATTCACCAACAGAGACCGAGGATGACTTCCCTGAATGTCATTGTTTTCCTAAAAGACCTTTCAGCAGGAATTGCACTCAAAAATAAATTGGGACATAGTAATTTGATGCTCCTGTATTGCTGTCTACTCATTGTCTCTCTTTTAAATAAGAACACATTGCACATCCATTTCTCAATAGCATCAATGAATACAACTATCTAATTTAAGCTTCATTCAGGAAATAAATAGCAGGTTCTAATATGGGCTCCAGAGGCGTAAATACATGTGTATACATACCAGCATGAATGTACATAAGTGCATTTGCTCTGCCCGGTCACAGCAATTACTACAAAAGCTTCAGTAACTTCATTTTGGCAACAGAATGACAGATCTGCACACCAAATGTTATCCTTAAGTGTGTTTTTCTCTTAGATCATTAGGTTTCCTTTTTTTCTGTGCTTAACAGATGTGTGGAAATTAAATGGATCTGGAGTCATTAATATTTTATGAATATGAAAAGCACTGTCCTTTGAGTAAAACCATTATCCAGTTAATTGATCTAAATAAAATATTTCCCTGCATTAAAAAGAATTTCTGTGCTCTAACTCCATTTCTTATCCTCTTTGCTTCTGGAAACATAAACAAACAAACAAACAAACAAACAAAAACTACCAGGCTGTGGAATGGAATAAATCCCTTACTTTTGCATTCTTCCTCACTTGCCTGTTAAACTCAATCATGTCCTTTAGAAACAGCAGTGAGTGTCATGAAAGTCCCCTGGCCCCGAAACTGTAAATAACGCTAAAGCATGTGCTATGTCATCACACAGGAATCACTGTAAGGAATAACAGGAAGGGACTTCAAAGATTATCTGGTTTAATTCACCCACTTTATAGATGAGGAAACCAGGGTCTAGAGAGGGAAGTCCCCTGAACAAGGTCACATGTATAATTAGTGGGAGACCATGTTTGTTTATAATAATACGATTCCACCTTCACTGTTCTCCAAACAGCTGGTGGCCCTACAACAGGGGGAAAAAAACAAAGTATAATACTGTTTCTGTATGAACAATGAATGAATAAACATTCATTTATTCAATCAATTTAGTCAGTCAACATTTAACAAACAGGTACTGAGCCTTCCCTTAGGCAAGGCAGTGTGCTAAAAGTTGGGGACCCAGAGTTGGACATATTAGGTGGAATCCCAGCAGGAAAGAGCTGCTCTGTGTTTCCATAGGCAACAATCAGAATGAGCTGGTCCTTAACAAGCAAAGGCCATTGAGGATTCTTCATGGCCTATGGGCATGGCACCAAGATAATGTCTCCTGCTACATGGAGTGAAAAAAAATCAAAGGGTCCTACATTGATATTTTCAAAATCAGGCCGGGCACGGTGGCTCACACCTGTAATCCTAGCACTTAGGGAGGCTGAGGCAGGCGGATCACGAGGTCAGGAGATCGAGACCAGTCTGGCTAACACGGTGAAACCCCATCTCTACTAAAAATACAAAAAAAAAAAAAAAAAAAAAAAAAATTAGCCGGGCGTGGTGGCAGGCGCCTGTAGTCCCAGCTACTCCGGAGGCTGACTGATTTTCAAAATCAGTCACAGGTGCCACTGACGTTAGTAACACACTCGTGAAAGGCGGCATGTAAGTGAGAATGGAGCTTATGCTAGGACATTGATTCGCATCCTTCACTGATTCTTGAATTGCAGTTTTCCTTATACTTCCTACTCTCTAAAAACATTACTTTAAAAATTTTATTTATTTATTTATTTATTTATTTATTTATTTATTTATTTATTTATTTTTGCAACAGAATCTCGCTCTGTCGCCCAGGCTGGAGTGCAGTGGCGTGATCTCGGCTCACTACAAGCTCCGCCCTTCCAGGTTTAAGCAATTCTCTGCCTCAGCCTCCGGAGTAGCTGGGATTACAGGCGCGTGCCACCACGCCCGGCTAATATTTTGTATTTTTAGCAGAGATGGGGTTTCACCATCTTGGCCAGGCTGGTCTTGAACTCCTGACCTCGTGATCCACACGCCTTGGCCTCCCAAAGTGCTGGGATTACAGGCGTGAACCACCGTACCCGGCCAAAAATTTATTCTTTAGGTACAGGAATAAGGGTCAGGAGATTAGAGGACTTTTCCATCAGGTAGATATTCTCAAGGTGTTAAAAAACAAAATAACCTTGCAGTTATTTAAGAATATCAGGTTAGATAAATGCCAGTGTTCCCTTTAGGTAACAATTATATTTCAGTAAATACTTTACAACATGTTTTTGTAGAAAGTATATATTTATTATTGAAGTATTTTTAAATAGAAACATATCCTATGAGTGAATATTTAGAATCAGAAATAAGCACCTAGGATATCCTTGTATATACAGGTCATAAGAGACCACTGAAAAATAGTGAACCCGCAGAGACTTTTGACAAATCTCACAGGAAGGATCCAAAATCCTAACGCTAAAGTTAAAAACTAATAGAAAATTGGCCGGGTGCGGTGGCTTATGCCTGCAATCCCAGCACTTTGGGAGGCTGAGGCGGGCAGATTCCTTGAGGTCAGTAGTTTGAGACCAGCCTGGCAAACATGGTGAAACTCTGTCTCTACCCAAAAAATACAAAAATTAGCTGGATATGGTGTGGGTGTCTGTACTCCCAGCTACTCGGGAGGTGAGATAGGAGAATCTCTTGAACCTGGGAAGTGGAGGTTGCAGTGAGCTGAGATCCTGCCACTCCAGCCTGGGTGACAGAGGGAGATCATGTCTCAAAAAAAAAAAGAAAGAAAGAAAAAGAAAATATGGTTAACTTCAAATAGGAAATTGCCTTACTCATGATACAACTAGTTCACTAACAAATAGAGAGACTTTGATTTCTAATTCTAACAGTGTGTTGATTAAGAACCTTGACCCTGGGAAAGACAGATCCGGTTTGAAATACTGGCTCTGTCACAATAGTTTCAGTAAGATTCCGTAACATTGATGACTATTAAGATAAAGTAGTAGAGTATTATATTTTATTTTCTTATGTCCAAAAAATTTGAAAGTGAAAATTTTTTATTTAGTATTCCAAGCAACATTTCAGAAATGTGTACAGATCGTATCCCATATCTCCTTTAGTCCAGTAACACGCATATTTCACCAAACACTGCAAATCCCTTTCTGGTTATCTCACACTGAGATCTTCTACAGCCGGTTGTTATCTCTTACGGACATTTAACCACAACCAGATTAAAAACTGAAGTTAAAGAAGTGACTGAAAACCAAAAAGGATTACTTAATTGCCTATTTTATGTAAAAACAGGCCTTAGGCCCTAAAGAGGAAAGTGAGTCTGTTTCTTAACAGTTAATTACTGGGAGGATAGTTTCAGTGACCACTCCACTGCCAGAAGAGTCAGCAAATTGGCAGCTTGTTCTCTCCTTCTCTCTTCTTGGTATTTCACCAAGATAAGGTGGTATGAGATCAGTTTCCCCCACTTTCTCCCTCCCTAGGCTTTCCATATTTCTTTAGAAATCAGGAACAGTTCCTTTCCTTTTTTCAATGCCAGTCCCCCACCCCGCTTAGAAATCAATGGAATTTGCCTTGGTTTAGGAAAGTTCCAAAATACTTCCTAGGCAGAATCATGGAAATTAAAGATGTGGAAGACCTCACTGGATCATCTAGTTCATCTATTTCCTATTAAAGAGTTTTCCAGATGGAAGATTTTTGTATGTTGGATGCCTCCTCTCATTTCTGCAGGGCCTGAAGTCAGATTTTGAGCATCCAAGTCTAATGTAGAGAGGTGAATAAGGCCTGCATTCAATAATTTCATAGACAGAAAAGTGCCTTATCCCAAAGGTGTTATCATATTACAACAGCTTTTGGATGGAAATAGGCGACACCTCATCAGAACAGTTATGTGAGAGTGCTGGATGGTTCTCCAAGCACCATGGGCTTGACATTTCTTTTGCAGAGAGCAGTGTTTTGTTGCTGTGTCCTGAGCACAATGGAGCCCATTGGGAGCTCAGCTTTTTCTTTCCTTTTTTTTTTCTTTTTAAAAAAATTGCTCTAGGTTTCTACATATAGGAACTGCTGTTTTGGTGACTTTTCCAGAAGGCTTTTGGAAGAGGGAGTGTTGTCCAACGGTACATAGATAGAATTGCAGAAGGCCATAGGCCAGTAACAGACACTTGTTTTACTAGCAATTTATTTATGAATCTCCCCATTCATATATTTTCATCAGCATCACGCAATGCTTCCAAAAAATGATACGAGTTTCTTCCTTAGTGTTATATTCAAGAGCCATCTTAAGTGAGTGCCATTGTGTTTACCTGGTTATGGTCACACTGGGGTCAAGAACAACCTTCAGTTTTATCGCAATATAGAAACATACTTTAAAATCAGGTGAGGTGGAATCCTGGCTGGCTTGTTGTATTAACTCTATAAATTTGTATAGATTATTTACCCTGAGTCTCAATGTACTCACTGAGGCAAAATGAATGTTAAAATATCTAGCCCATGCTCAATGCAAAATGAATAATAGTTTCTTTTCTTCCCCTTTAAAATATGACAATTAATTTGAGAGCCTTAGAAGAATCCCGAGCATGGGAAATAAATATTATATTTTCCCCTGTGTCACTTTACAAAAAAGACCAAATTAATTCTACATTTTTCTGGCAATAATGGTTTGCTTTTGAATGCATAGCTCCTTGATATTTCTTTTTAAAAAAAGAGAGAGGAGATGAAAAGAAAACCTTACATCTAGTATACAGTTGATAAGAGCAATTGAAAGAATTTTAGATACTGAGCTTACTAGATCCTTCAGTACTCCATTTGCCCTTCCACTAATAAATTAAAATTATGTCCTTTAAAAAATTATCTAATGCATAGGAATCATCAGACGGTTCACACTCGGGGGGTCAAAATTATTAAGTTTCTTATTTACCAGTAGCAGGAAACAACTTGAACTAACAAGCACAAAGGGCAACATATAGGAATGATTTTGAGAGTCTTTACTTAGAATCCTCTTCCCTCAGATACGTCTCAGTTTTTCTTGTTTTTCCTTAAAATTGTTATTCAAATGTAACTTTCTTAGTGAGTTCTTACATGACCTCTTTTAATAAAATTATAATCCCCTATAGATTCTCAACTCCTTTTACTTAACATATTGCATATTGACTTATTTATATTGTTTATTTTCCGTCTACTCTCACTAAATATAAGATCCATGAGGGCAGAGATTTTATACAATTTTAAGATTTATATATAGACCAATTGCTTTGGCCTCAGCAACTAAAACGAATGACTGGCACACAATGAGCATTCAAATATTTGTTGAATAAATGATTGAAATTGAATTTTATAAAATCTGAGAAAAAATAAATTTTGACTTCAGAAAGAACCAGGGCCATGTCCTTTCAAAACAATACTCTTTAGATTTTTTCCCCTGGAGACCTACCATTAACATGGAAGCCCATTTTTATGGATAGAATGTGTCTAAAGTCCCGTTCGATGTTCATTCTCTGTTAGCATACCCAAACAGTTAGTTTGGAGGAAGATACAACTAACTTGCCTATCATCATCATTAAATAGCACCTCAAACATTTCTGTGCTTAGATTCTGGAGCAGTGACCAACACTGAAATGCCTACTTACCATGTTCATATAAAGACATGAGGCGGTCTAGGTGTAATTCAGTGGGAGAAGTGTACCCTGTGTAGTGTACCCTGGTGACAATGTGCTGAAGTAGAAAAAAAAAATTCCTCTTTGAAAGAGTGAAGCTCCTATTCAATTTTGGCTGAGTGTTCTATTGGGTCAAAGCACATGTTGTTCAGAGCTTCTGATTTTAAAAAGAAGCTGCATATATGGATCTTTTTATAAAACCTCTCAATTTCAAAATTATATCAGCCACTTAAAATATTGTGTTAAAATATACTGCAAAGGTCATGCAAAGTATATCTAAAAGACTGGTGTGACTGACAGACCATATATTTATAATTTCTGGTCTAGCTTCCAATTCTAATTATCTGAGTAAATACGTGAGCCTCCTGTCCGCTCAGTGGCGGCATTAGATTCTCATAGGAGCACAAGCAATTGTGAACTGCACATGTGAGGGATCTAGGTTGCGTGCTCCTTAAGAGAATCTGACTAATGCCTGATGATCTGAGTCTGAGGTGGAACTGTTTCATGCTGAAAACATTGATCCCCGTCACCATCTGTGAACAAAATGTCTTCCTCGAAATTAGTCCTTGGTGCCAAAAAGGCTGGGGACTGCTGTTCTAAGCCATCTTAACTTTATTTGTGACATTTATACAATTATTAACAAAATCAACTGCTTTTCAAACTAGATTTCTAATACATATATATTTTTTTAAGTTTTTCTTTCTATAGAATCCCCTTTGCTCTCTTGATTATTTTAGCATGCTCTTTAGGATTTTTCTAGTTCTTTATATCCGTGTCTTCCTTGAGTGCTAAGTAGCATAGATTAAAAAACACTGAATTTGCCTACAGAAAACCTAGATTCTATCCCTGGATTGATCTATCTCTTACTAGCTATGCAAGTTTGAAATAAGCTATTTAAACCACTTAGATCTATGCAATTCTACTTTTAAAATGAATATAACAGCCCTGTTCTTTTTTACCTGATGTGAAGTCACCTACATGAAAGAATTTGCAAACAATAAAAAGCTTTAAATGTTAAGTCTTATTCAAGTGGAGGAGCACTGTGGCTTTACACAACAGCTGGGTCTCTCTGAATGCTTTATTTCTAATAAAATGCTTTATTGCCAATAACACTCTTTATTTTCAATAACATTTAGAATGCAAAATTGCATAGTTTTGTTGTTGCTGCCGTTACCATTGCAACAATATTCTAAGGTGTCTTCTAGACTCCGTGATTTTTTTCCTAGGTCATGATTTATAATTAAGAGTGTAGTAACTTATATATTTATTTGCCCCATCCTAACTTATCCTTTTTTCTCCCTTCACATCAACTTTCTATCTTATTTTTTTGTTGTTAACGATCTCCTTTCAGTCACACTGAATTTTACTTAGGAAATCATATTCAATCTTTTCTTATTATTTATTTTTATTTTAAGTCACTTCCTCTACTTTTACCTTCAAAAATCATATTCACACATCAATAGCTGCTCAAATAACATGGTTTTTATGAAGCTCCGATTCTTCCACTAAAATTTTTCTCAATATTTTGAAACATCTATATAACTTTATAACTTTGAGGCTTAATGCATTTTGGGTAAAATTTGCATTCATGTTTCAAGATACAATGGCTCAGACTTGTTCACTTGTGTAACCCTGCAGCTATTAAAATAGGACTCTGTATTATGTATAATAAGTACTCAAAATGAGTTGAATTAATGGGTCTTCTTTAACTCTGTTACCTTTATTTTCCTACATCAAAGTCAAATGTCATTATTCTTTATTTTCATTGCTTTCATTGGATTCTTGCCTGCTATGTCTACCAACTCGGTATTTCACTACACAGAAGACCTTATAATAAGAGAGAAAAAACTTAAAATTTTTTTTTGTCTTTATTCTAAGCAATATATTTAACATATTGGTTGAGACTGTGTTCCAGCCTCAGTCCCTAGGGAACCTTGACACTAACACTTCTCTAAGTAGAGAAATGATCATTTATTCCTACACATTGCTTCCTGTCATTAAGCCATTTCCGCACTTAAAGACAAAACACTTTCCATAATAACAAGGAAATTGGTTTTTTAAAATTGTTGTTTGACCACCTATAGGATACACACTTTCAATCTCTTTGAAAGTGGAAATAAAATTACCTTCTTTTTTGTCCATATCACCTCTGAGAAATCTAGACTCGTTTATTCAATAAATCTGTACTGAGAACCTTCTATGTGCCAGGTACTGTAAGGGACTCTAAAGATACATATAAGAAAAGCCCATTTTGCTTTCAAAAAGCTTTGCTGTCTGCAGTCTGCTAAGAGCTGTAATGAGGGTAGAGAGGCAAACCTCTAACTCTACCTTCATGGAGGTCTACGGAGATTTAACTGAGGTGAACATTTAAGTCGAGTCTTCAAAGACAACTCACTTGGTGCCCGAGGGACAGGAGGTGCATTCTGAGAAAAAGGAAGAGCATATACTGAGGTATGAAGGCAGGCACCAGCATCATGATGTGGTGGAGGGCATGCAGGCTAGCAGGTGTTTCAGGAGAGGAGCTATGGAGGAAGATGAGATGGGAAGAGGCCCTACTGCAGAAGGCCTTCTGAGCTATGGTGGAGAGTTCCTACAGTCTGGCCAATTAAATATTTGCAGGCAGGGGTGGGTACAAATAAGAGATGTGCTAGAGAGTTTACTCTGATGGTGGAATAAAGAATATACTATGGAAGGCAAGGCTGGAGGCAGGCAGGAATGTTTGTAAGTTATCTGAAAAATCTAGTCCAATGCTCTGCACCATTAAAGAGCAGCAGCAGTAAGGAAAGGAAGGGACAAGATGTATTTTTAGAAGATTTAATAGGGATTTCCAATTGTGATTGAGTTAATTAATGAGACATTATTTTCCCCTTATAGAAGCTATGTTACATATCTCCCCAGAAGTTATACTGTTCTAGGAATTCATGATGCCATCATTCTTTCCAGCTGCTGCCCTCCTGACAAGTATGGGGATACGAATCACCACTCTGAAGTTCCCAGGTTTGCTTCCAGTTTCCTCCCAATGGACACTGTGCACTGAAAACCATTAGTCTTTGCTACCACAAGTCAGCTTAGCATGACAGCTTGCACATTCTAGCCAAAAGTTTCACCAGAATCCCTGATGACTTATTTATACTAGTCTGTCAATTAAATATAGAGCATAACTCTTTATTTACCCAGTACAACTTTGTTTTACTGTTTTAACCTGCCATAGTTTGTGCATCTCTTGATTTCCTTTAAAGATGATCTTATCCCTTCTCTCAACCATCTCTGATCATTCCTCATTTCCCATTTTAGCTTGCCAACGTGAGCTACAGTCAAGTTATTTTTTATATGTGACACATATTTTTCCTTGGGTTTCTGATAAGGTCATTGTAGGAGACTCCAGGCTTCCTGTGCTCTAATTCCTCTCTAAATGATTCCTGTTTCCTTTTACCAGTTTATGTCAATAAGTGAAGATAAAGAATTATGGGCAAAATGGAATTCTGATACATTATAGTTTATATACTATAAAATTAAAACTGTTGAGTCTACCCTTAATTTTGCAATGTTGTTATTTATTAAGAACCAGAAATATAATTAAAGTACATTGCACTTGTTCCAGTAATTCCATATATTAATTCTAGCATTGTTTTTAAGCACAGAAAATATTTAAAAATAACCTAAATGCTCTAAGATGGTATATTTAGTGACAGTCACAGTGTACACAGATAATATGCTAAGCAGCTATTAAAAATTACTTTAGTATTTTGAAATGAAAAGCTATTCGTTATATGTAATAAAAGAAAAGCATGTACATAATTAGATATAAAGTATGAACTTATATTGTGATAGTTTTTTTTTCCATAATTCTATTTGAATAATAGAATTTCAGATGACTTTGATTTTTACAATTTTTTACCTTCTGGCAAAGAAAGCTGCTCATTGAAAATCCAGAATCCTTGCTCTGTTTATTTGGGAATACTTATCCTGGGTTTGAGCTCTGCCAACATTTTCAACAAGATATTAGTAATGCAAATGACCAACGTTCCATTGTAAGAATGTTTTCAAGAGATATTGCAAAACAAAACAAAAGTAAACCAAAAGCCTTCCATCATTTCCTCATAGTTTGGAGCCCTTGTCGGACCAAAGAGAGATACCAGGCCTCACCTGTGCCTGAGCCTAGTCAGGGTTTATTTCACAAACAGTAATGCCATGATGACTAAATCAAATTGGCAACTCCAGATTAAATGGAGATAACACATTGTGACCAGTTTAATCAATACAGTTTTCTTACTTTCTATTTTAAGGTTTATTTTGAAACTTTACGTATATTTTGTAAAATAGCAAACAGTGTTTCTTCCCTTTTTCTATACTCTTTCTTTTGAAAGAATCCGCACCCACACCACCCTTCAGTCCAGTGACCAACAGCAGCATTTCTCATTGTTATTCCTATACTAAGAAAAAGAAAGGACAGCTCCTGGGCCAGCTGACATTCTAATCTATGATCTCTATTTTCTTGGTGACTCACATTCTGCCATTTCACACTTGATAACTAGCATGGGTATATTGCATGCATTTTTCTTACTTTGTTCCCCTTTACTTTGGCAAGTCTCATGGAAAGGGGAGGTGACTCCTTCCAATATCTAGTGGTCTTTTTTCCCTCACAATCTTGGAAATTACATTCTAAAATGTGAAACTCAATACCATGCCACCAACGCATTTTGTATGTTAATTCGCCAAGAAGATAAATCGCATTTTCTCATGTTTCCAGAATCTCTAGGATTTTACGGCATCCCACACTTGCTCCCAGGATGCTCTACCCTGGAGCCCCATCTGGTTTTCTTTTCTAACCATGTTCCCCTGAGATCTTCTTTAATTTGAATTGTATTAAATTCATCAAACTCTTTAATGAGCCTTGGGCATTGTTCGACTTGTGTGGTGGCCTCTCCTGGATAGTAGCAGAGGGGAATCTTAACTGCCTTCAGTGTATATACTTCTGGGCGTTCCCATCAGGTCTAAGCACTGTTTCACATTATGTGAATGTCATAAATAACTTGGTTGAAAGGGTCAATGTTTTCTTATCTTGAAGAGAGTCAAAGGGCAGTTTGCATTTATCTAGGAAATGCACCTCACAGATGCTAGTCTTAAAAGCTCCTCAGGGGATGGGTGGGGAAGTACTATTATCCTTACATAATTCTAAAAATCTGGGGGGTAGTAAACCAACTGCATAAATCCTTCCCTTTCCTTTTAATCAAGGCTATAGCAAAAAAAAGAATAAGAAAAAAAATACTGCTCCTAATCACAAGTAATTTTATTTTTCTTACAATATACTGTTTTTCTCAGTAGTATATGCTTTCTTTGTCCCCTCTTGGCTTGTTTTTTAGGATCTCTTTTACTTGTATACAAAGTGGGTTGTAAGAGGCTTACTTCAATAGTATCCTTGAAACTGTCTTAAGTACACCTCCCCATATTAAAAGAGAAGGAGCCAAAGAATTTTTGTTTGCTTTGTTTTTGCTGTGATGAACTGGGATCTGATTTAAGAATTTAACACAAACCAAGTTAAAATAAAATAGAGTTTTGCAACTGTATTTTAAAGGCCCCCTACACAGTCTACAGCTGTCTGGATCTGTTCCTGGATGGAAATCATAGATGAAGTCTGTGATATCTCCCTATTGAATTCTTAGTCCACCACCCATTTTCAGTTCATGCAGTCTGCCCCTTGCCAAATTCCACTTCCTTTAGGCTGAATCTATGTCCATTCATTTATGTTTAATGTCTGGGAAAATCAGCTTCTAAATTCCACATAAGTGGAATTTTACCAGTCACTTTAAAGAATTGATAACACATTCCTGGAAAATTCTTTTTTAAAAGAAATATTGTAAAATCAATTCTACTTTATTGTTGAGTTCTACAATTGAACTAGTGAATCTTTTTTTGTTGTTTAACGAACTTTGTTGAGGTGTATTACAATGTACGTCAACAATACAATATATAATAAAATGGACTTAAGTATACAGTTTGATGAATTTTCACAAACACATTTATATCTATCTGTGTAACAACCAATTCAGTCAAGATACAGAATATTTTCATTCCCCTAAAAAATTCCCTTTTGCCTCTTCCAGAGAGCACAACCAGTGCAAAATTTCTAAGGTGGGACTGAGTGTGGCAGGTTAAGGAAACTGACAGAAAGCTAGCGTCGCTGTGGCATAGTGAAGAGGCAGGGAAGAATGACATGAAAAGAGGTCAGAGAGGCAGGTGGGGCCTGATCTTGCATAACCTTTTATTTTGTGGAGAGAAGTTTGGCTTCCACTCCGAATTCAATATAAAAAAAACCACTGGCTCTTGATTGGGACCTTGTACATAGAAGAACATTATGGTGTGATTTTTCTTCCATCTCCAGCTGTTTAGCCCTGCATTTTCCTCCTGGCATAGGTCCTCTGCTTCATGCTTCCCTGTCACATCCACAGCTGCATCAAACAGTTTCCCCTGAACTCTCTTTTTATTTTTGAGACAGTCTTGCTCTATTGCCCAGGATGGAGTTCAGTGGCACAATCTGGGCTCACTACAATCTCTGCCTCCCAAGTTCAAGTGATTCTAGTGCCTTAGCCTCCCGAGTAGCTGGGATTACAGGCACGCACCACCATGCAGAACTAATTCCTTCCCCTGAACTTTCATACTACATTGTGCCTTCCGTTACTTACATTGTTGATTCCCTTCCATCTTTGAGCATTTAAAAGGAATGGAAGGAATAAAAGAGAAAGAAGGAAAAGGAGGAAAGAAGCAAGGAAGGGCTGGGAGCTCTTTCTTGGCAAATGCCTTGCACATAAATGTTCATCTCAGGATCTGCTTGTGAGGAACCATACTTAAGGCAGCTTTCCTTGGACGTCAATGGCAGTCATAAATGTAATAAAGAAACTAAAGAGCTCTGCAGAATGGAAACCCACTTCAAGTTGTTTAACCAGCATGTCCCTAATTTATGGAACCATGCTTAACGTTGAGTAGACAATGAAAGTAGTTAAGAAAAACCATTTTTAACCTTTGATAGAGTACTCAAACTCTTAAAAAGCCTACTCTAAGTTTAAAAACTATTTTATATTATAATTATGTCCTAAGGGGATTATAAGCACATAATTAGTCATTATTTTTATTCTGATGTTTTTACCCCCAGACTCTCCTAAATTGCACTGCCAACCCCTCACTTCATGTGGATATAGTTAAGATGACCGTTCATGCCCACATTCATTTGCAAAAGTGTTAAAATTTGGGTGATCAATTATATAAATCCCTAGTTATAGTGAAATCATAATTTTAAAACATTGTCACACTGGCTATGACACTAAATTATATATTTGTTCAGTAATATAGCATTTCCCTAATTGGGAATTTACTGCTTGCTATGGTTTGGCTCTGTGTCCCCACCCAAATCTCACCTTGAATTGTACTCCCATAATTCCCTCATGCTGTGGGAGGGACCCAGTGGGAGATAATTTGAATCATGGGGGCAGTTTTCCCCATACTGTTCTCATGGTAGTGAATAAGTCTCATAAGATCTGATGGTTTTATCAGGGGTTTCCACTTTTGAATCTTCCTCATTTTTTCTCTTGCCGCTGCCATGTAAGAAGTGCCTTTCACCTCCCGCCATGATTCTGAGGCCACCCCAGCGATGTGGAACTGTAAGTCCAATTAAACCTCTTTTTCTTCCCAGTCTCAGGTATGTCTTTATCAGAAGCATGAAAACGGACTAAGACACTGCCATATAAGTGGTTATATGAAAAGTGAGACAAAGTAAACAATCTCAAGGAAAACTTATATTTTATATTTCATGGAAAATGAGTCTCAAAGAAGTTAAGAAGCTTACTCAAACTTGCACAGCTCACTGGGGCAGAGCTGGTACTTGATTCAGCTGTGACCGGTTCTGATACCTATGTTCTTTGCACCTAATATTAGAAAGTACGGCTATAAAGAAGAGTCAACATGTATCTCTTCGGCTGTAGCTGACACAGTTGTCTTCTTTGATTACAACAGATAAATACATAAATAAGAGTTGGACATGAAACATTTAACATGAGATTACATTAGTCTATATTTAAATTTTTAACTACTTTCAACTATTATTATTTAGTTGGGTTCTTTAAAAGCATATATACAAAGGACTCATGAAGTAATGGTTTGACTCAGGCCAAGGACACATTATGGCTTTGATGTTCTATGTTTGTAAGAAAGCATCCCTTAACATCTCCAATCCTAATGCATTCTTCTGTACCTGGTAGGATATTTGGTGGATTGGTGTAACCTTCAGATGAATCTGATATTACAAATATTGATAGACAGCCAGGGATTCCATGAGAGATTCTCTCTAATCTTTCCCTGTGTTCTAGGCAGCATTTCCAAAGGATTGTGAATAGAAGTGATGTACAAAAGCTGTTCTGTCTTCTCTTAAGACACAAAGTCAAGAGACTGCTGCCTACCCTCCAAGTTTTTCTCTCCCCAACCCCCAAACCACTAGAAAAGATATTTAGAAAATTCCAGTGTATCTTACGGACAACAGATTCTGATGAGTTTCTGACTTTTTCTAGGGTCTTTTAAACAAATCACCTTTTAATAGATCCCAAAAGAAAGAAATATCTAGGGCATATGATTTGGAGTTTATTATTCACACCAGTTTTGAAACGTGGATGTCTTAATTACAAGTGTATGTTAATTGCAGCACTATTCACAATAGCAAAGACATGGAATCAACCGAAATGCCCATTAATGATAGACTGGATAAATAAAATGTGGTACATATATGGTACATAGAATACTATGCAGCCATAAAAAAGAACAAGATTATGTCCTTCACAGGGACATGGATGGAGCTGAAGGCCATTATCCTTAGCAAACTAATGCATTATCCTCAGAAAACCAAATGCCACCTATTCTCACTTATAAGTAGGAGCAAAATAATGACAACACATGGACACAAAGAGGGGGACAACACACACTAGGCCTATCAGAGGGAGAGGATCAGGAAAAATAACTAATGGATATTAGGCTTAATACCTGAGTGAGAAAATAATCTGTACAACAGACCCCATTACACAAGTTTACCTATGTAACACACTTGCACATATACCCCTGAGCTTAAAATGAAAGTTTAAAAAAAGTGGATATTTTGCAGTGGTACTGATATCTTAAACTACCCAGGCAATCCCAGCTGAATGTTTGTTCTGAAAGTATTCAGGAGAAAACTAGAGAAAACTTCACCATGATCACCTCAGCATGCTACAAATCTATTTCTGCACAAAGAGAATTTCTTCACTAAGATGTATCATTTGGTGCCAGGGCTACCACTGTTTATTCATGTATTTATTTTCAAATCTGAAAATCCCAATTAGCAACTCAGATATACTAGTTTGAACTGAAAACCATTTTAATAGCTAGTTTGGTTCTGTGCCATCTAATGATATATTCACAAAGAGGAGATATGGATATGGAATGCATTTGTGATTGTTATACTACCTTTATAATGATCTAGTTCTTGTTTGTGAGATCCTAATCTAATTATCACATTATAAATTATACAAGTCAGCATATTCTAAGAGTCTTCATGTTAAATATTAACTTCCTTTAATGTTTTAGAATATATTTTATATGCTAATCAATTTGGGCCATTTAATATTTTATTCAGAATTATTGGGATTTTTGCCAAGTAGTAACTTAATTGAAAAAAGGGAAACAAGGGTGCTTATTTTTTTAATGGTTTCAAAATTATTTCTAGATATAATCAGTGAAAAGTCACTAATCCAAAACTGTAGTTCTCCTTCCTAGGACAACGGAGAAGAGCAAAGTAAATCAGTAACCAAATAAATGCACATCCTGATTGGTCAATCAGATAAACAGTCCAAAGGGATCTTTTTAACTTTGGTAATGAAAGGGGCTGGCTTTCAGTGAAAACACCTGCATTGTTAAAGATAAAATTTAGAAATATATGTCAAGGAATTTATTGCATAAAGCAAATCTGGAACAGAATCCTTTTTATTAAAACTATTATGCCAAAGGCTTTTGTGACTTCCAGTTCTTTTATCACCTTGCAGTCTTCCTGCTGATCAATTGCCTGCTCAAATGCTCCTCGGTGTTTCCCCCAGAGAAGGCAACTTCATTTCTCTTGGAAACAGCTCTATTTCCTGTTCTGTGGCTGGGGGCTCTGAAGTGTAGACCTTCTCATGCTTCCATCAAAAGGTGTCATTAATTCTAGGGCACTTGACAACCATGTTCTCTTTCAAAGACACGGAGGAAGTGGAAGGGAGATCACTGACCCTCACTGCCAGTGCAAGATTTTTCAATTTCATCTACTGATTAAAGTTTCTTTAGAATACGAATATTATGTACTTTTTGATTAGCTCCAGAAAGATTATGCCAACTTTTCCTTTCACACTCTACTTGTGACATTTTTTGGACCTCAGTGGATATAGATCCGACAGTGGAGAGATGTCAGGTATTGATATGTTAAAAGAAAAAACCACAAAAATGGAAATAATCACATTTTAAAAAACCACCTTGGAGTTTGCCATCCTACTTGCTCAGTCACTTTAGGACTACTCAGAGAATTGTATAGAAAAGGTAAATAGAAACTGATTTTTCTTTCAGTTAATATGCCCACTTTGAAGGTGTAAATATGAAGATTCATATTTGTAATGAAAGCAATCCCCACAGAGGTAATGCCTCAAATATAAACACTCACTTAATTTTTCATTGCTGGCTGTTTTCTTCAACTGATTCCTCTAAATATGTTTAAAACAACAAAAATAATAACAACAACCCTTACAAAAGGCATTGTTATGAAGGCCTTCCTGTTCTCCAGAGCATCAGCTGGAGTTGATGTGAGGCCAGAATAAGATGTAATGATGCTTATGTTTAAAGTTATCTTATAGGCGAATCTTCTGGTTTCTCAATATAATGTTTCTTCTTTTTGGAAATAACTAATCTCTTGAAAAAACACAAATTAAAGAGAATGTATTCAACTGTAATGGAGACTTTCTCTCTAATGATTTCTTTCATAAAGCATAGATCAAATCTAAGCTCATACTTTGAATATGAAAATTTTCTTAGTGATGAAAGCTATACTTAGCAAATGTGGAATGTGGGCTTCATACTTTAAGTGTTCTTGAAAATAATAACTATGCCAGTGAACTTCAAGATGATGAAGTTTAATGGGCCCTGGAGTCTGAACAGATCTCACTGCTTGGATCCAAATATGAGCTGACAACCAGAAGTGTGTAGAATCAGCACAAATCAGCAGAGAATCATGGCTCTGGTGGGAAAAGCACGTGTGCCCATCAGAGGAGCCCCTGGCTGGTGTAAGTGATTGAGGAATTGAGAACCTTGGCTCCACTGAAGTGTAACTGGGTGCTAGACAGGATTCCACTAGCAAACTTGCACGGAGATTATAGTGGTTTGTAAAGGATGCCAAGAAAAGCACAGTTGGTGCTGCTGGGGCAGACTGAGACATGAATAAAGAAATCATTAGACGTTATACAGGATTAGAAAATATGAAGAATTATCAAATAAAATGTGTTGTGTTTAGTCTTTGGATCTATGTTTTTGTTTGTTTTCTTTTCCCTTTTCCTCTACTTCAGTGGTTGACCTAGAGCTAGGTTCAGTTATTTGAATTCTCTGGCACTAGTGTCATCTGGCCTGGGAAATCCAATTAATTATTTTTGTGAAATAGCTACTATCTTAAAGCAATTCATTTATACTGGCAGAAGGTCAGAGCTAGTTCCAGAGTTTTGGGTGCCTAAAAAAACGGAAAATGTTCCCTTCTCATGCCCTGACAATGAAAGCCAGTAGGTAGTATTGAAGGGAATTGTGAGGCTTCTGGCATTATTGGCCTTTGCTTTGGTACCAGGAAGAAAAAGGAATGACTTAGAAACACATTTAGCCCTTACCTGGATGAATCATGTCAAGTTTTGGTTTCTCCATTTCTCTACATTTCATTTATTTGTTGGACAATGCTCTAATTTCACAAAGTGGTGGTGGAAACACTACTGACATGACAGCTGTTTATATCTGTGAGTCAGAATGGTCACTGAGAGGTTGGGCCCATAGTGAGTAAACAGGAAGACTCTGGGAAGAGGTAATGGGCACAGAGATATTCTTGTAAACTGCACAAGATATGACCCAACTTAATTATTTTCAATCAATATAGTTATAAACTATTTAAACTCTCAAACCCAGTGTGAGGAAAGAAGTAACACATGTAAATTAACAGAGGCACAATGGCTCACGCCTATAATCTCAATGCTTTGGGAGGTTGAGTTGGGGGGATCACTTGAGCCCAGGAGTTCAAGACTAGCTGGGCAACATGAAGAAACCCCATCTCTTCAAAAAATATAAAAATTAGCCTGGCATGGTGGCATGAACTTGTAGTCCCAGCTACTCAGGAGGCTGAGGTGGGAGGATCGCTTGAGCCTGGGAGGTCAAGGCTGCAGTGAGTCTTCATCGTGCCACTGCACTCCGGCCTGGATGACAGAGTGACACTCTGTCTCAGAAAGAAAAAAAAAACACAAACCATATTATACATACTAATTTTGAGTTTAAAAAATGTAACACAAGAAATATAAAAATCTCATATATACACAAGAAGGACATATTAATATATTTGAAATTTGGAATTAAATGCAGCATTATTGCCAAATAATGATTGAGTTATCTTATTTCCAATAAGGTTAAGGAAAGAAAATAAACCAATCAACTAAAAACATTTATTTAACTATTTTGTCAATAAAAATTTATGAATTGAACAAGTCTTGTGATCCATAATCTAGAAGAAAGAAAGCTTACCTATTTTTCTCTTACCATTATTTGATGAAAATCTGTAGACTTTTAGAAACTCACAGCTGTGTGCCTTACTGTAAAAGGAGGAAAGTCTGAGGCGAGTATTTAGAGATATCTACTTTATGCCAAATGTTTTATGCACACTATCTAACTCAATCTGAATTAAATGCCATTAAGGGAAGCATTATAGTTATCCATTTAGTGAATAAAAATATGAATCTCCAAAGGAGAAAATAACATCACCAAGGGCATGCTGTTGAAAGTGAAGTTGGATTTTGAGCCAAATCATTCTTATTCACAAATCCATATTTTATTTACTTCACTGACAAGCGAGAAATGGAAAGCAGCTAAACACAATTTTTGAACTGTACTTAGCACCAACGGAGTAAAAAAATAAATAAATGCTAAAGATTTGGCTTCATTCACACTTCATTCATTCGGCGAGACTCACTTGGAGCAGTGAACTGACCAAGGCCCAGGCAAAGAAACAACAAATGTGCCTGCAGCCTTCTCTACATATCCTTGCTCCCTGGGAAAACCAGACTGCCTGCCTCCCCTGTCATGGTTATTGCAGTCTCTTGGCTTTTTTGGCTTTCAAGTCACTGTCCCTTCAAGCCTTTGGTTTGAGAATATAGTAAATGTTCTTGGCAACCTGACTAGCAGGCACTCTTTTTTTTTTTTTATTTTTGCCTTCCAGAGAAGCCTGAGTCAGTTTGGTCAGGTTTCCAAACATCCTTCATGTAAATTATGTGCCTCAAAAGAAGGGTGACTTTATCAGTCTCTGCTTATGGGTGGGCATGATTCATCTAAGGTAGCCTCCTTGTTTTACTGGCAACTGAGTCAAGTATGAGTATGTGACTTCACTTTAGCCAAATAGATGTAAAGTGTTCTGGAGGTTCAAGAGAAGTTCTTTATGGATCTGCTGAGAGGGATAGAGGGAGCCTCTCTTTCATGTTAGAAATGGACTAGATCCTTTGTGACTTTAATGGCTCAGACAACTACTCCCTAAGCGCAATGAGAAACAGCCTCAGGATGAAGCCAGCACTGGGTAGGGCAGAGCAGATGGACAGAACTTGTAAACTCATAAAGGTTTGGTGGGGCCAGGGCTCCACCAATCCTAAAGCATGCGCTAACTCTGTCCTTTCATTGTTTAAGCCAAGGTAAATTGGATTTTCTATTGCACATATGGCTCCAAAAGTTTGCAAACTGATACAGGAGCTTTAAGACAAGTGGGAAAAGGCTGAGAGGATCCCTACCCCAATGTCAGCTCTGCTGGTTATCCAGGACCATGGATTAGAATCTCTACTAGTCCACTTTTGCCTTCAGAAGGTGTCATATTGAAGGGAATGAGAATGAAGGAAGGCATTTTCAGTGAACCTATGTCCTGGAATTGAATCATACAATAGGAAGTTAGTTCAGCAGTGTCAATCACTCCTCTAGGCTGGAGAGATACAGCAGAAAATCCAACAAGATTTCCAATGACAAGGAGTTTACTGTTTCAAAGGAGAAGAAAGGCAATAAACAAATGGACAGGTCTATAACCTGTCATGTGGGAATAAGTACTAAGAAGGAGAGTAAGAATAAGGGTGAGTAAGTGGTAGAGGATGATAGTAAGAGAGTGTGCTATTTTAAGGAAGGTGGTGAGAAAAGTACTTAAAACAAAGGGGAGGGGCATTTAAGCAGTAACTCAAAAAAAACGGAGAGAAGTCATCATGCAGCTGTCTGGAGGAAAAGTCTTCAGGCAGCAGGAATAGGCCATGCAAAGGTCCTGAGGTAGAAGAACACCTGATGTGTTATAAGCAAACCAAAAAGATCAGTGTGGCTGGAGTGGACTGAGTTAGCAGTTATGAAAAATAAGGACATGGAGAAGAGGACACAGACCTTGGAGCAGACATAGAGGTAAGAACTGTAGGTTTTAATAGACCATGATAAAGGCTTCAGACTTTCCTCTTCTCAACCGTTTTGAGCAAAGGTGTGACTTTTTTTTTTTTTTTTTTTTTTTTTTTGAGATGGAGTCTCACTCTGTCATCCAGGCTGGAGTGCAGTGGCGTGATCTTGGCTCACTGCAACCTCCACTTCTCAGGTTCAAGCGATTCTTCTGTCTCAGCCTCCCAAGTAGCTAGGATTATAGGCATCTGCCACCACGCCAGGCTAATTTTTGTATTTTTAGTAGAGATGGGGTTTCACCATGTTGACCAGGCTGGTCTCGATCTCCTGACCTCAAGTGATCTGCCTGTCTCGGCCTCCCAAAGTGCTGAAATTACAGGGTGAGCCACTGCCCCCTGACCAGGTGTGACATTCTTGATGAAGTGAGAAAACAGACTGTGAAAGGAGGCAAGGTTAGAGGCAGGAAGACGTGTTAGGAGGCAAATGCAATAGTCCAGAAAGGAGACAATGGTGGCTTGAACTCAGGAGACAACAGTGGAGGTGAAGGAAGTTGCCAGATTCTGAATATATTCTGAATGTTGCTGAAAGACAGGCTAAAGAATGTGAGAGAAAGAAAGACGTCAGGAATGACTCTATGGTTTTGCCCTGAATAAATAGAGTACTCTTTTTCTAAGATTCTCGCACCTGCAGATAGGCTATTTTGGAGGGAGAGAGAAATACAAGTTCAATATTGGAATTAGCAATTTTAACATTTGGAATTAGTGGGAAAAAATAAGATTTTTGTAGATATTCATTGAGAAGTGTTGAAATGGTTGGGTATACAACTCTAAAGTTCAGCAAAGAGGTTGAGATTAAGGATTTACATGTAAAAGTTACCAGCATGTAGATGTATTAAAAGTTATGGGATAAGAAAAAATTATTTGGAGTTGTGTGCAGACCAAGCAGAGGCTTAAGACTGACTCCTGGGCACACCAGGGTTTAGCAGTTGGACAATAAGTACATAAACTAGGGAAGGAGAACAGAAGTGGAGGCCAGTGAGTTAAAAAAAAAAAAAAAAAATCAAGCCGGGGTGTTCCAGAGGCCAAGTAAAGAACGTGTTTAAATGAGGAAAGAATGAACGAGTGTGTTTAATGCCACTGATTGGTAGAGTAAGATGAGAACTGAAAAACAACCACAATTTTATGAGAAAAAGACCAAATGCAAGCTGCTTGGCTTTTCTTTTCTGCAGGTATTGCCTTATCATATTTCTTCAGCATTTGGAATGCAGACTAATTAGACTATTTATTTTTGAGATTATATTTGACATCTTATCCTAGCTTAAAATGAGAGCCAATAAGTGGTGTAATATTTAGTATGATTAACAAGCTGAAAACCCCGCAATGGTGCTAGCTAGACTCCAACTCTGTGAGTGAATTAGGAGTACTCTGAGGGACAACAGGAGACACTTGAGAATATGCAAAAAAACCCTGCAGAAGTGTTACATCTTTCATTAAACATCAGTACACAGATCTACAAAACCAACAGGAAATAAATTTAAAACCAACCTGATTGGTTATACCAATAGTCAAAGGACAAGAAGAATAGAGAGCAATGCTCTTTGTGGACACAGTGAGATGCATGATTTGATTGAATGTTTGGCAAGCCTTTTGAAAATTTTTATTTAACTCTCATTTTATATAGGTGTTAAATTATCAGAGACCCTATGCCAATAAGATAGAGTTAGTCTTCCAAATCAAAACATTTACACATCTGTGAAACACCTGAATATATGTAAGTTTGTAAGTCTATGTACTTATAAATTTAATTAAGTTCTAAATGGTGTAATAGTGAACAACGCAGACTTCTAAAATTAATGTTATACCCAGACTTGAGCCTCTCTTCTGTGTATTCCTTCATCTTGATAATGAAATAGTCAAAGAAAATGTTTTGTGTTTTATTTTTGTCATTTAAAATTGTTTTTAGGCTGAAAGAAGCTAATGCAGTGCAGGGCAATAAAATGAAGGCCACATTGTTATTTAAATAATAAGTAGCTTTTACCCTTAAGCTTTTTCTTGGTTATTTTTATATAACAATAGGAGTAAAAAGGAAGAACTACCCATTTAAAATTTTTGGTTGTTAGTCCTACTTTTTGCCGAAAGATTATTTTTGTTTCCTAATGCATGATTCACAGATGTGTTAGTTTGCATTATGTTGACATTAGTGATTTTCTGTGATTAAAAATTTGAAAGATCCTCAGTGACACTGAATGAGTTAAACAGTCATAGTAGTCATGTATTGCAGACAATACATGTATTACTGATTAAGGATAAATATTACTCAGTTTTTAAAGAAGAATTAAATCAGCATTTTTGTAGGTAATTATAATACTAAACAATTATTTAATAGTTTTTCATGTTTCAGACATTGTACTTAACACTTGACATGTAATTAATTCTTCAGAAGAATTCTAAGGGATAGGACTATTTCACAGCGGAGCCCCATTTTAAACAATGGAGATTGGGATTTTGAAATTTAAGCAATTTGGTGAAAATAATAGTAATTTGGTGTGCCAGGGTCTTAATCAATATTCTGTACTGTGCTATATGCAAGTAAATTCTACAAGGCCAATAGTACAATACAAAGTCTTTTACCATTAAGAACATCTGTTCCCATAGGCGTATCATTTAAAGTTCCATCATTAGAATAATTTGTGAAGATTTTCTGGGCTTTTTTAATGTACTAAGACATGAGGTTTCCTCAGCCCTAGCTAATACAATAGCACAGATTGATTTCTCATTATTAGTCATTACTTTCATGAGTACCTAGAGACTTAAAATAGCATAAATCAGTAATCAATATTTTTTGCTACTGTGCCTCTAAAAGAAAGTTTTGAAAGGCAAGTTTAATGCCTTAAACACATTTAGGTGTGCATTTTTTTAGAATATCCTTTCAATTTGTACAATTTAAATTGTAATGTAAATACAATAGCCATTTGACATTCAACATCTATCAAAATATTCATGGCAAGCTCTTCTTTAGTATTTGGGAATTTCACTTCAGTTTATTTTTTTCCTTGAAATACTATTTCTGTCCTCTTTCGCCCCACTCAAATTGATCTCTAAGTAACATATTTTTGTATTCGAAAGTCTTTATATTAACCATCCTTTGTTTCACCCTTTGCTGTGACTACAATATATATATATTCATGTATATTTACATTGAAATTGAAATTTTTAAAATTTCCTGTGACGAGTTCTTAAGGCTCAAAACTTTTTTTCTGGATTTAACTTTTATTAAGATGATTATTGATATGCAAATGATCAAGTCATCATATTTTGAATTATTATAAATAATCATTCATCACCAGAACATAAAATTTATTTGTAAATGTATCTCTTCATGAAGTGGAAATTAATGTTTCTTTATTTAGTGCCCTGAGGTTTTACATATTGAAACAATATATTATAGTAAGATTTGACATGAAATAAGAGCTATACTTATTGAAAAAGTGTGATTATATGATTGCGATAAGGAAGATAGGAAAGAAGATTCATCTTCACATGACCTCAGGCATATTCTCAAGGCAGATTAGTTTTAGGAAAAGTGCATATGAAATTCAAGGATATGGCAACTGATTGCCATTGAACCATGTGTACCATAATACCACCTGTGACGAGAATTCCTAGAAATCTCTGGTACCGTTAGTTCTCCCGCAGGGAGGAGGCAGGGATGTTTCCACAGGTGAACCGTGGAAGTCAAACAGCCTGATGACACTGTGCCAAAGGGACAGAGGGACAGAGGAGAAAGAGAGGGAGAGGCATTGAAAAAGGGACTAAGACCTATAGAAGAAAATGAATAACCTACTACATACTATTTTATTTCAGACAGGACAGTGCTAAAAACAGGTAATTTCTTTTTACAAAACATTTGGATTTTACTGAATTAGTATTTTTATTAAAATATTAGCATAAATGATTTTTAACATATATTTTACAGTGCACACATGCATAAATGATATTCTCGGCTTAAACTGTATTAAATGGTTATTCGAGTTGTTAATTTTATCAAGGCATTAATCTTTTAATTTCTTCCATGGATATGAGTTGAAATGCTGACTCAAACATAATCATGGTAAAAAATTATAATCCACTCTCTGAGAATGTGTTCATTCAATCATTTTTTTTTCATTCAATAAACACTGAGTACCTTGTATGTGCCAGGCACTATTCTAATTTCTGGAGACAACAGTATTGACTAAAACCAGGTCATTGCCCTTATGAGGCTTCCATTCTAGAGGAAGATATAAACAATTAAAAAGATGAACATATGTAATTTTCTCACATTATCCCAAAGTTTCTCAAGATTTTATTTTTTCTGAATGGTAAATAAGCTTAACAGATACAAATTGTATGTCTTATTCTTTTTTAACACAAGACATATTTTATTTATTTTAATTGTTTGCTAATTAATAAACAAGGGATCATTAATAACTATTATTAAAACTATTATTAATAAATGAGCCAACCAGGACAATATTAGAACACGTTTAAAAGAAAACTAAATGAGTACAATATGAGCAATCAGGGATGCTGAAATTACTTTGTAAATAGATACAAAACTGATTTCTTGGAGGTACATTAGAAAAAATTGATTTATGCTTTTATGAATAAGAATCATTTTTATTGCTACCAATTCTCTACAAATTACAGTAAGAAAATAGCTCAAAAACAATGGAAGGCACATATAACCCAAAAGAGTATGCTAGACAGGACACCAAATAATCTTTGCCTGTTCAAAATCTTTCCCATTTTTTCTGACAGTCTCTCCCCCGTGATCATAATCTCAAAAGTTATTCTTGATTATAAAAGGCCTATTATATTGGACCTGATTATTTACATAGGTGCAGGAAGAGTATTTATTTACCACACAAGCTCCTTGAGTTTGTTTTGCAATTCCTGTGTCATACAATATTGAACAGCTACAAAGTCCATAAATGAACCTTTGCCTGGATTGTCATAAGCAATCTCAGATTGTACCTTTTAAAAGCCTCTATTTTTCTATTTCAAGGCCAGGAAGCTAAGCCTAAGAACCTCTCCCCCTCAGGTTCCACCAGCAGTGGGTTGTACAATGGAATGAATTATACTATCTTCTGGAAGTCCCCCATATTTTTTAATGTTCCTTGCCTGCCAAAAATTTTTCTTACTATTCTTAAGGGTAAGCCTGGCCCCCTGTACGCCAGGTATCACTGGGTCAGTTTCCTTGGGAGAAGTTTGGAGGCATTGGCACCTAAACAAAGCCCTTTTTCCCCCTTAAATAAAGACTTGTCATACCTGATTTAAAAAGCATTATTTTCAACTATGACACCTCAGGCAAAACATTAGAGGACAGATTCTATTTGTCCCTATGTAAATATTTCCATGAAAAGTTGGGAGGCTAAGTTTCTGAATTATGCAGATGGAGTGGTAGTGGGTTGAACTACGTCCCCCAAAATGCTATGTTCAGATTCTAATACTTGTGAATGAGATCTTATTTGGAAATAGGCCCTTTGCTGCTGTAATTAGGAATTTTGAGATAAGATCATCCTGGCTTTAAGGGGGATCTTGTATCCAAAGACTGGTGCCCTTATAAGAAAAATAAAAGAATGATTTGAGACATAGACACATTGGGGTAAGTCATGTAAAGACAGAGACAAGAGATTAAAGTTATATACCCACAAGTCAAGGAGCGCCAAGGATGCAACCACCATCAGAAGCTAGGAGAGAGGCAAGGGAAAGATCCCCTCTCAGAGTCTAAAGAAAATCAAGCTGTGATGACACCTTGAATTTTGGACTTGTGACCTCCAGAATTTTAAGAGAATAACTTTCTGTTGTTTAAGTCATCAAGTTTGTGGCAATTTGTTATGGCAACCCTAGATAACTCATATAGGTGGTTATTAAGAATCAAGTATTATCTTAAAATGCTTTAAGTTTAAAAAAACAGATTTTACTAAGTTATATGCAGTATAGACAGCTTAAGAAGAATAAGAGCTTCATATATTCAGAAAATGGAAACTTAAAACAACAGCAACAGTATGCCAAATTATGGTAAAATTTTCTGCTTTGGTTTTTTTATTCCCAGGAAATTAATTTTTGTTCTGCTGGTCCTTGGATTAGTAGTCTGCTTTCATGAGGCAGTCCACTAACATGGTTTGAAAGTTGTATAAGTGATGTTAGCTCTGAAGCCCGTACCTGAGTCTAGTCTTTGAAGTGCCAATCATTTAAAAACTCAGAGACTTTTGGCCAGGCGCGGTGGCTCATGCCTGTAATGCCAGCACTTTGGGAGGCTGAGGTGGGCGGATCACGAGGTCAGGAGATCGAGACCATCCTGGCTAACACGGTGAAACCCCGTCTCTACTAAAAATACAAAAAATTAGCCGGGCATTGTGGCGGGCGCCTGTAGTCCCAGCTAGTAGGGAGGCTGTGGCAGAAGAATGGCGTGAATCCAGGAGGCGGAGCTTGCAGTGAGCTGAGATTTTGCCACCGCACTCCAGCCTGGGTGACAGAGTGAGACTCTGTCTCAAAAAGAATAAATAAATAAAAAATAAACCTCAGAGACTTTCTTTGTTGGCTTATAGCTTATGACAGAGACTTCAGGCAAGCATCAGAATAAAACAAAATTGTGTATAGATGAAAGAGATTTGATGGCTGTTATTAATTTGTCACCACAATCAGAAATATTGTCATCACAATAAAAAGTATCCAAATAAAAAATAGTAAGATTTTCTACTGGGGTATAATACATAACCAACTTATAAGAGTTTTGAGCAGTTTTCCTCCTGGGGATAAAGCACATTAAATAGGGAAGACATTGACAAATTCTGATATGGACAGGAGACGGGAAAATACTGGGTAGAAGAGGGTAGTTCCCCAGCAAAGGCCCGACCCTCAAGCCTGGATACCCACGGCCCTATGTGAGAACAGGCCCCCAAATTTTTTAATGGTTTCACAGCTAAAAAGTTGCCTTTTGGCTCTCCACGCCCCCCTACCCTGTACCCATATAAACCCCAAACCCCAGGCTCCAGAAGCAGACAAGGAGATGAAGAGATGATCAGGCAAATGGCAGAATGGCATGGCAGAGAAGGAGGGAGGAGAAGGAGCGCTGGGAGGAGTTCAGCTGGGGACGGTCAGAGAATCAGCCACTGGAATGCCAAAATGCAGAGGAAGATCATCTTCCCACTCCATCCTCTGTCCAGCTCCCCATCCATCCTGCTGAGAGTCACCTCCACCACTCAATAAAACCTCCGCATTCATCCTTCAAGTCCGTGTGTGACCCAATTCTTCCACGATGCTGGACAAGAGATTGGGATACCGAAAGCTGTCACACTGGCCCTCTGTTCTTACAAAAAGGCAGAGAGTCCACTAAACTGGTTAACACTTAAACTGTCCACGGATGGCAAGACTAAAGGAGTACACTGTAACACATGCCCACTTGGGCTTTGGGAGTCACAGACACCCACCCCAAATGCTGCCGTGGGGCCAGAACCCAAAAGCACTTGCCTCAGTTCCCGCACCTGTCCATCTTCCTGCTCCCCCTCCCATAAAGGGTTTGAGCTGAACAGAGAGCCATACTCCTGTCACATGTCCTGCAAGGGGGGCCTGGAAACTCTCCCGTTTCAACTCCAGGATTTTCCATATTTCTGAATATTTGTATTAATATAATTTTACCTAGGTAATACACACACTATCCAGAAAAGGCTGTGTCTTTCCTGACCTGACAAATTTTCCCATGTAACTCCTGTAATAATATCACATCACATGAACATAAATTTGACTCATATCTTTCTTCCTATAAGGTAAAAGAACATATCTTTGTGATTTCTCATGGGGCCTCTGGGAAATCTCAAATATAGGTTTAGGTGAAAAATATGTCCTGAAAATGTTTTCATTATCTTCTAAATTCAGGGACCAGTTTAGGGAAGGCAAAGTCAAGAGTTGTCAGAGGCAATTTTGGAGGTTTAATAATATAGAACGGGTATCTAAGAAACAATTCCTAGTTGCCTATTTAATAAAACTGATGTTATTTTGAAAACAAACCTAGAGGACAGTATCATTATAAGAACGTTAGCTCTTGCATAAGTGAGGAAGTTTTGTTCTTTTTTGTTTATTTTTTTCTTAAATAATCAGGAACATAATAAAGTCAATATAAAGCATAGAAAATTGTTCTGGTGAGATAAAGCCTCTGCTATCTAGGCAGGTTGCATAGAAATAAAGAAAACCCTTTCATAAAGTAGGTTAACACAAATCAGTAAACTAAGGAAGTGAGCCCCTCAAAAGTGAGCAAATGTTACTAAAAATTTAACAGACTTCATAGCTTCTTTTCAGATGTAGGTACGTTAAACCAAGACTGACAAAATCCGCTTTCCAAGTTTTGCCCTTTATTATGCTCTTTCATATTTGCTACATGTTGAGCCTTTTTTTTTAGGACATCATATGGTCTGGGGGTCCTTGGAAAACCCTCGGAAGATCTGTGAGGTCAAAACTATTTTTATAATAATGTTAAAATGTCATTTGTCTTTTTTATTCTCATCCTCTCATAAATGTGCATTGGAGTTTTCCAGAAGCTATAGGAGTGATACTGCCATAGATTGGATGCAGAAGTAGGTTGAGAATCTACCTGTTCTCTACTAATTTATATTAAAGACATTTACAAAACTGTATAGCAATGCTACTCTTCTCACTAAGAACTTTTTTAAAACCATTGTTTTTATAAAAATGTTTTCTATTAACATGAAATTTGCTTACCACTTCTATCTCTAAATAAATCAATGAGCCAGTATTTAAACAGTAAACATTTATAATCTTTAATATGGCAAAATATTATAGTTCTAATCTGCAAAATTATGCGGTTTGAGATCTTCAGCAATTTCTAAGAGTGGAAAGGTATTCAGAGACCAAAAGGTTTGGGAAATGCAGCTTTAAGAAAGTTCTACTTTTTCCTTAAAAAGCAAACACACATACACAGTCATTTTTCTCTGTCACTATTACTCCCTGTTTAGTCTCAACCAACATATTAATCACAACTTTTAACCAGAGTAACCAACTTCTATTTCTAAAGTCATTGGAAGAAACTTATTTCTTAAAATGTAATTTTAAATGTATACATAGGCCATCCTTTTAGTTCTGAAATATACAGACAGAGAAAATAAGTAAGTGAAAAAAAGCTCAGGAAGATTAAAGGGACTAGACACAAAGGAGCACATGTTTTAGAGATTAAGAAAACTTCATTAAAATCACAAGTTATCACACAGGGAATTCAATATTCACCAAGAAACAGGCTCCCTATTTCATGAATGTTTCCAGAAAAATCTAACAAGAGGACAGGAAGGAGGCCTGTCAGAATCAGAGCCAAAGCAAATAGGCTTTAGTTAAAAAGACTTGGTAGGCTCACTGAACAGCAACACACTCCTGACTATCTTACTTCTCCCTAAAGGAATGGCAAAACCTGAACTATCTGAAAATTAACCAAAGGTCTAATGACAGAGAGGACCTCCCCAAGTGACTTTCTTTAGTAAAGATGATCATGTTAGCTATGGTAGTGTCTCTATCTGTTCAGGTTGCTATAATAAAAGTGCCATAGATGGGATGGTTTATAAATAACAGAAATTTATTTCTTACAATTCTGGGATGCTGGGAAGTCCAAGATCAAGGCCCCAGAAGTGCCTGGTGAGGGCCTGCATTCTGGTTCATAGATGGCATCTAAGCTGAGCTCTCACATGATGGAAAAAGTAACAGACCTCTCCTGGGCCTCTGCTATAAGGGTGCTTATGAAAGATAAATGATAAGCCCTCATGACCTAATTATCTTTCAAAGGCACCACCTTCTAAGTATCATCACACTGGCGATTAAGCTTCAACATATGAATTGTGAGGAGACATAAACATTCAATCCATAGCATGTTGGTTTTGCTTATTGTTTTCTGCAAAAACTAATATCAGTCATGTTACTAGATCTTAGTAGGAAATGGTGACCAAACAACAGAGTACAGAGTCTGGTGAAAGGGAAGAAACTACATATGAATGTGGAAAGTCAATTAGGCTTGAGGAATTTCTAGAAATTGCCCTGTGCAGTTAACACAGTGTTACACTGTTGCTAACAAAGCTGTCCATACACTTATTGGCTGAGAGAGATGGCACCATGTAGGCTTTAAAGAAGCATTGCATGAACAAAAAGCAATGCTGAGATAGCAAGTTTTTTGCTGTCACATTGGGAAGCATTATAGAGAATGATTATACTCACTATAGCCAATACATTGCACTAGAGGCACTCACATACACTGTTCAGCCATGTGACTTCACATCTTTTCTGGAGGACTATTGGCCACATAATTAAAGTGTTAAAATGATGACAATTCTTTTTTTTTTTTTTTTTTTTTGAGACAAAGTCTTGCTCTGTCACCAGGCTGGAGTGCAGTGGCGTGATCTCAGCTCACTTCAACCTCTGCCTCCCAGGTTCAAGTAATTCTCCTGCCTCAGCCTCCCGAGTAGCTGGGACTACAGGCACGCACCACCATGCGCAGCTAATTTTTCTATTTTTAGTAGAGATAGGGTTTCACCATGTTGGCCAGGATGGTCTCAATCTCTTGACCTCATGATCCGCCTACCTCAGTCTTCCAAAGTGCTGGGATTACAGGTGTGAGCCACTGCACCTGGCCAAATGATGACAATCCTTTTATGCAGCAACTTTACTAACAGAAACTTACCTTAAATGAATACTTACATGTTGTCAAGAAATGTTATTATAGTGTGTTAATAATAATACACAGGTTAGGTGAGAAATAACCTAAATACGCATCAATGCAGAATTGGTTCAAAATAGTAACAGTTCATCCATGTAATAAAACACTATTAGTAGTTACAAATAATAATGTGACTTCATTTAATTTGTTTATTCACTTGACAAATATTTAACTGCTCATAATATTCTAGGTACTATTCTATATTCTGGGTACACAGAAATGAATAAAACAGAAAAAGCTCTCCCTTCCTAGAGATTACATTCTAGCTACAGAGATAGACAAAACACAATATTAAGTAATGTACATAGTATATTATATTAGCACTAAGAAGAAAAATTAAGCAGTTAAATGGGATGGTAGGGTTTTTAATAATGTGGCTGAGAAAGGACCCTCTGAGACGGTGGAATTTGCAACAAGACCTAAAGCAGGTGAGCGAATAAGCCACCCGTGTGTGGAGGAATAGAACCTAACCCAGAGGGAATGGCAAATTCCAGTGCCCCTGAGGAACAGAAAGGAGCCCGCATGGACTGAAGGGGAATGAGCAAAAATGTGAGCAGTAGGAGATGAGGTCAAGGAGGAAAAGAGGTACTGTGATGGGCTTTGGAAAGGATGGAGGAGAGAAGAAATGTGATCTGCCCACATTGTAATAAGATCACTCTGGTTGCTGCATTTAGAACAGACTAGAATTACCTAAGGGTAGAAGGAAGGAGACCAATAGCAAAGTTTCTGCAATAATCTAAACAAGGGATAATGGGGGCTTGGACCTGGGCGTAGGAGGTAGTAAACAGTAAGATTCAGGGTATATTTATGTCAACAGAAAGTTTTTAAAAATCAGATCTGATGTAGGATATTAGTAAATAAGTTAAAAATTATTTCAAGGTTTTTTTCTTGAGTTACAGAAAGACGGAGTTGTCATTCACTGATGACAACTAGGGAAGAGGAGTAGGTTTGGCAGATAACATCAGAAAATCAGGTTTGAACTTGAACTTTGAAGTTTTTAATATTAAGTTTGAGATGCCTATGAAACCTCTAAATGAAGGTGTTACTCAGTTGTATGCAGCAGTAAGGAATTCAGAGAAGGTAGCAGAGTGGAGATATATATTTGGGAGATGCCACTATGCAAATGATATTTAAAGATATCAGACTGTATGTGTACTAAGAAAATGGTTGTGGAAATAGAGGGAAAGTGGTGTAAAGACTAAGCCCAATAATATTCCAATGTTTAGAGACAGTGGAATTGAGGAGAAGCCAGTCAAAATGACCAAGAGGCTGGGCACGGTGGCTCATGCCTGTAATCCCAGCACTTTGGGAGGCCGAGGCAGGCCGATGACCTGAAGTCAGGAGTTCAAGACCAGCCTGGCCAACGTGGTGAAAACCCATCCCTACAAAAATATAAAAATTAGCCGGGTGTGGTGATGGGCGCCTGTAATCCCAGCTACTTGGGAGGCTGAGGCAGGAGAATTGCTTGAACCCAGGAGGCGGAGGTTACAGTGAGCCAAGATCATGCCACTGTACTCCAGCCTGGGCAACAGAGCGAGACTTTGTCTCAAAAAAAAAAAAACAAAAAACAAAAAACAAAAAGCAAACAAGAAAGAGCAGCCAGAAAAGCAAAATCAGAAGAGCTCTGGAAGCCACATGAAGACAGTGGTTCAAGAAAAAAAAACAACAAGGATCCAGTGTCAAGTAAAGGTCAAGTAAAATGAAGAATGAAGACTGCACATTGAAATAGAAGTTAGTGGGAACTTACCATGGAACAGTTTCAATGGAATGGGTATAAAAGTCCAATTAAATCTATATTTATAGATACGTAACATTTCTAAATCCTGTTTAAGAGCAAAAGTAGCATATAAAACAATACATACTTGGAAAATTATATATACACATATATATGTTTATATGTGTGTGTGTTTATATGTGCATGCATGCATATGTTTGGTATTTAAATACATACATAGAAAAAATTTGAAAATCTCCCAAGATAGTAATAGAGGCTATTTGAGCAAGTTATACTTTAAAATATTTACTTTTTATGTTTCCTTTACAGCTTTTTTTTTTAGTTACTATCTATTACTCTTGAAATCAGAGAAAAAGGAAAATCCCAATAAAGCAATCTCCTAAAAAATAAGGACTAAAAATACATAAAGAAACAGTAAGGTAATCTGTATTATGGTAAAAATATTTTTAAGATAAAGGATAAGTTAAAGAGATTTTTAGTTCCTGTTAAATTAGGAAATGTTTCACAAAAGTTTAGTTGTAAAATATATTTGTATTTAAACATTTGAAGAAGTTCATAGAACCCTTTCTTCTTATACTGTATTATTCGGTAAAGTGTGTTCTTTCACTAAAAATACAAATCTGATTTCAATTTCTCTTAATGGTTTAAAAACAAGATGCTGAATTTACAAAACTCATAAGAATACGCTTTAGAAAGATGGAATTTCATTCCTTTTCGTTACAAATTTATTCCTCTTTATTTTTTCTACAGCTGAATAAGTGTTTAGTGTAGTAAGAACTCATATTTTGCACATTTTAATAGTGATATACTTCAGGGAGGCCTCAGTTTACCAAAAAAGATTATCAAACATAATCATGACCCAGGAAGCAGCTGTATCCCATTTCCAAAGAAAAAATGCACCATGCTGAACTGTTTAAAGGAAGTAATATAGTGGTGAATTTTTTTTTCGTGTGATTTAGTTTGAAATACTGTGCCTAAAATGCTGAGCTTGAAGTCCCATAAAGCTTGGTATGCTTTGCAAAAAGCACTCCCAGTTTAATTTAGGCCAGGCCTCCTTTTGCTTTGAAGAAACAAAAAAGAAACATTAGCTGTTCTTGGCCTTATCCTTGGGAATCAACTCAAGACTTCCCAGTGGTCATGGTGATATCCATTGCAAACAGATAATTCCTGAATGAATGAATGAATGAATGAAAAGAAAACAGTGAGTTACATTTTATCTTGATAGAATGTAAATGTAAATCCTTGAGTGGCTTATAGTCAAATATATTTCTCATTGATGTGAGGCAGTTTTCTTTCAAAACTATAACAGCTTTCTATAATAGCTTCAGACATGCACTACTATTTTTAGACCAAGTCTCATGGTGCTATATCACCTATCTAAAATATGTTTACAGAAAATATTTATATATTTACTCCTGAGTTCAAATAATATAAATGAGGCTCAGTCTATCTCAGATTTGTTATTCCCATCTTCCTGTCTTCCGTTATAAGAACTTCCTCTCTCATAGTCACTGTGAAAATACCTTGTCTTTCAATATCTCCGTAATTTGAGCTTAGAACACAAATAATATTTGTGTTAAATAACCAAAAACTTTTATCCTGATCTCACAGAGAGAAGTTTAAATGACAGAAGCATACGAAATGCACATTTTACTCTATAAAACAACAAAAAATAAAGCAATGAATTATAGATACAAGTTATTAAAGGGAATGATATGCAATATGTGAAAATATTTGATTGTTCCAATGGAATATAAGAAAGGAAGACTAATATATATATTAGTCTAATATAATAGATATAACTAATATATATAAATATATAATCAATATAAAAATATATAACATATATTAGTCTTATAAGTCTAATATATAAGAAAGGAACACTAATATATGTATTACTCTAATATATATTAGCTTAATATATTATATATAATTATATTTTATATATAATTATATTTTATATATAGGAAGACAAACTCAATAGTGCTAATAACTACATTAAATGTAAATGGACTAAACATTCCTATTAAGAGACAGAGAAGTCAGTATAAATTTTAAGAAATGAGCCAAGAATATGCTTCTTACAGGAGAAACACTTAAAATTTAAAGACACAAAGTTGAACGGAAAAAGTGTTACCATGCATTTACTAATCATAAAAAAGCTGTTATAACTATATTAATATCAGACAAAGCTGACTACAAACAAGGAATACTATCATACATAAAATGAAAGTTATATGATAAAGGGTCAATTCATCAAAAAGATGTAACAACATAAATATTAATTTAAAAAGAGTTTTACATACCTGTAATCCAAACCCTCTGGAAAGCCAAGGCAGGAAGACTATTTGAGCCCGGAGTTCAAGGTTATAGTGAACTGTGACTGTGCCACTGCACTTCAGCCTAGGTGACCGAGCAAGACCCTGTCTCTGAAAAAAAAAAAAAAATGTTTTAAATCAGGAAGAAAAATTGCCAGAACTAAAGAAAGAATAAGCCAAATTTGCAATAAAAGTAGGATTTTTATAGATGTTTATCACTCCTTTTTCACTAATTTATAAAACAAATGGGTAAAATATGCATATAGAACATTTGAACAGCACTATTGCCTTAGTACAAACTGCTATACAAAAGTATCATAGACTGGGTGGCTTAAAAGCAGCAGAAATTTTTTTCTTACAGTTCTGGAGGCTAAAAGTCTGATATCAGAGTATGTAAGTCTGAGATCAGGGCATGCTTGAGTTCTGGTGAGAGCCCTCTTCTAGGCTGCGGATTTCTAACTTCTCTTTGTATCCTCACATGGCAGAAAGAGAGCTAAAATCTTTCTGGGGTCTCCTTTATAAGGGCACTAATCTATTCAGGAGGGCTTCATCCTCATGACCTAATTACCTCCCAAAGGCCTCGTCTCTTATTACCATCATATTGGGGATTAGGATTTCAACATACTAATTTTGGGTAGACACAAACATTCATTCCATTGTAGATATCAACCTACTGAACATATATTGACCCAACAAACTGCAGAATATATATGCATTTCAAATGCAGATAAAACATTCAGCAAAGTAAATATGCTGTGACATAAAACCATAATAATTTCAGAAGCTTGGTGTCAAATAGGGTATAGTTAAAGACAGTGGAATTAAATTTAATCAATAACAAAAAAGTCTAGATAACTCATTTATTTTTTGTGCTGAATAGTATATTAACAAAATATAATTTAAATCAATTAAAGATCAATTCCATTAACAATAGCATAAAAACATAAAATGCCTAGAAATAAATATACCAAAAAATGTACAAGAACTCTGTTCCAAAAACCACAAAATATTGCTGGGAAAGATTAAGAAAACTTAAACACATGGAGAAGTATACAATGGTCATGGGTTGGGAGACTCAATAATGTAAAGATATTAATTCTTCCCTAAAGTTATCTATACATTCAATACAATTCCAATCAAAATTTCAGAACTTCCTATATAAATTGAAAACTGTTATAAAGATTTTGTATGAAAATACAACATAACCAGAATAGCCAAAACAATATTGATGAAGTTGAATAAACTTGGACTATTTATTTTTTGCTCATATTAAATTCTGGGATACAAATGCTGTATGCGCAGATTTGTTACATAGGTATACATGTGCCATGGTGGTTTGCTGCACCTATCAATCCATCATCTACGTTCTAAGCCCCAGATGCATTAGGTATTTGTCCTAATGCTCTCCCTTGCCTTGCCCCCCAACCCCCACAGGCCACAGTATGTGATGTTTCCCTCCCTGTGTCCATGTGTTATAATTGTTAAACTTCCACTTATGAAAGATAACATGTGTTGTTTAGTTTTCTCTTCCTGTGTTAGTTTGTTGAGGATGATAATTACCAGCTTCATCCATGTCCCTGCAAAGGACATGAACTGATTCTTTTTTATGGCTGCATAGTATTCCATGGTGTATATGTGCCACATTTTCTTATCCAGTCTATCATTGATGGGTTCCAAATCCTTGCTCTTGTAAATAGAGCTGCAATAAACATACATGTGCGTGTGTCTTTATACTAGAATGATTTATAATCCTATGGGCATATATCCAGTAATGGGATTGCTGGGTCAAATGGTATTTCTTGTTCTAGATACTTGAGGAATTGCCACACTGTCTTCCACAATGGTTGAACTAATTTACACTCCCACCAACAGTGTAACAGCATTCCTATTTCTCCACATCCTCACCAGCATCTGTTGTTTCCAGACTTTTTAATGATCACCATTCTATCTGGCATGAGACGGTATCTGATTTGCATTTCTCTAATGACCAGTGGTGTTGAGCTTTTGTTCATATGTTTCTTGGCTACATAAATGTCTTATTTTGAGAAGTATCTGTTCGTATCCTTCACCCACTTTTTGATGGGGTTGTTTGCTTTTTTCTTGTAAATTTGTTTAAGTTCTTCGTAGATTCTGGATATTAGCCCTTTGTCAGATGGATAGATTGCAAAAATTTTCTCGCATTCTGTAGTTTCCCTGTTCACTTTGATGATAGTTTCTTTTTCCTTTCTTTCAAGACAGAGTCTCACTCTGTCGCCCAGGCTGGAGTGCAGTAGCGGATCTCAGCTCACTTCAACCTCTGCCTCCCAGGTTCAAGAGATTCTCCTGCCTCAGCCTCCCAAGTAGCTGGGACTACAGGCGGGTGCCATCACGCCTGGCTAATTTTTTGTATTTTTAGTAGAGGCAGGTTTCACCGTGTTAGCCAGGATGGTCTCAATCTCCTGACCTCATGATCCACCTGCCTCAGGCTCCCTAAGTGCTGAGATTACAGGTGTGAGCCACTGTGCCCAGCCTCTGATGATAGTTTCTTTTGCTGAGCAGAAGCTCTTTAGTTTAGTTAGATCCCATTTGTCAATTCTGGCTTTTGTTGCAATTGCTTTTGGTGTTTTAGTCATGAAGTCTTTGCCCATGCCTATGTACTGAATGATAATGCCTAGGTTTTCTTCTAGGGTTTTTATGGTTTTATGTTTTACATTTAAGTCTTTAATCCATCTTGTGTTAATTTTTGTATAAGGCATAAGGAAGGGGTCCAGTTTCTGTTTTCTGTATATGGCTAGCCAGTTTTCTCAGCACCATTTATTAAATAGGGAATCCTTTCCCCCATTGCTCGTTTTTGTCAGGTTTGTTGAAAATCAGATGGTTGTAGATGTGTGGTGTTATTTCTGAGGCGTCTGTTCCGTCCAATTGGCCTATATAACCATTGGTCTATATATCTGTTTTGGTACCAGTATTTAACTAAGTTTACGCCTTCTTATAAAGATATACAGTATAGCATATAAGAGTGTGTTCCTTAGTACTGACTGGTGTAGAATAAATAAATAGGTCAGTGGAACAGAGTAGAGAGCCTAGAAATAGACCTAAATATATATAGTCAATTTAGTTTTGAAAAGATGGGCTGTGTGTGATGACTCTTGCCGCCTGTAATCCTGGCACTTTGGGAGGCAGAGGCAGGAGGATCATTTGAGCCCAGGAGTTCAAGACCAGCCTGGCCAATGTAGTGAAACCCTAGTCTCTACAAAAATAAAAATAAATTAACCAAGCATGGTGGCTTATAGCTATAGTCCCAGGTACTCCAGAGGCTGAAGTGGGAAGATTGTTTGAGCCCAGGAGGTTGAGATTGAGTGGGTGGTGATCACACCACTGTGCTCCATTCTGTGTGACACAGTGAGACTATCTCAAAAAAATTTTTTTTAAGGAAAAAGTCTTTTCAAAAATTGCATAAGCAAACTGAGTAAGCATGTGAAAAAAAAAAATAAACCTCAACCGAAACCTCACACTATACCTTCATGAGGTAAACTGTCAGCCTACTGTAAAAGCTAAGACTATAAAGCCCCCAGAAGGAAAAGACGGGGAAATATCTTTGTAAACATAGGAGACAAAGATTTTGTAGAAATAAAAAAAAATGATAAACTAGACTTAATCAAAATTTTTAAAAATTTGCTCAACAATATAAACTACTATAAACATAAAAAAATCAAGCCATAGGCTAGGAGAAAATATTTGCAATTAACATGTCAAAAAAGACTAAGACTTGTATCAATCAACAATATATAAAGAACTATAAAATAATAATCTAAAGACAAAAAACTCCATGTGTTCCCTTAAAATAAAGAACAATTAAAATGGGCAGGAGACTTCAAAAAGATGTGTGAATGATCAGAGGCATTTTTTAATCAAGGAAATGCAAATTAGCATCACAATGAGGTATTATTTAACAAACACCCACTGAAATTTCCAAGATTATATATGTAGGTATACACACACACACACACACACACACACGTATATATATACACATACACACACATACACATACACACATGCTCAAATAACTCCAAATGTTGGGCAGAATACAGAATACAATTGGAACTCCCTCATGTATTGCCTCTGAGTATTTAAATGGTTGCAACCGCCTTAGAAAGTGCTTTTTAAATTTTCGCTAAACAGTAAAGAGAAATCTACCTAATGATTCATCAGTTTTTCTCCTGCGTATTTAGAGGGGAGAAATTAAAGCATGCTCTACAAAAAGTCTTATACAATATTCATAGCAGCTTTTTCCCTAATAGCCTAAAACTAAAAACAATCCATGTATATGAACAAGTGAATGGATAAATAAATAATGATACATTTATCCTACTCAGAAATTAAGAAAAATAACTGATACAGGATGACTCTCAAAAACTATACTGAACAAGAGAATTCTAACAAAAGGGTATGCACAATGTATTTCCCATTTTTATGAAATTCTACAGCAGCAAAACTAAACTATGATAGAAATCAGAACAGTGGTTGTCCATTGTCAGAGAGGTGGGAAAAGGTCAGGAGGGAACTTTCTATGTTTGTGGAAATGTTTTATATTTTGATTAACCTAATGATTATCTGGGTGTATACATATACCTACAATCTGTGCCTTTTATCGTACTTAAGTTATATCTCAGTTTGAGAAATCTAATCATATGGAGCTCTGGCTTCTAGGATTTACCTACCGGAGTGAGGAACATCAAGAAAATACACTACCTTTGTTTTGTCCAGGAATCCCAAAAATAAGTTTACTCCATAGGATTTAATGTTAATAACCCTTTACAGCAATCCAGTACATAGAGTTTTAAAATATACATAATTCCCTTTTTTGCCTTAATATAAATCCTTGAAGTAAGCAAGCAGACATCATTATTCCACATCATAATTAAGGCAATTAAGGCTAATAAGCAGGACATAGAATTAGAAGGAGAACCTGTTTTCTGATCACTAACTGATCCAACTCTCATTTCACTGTATCTAAACAGAACAGTTGCCTCCTTAAGGTATTAATTAACCCTATTTAGTGATCGCCCACTGACCTGCTGGCTGAGCTCTTGGTTTATAAAGATAAACAACACAAGATATCTGTCTTCAAGGAAATTGTCATCTATATTGACTCTGCTATATAGTACACTGGAAGATACATGTTTTCAAAGCACTGTACAGAAATTCAGATGTAAAACCATTTTCTAAATTATCTAATGTGCTGAAAATTAAATTAGACATCTTGATCAATATATAATCTATCAAAATATTCCTCTAAGAAAAATCTTCAGACTTTTAATTCGCCACTCATCTAACTGCTCGAACCTTGAATAGTAGTTTTTACTCCAACAGACCAACACACTAAATGTGTGCCTTTATTTCTCAACTGGAAGTAGAGGCCTCAAAACCTCAGAAAGGAAACATTTGGTTTGGCCTTTTTTTAGCTGTCCTCATTGAGAATATACAGACAGCTATGAGAAGCAAGGATCCTGTTAAGTTTCCATAAAACCACCAACTCTGACACCAAAGAACAATTTGTTCCTTTTGTTGGTTTTCACAGTCCCTGAAACTTGAAGGTGATGACAGGAAGAAAGGCTCATCAATAAAGAAATGAGAAAGTTACCTTAGAATAATTAGAAGGTTGGTTCTCCTGTAGAATATTTTTTATCTAATAAAGAAAATAGTTTCAATTTCACTGTGAAAATTAAAACAATTTTAAGTCTTTTGAAATGAACTAATAATATCATTCAGCCATAATATTTATTTTTCATTACTGTATGTCCTAAAGTTTAGGACTACCATGCTTAATTTTGCATTTTAAATTAACAGAACAGGATAAATATACATATAGTAACCTTTTTTTCTTATTTGGACATATTAAAATTCATAGCTTTTAATCTAGGAAAAATAAAAGATGTTAATACTTGATATGGGCTTTGTGACAAATTACAAATTCCCCAAATTATTCTGTAAATAGTGAGATGTGGAGCAACTAAAATCCTCACTTGAAACTTTAATGATGTCAGCAGTAAGTCTTATTTAACATTTCAGATGAGGTTAATATATTTTAATCCATTTTTATATAAAATATAATTTGCAATTAGTCTGTAGAATAAAAAACATTTAAAGTCTAGAAATTTAATAATAAAAATAACAAAACATGAGAATAATAGGACATATTTACATAGTATTCAATAAGAAAAGCAACTGGTGTTTGAATTATAAATTTTAATCAGAAATGACTATAAATGTGTTGAATAACTTGTTAAATCTTGTAGCCAGCCTGAATGAGAAACTCTGATCAAAAGAAGAACCCAGTTTCCATTCCTGGTTTTACCACTAATTAGATGTGTGGTCTTGGGTAAAAATAGAGAACTTTAGAATGAGATGAGGACTCAAAGGCCTCAGTGAAGACATTTTCTCCAATAGAGAGGACCGTAACAGCTGATCTTACAGCCTCTGCTTTCACACTTATGTTGACAAAAACTCACTCCTTCATGAAGCAGACAGTGTTTTCTATAAATTACCTGTGATTACTTCAGTTTAAATACAGTCATATAAATGTGCCTGTCTCCTATGGATAATTAGTTAACTGGAAGAATCCTAATCAAGACCATACACCCTGGGCCAGGCACAGTGGTTTACTCCTATAATTCCAGCATTTTGTGGGGATGAGGCGGGAAGATAGCTTGAAGCCAGGAGGTCCAGATCCCCATCTCTACAAAGTTTTCTAAAAAAAAAAAAAAAAAAAAAAAAAAAAAATAGCTAGGCGTGATGGCATATAGCTGTAGCCCTAACTACTCTGGAGGCTGAGGCAGGAGGATCCCTTTGAGTGCAGGAGTTCGAGGCTGCAGTGAGCTAGGGTTGCACCACTCCAGCCTGAGTGACAGTGCAAGACTCTCTCTCTTACTGAAAAACAAACAAACAAACAAACAAAACTTCACACTCTACGGATGATTAACTACTACCTGGAAAATCCTAATCAGAATCTCACACTGTAGAATTATGGTCATAATCAATTCAATTGTCTTGAGTCATTATCCCTGCTCAGTGTAAGATGGTATGCTAATCAGTCTAAGGAAAGTTAGTAGTGCTTTTTCTGTGATAAAATGAGTATTGCCTCAGATGACATGGACTTATCACTTCTCCTACTGATTGAATAGGACATACCAACCTTGGTTGAATCCTTCAAAATAGTGTCTTACGTTTCAGGTTATAATCTCCCATGCTGACTAGCAAACTAACATAATTCTGCTACTGGAATATTGTCCCATTTACCACATGGTACTTTCATTTAAGCTCATTGTAAGAGTGCCCCCCCACGCAAAAAAAAAAAAAAACTTCATCAGGTTTGCTGATGAAGGTCGAATGCCTGATTTGTGTGTGCTTGCTAATAAATACATGTGTGGCAGAATTCAGCCTGGGAGTTGCTTTTATTGTAACACACCAAATGGTAGCAGGGTGCTGCAGGCTGTAGATATCTAACCAAAGGAACCCAATCTTTCTGAAATTCATTTAGGTAGATTCACAACAGCAGGCCATTCTGTTTTTATGTTTGTATTAATGTCTCGGAATACCATTTATTAATCTGCAAAGAGAATATCCAATTTGAAGTAGACTAGACCATGTAAATTAGCTGATGAACACATGAAATATCCTTTGTATTGAGCTGACACAAACTTCTATAAAACTTCTATGCATTTGTCATGGTTTTTGCCTTCTGGGCCACACACATGAACTTAATCCTTCTAAAGTAGGGCTAAATTTTTACATATAAACTCAAAGTAGAAGACCCAGAACATGACTTAATTTTCTATTCTGGCTTAGACTTCGCTTGCCAGAACAGCATAAAATTCCATCTCAGTCAGTTTGAGTGCTTGCCCTTTCCAAGTCTTGTGAAAACCCCAGAGTCTTACAAAAGCCTATTCAGGGAGTGCTTTCTGGTCTTTAGTTCATATTTGTCTCTTCTAATTTACTCACTATTTAAGACCAACCCATCCCTTGAAAGAGGCTACTCCTGTGCAAAGTGGAGAACCTGGCATCCTTGCCATAGCTCACAGGCCTGGTGCTTATATTGTAGGAGCTCTCTAGTTGCACCAGGTCATTTTACTCTGACATTCCGCCACTGCCCTGGAACGTCGCACCTTGGGAATCTCTGCTATTGACAGAGCCATGTCATGGCCCTCTTCCTACTATTGAGGAAGCAATCCCAGCTAGATTTCTGCTTCCCCACCTCCAACAAATGTGACCTTATATACAAGCACATGCACACCAATTATCTTCATGCCATGATGTTTCCTCACATTCTTTCCAATCAGTTCCTACTGCCATCCTCCAGAGGCAGTCACTGCTCTGATTTTTTTTTAATCATAGAATAGTTTTGCCTACTCCAAAATTTGTGTAAATACAACCGTGTACGTAGAATCATATGAAATGTACTGTATGTTTGTGGAAGGCTTCTTTCACTCAGCAACACGTCATGATTCATCCATACTATTTGCATCAGAAAGTCATTCCTTTTGATACTGCTATAGTGGTATTCCATGATATGCATATACCAAGTTTTAGTCATTCTCCTGTTAATTGACAATTAGGTGATCAGCAGTTTTAAACTACTATGAAAAGTGTATTTGTAAACTTAAATTGTTTTTTAGCTAAATGTATTGGGGTGGCATTGTAGGGTCACTGGGTAGGTACATGTTCAATTCTATAAGAAATTGCCAAAACATTTTCAAAAGCGGTTGCACCATTTTACATTCTGACTAAAAAATGAGTAGCTCCATATCTCCATCCACATCTGGTGTTGTCGGTCTATATAGCTTTAACCTTTATACTGGGTGTGTAAAGCATCTCATTGTGGCTTAAAGTCATTCTTGTCTCATATATTTCAGTGCTTCTTAGTATTATTAACTTCAACATTAAGCAATAATGAAACCATCTCTTGTGTATCCAAGTTTTAAATCAATAACTTGAAAGAAGCAATCAACTTGGGAAAAGATGCATATACATGCCTACTCCTACTGCTTGCAAGGGCTGGAAAAGGAGTATAAATGGAAATCAACATATGACAGTCTAATATTTAAAAGTTCTAACTTGAGCTGGCAAACTCTTATGTAACAGGTTTTATCCTCTTACCTTAATATATCTATCTGCAGAGTGATCTAGGAGGGCAAACTCACAGTTCACACCCGAGTGTAGATGTGTGAGGAGGCCAAGCCAAAGCCTTCTGACCTCCAGATTCCCAGTCTGGCTCCTCTCCACCCACCAGAAGGTTACCCAGTGCACACCCTTGTGGACTGTCCAGATAAGGCATCTGAGCTTTGTTCCTATTTCCATACGCAGCTTCCCCTGAGCCATCCTTGGGTCTAGTGAGGAACATGTCAGTGTGATCATCTGGAGGGTGAGCCAAAAGGTGGACTTTGGTGGGCGTGTTGTTTCAGCCCCACCCAAATCCTTGCTCTTTGGAAGAAATGTGGCCAGAGGCACAGACTCCTTTAAGTAAATCTGAGCATAGTAGAGTGGGCACACCCATTTTATTCGCTACTGAAGTTTCATTTCACTACTTGCCTTAGAGACATGAATTTTGTACGGGGCCACCATGGTTGCAATAGTGGCAGATCCTGAACGAACCTCTTATTTCCTCAGCCACCTTGTGTTCCCCCAGCACTTGGCTGAGATGAATGTGATATTTTCACAAGGAAACAAAAAAGGAACAACAAAACTAACAAACAGATTGCAAAAGCATAGAAATGGATGTTGATCTATCTCAGATAATGTTTTATGGCTAACGTGTAGAAATATATTAGTGAAACAGTCAAAACCTAAATAACAAGAGGAAAAGAACACATACTCCCACAAGCAGGCACACACACACACCCCTACCAAAATTATATACAGTTGAATTAGAAATGCTTCAGAAAACATTTATTCATAATGGTTAAATTTATAAAACACTATATCCAGTAGTCACTGCTCTAAGGGCTCTACATGAGTTATTTAATGCTTACATGTCATTTTCTTTTCTTTTTTTTTTCTTTTTTTGAGACAGAGTCTTGCTCTGTTACCCAGGCTGGAGTACAGTGGCGCTATCTCGGCTCACTGTAACCTCCACCTCCCAGGTTCAAGTGATTCTCGTGTCTCAGCCTCCCAAGTAGCTGGGATTGCAGGCATGCACCACCACACCTGGCTAGCTTTTTTTTTTTTTTTTTTTTTTTTTTTTGTATTTTTAGTAGAGATGGGGTTTCACCATACTGGCCAGGCTGGTCTCGAACTCCTGACCTCAGGTGATCCACCCGCCTTGGCCTCCCAAAGTGCTGTAATCCTCCAAAGGGATTACAGGAGTGAGCCACTGCGCCGGCCATTTTCATCTCCATTTTAGAGATGTGGAAACTGAGGATCAGAGAGATTAGGGTAAAAAGATTGTTACATTTACTTGCTAGGGAGTGGCATAGGCAACATTCAAATCCAGACAGTCTGGCAGTGGAGTCCACAGGCCTGGCCAGGAGGCTATGCTGGGTAGGTCTACTATGTGTTAGGCATTTTATGAGGTGTTTTATATAGATTAGCTAATTCAAACTGTGACATAGGTATAATTATCTCTGCTTGACAGATGAGAAAACAGAGGTTAACTAATTTGCCAAAATTATAAAACTAGTAAATGGCTAAGCTGGATTTTACTAACTTGCCAAAGTTATATAACTAATAAGTGGCTGAGCTCGGTTTTAAAACTTGATTAAATTATGTTCAGGACACATTGCCTATGAAGGCAACATGTAATATTTTAAAGAATTAAAAATAATTTTCTTTTCATTTTTGATTTACACATCAAGGAATAGGATTCAAGTATCTGAGCTTTTTTTTTTTTTTTTTTCCCATGGTGCTCCTTGTCCTTTAACAATGCCTGATAAATGAGTCATTACCATACCTCACTACACACAGGGGAGATGTGATTTAATTTCCAGTCTATAGCCAACACCAAACCTGGGGTTTTGAAGGGTGCATTACAACTGGCTTTAAATGTACTTGATTTTTCTCCAGGAGAAAAAAAATCTTCTTAGACATAGAAAGAAATATATCCATTAAGTATCAAACACTATTTCATTTCTATGTAAATCTATGGATAAGATAACTTAGTGATTTCATATTTCCCTGTGAATGCAATAAAATCTGATGGAAACCAAAGAAAAAATATCTACACCAAATCTTTCAATATGCATTCCTCAGTACATTCCAGAGCTTGGAGCACATGCAGGAAAGTATGGAAAAAATGACTGCCTGTGTTCTTCTACTTAGATTTAATTTTCCTTTTGAGCCTTTAGTGTGAGCATAGGTGTGGTGTTTTATTGTACATTTGTCACATGTTTCCAAGTTGCCACTGAATTAAGCATGTGCTTCTTGAATATAAGAGGAATTGAAACAGAAAAATTTCTTAAAGGAACCATTGCACTCTCTGTTCCTAAATAGAGAAATATCTGCACATTTAAGCATAAAATGGAGAGACTTTTATGCTTGCAACCATACTCACAATGCCCTACTTTTATAATAGTGGGTCTTACTCGAAGAAACATTCATTAACTAATTATTGTGGTTAAATTATGCTTCAGGGTCTTCACAAAAAAAAATCCACTTTTCACAGATCTTGAAATCCTGGAAGTTCTAAAAAGAAAGTAGTTCCACAAATGGGAATTGCCAGTAGCATTTAAGGGCTGGTGATTAGAAAAAGAAAAGCAAATACAATCATAGGTAACTCCATGACTCTTTTAAAATAGAAAAGTCTCTCTGGCAGGGCGCAGTGGCTCTCGCCTGTAATCCCAGAACTTTGAGAGGCCGAGGCGGGCGGATCACCAGAGGTCAGCACTTCAAGACTAGCCTGACCAACATGGCGAAACCCCGTGTCTACTAAAAATACAAAAAAATTAGCCGGACGTGGTGGCGCATGCCTGTAATTCCAGCTGTTTGGGAGGCTGAGAGAGGAGAATCGCTTGAACCACGGAGGCGGAGGTTGCAGTGAGCCGAAATTGTGCCACTGCACTCCAGCCTGGGCAACAAGAGCAAAACTCTGTTTCAAAAAAAAAAAAAAAAAAAGAAGAAGAAGAAGAAGAAATATTAAAATAGAAATGTCTGTAACATCTCTCCAATTGAGAATGCAGTATCAGTATGGGTCTACGTTTACTAAGCATGCCAACATTGTTGCTGTTCTGTGTGACTATTAATGGATGTGTTTCTCTCAACCGTATTATAAATGTCAATGTATATCGTCACAAGATTTATCTGTGCTGTTTGGTTAGCTTTTGGAACTTGACTTTCCAAGATTGCTTCAGCAATGAATGGGAGGCACATGGTGAGAATGGACCCCACACAGCTTTTGGTACCAAAGCCTGGGCACAGCCCACACATAGCAGGAAGCTACTCTCACATATTTGGCAGTCCTGCTGGGGCATGGAGCCATGGGCAACCTGGCTGCCCCAAGTCCTTCCCTAAATGAGAGGGTCTCCTTGGAAGTATGCAAGCCAACATCTCCAGTGGCAAAGCTTAGAAATAAATTCTTGGAGCAAAAGGAGATGAGAAGGAAAACAAACACATTGCAGTCTCTTAGCCGGCATCAACAGTGGGTGAAGAAATCCTTTAACTTGGTAGTTTGGAAACAGGGGCATTCAAGGTGAAGAATATTTTTCTATTGTTCAGTGATTGAATTCTGTCCTGCTTTGATTTGTGATTTATAGTGTACTGTGTTTTTTATTGCTGTTGTTTGTGGCTTTTTTTCTTTAAGAAACAAAACCACATCCAATAGGAAATGACAATAGACGATTACCTTCCAGATTTTAATAAAGTTATGCAGAGGGTATTTCTAATGAACTTTAAAACATTTTATGGAAGGACATACAATATCTTAAGAATCTGCTATGTGCTAGACAGTAGGTTAAGTGTTTAACAAATTATTTCATTTGGTTCTCATAATTAAACTGATAAAATATTTATTTTTATCTCTGTCTTGTTGATGTAGAATTTAAGGTACAATGAAGTAAACTGACAAGCTCATAGTCATCCAGCCACAAATGTGATTTTAGGAACTCAAACTTCAGCTCTACCTTTGTTTGACAAAGAAATCCATTCTGTGTTACCACACTATAAAGCAAATTGCATACATTTTCTCCTCATTTTTAATTACTAATTTTGTCACATAAGAATATCTTATACAAAATATGAATTTAGGTATTTTCCAGAAATCTCCATTGTCAATTGTATAATTTTATTTTAACAGGATTTCTTAGAGATATGTTTTCAACCTATCTGGTTACATGATTCAAATTGAACATTATTACACAGAATCAAAAAATAATTAAATTACAAGACTACCTAGGGAATGTCCTGTTCTGCAATGTCCATGGTCATCACTAGCCACATGTGGCCATTTAAATTTAAATGAATTAAAACTGACTTCTGGTTTCTGGTTCCACATGTAAGAAGCTTGGAAATTGCCACCCCATTCTAACAACACGTAAAAAGCTATACAATCAGAAAAATCAGTAACTCTTCTTGAATCCAAAAGAGAGAGGCAGGACACACAACAAACTGCTGCCCCAAGATTGGAAAGACAGTTGGAATACCAGCAGTCACAGCTTAGCACAACTGCCTCACAAGCAGAAACCTCCAAGGCAACCCAGGCTGGAGTAAGAAACCTAACTGTAATGAACAAATTGCTGAAGGCTTAGTGTGGAAAACTCCGAGAGCTAAAAACTCCAGGGGAACGCAGTGATTTGGGGGCCCTCACAATTTTGTAAGATTTACGTCCAGGAGATTGACCAGGTTCTCACAATAAATATCAGAGAAAAATCCCTTCATGGTTTCCATAGGAAGAGGAAAATAAACCATTCTGAAATTTGCCAAAGCATCCTGTCCTTAATAAGGCCTGCCCTCAGAAGAAACTAGTTAACCACAGCCTAACATGCTGGGTTTTTATTAAAACCTAACTAACCTGGAGGAAGAGAAACACTCAATTTCAGCCTACTGTAGCTATCCTGTCCTATCTAAAGTGGGTGGACTTAGTAGCACACATGAAGTTCATAGTTCGGAGACATAGACTAACTAGAAGACTGACAGCTAATAATAAGTAGAGAATGCTTCCCCTTCCCACACACCTTACCACCACATTTTTAAAGGGCTATTTACAGAAATTCCTTTTATCCAGCACATCACATCCCACTATCAAGAAAATAATTACAAAGCACACCAAAAGGCAAAAAACACCATTTGAAGAGATGAGCAAGCATCAGAACCAGATATGGCAGAGATATTGGAATTAACAGACTGATAATTCAAAACAACTGTGATTAACATACTGAGGGCTATAAGGTATAAAGTAGACAGCATGTAAGAACAGATGAGCAAAGTAAGCAGAGCAATGGAAATCATAAGAAAGAACCAAAAAAGAAATACTAGATGTCAAAAACACTGTAACAGATATGATGACTTTGATGGGTTTATTAATATGCTGGATACAAGTGGGGAAAGAATCTCTGAGTTTGAGGATATATCAATAGAAACCTCCAAAACTGAAAAGAGAACAAACACTAAATATTAAAAACAAATACAGAATATTCAAGGACTATGAAACAACTACAAAAGGTGTAACATATGCATAATGGGATAACAGAAGAAGAAGAGAAAGGGAAAGAAGGAGGAGAAGGTGGAGGAGGAGAAGGAATATTTTAAACAATAGTGAACTGAGGATTCCCCCAAATTAATGTCAAACAGAAAACCACAGACCCAGGAAATGTAGAGAACACCAAGCAAGATAAATACCAAAAAACAAAACAAAACAAAAAGAAACCCTACATCTAGGAATACAAAAAACTACAGAAAATCAAAAATGAAGAAAAAACTGCAGAAAATCAAAGATAAAGAAAAAATCCTGAAAGGAGCCTGAGGAGTAGGGGTGGAGATGAAACATCTTACTTATAAAGGAAAAAAGATAAAAATTACATCTTACTTCTCCTCAAAAAGCATTTAAGTAAAAAGAAATTAAGGTAAAATATTTAAAGTGTTGAGAGGAAAAAAACTCCATAAATCTAGAATTTTGTACCCTGCAAAATTATTCCTCTAAAGTGAAAGAGAAATGAAGACTTTCTCAGATGAACAAAAACTGAAGAAATCTGTTGCCAGTAGATCTGAAATGTTAAAACAAGTTATTTAGAAAGAAGGAAAAATAAATAGGTCAGAAACTTGTATTGATATAAAGAAAGGAAGAGCATTTAAAAAGAAATAAGTGAAGATAGGCCTGGCTTGGTGGCTCATGCCTGTAATCCCAGCGCTTTGGGAGGTCAAGGCGGGTGGATCAGTTGAGGGCAGGAGTTCAAGACCAGCCTGGCCAACATGATGAAACCCCATCTCTACTAAAAATCCCAAAATTAGTTGGGTGTGGTGATGTGCGCCTGTAATCCCAGCTACTCGGGAGGCTGAGGCAAGAGAATCACTTGAACCTGGAAGGCAGAGATAGAGTGTAGTGAGATGAGGTCACACCAGTGCACTCCAGCCTGGGCAACAGAATGAGACTTCATCTCAAAAAAAAAAAAAAAAAAAAAAAAAAAAAAAAAAATATATATATATATATATATATATATATATATACACACACACATATACAAATTTTTTTCTTACTCAATTAGTCTAACACTAAGAGGTTGTTGAAAATAATAATAGCAATAATGTGTTTGACTAGGTGTGCTTATGTAAATATTGTGGGCTGTTTGTGTGTGCATGTGTGTGTCTGTGTCTGTGTATATGCCTATGTATATTCACACATAAGTGAAATAACTGACAGCAATGATACAAAGGACAGGAGGAAGGAATTAGGATTATTTTGTTAGCCTATGAAGTAGTATAGTGTTATTAGAAAGTGGACTTGGATTAGTTGTAAATGTATATTGTAAACTCTAGGGCAAACACTAAAAAAGTTTTTTTTAATGATATACTAAGAAAGGAGAGAAAATGGAATCATTTAAAGTACTAAACTAAAACTATAAATGGCAGAAAAAGAATGAAAGACAAAAAGGGCAACAAATAGAAAACAGGAAGAAATATGGTAGATATTAATCAAATTACATCAATAATTATTCTAAACAATGATATTCTAAATGCACCCATTAAAAGACAGAGATTGTCAGGTTTCACCAAAAATAGACCCAAATTTATATTCTCTACAAAAAAACCCACTTTAAATATGAAGATATATATATAGAGAGATAGATCGACAGATAGATTAGAAATAAATGAATGGAGAAAATTACACCAGTCTAACATTAATCAAAATAAAGCAGGAGTAGATGTTATAATTTTAGAGTAAACAGGCCATAAAGAAGAACATTATATAATGATAAGGGGGTCAATTATCCAGGAAGACATAACAATCCTTAATGTGTATGTGCCTAACAGAGTATCAAACTACATGAGGCAAAACTGATAGAACTGTAAAAATTAATAGATTACTTTTCTGTCATAATTATAGACTTTAATACTTCTCTATTAATACTCCTCTATCTACATAAACAGCTCCAACAGGCAGAAAATCAGGAAAGACATTAATTGAAATAAATAATATCATCAATTAACTGGATATAACTAATATCTATAGATGGCTTCATCCAGCAACAAGAAAATGCACATTCTTCTGAAGCTCATATAGAACATGCACGAAGACAGACCACATTCTGGGTCATAAAACACACTTTAACAAATTTAAAAGATTAGAAAACATACAATGTCCACTCTCAGACCACAATGGAATTAACTTGAGATCAATAAGAGAAGGATAACTGAAGAATTCCAAAATACATGGAGATTAAAAAACACACTTCTAAATAACACATACATCAAAGAAGAAATCTCAAGGTAAATTGTTTTTAAAAATCAACTAAATGAAAATTAACATATAATTTATCAAAATCTTTGAGATGCATCAAAAGTAGTGCTTAAAGGAAAATTTATACCATTGACTGCGAATATTAGAAAGAAAGATCTAAAATCAATATTCTAAGTTTTATCTTAGGACACAAGAATAAAAAGCAAACAAAATAAATTATAAAAATTAGAGAAGAAATCAATAAAATGGAAATTGATAGTAAAAATCAACAAAACCAATAGTTGCTTCTTTAAAAAGACCAATAAAATCAATAAGTCTCTAGCCAGGCTAACTAAGAGAAAAGGAGAGAAGACATGAATTACTAATAGCAAAAATAAAAGAGGAGACATGATTACTAATCCACGGATATTAGAATGATAATAAACAAAAACTAGGGACAACACCATGCCCACAAATTTGATAAGCTAAATAAAATGGATCAATTCCTTGAAAAAGCAAAATTTGCTAAAACTCACGCAAGAAGCAATCCACAATATGAATAGGCCTGTTATCTAGTGAATAAATTTAATCAACAATTAATAACCTTCCAAAACAGAAAGCACCCACCAAGCCCAGATGGGTTCACTGGTGAATTTTCATAAACATTTAAGAAAGAAATTATATCAATTATCTGCAGTCTCTCTCTCAAAGGATAGAAGTAGAAAGAGTAGTTCCTAAATCATTCTAGAAGGCCAAAATCACCATAATACCAAAACTAGACAATGACAATATAAGAAAAGAAAACTGCAGACCAGTGTCTCTCATGAACACAGATGTAAAAATCCTCAAAAAAGTATTAGCAAATGAATCATACAATGTATAAAGAGAATTATACCTCATGACCAATTAGGACTTATCCAAGATATGCAAGACCGGTTTCACATATGAATATCAATTAATGTAATTTATCACATCAATAGGCTAAAAATGAAAGTCACATAATCATATAAATAGATACAAGAAAAGCATTTCACAAAATTCAATATCCACTCATGATAAAAACTTTCAGTACACTAGGAATAGAGGGAAACTTTCTCAACTTGATACAGATATTTACCAAAAAACAAATAGAACCCTATATAGCTAACATACTTTATGGTGAGAAACTAGAAGCATTTCTGCTAAGATCAGGAACCAGAGAAGATGCTATCCCCTTTCAACGTTGTACTAGAAGTACTAGCTAATGTGATAAGACAAAAAAAGGAATTAAAAAGTATACCAAATGGGAAGGAAGAAATAAAATAGGGCTTGTTGACAGATAACATGATTGTTTATGCAAAAAATCCAAAATAATTAACAAAAAAACACTGTGAAATGAATCAGCAATTATAACAAGGTTTCAGTATACAAGATTAATTTGCAAAAGTCAATCACTTTCCTATATAGCAAAAATAAACAAGTGAAATTTGAAATTAAAAACACAATATTATTTATATTAACACCCCCAAAATGAAAAACTTAGGTATAAATTATATGTGTATATGTGTGTTTGCGTGTGTGTGTGTGTGTGTATGAGGAAAACTATAAAAACTCTTATAAAAAAATAAAAAAAAACTAAATAGGTAGTCCATCTTCATAAAGAGGAAAACAAAATATTGTCAAGATGTCAGTTCTTTCCAACTTGATACATAGATTCAATGTAATCCCAATCAAAATCTCAGAAAGTTATTCTTTAGATATTGACAAAGTAATTCTTATGTTTATGTAGGGAGGCAAAAGATCCAGAACAGTCAACACAATATTGAAGGAGAAGAACAAAGTTGGAGAATTGAAACTACCCAAATTCAATACTCACAATGAGCTATGGTAATCAAGACAGTGTGACAGTGGCAAAAGAACAGGTCAATAGATCAGTAGAACAAAACAGAGAGCCCAGAAACAAACCCACATAAATATAGTTCACTGACCTTCGACAAAGAGTGAAGGCAATACAGGGAGCAAAGACAGCCTTTTCAACAAATGGTGCTGGAACAACTAGACATCCACATACAAAAAAAATTAATCTAGACACAGACATTTTACCCTTCACAAAAAGGAATTAAAAATAGATCACAGACCAAAATGTAAAATGCAAAATTACAAAACTCTTAGAAGACTAGGTAGGAGAAAATATACATGACCTTGGGTACAGTCATGTCTACATACAAAACCAAAGACATAATTCATGAAATAAATAATTTGTAAGTTAGACTTTATTAAAATTAAAAATTATGCTCTGTGAAAGACAATGCCAAGAAAATAAAAAAGATGAGCCACAACGTAAGAGAAAATATTTGCAAAAGATACATCTGATAAAGTAGTGTTATCTAAAATATACAAAAAAAAAAACCCTCTTAAAACTCAACAATAAGAAAACAACCCAATGGAAAAAGAAAATGGGCCAAAGATCTTGACTCAGAAATCAAAAAGATATACAGATGGCAAATAAGTATATGAAAAGATGTTCTGCACCATATAATATTAGAGAAATTCAAATTAAAACAAGATACCACTACACACCTGCCAGAATAGCCCATATCTAGAACACTGACAACACCAAAGATTGGCAAGAATGTGAAGGAACAGGAACTCTCATTCATTGCTGTGGGGAATGCAAAATGTTACAGTCACCTTAGAAGACAGTTCTGCAGTTTTTTAGAAAAACCAAACATACTTTTATCATATGACCCATTAATTATATTCCTTGGTATTTACCCAGAGTAGTTGAAAACTTATGTCCATGCAAAAACATGCACATAAATGTTTATAGCAGTTTTATTCATAATTGCCAAAACCTGGAAGCAACCAAGATGTCCTTCCATAGCAGAATGGATAAACTATGGTACACTCAAACAATGAAACATTATTCAGAGTTAAAAGAAATAAGTTGTCAAGCCTTGAAAAAAATGGAGGGAACTTACATGCCTTTTAACTGAAAGAAGACAATCTGAAAATGCTACATACTGTATAATTCCAATTACATGACATTGTGGAAAAGGCAAAACTATGGATACAGTAAAAATATCTGGTTGGAAGAGGTTAAGTGGGAGGAAAGGATAAACAGGTAGAGAAGAGAAAATTTCAGGGCAGTGAAAATCCTCTGTATGATACTATAATGGTAGATACATGTCATTACACATTTGTCCAAACCCATAAAATGTATACCACCAAGAGCGAACCCTAATATAAACCATGGACTTTGGACAATTATGATCTGTCAACATAGGTTTGTCAATTGTAACAAATGACCACTGTGATGGGGGACGTTGATAACGAGGGAGGCTGTACATGTGCAGGGGCAGGGAGTATATGGGAAATGTCTGCACCTTTCTCTCATTTTTTTGTGATCCTAAAATTACTCTAAAAAAGTAAAGTCTTTACAAATTTATTAAAACTAAGTGAATTGAGAACAATTCATTCATTAGTCACATGTTTCAAGGGTTTAATAGCCACATGTGGCTTATGACTACCATATTGGACAATGCAGATTATACAGTATTTCCCTTATCACAGACAGTTCCATTGAACAGTACTGCTCTAGTCCTTACTACATTTCAGATGAAAAAACAAAAGCCCAGAGTCACATAACAAAACCTCTCTTGATGTGCTTTCTCATCCTGCTCTCGTCACCACACCACACTGTCCCCAAATAAGTTTTATGTGAGCAAAAACTTTGGTAAACAATTATAGGAAAAACTGCCAGAAATGCATTTCCTGTTTATGACATACCAAAGTGAGTGAGAAATAACACTTTTATAATTTTATCATAAATTATAGGATTGATGGCAAAGGTAGTATTCACCGGCTAAAATAGCATGTTTCTCATTAAACTGCTTCATAATCTTAAAAAAAGGGCTATGAAACATTAATGAATTTTTTTCCCTAAATACATACACCTGTAAGAATTTACCTCTTATTTTTAAGTGGTAACAATTTAATACTGAATGCTTTACAAATATCCATGTTGTGATAAAATAAAGTGATTCATTTAATTATACTGAAATAATAAAGTTAAAAATTAAAACTATCAATGTATTTTGTATATGAGAAAATAATTCTCAAATTGTTTTAAACTGTAATTCTCACAGTGCTTGGATCCTCAAAATACCTTCATGTGCAGATGCTCCTCATTTTACAATGGGTTTACATCTAGATAAACCAATTGTAAGTTGAAAATATTCTAAGTCAAAATATATTTAATACAGCTAACCTACTGAATACCAGAGCTCAGCCTCATCTACCTTAAACATGCTCAGAAGCCTTACATTAGCCTACAGTTGGGCAAAATCATCTATCATAGAGCGCATTTTATGACAAGCATTTAATGTCTCATTGAATACTATATTGGAAGCGCAAAACAGAATGGTTATATTGATACTTAAGGTAAGATTTCTACTGAATGCATATTGCTGCTGCACCATCACAAAATCAAAAAATCATACATGGAACCGTCGTAAGTCAGGACCATCTGTAATTAGTAATTTTTTCTCTATACCTAAATCTACATATTTTCATCTGGTTCTAAAACTTCATGTAAACAACTGCAAACATATAGGTCAAGACATTATGATTGAGACCAAAAAGGTTTTTTCTCTTTACTTATTTAATGTTAACATGGAGGATCATGTGAGTGCCTATTTTCCCTGTAGTAATTATAGCTGATTTTAAATAACACTACATAGGAGCTTTGCAGTAATACTGGTACTACTGCATTGTAATTCATATTAGTTTACCAGCAAGGATTAAAAATGATTTAGTGATTAAACTTTCCTTACAATGTTCTCCTGAAAAAAAAAATGCTAAATTCTGGTTCACAGGTGGGAAAGATGAAGCGCAACGCTGTGATTATCTAAGGGCTTGTTTAAAATACCAGAACATGCAGCAACTTGAGAGTCAGGAAATCTGGATCCAATGGCTCACAAATGACCACAAGCCATGTAAGACTCTTGGGCCTTAATTTTCACAGGTATAAAATCAGTGTTATAGCTAAAGGACTCTGACAGATGTAACATCTTATGAATACACCTCGCATATATGTGAATACGTTCATCTCCTAGGATATAAACCAGAGGGCTGGATTGCATGGAGTAGCTTGGGTGTGGGGTTAAGTCCCGACATGATTATAACATTTGAAGATGCAGAATCTTTCATTTTAACCCTCCCTTTCCATCCTTTTCCACCATTCAGGGTATCTCCTGAGAGAGATTGAAGAAACTTAGATTTTATCTCTTACCCTTTACTGTAGACATTTCAGTTATTTTAAGTTTGTTTCCTTCTTTGCTTCTGTATCATCCAAGTTTTTATTGTCTTTTTTTTTGTTTTAGTTGCCTTCCTTTCTCTTAGGGGCTTTTTCTGAACCGTGTAGTGATCCTCAGCTGTGATCTTACGTGGTAGGCGTAGCATGAAAAACTGATCAAGAAGCAGAGGCTGCACATGGGTGCACGTCAGTGGGGGCTCTGACTGGCCTGGTTCATGGGGGACCCCAAGTGTAACATCTGCAGACTCTTTCTCTTGGAATACACAATTTCTCCATAGAATTGTTTTCCAAACTATTCCCAAGACAATTATTTTCTGAAAAAAACTGCCCCCTCCCGATGAGGGAAAAGGCCTGAGGGGAGTTTTCTCCTCTTTGCCTCTGCTACTGACCTGTGAAAACCAAAAGGAAAGATGGTCCCACAAACAAATGGATCTCACCCAATTAAGTTCCAGATAAGAGTTTCTGGACCTTATTTTGGTCCCCAGAAATGGTAAAAAAAAAAATAAAAATAAAAATAAAAAAATGAGTTGAGGCTTCATAACCAGATCAGTCTGACTCCAGTACATACTTGCTTAACCACCTATTGCGTCTCACATCTAATTCATCTCTCCTAATCACACTATCCCTCCAGTTCTTTTTTTTTTTTTTTTTTTTTTTTTTTTGCTCTGACACCCAGGCTGGAGTGCAGTGGCCCCATCTCAGCTCACTGCAACCTCCACCTCCTGGGTTCACGCCATTCTCCTGCCTCAGCCTACTGAGTAGCTGGGACTACAGGCACCCGCCACCACGCCCGGCTAATTTTTTGTATTTTTAGTAGAGATGGGATTTCACCGTGTTAGCCAGGTTGGTCTCGATCGCTTGACCTCTTGATCCGCCCACCTCGGCCTCCCAAAGTGCTGGGATTACAGGCATGAGCCACTGCACCCGGCCCCTCCAGTTCTTGAACCCATATTACCTCTCTTTCATTTCCCCCTTGATGTGTTTATTTTCCATGTGTTTTGTTCCTCAATGCAATTTGAAGGACATGATCCCCAGACCAGTGGTTCTCAAACTTCAGTGAGCATGAGCATCACTTGGAGGGTGCAGAAGCATAGAGCGTTGCGCCCTGCCATCAGAGATTCTGATTCAGTAGGTCTGAGATGGAGTCTGAAAATGGCATTTCTAATAAGCTCTCCTCGGATGATGTACATGCTGCTGATACAGAGACCATACTCTGAGAACAATAGACAGAGAGTCTATATTCATCGAAAGAGCATCAGGCATAGAAGTAGCAAATGACTTCAAGCTATAGTCCTGGTGGGAAGAGAGCTTCTAATATCGTTTCTCCTTGGTTGGGTTAACATTTGTTGAAAGCTTTATTCAATTATGATTTAAGGCAATACTTACTTTAATACTGAGTGCTAATTTTCATTTTCTTACATTTAACTTTTTATTCATTCAACATGCCTTTTAGTGAATGATAAGATTAGAGATAGGAGTATGCTGTTTAGTAAAAGAAAATAGCATGGGAAAGGCAGAATATGGGAAACAATGAGGGGTTTTCAGGATGCGTAAGTTCCCAATTTGTTGAATAATACACACCACACACACACACACGTTCACATACACATCCTGCTGGTTCTATTTCTCTGGGGAACACTAATATAGTAATAGAAAAAAATTGTGTATATGTGTGTATGATAGCACATGTATGAAGAGCTAGCATATGTGTGGACATACATACATATGCATTAACTCTTACATATATGCTAATTATTCACATATATGTTAGGTAACATATATGTATATACGTATATTTACATATATTAATATGTATAATGTGTATAAAGCACAATGGTTTGAATTAGCATTTTAATAACAGCAGACGTTTGAATAAAGAGTTACAGGAAAAGAATTCAAGCTTAAGTGACATGGAGGAAATGGCATGATGAGCAAAAATAGCAAAATCAAAAGAAGTACTTATTTGGGAATAGGAGACAAGGTAGTACAACGAATTCAGGTTTATTTTGGAACATGTTACATTTGATTTACTAAATGGATCCCCAGGAAGGAAATTTAGGTAGTCAGAAGTGAAAGATTAGTAATGCATAATAAAATAATTGGGGAGGAAAGCAACATCTAAATTCCAAAATAACTGGAGTAAAACTGCCAAGATTTTTAAGGCATAAATATGTATATTTCTATTAACACAATATTAAAGAAAGACTAAAATTTTAATGGAATGGGTAGAGCAAATTCTGCATTTTAACAGTAATTTAGTAATTTCTGCCAGTGCTTCTATTAAAGCATAGGCAATATGTGTTATGAATTTATAATATATTACTTATATTTTTCATTTTTCTAATGCTTAAGATGAATTGCTACTTCATAAAAGTGAGCTCATATGTCAGGTGTCAAGTATTATTAAGTAGAATAGTATTAATGCTGAACTACCAAAGAAGCAAAAAATTATGGTCATACATACCTATATACAGTTTATTACAGTGATCATCCATTATATGTCAGACTCTGTGGTATTTCCTCTAGTTCTTCCTCAGGATATACCTGCTGGGTAAGTATTTCTTCCCTAATCTATAGATGAAGCTCTAACTAATTCCCTCGAGCACAAACAGCTAGTAAGGATCCAGTTTGATCTGAACCCAAACTCTATGTGGTTTTGACAACACTTAGGTGTGTGGAATAGTTAACAGAAAAGATTGTTTTTCACCCCGAAGCTTATCAAAATTAAGCATTTCTATTGGTTAGAAATGCCTCAAGAGCATTCTGTGGCTAAGGGTTTTGTATTCTTTTTGGGTTCTGCTCAGTCACAGAGGAAGTTGTAATAAAAGTTCTCTCATGGAAAGACACTTAATTTTACTTCAGCTACTGTCTCCTCCCACTCGCCATAAAAAGTTTATGTACCACAGACCATAAAGAATACAACCGAAGACACAGACTCACAGAACAGGGTTGATGTAATCTGTGCTTTGCAAACACTCTTCCTATACGCCATTTGTGGAAAAGCACAATAACTTTTCAGACATCTGTTTTTGAGGTTACAAAATCCGAAAACATCTACAGACTTCAAATAACTTTGTAAAATTTAACGGAATCTGCCATATTGGAAACTAATACCAGTCAAAATATATTATCTTAAAGCAACCTTTTCTTCTTCCATATATTATTTGGACAATTATTCCATTATCCATTTGTCTAGCACTGAGTATATTTACTGTACCTGGGGATGCTCCTTAGAGCTAAAATAACATTACAAATTGAGCAAGATTGCATACTTGTCCTTTCACATGTTCAAGCTTTGACAAAAACCAGGACAAAAGTCTTTGAAGATAGTCCAGAATCTTGTAACAGAAAGGGATGTGTCAGAAATTCAGCTTCCCGAGGTGGTGGAGCTCCAGAAGCTCCTGGAGCTCTGTGCTAAGTTACAAATTGGCTAAGGGGTAGGGCAGGCAAGCGACTGCTTACAAAAAGCACTATAAAAGGTAACTGGAAGCTGACCCCCAACCAAGAACCTAATCTGTTCCTGCTCAGTGGTTTCTCATAGGTCAGTCTATTTTTTCCTCTAGATGAAATATCATAAATTTCACCTACTTTCTTGGGAAAACCATCCCATACCTCATAATTACCAAAAGAAAAAACTTACAAAAACAAAGCACAAATATATGCTTTAAAAATACTTACTAAGTAAGTAAATCAAGTAGAATATAAAACCACTTTGTAAATGCCCTTTATGGTGGATGATACAAAAGCAGAAATAGCAAACCTACTTAGAAGGCAAGCCCAGTGAAATTAGGAGTGTATATTCTTTCAGTGTCAACCTTTAAGAATACAGACATTTCTCTTTGCACCAGGATCGAAATTAGGTTTATTATAAATTTGCTATGTATTAAAAACTTTGAAAGCTTTTGAATTGGTAAATGCCAGAGACAGGCTTGCTCTTAAGGTCTGCAGGGCCTGAGACCTGCATGTTGCCTGTGAGACTATTTTAAAGCTATTAATCAAGCTGGCGTTGTGGCCCTGCCTGGTTCTCACTAGGCCTCTTGAAGCCTATTTCTGTACTAACCCTTGAAGTTGATGCTCAAGAGGTATTGCTCTCCCCTGGGCTGCACCACTCCCTGAAAACTTGATTAGCAACCTGGATCTGCTGGCACAGGCCAAGGCAAAGACCAGTCCAGTGCCCAGAATGCCCAGCTCTCACTGCAGTTGCCAGAACTCAGAATGGGACTGACCCACTCAGGCTCCCTAGAGAGCCACAGGGGCAGAGTCTCCTCCCACTCTCCTCACCTTTCCAACTCAAGATTTCTAGGCCATTCTAATCACATCCAAAGTTAAACCACCCCCTGCACAGGGAGAGGTGGAATTCAGTTATGAAAAATCTAGTCTGACTAAACCTCACTTTGGGTGATGTGGGGGCAGTCAGCCTAAAACAAAAGCAGATCCTTTCCCTTGTCCTCCAGGGCAGAGGGTGTGATTTTCTCCCCTTCTCTGCTCACCCTTCTCTCTACTCCCCCTGTGCACGTGTGCGTACACACACAGGCATACAGATTTCTCTCAGCTCTACATCCTCTATCTAGAGGTCGAGATTTGGTTTCAAACATTCTTCCCAAATAATTCTGTTTACACAACCAGTTATCAGACTTTCAAAAATTTTCCTTAAAAAATCAAAAAGAAAAAAGTCATTGTATTTTCGTGTTTGGGATATGCATTGCTCCTCTGAAGGCTGGACAGATTCTAGGAGATTCCCTTTGCTTATATTTTAATATTATCTTCATTAATTTTCTCTAGTGGAAGCAAGTCTGGCAATTCAATCACATCTGCAAGAGAGACATATAATTGACTAACTGTCATTTCAAATGCAGTTGTATTGTTTCTCATGCAGTATTTGTTCTAAAGCCTTTCAAATCTTTTTTTTTAAGTTTTAGAGTATCTTTTTTATGTTTTATTTTATTGGGATAAGAAGACAACATAAGATCTACCATCTTAGCAAATTTTTAAGTGTACAATACAGTCTTGTTGACTATAGGTGCAATGCTGTAGAGCAGATCTGAGAGAAAGGCAGAGCATCTTATTACCTCTTTATGGTTAGATTGAGCTTTGGAAAGAACAGAATGTGCCACTCAGAGTTCCCCTTTCCAGTAGAGATTCACCCCTCTCCATTTCATGCAGTTCTCTTGGGACGGTCAGTCGTGGAGCTTTACCTGGGCACTGGCACCTGGGATGGGAATGTGACCAAGGATTGGACAACCTGAGTATTTCATGCCCTGGTAGCATGATTGGTTCATGACAAACTAAGTTAATCTGACAGAGATACTGAGAAAAGTTATGTTCTCTTCCTCAAGAATCAAATGTATGTAGAATTAGGGCTGTCAGCTGCCATCTTGTTGACTTGTGGAAAAAACCTTTCTGAAATTGAAGCCAAAGAGAAGCAGGGAGAGATGAGAGATAAAGTTCTAACGACAATGTTTAGATTTCTGAATCCAGCTATGTCCATTTGCAAAGGTCAATAAATTCTTTGATTTGGCTTAAATTAGTGTGAATTGGATTTGTGTCACTTGCAAAAAAAGTGACTGGAAAATAGCATTTCATTCTGAAAGCAACAGTTCCATCTGACGCCTGGCAAATCCACACAGATGTCTCATAAGTACAACATCTTAAAAAATAAACTTGTTTTCCTCTCCCATATTCCATGTCACCAACAAACAAACAAAAAACAAAAAACACTCCCACTGACATTTTGCTTACGTAAGTACTGCCACACATTCACTTGAAAATGCCTGAACCCATCCTCTCCTCTGTTCTTCCACTCTTGCTGCTTAATATATAATCTCAATATTTTTTTGGCTAACCTACTGCAATAATCTTTTCCTAATTGCTCTCCCCTACCTCCAGTTTTTCCCACTTCCAACTGTATTTCAGTTGTTGCCAGAGTGAAATTTCTAAAGTGTACATTTAAACGGGTGACACCCACATAAACAATTTCAATAGCCCGTTACTGCCTAAAAGATAAAGTTCTAATTACATAGTATATCCATAGCTCCTTTATAGCTTTGCTTCAGACTCCACACTTCTAACCCAGTCTCCTGCCACTACTACCATGCATATAATCTGTGTTCCATCCATAACAAATTATCTCTGTTCCTTGGACACGCTAGTTGTTTGCATATAATGTTTCTGCTTTACCTGGAATGACCTTGTCAACATTCGGCCCTATCAGAAAATTATGTGCCTTCTGAGACTCAGCTGAGCTTTGTTTCCTTCCCGTAGATTTGTTTAAGGTTCTATATTATCTAAAAATCCTCAGTCCTTCTACTTTAGAAGCTTAGCATTCTATTTGTACCCTTTTTCTTAAATTCACTTGGAAAATCAGTGAGGTATGTCACAAGGGAACAGGAAGTAGTAATGTGTCCAAGAACTTTGCTGTAAAGAGGCAATGTTTATTATCTATTGTTCTGGAAGCCAAGGCAAATGCAAAAATTTAAATCTTTTGATCCTGTACTATTTCATTGGCTCAATATATCCATGGATTACCCACTCGTTCTATAATAGAAGCCCTAAATATGCACTGGCATTTGCTGAAATCGTAGAGGACACTCCATGTTGTTTAAGGCCTGCCCCCTTCTGTATAACTTCTTTCCTAGGGCCCAACTGGTAACTTTGTTACAAAAAAAAATTAGGGATTTTCCTGTGTTTTCACAAGCGTCTTGTTTTGGGCATTTCCTCAAGGTCTCTGGCATGGATACCTTTTGCTGGCTGTCTCCATTTCAAGATACTTTGTAGAGTTTATCTATTGTAGCCAACCCACTGGAACTCTCTCCTTGTACATTTCCCCACTTCTTATTACTGACCAGAGCCTCCTTTTAAGTCTGGTTAACAAGAAATATGGATGTTAGCTTAGCCATGAGCACACTTTTAAAGGGCCAACAGTGATCATGAAATCCAGCCCCAGATTTTTTTTTTTTTCAGTTACTTAGCACTTCTTCCTAAGTCTTGTGTTTTAGCCTCTAAATGGAAGGAAACAAAAGTTCCTGTTTATTTCTCTAAAGTGCCTGCCTGCAACACTGATTTGTTCATTTTGAACCAGAGAATAGCTGAAGCAAGCAAAAGTGAGACTTATTCATTTAAAATGGTTATTTCGGTCCATCTCAGCAGCCTGGCTCCTTGAGGCTTTCCAAGGCAACAATACCCGGGTAAGGGTGGTTTATCATTCACTCCTTGATCGTATGAAGCTAAATGCTGGATTTTTAGTCATAGGTGTGCTAAGAAACCCTCAATGCCCAGGCAAGACATGCTGAATATATTCTGTGCATTCTGGTAAATACATCAAGGTAATAATTACTTCCACATTTCCCCTTTTAAACACACATTTTTTACTCAGGGCCACAGTTTGCCCTTACATACACCCAATGCATTTCAGATTTCTCTGTAATTTAAAGAAAAAGCATTGCTGAGGTGAGCCAAATTTATATATGAGCTCTTTGTGTAAGCTATTTCAGAGCTACAAAGGCTATGTCCCCACGCTTATATACAGTTGGTTTCCTCATAATGGCTTTCTGCCATCAATTGGAATACCTTTCTTACAGTACCCCAGATCCCAATATGAAAAGCATTTACTTTTTTTTATTATTTTTTTTTAAAGAAAGAGTTCTTATGTATGTTTCTAAAACAGGAGGGCTGGTTTGCATTTTTGAGATCCTCGATCTGAACACAATAAAAAAGGTGATATGTTGGGGGGGAAAATAGTGACTTGTAATGCCAGTGGAAAGAATGGGCTCATTTTCTTGCTTTGGAAGCAAGGGGGTGGGGGAGCATATATAATTTTTATTTTACTGTATGGAAACTGAAGACAAAAAGTATTATTACATGTCTCTATAAAACAAAGCAAATGTAATAAAACATATACATTTGTAATATTATTTAAAAAAGAATTCACTTCTGTTATATGCATTTATTCCTTATGTATACTATATACATATATTTTTTGTTTTATAATACTTTGAAATCTTCACTATGATTATTAATTAGGTTATCATTTATACAACTCTGTTCAGTATTGATAACGTCTTTTCAAAACGACAGTTGTTCATCTCCGAGTATTTTTGTTTTATTAACATTTGAGACTGACTTTAATAATTTTTTCATCACAGGTTTTCAACATAGAAGTATGTTTCTTAGTTTCAACTGCTCCTTCTAATTATATTTGATTTGAGAACGTTTGAGACTTGATTTTTGGAAGTGGGTTTCTTTGTGCATTGTTTTTACATTTTTCTAAAACAGCCAACAGTTTATAGATGTATTGGGAAGCCACCAGGTTTTACTGTGTTTCTTACTTTTATCCATACTTTCTATTAAAATACCAATTTAAAATAGCTCAAAATTCTGTCTGTGGTTTTGGAGACATTAAACTTAAGTGCATCTTGTGAATCAAGTACATGTCTCTGCAGAGACAATCAAAAAGAAAAAGCAATTGAAAACTCAAGTACAATGTTGTTATGTTTTATTATAAAGAGTATTTAAAAAGCCAGATATTGTGGTGCCAGATACATTACTTTAATGGTTAACTTCTTGGCATCTCGTCAAAAGGTAGAACTTGTATCTGGAAAAACTTGATGAGAAAAAAATGTCATAGCTATAATTTTACTGCCTCATACTACACAAAATTGTCTGTTCAAGTTTTACCTGCGTAACTCTGTGAGCAGTCCTGTGTTCAGCGCCATCCATGGAGGTTTGTGGAGGAAGTTATCCAGGAACACAAAAAACAGTCATTTTGATGTTTCCTTAGATTGTTTGTATAAGTTCAAAATTAAAAATGACTTTTGACTACCTTAACATCAATTAAATTCAAACCTAGACTTAATTGACCTATTCTCCAAATGAGAAGTCCGAAATTCCGTGAATTCTCAGGAAAATATCTGTATTATCTTTATTTGCAGCTTTTGGCTGAGTAAATCAAAAGACTCAGGAATTATATTTTATAGTATACATTCCTTTAATCACATTTATTCCTCTCTATTTTAATTAAGATATTCATATCTGACTTCCCAGTAGGCAGAGGGACAATCAGAAGAACAGGGACAGTACCTTTGTATCTTTAGTATCAAAAGCAATGCAACTTGTAAATGTGAAAAATTCAAATGACTTATCTGTAAAACAGGCCAATGCCATATCGCAGTAGGGATGTGTCATAAGTGAAAACATTTATGCCTGACACTCAATGAATGCCCCTTCTCTTTCTTTCCCTGAGTAGTTAGTGGTCTATTCTCTGTAAATTACTCAAAAGTATTTGTCTTCCTGTGTAATTTGCCTTAGTTAATCCTTCATACAGCAATGTAAAAAAGGTTTTACCCAAGGAATGAGGAGAAAGAGGAGAGGAAGCTACTAAATGTTGAGCATTTACTTTCTGTCTTTGAGATAGGCCACAGTGCCTCACTTGGGTTGATGCTTCCAGTTGTTTCTAGTCCCATAGCTTTTCTCTGGAAGAGAGTGTAGTCAAGTGGCTAAATGCTTTGGCCCTAGAACCATGTTGAAAGTGTTCAAATGCCAGGGTTTTAAAGTCTTGTGCACTTGGGAAAATGATGAGCCCTCTCTGAGCTTTAATTTACCCTGGAAAACTTGAATAAATGTTAACCTACATCATCAGGTAGTAGAGAGGATCAAATAAGATTGATGCAAGCAAAATGTTTATTTTAGACTCTGGCACATGGTAAGATTTGTTACATTATTCCCCAGGTGTTAAAGATGAGGCTGAAGGTAAGGAGCAGAGGGAAAATGCATTGATTAATGGCATACTAACACCATTTGCTAACTTTCTCATAATGGGAAAATGTTGATAACATTTAATATGGGTCCATCCTTATCTTACCACTTCTCCTTGCAAGCCAACTGTGTCAGTTGCCAGCTCTACTAAACTCAGAGCAAAATGGGCATTCTGAGCTGCCAGAGAGGGTGGCAAGCTACAGAATGGTAAATGTCTGTTAGTACAATGGCTTCTTATGCTGTTAAAACTGCAGCATAAGGTTGGGCAGATGAGCATGTGGCTTACAGTGTCCCAAGTGAGACCATATCTGTTACACCAGTTGCTCTTCATCACAATTAAGGATGGAGAAGGGCCAAGTTTCGTGGCTCATACCTGTAATCCCAGCACTTTGGGAGGCCGAGGTGGGAGGATCACCTGAGGTCGGGAGTTCAAGACCAACCATGATCAACATGGAGAACCCCGTCTCTACTAAAAATACAAAAAAAAAAAAAAAAGAAAAATTAGCCGGGCATGGTGGCACATTCCTGTAATCCAGCTACTTGGGAGGCTGAGGCAGGAGAATCGCTTGAACCTGGGAGGCGGAGGTTGCAGTGAGCTGAGACTGCACCATTGCACTCCAGCCTGGGTGACACAGCGAGACTCAGACTCAAAAAAAAAAAAAGTTAAGGATGGAGAAAATTGAAATATGGAAAATGTGAGCAGTTTACATGAATTCACAAAATGTTTAAGAGGAGGAGGTGAGTCTTGTCCATGCTTTCTATAAAAGGGAAATACAATAGCTGTTAATTCCTTGCTCATTATTTTAGAGACATTGCCAAAGAAAGATAAGTAGCTGCATATATATTTACTGAGTTGTTTTCTTCAAAAAAGAATGTATAATTCAAAAGACCGATGCCAGTATAATATAAAAGTGACTGTTAATGTAAAAAAAAAAAAATCCACAATATTTTCTTGAGCGATTGGCATAACATATCACTTCCATGCAAGTGAAGTGAAGATTGAGAGGGAACTTATCAGTGTCATATCCCTGGTTCAAAATGACAAGTCTATGCACAGGTTTATTCTGGCCTGTGTCTCTTGTTTTTGTGTCAATCTTTGTTCTCCACCTACATTTTAAGTTCTTTAAATATAGGGGCCATGACTTACCCTTCTGCTAAGAACGGTTATTACCAAATAAAGTATACATGAACAAATAATGTGTAGTAAGCCATAACTATGTCTCATGAAGAATTAGAAGCTTGGGAAATCGGTCCAAATGGAAGCATGAATTCATGAATACTTAGTTGAAGTCAGGATTCGAGAATCTTACTGGTTCATAGGAAGCTAGAGGCAGAGTACAAAGGCTGATGACTTCAAAATCAAAGTCTTGAGGAGATGGTCAGGTAATCCACCCTAGGATGTTGTCAACCCAAAGGGACTAGATCGTTGAGAGAGAGAGAGAGAGAGAGAGAAGTCCAAAGCAGTGAGTGGCAAACAAATTAGTAAGAAAAAAAACAATCAATCCCATCAAAAAGTGGGCTAAGGACATGAATAGAAAATTCTCAAAAGAAGATACACAAATGGCCAACAAACATATGGAAAAATGCTCAACATCACTAATGATCATGGAAATGCAAATCAAAACTACAATGCAATACCACCTTACTCCTGCAAGGATAGCCATAATCAAAGAATCAAAAAACAGTAGATGTTGTCATGGATGCGGCAATCAGGGAACACTTCTACACTGCTGGTGGGAATGTAAACTAGTACAGCCACTATGGAAAACAGTGTGGAGATTCCTTAAAGAACTAAAAGTAGAACTACCATTTGATACAGCAATCTCACTACTGGGTATCTACTCAGAGGAAAACAGGTCATTATTTGAAAAAGATACTTGCACATGCACGTTTATAGCAGCACAATTCACAATTGCAAAATAGTGGAACCCAAATGTCCATCAATGAGTGGATAAAGAAACTCCAGTGTGTGTATATATGTGATGAAATACTACTCAGCCATAAAAGGAACGAATTAACAGCATTTGCAATGACCTAGATGAGATTATAGACTATTATTCTAAGTGAAGTAACTCAGGAATGGAAAACCAAACATCATATGTTCTCAATGATATGTGAGAGCTAAGCTATGAGGACGCAAAGGCATAAGAATTATACAGTGGACTTTGGGGACTTGAGGGGAAGAGTGGGAGGGGAGCCAGGGACAAAAGACAATAAATGTGGTCCAGTATATACTGCTTGGTTGATGTGTGCACCAGGTTCTCACAAATCTCCACTAAAGAGGGTACTCATGTAACCAAATACTACCTGTACCCCAATAACTTATGGAAAAATAAAATTTTAAAAATAAATAAGTAAATAAAGCAGTGAGTGGGAAAATAATCTGAATTAAGTAGATGAACTAAAGAGAGTTAACTGTAGCAATCTTTTTTTCCAGGGAAAGGACAAGACACGGAGTGGTGGTGGTGGTTTTAACCTGGGACAAGCAGAGGAAAGCAGTCATTAAAGAGGTCAAGTCTCTGTGAGTCACTATGGTTATTTATTGTGAAGACACAGTCTCTTAACTTCTCAGTCTCCACCAAGCAGTCACGCTAAGTGATAAATGAGTCAATCAGATAATATATTATAAATATTTATTTTTATTAATATGGAAAAAAGATCATAAATATAATTAAAGAAGGACACAGTATGATCTATCAGAGACAGATCTGTGTGTATACATATATGTGCAATGTATACTTGAAAGAGGAATTGAGAGTTTACACACTGAATTATTGCAGAATTTACTGATGGGTGCTGGTAATATGGTTGTTTACTCTTTCCTTTTTGGTGTGTAACTTTTCTACAATTTTTATTTTGTAAATGTGTTTTACTTTTGTAATGAGAAAATATACATTTATACTTGAAGAATAACTCTACAAAGTAAATAGCTACTCTGTCATATTATAACCACCATAAGAATAGGTTATAATGGAGCAAAAATATGCATGAGAATCATATAGTCCTTCATTGGACAGTACACCAAGGCATACTACACTTTTCTGATTTCTTACACAGATATATCACTGATTGTCCAAAGTCCCTTAGAATATTTTATCTCTTGTCTCCCCATCACATTTCCTAGCTTTGGCTGTTTCTTTGCCTTTTTCCCAGCCAGTGTTTCTAAAACTAATGCAGAATGAGAACATAATGACATTGGTTCTATAAAGAAATTGTTCTCCAGCCTGGTCAACATGGTGAAACCCCGTGTCTACTAAAAATACAAAAAATTAGCTGGGCATGGTGGTGGGTGCCTGTAATCCCAGCTATTCGGGAGACAGAGGCAGGAGAATTACTTGAACCCAGGAGGCAGAGGTTGCAGTGAGCCGAGATTGCGCCATTGCACTCCGGCCTGGGCGACAGAGCAAGACTCCGTCTCGAGAAAAAAAAAAAAAAATGTTCTTCACCTGCAGAGATGCTACTGAGGCATTGTCAGCAACACATGCACTTAAAGTTATGTGTTTGCAAATGTAGATGGTAGTGTTGAGTCACCCATACTCTGTCTCTTGATCCCCTTTTGATCAGCAGCAAACATTTGCAAGGCAGCTGGCTGGAATCATGGCTGCAAGCTGCATGAGCATAACACTAGCTTTGGTCATACGTAGGAAACTAAAGGGATAAATATCATACCCTTGGCATTATTAACACTGTATTCTCCACAATTGCTAAACTGCACGCCACTATGTATATTTGAACCGAGAGCAAATTTACTGTGACATCTTAGACTAATTTTAGATTCACTGTTGTTGAGAAACACAAATCAGAATTTTTATGAGTATCATGTGCCTAGTGGGTGGGTGGACTAGAACAGTGGTTTAGAAGAAAGAGACCTGACTTCTAGACTTAAATAAATCATCCTTTAGATAAGTAATTTTCACTGGCCTTAATCTTGGTATCTGCAAAACAAGGGATTTGAGTAGTTCATTGTTTCCAAACTTGTTCAATGTTAATAAGTTCACCAAGTACTGCCTGATATGACAGTTCCCTGTTCCTGTACATTGCTATTTAGCAGGAATGGAGCCTATGAACTACAATTTTAGCAAATACTCCAAGTAACTGATATGATAAGAAAAATTGGATAACACTGGATGAAGTGTTGTTTGACCTCCCCACCCTAACCGTAAAAAGTCAGTAGTATAGGAGGGGGTCATCATTACATTATTGTTAACACATTCCTACATGAATGGCTACGGTGAGAGATTTGCCTGTTGCAACAACAACAAACAAATCTAAGAGATCATTTCCTTTAAGGACACATTGTTTTGCTTTTATGGTATAACTAAATGGCCAAATATAGATTCACTCACACATACTGTGCATTGAAACCAACGGAGCGAACATGAGTCCTTAGAATAAAGGCCTGTGACATCAAGCATTCAGCTGTTAACCAGAGGGAAATCACTTGTACTTTTCTAGCCTGTAGTCTTATCTGTAGTTACAGAATTTCTTTGCAACATTTACTATTGTAAGATGTAGAACATGGTGAAATGTTGTAGAAATCACGGAAATGTAGGCTTGAGATGATGCCAGCTTTGAAGATTATAAGTGTGGGCCCTGTTAAAGAGATGAATCACATAAAGTAGAATATAGCACACAGACACACACTCACACACACATAGACACACACCTTTGCTCATACTCAAACATTCACACACAGAAACATACTTACGCTCCCCAAAATAAGAACACATGCACCCCTTTTCCGAACACTTGCTGTGCCAAACTTTCAACTCTGGATTGAGTTTTTCGTTGATTAAACACATGAAACTGAAACTATCCAAATAAACTCTTTTGGCAGTTATTGAAAGTCTTTTGAAGTAAACCAGAATGCTTCTACAGTCAATGTTTCCATACTGAATCAGTCCCTGTCACAGTGATATTATGTTTATTTTTATGCTGGAATGTAGATTTTTTCTTTCTTTGCACCAGCTCTGCAAAGATAAAAATAAGAGGTAATGAAGCAGAATGCTATGGGTTTGAGGACCTCTTCCCTGGAGAATGTGTAGGCTCTAATTCTTTTTACAATCTCTTTATAATAAGATTGGCCTGCTACTTCATAGCAGTAATTGCAGCCTTCTTCTATTCGTCAGAAAGAGAAACTATTTTCTCGCCTCTGTGAATCAGTAATCCTTCTTAATACTTAGTGATTCCCTCAGTCCTCTTATGTTTCCAAAGCCATGTTGTCTGTTGGAGCTTGTCATGTGTGACAGGAATTGACTGGGAGGGACCCATGTGGGAAATTCTAAAGGTACTTTTGAAAATTTCCCCAAAAGCTTGCCTGTTTTTTTCAGAGCCCTTTACTGATCGGAAGCAAAAAAAAAAAAAAAAAAAATTGATAAACCAAACTTAAAACTTGAGTACAAGTATGACAAAATTAAACATATCCAAAAGTGAACTCATAATTTTCTACACTCCCCATAAAGCCACTTCCTTCCTCTAAAAATCCCTGTTTTGGATAATGGCATCGAGCTAAGTGTTAAAGCCATAAACCAGAGTCACCCTTCTCTGCTAGACAAATCCAGTTATTCATCACACGCTGGCAATTCTAAATTCAAAATATCTCTTATTTCTCATCTGTCTGTTCACTCCCCACTCGTGAGGCCTCATAGTAGGATTTCATTGATTCTAGCCTGTTCATCTCCCTGCCATTAGTCTTTGCTTACCTAAAGTCCTGATTCCGCTGCCAACTAAAGTAGGAATCTGATTTTGTCTTTAATAAATTCTTGAATAAGATGAAAAACAAATGCTTTTTTCTTATGATTGTCAGCTCGTTTATAACCCAGCCTCAGTCTGACATCTCAGACTCATATGTTATTATTTCCTTTAGCCTTTATCGACTTTCTTTTAGCCGCACTGACTTTCTTACCATTCCCTAATCATGTCTCCTTGTTATTTGTCTATCTTTGCATGGAATATCTCCCAAGAGATGGAATTCCATTACCTCTCACACCACAACACTCCTGCTCTAGTCTAAAAAACTCCACTCAACCTTTAATCTTCTCATGTCACCTTCCCTATGAGGCATCCTCAATTTCCTCACAGAGCACTGCATTCCTAATCTATTAATAAAGTGCAAATCATATTATGGATGGTGCAGTGGGTTGAATGGTGGCCTCCCTAAAAGGTACATCTCATCATAATCCCTGAACCTCTGAATGTGACCTTACTAGGCAAAACACTCTTCGCAGATATAATTAAGAATCTGAGGATGAGATCATCCTGGATTATATGTGTGGGCTTTAAATCCAATACAAGTGAACCAATAAGAGACACACAGAGCAGAGCCACACAGGGAAAACAGGAGACCATGTAAAGATGGAGGGAGAGATTGGATTGACCAAAACCCAAGAAACTCTGGAGCCACATGGAAGAGGCAAGGCAGGATTGCCCCATTAGAGCCTTTGGGAAGAGTAAGCCCTGTAGACACCTTGACTTCAGACTGCTGGCCTCCAAACCGTGAAAGGTTAACCTTCCATTACTTAAATCCACCGAGTTTGTGGGAAGTTGTTATGGCAACCCTAGGAAACTAATGTAGGTAGCTATTTATACATTCACTCCTAACTATATCTTAAAATTCTGCAGGGCAGATGTCCCACATTGTTTTTAAATTAATAGACTTTATTTCTTGAGCAGTTTTCACTTTACAGAAAAATTGAGCTCCAAGTACAGAGCATTCTCATATACCCCTTCCCATTTCCCTTATTATTAACAGCTTGCATTAGTGATGTACAGTTGCTACAGTTAATGAGCCAACAGTGATACGTTATTCTTGACTGAAGTCCATAGTTTACATTAAGGTTCACTCTTTGTATTGTATATTCTGTGGGTCTAGGCAAATGTTAATGACATGGAACCACCATTACAGTATCATACAGAATAGTTTCACTGCCCTAAAAATCCTGTGTTCCACCTATTTATTCTTCCCTTCTCCCAAACCTTGGAAACTGCTGATCTTTTTTACTGTCTCCACCTGCCTTTTCCAGAAAGCCATATAGTTGGAATCATACAGTATGTAGCATGTTCAGATTGACTTGTTACCGTATCAGCGTTTACGTTTTCTTCATGTCCCTTGTTTGTTTGATAGCTCATTTTTTAAAAATCACTGAATAATCTTCCATTGTATAAGAGGCCATAGATTTGTATTTCACCTTTGTAGCCTTACCACATCGCTCAGAGTATTACATAAATGTTCATTAAATTAATAGATACACAAGTAGATACATATACATGGATGAATGACTGAATAAACAGTGAACGAGTTTTAATGACTTATTGAATATAAAGTGAAAGTATGCAATCCTATAAAACGACTAAAGTGACTATATTATTTTCTTGCTGTCACTGAAAGCACGCAATGGATGTCACTCAGGATTTCTAGGTTCATTCTGGGTTCTGGCTTGCATTGAACTGGTTTGTGTTAGATCCCAAGGCCAAAGGAATAAACTGAACTGAAAAAGTCGGTATACCTAAATGACTCCTGGCCACATCAGAAATCGCCTTAAACTGCTAGGAAGTGTATAATTCATCTTCACAGATTCACAGTACTTTGAGTTTCATTACTGTTGAGTTTTGTTGTCAATTTTAAAAACAGTTAAAAGGTAAAAAACATGTAATACTTATGAAGCTTCTTCAGGGCACAATTTCAGGCTGAGTAATATCATTTCTCTGTCCTATAGCTGAATGGCTGAGATCAGAGGATTTGCTTCAGTTACCCTTTTATCTCACCCTCTTTTTTGTTGAAAAGATTAACTTTCAGTAGCACTTAATATTTATGAATGAAATTATACCAAATAGAGAATTCAAAATAATTTTGAGAGGTCTTATGGGAAAAGGAAAAAGATTGGTCCCAAGATGATAACTGTTGAAGCTGAGTAACAGAGATAAGAAAGTTTATTATATTCTCTACATTTGTATATGTTTGAATTTTTCCATAGTTAAGAAAACTCATTTTATAAAATACTGATAAAAAGAATGTCAACATAATTTGTTGTTATTGTTATTGTCATTGTTGTTGAGACAGAGTCTCGCTCAGTCACTCAGGCTGGAGTGCAGTGGTCCGATCTCAGCTCATCGCAACTTCTGCCTCCCAGGTTCAAGCGATTCTAGTGCCTCAGCCCCCCAAATAGCTGGAATTACAGGTGGCACACTACCATGCCCGGCTAATTTTTGTATTTTTAGTAGAGACGAGGTTTCACCATGTTGGCCAGGCTGGTCTCGAACTCCTGGCCGCAAGTGATCCACCCATCTCGGCCTCCCAAAGTGCTGGGATTGCAGGTGTGAGCCACTGCACCCGGCCAACATATTTTTTAAATAACTACGTTATAAATGTAAACTGAAAGTCGTTTTAATCTCATGTCAAATCAGAATTTTTGATACCCCTAAAATACCTAATACCCTAAAAATCTGTGTGAATTAAGCAGCTTCAGACCTTTACATTGCCTAAGTTGCTTCTCTCTCTCTCGCTCTGCCTCCATATATATATATATTATTATGTAATTATATTATATTATACATATCTCTCTTCACATATATATATCTCCATATATATTACTACAAACAGTTAATATATTACTATTAAAAAGTTAGTATAAAATATATACTATAAGAAAGTTGCAAGACGAAATATTTGAATAGTCTCATAAAGCTGTCAGCATATAATATGATTTCGGCTGCATTTTTTCGTGGTGACTTCAGAGAAGATACATGAAACATTATCTGATATGCAACCTCACGGTAAATAATTTCGTTTATTCTCAAATTATTGGTATACCACAAATAGGAAGGATTCCCCTTCCCCCACTTTTGGCAATCCTTAAATAAACTGCAAATTCATGTCACCATCTGGCTGGCAATGGACACAGGCAGATTAATCATTTCCTTTTTGAATAATAAAAAAAGTTCCCTTCAAAATGCCCCCAAAATATTGGATAGGAAAGAAAAACATGAAAGTTTTATTTACAATTTCAAATGGTTTGCAACACACGAAACCCTGCAACGGAAACTTGCTTTGCTCAAGCTGGCATTACACAGTTTGATTTCTTATTGATAAACATATATATTATGCCTACAAGAAATGTCATTTATTAAAAGAATGATACAAAAAATTGAACTTTTGGTTTTCAGAAAGCACAGATTGCTCAAACACAGCATCTTAGTTCCCCAGGAGGCTCCACTCAGTGCCTCCCAACACCTCTCACTTCAGTCTCCCGCTTTTTCATTCTTCTCTTCCTCACTGTTTATAATAATAATTTGTAACACATTTATCATCGTTGGTAAAGTAAATCATTGAAACCTGAATTGCCGCCACCTTGCTGTTGAACATGGAAAAGAGCTGAAATCCCTTTGAAATAACCTGTATCACTTGGTTGATATTTTTTTCCTGCCCGTAGCAATGTTACTTTGGTTTTGTTGTTTTGAAGCTTTTTGATTTTTTTTTGCTACACATTTTGATGTTTGACTAATAGAAAAATATTTCCTTATTTTCTTAGTCATTACTATGCCAAGTGATTCATTTCTTCTCTGCCTTTTTTTTGTAGCCTCAGGCATTCTTAGTGGTGTCACTAAATTTATCTTGCAGATGTTAAAAAAGAATCCCCACTAGAATCCTAGTATGTAGACTTTTATAGTGTTATGAAACATGCCTATTTTTAAATATTTAATTAATATTTTAATGTGGTATAAATAACAGCATCTCTGAAGCCATTGCCATTCCCAGGAGTCAGGGGAGGCTATACAGAACACTGTCCTGTTACAATAATTTTCTAATGATTTGGATTATAGTCATTGCTTCCTTTTTCTGCTGTTATAATAATTTGACCCCTGACCCATACCAACTTCCTAGTCATCTATTCAGTTTTTATTTATTTATTCAATAAATATCTCTTGACCACTACTTTTTTGCCATGCACTGAGTTAAACATTGTTAACTATTAGTTTAATACATTGTTAATACATTCAAGTAGCTCACACATCCTGAGGGCTGTCTTTGTTCAAAGAGTGTTTATAGACAAGAAAAATGGGAGTAACAATGTCCTTCTGTGACATAAGCATAATTGGAAAAAAAAGTAAAAGTATAAACAAGAGAGCTTTGGAAAGAAAAGAAGGTTCTGAAACATTTTAGATTGGGAGCAAATATTTGGATTTGAACACCAGGCTTTCTAGCTTTTGACAAAATTCAAAATCCTTTTACATGAAAATCCCTCAACAAAGTAGGTAGAGAAGGACTTTACCTCAACATTAAAAAGGTCATGTATTAAATATATATGTGTGTATATATATATACATATACACACATACATACATATATCTCACAGCTGATATCATACTCAATGGTGAAAAACTGAAAGATTTTCCTATGAGAAATAAGGCATGATTGCCCCATTCTCCACCACTTCTATTCAACAGAGTACTGGAAGTCCTCGATATAACAATCAGGCAAAAAAGAAATAAAAGTCATCCAAATTGAAAAGGAAAAAGCAAAATTATCTCTGTTTGCAGATGACATGACCTTACACATTGAAAATGTCAAAGACTCCACCAAAAAAAAAAAACCTGTTAGAATTAAGAAATGCAGCAAAGTTGTTGATTCAAAATCAACATACAAGTATCAGTTGCATTTCCGCACACTATCAAAGAACTGTTCAAAAAAGAGATTAAGAAAGCAATCCTGGTCAGGCACGGTGGCTCACACCTGTAATCCCAGCACTTTGGGAGACCGAGGTGGGTGGATCACGAGGTCAGGAGATGGAGACCATCCTGGCTAACATGGTGAAACCCTGTCTCTACTAAAAAAATACAAAAAATTAGCTGGGCGTGGTGGCGGGCACCTGTAGTCCCAGCTACTTGGGAGGCTGAGGCAGGAGAATGGCATGAACATGGGAGGCGGAGCTTGCAGTGAGCCGAGATTGCACCACTGCACTCCAGCCTGGGTGACAAAGCGAGACTCCGTCTCAAAAAAAACAACAACAACAAAATAAGAAAGCAATCCTATTTACAATACCCTCAAAAAGAATGCAAATTTATGAACAAACTTAACGAAGGAAGTGGAAGTCCTTGTACACATGAAACTAGAAAATATTGATGAAAAAAATTAAAACACAAATAAATGGAAAGACGGCTGGGCGTGGTGACTCACATCTGTAATCCCAGCACTTTGGGAGGCTGAGGTGGGTAGATCACCTGAGGTCAGGAGTTTGAGACCAGTCTGGCCAACATGGTCAAACCCTGTCTCTATTTAAAAAAAAAAAAAAATTAGCTGGACTTGGTGGTGGGCACATATAATCCCAGCTACTTGGGAGGCTGAGTCAGGAGAATCACTTGAACTTGGGAGGCGGAGGTTGCATTGAGCTGAGATCACGCCATTGCACTCCAGCCTGGGAAACAGAGGGAGACTCTGTCTCAAAATAAATAAATAAATAAAATAAAATAAAAATAAATGGAAAGACATCCCATGTTCATGAATTGGAAGAATAAATATTGTTAAAAGTGTTCATACCATCCAAAGCAATCTACACATTTAATGCAACCTCCATCAAAATCCCATTGACATTTTTTACAGAAAAAGAAAAAACAATCCTAAAATCCAAATGAAACTACAAAAGACTCCAAACAGCCAAAGCAATCTTGAGAAAGAACAAAGCTGGGGGCATCACATGTCCTGATCTCAACATATGTTACAAAGCAACTGTAATCAAAATAGTGTGGTACTAGTATAAGGAAAAACATATAGACCAATGGAACAGAATAAAGAGTTTGAAAATAAACACACAATATGGCCAACTGATCTTCAACAAGGGTGTCAAGAATACACAATGAGAAAAGGGTAGTTTCTTCAACAAATGTTGTTGGGAGTGGTGATGGAGCACGATAGCAGAATAGAAATCTCCACTCATCATCCTTTCTGCAGGGATACCAATTTAACAACTCTCTATACCAAAAAAGCACCTTCATAAAAACCAAAAACCAGATGAGCACTCTACCTGGTTTTAACTTCATATCCCTGAAAGAGTCACTAAAAAGATAGGAAAAGCAGTCTTGAATTGCCAACACCACCCCTCCTCTATCCCTTAGCAGTGGTGGCATGGTGTGGAAAGGAAATCTGAGTGCTTAAAAGAGGAAGAGTACAGCAATTGTGAGACTTGCATTGAACTCGGAGCTTCCCTGTTAATAGCAGAAAGCAAAATCAGAATGAACTCAGTTGATACCCACCCACGGAGGAAGCATTTAAACCAACCCTAGCCAGAGGGGAATTGCCCATCCCAGCAGTTGGATCTTAAGTAACTGCAAGCCTCACTACCATGGGCTAAAGGGCACCATGGCCCTAAATGAGTTTGAAGGGTAGTCTAGGCCACAGGACTGCAACTCCTAGGCAAGTCCTAGCGCTGAACTGGGCTCAGAGACAGGGAACTGAACGGGTGCACCACTTACTAAGACAAAAGTGCTGGCACCACACCTCCCCTAGCCCCAGCCTGCAAAGCTCATGGCTCCAAAAGAGAACCCTTCATTCACTTGAGGAGAGGAGTCAGAAGAGTGAAAAGGACTGTGTCTTGCATCTTGGGTATCATCTCTGCTACAGGAGGATAGGACACCAGAGTAGCGAGGTCTCCTTTCTAGGCCCTAGCTCTCAGATGACATTTCTAGACACACCTGGGGCAAGAAGGAAACCCACTGCCTTAAAGGGAAGGATCCAGTCCTGGCAGGATTCATCACCTGCTACCTGATGAGCCCTTGAGCCCTGAATAACAAGCAGCAATATCCAGGAAGTATGCTGTGGGCCCTTAGGTGAGGCTCTGAGACTTGTTGGCTTCAGATGAGACTCAGCACATTGGCATCTGTGATGGATAGTGGGCAAGACTCATTTTGCTTCAGAAAAGCAGAGACAAAAGTAAAGGGAAATTTATCTTGTACCTTAGACACCAGCTTGACCACAGTGGGGTAGAACACTAAGTGGGCCCTTGGGGTCCCCAATTCTAGCCCTTGGCTCTTGGATGACATTTCTGGACCGGCTCTGGGCCATAAAGGAGCCCACTGCTTTGAAGGGTGAGTCCAAGACCAGATAGCATTTACCATAAGCCAACTGAAAAGCCCATGAGCCAAAAGGGAACATCAGCAGTAGCCTCCCCATGGGCCTGTGGAGCCAGTGGCCACAGAGTGAGGTTCGTCTGCCTTTGGAGAGGGGAGGGAAAATGGGAAGGACTGCATTTCATAGTTTGAAGGCCAGCTCAGCCACAGTACAAGAGAACACCAGGTAGACTTCTAAGGTTTTTGACTCTAGACTCCTAGATGACACCTGTGGACCCACCCAGGGCCTGGAGGAACTCACTGCTCTGAAGAAAAGGACACAGACTTGGCTGGATTTTCCACCTGATGATTGTAGAACCCCAGGGCCTTAACTGAACATAGGCAGTAGCCAGGGAGTGGTTAGAGCAGACCTTGGGAAAGACCCAGCACTGTGCTGGTTTCAGGTCTGACCCAGCACAGTAATAGTGGTAGTGGCTACATGGGGTGTTTGTGTCATTCCACTCCCATCTCCATGTGACTCAGAACAGAGAGACAGATAATAAGAGAGAGAGAGAGAGAGAGAGAGACAGAGAGAGAGAGAGAGAGAGAGCTATTTATTTGGGAAAAGTAAGGGAAGAGAACAAGAGCCTCTGCATGGTAACCCAGCGAATTCTTCCAGGTCTTGTCTAAGATCCCCAAGGTGGTACCTCTGCAAGTCTGCAAGAACCAGAACCACAGCATTACTGGGCTTGGGGTACCCCCAGTGCAGATACAGCTAGATCACAACACCCAAGTCCTTTCAATTATCTGGAAAGCCTACCAAAAGCTCAGGTACAAACAAGTTCAGACTGCAAAGACTACAATAAATATCTAGCTCCTTAAGGCCCAGTCACAGACAAATATCCACAAGCATCAAGATAATCCAGGAAAACATGACTTCACCAAATGAACTAAATAAGGGACCAGGGACTAATCTTACAGAAAGAGATTTGTGTCCTTTCAGATAGTGAATTCAAAATAACTGTTTAGAGAAACCTCAAAGAAATTCAAGATAACACCGAGAAGGAATTCAAAATTCTCTTAGATAAATTTAATGAAGAGATTGAAATAATTAAAATGAATCAAGCAGAAATTCTGGAGCTGAAAAATGCAACTGATATACTGAAAAATTCATCAGTCTTAGTAGCAGAATGAATCAAGCAGAAGAAAGAATTAGTGAGCTTGAAGACAGGCTATTTGAAAATATACAGAGGAGACAAAAGAAAAAAGAATAAAAAACAATGAAGCACATCTATAGGATCTAAAAAATAGTCTCCAAAGGACAAATCTAAGAGTGATTGGCTTTGAAGAGGAGCTAGAGAGAAAGATGGAGATAGAACATTTTTTTCAAAGGGATAATTACAGAGAACTTCCCAAACCTAGAGAAAGATCTCAATATCCATGTATAAGAAGGTTATAAAATACCAAGCAGATTTAATCCAAAGAAGACTACATCAAGGCATCTAATAATCAAACTCCCAAAGGTCAAGGATAAATAAAGGTTCCTAAAACCATCAAGAGAAAAGAAAAAGTAACATACAATAGAGCTCCAATATGTCTGGCAGCAGACTTTTTCAGTGTAAATGTTATAGGTCAGGAGATAGTGGCATGACATATTGAAGTGCTGAAGGCAAAAAAAGAAAACTTTTACCATAGAATAGCATTTCTGGCAAAAATAACTTTCACACATAAAGGAAAAATAAAGACTTTTCCAGACATACAAAAGCTGAGAGATTTCATCAACACCAGACCTGTCCTACAAGAAATGTTATAGGGAGACCTCAACAGTAAAGAAAAGGACATTAATGAGCAATAAGAAATCATTTGAAGGTACGAAATTCACTGATAATAGTAAGTACACAGAAAAACACAGAATATTATAGTATTGTAACTATGGTTTGTAAACTACTTTTATCTTAAATATAAAGGATAAATGTTGATCCAATTAAAAACAAGCAATAACTACAACAACTTTTTAATACATAGAGAATACAATAAGATATGAATAGAAAAAAGCAAAAAGTTTAAAAGTGGAGGTAAAAAGTTAAGGTGTAGACTTTTTATTAGTGTGTGTGTTTATGCAAACACTGTTAAGTTGTTGTCAGCTTAAAATAATGGGTTATAAGACAATATTTGCAAGCCTCATGGTAATCTCAAATCAAAAAAACATACAATGGATTTATAATAAATAAAAAGGAAGAAGCTAAATCGTATTTCCAGAGAAAATCACCTTAACTAAAAGGAAGACAGGAAGGAAAGAAAGAAGGAAAAGACCACCAAACAACAAGAAGACATATAACAAAATCACAGGAGTAAGTCCTTACTTGTCAATAGTAACATTAAATATAAATGGACTAAACTCTCCAATCAAAAGACATAGAGTGAATGAATGGATCAAAAAACAAGACCCAAGGATCTGTTGTCTAAAATATACAAATCAATCAATGTGATGCATCATATCAACAGAATGAAGAACAAAAACCTTCTGATTATTTCAATTCATGATGAAAAAAGCATTTGATAAAATTCACCATCCTTTCAAAACAAAAACCCTAAAAAAACTGGGTATAGAATGAACATAACACAATAAAAGTTATATACAACAGACCCACAGCTAGTATCATACTAAATGGAGAAAAACAGTTTTTTCTCTAAGACTGGAAACATGACAAGGATACCCATTTTCACCGTTATTCAACAAAGCACTGGAAGTCATAGCTAGAGCAATCAGACAAGACAAAGAAATAGGGCATCCAAATTGGAAAGGAAGAAGTAAAAGTTATTATTTGAAGATGATATGAACTTATATTTGGAAAAAACCTAAAGATTCCACACACACAAAAAAATCCTAGTAGAACTGATAAACAATTTCAGTAAAGTTACAGAACACAAAATCAACATACAAAAATCAGGAGCTTTTTTTTTTTTTTTGAGACAGAGTTTTGCTCTGTTGCCCAGGCTGGAGTGCAGTGGCATGATCTCAGCTCACTGCAAGCTCTGCCTCCCGGGTTCACGCCATTCTCCTGCCTTAGCCTCCCGAGTAGCTGGAACTGCAGGCACCCGCCACTACGCCTGGCTAATTTTTTTTTTTTTTGTATTTTTAGCAGAGATGGGGTTTCACCTTGTTAGCCAGGATGGTCTCAATCTCCTTACCTCGTGATCTGCCCACCTCGGCCTCCCAAAGTTTTGGGATTACAAACATGAGCCACCGTGCCTGGCCAGGAGCATTTTTATATACCTACAGCAACAATCTGAAAAATGAATCAAGAAAGTAAATCCCATTTACAATAGCTACAAATAAAAGACCTAGGAATTAACCAAAGCAGTGGAAGATCTCTACAATAAAAACTATAAAACACTGATGCAAGAAATTGAAGAGAACACCAAAAAATGGGAAGATATTCCATGTTCATTGATTGGAAGAATCAGTATTGTTAAAATATTATAATACTCAAAGCATTCTATAGATTTAATGCAATCCCTATCAAACTACCAATTATATTCTTCACAGAAATAGAAAAAAGTCTAAAATGTATGTGAAACCACAAAAGATTTCAATAGCCAAAGTCACCTGGAGTAGAAAGAAGAAAACTGCAGGAATCACATTACCTGACTTCAAACTATACTACAGAGCTAAAGTAACCAAAATATCGTGGTACTGGCATAAAAACAGACCAGGCACGGTGGCTCATGCCTGTAATCCCAGAACTTTGGGAGGCCGAGGCAGGTGGATCATCAGGTCAGGAGTTCAAGACCAGCCTGACCAACATGGTGAAACCCCGTCTCTATTAAAATACAAAAAAAAAAAAATTAGCCAGGTGTGGTGGCACGTGCCTGTAATCCCAGCTACTCAGGAGGCTGAGGCAGGAGAATTGCTTGAACCCAGGAGGCAGAGGTTGCAGTGAGCTGAGAATGCGCCACTATACTCCAGCCTGGGTGACAGAGCAAGAGACTGTCTCAAAAAAAAAAAAAAAAAAAAAAAGACACATATTTCAGTGGAACAGAATAGAGAACCGAGAAATAAATCCATACATCTACAGTGAACTTGTGTTAGACAAAGGTGCCAAGAACATAAATTGGAGAAAGGACAGTCTTTTCAATAAATGGTGGTAGGAAAACTGGATATCCACATGCAAAAGAATGAAACTAGACCCCTATCTCTTCTATATATAAAACTATCAAGGATATGGATTAAAGGACTTAATGGATTAAAGACTTAAGCGGATTAAAGACTTAAATCTAAGACCTCAAACTATAAAACTCCTACAAGAAAATATTAGGAAAACTCTCCAGGACATTGGAGTGGGCAAAGATTTATTGAGCAATACCCACAGGCACAGGCAACCAAAGCAAAAATGGATAAATGAGATCACATCAAGTTCAAAGCTTCTGCATAGCAAAGGAAATAATCAACAAAGTGAAGAGACAACCCACAGAATGGGAGAAAATACTTGCAAAATGCCCATCTGTCAAGGAATGAATAATCAAAATATATAAGGAGCTCAAACAAATATATATGTCCATAAATAATCTACTATCAAGTCTCTGTAATCACTAACAGGGGTCACAGGTTGTATTCTGGTTGCTTTCTAAGCCCAAGTCATTCTCAGTTTTGCTCCCAGAAAAACATTTTTTTTAAATAGGAGTTGATGATGTTACTTTGACTTTTTAAACTTTTTAACTCAGGATTCTTCTAAGGCTTCTCATTATGTTACATTAAAATTCAAAATCCCTAACAGGAGCTGAAGGAACTACCTGATCTCACTCTTCCTCTCTCTCCAAACACATCTTGAGCCCCTCTTTCCCTTGTTTGGTCCACTTCACAGTGGACATCTTTATGTTCATTTGAAGGACATGCTTATTTCTAAATTCAGAACCTTCACACATGGTCTTCCTTCTGCCTGAAATGCTATTCTCCAACTCTTTTCTATTGCATTTTTATGGTTTAATCTATATATTTCATCCACAAAATAAAAAGCCTCATCTTGAGTCCTCTCATAACAAATACTCCATCCTCTATCCTCATCCTTTTTCAGTTGTAACATAAACTGCTAGAAATATTCGCTATTGACTACCCACAGTTTCATCTTTCACTGGAAATGGTCATTTGCTAGAGGCTATACTGTCTCTGAGATAGGGACAAAAATGCCTGGCACTATTCACAATAGCAAAGTCATGGAACCAAGTTAAGTGTCCATGAATGTTTGACTGGGCAAAGAAAATGTGGTACATATACACCATGAAATACTATGTAGTATGTGGTACATATACACCATGAAATACTAAGTAGCTGTAAAAAGAATGAAATCATGTCCTTTGTAGCAGCATGGAAGTAGCTGGAGGCCATTATCTTAAGTGAAAATCGATTTCATTATCCTTAAGTGAAATGTTTCCTAACTCAGAAACAGAAAACCAAATAGTGCAGGTTGTCAGTTATGAGTGAGAGCTAAATAATGGGTACACAAGGTCATAAAGAAGAAAATAAAAGACACCAGGGACTCCAAAGGAAGGAGGCTGGGGGTAAGGGAAAGGGTTGAAAAAGGTCTTCTTCCAGTGTTTCTATAGTTTCAGGTCTTACATCTAACTTGTTAATCCAGCTTGACTTAATTTTTCTATATGGTAAGAGATAGGGGTCTCATATCCTTTGCAATTGAGCTTCTTAAAGTGTTGTTACATTTACTATTTCGGCTTCTTTTCTTCCCAGTTCTCTCCTCAGTTAGCTTCAACCAGCTTTGTTGAATCCATTATCCTTCTAAAATTATCCATACCTAGATTCCAACGTCTGATTGCAAAGCCTATCTTAAGGTTATATAACAGTTGTCCTGTCTCCTGAAATGACCTTTCTTGGCTTTTACACACCTGCTAGCTTTGTATTCCTCCCATCATTGTTCAAAATTGTTCTCAGCCAACTTTGTCAACAGTGTTCTGCAACTTCCAAAATTGTTGGAGTTTTTCTGGAGTTCTTGGCTCTTTCTTCAAGGTTTTATAATAATCAGAAGGTAATACCATTCAGTTTTTTGGTCTTATTTACTCCATCCATAACTCTAATGCAAATCTCTATTTTCAGTGTCAGATCCTGCTCCACCCCTTACTCTACTCAGTGCAATCCCACAGTTCTAACTGTGAGTTCATTATCTTCCTCCATCCTCTCTATTGTTCCATTCATCCAGCAAAACAAACCAGGAACTTGAGACTAATATTTGACTTTTTCTCATCTCTCCTGTCTCTAACTCACCACACAACTATGAGATGAAACTTTCTAAAATTGTACCCAGTTATGTAGGCCCCTTGCTTAAGTCCCCTCAATGATCTTTATTGTCCTCAAGATAAGGCCCCATTTTGTTTGCAAAGCTCACTAAAACTTTCATGAACTAAACTTCTCTCTCACCAGAGATACTCTATTGTAGTTATGCCTTCTCTGTCTTGTCTAGAAAGGCAGTATAATTCAGCAGAGTCTTGCTGCCTAAATTTGAGTCACGTGGTTTGCTATCCATGTGATGTTTATTTGTATGGAGCTAGAGACTGAATTTTCCCAGGTCTCAGTTTCCCTTAATGTTAAAATAATAATAGTATTCATCTGGGTATGTATGAGACTTGACATCAGACCTGCAAAATCCTGTGATGGTGTCTGGCAAATAGAAATCACTCAACAAATTGTAGCTGTATTCATTATTATTAATAGTAGTATTTCATTTTATACATTAAATTTCTCCAGGGCAGGTGCTATGCTAAGTATTCAGTACATATTAATTAAATAATTGTTACTTGGATATAAAATAGTAGAGCTCTACCTTATCAAGCAAACTAATTCACTTCTTTAAACTCTGAAATAATTGTGCAAATTAAGCCACTTGAAAGAATTGAGGTAAGTATACTCTGGGAGGTTACAGTAGAAATAACATATTGTAATATATATAAAATGAGAAGAGACAGTAAGACTAACCCAGGAAACTCAATCACTTCACATGTAGAGGCTTGAGAAATATTTTCTGAAATATCTAAAAAACAAAGGTTTTCTGTTAATCTATTGTGCCTATGCCATTGGAGAAAGTAAACTTCGTAAAATAAAGCTCAACCAAAGGATGTCTTTCAAGCTTTCTTATTCAAACCTTCTGGCAGAGACTGAAAACTCAACCACTTTACTTATCAAAGACTGCAATCAACATAGCAAAGCTTAAGAAAGATTAGAAATGAATAAGCTGCTCCACAGACTCTGAAGGTTATTAGAGTTTGATAGAGTCAGAGGCAGCCACACCATATGGTTGCTGAAAAATTCACTCATCAAGGAGAGTCATAAAATTGCAGTACATTTCTAAAGACATAAACCCCCTACCTGTTAAGGATCAAAAATAACCAGGGACAGAGAATTTGCCAGGAAGGAAAGTAAAGCAGGAGTAGAAATCTTCAAAAACACCATTCCAGGATTTGTACTATATACAACTGCATAGCGGACAGAGAGACCTGTGAATTGTCTTTAGACAATACTGCCTCAATACTTACCCACTACTGACACATGCCCATACATGGGGTGTTTCACCAGTATGTGTCCTGATTCAATTACTGCCATGAATTTTCTCCTCTTCCACAAACTTTTCAGAATGAGGCAAGCACTATTTTTTTAAATAAATCCACAACATTTAGGTATAAAAGCATATATATTTCCAAATCAAAGGAAGTCCAACTCTGAGTCACTAGTGAGAAATTCTATCTCTTATACTGCAAAACCCCAGGTCCCAAGGATTGTATATAATTCAGAACAATTGAAAAGGACCACCAGTTTGGGGTTTTTTTTAAATTTTGTTTTCCATTATTCGTGGATCAAGTGGGAATGGTCTTCTGAGGGTAGGAGTCACCACTTGTCTCTCACCAGGCTTAAGAGGGGAAATTTTGCCCAGACTGGCAGCCTCAGTGTGCTGGATCTAGCCTTTCTAGGATCACCCTAAAGTTATTACCCTCCAAAGTTCTTCCACTTCCTCAGAGGTTTGCAAAGAAGCTGGAAGTGAGTCTTCCGAAATAGCATAAATCATGAATTGTAACTAATCAAAATGTGACTTTATTTTTGTTTCCCACAGACTTTTTAGGCTTTATTCAATGGGTAATTTTTCTTCATTCTTGGACGAAAACTTAGGCCCTGTGATTTTCTGCACATTCTTATGGGATTGGTTGCCGTAAGTCACAATCATTGTGTTATTTCAATAATTAGCATGTCCAGAACAAGATTTTAATTAGAACTTTGAATTTGTTTAAGTATAAATCTCTCTTCTAGTTTGGACCAGCTTTATTCTGGAGCCTGCAAAAGGCATCAGGACAGTGGGAATCAGATATTTTAAGTCAGCTGTTCTCACTGCTCTTAGCACATGATTAAACTTGACTCTTGTGAGGCACTTGCATAGGCTTTTCAGAGACGCTCACCTCTAGAAACTTCTATCCTGAAGTCCCACGGCCATCTGCTGTTCTAAGCAGATACTCTGAATTTTTCTTTCAGAATCTAGTGATAAACTCTAACTAGCCTCTCTCTGATGGGATATTCACAGTCCTCTAGTCACCCTCTTCGTCATGATCTTAGATTACCTCAAGCCAACTCTCTATTCCACGTGACCAGCCACTGACCTACCAATCACACTCTCACATCGTTTGCTCTGACAAACTCTGAGGGTGCAGGATGTTTGCAATGCTGCAATGCTCTGTGGGCTCTGTCACCAGGCAATTGGCTTGTCTGTCTTCTGCCCACTACTGCTGTCAATGTGACCCCAAACTGCAGAGACACACATGGCTTTCTGACTTATCTTGTGAAAGCCTTCCTTACCAGGCTTAAGGAAGTGCCACAGACCCAGGTACATTGTGTGGAGGGTGCCAAATTGGTCACAGAGCTCACAATACCATTTTCCCAAAGACATTGTCCTCAGAAATCTGCTGTCTCCACATTTCAAACTTTTGTATATTCTTCATCTGCTGAGAGTTCTTGGAGTGGTGAAGATGGAACTCAAGATATTTTATATAAATATATACTGCATATAAAGATATGCCTCATATCCACTCTGGTATCCCAGTCTCTCTTATGGTAGCATATTTGAAATGGAGTCAACCTGAGTCTCCTAACACCCTGTCATAGCAGTATCATCTGCCAAAACCGCAGCATTTCCAGTTTGGGGCAGGCTCCCAGACTTTCCTATAATATTGCTACTTCTTTCTCTTTCATTGATCTCTAGAAAAACACACAATTTCTCCTCAATTTAAATTGGCTTTTAAATCCTCCATTCTTGGATTGGAGTGGATAAATAAGATGCTCAGACCAATTTTATTTTTTTCTTATGAATTGATCCCACTATATGAATAATGAAAGAACTGCAAGGGTTTCTCATGATCTACAAAGATCAGTTACCGCTGGAAAATTATATATGTTTTATATATTGATATACATTATATGTAATTTCCTCAGAGTAAAGAATACATGTATAAATATACACATGTATATATGTGGTTTTAAATTTTACTATCCAAATATTGAATGCATTTGAAAGCTCTGACAGCATTTGTGATGAATGAGAAATCTCTAATTGCTACTGAAACACTCCTTAGACATGCCAAGTACGTTCAAAAGAAACTTTTAAAACTTTCACTGAGGGTGAAAATATCAAAATCAATAATCCTAATAAACAACTTCTTAGTATTCCCAGAGATATTCTGACAGATGAGAGAGAAGATTGTTCACCTCTAGATTTTTCCCTCTTTTTTCTTTTGATATCGAGTGAGCATGTATGTCTTATTTGTGTGCAGAAATATAAATAATGCAATGAAGGATCACAAAAGAGGAGCCTCCTCACAACTGATGAGCCATTTTTTTTTAATTAACAGAAGAAAAAGATAAGGACCATACTGAAACAATTGTCTGAGGTCCCAGAGGTAAACCTTAATACCTGCATTTTAACAAGTGTTTGAAATTGAACCAAGTATTGGAATAGAGGAGGATATAAAAAATGACTATGTTGTCAATTATTTCACACTTCAGAAAAATAATACACATTTGAAATCTGGCAAGCATGAAAAAGGTCACGTGGAAAAGAACTCTGCTACAGATGAAGGTATTGCTTTGCTGTCTTACACATAAATTATTGAATAAGATTACAGTATTTACAAGGAAAGAAATTTTTCAACTGTCTAATGACTAATAATGCCGTCTATCTCCCTCCAAATATGATGAACCTTGAACATTTTTCTGGGTCTATTCAAAATTATTTTCTCATTCCTCGTTGTATTAGATTGTGATAAGAATTTTTCTCTGTGTATATATGTGTATGTGTACACACACATACACACCTATACACACATACACATATATACACATACACATATGGAGACAGATAGTTTATTCAGTTGATGAGTCAAGAGTGGCAACACAGGAGAAAGAATGGTTCATTGTAATTGTTGCAGGACATACGGTATTTTCTGGCCACAGGTAACATAAATAAGGAGGTGATAATGTTCCTATATTTACAATAATTAAAATCTGTGTGGGACATGCTTAGTGACACATTTAAAAGTGTATCTTAAGCACACGGAATAAACAATGATTCATTAAAGTTGTGGAACAAACATGACCCCAATTATGTTTCAAATGACAGGAAGAACCAGGAATGTTTTCTCTGGAGAATACAGCATTCAATTGAACAGCTACACTGAGAAACATAAGAACTATCTTCACATGTTTAAAACAGCTATGTGGAACAGGAGATAAATGTTTCTTTAGGTGCCAGAGAGGAATGAGAAAAAGGTAGAGGGAGATCATGTTTGGATCATAGATAGAATGGGATATCTCAGAAGGAAGCGAGTTGTCTACAATCTGAGGTGGTCAGATAGGTGATTTGAATCATGTCTAGGATGGAATTTGACTTGGCTCATTCATAAAGAGTATTCATACTGTTTCATCACCTAATATCACATTAAACTCATATGGGACATATTCAAATGGGTTAGAGGTAAAGTAGAGAGATACCAGTTGACTCCCTGCCCCGAGTAGGGCCCCATATTGACTCCTACTTTTGGGCCTTGGGCAGAACAGAGCAAGTAATTCAGAGTCACAAAATACTTTTGTGTTTTAGCCCTTTCAAAATGGTCAGCTTCCTCTAACAAGCTCTAAATCTACTCTTTAAAATCCTGTATTTTGTTGTTCAATTAATTTATACCCTCCATTTTTTGTTTTCAACCATAAAACTATTCTTTATGGATTTCATAACTTAAAAATTCATATGCTACATTGACAGCCCAAAAAAAGAAAAGCACTTTCCTTTTTCAACATCTGTACTATTGTGATTTATGACCTCTTTTTATTTGGTTCTCTGTCTTACATTTTTTAGTAGGTGGAGGGATAGGAATCCATTCTTTGAAATGAATCGTATATAAATATCTGAGCTGAAATACAATAACGAGTCTGTCGTGCATCACACAGTAGAACCAGAAAGATAAATAATGTAGCCGCATAAAAATACCTTATTATGCTTATTATAAACACCTTTGATTTTACCTAAACACAGCCAAGTACACAGTGTTCATACTACCCTAGTGTTTTGCATAGAAACCATGCAACATATAAACTTGTATGTGTGTTTATTTTCAGTAATCTCTAATCACTCAGTGGAGTTTAGTGTTAGTTCATCTTTAAATTTAAACCATTATTCTATACACAGGGAGCTATAACATTTTTTTCCACATGGTGTCATATTTATTTCCACAAAGGAAAAGTGATGACAGAAACATTTTTTTAAAAAAAGGGGTTCCAAAAAATATGTATTAAAACAACAGTAGATTTCCCATTAAGCAAAGAATTCAGTACCTCATTTTTCAGCCAGTTGAAGGAGCGCCGAGAATGTACTGGCTTTGGAAAAGATACCTCTTTCCAGCCAAAACTCTTCAGAGAGGTTCAATAAGAATAATTTCCATTCAGGAATTCCAATTTTCATATGCCAGGTGTCAGGACTGTCATACCTTTGGACTGTTTAGTCTTAGCAAACCTAATAAAACAATCGTACATAACCACAAGGAAACATTTTGTTGCTCTTTTCCTCACAGCATCACTTTTAAGTTCAACTAAATTTACGAAAAACCAGTTTTGCATTTTTGAACATCTTGTTCAGATTTCTAAGGAAGATTTTTCTTGAAAGCACGTCAATATAATGAGTTATTAAAATATACACATAAAACAAGAGTGATATTCAAGTGGTTATATACTGAATATAAACCCTGAGACATGAAGTTTAAATGGTATTCTTTCTGGAGAAAAAAATCTGTGGTTGAAATATTTTAGCCTTATCTTACTGGCAGTTCACAGGGAGTCAGATAATGCTGATGGCTGCTGCTTTGTGCCAAACATTTGAAATTCAGTATAGAAAAGGGGCTTGCAAATTGTCTTCTTGACCCATGACTCAGTTTTGTGAGATGATGGTTTCCCATGCAGAGTTTCAAGTTGAAGATGCCCTTGTTTTATTTCTCACAGTTTATAGTTCTACAAAAGGAATGCAGTGGGAAGAATTTCTCAAACTAAATATTTTAAGGGTCACCTACAATTGATATTGTTTAAAGCAATTCCTTAACAACATTTCATTAAAATCTGTTTTAGTTTCTCCATCAATATATTAGTGTTAAGAAAGCAATTCATTTTCATAGAGGGCTGATGTGACTGCTCTATTGCTCTAGCATAGGAGAAAGCATAATATAGATTGCATTTAAAAAATCCTCCCTAGATTACATTTCTCCTGATTTAGAAGATAATAATATAAATTATTTATTTACTGACCTATCCTGAAATGGTTGTGAAGGATCTCAGTGATTCCTGGACTTAAGAATTCCTGGCATTTAGGAAGGAGGTAAGTATTTATTTTGCCCAAGTGCCAGACTATAAGCTGGGTGCATATTGTCTCATCTAAGGGTCTCAAGTGTCCCCTGAGGTCCTCAATCAGTCTTGCCCTTAGTTAAGGGGAGTTCTAAGCCATGACTCATTTTCAAATCACTGGGTCCATGAGGCCCTTTCTGACCATAAATTGTAGTTCTAAATTCAGAGATTCAGTATCAGGTTTAAGACCAAGTCCTTGAGCTGTATTATCAGTTTTAGTAGGTGGGTTCATAGTTTATTCTGCCATGCCTGAGTACTTCTCTCAATAACTGATGTAATACCTCAGTTCCTCCCAGAATGTTTAGTCTTGTTTGCTTTAGCTACATTTCTGCAGTGACTGGAGTCTAGTTCTAGTACTTGCTACTGGTTTGGTATCTTTTATTGCTGGCTTCCAGCATATCCAGTCATAAATCTATTCTGGACTCCTATGATTAAAAACCATCCCTTTGGAATTACAACTAATAACTAGTGGAATGGAAATATTTATAAACCTGTTTATTCTCATAGCAGTGCGATGCTTTGTAACATAAGCCGTTATATTTGCCATGTTAAAAAATGGAGAAAATCATTAATTTTAAAGATTATTGAAGTAATGTGGAAGATGAATTTTTTTATCTTGTCCCCAAGTGTGAAAAATCCTCAAAGCCAAAGAGCCATGTTCATCATTGTATCCCTTGTCACCAAAATGGGACCTGGCCCAAAGCAGCAGGTCCCACCAGCAGGTCTAATTTCCAGGTTCTAATTCTTGCCAGTCTCATGCCAGAGCTTGATTCTGGCATCTGATAGCTTCATTTTAGAGCTTTCATGGTGTTGAAAAAAAAATGTCAAAGATGTCACGATAAGATTTGCAGCTGCAAAAGTTTCTGACAGAGCAGAGCAAACAGTAATAAATTGAGGCAAAAGGGATAAAGAGAGAGTAGGCCTCCTTTTACCTCTAAAAGCATCAAATATATAAGGTGAATCAAGGTGACTTAGTGCTTGTTCCACAGAGTCACACTTGACAAAGGAAAGCTTTAGCTTAAAAAAATCAATGTGTTAGGGTAAAAGTATGTAACCTGCATCTTCTTCAAGATTATCCTAATTTACTTAAATTACAGATATTTTTTCTGTATTAGTTTCCCTAGCAATTGATGTTCCCATGCATGGACATATCCAGGGTCAGGCATCAAAAATCTAGAATTTTGTTTCCTATAGTCAGTAAAGCATGGAAATGTGAACAACATAATACATATTACCTTGATTCTTCTTTAGTCACTATTAAAAGTAAAATTTATACATTTGTAAATTTATAAAAATGCACAAATATACTCTATTTCATACATCTAGTCACATTATTAATAATCATGAGATAAAATATGTAGTATTAATTGAATGTGAACATTAATCTCTGTTCTGCTAACCAATTAAAATTTAAACACAAAAATATGGCTTACCAATGAGAACAAATCATTTAAGTATTACAATAGATAATAATTTTTTGGACAAGGGAAACCTTTTCATATTTTTCAATGACAGTATTTAGTCCTTTTTAGTAACAAAAAGTATATCCTCTCAGCCATCCAACAAAGTGACCATATAGCAGGTACAACAGGAAATGCTTTTGGAAAATGCCAAGCATTCAGAAATTGACATCTACAAGGTCCATAAAAGAATGTCTAAATGACAAGTTTTATATGGTTGTGTACAAAAATGCATGTAGCCTATAGAACTCAACAGTATATTAGCCTTCTTAAAGAAATATTCGTGAATCCTATACACACACACACACACACACACACACACACACACAGAGAGAGAAAGGCAAGAAAGACAAAAGTGTTTTTAAAAAATGCACATTAGGCTGGGCGCGGTGGCTCAAGCCTGTAGTTCCAGCACTTTGGGAGGCTGAGGTGGGCAGATAATGAGGTCAAGAGATCAACACCATCCTGGCCAACATGGTGAAACCCCATCTCTATTAAAAATAAAAAAATTGGGGGAGGAGCCAAGATGGCCGAATAGAAAGAGCTCCGGTCTACAGCTCCCAACGTGAGCGACGCAGAAGACCGTGATTTCTGCATTTCCATCTGAGGTACCGGGTTCATCTCACTAGGGAGTGCCAGATAGTGGGCGCAGGTCAGTGGGTGCACGCACCATGCGCGAGCCGAAGCAGGGCGAGGCATTGCCTCACTTGGGAAGCGCAAGGGTCAGGGAGTTCCCTTTCTGAGTCAAAGAAAGGGGTGACGGATGGCACCTGGAAAATCGGGTCACTCCCACCCGAATACTGCGCTTTTCCGAGGGGCTTAAAAAACGGCGCACCACGAGATTATATCCTGCACCTGTCTTGGAGGGTCCTACGCCCACGGAGTCTCGCTGATTGCTAGCACAGCAGTCTGAGATCAAACTGCAAGGCGGCAGCCAGGCTGGGGGAGGGGCGCCCACCATTGCCCAGGCTTGATTAGGTAAACAGAGCAGCCTGGAAGCTCGAACTGGGTGGAGCCCACCACAGCTCAAGGAGGCCTGCCTGCCTCTGTAGGCTCCACCTCTGGGGGCAGGGCACAGACAAACAAAAAGACAGCAGTAACCTCTGCAGACTTAAATGTCCCTGTCTGACAGCTTTGAAGAGAGCAGTGGTTCTCCCAGCACGCAGCTGGAGATCTGAGAAGGGGCAGACTGCCTCCTCAAGTGGGTCCCTGACCCCTGACCCCCGAGCAGCCTAACTGGGAGGCACCTCCCAGCAGGGGCACACTGACACCTCACACGGCAGGGTATTCCAACAGACCTGCAGCTGAGGGTCCTGTCTGTTAGAAGGAAAACTAACAAACAGAAAGGACATCCACACCAAAAACCCATCTGTACATCACCATCATCAAACACCAAAAGTAGATAAAACCACAAAGATGGGGAAAAGACAGAACAGAAAAACTGGAAACTCTAAAACGCAGAGCGCCTCTCCTCTTCCAAAGGAACGCAGTTCCTCACCAGCAACGGAACAAAGCTGGATGGAGAATGACTTTGACGAGCTGAGAGAAGAAGGCTTCAGACGATCAAATTACTCTGAGCTATGGGAGGACATTCAAACCAAAGGCAAAGAAGTTGAAAACTTTGAAAAAAATTTAGAAGAATGTATAACTAGAATAACCAATACAGAGAAGTGCTTAAAGGAGCTGATGGAGCTGAAAACCAAGGCTTGAGAACTACATGAAGAATGCAGAAGCCTCAGGAGCCAATGCGATCAACTGGAAGAAAGGGTATCAGCAATGGAAGATGAAATGAATGAAATGAAGCGAGAAGGGAAGTTGAGAGAAAAAAGAATAAAAAGAAATGAGCAAAGCCTCCAAGAAATATGGGACTATGTGAAAAGACCAAATCTACGTCTGATTGGTGTGCCTGAAAGTGATGGGGAGAATGGAACCAAGTTGGAAAACACTCTGCAGGATATTATCCAGGAGAATTTCCCCAATCTAGCAAGGCAGGCCAACGTTCAGATTCAGGAAATACAGAGAACGCCACAAAGATACTCCTCGAGAAGAGCAACTCCAAGACACATAATTGTGAGATTCACCAAAGTTGAAATGAAGGAAAAAATGTTAAGGGCAGCCAGAGAGAAAGGTCGGGTTACCCTCAAAGGGAAGCCCATCAGACTAACAGCGGATCTCTCGGCAGAAACCCTACAAGCCAGAAGAGAGTGGGGGCCAATATTCAACATTCTTAAAGACAAGAATTTTCAACCCAGAATTTCATATCCAGCCAAACTAAGCTTCATAAGCGAAGGAGAAATAAAATACTTTACGAACAAGCAAATGCTGAGAGATTTTGTCACCACCAGGCCTGCCCTACAAGAGCTCCTGAAGGAAGCGCTAAACATGGAAAGGAACAACTGGTACCAGCCTCTGCAAAATCATGCCAAAAAGTAAAGACCATCAAGACTAGGAAGAAACTGCATCAACTAACGAGCAAAATCACCAGCTAATATCATCATGACAGGATCAAATTCACACATAACAATATTAACTTTAAATGTAAATGGACTAAATGCTCCAATTAAAAGACACAGACTGGCAAATTGGATAAAGAGTCAAGACCCATCAGTGTGCTGTATTCAGGAAACCCATCTCACGTGCAGAGACACACATGGGCTCAAAATAAAAGGATGGAGGAAGATCTACCAAGCAAATGGAAAACAAAAAAAGGCAGGGGTTGCAATCCTAGTCTCTGATAAAACAGACTTTAAACCAACAAAGATCAAAAGAGACAAAGAAGGCCATTACATAATGGTAAAGGGATCAATTCAACAAGAAGAGCTAACTATCCCAAATATATATGCACCCAATACAGGAGCACCCAGATTCATAAAGCAAGTCCTGAGTGACCTACAAAGAGACTTAGACTCCCACACATTAATAATGGGAGACTTTAACACCCCACTGTCAACATTAGACAGATCAATGAGACAGAAAGTAAACAAGGATACCTAGGAATTGAACTCAGCTCTGCACCAAGCGGACCTAATAGACATCTACAGAACTCTCCACCCCAAATCAACAGAGTATACATTTTTTTCAGCACCGCACCACACCTATTCCAAAATTGACCACATAGTTGGAAGTAAAGCTCTCCTCAGCAAATGTAAAAGAACAGAAATTATAACAAACTATCTCTCAGACCACAGTGCAATCAAACTAGAACTCAGGATTAAGAATCTCACTCAAAACTGCTCAACTATATGGAAACTGAACAACCTGCTCCTGAATGACTACTGGGTACATAACGAAATGAAGGCAGAAATAAAGATGTTCTTTGAAATCAACGAGAACAAAGACACAACATACCAGAATCTCTGGGATGCATTCAAAGCAGTGTGTAGAGGGAAATTTATAGCACTAAATGCCCACAAGAGAAAGCAGGAAAGATCCAAAATTGACACCCTAACATCACAATTAAAAGAACTAGAAAAGCAAGAGCAAACACATTCAAAAGCTAGCAGAAGGCAAGAAATAACTAAAATCAGAGCAGAACTGAAGGAAATAGAGACACAAAAAAACCCTTCAAAAAATTAATGAATCCAGGAGCTGGTTTTTTGAAAGGATCAACAAAATTGATAGACCACTAGCAAGACTAATAAAGAAAAAAAGAGAGAAGACTCTAACAGACGCAATAAAAAATGATAAAGGGGATATCACCACCCATCCCACAGAAATACAAACTATCAGAGAATACTACAAACACCTCTACGCAAATAAACTAGAAAATCTAGAAGAAATGGATAAATTCCTCGACACATACACTCTCCCAAGACTAAAACCAGGAAGAAGTTGAATCTCTGAATAGACCAATAACAGGAGCTGAAATTGTGGCAATAATCAATAGCTTACCAACCAAAAAGAGTCCAGGACCAGATGGATTCACAGCTGAATTCTACCAGAGGTACAAGGAGGAACTGGTACCATTCCTTCTGAAACTATTCCAATCAATAGAAAAAGAGGGAATCCTCCCTAACTCATTTTATGAGGCCAGCATCATTCTGATACCAAAGCCAGGCAGAGACACAACAAAAAAACAGAATTTTAGACCAATATCCTTGATGAACATTGATGCAAAAATCCTCAATAAAATACTGGCAAAATGAATCCAGCAGCACATCAAAAAGCTTGTCCACCATGATCAAGTGGGCTTCATCCCTGGGATGCAAGGCTGGTTCAATATACGCTAATCAATAAATGTAAACCAGCATATAAACAGAGCCAAAGACAAAAACCACATGATTATCTCAATAGATGCAGAAAAAGCCTTTGACAAAATTCAACAACCCTTCATGCTAAAAACTCTCAATAAATTAGGTATTGATGGGACGTATTTCAAAATAATAAGAGCTATCTATGACAAACCCGCAGCCAATATCATACTGAATGGGCAAAAACTGGAAGCATTCCCTTTGAAAACTGGCACAAGACAGGGATGCCCTCTCTCACCACTCCTATTCAACATAGTGTTGGAAGTTCTGGCCAGGGCAATTAGGCAGGAGAAGGAAATAAAGGGTATTCAATTAGGAAAAGAGGAAGTCAAATTGTCCCTGTTTGCAGATGACATGATTGTATATTTAGAAAACCCCATTGTCTCAGCCCAAAATCTCCTTAAGCTGATAAGCAACTTCAGCAAAGTCTCAGGATACAAAATCAATGTACAAAAATCACAAGCATTCTTATACACCAACAACAGACAAACAGAGAGCCAAATCATGAGTGAACTCCCATTCACAATTGCTTCAAAGAGAATAAAATACCTAGGAATCCAACTTACACGGGATGTGAAGGACCTCTTCAAGGAGAACTACAAACCACTGCTCAAGGAAATAAAAGAGGATACAAACAAATGGAAGAACATTCCATGCTCATGGGTAGGAAGAATCAATATTGTGAAAATGGCCATACTGCCCAAGGTAATTTACAGATTCAATGCCATCCCCATCAAGCTACCAATGCCTTTCTTCACAGAATTGGAAAAAACTACTTTAAAGTTCATATGGAACCAAAAAAGAGCCCTCATCGCCAAGTCAATCCTAAGCCAAAAGAACAAAGCTGGAGGCATCACACTACCTGACTTCAAACTATACTACAAGTCTACAGTAACCAAAACAGCACGGTACTGGTACCAAAACAGAGATATAGATCAATGGAACAGAACAGAGCCCTCAGAAATAACGCCACATATCTACAACTATCTGATCTTTGACAAACCTGAGAAAAACAAGCAATGGGGAAAGGATTCCCTATTTAATAAATGGTGCTGGGAAAACTGGCTAGCCATATGTAGAAAGCTGAAACTGGATCCCTTCCTTACACCTTATACAAAAATCAATTCAAGATGGATTAAAGACTTAAACGTTAGACCTAAAACCATAAAAACCCTAGAAGAAAACCTAGGCATTACCATTCAGGACATAGACATGGGCAAGGACTTCATGTCTAAAACACCAAAAGCAATGGCAACAAAAGACAAAATTGACAAATGGGATCTAATTAAACTAAAGAGCTTCTGCACAGCAAAAGAAACTACCATCAGAGTGAAGAGGCAACCTACAAAATGGGAGAAAATTTTTGCAACCTACTTATCTGACAAAGGGCTAATATCCAGAATCTACAATGAACTCAAACAAATTTACAAGAAAAAAACAAACAACCCCATCAAAAAGTGGGCGAAGGACATGAACAGACACTTCTCTAAAGAAGACATTTATGCAGCCAAAACACACATGAAAAAATGCTCATCATCACTGGCCATCAGAGAGATGCAAATCAAAACCACAATGAGATACCATCTCACACCAGTTAGAATGGCAATCATTAAAAAGTCAGGAAACAACAGGTGCTGGAGAGGATGTGGAGAAATAGGAACACTTTTACACTGTTGGTGGGACTGTAAACTAGTTCAACCATGGTGGAAGTCAGTGTGGCGATTCCTCAGGGATATAGAACTGGAAATACCATTTGACCCAGCCATCCCATTACTGGATATATACCCAAAGGACTATAAATCATGCTGCTATAAAGACACATGCACACGTATGTTTATTGCGGCATTATTCACAATAGCAAAGACTTGGAACCAACCCAAATGTCCAACAATGATAGAGTGGATTAAGAAAATGTGGCACATATACACCATGGAATACTATGCAGCCATAAAAAATGATGAGTTCATGTCCTTTGTAGGGACATGGATGAAATTGGAAAACATCATTCTCAGTAAACTATCGCAAGAACAAAAAACCAAACACCGCATATTCTCACTCATAGGTGGGAATTGAACAATGAGATCACACGGACACAGGAAGGGGAATATCACACTCTGGGGACTGTTGTGGGGTGGGGGGAGGGGGGAGGGATAGCATTGGGAGATATACCTAATGCTAGATGACGAGTTAGTGGGTGCAGTGCACCAGCATGGCACATGTATACATATGTAACTAACCTGCACAATGCGCACATGTACCCTAAAACTTAAAGTTTAATTAAAAAAAATAATAAATAAAAAAAATTAGCTGGATGTGGTGGCATGCGCCTGTAATCCCAGCTACTCAAGAGGCTGAGGCAGGAGAAACGCTTGAACCCGGGAGGCGCGGAGGTTGCAGACAGCCAAGATCGCACCACTGCATTCCAGCCTGGGCAGCAATAGCAAAACTCCGTGAAAGAAGGAAAGAAAGAAAGAGAGAAGAGGGTGGTGGGGAGGGGCGGAGAGAGAGAAAGAGAAAGAAAAAGTTACATTATTAATTAACATGTTTTGAATGGCTTCATCCAGAACATAATAGGAAGACACGTGTACATTTCTCAGAAACAATTGTTTTCTTGAAATCTCAGTCACAGCATACCCTCATTTTTGCCTAAAATCATCAGCTTTTTACTAAATGATTTTAGTTGATGTTTCCATAGAGATCAAAAAGTGACCATGTGAGAATATATACGTGAAGTTCCTTCTAAACTGCATACCATTAAAATGACTCCTATTTCTATGGTTTTTTTTTTTTTTTTTAACTCACACCTCTACTCATCTATCTTATTTTTTATATTATGGTCCTTCAAACTATGACCCAAATGTCCCCTGCTAGTTCTATTTCCTGAGACTTCCAAATATAAAACCCTCTCACTCATTACATAGAATAGGGATCATAGTTTCTTGTCATGAGAAGGTGTGCTATGAGATTCAATATATTGCCACTAGAACAGCATATTTCTAAACCCTGATGATGGTCAGAGATCAAGATGGCATACAATAGTCATGCATATTATAGTAAAACACAAAAGATAACTATCAGAATTTAAATGTATATAAAAATAATGGTTTTGCCTAAAATAGATTTGGATTAAAAAAATAGTAATGACTGATGTCTTTGAACGTACATGAACACACAGTTGTTAGTGGTGTATATGAGAATTATCAAGTCCTCTATCTTTTTAATCTAATATTTCTCCAGTCTATTTTACATGTGCAATTTTAAAATATCTTTATGCTTTAAAATATAATCTTAAAGCAAATCTTATAAATGCAATTCATGAAAACTTACAAAAGTAACGAGGAAATATTTTCACCAAGTTGGAAACTACATTTTATTAATAATTTAAAAAGTTAGCAGTTGGTAATTTTCTCAAAATTAATATTGAATTATTTTACAGTGTTTGAAATTATTTTTCTCTCTTATTTCTGATTTCTCATGTCATCTATATAGAATATGGAATCATGTTTAAAGATTTTAAAACATTTAAAAAACATACATACATTACATAAATATATGTGTAATATGTACACATATGTATATGTGTGTATTCACACACACACACTTTGGAGAATATTTATCTGTGTATTTCCGTTTTACCTTGAGTTTTGATTCAAAACCTATGTTTTTCAATAAGATTATAAGTTTCATGAGATTGAAATCTAATTCAATACTGTACATCTTTAGCATGTATTATCATTCCTTAAGGATAATGCTCATTTTTTTTGTAGCTAGCTTTTTGTAGCTTCTATAAATTGTCATTCCAGATGGCACTCCATTGTTTCAAACTCGATGCCACTCACCTTCTTTTAGGAAAAGATTTGTATTTAATAGGAAGCCTGGGCAGTGTTTTTCTACAAGAAGAGAGGGTGTAGCTTGAGGAACGATATTAGGTTTTGCAATTGAATTGTTCTTCTATGAATTACTCCTAAAAACTGATGTAAGCAAATAACTCTTCCAAGTCTCCAAGAACTGCTTTACCACAGGAAATATCTCAACAATTTGCTGAAAATATTTGCATCTGTTCACCCAGAAAGTGAAAATCAAAAGTGATTATTATCTTTTTCTCCTTAAAGAAACCATCATAGGTGCCCTGTGTCATCCAACACACACCCTAGCTATGGGTGTGTGCTGTGTTGAGAAATGCTAATAATACACTCTTGAAAAGAAACATACCTCTATATTTCCCTTGTAGCATATATTTTTTAATGAATTAAACGTAAAGGTCACTGGCAGCAAGAAAACACTTTTATTATTATACTCAACTCAGTGCCCAGGTTAGAGTCTGACACAGACTAGATGCTTGATAAATATTTACCAGATGAATGAATACAAGTTGTTTATAATCTCAGCTGCTGAATAGGCTAATATACTGCCCCCTCTCCCTGTACATTTTATCATCTCCAGAGATTAAAAAGACCTAAAAGATGTATCGATATCATTTTACCATTCCAAGCGATAAGGCTTAAGAATGGCTTATATTGTGTCGGGTAAAGACCAAATATGGAAACAAATGGTATATGAAAAATTGGCAGGAAAAAAAATCACATAAGACTGAGAGCCAGGCAAGAGATATTTTCTTGTAGTCCAGATTATCCCTAGCTTGTTGTATGTTCCTACGCAAATGACTTTATATTTCTGGGCATCTTGACACATCTGTTACATGAAGAAGATGCTCTAGCTGCCAAAGTCTCTTTCAGGTTCTATATTCTGAAATGCAAACAACTAGCAATACTGAATAATGGTTAGCTTGCTGAGCAATGAGGCACCCCATACATTGCTGGTGGAATTTTAGAAAATGCCGCAGCCGCTCTGGAAAACAGTTTGGCAGTTTCTTATAAAGTTCAATCTATATCTACCCATAAAATCCAGGAAGTCCACTCCTAGGTATCTACTCAGAAGAAATGAAACATTATATTTACACAAAAACCTATTCACAAGTATTTACATCAGCTTTGTTTATAATTCTTAACAATTAGAAACAACCTAGATGTCCTTCAACCAGTAAAGATATAAACAAACTGTGGCACATAGCTCAAATGTAGTATTAGCAATAAACAGAGCAAACTAATGGTTCAAACGACAACATGCATGAATCTTAAATACATTTTGCTGAGTGAAAGAATATGCTCTAGTTTGTGACTTTGTTTCTTTCAGGGATATGGATCAGGAATCCTAAAAGAATTACATTTTTATATTAGGATTAAATAAATAAATAAATGTATTGTACATAATAAAAGCCAGGTTTCCTGCTACCAGAGAAAGAAGTTGTAAAAGGTGAGGAGGGAAGATTAGAATGGCTCCTATGGTGCTGGATTGTAGTAAATGGCATCAATATTACCTTATTTTTAAGTATGTATATGTGTACACACACACATATATATGGACATGTAAACATATACAAAAATAGCTATGAAAATGAGTGTAAGCATGAATTAGTATGCTACATATATTTCCTACTTTTATCCCTGAATGGGGCCAGAGTCAGTAAGACCCCTGTAACAAAATAGCACACCTAGAACCCACACATTTGTTTCTAAATACCACTCTCCAATAAATGGAACCAGGACTCCTGTGAGAAATGATTGATTCCAGGATTGAGACAGGAAAGTTTAAAGTGAGCCTGAAGTATCTTCATAATGCCAGAAAATAAGAAACTGGGGTAAAATAATAAATAAAGAAAACAAAGGATGGAGGAATACTGAATAATCACAGGAGCCAAACTGAAAAGTCTCCCAATGGCTAAAGCTGGAATAGCATGAACAAAAAATAAGTAACTGATATTTGAGATAAACTCCTAACAATAAAAATTTCAGTTCATACTAACATAAATAAATGGGGTGATATGGTTTGGCTGTGTCCCCACCCAAATCTCATCTTGAATTATAACTCCCATAAATCCCAGGTGTTGTGGGAAAGACACAGTGGGAATGAATCATGGGGGTGGTTTCCCCCATACTGTTCTCATGGTAGTGAGTAAGTCTCACAACATCTGATGGTTTTACACGAGGTTTCCCTTTTCACTTGGCTCTCATTCTGTCTTGTCTGCTGCCGTGTCTGATGTGCCTTTCGCCTTCTGCCATAATTGTGAGGCCTCCTCAGCTATGTGGAAGTGTGAGTCCATTAAACCTCTTTTTCTTTATAAATTACCTGGTCTCAGGTATGTCTTTATTGGCAGCATGAAAATGGACTTACTCAGTGGGGCATGCGTGATGGTTCTTCTTTATATATTTATCAATGGAAAATCACAATTAGAATACCACAGTAAAAATTGCCACAGGCATGATCCAGAGATAGATGCTAAAATGAATGGGCTAAAGTTTAAGCTGAAACCAGATATTTGCAACAAGAAGATTACAACAAGGAAAATAGAAATTTAGAGTGGAAACTCTTCACAGACACTACCATAGTCAAGTGATTAAGGTTAACATAACCTGTCATTCAAATTGTATCATCTTCAATACTCTGACGTGATGCCTGGAGACAAGCACATTATCCGTGACATTCATCTCATAAATGCATAACCTCAATCTAATAATCAAAAAACATTAGACAAGCTTAGGTTGAAAGTATATATAAATATGTGATGCTTCCACTGACCCGTTCTCTGATCCATTCTCTTCAAATGTCAAGGTCAAGACTGATGATTGTCACAGACTGAAGAAGACCACAGAGGCTTGACAATTAAGAGCAATGTGGGATTTGAGATTAGATGTGGAATAGAAAAAGTACATTAATAGGAGAATTGGGGAAATTGAATAAATCTTGTGCTTTGGTTAATACTATTGAATGAAGGGTAATTTCTTTTGATAAATGTTTTATAGTTATATAATATACAAACATAAGGGTAAGATGGATTAAGGGTAGATGGAACTCTCTGTACTATTTTTGGAATTATTTTATCACTGTAAAATTATTTCAATATTGAAGAGTTAAATTCCTTGATCATTCAACCAGTAGGTTGTCAATGTATTCATTACAGGATGCCAATTTGAGATTTTTTTAAATTTAGGATAATTTCTAATTTCCTCCTGTGTGTTTTCTGTAATCATAGGGAAACATCAAAATATCTAGGTACTGCCTGGTCTTAAGAAATTTCCCTATATATAGCACACATCACTTTAGCCCACATAAACTGAGATATTTGGCCACATCTAACTGTAAGGAAGTCTGGAAATGGTATCAGTTACAATTCTAGTGCTGTAGAAGAAGGGAAGAAAGATTTTGGTGGTTGGCTATCAGCCTGTGATGCAAGAATAAGGAGCACTATAGGAGATTCTCAACCTAACATTTATTTACAATGTTGATGCACTTCATACATAGAAAAGGCTCTTAAAGAAATATGAGTACTGTCATAAATATTAATTGCAATCACTAACATTTTAGTATGTTTTATTTTACAAGGATCTTTCTGTGAAATATTGCTTTTAAATCTATGAAATAAATATAACAATCCCAATTTATATATGAAGAAATTAAAGCAGAGAGAAATTACATATATAGTGACATAGCTGGGATAGAGAGATATTACATATCTAGTAACATAGCTGAGATATAATTCTAGATTTTCTGACCCAACATGGACATTTTTCTGTAAAAATTGTTTAAAGATTCTATCAGTTTAATTGTTAAGAATGTTTTCAAAATTGAAAAAAATCTCACCCCAGTATTAAAATCACATTGTCAGAAAATTGTATAACTCTTGTCTTCAGAGAATTAGGAGCTTAAGAATGAGTCAAATTCTCCTTTTGAACTTGACTTACCATATTTGTGAAGTTCATAATGACTGAATGTTTCATTTAGGCCAAAGATCCACCAATTCCAGGCTCTGGGTAAAAGCCAGACCTCGAAGTCTCCTATTATTCCAAGAGTACATTTCCAAATATTTTATTCTCTTTATTTGTCTCATGCTCTGGTTTTGTCCCAGGCAGGTCTCATTCAAGTCCAAGTTCAAACAAGAGCCTTTCAGTCTTACAGTCTCTCATCTCTCCCCCAATTTGTTTTGGCTAATTGCCTCCCTCTGCGGCCACACTATTTCTCTCACTCAAACAGTTGATCCCATATGTCAATGCTGTTTGCAAAGGAGCACTTGAAAGGGTAGGGTTATTCATAGGTAGCATTGTTGAAGGACAGAAAGCCAGGAGAAACTCCTCAGTCCATAACATTCCATTATCTACCCCCTTACTGTGGAGTGATAAAATAAACCCCTATGTATCACAAGATTCAAAGTCAGTATTCTAGTCCTTCTTTCCTATTCATATAAAATTGGTATATCAACATTGCAACAAGACTGTCAAGAATGCTAATCTGATTTCCATCAATGAGTGGGTAAATGTTCTGAATGGCAGAGCTGATATATATGTCCTTGCTCTATGATAGTCAAAGTATACTGGAGGCTTTGGGCAAAAGTCATAGCCTCATTCTTTAAAAGACCTCCAGAACTTCTGCCTGTAGAACTGTATGAAGGGTAAAGGGACTCCAAGACATTCCACAGAAGAATAACAAGGGAATATACAAAGACTGCATAAGAGAAAACTGCAATTGGAAGAGTTTTCTCCAACTATCTTAAGGGCAGCCCTGAAATAGTCTTTAGTGAGGCATCATTTTGATTAACTAAAAGGGAAAGCCAGACTTTCTAAATGGTAATTCTTAGGAATAACATATTAGCTCAACATAAAGAAAGATAAGTGTAAGTATTAGAAGTATCCCCCCCCCGCCAAAAAAAAAAAGAATGGGTATCTCAGCAGAGAGCTAGTTTCTCATCTCTTGGAAGGCTTCAGGCAGGAGAGCAAAAGTAACAGAGTCTGACTATATAGCTACATCACAACTGACAAAGTTTATTTAACTATTTTAAAAGTCAATTTAGATTTATTATTGGATTTACTTTTTAACTGTCCATAAATCTGTTAAGGTAGGCGTAATGGAACTAGTGCAAGTCAAAAAAGTGGACAAAAAACAGTCAATATCAAAAAAGGAAGGCATGCAAATGAATTCCTCTCTCGACAGATAGACATATCTATATATATGAATATCTATACATATGATGTCAAAATTACCAATGATTTGAAGATAAATAAACAGGCTTCTTGTAAAGAATTAATGTTGCCAGGGATCCCATTTGTCTCCAAAGCTGTGGTGGTGGATGCCATGTTGAGATGTTAACTTATTTTCTCCTCTCCCCTTCAAGGAGGTATTTAGCTCTATATTCAATCATTTCAAGAAAGACATGGCAGGACAAAAAAGCGGAACTGGCCACAAGTCTTTTAAGATCTTAGGAAAAGCTGGAAGATTTTATGATGAAGCCAAGATTCTTTGGTTTCTTGGGCATAAGCTTCTGAATGCAGAGGGAGAAGAATTATCTCCAGACTAGAAAAATATGCCTGCAGTATGTAAACAGGGACATATAGAAGGAGGGTATAGATTAGAGACAGGGAGAACTATATCTGATTTTCTAGCCATTCCTCTGGGGAGCTAACAAGATGGCAGACAAAAAAATGGCTTGACTGTGTTGTGCAGCTCAGTACCCGGGATCCTTGCATCCTACACTGGTCAGGGTTCTCCAGAGAAACAAAATCAATAGGATCTGTCTCTCTCTCTCTCTCTCTCTCTCTCTCTCTCTCTCTCTCTGTGTGTGTGTGTGTGTGTGTGTGTGTGTGTGTGTGTGTGTGATTATAGAGGCTGAGAAGTCCCATGATCTGCAAGCTGGAGAACCAGGGAAGCTGCTTGTTCAAATCACTCTGAGTCTGATAGCCTAAGAAACAGAGAGCCAAAAGTATATCTCTCCGTCTGAGGTTAAAAGCCTGAGAAATGGGGAGACTACTGGTGTAAGTCTGGAAGTCTAAAGGCCTAAGACCTAGAGTTCTTATATACAAGGGAAAGAGAAGAATGATGAGAATGATGTCCCACCTTCGGAAGAAAGAGCGAATTTGCCTTTTTTCAGCCTTTTTATTCTATCTGGACTCTCAGTCAATTGGATGTTGCCCTCTCACACTGGGTAAGGGCAGATCTTCCTTATTCAAGTTCACTTATTCAAATGCCAATCTCTTCCAGAAACACCCTAACAGATACACCCAGAAATAATGCTTTCTCATCTATCTGGGTGTCTCTTAACTCAGTCAAGTTCACAACTAAAATTAACAAGCCCTCTAGACCAAGCATGTCAGGGAAGCAGCAGGGAGCAACTGAACCTGAAGAGCCTAGAAGGGCTCCACAATGGACATCATGAAGGCAAATCACAGGAACAAATCACAATGGTCTACATCTTGAGTGACCAATGATCTTGGTAGCCCAGGACTTTCCAGGTGTTAGCACTGAGAGACGCATATCTAGGAAAAATCCTTCAGTTCCGTGCAAACCAACATTTGTCATTTCCCCATCCCATTCTTTGTCTGCGGCACTAGTCCAAGAAGGATGGATATTTCAAGAAATGAAGTTAAACCTTCTAACTTTTTCCTAAGCACTAGAGATTCAGAGTCAGAATTTAAAAAGGAATGACCAAGAATAAAGTTTTATTTTCTGACACGACAGAATTTGTGAATCAAGAGTAATACCTACCATAACTGAATACCATAAAAAAGGAAAGAATGAAAGTTTTTCAGAGGAAAATTGATAGCCTCCAATTCTATACTGAGCCAAAATACTCTATAGAACCACCAAATAGCCCCATCATTGCAAAAGTTAGAAAACATTGTAAAACATCGTAAATATATTTTAATGAAAGAAAATGAAAGGACAAACTAAAAAAATACAAAGAAAAGGCAAATAGCAGAATGCATTAAACAGTTACTCAAGTAGGATTAGTCATATTGCATGTGATAATATTAATGAGTTAAACTCCCTCTTAAGTAACAAAACTCTCCATTTGCATTTAAAAAAATAATTCATTCACAGGCTGTAATAAGAGTAATGCCTAAAATCGAACATGGCTCTGAGCCATCCAATATTCAGGCTCTCTCCTGAAACCCCATTGTAACATCAATAAAGATGTTATTTTAAAAGACACAAACTGAAAAATGGAAGAAAATGAAAGTAGAGACACACCAACAGAATCCTGAAGCCTGGAAAGCATGTGAATAAGTGGCTTTGTTCTGATTTGCACTGCCAAATCTTCCAAAGGCTCAGAAATGGATGTCCACAGAGACTCTGTAGTGGGGCTGGTGTTGAGAAAGGAGGTTGGTTGAGAGCTGCTTGAGGAGTGTTATTTGCCTAGCTCTCTCCCACTCTGTGCCCTTAGTGGCTGCCCCTCCCTGACCTAGCATAATAGATGTCTAAAATTTTATTCTCTGGAAACTTGAAAGAGAGGGTCTCTGGACAGAGGGACACCAGGAAAAGTTGAAAGCACATGTGCTGTAACAAAATAAACAAACAAAAATGAAAGGAATATTAAGAGAACATCTGCAAACTGAGTGATGAGACTTTCTACTTAATTATCCCTGCCTTTTACCAGAATGCTGCAGCCAGGACTTAACTTCTAGACAAGAGGCTAGAGGGATTTTTCCTAGGAAATACTACCAGCCCAAGAAGGAGAGGACTTAAGAGACTCACACCGAGGAAGCCCCAACAAATGTCTCAGATAATCTTACTGTGCCTTACTGTGAATCCCAAGATCAGTGGGTCCCATTCTCATGCACAGAGTTTAAAATTAGATTTTCAGACCTTTCACTCTTTTTTTTCTTCACTTAGTCCTTTATTTAAGGAAGTCTAGAGATGGATATTAATATTAACAGAATCTCAAAAGTTGAATTACTGAGGATATATTCAGCAAATAATTTAAGAGTGCCAGATTTAATGATTTGAAACACGTCTCCATATTGGATGAACTCATATTCCCTATGTAATTCTTTTTTTTTTTTTAATACTTTAAGTTCTACGGTACATGTGCACAATGCGCAGGTTTGTTACATATGCATACATGTGCCATGTTGGTGTGCTGCACCCATTAACTCATCCTTTACATTAGCTATATCTCCTAATGCTATCCCTCCCCTTTCCCCCCAACCCCATGACAGGCCCCGGTGTGTGATGTTCCCCTTCCTGTGTCCAGGTGTTCTCATTGTTCAGTTCCCACCTATGACTGAGAACATGCAGTGTTTGGTTTTTTGTCCTTGCAATAGTTTGCTGAGAATGATGGTTTCCAGCTTCATCCATGTCCCTACAAAGGACATGAACTCATCCTTTTTTATGGCTGCATAGTATTCCATGGTGTATATGTGCCACATTTTCTTAATCCAGTCTGTCATTGACGGACAATTGGGTTGGTTCCAAATCTTTGCTATTGTGAATAGTGCCACAATAAAATACTGGCAAACTGAATCCAGCAGCACATCAAAAAACTTATCCACCATGATCAAGTGGGCTTCATCCCTGGGATGCAAGGCTGGTTCAACATACACAAATCAACAAATGTAATCCAGAATATAAACAGAAAAGACAAAAACCACATGATTATCTCAATAGATGCAGAAAAGGCCTTTGACAAAATTCAACAGCCCTTCATGCTAAAAACTCTCAATAAATTAGGTATTGATGGGATGTATCTCAAAATAATAAGAGCTATCTATGACAAACCCACAGCCAATATCATACTGAATGGGCAAAAACTGGAAGCATTCCCTTTGAAAACTGGCACAAGACAGGGATGCCCTCTCTCACCACTCCTATTCAACAGTGTTGGAAGTTCTGGCCAGGGCAATCAGGCAAATGAAAGAAATAAAGGATATTCAGTTAGGAAAAGAGAAAGTCAAATTGTCCCTGTTTGCAGATGACATGATTGTATATTTAGAAAACCCCATAGTCTCAGCCCCAAATCTCCTTCAGCTGATAAACAACTTTAGCCAAGTCTCAGGATACAAATCAATGTGCAAAAATCACAAGCATTCTTATACACCAATAACAGACAAACAGAGAGCCAAATCATGAGTGAACTCCCATTCACAATTGCTTCAAAGAGAATAAAATACCTAGGAATACAACTTACAAGGGATGTGAAGGACCTCTTCAAGGAGAACTACAAACCACTGCTCAATGAAATAAAAGAGGACACAAACAAATGGAAGAACTTTCCATGCTCATGGATAGGAAGAATCAATATCATGAAAATGGCTATACTGCCCAAGGTCATTTATAGATTCAATGCCATCCCCATCAAGCTACAAATGACTTTCTTCATAGAAATAGAAAAAACTACTTTAAAGTAAATATGGAACCAAAAAAGAGCCTGCATTGCCAAGACAATCCTAAGACAAAAGAACAAAGCTGGAGGCATCACGCTACCTGACTTCAAACTATACTACAAGGCTACAATAACAAAAACAGCATGGTACTGGTACCAAAACAGAGATATAGACCAATGGAACAGAACAGAGCCCTCAGAAATAATACCACACATCTACAACCATCTGATCTTTGACAAACCTGACAAAAAACAAGAAATGAGGAAAGGATTCCCTATTTAATAAATGGTGCTGGGAAAACTGGATAGCCATATGTAGAAAGCTGAACTGGATCCGTTCCTTACACCTCAGATCTTTCACTCCTAAACACACTAAAGGACCCAAAGTTACCAGGTGTTTTAGGAAAGTGTCTCATATAAAAGCTAACAGGCCAAAACAAACAGAAAAAGAAGACAATCTGGAGGAAGAGAAAATAATTTTAAAAGAAGGGAAAAAACCATATCATTAATAACCTAAGAGAGATACTGAATCTGTGATTAAAGTATATACAGAATCTTTTTAAAAAGAAATAACTATTTAGAGAATTTTTTTAAGCCTTGGAATTAATAATGCCATGAAAGCTAAGAAAAAATGATATAAGCTTTGATTACAAAAAAAGTTAATACAAAGACGAAAAACAACTGGTAAGAGTAAGAAAATTAGAAATCTATGCAAGAGATTTAATGTCTGAGTAAATGGATTTAAGAAAAGAGGCCGGGCACGGTTGCTCACGCTTATAATCCCAGCACTTTGGGAGGCCGAGGCGGGTGGATCACGGGGTCAGGAGATCGAGACCAGCCTGGCTAACACAGTGAAACCCCGTCTCTACTAAAACTACAAAAAATTAGCCAGGCATGGTGGTGGGCATCTGTAGTCCCAGCTACTCGGGAGGCTGAGGCAGGAGAATGGCGTGAACCCAGGAGGCAGAACTTGCAGTAAGCCGAGATCGCACCAGTGCACTCCAGCCTGGGCGATAGAGCCAGACTCTGTCTCAAAATAAAATAAAATAAAGAAAGAAAGAATTGAGAAAATAATAAATAATGAATGATGTAATTTAAGAACGTTTTCCAGAATTAAAGGACTTAGGTTTCTATCTAGTGCCCAAGACAATGGAGTTAAAAAAGTTGTACTCTAAGGTACATCACTATGACATTTCCAAATAATAGAGAAAAGAAATTCTATAGACTTACAGAAAGGGGAGTACAGGAAGGCTCATATAAAATCAAAAATAAGAATGTCTTCCTTCTAAATAGCAACACAAAGAACCAAGCTATGAAGTCATGCCTTCAAAATTCTGAAAAGAAATAATGATCAACCGAGCAGAATTTTACTGCAGCCGAAATATCAACGAAGTGTCAAGATAAATTTGAGCTATCTTCTGACCACCAATGTCTCAAAATATTCACCTGTCATTTATAGAAATATGTTGTAGAATATGACACACCAAAATCAATGAGAGAAAAAAAGAAGATATGAGAATATAGAAAACACAAAAATCTAACAATGGAGTAAAGGAATCTCTATGAGGATGATGACAGGAAATTTCATGGTAACAGTTGAATTCCAGATGGACAAAATATCTAGTGAAGCTGGCCCAGATTCTTATTCATTATTGTGTTGATTTAACCATGTGCTGAGAAAAGTTTTATTCTCTCCTTCATGCCATAAAAAAATTTCTTCTTTGCTGTACTTGTAGGAGCTAGAGGTAAACTATAGTAATTTTAGAGGCAGAACATGCAAAGCAGCCCCAAACTCTCTTCCATGTCCCTATGGGATGCCTGGTACCTGTCCCAGGCCACAGCTCTGCCAGACAACTGGACAGCAGTGATCTTTGTGATCCTTGTGTTTTGACACCTACTCTAGGCCACAGGCTCTGGCTTTCTCAAAAGATAACCTTGAAATCACTCTGTAAAATCTTGGTTCAACTTACCTTCTTCAGAAAACGTTTGTCTAATAATACAACTATTGCCCTTTTCTTAGGCTTGTGGAGTGCTAATCATCATACTAATATTTCATATTCATTTGGATTCACAGTGGTTGATATAATTTTGTAAAAATCCTTGAAAAAAATGAAATAAGAGGAAGGGCAAAAGCTTACCAAAATATGCCAAACCAATGATAAAAACAAGAAATCTAAAAAAAAAAATCAGACGAGGAATATTACAGATAAAGTATATTGTGAGGCCATGAAAAGGAGAATCATTCTGTCTTGATAAAGTGTACAGCCCACGATGAAAATATAATAGTCTTTAATATGCTACATGTGTTGTGATATGTTAATGCATACTGATAACTCACATCAGAATTCATGAAGCAAATGCTATCTGGAAATTGATGGACATAAAATTGTCATGGGAAACTTGACCTTGACAAAATAAATACACAGAGAATATGACAAAAAAATTAATACTAAGAACTATTTATGACAAACCCATAAGCAATATCATGCTGAATGGGCAAAAGATGGAAGCATTCCCTTTGAAAACTGGCACAAGACAAGGATGCCCTCTCTCACCACTCCTATTCAACATAGTATTGGAAGTTCTGGCTAAGACAATCAGACAAGAGAAACAAATAAAGGGTATTCATCAAATAGGAAAAGAGGAAGTCAAATTGTCTCTGTTTGAAGATGACATGATTCTATATTAGAAAACCCCATCGTCTCAGCCCAAAAACTCCTTAAGCTGATAAGCAACTTCAGCAAAGTCTCAAGATACAAAAACCAATGTGCAAAAATCACAAGCATTCCTATGCACCAACAATAGACAAGCAGAGAGCCAAATCATGAGTGAACTCCCATTCACAATTACTACAAAGAGAATAAAATACCTAGGAATACAACTTACAAGGCATGTGAAGGAACTCTTCAAGGAGAACTGCAAACCACTGCTCAAGGAAATAAGAGAAGACACAAACAAATGAAAACACATTCCATGCTCATGGATAGGAGGAATCAGTATCATGAAAATGGCCATACTGCCCAAGGTAATTTATAGATTCAATGCTATTTCCATCAAGTTACCAGTGACTTTCTTTGCAGAATTAGAAAAAACTACTTTAAATTTCATATGGAACCAAGAAAGAGCCTGTATAGCCAAGACAATCCTAAGCAAAAAGAACAAAGCTGGAGGCATCATGCTACCTGACTTTAAACTATACTACAAGGCTACAGTTACCAAAACAGCCTGGTAATGGTACCAAAACAGACATATAGACCAATGGAACAGAACAGAGACCTCAGAAATAACACCAGACATCTATAGCCATCTGATCTTCGACAAACCTGACAAAAACAAGCAATGGAGAAAGGATTCCTTATTTAATAAATAGCGCTGGGGAAACTGTCTGGCTATATGCAGAAAACAGAAACTGGACCCCCTCTTTATACCTTATACAAAAATTAACTCAAGATGAATCAAAGACTTAAATGTAAAACCCAAAACCATAAAAACTCTAGGAGAAAACCTAGGCAATACCATTCAGGACATATGCATGGGCAAAGACTTCATGACTAAAACACCAAAAGTATTTGCAACAAGAGCCACGATTGACAAATGAGATCTAATCAAACTAAAGAGCTTCTGCACAGCAAAAGAAACTATCGTCAGAGTGAACAGGCAATGTACAGAATGGGAGAAAATTTTTGCAAGCTACCCATCTGACAAAGGTATAATATCCAGAATCTACAAGGAACTTAGACAAATTTACAAGAAAAAAACAAACAACCCCATCAAAAACTGGGCAAAGGATATAAACAGACACTTCTCAAAAGAAGACATTTATGTGGCCAACAAGCATATGAAAAAAAAGCTCATTGTCACTGGTCATTAGAGAAATGTAAATCAAAACCACAATGAGAATGGCGATCATTAAAAAGTCAGGAGACAACAGATGCTGTGGAGGATGTGGAGAAATAGGAATGCTTTTACACTGTTGGTGGGAGTGTAATTAGATCAACCATTATGGAAGATAGTGTGGCCATTCCTCAAGGATCTAGAACCCTAAATACCATTTGACCCAGCAATCCCATTACTGAGTATGTATCCAAAGGACTATAAATCATTCAGCTATAAAGACACATGCACATGTATGTTTATTATAGCACTATTAACAATAGCAAAGACTTGGAACCAACCCAAATGACCATCAATGATAGACTGGATAAAGAAAATGTGTCACATATACATGATGGAATACTATGCAGCCATAAAAAGAATGAGTTCCTGTCCTTTGCAGGGACATGGATGAAGCTGGAAATCCATCATTCTCAGCAAACTAACACAGGAACAGAAAACCAAACACCACATGTTCTCACTCATAAGTGGGAGTTGAACAATGAGAACTTATGGGCGCAGGGAGGGGAACATCACACACCAAAGCCTGTTGAGGAATGGCGGGCAAGGGGAAGGAGAGCATTAGGAGAAATATCGAGTGCATGCAGGGCTTAAAACCTAGATGATGGGTTGATAGGCGCAGCAAACCACCATGGCATATATATATACCTATGTAACAAACCTACATGTTCTGCACATGTATCCCAGAACTTAAAGTAAAATAAAAATAATGAATTTGTGTGCTATATTTAACTATCTAGATAAAATTCATGTTTTAAGGAAAACGTATTACTAGAATTGAACCAACAGGAAGAAAAATCTCAGTAAACTGTGGAAGAAATTGGAGCCAAATCGTTATGGTGGTAAATTTTCTCAATTTTCAAGGAAGAATATGAGAATATTTATATAGTCTCATTTTGAGGATTATGCTTCTACATGTGCAGGTGAAGGCAGACTCAAAAAGCAGAATGTAAATAGTACCTAAATGCTTTATGTAAAAAATAAATAAAATTTAAAAAGAAATGACAAACTTAGAAGAGGAGGGGAACATTGTGAATATATATGACAGAAATTTAATATCCTTAATATGCAGAAGTTCTTAGAAGCAAATTAAAATTACATGGGGCATAATAGGGGGCAAAGGGCAAAATATTGAGGTTTGCTCAGGTTTATGTGATGGGCACACAGACTGGTTGCTCAGAAAGAATTACAAATGACCAAAAAGCTATGAAAAAATTATTTGATGACTATTAAAGAAATGCAAATTACATCCACAATGACACCTAATTTTAATCTGTTTAATAAAGGTTAAATACAATAATTATTATAATGTATTGCTATAAAAGGGGGGAAATGGGAATTGCCAAAACCATCTAGGAAAGAAATCTGAAACAGTAAAGGAAGAGACATTAAAGCTGACATTCATAATATTTTTGCCCAGAAAACCCAGTTCTAGAAAATGATCTTAAGAAAATAATTATACATGCACAAACCAATATATAAGAACAATCTGGATGTTTTCATAATAAAGTGAAAATAAAGTGAGTTTCATTAAAAAGTGAGAAACATTCCATATGTGTATCAAAACTGAATGGTTTGCATATAAGGTGATTTATCTACTTAAGAAGTTGTTTTAGCCATGAGAAATCATACTAACAATAATTTAAAATTTTGGAAATTTCTATAATAATGTGTAAATTAAATAACTCAATAGAAAATTACATATGTGGTACAATCCCAATATAAACATGTTTGAGCATGGATGCGTGTGTTTTATGTGTATACAATTATACACAAATGTTAAGAAGAAAAGGCTAAAAATTATACAAAAAATTTAACTGTGCTTATTTCTGGGTGATGGAATTAAGAGTGAGATTTCTATTTTTTCTACTCATGTTCTACTAATACGTTTATTCAGAAGTAGTAATCATTCTAAACAGCAAGCTGCAACCCTCTTCAATGGAATTGGAAAGTGACAAATATGAAATGAATGGTTCTCCAAGGCATTTGATTGCTATTAGAATAGGCTTAGTCTTCCTACTGGCAGAAAAAAATCCAAAATAACCAATAAAACTTGTTCACACAACTGTGCTGACAATGATATTAATGCCTAGAACAACACAGCAGTTAACTAAGGGAAAACCATGCTGGGTTTGACTCAATGAGAACCAGAGGAGGGTAAAAGCAAATGGAAAAAGATGAAATTGACAGGAAAAGCAAATGGTAATTTCAAGCTCCCGGCCTGGGTGGGCAGTTTGGGTAGGAAGCTAACCTCTCCAGAGTTTGGGTTCACTGACCACAAGTGAAACAAGGATTTGCAGAGCAGGCCAGATCGAGGTAAATAGCTATAAAAGTGTTCTGCCCTGTAAGTACCACCCTGAAATATAATTAACCACCAGAACAAAAGAAAACAGTGCCCAGGGTTTCTCCATTCAGGAAACAAATCTAAAGAGCAGGAACTGGAGCCATGTGCCAACACTTCCCCAAGATCAGAGGCCAAGAAAATAGCATAATATCTGAAAAATAAATTTGGTTAGATTCTCGCAGAACTTTCTAACTCACCTCTTTGGAACTGTACTGTTTAGTTCTAAGGACCACTTATGAAAGAAGTCTGGGTATTAATTCTATCCTAAAACCATAACAATTATGAAGTTATATTTACATGGTTATATTTACTTTGGTAAATTATATGAGCTATTTCTAACATATTGGAAGAAAGAGCTAATCTACCTGGATTATGAAAATGCTTATTCTACTTTAAAGATAAACACACACACACACACATACTCATATACTTATAAGTATGTATATGTAGATTTAGTAGCTTCAATTCTTTTTTTTCCTGTTAATCCATTTAAGCATTCAACCATTCAACAAATGTTCTGTAAATACAGGACATTTACTATGCCCTAGGCATTAAGAAGTATATAAAGTTATACAAGTCACATGCATACTTCTTTAAATCTAGTGGGAGGGAATAAAATATTAATATATAAATATAAAAAAAGGCTCTTACTTGCAAGAATAGGCTAGGCTACACTATAGTAAATAACAAAAACAACCTGATACATCAGTGGCTTCCCATAATAAAGGTTTATTTATCATTCACCAAAGTCTTAAGGAGGTAAATTGGTTCTCCAGAATGATGTTGCATCACATCATGACCCAAGACCACAGGATGCTTCTAAAACATGGCTTCCAAAGTTGCTGTCAAAGGAGAAAAGAGATGGAAGAGGCACATTGGCTCTTAAATATCTCAGAGCAAAAATGACCTGTCATTTCATTTACTATTTGTCAGAATTCAGTAATACCGGCCTTTAGTTGGTTACTCTGTGAAGCAGACTCAGCCAACGATTTACATCCAAGTGGTTTATTTCACAAGTAATACTGGGAGAAATCAATAGTGAATGAGAAACACAAGATATGAAACCTAAGCAAGGAGGCAATTTCAGTCATTATCTATGGATATGCCACTGGATGTGGTGAAATGAACACACAGATATAAAACTCAGGCATTTCCACATCTTAAAGATGAGGCAGCATCAGCACCTGGAGGAAACATCTAAAGGTGAAGGTTCCAACCATTAGCAGCAATCTGGCACACAGACTGGTTACAGGGAGATCTGAGGGACTGGGCAGGGCAACAATAGTGTCTGCTCCAAATTGTAACAAAATTCAAGGAAGCTAAAAAGAAAGAATTGTCCTCATGAAGAGTAAATTTTGTAGTAAACATGTGGTGTTGAGTCTGCCATGTACGAGGCTATGTGATGTAAGCAGAGAACACTGCAATAGCTTAGTTATAAGACTGAAGGTTGACAGTTAGCTCCGTTCATCTTTCTAGTGATTGCAAAAATGAACAGAACAATGAACAATATCAATATTGATATAAATTCTTTATTGATCAAAGGATGAGTGTGTGTTTTATATATCAGATAAGTATTATACTATTATGTCTAATAAAAGAATATGGACTAAAATGCAGATTTCAACAGTAGTTTCAAAAAGCATAGGAAATCAACTTAAAGAAGGCTAATTATTTTCTTCTTTTAGTAGAAAAGGCTTTTGATGTATTAGCCTTAGAGAAAAATGTTGACCACTGATTTAAAATTATACATTTATTAATGTAAATGAAGGAAGTTGCTCAGCACAATGCCTGCACAAAACAAGTTCTTGATAGATATTTATTTTGACATTTATATTACCTAAAACCAAAATAAGAAAGTGATTCCTTAGCAAGCACAAAATAATTTTCATGTATGACAATGTTAAGCTCTTAAGAATTTCTTTTTTTATAATAACAAAATTTGTTTTAAAAGAACCTTAAGACATAAATGATCCAGTTGTGATTCAGACATGTAAGAGAAACCTAAACTCAGCCTTCAAGCCCAAATCAACCACATTTCTAATTCAAGTGAAGAACACAAAGCATTTTTTAAAATTCAACATCATTACAGACATAGTCTGATCCTTTTCAGAGATTGTTCTACCTATAACTTTGTAGAAATTTCTTAACAGATTTTCTTTCAATCTTGATTGTGTTTTATTCCACGTTTTCCTCTCTTTTTTGTTAATTGGCTCCATTTTCATGTAATTATGCTACTCATATGGTGATTTTCACATTAATGCATACAGAACTACTATGCTATGTGATTATAATAAAGATGGTTCAGGCCCGGCGCGGTGGCTCAAGCCTGTAATCGCAGCACTTTGGGAAGCCGAGGTGGGCGGATCACGAGGTCAGGAGATGGAGACCATTCTGGCTAACACGGTGAAACTCCGTCTCCACTAAAAATACAAAAAATTAGCTGGGAGTGGTGGCGGGCACCTGTAGTCCCAGCTACTCGGGAGGCTGAGGCAGGAGAATGGTGTGAACCCAGGAGGCGGAGCTTGCAGTGAGCCGAGATGGCGCCACTGCACTCCAGTCTGGGCGAAAGAGTGAGACTCATGAAGGAAGGAAGGAAGGAAGGAAGGAAGGAAGGAAGGAAGGAAGGAAGGAAGGAAGGAAGGAGGGAAGGAAGGAGGGAGGGAGGGAGGGAGGGAGGGAGGGAGGGAGGGAGGGAAGGAAGGAAGGAAGGAAGGAAGGAAGGAAGGAAGGAAGGAAGGAAGGTCGGTCGGTCATGGCCCAGTTTTTCCATTGCATTGTCATTAACCAGAAACACAAGAATAGTATCAACCTTAAAATATACCGTACCTGGGTTTAAACAATCATCTCAGTTACAGAATTATCATTATTGAAGGTAAAACCAAAATACTGCACTAATGCTATGCAGCCATAAAAAAAGATGAGTTCCTGTCCTTTGCAGGGACATGGATGAAGCTGGAAACCATCATTCTTAGCAAACTAACACAGGAACAGAAAAGCAAACACTGCAAGTTCTCAGTCATAAGTGGGTGTTGAACAATGAGAACACACGGACGCAGGGAAGGGAACATCACATACCAGGGCCTGTCAGGGGGTAGGGGGTCTAGGGGAGGGATAGCATTAGGAGAAATACCTAATGTGGATGACGGGTTGATGGGTGCAGCAAACCACCATGGCACATGTATACCTATGTAACAAACCTTCAAGTTCTGCACATGTATCCCAGAACTTTATATATATATAAACTTGACTGCCAAAAAAAAAAAAAAACTGAACACGCTGAAAACATTTCATCCATAACACTATGTCCTGAAGGTTGTTCCTCACTGTATCTATTGACTTGACCCATCCAAACAAAGAAAAATTCCCAAAAAGAGCAAGTACTGCTAAAGACAGATAGCAGTACTTCGAAAGTCCTAAAAAAAAAATCCTAAAACATTGTTCTTATGCAATCATTCTTAGAGCAGCAAGAACACAGCTCTCAGTTGGCTTTAGCTGCCAAAATAAAACCCAAAGAGTTGTAAAAATCCCACAAATTTAGTTCAACTGTTTAAAACATATTTTTGAACCCCCTGCTATGTGCTGAGCCCTATTGTCTTCTGTAAGTATAAAAATGTGTAAGACATTTTCTTGCTGATACTGGAATAAACACATTTAATCAAAGCCTGATATCAAGTCTAGATAAATGATGGCTATCTAAAGAATATTCCCAAAGAGATCCATTAGCATTATGATTCGGTCAAAACTGGTGCTTAAATAATAATTAACAATCATTTGTTAAGCTCCCATAGCACTCTAGACTCTGAAATCAACCTAAATATATGAAACTTTCACTCATTCCCATGGTGATTTTGGGAATAATGGCCCTATTGTTTGAAGATCTCTCATCTCTAATTACTTATCTGCAAAAAAAAAAAAAAAACCATGCACATTGAGATGCTTTGTTTCATTACATTTAATAGAAAGTTTACACATGGAGACTGCCCAGTACTTTGTACATATGCTACACTATTTGTCCTTAAGTCTACGGATTTCCTTTACTTGGCATGAATTATAGGAGAAGTGCCTAACACCCAGACTGAGTGAGTTATTCTAGCTTATGGTGGTGTTGGAGAGAAAAGTGCATAAACCAGAGGATGTCATTAGACCAGTGACAATGGAGGAGAAAATATCCAGTGCTGACAGCCCTGCTCACTTGCAAGCTGATGGGTGTCAACGTGCAGAGCAGTACAGACAGAATGGCTTAGGAAGGGGTTTGCCGCATCTGGCAAGAAAGGAAGTGTAACAACAAAAAGAGAACAAAATATTGTATGTCTGTGTTTGCTCCACCTAGGAAAAGCAGACACAATGAATCTACAGTATATATAGAGAAGGAACTAACCACATGTATTAATACCGTCTTTGTGCCTCAGCTGTAAAACAGATTCTGGGCTTGTAGTTAAAGTGGCTGCACAGATGGGGCCTTTTCCCCTTTCTTTGCAATATTCTATATTCTAATTATGATTTGCACTGCTTCTGGCATGAAAGCAAGGCCACTGATGTGGCCCCAAGAGTAGGCATGATAAAAAGCCAGGCCCATGAACTCATGCGGCCGCTCTTTTCCACTTCCCTTCTCCTCCTTCTGCTAATTCACTATGAAAATTTTCTTTTTTTGGACAGCTTTTGGAATTCTTCAGTCTGTCTCTGGTTCCTTTTCACTCCCTGAAAGAAAGAAGATTCAACCTTCTAAAGGAACTCAAGACTTACTGGCAGGAGAGGGAGCATAGACTGATTAATAATGTGGTACAAAACTCTGCAAGTATATAAAGTGCTAATAGCCGATTATAGTAAAATAACTTTTAAGGACTAACTAAATTATCTTGGAGTCTACATAAAATCCAAGCGCAAAATCTGTATCATAGGGCACAAATCTCCCACCTCATATGGTACTTCATTTTGGCTCTAAATGTGAAGTTAGTTAATTGTAATACTTAAAGGAATAACACCAACAAGTTAATGAAAATCTCTATATACGATGTTCCAAGTCATCTTATTTTATTTCTGTTATTGCCAGAAGAGCCTTACAAATCTTCTGTCCTGTAAAATTGATGTTTAATGAACTTCACCTTAATAGTCTGTCAAACTCTTATGAAGAACAAATGTTCTTCATAATTTATCATGTAAGCTATATAGCTGTAAATATAGGAAAGAATCTTACATAATTTGTACATATGTTTTAGCTCTTTAATATACTAACACAATTACCAGGTACACCCTTCTATTTCAGTGTCATCTTTTTAAACACTCAAAGAGAATTTTTCTTCTTTTTTGTCTGTTGCAGTCATTTTTCCCCCAGAATCTCAATACTGGCTTTTGCCATTAGGTAATCAGAAGCATTGCTATACTTACTCATCAATTCATTCAGTTATCCATTCAGCAAATATTTACTGAATGCCAACTATGTTCCAGGAATTATTCTAGGAAGTACAGTAGTTCATAAAACAGAATGGAGCAAAAATTCTACCCAATAGAGGTAGATAATAGGTAAAATAAACAAGTAAAGTGTATAATAAGCTAGATATATGAATAGATGTCATGGAAAAAAATTAAGAAATGAATATATAAACAAACAGAATGGAATATCAAATATTGTGACCAAGAAATGTTTCACAGAGAAGGATAGTTAAATGCATCTATAAAGAAAGACAGAAATACAGTTAGATGGACTTGTGATAGAGAATTGTTCTGTAAAGGAAACAAGTACAACAGTTTTGAAGATAGATTATGAGTGAAGCATGCGAGGAAGAGCAAGGTGGTGAATGTGGCCGAAATAGATTAACAAGTAGATGATGATCACAGAGCCCTGAACAGACCATATTATGTAGAACACTGTAAACTCATTCCTACTCTGTTTAAGATGAGAAGACATTGGAGAGTTTGTGTAAAAGAGTGACATGTATGAATTTATGCTTTATAAATCTCTTATATCGATGATAAACTGTTGGGATAACAAAGGCAGAAACAAGGATACGAGTTAGGAGGTTATTGCAATTCCTTAGACCAAAATTGATAATGATCTGGAATGAACTAAGAGCCATGAAGAGAGTACAGACTGGTTGGATTATAGATGTATTTTAAAGGTACAGTGAGCAGCACTTGGTGACAGACTGGATACAGGTTATGAAAGAAGGAGAAAGGTCACATATGAATCCCAGGATTTAGGTCTGAGAAAATGAAAATGTGGAGTTGCCATTTATGGAAATGGGGAAGACTCATTGAGAAGCAGGTTTGAAGAGAAAGATGGAGTGTAACTTTGGACTTGCTAAATTGCAGATGCTTATTGAATATCTAAGAAAAGAGAGCTGAAGTTGAGAAGAGAGGCATAAGCCATTTAAAAATCAAATGATTTTTAAAATTATGAAAAAGATGAGGTTGTCAAAATAGTGAGTATAGGGAGAAAAGAGCAGAGTCTAAGGACTGAGCCTTGTGGTACTTTGACAATTTGTGTTCTGAGAGATTAAGAGAAATCCTCAAAGGAGACCAAGAAGGAGCAGCCAGTGAAATAGAAAAAAATTGGAGAGTGTAGTATCCTGGAAGCCACATAAGGCAACTTCTAGAGAGGAGGGAGTGATCAACTGTATCAAAATCTGGTAAAAGTTTAAGTAAGATGGTGAAAAAATAAGAACCTACCATTGGATTTAGTGATATGGAGGCTGCTGGTACTTTTGGTAAGAAAATTATATTAGAGTAGTGAGTTCAAAAGCTTATTTGGAGAAGGTTTAAAAAAGAAGGTAGGAGTAGAATTGGGGATGAATTTAGACAATATTTTGAAAGGTTTTTCTGTAAAAGGAAATGAGGAAAATCAATGGTAGCTGAGTGGGAGGATGGAAGCAATAATATCCTCTTTTCAGACGGGAGGAATAAGAGCATGTTTATAGGTTGACATAAACAATTCAGTAGAAAGTAGGTGGAAATGATACAGGAAGGAGAAGAATGTCTTGAAGTAGGAGAGAAAGCAAGCAGTCTCCTGCCACATGGAGAGATTGTCATTGGATAGGAACACCCTTAAGTCATCCACTGTCCAAGAAACACATGCAAGTATGTGGTTTGTTATGATGGCAGGAGCTTGTGGAAACTCTCTTTTGAGTGTTTCTATTTTCTCTGGAAGCAAGGTCATCAGCTAGGAGTTAGGGTTTAGGAGAAAGTATTAGAAGTTAGAAGAGAGAATAAAAAGTATGAAATATTTTTCAGGGGGAGTGGGAGAATGAATGATGTGAAGAAATAAGATTGTCAGGTGGCATTAAGGACCCACTTGAAATTAGAGGTCATAAAGTTGAAAGAAGACAATCATTATGGTTGTGTTTTTCTACAGCCATGTCTACCAGTACAAAAGCAGATGTGGAGTAGGTAGAGAGATGGATTTCATCACAGGTTAGCCAGGGATGAAAATGTCAAGACAGATACAAGACAATAAGGAGAGAAGATTATTATAATGATAGAACATGGAATGTAAGGTGAGTAAATAAGAGGACCAAAAGTTACAGTAATGGACAAGGAAAAAGTGGTATGAGCAATTGATTTCAGCCCCAGTGGGATACAGTGGGAGTGAACTGGAAAGACAAGTGGTGGTCATAGAGAGAAATGCCTGAAATCGACATCTTTAAAGAAGTTAACAATCATTGGTAAAAACAAGAAACTATACTGTGCAGCCATAGTACGAATTGTCTTATGTAGATGGAAGGTGATAATTTAAGAGAAGAGGATGTCAAAGAACTGAGAAACTGATTGAAAATAGGTTTTGAAATCACAAAGAATTAAATCAGGAATAGTTTGGAGAAGAGCAACTTTCACCTAAAAACTAAACTCCTGAAGGAAAAAGAGAGAGTGACCTGGAGGCCAGTAAATGAGCGAAAAAAGGAAGGAAGGGTAATGTATAGTCTCCCAGCATGAGCTTTAAAGCTGCAAATATGTACAAGTGAAAGAGAACAGATTACCTAGAAGTGTCAATGAGCAACAAGTGCATCTGCTTCATCACCAGGCCGAGTATTTAAAAATACTTTTAAAAAGCATTTTCATTTTTATAGTTTAAAGTTCTCGTACGAGGCCTGCCATATAATTTAACCTAATTTTTCAGACAATTAAATTATATGATTAGTATTATTGACATCCTCTATTATATAGCTAAAAAACTGCCCATAGTCATGCACATAAAGTTTACATTATTCCAGATGAATTAATCAAATGTCAATGGACAGAAAACAAACTCACTTAAATATTCTTTTGGTTTTTAAGTTGGAACTCTCAAACAATAATAAAGATAAATCCTCCTGGGACCAGGCACGATGGCTGACGCCTGTAATCCCAGCACTTTGGGAGGCCGAGGCGGGCAGATCACAAGGTCAGGAGACCAAGACCATCTTGGCTACATGGTGAAACCCCGTCTCTACTAAAAATACAAAAAAATTAGCCAGCTGTGGTGGTGCACACCTGTAGTCCCAGCTACTCGGGAGGCTGAGGCAGGAGAATTGCTTGAACCCGGGAGGCAGAGGTTGCAGTGAGCTGAGATCACGCCACTGCACTCCAGCCTGGGCAAAAGAGCGAGACTCCGTCTCAAAAAAAAAAAAAAAAAAAAGATAAATCCTCTTTTACGTGTTGCTTTGAAGCCTGGGAGTCGAGTGTGGCACCAGTGGGAGATTACTGTTGGCACAATTACAGACAAGCCAGCCTGCCATGTGGCACTAAACGCCTGTGCTGCAGCCATGATCTCAATCTTCCAGGCACTCTACCCAAGATTATCTAGAAATTTGGTGTTAGTCTACCATATTAATAAGAAATATTACATTTGTTTCTTTCCTGTAAGGTGTGTGGTATATAGTTAATTGTACGAACAGGGCCAGAGAAAAAGTCAAGTGCTTAATTATAAAAGATGAAAGACCCAATTCAAAACTGCTTTTTGAGGCTGAATATTTTGTCATCTTTTATTTTTTCATTTATTCCCTCAAAGAACATGTTTTGAGTGCCTCACATAGGCAAGGCACTTTGCTGGCCAGTAGAGTAGCAAATGGAAACTTAGCTTGTGACAGTTTACAATCTTCTTGCTCTTATGAAGAATAAGATTTATTCACCACCAAAAAAGGCACATAAATATAGGGGGGTGAGAATAATTTTCATTTGAATATGTTCTCCTATGTATTTCCTGAAAACTCTTGAGAAAATTGAATATATGTAGGAGGTCTTACAACACTTGAAATGAAGAATCAAATAAACTCAGAGAAAATCAGCTTCTAGGTAAATCTCCTGTGATTTTGAAAGTCAGAAATAAATGTTTGTGTCACCCCTGACATGGGGACTAGGTGATTAAAATCAACTCATATATCTTTTTTAAAAAGAAAAAGTATGAATACTAAGAACACAGATAAGATTAAATAAAAACAAGAGAGACCTGAGGGTTTAAAAAAATGCATTTGGCCATGATTCCTCTTAGGAGCAGCTAAGACAAAATGAGTAGTGTTGCAGAAAGAAATGAAAATCCCCAAGGCAACCCAGCAAAGGAAGAAGAGGTTCTCTTAAAGTATAAATGGGTCTTTGTTGAATTTTAACAAGCCATCAATGCACAGATTCCTGGAGATGTCTGAAGTTCTTCATTTAATGTGAAAATACTTTACACTTTTCCTTAAACAACAACAAAAAAAATTCACCCCACTGGCAAGGAGCCAAAGCTTGCACATTTTTTGAGTCACCACAGGAAAAGAGAAAGATGAGAGAGGCCAAGCACTTCCACATTCACACTGGAGGAAGAATGTGCCCCACTTCCCCGAGTTCTAATCAGTGGCAGTTCTGGATCCTGATTAATGAGCCCTTCCGCGCTCTTGGCCTTTCTACCCCCAACTACTGCTCTATAGTTTCAATTTTCACTCCAAATCTGGAAATGCCTCCTCAGCGAAGAAAGCGCTGAGATGATGTGGAGGGAATAAATGGGAAACGCAGATATTAGTGCTACCTGGCCAGCAGGAAATTTGAACTGTATCAACTGAGATGGCCCAAAGAGCTGTTGAAATGTAAGATGAAGTTCAGAATGGGACTACTATGTCAAGAATATGAATTTGAATTTCTTTTTGGAGGAGAGAGAAGGGAGTCAAAGTTTGAATTAAACGTTTATGAGTCAATGGGACACACCATCACTTTTTTTGTTGTGTCCTGCTCTGGACTGAGACTTCTCTGAGTCAGCTGCAGGGAGGCTTTTTAGTATTTACCCTTCTGAAAAGGACTTTCTGCACCATTTGGGTGGCTGAGCTGGACTAGCTTATCAATGGGCTATGATTTATTTAAATATGTAAATATGATATTGACAGACATATGTAATAATCATAAAACACCTATTTTGCATATGGTTTACTGGGCACTGTTTGGGTTTTATAAATACTAACTCATTTAACCTCAACAGCATGGCTATATGGCCTGAAAACTGAACACAGGAAATGCATGTAACTAATCCGTGGTCCCACAGCTAGGAAATGGTAGTCCTGGGATTTGATGATGGTTCCAGAGCTGGTGTTCACAAGTAATAAACCATGATGGTTCCAGAGCTGGTGTTCACAAGTAATAAACCATCTGCTTCACTTTTCCAATAAAATCTCTGATATGAACGCTAGTGATAATTTTCAAAACTGTGTACATACACAAGAGGAACTAACACTTCAGTAAAGTAGAAAAGGAAGCAGTATTTAAGAAGGTAACACAGAACAGTGCTTAAGAATTGAAACTGAATTTGAATTCTGTCTTCTGCCTGTTTCCAAGCAGACTTGAACAAGAAGGAACCTCCTTAAGACTCAGTTTTCCTATCTGTAGTATGGGAGCAATAAGAAGATTACTGTAAAGTTAAATGAGATGATACATATTAGATAACATACAACTAATGTAATAACATTATAGTAAATTTTAGCAATTACTTTAATGTCTTTTATATACACTGCCCCCAAGCAACCTATTAGTGAACTCACCCCAATAAAATCTAAATTTTCCACTTATTTTACTCTCAAAATATACCTTAAAAGATTGTTTTCTGTAGACTGCCAAGAATTTGAGAATGGCAGGGATGTTCTTGGTTTTAAGGGATATGAAAATTATTTTTAGTACATCCAAATTTTTGACAACAATCTGATGATATGAATGAAGCAAATAGTTAAATTAAGAAGACAGTGAGAAGTGGCTATCTTAGACACATCAGAACAAATAATGCCTCCTTAAGGGGAAACTAAGAGTTTGCACCCCAATATGTCCTTCACTCTTAGGTTTCTTCTAGACCTTGTAGTGTATAGTTGCTGTGTCCCTGGAGCAGCAGTTACTTATAGTCAGCATTGCAGCTTATGGTACCAAAAGCAGCTTTGTGACCATATCACCCTAAGTCACTCTGATGTTTCAAACTGCCAAAGAATTTGTGGTAAGAAGAATGGTAGAAGGCTTCTATAATTTAAGACCAGAGGGGTTTTTTTCCACTGGAGTGATTCAATGTGCCTGGTGTGTGCACATGTGTTCCAATACAGATGGAGACTCAAATGACTATCAGACCCTTTGGTGTGAGTTCAAATTTCCTGAAGGTGTTGGAATGTCTGTAAAACATCAGATGCCCTTTGCCTGCATTAAAAATATATATATATATTTTAATTATCTGCTGATTTGACATTTTGCTTTATCTTGGGTAAGACTTGACACTGTCTTTGAAAAATTATTCACAAAAAAATGTTTTTGAGTTTCTGGCAGGTAGCTGACTTTAGTTAAGGAGTTATATCTGATCTGTCTATAACAAAACACCAGTCTTTGTTCGTGTGTGTTCCCTCCCAAAAAATCTAAAATCTTTATTCTTGTTCCAATACTATTAGTCATATTTTTACAGAATTATTGGTGAGCCGCTGTCATCACCCTTACAATGCATTTTTCCTACTTAAGCTTCAGAAATTTTTTTCAAGGAGCCTTAGGCAATGTTATCAATACAAGTGCCGGGGTTTTTTTTCCCTAAGCATTTTGGTAATTGCAAAGTAGGTTTCTCTGATTTCTTAATTTTACATAAATCACAGTTGTTAAAGTGAGAGGAAAGAAGCCTTCTGATAATGTTGTGCTTTAAAGTAAGTGAATTCTGTAGTCAATGTCTTCCATCAGCTACTCATGTATTTTAGGTAATATCTGAGAATCAAAATGCTAAGAAACTGTGTGAGAAGGAGACTGGAGACAGATATGACCTTAAATAGGTACCCTGTATTTTCATTTCTAACCAGAAACTCAAAACATAAAAGTATTGATTAGTTAAACTACCATCAGCAATTAACCTTGTAAGTAGACTGAAGTGTAGCTGCTTATATTACATACTTTAAGGAGCACATAAAAATTCTATTTGCCCCAATTATTCTTCAGCATGGCAATTCTTGCTCCCTTTATCATGGCAGAAATTTTACCATCAGAGTCATTCTTATAGATTCCATACCAAAGATTAAATCAATGCCCTTAGAATGCCACTGTGACTATCTAATGCATGCTATTACAGCAGTCAGCATAGGCTAGCTTATGCTATTCTAACAAACAACCTTCAAGTCACAATAACAATACAACCAAGGTTTTTCTTTTTGCTGGTTCAGATTACATCTCTATTAGTGCAACAGAGGGCTTCTGTTCAGCACAGTCACTCAGGGACTTTCCTTATCATCATTCTAAAGGAAAAAAGGATTCCTGAGAGAGTCTTGCAGTAACAACTGGGTGTTCAACCCTCCAGAGTGACACCTATCACTTCTTCCTACAACTCATTTGCCAGTCCTAATCCCTACAACTGCAAATGGGCCACCAAGTGCATTTAATATGTGTCTGAATTTGGGGAATATAAAAGCTTTTGCCAAGAGCTCTAATGACTACCAACAGTTACCTCAAAGAAGGACTTCTGATTTTGAAAACAGCATTTTCCTTTTTACCAGCAAATTGTAAAGTGCTGAGTGAACAGAGGGAAAGTAGAACAAGCCCCATTGGATTGAGAGGCTTCATGGGATGGAAGTCAGAAGGAGAGGACCCTGTTTATTTGGAAGCAAAAACAGGTGTTAGAAATGGAAAAATGAAAGAGGGAGACCAATTTACTATGCAACTTTGTTCATATCAATTTTGCTTAAAATTACATTGTTTTAATTAGAGTCCATTATTTTAATGCAGATATACTTTAAAATCACATAAAATAATCAAGATTGTTCATGAGAAGACTGTCACCAAAAATACTGCATACATTTATGTTTGTGGGGTATTACAATGAACAAAACCAGGTTAATTAACCTGAATTAAAAATAGTTGAAATTTGAAATGTACATACACTAAGGTTTATGTATACAAGTTTCTATGCATGTTTAGGTAAGTGTATTGTAAGTATTCTCTGGATTCACTAATATGGATAGCTCAATTTTACTTTGAGGACTCTATGCCAGCAGCTACAGTTCAGTTTGTCTATTTCATTCTGAGACGTCAATGGCATTATAATTAATTGCACTTTTATTTGTAGTCATTCTCTCTAAGCATTAAGTTACCCATGAATGCCAGATTACTCACTGATTCTTAATTGTGTCTCAATAACTAATTCCTTTTTATTTCTGCATGGCATCATATTGTATGGATATACTGCAGTTCCTCTGTTGATGGACATTTGGATTGTTTACAGTTTGGGGCTACTATAAATAGAGATGCTTTGAACATATAGGGGCAAATCTTTGTATGGACATGTTTTCATTTCTCTTGGATATATACCTAGAAGTGGAATGATTAAGTCATAGGAAAGTGTATTTTTTTTACTTTTTAAGAAATTGCTAAGCTGTTTTCCAAATTGCTAAGCTGTTTTCCAAAGTATTTCTACCATTTTACATTCCTTTGAGCATTGTATGAGAGTTCCAGTTGCTCCATATTTTCCAAACATAATACAATCTCTTTAATTTTAGCCATTCTAATAGGTGTGCAGTGGTATCACATTGTGGATTTAATTTTAACTTCTCTAATATTGAGCATATTTTCATATGCTTATTCACCATTTGTAATCTTTTGCGAGGTGACTGTTCAAATACTTTGTTTATTATTTGGGTTGTCTCTTTTGAAAGAGACTTGTAAGAACTCTATATGTTACTGATATAAATCTTTTGTCTAATAAATACACTGTGAAGTTTCCACTAGGCTATGACTTGCCTTTTCATATCCTAACTGTGGTTTTAGAAGTGTAAAGTAATTTTTTAAAAAAGACAATTTAATCTTAGAGTAGATATTAGTTTTTCTAAATCAAGGAACTGTCCTCAAAGTTGCATCCTATTCCTTCCGACTCTGAGATATTGGGCATCATTAAGATGAGAACAGTTCAAACCTAGACATCCTCATAACGGCCACCACCACTACAACATACATTTCCTGAGTACCTAGATTCTGTCAAGCAATGTGGTTGGTTACTCAGATAGGAAGTGACTAAGACAGAGGCATTCTGAAAATTATACTTTTATCTCTGCCAAACCCAGCACATTTCTGGTAATATTTTGTGATTACTCTGACAACTTAAAAAGCAGTAAATTAAAACACACACGCACACACACACACACACACACACAATTTGTAAACATCCACTTCTGGCTCTTTTGTAAACATCTAGCTCTTTTAAATACTGCAATACTGAGACAGAAAAGAAAAATCATGCAGGTGATCTCAATATGCAGGATCAAATCTCTTTCCATTCACCCCAGCTTTTAGGAATTGATTGAGCCAACGATATAGCATTACGTAAAATAACTAATAAGAGGACTTGTTTATTTTTTATTAGTGGGCACTTTACATATACTTTTTAAATATTAAAGCAAATAGTGTATTAAAGTACACTGTGAGGAAAAATGTGTAAATTTGTAAGGTAAAAGATGAAGTTTCTAGAAAATTTTATTGTTATAGTGACTTCTGTCAATTCTACTCTCATGGCCTAGGGTTCTTTACTCATTGGCATGTGCCATTTGCCTCAATAATAACTGAGTTTTAAGCCAGAGAGAGTTTGATGTTTAAATCTTGAATGGCAGTAAAAAGTTACACGTGCAAAGAGTAAGCTCTGGCTTCGATATAATCGGATTTTTCAAGTTAATGGGCTCATAGTAAATAAAAAATTCAAACTAAAAGAAGGTATAAAGTAGAGCAAAGATATGGACGTAAAATGTGAATAATATTGTAAGCACATAGTAAAATGTAGGGTTAAACACAAACGTTAGTAATTTCAGTAAAATTCAATCCAATAATATTTAATGGATTAAATACCCTATTAAAGTCAAAGATTGTCAGACTGAATTTAACAAGAACAGCAATAAATTTATGCTTGTTACAAGAGAACATCTAAAAATAAAGCTAAGAAAATAGTTAAAAGTAACAAATAAGAGAATATAAATAGCTGAAACCAAACTAAAAAGAAAAAGCTACTATAATGATGTTGATATCAAAGAGTTTTATAAAGCAGAGCTATGAGTCTAGATAAAAAGTAACATTTTATAGTGATAAAAGGTGCAAATGACTGCAAAAATTCGACACTTCTAAATGCTTAATTACATAGCCTTCATTTTATGATACAAAATTAACAGAAAAACAAGGAAAATAGAAAAATAAATATGGAATATTTTACAAATTTTTACCCCACACTGGGCTAGAAAGCAAGGATTAAAAATCATAAAAACCACAATGTGAAAATTCTAAAGAAAAGATGTACAAACAGAATCTAACAAAATATAACAACAGTAAAGTGTTCCAGTCAGGATGAGATCATTCCAGTAATGGTAGGTTTGTTCAACATTTCAAAACCAATCAGTGTGTTTAGTTACCTTAATAGAATTTTAAAATTCAAGCGATTTTGTTTTTACGTGCAGAAAAAGAATTAGCCAAACATCAACATGTATTACTTACAAACACTTTAATAAAACTGAATTTTAAAAATCTTCCTTCTGTAATAAAGTATATCTATAAAAATCCGTGGCAGAATACAGAATTATAAAATATTAAAAGCTTCCCACCTGAATATTTTATTATCAATTCTGCAATTCAACATTCTACTAGATTCCCAAGCCATTTATTTATTTATTTATTTAAGACGGAGTCTCACTCTGTCGCCCAGGCTGGAGTGCAGTGTCATGATCTCGGCTCACTGCAACCTCTGCCTCCTGAGTTCAAGCGATTCTTCTGCCTCAGCCTCCCAAGTAGCTGGGACTACAGGCAAGCACCACCATGCCCGGCTAATTTTTGTATTTTTAGTAGAGACAGGGTTTCACCATATTGGCCAGGATGGTCTCGAACTCCTGACCTCATGATTCGCCTGCCTTGGCCTTCCAAAGCGCTGGGATTACAGGTGTGAGCCACAGCGTCCGGCCCCAAACCATTATTTTGTAAGCAAGTTTATTTAATATGCATCATAAACTGCTGTCTTTCAGTGAATGGAAGAGTTTGACAGAGAAACATCTTTGTAAGCAAACATTTAAAATATGTTGTTAGAACATATTTCTTTCCAATGGTTTGTATTATGAGTTTACATACGCAGCTATAAAATGTAAGCATGCTTTTTTTTCTCTCTCTCTCCTTTTTCTAATATATGTTTATTTGTGTAGGTTTTCCCTAGCCATTTAAAAAGACAAGAAAGGAAATAAAATATATAACGAATGGAAATAAATAAAATGCTTATTCTTCACAGTTAGAAAACCCAAAATAAGCTACATATGAATTATTATAATTAATAAGTGGGTACAAGATGCTTGCTGGATACAAGATTGTACTAGTCAGCGTTCTTCAGAGAAAGAGAGTCAAGAGAGATTGATTTAAATAAAATGGCTCACACAGTTTTGGGGGCTGGCAAGTCTGAAATATGTAAGGTCGGCCAGTAGGCTGGAAATTCAGGTAAGAGTTGATATTGCATTTCTGAGTTTGAAACCTGCAGGGCAAGCCAACAGGCAGGGTTTCTATGCTGCAATCTTAAGGCATCTGTGATTGAATGCAGCTCACATTGTGTAAGGTAACCTGCTTTACTCAAAGTCTAATAATTCAACGGTTAATCACTTTTTAAAACACCTTCACAACAACATCTTGACTAGTGTTTGGTCAAACAACTGGGCGCTATAGCTTAGCCAACTTGAAACATAAAATTAACCATCACAGTTCACCCCATGTCAACTTGGAACCCATAGACATCTCCTTAAACAGTATTTAATGTCTAAAGACAATCACAGAGTCATACTTCTGCCTAACATGATACAATGTAACCTGTGTACAACCAAAAACACAGTAACCTTTTTACCAGAAGAGGATGCAAAGTCCTTGGGTGATAAACACTCATCTCCTTGATATCCTGTAACTTAAATACAATGATGTAACGTTAACAAAACTTAAATACTATGATGTGAAGTTAATACATCTTATGTTTCATGACAAGGAGCAGAGAGGAAAGAAATCAAAATATTACACACACACATAAATATATTCATGACAAAATAAGGAATAAACACTCCTAGCAATTACAGTCCTCATTTCTGCAGCTGGTCACATGCTCATAGCTAATATTTATTTATTTTTTATTTATTTATTTATTTATTTATTTTGAGACAGAGTCTTGCTCTGTTGCCCAGGCTGGAGTACAGTGGCATGATCTCGGCTCACTGCAACCTCTGCCTCCCGGGTTCAAGCAATTCTCCTGCCTCAGCCTCCTGAGTAGCTGGGATTACAGGCATCTGCCACCATGCCCAGCTAATTTTTTGTATTTTTAGTAGAGACGGGGTTTCACCATGTTGGTCAGGCTGGTCTCGAACCCCTGACCTCGTGATCCACCAGCCTTGACCTCCCAAAGTGTTGGGACTACAGGCGTGAGCCACCGTGCCCGGCCATAGCTAATATTTATAACTACCTTTTCTTTTTGTTCTGTGACCTCAGAAAGCACCCCGCTGGTCAGTTTGTGGTGTTGAGGTCAGTCAGCATCTCAGTTGCTGGGGTGACCCAAACCTTCATTCCTTAAGGATCTGGGTCATTAGTAGTTCTGCCTAGATTGAGTTGTTGTAGTTTTCCAGTGGCTTTAATCACAAGCATCATAGTACTAACGGATGCCCTAAGGGATCTCCTGTACTCTTCCTTATCTCCATTATATATAGGAACTCAATTTCTTCTGGGTACTCAGGATTAATCATCCCAACCAGTATAGTAACTCCTTTCCTTCCCAATTGATTCAGAGACATGAGGATCCCAAAGTGGCCCAGATGGCAGTTTTAACTTCCATTTCCATGGAATCATGGATGTCTCTCGGTGAAAACATCCTTTTCTTTGCAACTATAACCTCTATATCAGCATAGATAAGGTCATGAGAACAGGAAGTAAAAATGTTGCTAGTGAATCACTACGGGTAATAGTGAGTGGTGCCACTTCATTTCTATCCCTTGAATAAATCCATGAATCCTGGCTATGAGAGAAAGAGCAGCATATGCTGGGCACTGATATATAGGACATACATAGCCTGCCGGAAAACTTTGTTTCAGCCCTGCAAGGTATCACTACCTATCCGGCAATGTAATTGAATCTTCAAAAGGCCATTCCCCCATTCTGTCAAGCCAGTTTCTTAGGGTGGTGGAGAACATGATAAGACCAGTTAATTCCAAGAGCATGGGCCCATTGCCATACTTCATATGCTGTTAAGTGAGTTCTTTTATCAGAAGTAATGCTGCCTGGGATACCGTGATGGTGGAGAAGGCATTCTGTAAGTCCATGATGATAATTTGGGCAAAAGCATCTTGTGCAGGGAAGGCAAATCCCTATCTAGAGTGTCTACTCCAGTAAAAACCAAAACACTGCCCCTTTAGAAATGGAAGTGGTCCAATCTACTCAACCTGCCACCAGGTAACTAGCTGGTCACCCCTGGGAAATGATGGCATAGCAGGTGCTCACTGTTGATCTCTGCTGATGACAGACTGGGCACTCAGCAGGGTCTGTAGCCAGGTCAGCTTTGGTGAGTGGAAGTCCATGTTTCTGAGCCCATGCATGACCTCCATCCCTGCCACTATGGGCTACTATGTTCGTGACCCATTGGACAATGACAGAAGTCATCATAATGTTTTCAATAAATTTCATTCAGTCAGTTATATATTAATATTAAAAACAATAACAAGAAAACAAGAAAGGAAAGTAGTTTCTCTTTTTTACCATACTCAAAAATTAATTAAATTCCATGTAAATTTCAGTCTAAACGTAAAAGATACAACATTAACGTTTTTAAGAATTATATAGGGAAATACTGTCACGGCCTTAGTTTAGGAGCTTTCAAGAGAACACACACACACACACACCATTAATGTCAAAAGTAAAAGACTGAAAATGTGGGCTGCATTAAAATTAAGAACTTTGATCATCAAAATACTATTCAGAGAAGAAAAATGGCAAATAATTTAAGAACATATGCCACTCCTAAATGTGACAAAGAGCTACATAGAATACATAAAGAATACCTGCAATTCAATGAAAAAGACAGGCCACCACACCAAATAGGCAAATGGTTAGAAAACAGGAACAAGATTTTTCACAATATTTTAGAAAACAAACTACTAGAAATATGTCAAATGCCCATCACAGTAGAATGAATAAATAAAATGTAGTATATGAATATAATGGAATCAAACAGCAGCAAAACAAACTATGGCTACATAGAACAACATAAGTCAATTGCACAAAACAATATTAACTGCAACATTTTTATTCAGTTAGTAAACATTTTAAAAATAGACAAAATGATTACTTAATATTAACATAAGGATATTTTGGGGAAGGGGTGTGAAATGTACTTTTGGGAGAAAATATTCACAGTTCACATACTTGGCAAAGTAGTATTACCTAGAATATAGAGATAACTTCTAAAATTAAATTTTTCACACATGAAAAATAATCCAATAGAAAATGAACAAAGAATACAAACAATAAATTCTTTAAAAATGTAAATAACTAAAAATCATATGAAAATGTGTTTACTACATGTCTAATTGGGGAAATACAAATTCTAAAATGAAATACCATGTTACGCCTACCTCTTAGAATAGCAAAGTTTTTCATTTTTTTAGTACTATGTGTGGCAAAGTACTTAGAAGAAGGGTAATTTGATACTTTAAACATTTAGTAAAGTTGATGATGCATAAAACCCTTTGGACCAAGATTTCTATTCCTAACTTAGGGAAGAATACCTTAGGAAAATTCTTATCTATGTGCGTAAAGAGGAGGAAACAACCTAAATGTCTTTCAGATAGGAGAAAGAATAGATAATGGTATGTTCTTACAATAGATTATTAAGAGTTTTAAAATGCATGTATATTATTCACATAGTCATAGCTCATTCTTTAACTTGTGCTTTACTCTTACTATTTTTTAGATTCTCTGATATTTATGTATCAGAGAGATTTAGAGAATTTTGTTCATCAAAATACTATTCAGAGAAGTAAAATGGCAAATAATTTAAGAACATATGCCACTCCTAAATGTGACAAAGAGCTACATAGAATTCATAAAGAGTACCTGCAATTCAATGGAAAAGGCCACCAACTAGGGAAATGGGTAGAAAATAGGAACAACATTTTTCACAATATTTTAGAAAACAAACTACTAGAAATGTATCAAATGCACTACAAATACATAAAACAAATACTACAAATATATAAAACAAACCACTCCAAATGTGTATCTACACACACATATTTTTCTATCTCCGGGTATCTTGAGTATAGTAGTAAAACACAAATTAAAGAATGAACTATACATTTATTGTACCATTTTACGTAACATATAAAAGCACACATTGCAATATTAAATATTGTTATGGATATATAGATAAGTAGTAAGGTATTAAACGACACTGAAAGGCTACACAAAAATGCAAGGAAATTGTTATTTTTAGATAGGCAAGGTAATAGAAATATAAAGGAGCCTTCAATTTTAAACTTTTTATTTTTAAAAAAATAAAAAATCTGAAGCAAATATGACAAAAAACTATACTTGTCAAATGAAGCACTGAGTCAAAGCTATGAACTGAATTGTGTCCCCCCAAAAAATTCATATGTTGAAGCCCTAACACCCAATGTGATGGTAATTGGAGCTGGACCTTTGGAAGGTAATTATGTTACCATGAAGTCCAGTAGCGTGGGGCTCTCATAACCAAAGGTTGCTGTCTCTCTGACTGTCTCTCTACCATATGAGGACAAGTGAGAAGGTGACCATCTCCGTCTGCAAACCAAGAAGGGAGCCCTCACCAGAATCTGACCTGGCTGGCACCCTGATCTCAGAATTCCACCATCTAGAACTCTGTTGTTGAAGGCACCTAGCCTATGATATTTTGTTATGGCAGCCGAAGCAGACTAAGGCAGTCATCATTATATTATTAATATAATTCCTTATATTTGAAAAATCACTCACACTTTTCAAAATGTATAACCATAAATACCTAGGTTATACTGGCCTAAGATTATACCAAGAAACAGAATATTATTACAATTAAAAGTAAATAAAGGCATTCTTCAAACAAATTAATGTACTGTAAAATCTTTGCAAGCTGGAACTGCAAGAGTATCCTGAGAGCCTTGTGCAGTATCTGCTACACACTGGTGCTTAATGTGTGTTGCATGTGGAGCATACATAGGTTAAACAAAAATTATAATGCTACCTGGGAAATAAACTCCAGAAACCAAAGTTTTTCTGAGATCCTCTAATAAAGAAACAAAGCTACAACAACAAAATACTTGTTTTCAAACATTTACTGTCTAGAAACAATTTTTTCAACTTTTAGTATTAGTTTAAGTACCACAGACTTCATAGTCTGATAAAGCCAGTTTCCTAGTATCCTCTTTACACGACTTCCTAATTCTGGCCTCAAAAACTGTAATGAAGCCCTTTCCCCAGTCTGCCTTCCCCAGTCATCCTTTTGTAGTCCAAATCTCGGATCCTTGCAGACTAAACTGGGGCATATAATAGCTTCCTTCTTTGCCTCCTTTTGAGTTAATAGTCTGGAGTCAGTATTATTTTGGATCAGTTTCAAGAGGTGTACTTCAACTTTGTCAAGAAAAGTGATCATATTTTGTTTGTAATCCTTCATCACATAAAGCTAAGATGTTTTAAATTGATATACTGATGAACTGTCATTGTAGGGAACTGCATCCGATTATGGGCCTAAGTAGAATTTCTAGAGATATCAGGAAAAATCTGAAATGTGTGGCTCCAAGAAAGAATTATTATGTATGGTCCTCTCCATTTTCTTAACCTCATATGTGTTTATACTTTCACTAACTTTTCAAGTGTTAATTCAAATTGGTCTCCTAAGTATTCCCTCCTGTTGGTAGCATTTGGCTGTACAGTCAAATGAGCAGCTGCCTCTAAGCATTTGCTAATGCTTCCTTCCTCAAAGGAAAACTAATACAAATTTAAATTTGTGTTAATTTCCACCTGAGGCATGATGGCCTCTGTTGGTTTTTGGCAAGTTCAGATAATTGCTACAAAATAGTTTTTTTCTTATTTCAATAATATAGGGCTGTAGGAACAATATTTGCACTGTATTATTAACCAGTTTTATGGTAAATGTTGTTTATTTATGGTATTGTACATGTGGTATCTATTAAGTAACATCTCAAAGAATAAAAACCACTTACTTGTTAAATGGAAAGCAAAATGTGGAAAACAATTTGGAGGAAAATGAAAGTAGATGGCAAATGCTGACAGTCACGGGGCTTACTGAAGTTATCAAAAATGCAGATTACTTAGCCACAAATGAAAAGAAATAATAATAGTTTTTCAAGCTTGACAGGGACCACTTACGGCAAGATTTCAACATCACTTCACACAACTTGACATATGCAAATTTTTCCAGTGCAGTTTCAATTATAATGCCATACAAATTTTATTAGTCACTTGGTAATACTGTAGATAATTGGAAAAGTCAGTGAATGATTTATAAAACAGAGAGATTGATTCCACAAGGCCTTCTTGATTTCAAGAAGACAGAAAATTAACATTTTTTATATAAAGGAAAAATATCATATACTGTTTTTGTTACTGAATTTGTAGCTTATATATCAATTGCCGTTACAAAGGATTTGAGATGGCTGGCCTAAGCACAATGCAAAACATGTTAATTTTTAATGTAAATAATCAAGACTCATTTAGAAGAGGAGAATCTCGAGTACTTTGGCCTTAGTATAAAAGTGATATTTCTTCAACTGTTTTTTGCTCAAAAAGAGAACTGCCATTGCCTGAAAACTCATGTGATATCAGATCCAATACCAAAATATTCAACTATTCTTCCCTAAGACCGTGCTACACAGAACCTGAGCAAGAAATGCCTGTGGGCAATTGTTCTGCGTAATTTAACCACCTCGTTCATAGTGTGGGAGAATGATGGAGCCTGACAGAACATCCAAAGTGTTGGAACCACTGATTAGTAAATACTTGCAAGCTATGTCCGTACTTGGCCCTTGATGTAGCAGAGTATTGTAACACAAATTCCAAGACTGAAAGAAATTGGGAGATGCCTACTATATCCGACTATGGAGAGGTAGAAAAAAAGAACTAAAAATAAAAATACTACAATTTTGGATCATTAATTCAGCTTGCCAATTTTCACTGATAAATGATAATAAATCACAATACAAAAAATACTGCATTTATCTTTTTATTTAATCAAACTAGTTTTAAAACTGAGTTCCATCCTGTAAGACTGATGGAAGATTCAACCTTATCCTTGGGGCTCCCCTGATATAGTGGTACAAAGCTGCTAGTGTTAAGAAATGGGAATTATCTCTGGTCGAATATCTACAGTTGATACTGGCTACTGCAGGGAGGCCTGATATTTCATCGCTCTCAGAAACTCTGGTGCTGCTCCCTTTTAGGCATCGCTGAAAAAGCTGGGATTCTGGAGCCTTCTCCACGAATTTCCAGAGGCTTGTGTGACTTATGGATTTCCCTCCCTCGGATCACAGAAAAACCTCCAAATGTTCTGCTTCTCCAAAGCACACCTCTTTGTCCTGCCCTCACCCGACTCTAACATAATACTGTCACTGATTTTAGGAGGTGTCTACCTTATACAGCTTCTATTTTCTGCTGCAAAATACCCCTAAGGAAAGAAATGACAAAGATTAACTACCAGCTTAGAGCAAAGGGATAGGGAAATATGTAGGGAGCATAAAAGCTATTTAATACGAAAATAAAATGCTGCCACAAGAGTAAATAAAGAATAGTGAAAAGCTTGTCAGTAGACTTTAATTTTAATATAACCTAAGCCTAAATCCACAAGATATTTTGTCTTGTCCCATCAACGCAACCATTCTAAGAAATCTTCAAACACATGATACAATTTTTTTCCTGTCACTTTTGTTCATTTTCCTTTGAACTCAAATTAGAATTGGCTTCATTATTCACTAGATTTCCCTCTTCAACCTCCTTCCATCCAATCATTTCTCCTCTCTCATCTTCTGTGAATTGGCAATTGCACTGCCAAGGTAATTCCTCAGAAGTGGTACATCTTGTACTTCCTGACTCTCAATGTTTCCGGAACATTTATTGATGTAAGCTGGGTTCTGTCATAGATGCATTCCTTCACAAGTCAACCGGTGATACTTTGCTCACTAGAAACTCAGTTACCAGGTCCTCTTGATTCTACTATTGTTCACTAATTTCTTTGAAGAGGCATTTATGGTGTTTTGGTTGTCTCATACCACTTTATCCAGAACCTTCTCTTGAAAAATCTGCCTGCCTACATGCAGATTTCCACACATTCCATCTGCACATCACATGAGTCTCTCGACAACACTAGTTTTGCTTGCTGTGGTCCTGCCCAAAAGTATTAACTCTTTCTCCGTTGCCAATAGGATTAAGTTCATGCAATTCAGCTTGGTAATTTCCAATCTGCTAGCATCTAAATCCAACATTGTTTTTCCATCTCTTTTAAAACAAAAAACAAAACCCCAATGAATCTAGGCAAACCCTCAGGTTGCCCTCCATGCAACCTATAGATCTCCCCATCTCCCTATTTTTATGAAAGTTAGTTCTCTAGGATATAGTAGATTCTCTTTCTAAATCTGGGGAAATCCCCAATATTCTCTAAGTTCAGGTCAGTGCCTGCCTTCTCCCAAATGTGCTTTACAACTTTCTTTTTAGAGGCAGTGGCTTCTTTCGTCCAAAAACTCCCAGCTTTGCTTGTCTGTAACCATTCATTGTTTCTTTAAAATATATACTTGCTTTAGACTTCTTGGTATTGTCTGACATTTTAAAATCATTCATATTATTAAGTTTTACCTCTGTGTCTATAGCCTCCCCAACTAGACTGTAAACTTTGAGTATGAGGCTATGATTCTTTGTATGCCCCCACTCAGAGCTCTGCATAGCCTGTGAAACTCTCCTCTTTTCCTCCCATTAAGAGATATGAAATGAATGAACAGCCACACATTACACCATAGTCTGGTGACTATAGCAGAGAGTTTAGAGATGAAAATGTCTCCGGTGTTAACATAAAATAAGTTGCACTCTTATGTCTAAATACAGCCATTTGATTCATTTATAATTTTCACATAATGCTATTTTTAAATGTGTTCTATTAATATATACATAGGTGTTTTTTATACATAAAGCTATTAAAGTGCCTATTATAAGTACAATGGCTAAGCACATGTCCTAATCTTTCACAGAGTTAGAGAAAAGGATCCCACATTACCCTGAAACAAAGAAAGTAGTAATTTACCTGGTAGAGGCAATGTCTTTCCTCCAACAGAAGGGAAAAACAATCCCTCCAACAACTGACATTCAATTTAATTTTTAAAAATAGTTCATACGCATGTAAAACATATTTGAATTATCCATTTGTCAAAGCGTAAAACTCAAAAAACTTATTTCTTCTCTCCAGAATGGCACCATTGCACATTTCTCCTCCAGAGCAATTCTGGTGGATGTATCTGGCAGCCAAACATGAAAGTGTGGGTGCTGTGGTGCTGGCAGCCAGCCCAGCATTTAACCCTGCTGTTTTAGAATGTCATAAAATAAGCACAATTTAATCTTTTCAAATCATTTGGTCAGTGGCTGTGATTTCCGCAGAAAATAACTTCAAAGAAGACAGGCACCTTTGTTGATGCGTGTTTAAGTGCCTTGAGTGCCAATGCATTTAAGAATAGGTAGCGAAAACCTCAAAGCCTGGAACACATTCTTGGGATTAGATACCAAGAGGATGTGTAGGCTGGCCTATTAAATTTCTCTGGTAGTAAGGATGTGCTCAAGTTGATATAATTAAGAGAAAGAGTCATCCAAAAAAAATAGTAATCACAAGTGACTAGACACTGCTTGTTGTAATGTATCAAAGCAGAGATGTTGATATAGGGCAGAGAAATCAGCATATAAAATATTAATGTTTACTTCTGATATGGGCTGGGGGAGTGCTTTTCTTTATGACATGGGTCTGAAATGCATATAGCATCATTTTTTTTTTTAAGTTCAGGGATGCACATGCAGAATGTGCAGGTTTGTTACACAGGTATACATGTGCCATGATGGTTTGCTGAACCTGTCGATCTGTCATCTGGGTTTTAAACTCCACATGCATTCAGTATTTCTCCTAATGCTCTCCCTCTCCTGGACCCCCAACCCCCAACAGGCCCTGGTGTGTGAGGTTCCCTTCCCTGTGTTCGTGTGTTCTCATTGTTCGACTCCCACTTATGAGTGAGAACATGTGGTGTTTGGTTTATTGTTTGTGTATTAATTTGCTGAGAATCATGGCTTCCAGCTTCATCCATGTCCCTGCAAAGGACATAGTATTCTTTTTATGGCTGCAAAGTATTCCATGGTATATATGCGACTCATTTTCTTTATCCAGTCTGTCATTGATGGGCATTTGGGTTGGTTGCAAGTCTTTGCTATTGCAAATAGTGCTGCAATAAACATACATATGCATGTGTCTTTATAGTAGAATGATTTATAACCCTTTGGGTATATACCCAGTAACGGGATTGCTGGGTCAATGGTATTTCTGGTTCTAGATCCTTGAGAAATCGCCACACTGTCTTCCACAATGGGTGAACTAACTTATGCTTTTACCAACAGTGTATAAGTGTTCCTATTTCTCAACAGCCTCACCAACATCTATTGTTTCCTGACTTTTTAATAATCACCATTCTGACTGACATGAGATTGCATCTGATTGTGGCTTTGATTTGCATTTCTCTAATACTCAGTGATGTTGAGCTTTTTTTCATATGCCCACTTTTTGATGGGGTTTTGTTTTTTCTTATAAATTTGTTTAAGTTCCTTGTAGATTCTGGATATTAAACTTTTGTCAGATGGGTAGATTGCAAAAATTTTCTCCCATTCTGTAGGTTGCCTATTCACTCTGATGATAGTTTGTTTTCTGAGCAGAAGCTCTTTAGTTTAATTAAATCCCATTTGTCAATTTTGGCTTTTGTTGCCATTGCTTTTGGTGTTTTAGTAGGAAGTCCTTGTCCACGCCTATGTCCTGAATGGTATTGCCTAGGTTTTCCTCTAGGGTTTTTATGGTTTGGGGTTTTATATTTAAGTCTTTAATCCATCTTGAGTTAATTTTTGTATAAAGTGTAAGGAAGGGGTCCAGTTTCAGTTTTCTACATATGGCTAGCCAGTTTTCCCAGCACCTTTAATTAAACAGGGAATCATTTCTCCATTGCTTGTTTCTGTCAGGTTTGCCAAAGATCAGATGGTTGTAGATGTGTGGTGCTATTTCTGAGTTCTCTGTTCTGTTCCATTGGTCTATATGTCTGTTTTGGTACCAGTATAATGCTGTTTTGGTTACTGTTGCCTTGTAAACTTGTACTATAGTTTGAAGTCAGGTAGCATGATATCTGCAGCTTTGTTCTTTTTTCTTAGGATTTTCTTGGTTATACAGGCTCTCTTTTGGTTTCATATGAAATTTTAAGTAGTTTTTTCTAATCCCGCGATTAGAAAAAAAAACTACTATTACTACAAAAAAAAAAGCTACTATTGTAGCTTGATGGAGATAGCATTGAATCTATAAATTACTTTGGGTAGTATGGCCATTTTCATGATATTGATTTTTCCTATTCATGAGCATGGAATGTTTTTCCATTTGTGTCCTCTTATTTCTTTGAGATGTGGTTTGCAGTTCTTCTTGAAGAGGTCCTTCACATCCCTTGGAAGATGTATTACTAGGTATTTTATTCTCTTCGCAGCAATTGTGAATGGGAGTTCATTCATGATTGGGGTCTCTGCTTGTCTATTGTTGGTGTATAGGAATGCTTGTGATTTCTGCACATTGATTTTGTATCCTGAGACTTTGCTGAAGTTGCTTATCAGCTTAAGGAGTATTTGGGCTGAGACGATGGGGTTTTCTAAATATAAATCATGTAATCTGCAAACAGAGATAATTTGACTTTCTCTCTTCCTATATGAATATTCTTTATTTCTTTCTCTTGTCTGATTGCCCTGGCCAGAACTTCCAATACTATGTTAAATAGGAGTAGTGAGAGAGGGCATCCTTGTCTTGTGCTAGTTTTCAAAGGGAATGCTTCCAGCTTTTGCCCATTCAGTATGACATTGGCTATGGGTTTGTTACAAATAGCTCTCATTATTTTCAGATATGCTCCATCAATGCCTAGTTTATTGAGAGTTTTTAATATGAAGAGATGTTGAATTTTATCAAAGGCCTTTTCTCCATCTATTGAGATGATCCTGTGGTTTTTGCCATTGATTCTGCTTATGTGATGGATTACGTTTATTGATTTGTGTATGTTGAACCAGCCTTGCATCCCAGGAAAGAAGCCGACTTGACTGTGGTAGATAGGCTTTTTGATATGCTGCTGGATTTGGTTCACCAGTATTTTATTGAGGATTTTCGCATCGATGTGTCATCAGGGATATTGACCTGACGTTTTCTTTTTTTGTTGTGTCTCTTCCAGGTTTTGATATCAGGATGATGCTGGCCTCATAAAATGAGTTAGGGAGGAGTCTTTCTTTCTCAATTGTTTGGAAAAGTTTCAGAAGGAATGGCACCAGCTCCTCTTTGTACTTGTGGTAGAATTTGGCTGCTAATTCATCTGGTCCTGGGCTTTTTTTGGTTGGTAGGCTATTAATCACTGCCTTAATTTCAGAACTTGTTATTGGTCTATTCAGGGATTTGACTTCTTCCTGGTTTAGTCCTGGGAGGGTGTATGTGTCCAGGAACTTATCCATTTCTTCTAGATTTTCTAGTTTATTTGTGTATAGGTGTTTATAGTATTATCTGATGGTAGTATATATTTCTGTGGGATCAGTGGTGATATCCCCTTTATCACTTTTTATTGTGTCTATTTGATTCTTCTCTCTTTTCTTATTAGTCTAGCTAGCAGTCTATCTATTTTATTAATTTTTTCAATAACCACCTCCTGGATTGATTTTTCGAAGGGTTTGTTGTGTCTCTATCTCCTTCAGTTCTGCTCTGATCTCAGTTATTTCTTGTCTTCTGCTAGCTTTTGAATTTGTTTGTGCTTGCTTCTCTAGTTCTTTCAATTGTGATGTTAGGGAGTCGATTTTAGGTGTTCCTCACTTTCTGATGTTGGCATTTAGTGCTATAAATTTCCCTCTTAACACTGCTTTAGCTGTGTCCCAGAGATTCTGGCACACTGTCTCTTTGGTCTCATTGATTTCAAAGAAATTCTTGATTTCTGCTTAAATTTCATATTTACTCAGGAGTTATTCATGAGCAGGTTGTTCAATTTCCATGTAGTTGTGTGGTTTTGAGTGAATTTCTTAATCTTGAGTTCTAATTTAATTGCACTGTGGTCTGAGAGACTGTTATGGTTTCCATACTTTTGCATTTGCTGAGGAGTGTTTTATTTACAATTATGTGGTCAATTTTAGAATAAGTGCCATGTGGCACTGAGAAGAATGTATATTCTGTAGATTTGGGGTGGAGAGTTCTGCAGATGTCTATTAAGTCCACTTTATCCATAGCTGAGTTCAAGTCCTGAATATCCTTGTTAATTTTCTGTCTCATTGATCTATTATTGACGGTGGGGTGTTAAAGTCTCCCACTATTATTGTGTGGGAGTCTAAGTCTCTTCGTAGGTCTCTAAAAACTTGCTTTATTAATCTGGGTGCTCCTGTATTGAGTGCATATATATTTAGGATAGTTAGCTCTTCCTGTTGCATTGATACCTTTACCATTATGTAATGCCCTTCTTTGTCTTTTTTTATCTTTGTTGGTTTAAAGTCTTTTTTATCAGAGACTAGCATTGCAACCCATGCTATTTTTTGCTTTCCATTTGTTTGGCAAATATTCTTCAATCTCTTCATTTTGAGCTTATGTATGTCTTTGCACGTGAGATGGGTCTCCTGAATACAGCACACTGCTGGATCTTGACTCTTTATTCAATTTGCCAGTCTATCTTTTAATTGGGACATTTAGCCCATTTACATTTTAATATTGTTATATATGAATTTGATCCTGTCATCATGATGCTAGCTGGTTATTTTGCACATTAGTTGACGCAGTTTCTTCCTAATGTCATTGGTCTTTATATTTTGGTGTGTTTTGCAGTGACTGATAACAGTTTTTCCTTTCCATATTTAGTGCTTCCCTTAGGAGCTCTTGTAAGACAGGCCTGGTGGCAACAAAATCCCTCAGCATTTCTTGTCTGGAAAGGATTTTACTCCTCATTTGCTTATGAAGCTTAGTTTGACTGGATTTGAAATTCTGGATTGAAAATTCTTTAAGAACATTGAATACTGGCCCCCACTCTCTTGTGGCTTGTAGGATTTCTGCAGAGTGATCTGCTGTTAGTCTGACTGGCTTCCCTTTGTAGGTGACCTGATTCTTCTGACAGTGCTTAACATTTTTTCCTTCATTTCAACCTTGGAAAATCTGAAGATTAGGTGTCTTGGGGTTGATCTTCTCATGGAGTATCTTAGAGTTCTCCATATTTCCTGAATTTGAATGTTGGCCTGTCTTGCTAGGTTGGGGAAGTTCTCCTGGATAATATCCTGAAGTGTGTTTTCCAACTTGGTTCCATTCTCCCCGTCACTTTCAGGTATACCAATCAATCATAGGCATAATCATTTGGTCTTTTCACATAGTCCCATATTTCTTGTAGGCTTTGTTCATTCCTTTTCATTCTTTTTTTCTCTAATCTTGTCTGCATGCCTTTTTTTCAGCTAGGTGGTTTTCAATCTGTGATATTCTTTCTTCCGCTTGATCTGTTTGGCTACTGACATTTGTGTATGCTTCACGAAGTTCTCGTGTTGTGTTTTTCCTCTCCATCAGGTCATTTATGTTACTCTCTAAACTGATTATTCTAGTCAGCAGTTCCTATAGCCTTTTATCAAGGTTCTTAGCTTCCTTGCATTGGGTTAGAACACGCTCCTTTAGCTCAGAGGAGTTTGTTATTACCCACCTTCTGAAGCCTACTTCTGTCAATTCATCAGCCTCATTCTCCGTCCAGTTTTGTTTCCTTGCTGGAGAGGAGTTGTGATCATTTGGTGGAGAAGAAGCATTCTGGCTTTTGGAATTTTCAGCACTTTTGTGCTGCTTTTTCCTCATCTTCATGGATTTATCTACCTTTGATCTTTGAGGATGATGACCTTTGGATGGGGTTTTTGTTGAGGGGGGGTCTTTTTTGTTGATGCGGCTGCTGCTGTTGTTGCTTTCTGTTTGTCAGTTTTTCTTCTTACAGCCAGGCCCCTCTTCTGCAGGTCTGCTGCAGTTCATTGGAGGTCCACTCCAGACTCCATTCACCTGGGTGTCACCAGTGGAGGCTGCAGATCAGCAAAGATTGCTGCCTGCTCCTTCCTCTGTAAGCTTCATCCCAGAGGGGCACTGGCCTGATGCCAGCTGGAGCTCTCCTGTGTGAGGCAGTTCTCCTGTCTTGCTGGGGTTCCAGGTGCCACTGGGGTATGAAGAATGTCATTGGCATTTTAATAGGGATTGAATTTAATCTGTAGATTGCTTTGGGTAGTATGGACATTTTAACAATATTGATTCTTCCCATCCATGAACATGGAATGGCTTTCCATTTTTTGTGTCCCCTTCAATTTACTTCGTCAGCGTTTTATAGATTTCATTGTAGAGATCTTTCACTTTTTTAGTTAAATTTATTCTAGGTGCTTTATTTTATCTGTAACTATAGTAAATGAGATTACTTTCTTGATTTCTTTTTCAGATTGTTGACTGCTGGCATAAAGAAATGCCAGTAATTTATGTATGACCATTTCAATTGATGGTGGAAAAGTATTCAATGAAATTTAGCACCTCTTCATGATTAAAAACTCAAAAAACTGGGCATAGAAGGAACATGCCTCAACATGATAAAAGCCATATATATGACAGACCCACATATAATATACTGAGTGAGAAAAAACTGAAAGACTTTTCCCTAAAATCTGGAACAAAATCATGACTTTCACTACTGTAATTAACACAGTACTAGAATTCCTAGCTAAAGCACTTCAACAAGAGGAAGAAATAGAGCACCCAATTGGAATGAAAGAAGTCAAATTATCCTCATTTGCTGACTATATGGTCTTAGATGTAGAAAAACCTAAAGATTCCACTTAAAAGAAACTATTAGAATTGGTAAATTCACTACAGTTGTATAGGATACAAAATATATGTGCTTTTATATATCTTGTCACCTTATAGTCATTATAGAAAATTTGTTCTATAAAATAAGTATTTTAAGTTTAGCAACAATTGCTGCAAAGAAATGTTATGTAAATAAAGATTATTAGATTATTAAATGTTACCCTTTCTAAGCCTTTTCTATTTGCATGGCAATAGAAAATTCTTTTCTAAGAACAAATCTATTGAAATTTTCTCTTGCAGGCAATAGAACTAATACCTCTATATTTCTGTTTCAGAGGAGAAATAGTCTTTTAGCTGAGCAACAATATATCGACCGAAATTTAGCTTTGTTTGCAGGATATAAGAATAAATTTGAATGGACCTTTGAAATAAAACTAAGGGAAAATGAAGTGAAGATGTAATAAAACAAAAGCCGAGTTAATTATTCAGAAATAAGAAAAACAATAGAATTGAATACACAAAAAAACTCTGGTTCTTTTGTGGGGGCATAATAAAATGGATTAAATATTAACTAGAAATATCAAGAAAAATAAGAACACATATTGAGAAGGAATAAAATTATTTCTAAATAGAATATTTAAAATTCTAACAGAAAATTCAGTGTAACATAAAAATTATTTTGAAACCATGGATCAATTGATTATTTTATGAAAAGTATAAATTACCAAATTGATTAAAGATATAAAGAATTGAATGAGACAATATCTATGAAAGAACTTAAAAAGTTTATTAAAGGTGGCTCACACCTGTAATCCCAGCACTTTGGGAGGCTGAGGCGGGCAGATCACTAAGTCAGGAGATTGAGACCATCCTGGCTAACAGGGTGAAACCCCATCTCTACTAAAAATACAAAAAATTAGCCAGGCGTGGTGGCGGGCGCCTGTAGTCCCAGCTACTTGGGAGGCTGAGGCAGGAGAATGGCGTGAACCCGGGAGGCGGAGCTTGCAGTAAGCCGAGGTTGCACCACTGCACTCCAGCCTGGGCGAAAGAGCGAGACTCCATCTCAAAAAACTAACAAACAAACAAACAAAAAAGTTTATTAAAGAACTAGCTCACATCAGGACAAATAGCTAATTCATGTGGGGCTTAAAACCTAGATGGCCGGTAGATAGGTGCAGCAAACCACCCTGGTACATATATAACTATGTAACAAACCTGCACGTTTTGCACATGTATCCCAGAACTTAAAGTTTAAAAAAAAAAAAAAAAAAAGAACTAGCTCACAAGGAACCTAAGTACAGTTTGTAGAAACCCTTAGGAACAACAGGAAAAATCACTTGTCATGTGAGTATCTCAAAGCATAAAAGAAGCCTATATCATACCAAAAGGAAATTAAATTCCAATATGACTTAGTTTATCCAATCTAATAAAATAGCATATAATAAAAATATTATAATCTAACTGTGATATACAAAATCCAACAATATATTTCAATAACTTAAGAATTTCTTTCATAAAGAGTAAGGATATTTGGTATTAGGAAATTTATTAATAAGCTTCGCTACATTAATATGTTAAATAATAAAAACGGCACATGCACCTTAATATAAATGGATAATCATCTGATAAGATTCAATACCCATTACTAAATCAGAAATATGTAAAAAGTCTTTAACAAGTCAAAATAATTTTCCTATCACAAACCAATAAGAATATACTTTAGGGTAAAAGTTTAATTTTAAGGAGTACTAGAGTTAGAATTAGCATAAGGGTATCAGTTATCATCACTATTATTTTATTTTTCCATAAGAAGTCAACAAATCAGTAAATGCATAAAAAACCAACAAAGAAAGGATGAAACAGAATTTTAATTATTTATAGATTGTATAATAGTATCTATACAAAAGTATAATTACTATGCAGGTTAAAAATTATAACACATTTCAATACAGTAGCCACTAGCAAAATAAATTATTCTTCTCTACCAACAGTAACCAAATGTAAAATATATATTTCATCTATAAAATTGGTAAAAATACAGCATACTTATAAGTAAACATTTTAGAAAATAGCTAATACCCATATGAATGTGATTATAAAAAATCTACTGAAGAACAGTAAAGAGATCTTGAATGGAGATACATATTGTATCTCAAATAGTAATAGTATATTTTTTACAAGATTTCAAAATATCAGTTATTCCTAAGTTAATGTAAAAACTCAATGCATTCCTAATGAAAGCAGACATTTGTCTCTGGTCTCAAATCAAACATGAGTAAAGCTAAGAAAATTATTTGAAATAAAAGCAATGAGTGTGACAAATCCTATGTAACATTAAATTTTACTTTAAAGTTAAAGTGATTGGAAACATTTGATATTGATACAGAAACAAACATATCAATGGCATACAATAGAGAATCTAAAAATAGATGCAAGCACACATGGGAAATTCATATACATAAAAGTTGACATTTCTAAGTAGTCTAGATCATTCATCAAATGACAGTGGGCCAACTGGCTTGCATTTGGAAAAAAATAAAATAAACTTGGAAAATAAATCTGAACACCTACTTTTACTTTCACTAAAATAAATCTCAAATTGACTTCAAAGTGTTACACATGTAAAAAACAACAAACATACTAAAAAAATCATTTGTAAATATCTTTCATCTTTGAGGTAGGGAAGCTTTTTTAAGCATGTTACAAAATTCAAAAACACAAGAAAAAAACAATTTTAAAATATAAATTATGCAAGCAAAACAAAATTGTAAAGACTTAAAAAGTTTGAAAGAAAAAAATATGATAGCCAAATGGTCAATAATTACAATCGAGAAAAAACATCCCATGACTCATAAAGTAAGCAAAGAACAACACAAAAGAAAATTTAGCAAATTTCCTGACATGGCATTTTAGAGTCAAAGACTTTTGATGACCTAAAAACATATGATCAGATTACTTATTTCAACAATACAACAATATTATGAGTACAAACAATAAAATATTGTGGCACTATGGCTGGAAAATGTTTTTAAATAATAAGAAAACTTGGCAGAATTTATCAAAACTTCAATTGTGCATATTTTGACCCCCTAATTCCAATTCTAAATATTCTTTACAAATACACAGGTGCAAAGATTTCTATATGTACTTAATATGTACAGATTTTATAATAGGTAGTGATTTTATATTGTTGGTAGAGAAGAATAAAATATTTATAAAACCTAAAAATAACCTAAACATTGTTCAATAAGGAAAGAACTAAATAAATTAGCATATGTACTACATAATACACAGATATTAAAAGTAACATGAAGATATATATGATACATTTTCAAGTGAAGAAAACAATGTTGAAGAATAAAATATAGAATAAGATTGTATTTATGACTAATTAGTAGTATTTATATTAAGGAAACATGCTCAAACAGAAATGCTTGGAAATCCACAGCATGCATAGTAGAGAGGAGAGTGAGATCAGTGTGTGAGTGTGGGGCATGGCGGAGCAAAGAGAAGGATGATGAAAATGGCCTTGTAATCTTTTTCGATATAGTTCTGGGTTGCTAGAAGTTTTTTTGTATGAATATGTACTATTTGCATTATTTTAAAAAGAAAAGAAGAAAAATGAGAGGGGTTGCTATAATACCTATGTTTGTATAAGAGTAAAAAACCAGGCATCCTCTGACAATTTTATAACAATGTAAGTTGTTAGAATTTTTTGGAAAGCGTTTGGTAGCATCCATGAATTGAGTAATGTTCATACACATTGAGCCAATCATGATATATTCAAAAATTACACAATAGCTATATAGGCCCAAGTGAACAAAACTGTTTGAAAGAATGCTCATTAAATAATGGTTTTTAATATTTAAAATTTAGAAACAATCTAAATATTTGACCAGTAAAGAATTGGTTAAACAAATTATAGTAAGTTTATTTATTAAAAGGATATACTGCAATATTTAAAGTATTAAAGCATATTTCTGTGTATTAGCAGAAGTGGCCCATGAATTATTAAGCAAAAGCAAGAAATTGGAGGACCTGACTTAAAATTTGATCATTTCTGTAAATTGATAATAGTAACATTATTTACATAACAATGAGAACTATCAGTCTCTACTTTGTTAATGTATAATAAAAAATCAGCATTAGTATACACTAATCTGTTTACATATATATAAACCTCTGTTATATTTGAAGGGTAACATTAAAGGGGTGCCCTGAATTTCTGCTCTCATATTGATAAATTCTAATGAGCATTTATTACTCTTATAATCAGAAAAATGAAGCTGTATTATAAATGATAATTTAAAAACACCTCTTTTTAGTTTGGATGTCTATACAAACACATTACTAACAGGAAGGGTAACTTGACTGGTGAAATTAAGTATGGTGTCTTTGCCATAAAGCAAATCAAAGTTATTCTAATATATGTGAATACCTATGAATACGACATAATTTCTGTTCAAATATAAATATCCACGAGCTTAAATATTGTCTATTTACACACACCACAGCAATAACTCAGGTGACATTCATAAGTAGATATGCCTGAAATTATTTTCAAGGAAATTACTTTATTTCTCTGTAGCTCTGTGCAATATCACTGTAAACAATTTCATTGATGCCCAGGTCCTAAAGTTGGTATTGTTTTCTCATTCAGTAACATAAAAATAGAATGACAAGGTTTTTCACCCTTACCTCCCTTGGCTATGGTTGAGAATTTTCTTTTCACAGAACTTCAAATGTGAAAATAAATGAGCTACAATAGTGTTAACCAACCCATATTTTTCACCGTATGCATTATTGGCACACTCTTAAACATTAATTGCTCAGATTTTCTGGGAAGAAACGGTTCTGAATTTCAAATCTTCTATGCTAGTTATCTGAAATGTTTCCAACACAAACAAATAATACATATTTGAGGTGATGAATATCTTAATTATCCTGATTTGATTTTTACACATTGTATGCACACATCAAAATATCACATGTAACCCATAAATATGTACAATTATGTACCAATTAAAAATGTTAAAAAAGAAACCTTGTTCTCATATGATTTTATGACATTTAATCTGAAATACTTGAGCATAATATTAAAAAAGAAAATTTTATATTATCTTATCTCAAACTTTGGCCATAATGAAAATATCTAATCATTTTTACTTTGAGTTAAAGAAAAAATAATATAAAAATTTTTAGTTTGGTAAGGTACACTTTAAATATAAGAAATTAAAGTAAAACTATGAACTAAATCTAATTGAGGTTGAGACATACATCATTTAAATCAAAGTGTTAAATAGCTAATGTTAAATATTTAATTTAGAATTAATTTAAAATGGGCTATAAATGCCTATTTAACATGATCTCTTTGAATATATGTTTAGTGAAAAGACTACCTTAATAATATTTATGTTTTATTGTTTAATTTGGAGTTAGTTCTCGAGATTTTAGGTATCCTAGACATGTAATAATTACGCACCTTAAAAGCCGAACTAATTTTTATTTTACACAAAGTCACACAGGAAGGCAAAAACTCTAAAACTTCAAAAACTCTAAAATCCATGCTGATAATACAAATAACACCAGGAATCTGGGCACAGTAGCTAATCCCAGCACTTTGGGAGGCCAAGGTGGTTGGATCACCCAAGATCAGGATTTCGAGAACAACCTGACCAACATGATAAAAACCTGTCTCTACTAAACATACAAAAATTAGCTGGGCGTGGTGGCGCATCGCCTGAACCCAGGAGGTGGAAGTTGCAGCAAGTCAAGACCGCACCATTGCACTCCAGCCTGAGCAACAAGAGAGAAACTCTGTCTCAAAAAAAAAAAAAGGTGGTAATGGGTATTACATACATCACAGCAATAACTCAGGTGATGTTCATAAGTAGGGATGCCTCAAATTATTTTCCTGGGCAACAAGAGGGAAACTTTTTGGAGGTTTTATGTTACAAAAGTCAAAGGTTGCAAAGTAAGATATATGGATTACCATTCCTTTTGTACCAATTATTTAATCATATACATAATTTCACATGTGCATGTATACAAACATATACACACACATACTGCATTTTATGTGTTTACATATATATAATGTGTATGTCTACATATATATAGCATGCACGCACATACACATACATGCCTAATCATGCACCTCCTGGACTCTAGAATCAAATTGCCATCTCTCCAGCACAATCACACTCACTTAACAGTTTAAAGAGTAGGGTATGCCATTCTTTAATAAGGCTGTTTTTAAATTTTGAATCATTTCCTCTAGATTTGCATGGCAAAATATATTTTTTAATATTTATATTTTTAAAATACTGAATGGCCTTATTAGCTGCAAGCTATAAATGCCACAAAACAGATTTGGAAATTGGAACGCACCCAACATAAATGGTTACCAACAGCGAATGGGAAGGCATAAGAAACAGGGCAGTAAAGCCACCACACAATATGAGGAAAATCATTAAACGATCTGGAAAAGTATCAAGATGGCTGGCCTCTTTGTAGTTCCAGCACAAAGACTGAGCCTTATTTCTAAATATTTTCCCTGGTGGGGAATAACAGCTTGAAAATAATCCCAGATGTATTCATTTGCGTAACTATTTGCTTCTTGCAGCATATAGGCATGGAAAAATTATTTAAGGTTTCAATTCTGGACTTGTATTTTTTAAATGTCAGGCTTTTGAAAAATAGCACCATTTTTCTTTAAAACCGTTCATTTACCTGGAATGTTGGCCAGCAGGCCTATAATATGGACTTGGTTTTGTTAAGATTGAAAAAATGCCCAATGGCAAGAGAGGAATAGGCAATTTTAGTGGATAAAACTAAATTTGAACCCAAACTCATCTGAGCAACTGTCCAAGCAGAGTATAAAACAGTGTTTTTACAATTCTCTGAGCCGGCCAAGGAATTCTAGATCCCGTTAAAGAAACATAAATTTAGAGAAAGAAAGTAATCTAGAAAGGTTTCTTTAAAGATACTGAAAACAGCATATTTAAAATAAAGTTTAAGGCAGAAGTCAACTTTATACTCAGGCACTTTTTTCCTTAAAAGTATTCTCTCATTTGAGATGATTCTAGATAGTGAGACAAGAGCTCCCAAAACTAAAATTCACTTTCATAAAACTATTTTAACACAAAGATAGATTAAATGGATTCACAGTTCTCTATCAACTGTTGAGAAATTTATTTAAACTCAACATTTTGAAGTCCTAAACACATATAATTTTAAAACAATTTTGCTTAAATATATGTGTAACATGGCCTCACTTCTGCAAATGATCTGTTAAGTATCAGTTCTGTTTTCTACATTTGAGAATACATTATTTTCTTAAAGCAGGGTCTCTTGTAAGTGTGAGGAGTGTGTGTGTGAGAGAGAGTGTGTGTATAGAGAGAAAGATTATTATCAGCGTCTTTTTTCTTTCACTTATTTTTTTTTAATTTTAAAGGATACCAGGAATTTAAATAATTGAGTGAAATTAGCAAAATTTTTAGTAAGCATTCCAGTGCTAAAATAAATGTTGGTGGTTTTTGTTTTAAAATTACACTGTTATTTAGAATGTGAAGGTGTGTGTTTGAATCCACCATCCATTTTACAAATATTTAATGAGCACTATGGTATGCAGTGTCAGGCAGTCTAACAACTAGGATTTTAACCGTGGTAATGTAAATACGGTGCATTGGTCCTCCAAAATGCTTCTACAGAAAAACAGCTAGAATCGTATTCCTGATTATCTTAGGAAGACAATCTGAAACAAGAGATAAATTGAAGAGTACTGTTTCATTTACAGATTTCTGAATATTTTCTAAGCATTACATCAATCCCACATAATTTATGTAGATGATTTATCACCTGAGCATGTGGAACTGCCATCCTCTGCTTTAGAAGAAAAAGATCTCTTTGACTCAAGTCATCTCTTGCTTTGAGACATACTATTAGCCATATGACGATGACACCAGGAGGAATGGATTGGATTAATTTCAAACAAAAATAAGGAACTCAATCTAAACTATGTAAAACTCACCTCATTCTGATTTATTGCTTTTTTCAGACCATAGAAGCTGCAAATAAAATTTATGAGGGAAGAACAATAAATTAGGATTGGATAAAGGCATAATTTTAGGCCTCAAGTTGCTTGTACAGTTAGATTTTAACACATAAAATTGGGAGCATAATACTAACAAGTTAATAAAATCAGCTGAGTGCTGACATGTAAAAACATTTCTTTAAACAATTGGTGGGTTCAATCAGCCTTGTTGACAACTTGAAATTTTAAAAACCTACATTACTTATACTAAATGAAATTAAAAACGTAGAAAAGTTCATAAACGCATGCATCGGAAATTCACTGGTTTTGGAATATATTGGAGGCGGGGGGAAGTTACCTTTAAAGTTAAAACTGTAAAATTACCACATAATAAAAGCCTATGCTTTGAACACTAATTGCCCATGCATTAAGTAAGAAAAAGCTCTCTTCCTACTATTGTGAAGGTTTGATGGATGAACTTTCTTTGGTTTTACTGAGCTGTGTTTTATGTATTTTTGGTTCTACTGCTCTTTTTAGTTTATTCTTGATTTTAATTTTACTAATATGTATTAGTATCAATAAAGCATTAGGTCTATGAAGATTCCTACAGCGTTTTAATTGAGAGTAAATTGCCTACGATAAAAGGGGCCTCCTACCGGCCTAGAAGGCTGGCCCACCCTAGTGGCTGGGCACCACTACTTGTTTGAAGAGTTAAACCAAGGCACGATAGCCCACTTTGTCAGCTGCCTAGAGGGAAGTTGTCAAGTCTGGGACCCTGCTGCTTTATTCCTATAACTGTGTTTTAGAAACACCTCACAAGTGGAATTGTGGTTGCCTCATCCAGAAAATGTGGAAAGGATTAATGTGGCATGTAAAACAAATCACTCCTGAGCTCAGCTGAGAAAGTGGGTATTAAAAGCACTCCAGTCAAAAGAGCTTTAGTGAGAGGGTCACGGTGATATACATTCAGCATATGTTGGGCTGGTAATGCTGCAGGGTGTTTGGAAATGGTAATGGTCCATGAGTGTAAAGTCTTTCAAGACCTCTTAAAGGCACATGTGTTTCTTGAGCATGTTCTCCAAACAAGGACCTGTTATGGGTTAGATTCACTGAAGCTTTTAAACTTTATTGATTGGTTTGTAAGATTCCAGGTTCACTTACTGCTTAAAAAAAAAAAAAACAAACTGTTGATAAACATAGGCAAGAATCCCACTTTAATCTTAACCTTATGAATCAATAAACAATGTGGGATGTTGCCTCCTCATCGATTACAGTACACGCTATTTATTTTTATTATGGAAGTGTTTGCTAGTTTTCAGAGTTAATGGGCAATATATCCATGTTGTTCTTCTAAATCCAGGTGCTTTGTAGATTTATTTTGAGGGGGAAGAAAAGGGAGAGACCTGAAGATTTCTTGCTTTTTGAAATATGAACCATAGCCTTAATAAAAACTTGTGGGTTTCAAGTTGAGAGAGAACAAATAAACCTGCTAAGTGTAATTTCATAAACTGAAATGATTTTCCTTGGTATTTCCACTTTTGGAAAGAATTCATTCAGACCCCACATTATAATGCAAATATATAACTGTAGCCAAAGATGCATGAGCTTGTAAAGAAAAGAAATATAATACAACAGTTTTGTACACACACACACACACACAAAGAAACTCTGTTGTCTCTTCTTTGTTTGGTTTACATTTGCACTTCTTTTATGAGACACTTATGCTTTTTCCTACAAAGTTATACCTCATCAATTCATTCATTTTTCTAAATAACCTATACCAAGGGATCACACAAAGTCTTTGAAAGATGAAAGTACAGGCAAAGGTTGCAATAAATAAGCAGTGCTGCATCTAAGTAGTTGTCAGCACGTGTACACAAAACAAGGCTGGGTTTTTAGGTAGGACTTGGTAAAATATCAAGATAGGCTAGGAGGAAGTACTAGTTAACTAACCTAAAAATCTCATCAGTAAAACTAAACAAATAAAAATATGACGTGAAACTGAAAAAAGTCAGGGTGCTTTTGGGTTTGGGTTCAGTGCTTCCAAGTTTCGTCCCAACTTACAACCATGACTGCAAATATTTTTTCACTAACTTCAAGCATGACATTATTTGTTACCTTTGCTTTACTGCAGGCCTGGTAAAAGTCAAGATCAATAATTTCTCAGGAACAGCTCCACTCTACACTGAAATTACAACCGGCCTGAGGGACACAGCAGATATAAAATTTCTTGCCATCACTGTAAAACTCATAAAGCATCACTGTTGTCTTGTTTTTAAACCGAACTTCCTGTCTTAGTCTCATTCATATCATTGCTCTCTGCCCCACACATTTGACACAGGGAAAGAAGATGGTAAATGCTCATGGTATTGAATATGAAATGGGTAGGTATAGAAAGGAGATAAAAATGTTACAATAAAATAACAAGATGGTAAGGACAAGTGAAGCTACCATTATCATATCTTCCGATTTAGCTTCTATTTCCAGCTACTCTTCCAGAACTCCTATGCCAAGAAAGTATTTCTGCATTATATGTAAATGGGTGCAACTTTTATGCTGTCTATTCGAAGTCATCACTTTCAAACATAAACTCATTCAAAATTGTCTATTCTAGGTTTAGAATTTTTCAAATGATTTCCTGATTATGTTAAATATCCAGAAGATAAAAGTACAATGTTTTGTCTGACCTGTATTATTGACAAAGGTATTTTTTTTTGTCAGTAACACTGTAATGATGACAGGAAATGGATGATCCCAAAAACAGTCTTGATTTTGTTAAGTATGTGTGAGTCTGTAACATTTTTGCTATTTTAAATTAAAAATGATTCTGAGCCTGAATGATGGATTCTGCAGCATCTAACAGTAACCAGGTTTGGATGCTGGTAACAAGGAAATCACTGAAAGCTTGTTCCCTGTGCTCAGTGGTACCAACTTAGAGTGCTTCCTCAAACACTAATTGGGGACCTGGATTATGTTGAATTTTGCAGGTTTCCACATCTTCCAGACAAATTGCACATGAGGGCAGACTAACTCACGCCAAGATGTGCTGCACACCTGTACAACAGATGACCAATTTTACTGTGCAAAGACAAACCTCCACAAAATAATATGATGTTACTTCACATGGTGTACATACAACTCAGACAGCTAAGGGGCTGAATCATGCCATTTAGCTGTAAGTTTTCATTGCTAAAGACATTTTATAGGGCTTAAATTTTATATAGTCCGGTATCAAGTAGTACCCCTAATTGCATGACTTCAAAGTAGACATATGAGCCCTACTTTCATATTATTTTAGTGGCAAGCAATCACTGCCCTTCCCATTGTTCCTATGAGATCCTATATTAATATTATTATTGGGAATTTTATTTAAGTTCAATTTTAGTGAAAACTGTGCCACCTTCCTTGAATGAGAATTTGAACACTGAGATTAAATTGATAAAGAAAATCAAGTCTGAATCATTTTATAGTCAAGAGGTACATTGTGAATCCCATAAAGCATTGTTTCAGGAACCTGGTTAGTGTTCTGTACACCTGCTTAATGTTTTTTTCATCATCACAAATGTCAAAGTACTCAGTAAGTCACCGGGGTTTGAATGACAGCCATGCGCTAAGCAAGCAGTTATGTTTTTTCACTACCAAATTGGACCATAAATGATGAAAAAGAGGTCAAAAAGGAAGTATGGAACCATACAAATTTGAAAGAGGAAACTGCTAATAGCCATAAACCCTGTGCAATCAAAGGCTTGGCAAGTCATTGCAAATTACCTGCTCTGTGAATTACTGATCGCACTGTGTTATGATATAGAACTTTCTAACTCCTTTCATCTGTAGTAACAGTGCTTCTAATAGGTCACAGATCAAAAGCAAAACTCTGCTAGTGGAATTCTGATACAAACATGCCAAGGTTGCATAGGCATAATGCATCTGAACAAAATGTTAATATACAACCAACGTTGCTTTTGATCAACTGATTATTTAATATAGTGTATGTGTTTTACAGATCAAACTTACCAATATAATTGTTATAGAAAGGGAAGATTGGTAAGGCATGCATGACTAATTTAAAAGGAAGAGTGAAATCTTGCATGATACTTTCATTAGGGATTAATGTAGGTTGGTATGCTTTAAGCAAGATCTTGGCGATCTTTCAGATGCAAGATGCCAAATTCCTAAATCCTTTACTTCTAACTCAAGACTAAGACATGTGGGAATCAAGCACACTCAAAAATACTCATCCAAATATTTATCCTATTAGGGAAAATATCTGTATCAATAAGTTTCTTTTTTAAATGTGACATGCCCATGAAGGGTGAGGTTTAATCAGTTTGCTTTCCTCCTTCCCCTTTGCTGTAAATTATGGGTACTGATTAAATGGATATTTTTATTAAGTGGAGAAGAAAAGAAAAGAAATATTGGGCCATGAGATATTTTATAGCAAAGATTTGGCTGAAGTGTTACCAAGCTAGATTTGCCCTAACACAAAAATAGCTCCAGTGCCTGGGAGGTAGAGAAGAGGAAGAATTAGATGAGGTAGACAGTTGCCAAACACAGATTTTCAGTTATCTTGGTACTTTTACTTGATAACAACTCATATGCTTAAAATGGAAAATCATTTTCTCGTTGGTTTTTAGATATATATTAGAACCATTATTTGTTTTTTGTAAGAATTATTAATCAATTAGTGCTACTTATTGCTGTAATGCTGCAAATATAATACTGAAATAAGAGATAGCATTCCTGTCTTTATGGGAAAATGCACATAAATGCACACATGTATATAAACAAATATAGAATATTATAGTGCTATAAAGAATAGAAATAGGAGGCTGAGAGGGTTTTTGCATAGGAGTGCTATTGCGAGTAGGATGGTCAGGTGACATCTGAGCTGGCATATGGTCAATATGAAAAAGATAGCCTTGTATAGATCAAGGTAGATGGAAAAGATCTGATAGATGATAATAATAGCCAGTGCAAAGATCCTAAGTCTGTACAGAACTAAGAGTGGTTGAGAAAGAGCAAGAAGCACAATGTGGCTGAACCATAGTGAGCAGGGACAAGAATAGAAGATGATCAGGACTGAAGATGTAAGACTGTGTATCACATTAAGGAGAAGAACAGCATGTTGTAACTGGCTATTCTGTGAAAAATAGGTGATACATCGAAAAGAACAGAAGCAAGAAGACAGGCTAAGTCAATATTGTGGTTGTCCAACATGATAGTGGTTTGGACTAGGGTGATGGCAGAAATGAAAGTAATCTGTCTACATGCATCAAGTTCCCAAAGAAATTCTGAAAGGCTCTCTTAATCCTTCAGTCCTTGTTTATACAGTGGCCCAACCTTCTGCTTGAAGTGTTCCAGTAAATGAAATTCTAGCCTCAACTCTCCAATCAGAAAATTGGTTTCTTTTAACATTACACTCTTTATATTGATGAAATATAGTTAAGAAACTATTTAAATGAGGTAAGTACAGAACTAGTAAAAAACATGAATTTTTCATGAGAAGTTTATTTCTAAAGTTGTTTCAAATATTTTTCGCACCTGTGGGGTTACATATCCATTGTTCAATAAATTGCAGTTGATGAAATCTGAGCAGCTAACATAAAATTTTATTATTATCAGAAATAAAGGTCAGGGGGAGATTACCTGGGCAATGGGTATGACACTGGGGAGAGTTTTAGAAAGAACTGTAAATTCTCTTGTACATATTCTTGCTTATTATGATTTTCACAAATATCATGCATTCCTGGACTCTGTAGTTTGTATAAACTAAGAAAGTTTCTCTATATTAAAGTTCTTTTAAGCATTTGAAAAGAGACTCTGGAGACTCTCTGCAATAAATATCCGACTGAAAAGAGAAGACATAAGCATATGGCAGAAGAGCAGACAAGAGAAATGAGAGGTGGGCAAAGGAGTGACTGTCTATCAGACAAAAATGCTAAAGTCTAGTATCCCAGCATTCCTAGGGCCAGGGTTCTGGGAGGAGCAGTTGATAGATAATAGTAGATACTTATTCCTATATCTTACTTATAATTGTTTTTGGTACTTACTGGCTCATTTATTATTTTATAATTTCTCATGGGAGAAAGAAGCTTTAATTCATTAGTAAATGAAGTGAGATGAGCAATGTTGGTCCATAAGATATCAGTAGCTGATACTATAGACATAAGGCAAGTAACAAACATGCCTTGCTTCAGGGTTTCCCCATGCTTTTCTAGTCATAGCATACAGAGAAAATGACAATATCTGCATGGCTCACTAGAATCCAGAGGGATTTAAGAGTGTCTATAAAACTGCTTTTGGAAAAAAAGCATTACATTCTCTTAACATTATATAGTTATAATAATACGAAGCATTAGGGAAAATATTTAATGTTGAATTTGTAAATGAATTCTTTTCAAATTTCCAGTGAAACACTTCAGTTAAATTTTATACTAGCTTTTAAGCTTGAAGAACTCATTCTTGTCTTTCACTGATAAATGTATTATTGGCATTTCTAAAGGCAAAACATTTTTTAATCCAATTTAGCTTTTTTATATAAAATATTTCAAACTAGAACTCAGAATGAGTACGCATTATTAAAGCAGTTAACATACAAGAATCTTGCTATGGTTTGAATGTGTCCTCAAAGTTCATATGTTGGAAACTGAATCCCCAATGCAATAGTGTTGAGAGGTGGGAACTTTGAGAGATGAGTAGGTCGTAAGGGCAGAAGGATTAATGTCATTATTGAGGGGATGCATTAGTTGTTTGAAGATTGGGTTTGCTATAAAAACAAATTCTGCCTCTGCTCTCTCTCGCCCATGTGATGCCTTTCACCGTGTTATGATGCAGCAAGAAGGCTCTCACCAGATTCATCACCTCAACTTTGGACTTCCCAGCCTCCAGAATCATGAGCCAAATAAATTTATTTTCTTTATAAATTACCCAGCCCTGCTATTCTGTTATTGTAGCACAAAATGGACTAAGATGAAGCTTAAACATTATTAGAAGAATATACATATCAAAAATAGATATAAGTATCCATATATGTGAAGACAGAGAGTGAGGCTGCTAGTCACAGCCAGGTCTACTAAGAGTTCTTGTAAAAATATCCTCCCCCTAAAGGCTGTGTGCCATGATTTTTGGGTGTTGGAGACCTGATCTGCTTTTCTAGTACAACTAGCACAATCTGAACCTAAGTCCTGAATAGATGACCATGTGTAGAACACTTCCTTACCCAGGAAGAAAGATTATTCAGATTGTCTGATGGCTGCAGGCATTATTGGGCCTTCTCTCATATTTGGGTGCTTTCAGGCCATCTACACATGGATCATCTGAATATTGCTCGTAACTAGAAGTTACTGAACCAGGATGTCAGCCACCCTAGGCCCTTCCTGGACTCCTGGGGGCTGCAAATCTACAACTCATTGCTGAGGTTACTTGTTGGAAAGTTCTGCTTCACAGGACACTTGTGGAACCAGGGCATATGCCTTCTTCAGAATGTGTAATTTATATGCAGAAAACATTTGGTCACAGGTTTATAAATCTAACTTTTAATAAAATATTAGAGCAGATTTCTATTTTAGCAACTAATTGCTCTTAAAGGAAGACTTGGAGAGTTAGATAGACCAAAGGGGGTAAGTAGAGCATTCTGTTACCTATGTGCACAGTATAAAGGAATGCATCCAAGCCCTGAATGTTGAGTGTGAGTTTTAAAGATTTGTCTAATACAAGAATAAAAACTGGGGCAAGAGAGGACTCCATTCTTACTAATTAGGTAAAAAGAGAAATTACTACACTGTATTCTAAGGCAATACTGTCTGACAGCAATATAATATTAGCCACATACATAATTTAAAATTAAAAAAATTTTAGTAGCCACATTTTAAAAACTGAAAAAAGGTGAAATTAAATTTAATAATATACTTTATTTTTAACCCAATATATCTAAAATGTTAACATTTCAAAATATAGTCAATATTTTTTAAAATTATTTAAGAAATATTTTATATCCATTCTTTCATACAGAGTCTTCAGAAGCCCAATCATCTATAGCACATCTCAAATCAAACTAGCCACCATTCAATTTTTTTATTTCAATAGTTTTGGGGGTATAGGTGGCTTTTTGCTACACGGATAAGTTGTTTAGTAGTGATTTCTAAGATTTTACTGCACCTGTCACTCAAGCAGTGTACACACTACCCAATATGTAGCCTTTTATCCCTCACCCTCCTCCTAACCCTCCTCCACAGGACCCCAAAGTCTATTATATCACTCATGCCTTTGTATCTCCATGGCTTAACTCCCACTTGTAAGTGAGAACATAATAATAAATGGTTTTCCATTCCTGAATTACTTTACTTAGAATAATGGCCTCCAGCTCCATCCAAGTTGCTGGAAAATATATTATTTTGTCTCTTTTTATGGCTGAGTAGTATTCTATGGTGTGTGTGTATATATATATATATATATATATATATATATATATATATATATATATATTATATTTTCTTTATCCACTTGTTGGTCAATGGGCACTTAGGTTGGTTCCATATCTTTGTGATTGTGAATTGTGCTGTTATAAACACGTGTGTGCGTGTGTCTTTTTCAAATGACTTCTTTTCCTTTGAGTAGATACCAAGTAATGGGACTGCTGGATCAAAAGATAGTTCTACTTTTAATTCTTTTTTTGTTTTGTTTTGTTTGACATGGAGTCTTACTCTGTTGTCCAGGCTGGAGTGCAGTGGCACCATCTTGGCTCACTGCAAACTTCACCTCCCGGGTTCAAGCAATTCTCTGCCTTAGCCTCCCGAGTACCTGGGACTCCAGGTACCCACGACCATGGCCGGCTAATTTTTGTATTCTTAGTAGAGCTGGGTTTCACCATATTGGCCAGGCTGGTCTTGAACTCCTGACCTTGTCATCCACCCACCTCGGTCTCCCAAAGTGCTGGGAATACAGGCGTGAGCCACCGCACCCAGCCTACTTTTAATTCTTTAAGGAATCTCCATGCTGTTTTCTATAGAGATTGCACTCATTTACATTCCCACCAGCAGTGTAAAAGCGTTCCTGCTTCACCACATCCATGCCAACCTCTATTGCTTTTTTACTTTTTAATTATGGTCATTCCTGTAGAAGTAAGGTGGTATCTCATTGTGGGTTTAATTTGCATTTCCCTGATGATTAGTGATGTTGGGCATTTTTTTCACGTTTGTTGGCTGCTTGTCTATCTTCTGTTGAGAAATGTCTGTTCATGTCCTTTGCCCACTTTTTGATGGGACTCTGTTTTTTATTGCCGATTGTTTGAATTCCTTGTAAATTCTAGATACTACTCCTTTCTTGGTTGCATAGTTTGTGAATGTTTTCTCCTACTCTGTGGCATGTCTGTTTACCCTGCTATTTCTTTTGCTGTGCAGAAGCTTTTTAGATTATTGAGATTTATTTACTTTTGTTTTTGTTGTATTTTCTTTGGGGTCTTAGTCATGAATTCTTTGCCTACGCCAATGTCCAGAAGAGTTTTTCCAATGTTATCCTCCAGAATTTTTATGGTTTTGGGTCTTAAATTTAAGTCTTTGGTCTATCTTGGTTTGATTTTTGTATAATATGAGATAGGAATGAAGTTTCATTCTTCTACATGTGGCTTGCCAGTTTCCCAGCACCATTTATTGAATAGGGTGTCTTTTTCCATTTTATATTTTTGTATGCTTTGTTGAAAATCAGTTGGCTGTAAGTATTTGGCTTTATTTCTGTGTTCTCTATTCTCTCCCACTGGTCTACATACCTGTTTTTATACCAGGTACCATGCTGTTTTGGGAACTACAGCCTTGTAGTATAATTTGAAATCAGGTAATATGATGCCTCCAGGTTTGTTCTTTTTGCTTAGAATTGCTTTGGCTATTTGGGCTCTTTTTTTGTTTCATATGAATTTCAGGATTTTTTATTCTAGTTCTGTGAAGAATGATGATGGTATTTTTGATGGGAATTACATTGAAACTGCAGATTGCTTTGGGCAGTATGGTCATTTTCACAATATTGATTCTTCCCATCCATGACCATGGGATGTGTTTCCATTTGTTTGTGTCATCTATGATTTCTTTTAGCACCATTCAATTATCAGTGGCCACTTGTGGCTAGTGGCCACTGTATTAGACAGCACAGCTCTCAGGAATAACACAAGCAAAAGTCCACCTCAACTACTGGCTTCCTGTTGAAGATAGTCATCTTGACCAAGTTGCTGCAATAGGGGTATAAGCTAGAAGTTCCCTGATACACTCATGCCTAGCAGGCCAGAGGGAGAGGGGAAAGAAGTGGAAGCGAGGAGAAAAGCTAAATGACTGGTTTCCCATGAGGAATGTTGAATTTTTTCTTCATTAGGCTATATAGCTGGCTAATCTTTATAATATTTCACTGGCTGGCCTCTTTCTGGGTAATATAGAAATAACTCCAAATTCTTTCTGTCCTACCTCGTGGAAATGAAAAAATAAATTCGGACAGCACAGTGTCATTGCCTGCATTAGGTAATGGTAGAAAATTCACATTGATGGAAAGGCAGGCATACTAATTGAAATGATAAAGGAAGAAAAATTATTTCTCAACTTTGGTCAAAACACCCAAAGTGTTTTTCTTTGAAACAGGAATAGTTGATATATCCAGATAATCAATTTGCATGTTTAAAAATAGTATTGCAACCATTTTATCATGGTGTAACTTATCCAATATTGAATTTCAACTTCAAACCCTCTGATCTTCTGTACTTAAGCTTTGTCTGCCACATGTGCACATTGCTAAACTTCCTTTTTCATAGTTTGAATTTTATTTGTATGTTTCTCTTTACATGGGCCCAGTGCACACACACAGCATCGAAAAAAGTAATATATAAAAACCAAAAGCGTATGTTTTTGTATTTATACATGTAGCGCACTATTTTTGAGTGGCAATATTTTTTTTTTAGTTTTTTTCCACAATGTGTATTTTCCTCTGAAAAATAAAATTTGAAAAGAATTGCCAAATCTGTCTTGGAACTTCCACTTTAAATTTAAAACAGATCCCAAAATGTCTACTGGGATATATCTCTAGTATGACAAAGAATGTGCACCTGTGATTACCTAAACCAGCCAAAGAATGGCACCATTGCTTCACATAAATGTAGTCACAGATATTTTTTATTTGGTTATAGAATCGTATCATAAATCCCATGGCTCAGTGTAGAATTCTATCTGTCCTACAGGTCCACTTTTTGCCTTTAGATAACATTTTACAGCAAAGGCTTAATGTATTGCTTCTGTCACCCTTTGACCACTAAAGGAACTTAGAACAGCACAATAGGTGAATAATAAAGAGACAAAAGGAAATCTCTGCCCTTCTGGCTCAGTCCATGCATATGGTCATAATTTTCCAACTTTATGATAATAAGGGGAATGCATTTATCACTCCTCTGCTCCTTCTCAAGTTGATCCTCTACTGTTAAGTTCAGCAGTTGGCCACTGATATTATAGAATTGTTAAATAATATGCAGGGTAATGAATGAGAAGGCCAGTTGAGTTTTACAAGGAAATAATGAATGAGGCAGAAAGAGTGGCAGATTTGAAGGACAGTTTCAGAGAAGCATTAACCAAATCAGATGGTCATCTTAAGATTTCCAAGAGTTAAAATAAAACTCAAAAATAGGCTGACAGATCCCAGACTAATTTGTCCTGTCATGCTCTGCTCCAGATAGGACAGCTCCACATCAGCCCTGGAGTAATTGCAATTAAAATCATATTTTTTTTCTTGTCAATTGTAGACCATACCTAATAGCCCTTAAGCTGCTTTATCTACAACCACTAGTACAATTTGGATGGTTTTATATGATTGAGTTTTTCAGGCAACTAATTAAATAACAGTGATTTCACTTGAATTCAATATTGCTCAGTTTTCAAAATCAGGCAAGAAAAAACAAGCAATCCAATTTTTTACGTTGGGCAGAAATATTGAACAGTTTACAACTGTTTAGTTAAAAGCTATTCAAATGGCTAATTTGCACATGAAAAATTATTCAGTGTCATTAATCATCAGGGAAATTAAAATTAAAACCAAAAATGAGACACCACTAGGTATACTCCAGAAAATCTAAACTTTAAAAGACAGAAAATACCAAATGTTGCCAAGCTTATGGAGTCATCAGAATGTTCATACATTGTTGATGAGAATGTAAAATGATGCAAACCCTTTGGGTAAAGGTCTGGCAGTTTCTTTATGAAACTAGGCAAATGCCTACCTCATGATCCATCAATTCTACTCTTAGATATTTACCTAAGAAAAGTGAAAACATGTGTAAATTGAAAAGCTTTGTGCAAAAATAACCATAGCAACTTTATTGGTAAAACCCTAAGCTGAAAACTAGCTGAAGTTTTCATCAGCAGAAGAATGGATAAACAAACTGGGATATGTTCATACAATGGAATATTACTCAGAAATAAAAAGGAACAAATCATGACAACAACTTGGATATATCTCAACAACATTATGCTGAGTAGAAGAAGTCTTACACAAATGAGTTGGACATTATCTGATTCCTTTGAATGACCGTGAAGTCTAAAATGGGTAAAACTAATGTATGACCTAAAAACTGAAACTGAGTGTCTTGGTTTTGGTGAGCAGAAGGCTAGGAGGTGAAGATGAAGTTGTGAATTTGGAGTAGTAACATTCTGCATCTTGAAAGTAGTTTTAGTTATACAAGTATATATATATATACTTATGTACTTATATACTCATATATGTACTTATATACTTAAGTATGTACTTATATACTTATATATATACTTATGTATATGTATGTAAGTATATAAGTACGTATACGTATATATATACGTATATATTTGTATATGTATATATACGTATACATATAATGTATATATATGTATACATATATGTGTATATACATATATAGGTACTTATATTCATACATATACATACATATTTATATATATATATATCACCAAAAAACCATCATATGATACGCAAGATTTGTGCATCTTGCCTTATATAAAATTTACCTAAACAAAAAAAGTCAATAAATATTAAACTCTAGTTGATGACATGCATACTAAGTGTTTAGGGGTAATGAGTACCAATATCTGCAGTTAACTTGAATTGCATTAGAAACATAAGATCAGTTGATTGAATTGTGTCATAAATCCCATGGCTCAGTGTAGAATTCTATCTGTCCTACATGTCCACTTTATGAGAGATAGATTGATGAATGGATAAATGAAATGTAAAGCCAGCAAAATTATAGATGCTGGGAGCTGAGTATGTGAATGTTCACTTTGTAAGCCTTTCCAATTTTCTGTATGTTTGGAAATTGCCATGATAAAATAGTAGGAAACAGATCATGCAGATGAACTTTTTTAGGATTGCTCCTGAAAACTAAAAGTTGAAATGAAAACAGCAAGAGAAATATTGAATATAGCTGTCTAATTTAAATAGAAGTCTTTCATGTTCTGCTTGCTATTCGGTTTAAATCAACATCGTGTGATTTAACAAGGGAATTTTGTATTTAACATACAAAGGAATGATTTTCTTACCTAAAAGGACACCATTCTCAAAATGAAGGGCATGGAAACCAATGTAGAAGTGTGTTGGCCAGGGAATGAACAAGCCTGGTATGTGGCTGCCTGCTCACAGACTTACATCGTGCCGATGAGCAAATGGCATACGCTCTTCCTCAATACATAACGGGCAAAAGTCATGGTGTTTTAATCTCGAGGGCTTGAAGTCAGGAGCATCTAAGTTTGAACTGGGCTCACCCCCTCTTTAGCTTTGTTTCTCTGTAAATATTATTGAAACTTTCTGAGTATTGGTTTCGTCATTTACCAAATGAGCAAATTATTGGCATGTACCCTTAAGAGGCCTTCTGAGGAATAACAAAGTAACGTGGGTATTAACAACTACTATCACACAAACACACACACACACCCACACACACACACATACAAAACTGAAGAAGAAAACAGAAAAGAAGAAAATAAATTTGACAGAATTTAAAGAAAAGTACATTTGAGCCAGAGTTGTAATGATAAAATAAGGAGCTGGAAAGAAAGTATCAAACTACAGAACTTCTAATAAATTGCAATTACTTTGTTGCATTTTTTCCCTTTTTTGCACTACATGGGTTGCAGAAGTCCCTCCCTCGCCATACCCTGCCCCCCTACCCACCCTGTAGAGGTAACGGCAATGATTACGCTTAAACAAAAGTTTGAATGAAAAGCCACATTATGGAATTTTTTTTCACTTTCCCTGTAAATCTTCTCTCAACCTTGTCATAAGTAAATGGAGCTAGAGTCAAGGAAACTGGGCTAAATCCCTCTCTCACTACTTGGACTTTTCCCAAATCATTCATCATGGATACAGGCAGATGGGGCTTCTTTCTGGCATATATCTTCCCCTCCCCACAACCCCCCAAGAGGGAGTCTTGCTCTGTCACCCAGGCTGGAGTGCAGTGGTGTGATCTCAGCTCACTGCAACCCCCGCCTCCCAAGTTCAAGCAATTCTCCTGCCTCAGCCTCCCGAGCAGCTGGGATTACAGGCGCATGCCACCACGCCCAGCTAATTTTTGTATTTTTAGTAGAGATGGGGTTTCACCATGTTGGCCAGGCTGGTCTTGAACTCCTGATCTCCTTATTCCCCTGCTTTGGTCTCCCAAAGTGCTGGGTTTACAGGCGTGAGCCACTGCGCCCGGCCTCTGGCATATATCTTAGATCTTGCTGGGCTAAGGATAAGAGACAAAGGAGATTATGCTCAAATATTCAGAGTATTTTTTGCCAATCTACTGCTTTAAAAAAAAAATACATGCACAGCATACTTAAGTCAATAAATCATCTCTTTGCTTACATTGGCAGTGCTGAAAATTGTTCAGGTAGCTCAGAAATCATTTCTAGAACTTTCAGCAGAACAATGCTCTGTCAAGTGAAGATGGGAATGTCTTTCTCTTAATTCTAAGGTCAATGACCTCTAAGAAATCCTAGTGGTTTTCACTGGACTAGAATTCACAGACTCTTTCAATTTGAGTGCTATCTATTTCAATTATGCCATTATTCCTGGGCAAGGAGGATGATCATGTGCAGGGGCACTGGACCAGGGTAGGAATAAAAATATCCTGATCCCAGGGAAATTATGGATGCTGTATATGTTACGGTCCCAGGGAAATACATGTATGGTAAGAGCCACAAAACCCACAAGAGATTGCTCTAACAATGGATCTCAACTCTGCCTGAAATTCCGTGTTCTATTTTAAATCTTTGGAATAAAATTTCCTGCCATATACTTCTCAATGAGAGGAAAAGTTAAAGGGAAAAAACAAATGAAGAGTAAAGCTGAAGCAAAACAACTTTCACAGTATGAGTGATTCTTAAAGTTATTTTCCTTTAACTCAGAGAAACATCTTTTTAAAACTTTTTAAATGCTTTATTTGGGGGGAATAAAATTATTTATGGTGCTTGGGAGTAGAAGGTCACCATGCCTTATTTTTGTTGGGCTTCTATGCTTGAAAGATTTTGCCTAATTGTGGTTGGGCAAGAAAACTTCAAGTGAAAAGCGCATTTTATATTTTATTTAATTAAATACGATCAAAGGTGCCCTCAGAGCACTTGAATGAGCATTTTCCTAGTTATATGGCACAGTCTATATAAGAATATAGCCATTGGCTCAATGTCCTTGTTATTGATTCAATAGTTCCTTCTGCTATGGACGACCAAAATTTTCCATTCTTTGAAACCTCATGTTTTACTACACAGATGAAATACACCTGTTTCTGATATACAACCACTTTTCATTCTTAACTGTGAAAAATTCATGAAATGTAAAAAAAATCTGCATTTCCCATTCTGGAGTTAAATATAATTTGGAACTTCGCACTGTCAATTAGAAGAAAAAAATAGGGGACACCTACTCCATGCAAGGCAGCCTCCATGGAGTCCAAGAAATCTGAAAATGTTTATTGAACAGCCACTTTGGGTCAGGCCCTCTTGCAGACTATAAAAGGTAAGCTATACAAACAAACAAAAAGAGTAACAAGCAGGGAAGGAAGACAGAGTGCTGGAGGTAGGTTGACTTTTAAATAGGATGATCAGGAATATGCTATTTGGGAAAATAAAATGATAGTAGGGAAATTCTAAGAAAGATTGAAGGAAGGAAGGGTGTAAGCAATGTAGGTCTTTTGGAGGAGACTGCCCCCCACAGAGGGAGCCATCAAGGCCTTCAGGTGGGAAGTCCTGGACACTTTCGAAAATACAGAAGGCTAGTGATGCTGTATGTGAATGTCTGGCGTGTGAAGTGGTAAGAGACAAGTTTGTAGGAATAACAGGGAAAATTATACATGGTCCGTAAGCCATTAGAAAAACTTTGTTTTTTTACTGTGGTGAGATGGGAGCTTTTGGAGAGCCTGAATAAGGGGAAACAGTATCTAATTTCTGTTTTATTAGTAAAATAACAATGCCAAAAACAGTATGGTTGCTTTGTTGCATATATACAGTAGAGTGTGAGTATACAAACAGAGAAACCACTTAGTAAGCCATTGAGTATACCCCAGGTAAGAGATTATTATGACTGCTGGAACCAGGTGATGATGTGAAATGGAGAAAAGTTGCCTGCTTCTGGGTATACTTTGAAGGTAGAACCAGCAGAACTTGTTGAAAGAGTGGATGTACCATATTAGAGAAAAACGAATTAATGGTGATTCTAAGATACTGGTTGCCATTTACTAAAGGTAAATAAAAAGGTACCTACATTGACTAAGGAAGTAAAATAAATTTTGTAGTGGGGGTGGGGGGTTGGAATTGGGATTTCCATTTTGACACATTTCAATTGAGGTGCCAAGTAAAGATACAAGCAAAGATGATGTGGCATGCAGGTAGATATATCCATCTGGAGTTCAGGGGTGAGGTTCAGGATAGAGATATACATTTGGTAGTCTTCAGTATATAGACGGTATCTAAAGTCATAAAATTCATTGAGATCACTTAGGGAGGGAGTGGATATTGATCAAGTCCAAAAACCAAGCCTTACCACATGGTTAAGAGTCCAGATTAAGGAGCCAAAACCAAAGGGGGAAAAAAAGACAAAAAACAGAGGCAGGGGACTAGAGATGAGAGACCAAAAAGAAATTGCCATGTAGGAGCCTAGGGGAAGCAGATGGGGGTGGAAGTTAGGAAAGTATCATGTCCTGGGTGCCAAGAAAAAATAGTGAAATAAAATGAAGATTATACTTTGTAATTATGTAGAAACAAGTAAAGAAAATAAGATGATATAAAACAATATTTAAAACGTAGTATAGTAAGTGGTAAGTGCAACAAAAAACCCTTAGTAGAAGTGCTCCAGTTGTACAAGGGAGGAACTTCATGCCACTCAGTTCAGGAGATGGCTGCTTGAAGTAGGTAGTATTAAAGCCCAATGTTGAGAGATGGATGGAAAAGTGAAAGGTAGAAGGAAAGGAAAAAAGGGCAGTTAATTAAGAGTGACATTTTGCAAGAATAGAGCAGTGAAAACACAAGATATATTTGGGGAACAGTGAGGAGTACGAGTTAGCCTGAGTATACAGGAGTTAGAGCCTAAGCCTACTTTCTGCACACCTCTAAGGCAGGTGTCCTGGGGCCAAAAGGTGTTCAGACTTCGTTACTGTTGTAGTCTTTTCTGAAAACAAATCTTTAGCAACAATGGGTATAAGAATTAACACAATATTGAAATGCTTTTTTCAATCCTTTTTCCCGTAATTTAACTCTTAGCTACCAAAGCTTGTATTTTCATCTGCAAGTATAGTAAGAACTATACAGAACATCTATCTCTATCCATTAGCATCTTTTGAGTTCTTGTTCTGTGTAAATTATGGTAGGAAGAAAAAAGGACTTACATAAATATGCAAAAACATTCACTGTTGTGCAAGTCCCTATCGTGTTCCAATTCTGGAGGTGGGGGGAGGAGGCAGAGACAGGGGAAATATTAATAAGATAAAGCTCACTCTTTGGACAGCTGTACAAATTTATTAGTTAGGACAGTCTGCCTTAACAATTAGAAAATAGAAACTCCATGCTGAAGATTTGGAATTTGGCACAGCATAATCTGACCTATGCTCCAGCCCCATGGAGACAGGGAAAACTGTCTTGCCTATAAACATACACACAAAATTCCTTAGGAATAACAGTTATCATCTCTGAGGTCTGATCAACTCATGGCATTGAAGAGAGGAAGGAGATAAAAAGAGAAGCAAGGAATCACCAGAGTTTGTGGGGTTTTTCCCCAGTAATAGACAGGAAATATCTTAATAGATTCCATTCCTCAAAATATGAACATGGTAAATTTTCTTACAGATTTTTAAATGTGACTTAATTTTATGGCCAATTTTATTGGTTATTTCCCCCATCTTTGGGTTTCCAATGACATAGTGAAGTAAACTGAGTCACAAGACCTGTCTCCAGTCCAAACACAGACATCAATTTAGCCCCTTAACTTCGTTATACCTCATGGCTCTTATATGCAAAATTAGGAAGATATAAGCATGGAACAGAGTGGAAAAGATTCAACATTTTAGAGTCATACAAACTTAGTAACTATATGACATTGGGCAAGCTACTGAATCCCTGTGAATTTCAGTTGTTAAACTGCAAATTAGAGAGAATAACAGCTCTCACACAATGTTGTTATGAGGATTGAAAGAAAACATGTATGGAAAATTTCTGGCACACAGTAGACCCTCAATAAATGTTGATTTCCTTCCTTCTTTTAACTTGGGTATTTCAGTTCCAATATCACATCAAGCCTTTGGCTCCTTAATTTGGGTAAAAACCACTTGGGAAAGAAATTATCTAGTTTTACCACTATTGGCTGTTTTGTAACTTTTTTTTTTTAAATTGGCATCAAGTCTGTTTTAGAGCATAAGATAGCCTGTATCTTCTTTAGGGTAAAAATACAAACTGGAAGAGTGCTTTTACCTTATGAGCAGTGAGGAGAAAACTGGTATTTCCCTTGAGAAAAAATTTAAGATTATCTGGGAGAAAAAAAAAAAAAAAAAGGAAGGACAGGAGGAAGGAAGTTAGTTACGCAGTTAAAAGGTCTATAAATTTAAAAGGAACAAAGTAGGAGAAGGTATTTGCTGTGTTGCCCTCCTGTTAAGATGGGTTAGGTATTATGCATAGAATGACAGTCGTCTTTCTCTCTCCCAAAATGAACAAATATATATATTTTTCTATGAGACTGAATGAGTTTTTGGCAGGAATGTCAGTTCAGTAAATGATTTTGTGCTCTTTGTAAGAGGAAATGTGTACTTTACAACTTTGACCTTTCTATATTTTTCATATTTTGCCTGGATACGTATTACAACCATTCCTTTCAGTTAGCAATTAAAATCTAATTTGCAGCTGCCTTTATAAAACTCTCCCACAAATGAAAATTGTGAAGTCCTCTTGTTTGATCTCATATGATTGATATTATTCAGTGTCATACAATTCAGTATTTGAAACACATAAAATGCCCCAAATATGAAGAAAATGCAATAAAAAGTCACTGGCCATTGGCACCATTGTTTTAATTTGTCACACAGTATAAAACACAAATTAAGAAAAAAGGAAAGGAAGAAGTAGTAGTAATTTACACCTGTCTAGAAAGTTTGGCACTGCATCCCCAAGTATAGGGAACCATTTACAGGGGAAACAACATAACCAGAGACGATGTAAGTATAGAAGATGAGATCATCTACCAACAGCAATCTTTCAAATTCATAGACACTTCTGGATTCATGAGCTGAGAATGAGCCATGCAGAGGACTGTAAAATTCATTTGCAGTGTTTGAATTTGTTAACACACATTCTCAAGCTGTCTTTGTTACGAGATAGCGCTCATGTTGTAAGTGAAAAAATAATCAGTATAGAAAACACCTCAGTTAATTGAAATCATGACAGTCTTAAACATCAGAAAGACAAAGGACAAAATGGAGCTCTGAAGTGCTATTTGAAGTGGAAAAGTAAGTCAATTTAGCAGAAACTTACAATCATATTTTCCCCAAAATATTTACCTGCTGTTCTTTTAAAAGACTCATTTGAATGAATTAATTAATTCCAATTCATTTTAATGCATTTGTCTTCTATTGGGCATAATTACATTTTTCTTTTTTTCTAAGCTTCAAGACAGAATTAAATTTCTCAAGAATTTAATAAACACAAAAGAAAAATAATTTATAGACTTTTGAAATTATCCATACCTCTCTTCTTACTTTCCTCCTATAAAATCCAACATAGATATTATTTCAGCTTCCAGATCAGGAGAGGAAAGTGAAAAAATCTATCTTAGTAGTTTCTCTAGAAACAGGCAACTCAAAGTCAAAATCTAGGATTCAGATGATGAAAGGAGTAAGCTGTTTCAGAGTGAGACAGGAAAGAGTAACTGCTATCAATATTGCCTATTTGGGGCCTCGTATGTATTAGAAAACATTAAAATAATGTTAATAAGTAAAGTATCGCTTATACTTTAGGACCTGTATAGCCATTCTTGGGTTAAAGAAAATATACAGGAAAAATGATAGACATTATTACATTACGGGGAAGGTCACAAAAACCTGAAAGGATACATAAGGACCTCAGCTGTATAGACCAGGGCTTTTCAAACTTTAAAATGCACACAAATCACCTAAGATCTCATTAAAATACACATTCCCAGTCAGCAGGTGTGGGATGGCACCCCAGATTCTACACTTCTAACTCCCCAGGCAATGCTGATGCTGCTGGCCTGCAGACTGCATTTTAAGAAGCAAAGCCCCAGGTCATGACAAAGGAGACAAGATTTATCCTAGAAATTGCATCCAGGGAAGTCTGAATATCCAATGATCTTTCTCACCAATTATTTTCCTTTCAATGGAACTCACTAAAAAACATTAAAAAAAAAAAAAACTCTAAAAAACTCCTTCTGCCTCTCCCATTCTTTTCCTTTCAAAGGAACTCACTCTAAAACATATAAAAGTAGCTAACATTTTAAAACAATCACAGCATGACATTTTACTAAGGTGAACAAATTATTTAATCTAACTCTCAAACAGCCTGTGAAGTAAATAGTTTTATTATCCCCACTTGACAGAAAGAGGAACTTCAGCTTAGAGAATTTAGTTAATGGTGTCAAGGCCACATATACAGGATTTAGAAGCAGAATTCTGAATCAGACACATCTGACCCCAGAACCTAAATATCTTAGTCAATGTGACTACAATTATCAAGGCATTCTTGAATGAGTTCTTTGCTCAGTTGCAAACAAAGAACTAGATACAAAAGGTACTGTAAGGGATATAGTTATGTAAGAACTTTAGAAGACACCACTATCATTGCTAGCTTCTAAAATGGGAGTCCCCTGGAAATAACTGCTCTTAACATTAGAGATTGTAAATGCATGATGAATAGGAACCTCAATGCAGTAAATAATCAATTGCAAGAACCAGAATGAATAAAAGATGTGGATAAAGTACTTGATGGATTCACCTCGTTAGACTAAAGAAAGCACATATAGGCTCTAGATAAGGATATACTAGAGGCTCCACAGACTTGAACATATGGGATAGCCCTTAAAGCTTCATGTCGGAAAAAAATAGCTCTTAAACTTTAGAATCCCTAAAGGACCTTTACTATTGAAACGTACACTATTAAATATTTTATGCATTCTGTTATTTTTAAAGGGTGTAATCCCTCCTAAGGTGTGTTGGCCGTAGGGTCTTTGAACCAGTCTAGCCCAGAATTAACTAGGAGTCATCATGTTCATTATAAGCCTGTTATAATTATGTTTGCTTATTTCACACTGTTTAATATACTCCCTTCTGTTAAACTTCATCACAATGCCTTCAGCACCTGTTGCTTCTTTCTGCCAGGCTGAAAATATTCTTTTCTCTTTATTATTCATGTGTGAGGATAAGATGAACTTGCCAAGAGTTGTCATTCTTGAATGCACCTGCCAAGTGTCAGACTTTAATAGTTGAAATGCTTATAGCATATGCTGTGGTTGCTGCAGCTACCAACTTCCAGTGTCCAGTATTTCATAAGGGATTGAATATATTCATGGTGACAGATTAATCTCTTGATGTATATATATGTGACAATATGCCCACGGGTATATACCATGTTGTTTATATAACACATCCCCAGGTTTCCTTTGGCTAAAAATATATCTTGCAGAAATTTACTACCTTACACCTTCAACTTTTTCAAATCAAGAATAAATCTCTTGGACTATAATTATAGATTTGTTGGTAGTTGCTCACATTAATGATGGCATTAAACCATGTACTTAAAAAATAAAATTAGGTTTATGGCTACAAGTTTGAAATTTTCTTCCTGTTTTGATAAGTTCTTTAGTTTTGTTTCTAAAGATGCCTAATACTTTTTCCACTCTATTTTTAAAGGTCTTCCATCCGGATAGAAGTGAGTACTTCTAAGCTACATTATTCAGAAGTGAGCTCAGCTTAGATAAATAGACACGGTGAAACTATCTAACTGCTGGGGCCTGGCCAGTTGACCCTGGGAACACTAGCCCGTTATGTAAAAGACAGCAGCCAACATCCTCCAGTTAGGCTTTTCCTTAGACAGAGATGAGGAACAGGACCTAATAAACAGCTGTTCATTCTTGAATCCTATGTAAAGTACCCACTATGGTAAAGATGGGAAGGGAAGCCATCTCTTTTCCATGATTTATTCAACTTTATCCTGCCAATATTTTTAGATCTTATCACTGAAGTGGAATGCAGAGAAAGACGGGTAGAGAAGGCTTTGTAGAATCCTGGCATGTGGCTAATGCTAAGAAAGACAAGACTGGAGACGCGCTGTTGCTTTCATTGCTTTACCACATTCCCAAGGACGGGTGAAGGCCTCACAGTTTTGTTCAGCTCCTGGGCAGCGCATGTGCTTCAGTATATCTTCCTTCCCTTCCCACATGAGTATGTGTCATTGGCAGCACGTGAACCTCCCTTTCTTCACAGATATAAAAAAAAAATGCACCTATCTTGTTCTTGGAACTCATAGCGAAATGGATCTTGGCAGCAGTCCTATTTCAAGAGCACCCTGCCTCAAGCAATCTCAGAACCAAGGAGAGTTTTCCCCTCTGGAACAGCATAGCAAAATATTGTTAGGTCTTTCCCTCTGCTTCTTCCTTTTGTTTCAAGAACCTAGGCCGGGAGTGGTGGCTTGTGCCTGTAATCCCAGCAGTTTGGGAAGTCCAGGTGGGCAGATCACTTGAGGTCAGGAGTTCGAGACCAGCCTGGCCAACATGGTGAAACCCTGTCTCTACTAAAAATACAAAAATTAGCCTGGCATGGTGGCACACACCTATAATCCCACGCACTCCAGCCTGGGTGACAAAGTGAGACTCTGTCTCAAAAAAAAAAAAAAAAAAAAAAGGAAAGAAAGAAAAATAAGAACCTTCGTAGTATAAGTATAGCACCAGCATGGGATCAGGGACTTTTCTCAGAGGAAGACTTTCCAATGACATTATTTTTGCAGCTCCTGGAACAAGAAAGAGCTCTTTCTGCAGAGCCACAGTCAAGCTGGATTTTCCTCATCCTGAGTTACTTATGGTGCCTCGGTAACAAAACCTCTTTGGATAAGGATACGGTTCAGTCACAAGCAGGATTTTCTCAAAGCTGTTTGGCATACTTAGTTTCTAACTGATGCCACTGATGACATAAAACAAGGACAGAGGTAAACTTGAAAACACAAAGCATTTTCTGGTATACTCAGAATAAGCTCATTTTACCCAGCTAAGAAACAGAGCAGCTGCATGTAAGTCCTCTTTGTTCCCATGGGCTGCAAGTCTATTACCTAGCTGGTAGCATGATTGGATAATTATCTAGAAAAACAACACAAGAAGAGGGCTGCTGGCCTTCAGCATACTCAGAAAAATACAAATGAGACAGAGTTGGACCTCTTTCCATTAGGGCCTAGGCCACTAATCAGAGAATTCCAAAGAGAGTTCTGTGCACAGACACCACTAAAATTTAAAAGGAGATTAGAGACCTATTTCCATCCAGAATAATTTGAAAGGCCTGACATGTACCATGAGATTGTTTGATGAACATTTCCAGAAGAACGAGATGTCTGTTTTGACTTTTGCAGTGTGAGTAACACATGTCGAAAAGCAGGACAGAAGGCTTATTTTTCTTCAGATAGCAGAAAACTTCTCTACTTGTTAAGAAAGTATGGCAGCCTGCTTTTGTCTTTCTTTTTCCTTTGTAATGTGAAAGTCCTCCCAGATAAACCTTTGTGGTATACAACTTGGTTGTGACATCCTGGCTTTATGCCTCTGACTGTTTATAAGTCATGCAAGGAAGTCATCTATCTTGACCAATCTGACTCAGACATATTTTCCATGTTAATTACACATGTTTGGACTGACATTGTAGTGATACTATTTCATTTGTTTAAAACAACAGAAGGAATGGCTCTTTAACTCAACAAATGTAGGTAAAAATTCTTCCCAGGGTAAGTGTAACAAGTCTGGAAATTATAAAGTCACAGGCACCGGTGGCTGAAACCCCAGAGACTAAGACGCTGATATTCTGCAAGGATCCCTTATTTAGATTAAAAGCATGTTGGAAAAGTACAACATCATTATCAAAAAAATTATAATTATAATAATATATGTGTTAGGCACTCCAACAAGATTGGCATCCTAAAAATAATCATCAGTTTAAAAGGAAGCAGAGGCATTTTTTACTTTGACCCAATGGAAATGTTCAAATTTGGCTGTGTTTTTGAGCAGGACCTCCACATTTTTTTACACTTACCAGAACACCAGTAGTTAACCCCGTAATGGCCAACTGCTAGTTATTATTCTACATTTGGTCCACAGCTGCATGGTTGTACCGACTTTATTGTCGTTTCAGCCCTCAACCCATTAGCTGCCTGGTGACCGCTTGCATGCAGAGGGGCCTTTGGTTAACTAAATCCCCATCAGGATCACAGCTGTTGTAAAATATGTGGTGACAAAAATATCCATGTGCAATGCATTGTAGATAAATCTGTAAGCCAATTTAAGCAAAACTTGAAAAGCAAACGAGGGGACTAGTTGGATTCCCTGGCTTCTGAACAGTACAAACTACATTTCCTTTATTTTCAGGAATACTCATCATAAAATTCCTGTGTTCCCTGCTTCATGCATTGGTTGATGAGGGCTGAATTTCAAAGTGATAGGCGCAATTCAGCAAAACTATTCTTTTCTAACTTCCTTCACTCAGCAATAAGAAGATGAATGTCATACTAGATAATTCAAGCAAATTCCTCATTTTGGTGCAACTCTAAAGTCAACATTAGTATTTATTCAACTATATGTCTCAACTTAAACCTCAAATGTTTGTCTCAGTTTCTCCAGCCAACAGGCTTAGCTCTGTGCTATATATATACAACTGTATCACACCATCATTGTTTAAAGGTGCCAAAGCTGCCATGTCTGATGCACCTACCAGACTGCCCTAGAAGTATCCTATAGGTAATTATGGTTGGAGTTAGAATGGCCACCCCATGTCTGGTTATGATACTGGGAGATTTTGCTTCTCACAATTTGAAAACATTTAAGAATGGGAAGCAAACAAAGAATTAAATGACCTATACCAAAAAGATAGGATGGAGAAATCCATTTTCTCTATTTTATCATTGAATGCCAGTCTTTTATCACTTTTTCAAGACCCCAAATCAAGTGACAGATGTGATCTGAAACTTTCTTAGCTCTAACTAAATTTCAACCCATCAAGGGGAAGTTATTTCTGGTTCCAATATAAAATTTAGTTTTTATTTGCTGGTGCTCATTGATTGGAATCCTCACCCCAGATTCTGTTCTTTCCATTTAATTATTAAGAATGTTTCTTAAGTCAGTGACCTAGAGTTTTCTTTTTAGTTAATTAATTTAAACATGCATTAAGCACCTACTATGTGCCAGATACTAGAGATAAAATATTGAGTCACAGTCCCTGAATGCAAGGAACCTAAGGTTCAGAGGCATGTAATCTCCCAAGTGTAAAAAATGAAGATTTTTTTTTCCCCTTCCATTTGTCCTCCTTACATAGTGCTAAAAATGATGCAAATGAGAGGGAAAAGTGCCATTAGCTCCTTGTAGCTGTTTACCCAACTTGGTAAGGTAAAAGACAATTGCTAAGGTATGTATGTTAACTATGCATTAATGGCTTATTAACTCATTTCTCAGTAATGTTTACTGAGGAAAAAATATTAATTATCAGGTAAATATCTGGAGCATAACCACTGTATTATGTGTGTGGCATCTAAAAATAATACCAGACACAAGTTTTTATCTTCAAGGAATTTACAGTTAAGTTGGAGAAAACAAAATTTTAACAAATATTTTAAAGATAAAATAGGTTGCATTGCACTTTGTATGTGCATTTGTGTGTAATAATTGATTTTAAAAATGAGAATTGTTAGTTTTATAGATAGAAGAGAACTGCCCAGCTAACCTTCATTAGTTTAGATTCTCACTGTCTCACATCGTGTTGCTCTATCCCAATTAGGAAAGAGTAGCTATATGTCAAATAGGTGAAGGGTGGGGATCAATCAGAGGAAAGTGCGCCCCAGAAGAAGACAAGTTCTCAATCTAGTCCAAAGATTTAACTTGTAGCATGGCTTTCAGGCTTTAAACTGTCTTCAGCTTGGAACAATGATTAAACTTCCACTGATTTCTCATCAGAAACAATGGAGCCCAGAATATAAGGACAGCCTCATTAAACTGTTGGAAGAAGAAGGAAGAGAAGTAGGAGGAAAAGTTTAAAGTTACAGTTGGAGATATAGGATTTTACTCCTGAAACTACAGATGATACAAGAAAAAAAATGAAAATATAAATGAGTTTATCCTCACTTTTTTCTGAAACTTGATAAGAGTTTTAGAATCTGCCAGATATTATGTATCTAAAACAAGGGATAGACAAAGAGAGACTATACTTCATAAGAATCTAAAAGATGGCACACCTACATAGAAAGAATAACGGAAAACAGTATTTCCTCAAGTTGTAAGTACAAAATTTGTATAGTTTTAGAAAATGTTATGTCTGTACTACCACCTGAAATTGACTTTTTAAATGTAATATATCAGCTTAGTATTTCACTTAAAAGTGAAGATATTGTACTATAAATTTGATAAATATTGGATAACATACATTTTATGAAATAATATCCAATCTTTAATAAAAGGGAAATGTATGAAACCATTCATTCACAATATGGATAAATGATAGATAGATAATCAGTAGAATATCCAAGCACATTTAATAAAAATAAAAGTTAAAATAACTTGGTATCATTATTCATGATCAGATTGTGACAGCTGAAGGGATAGTAAGAAAACAGGAAACAAGCATTTTAAAATAGCGTTGATGGGTCTAGAGACACTAATTTCCTAAGCAGCAATTTCAAAATGTGAATCAAAACATTTAAATTTTCCTCACCCTTTACCAAGCACTTTATATAGTAATTATGGATGTATTTGAGGATTGAGCTGCAAATATGTTCATCCTCTGTTGTATGTATAATACAAATAAATGGCAGTTCTTTTTATTTTAAAGAAAACCTTTTAATTCAATATTCAAAAACAGTAAAAAAATTGTATTTCTGATATTTTTCAAAAAGACTTTTGAATGGGAAATTCTAGTTATATCCATAAGCAGAACTAAAAACCCTCATGTAGTTGTCTTCCCTAAAATCCTAGTCATTACAATGTGGCAGCTGCTCCCAATCTCTCTGATTCTCTATTAAAGCTTTCCAAAACTATTTTCTAGAATTGCTGTTTCTTCTCTCTTGCCTCTTTTCTTCATCTTTACAGTCTTAATAGTAGCATGTAACACTCAGAGAAAAAAAAAGTACATTTAATTTTATACAAACTGACTTTTTAAAAAACCTCCAATTGGCATTCATGTAAAATCACATATGCCAATAGTTCCAAAAGCAAATATGAGGTTTTTTTAGCAGTGAATTCTAAGAGATACAACTGTTTTTAACTAAAATATACTTTATTAAGTAAAAATAAAAGCTTTCATTTTACTAAATTTCATAAGGTAGATATCAAAATAATGAAAAAGATACATTTTATGTATCTCTTGAGCACTTTTTTTATTATAATTATTTTAAAAGTGACTATATAACTTTATTAACCAGGAAGTATAATTAATTAAAAATTTCTGTTTTCAATAATGCTGAATAATGGAAAGAAGCGAAATGTGTTTCCTTAATTTTTAATCAAGCTCTGCCTTTCTAAGGTGTAGCATATACAGTACTAACTGAATGTACTAACAGTTACATTCATCAAGACCACATAACTGGAAAGGAAATGGCATACTCCAGAGAATGCCTTAAAGAAATTAGGAGGCCTATGTCATTAGTTGGTCTTTGTTTTCAATTTTGGATTACATCAAACTTATAAAAACTTATATTTATAATTAATCCATTAAAGCAAAAGCAAAGTTTAGAAAGAGAACATTAATCAGTTCAATTTCAATAAGTACACAGATTACATTGGCCAATAAATCATGCAAGCAGCTGTGTCTTTTTTTTAAAGCATTGGTAAATAATCAGTTGGACTGAAATTAATTGCATCCGTTCTACACACCCCTATACTCAGCAGTGTGAAAGCATCTGCATGCAAAAAATAAATATAAGATTTTGTCATAATTATAACAATATATTACAAAATTATTCAGCATGCATAACAAGTAATACATAATAGAATCATAGAATCATTGAGTTAATATGTCTACAGTCAAACAAATCAGAGTACTAAGAAATTAGAATGCAAGTTTTCCCAAAGAAGATAAATATTTTTCAATGTGTGAAAATTCATATATATACATATATGGGTTTTATTCCTTTTGTGGCATTTCCATAAACAGTTGTTTTATTTACTTATGTTTCTTAGACTCATCAATTTAATCCAATTATTTCTGATTATAACCCTTTGAAATATGGGTTATATTTTCAAATATAACACAGTTTCTAGGGTTGACTGTGTGAAATAAGAATATGTAAGTTGTAGATAACACTTCACTGTACTCCATGAAATTGGGATGATGATTGTGAACAAACTTTGCTAATTCTGAAGAGTTCTATGAAGGTGAAGGGGGAAGTAGAGGAGAGCTGCCTCTGTGTAGTTCCTTCCCAAGCACTCCTGCCATCTTGAGCACCAAGAATAAAACTGAATTGTGTTGCTCACAAGAAGCTCACAGCAGACAGCTTCAGCCTTTGAGCTGCCACAGAGGACAGGTGCCCTAAGGCCTCTACTTCATCCACTTTGCATTTCGGCCAGGAAAAAAAAAAAATTCCACACCCAGAAACTTCCTAAAGTATCCTTCCTCTCTAGAAGGTAGAAATGAGAGAAGGCTGAGACTGTTTGTATGTTATGGATTCAAAACTATCCCTGGAACTGATTACTCTTTTCCCTCTAGAGACCTAATCAGGACTAATCCTATCAGGACTCACATTCCTGTTTATTTTGGTCAACCCTAATTTTAAATCTCCCAAACTATTATTATCTCTAGAACTGCTGAGAGGCCACGTAGCCTGGACACAGATTCTAGAACCCAATTGCTACTATGACCCTGGGTAAGTTGCTTAAATTTCCAGCATTTCAGGTTTTTTCTCTGTAAAATGGGGAAATAATATCATAAGGATGTTGGAAGGATTAAATTATAACATTCATTAATCATTTAGAACAATAGCTGACACATAGTATTTCCATGTAAGTATTTATTAACTAAATAAATATAGTATATCCCCTAATGTGACTCAAGCCTGCCCTCGATCTCAAATCTTTGTCCTAGGTCTATGAAATTCCAGAATACGTAAGGCCAGCTTCACGGGTATGTGATCTTTACAGTCACACACAGGATCTCACACTTAGAAGGGTCCACACTTGGTATAATGGTTATCTGTCCACATCTTGCAATTCTTAATTTTAAACATGATATCCTGCATTTTCATTTTTTAATGGGCCCCAGAAATTATGTAGCAGATCCTAAACAACATGTCATCAAGAGATACCCTTATAACTTCAAACTCACTCTTCTCTGGATATTCTCATTAGCTTCTTAATTTGAGTCCTGCTGACACTATGTTCCCTACAACAAACAGTATAAAATGGAGGATATTTTTTCTTTATACCCTATATATCATAGTATCACAAGCCGAGAAGTTGGGATACCTTCTGCTTCCAATTTTCTTTATCACCCCCACCCATTTGAAGCTTGAACTACTAAACTACACATTGTACCTCCTTCCTACTGTCATACACTGACCCATTCATTCTCAAATTTGCTGGATTCATTTCCTTCCTCTTTATCTTCATCTCTTATTTCTTTGACATATTTTGAAATGGCTGCAGCAGGGGTTACCCAAAAAAAAACCCAGGGTTTGTTCTCCTGGTGAATAACAAATAACTCTCCAAGAGAATGCAGGTTTTGATCAAATAGGAGTTTTATTACTTGGCACAAGTAAGGAGAGCACTGGGTGTATTCTCCAAAGCAGTGTCTCCTGGAGGGAAGGTGACAGGAGGGTTTTATGGGGTGATGGAGAGGGGAAAGGGTGCATCATCTCATGTAGAGGAGGAGTCCCAGTTGTGCAGACGTAGTGAGTCATTATGCCAGCTCATAGTTTGCATGTTATGGTAAAGAAGACACAGCTCTTTCCAGGGTAATGAGGAAAGTTCACTAGGGTTCATCTACAAATTGTTGGGATCTGTCAGTAACTACTTCTAACCAACTAGGTGACTGCAATCCACAGTTTAGGAAGAAACAGGCTGCAGGGCAGGAGGCGTAAAACAGGCTGATTGCTCAAATTGATTAAATTCCTATAATCCCTGAAGACCCTCCCAGTTGGCTGACACCAGCCTACTAAAATAGCCCTGAAAGTTTTTTGTGGGGGAAATTTGCATCTGCAGAGAATCTCCATTAATCCAGGCCTTTCCTAAATCTAGAAGAGATTGAGAATCTGACACCTTTAAAGGTCTGAAAAGTAACATTTGCCATCTATTCTCTCTGAAGACTGTTACCTATGAAGCTTCAACTACATAACAAGGAAACCTTTGCTAGCCAGGCCTCTTCCTTTCTTCCTCCCATAACCTGTCTTGCCACTAAAACCTGGTCTACCACCATAACTTGTTTTTGGCCATGCTCTGAGCCCTCATTTCTTTTTATAACCTCAAGATGGCATATAAGCTTCTGTTTCTTATTGGCGGTTAGGTCTTCATTCTGAAGGCTCCCATGTATACTTGTTAAATACATTTGTATGCCTTTAGTCCTATTAATATGCCTTTGCAAGCTGATTTTTCAATGAACCTTCGGCTGGCCAAGTGGAAAGCTTTCCCTTGGCCCCTGCATCATCATTCTTGATAACTTAAGAATTCATAGGATGAACCATTCAAACCCTGCCTGTCAGAGACTTTCCTTCCTCACTGCCAATCACCTTTTCCTCCACCAATCCCCAGCCAGTGGTCACACCCTTGACACTGCATCAGCACTAACTCACCATACCTCAAAAGCTTAAAATTAATCCCTCTCTCCTCTGGCTGCCACTTGCTGTTTGTTCTTTGTTTTCATTCTCAAGTACTCATTTAGCAATAATTCTTCAAACTTAAATGAAACCTCTAAAACGCTGACTTTGCTTTTCATTATCTTCCTATGTGCTTCTGTTTCCTCTTCCCCCTTTACCTGGCTTTTAATCCATGTTTCCTAATTGAAGTAATTATCTTTTAATTATTTTAACTTGCTGCTCTTCCCTAGCATCCTCCCCTGGAAACCCAAACACTGATTAAAAACCATTCAAAAACTCTTTTTCATGCCAATGCCTGAGAAGCTGAATGTAACTGTAGAAAGTCACACACTACGAAGAATAAAATCACATTAAATTTATGCTAAAATATCCAATACATAATTAACACTGCCTGACAAGCATATTCTCCCCAGTAGAATTGAGACAGCCAGGTGGGAGGGGGTTCCTGGAGAAACTCCAACCAGCCTGCCCACTGGGGTGGAGCCTCAGGAAGTTCACCCTGTTTGCAGAGGGGAGGAGCCTGGCCCCTCCTCTTCCTGTGTGGAACCTGAGATTCCAATGGCCAGGCTATAAGCTCTCTAGCAGGGACCCCGGCCTAGCTAGAGTCCGTTTCCTCCTTCTTTTCCTTTTCACCCAATAAAACCCTGCCTTGGGCAGGCACGGTGGCTCACGCCTGTAATCCCAGCACTTTGGGAGTCCGAGGCGGGCTGATCACGAGGTCAAGAGACGAGACCATCCTGGCTAACACCGTGAAATCCCATCTTTACTAAAAATAAAAAAAATTAGCTGGGCATGGTGGCGCACGACTGCAGCCCCTCAGTCGGGAGGCTGAGGCAGGAGAATCGCTTGAACCTGGGAGGCAGAGGTTGCTGCAGTGAGCGGAGATTATGCCACTGCACTCCAGCCTGGAGACAGAGTGAGACTCAGAAACAAACAAACAAACAAACCCGCCTTATTCACCAAATTGTCTGCGAGCCTGAATTTTTGTGGCCGTGGGACAATGAACCCTGCCTTTAGCTGAACTAAGGAAAAGTCCTGCAACAGAATAAAAATAAAAAATAAAAATAAAACCCTTTTGTATTTTCTCTTCTCTTCAAACTACTGCACATCACTCCGCTCCCCTTCAATGCAAAGATACTGGGATGATTTTTTTCACACTCACTGATCTTTTTTCCTACTCTTTACTCTTCAACATACTACACTGTGGCTTCTTTCCTCATCACTCCTCAAAATCTTCTCTTCTTTAGGTAATTTGTGACCACCATCTTGTCAAATCTACTTTTTGATTCTCCTCTTCCTTGACATTCCCTGGCATCCTATGGTTGGCATTCTCTCTTTCTTGAAACACTCTTTCCCTTTGGTTTCTGAAAAATCTGACACTTTCCTATCTCATCTTCCTCCTACGTCACTGGCTATAATTTCTAGGTTTCTCTTTCTTCTGAATAGTTGCCTGACTCAGTCCTTCTGTGTGATCTTCTTGGTTGCTCTCATACATAACATTTCTTTAGGGTACCCAACTGTCCTGGTTTGCCAAGGACTGAGAAGTTTCCCGGGACTTGGGACTTTCAGTGCTAAAGCAGGAGTGTCCTGAGCAAACCAGGAAGTCTGATCACCCTAGATCTACATGCTGATAACTCCCAAGATTATGTTCCCAATCCAGACATCTCTGATGAGTTTTAGATCTGCTTGGATTGGTAATATTCATTTCAGACTTAAATTTTTTCAAGACAGAACTTGATTTTTGCCTTCAAACTCTTTTCTCCTTATGTTCTATCTCCACAGATGTCATCAGTAATTATGGCAAAATAAACTAAAGCAAAGAAAACTAGAAATCTTTTATGGCTCCTTGTTACTCTTCCCTTTTCCTCACCCCTGTCCAAGCCACCCTGTCCAAGCCACCATCAGCTCCTCCCTGGACCACAACAACAGCCTCCTAATACCTTCTTAATTTAACTCCTGTACCTTTGTAATCCATTCTGCACAATATAATCTAGGGTAACTCTGGCTTTAAACTAGAGTTCTTTTGGAAAACATACGTAAAAATTCACTTCTTTATAAAACATTTTGGTGAGTTTCTTTGCTCTATGAATAGCAACCAAATATCTCTCCAGGACTTACAACAGTGTTTCTCTACCTATCTGTAAAGAGATGAGTTTGTTTTACTTTTGTTTTTCTATTCCACTGTGGACCTATTTGCACATGGTTAAAAGCAGTTAGCAATGAGATATACCATGCAAGTTTGAAACACCTGAACTTTTCTATGTCCTGAAATGAGTCCAGTGATCAAGTGCTGGAGTCTCAGCAATGTGAAAAGTTAACGTAAAGGTTTTTAACTTTCATGACCAGAAGCGGTCCACAAACCAATTTTACTCTGATCTTAATTTATACAACCCATTCTTTTGCCCCTGAACACAGAGGGCACCCTGGCTTCTCTGTCATTCAAAAGAGCTATTAGGTCTATGGACTCAGCTTAGAGTGTTTTTTGCCCAGCTCTCCACAATAAAGGTTGTTGTTATCCTTCAGGTCTCAGCTCAAATACCCTCTTGAGAGGGGCAATCCCAAACCACCCGTTCTAAATTAGCTGAATTATTTCCTGACTCATCATACAGCTTATTCCCTTTATAACGTATTCTAGGATATCAACATCTATATTTTTCCAGCTTTATTGAGGTATAATTGATACATAAGAATTGTGTATTTAAGGTGTACAAAGTGATGTTTTGATACACATACTTTTTGTATATCATTTTTATGTTTTAATTTGAAGCTTTTATTATAATTATTTTCTTTTTAGAGATGGGGATCTCACTATGTTTTCCAAGCTGGTCTCAAACTCCAGAGCTCAAGCAATCCTCCTGCCTTGGCCTCCCAAAGTGTTGGGATTACAGGTTTGAGCCACCATGCCTGCCTTGTATATCACTTTAACTTTTTTATGTCAAACAAATCTCTATTTTTTGTGGATATCTAGTTAAGAGGTTTCCCTCCACCCCTATATTGTTTATGTCGCTTTGATGATTTCATTGTTTTATATTTAAATTTTTTATCAATTGAGAACTATTGTATATAAGATATATTATATAATAAAAATATATTTTATATTTATGTATATACATTTATGTTTAATTGACATATACGTATGTAAATTATACATAAATATAGCTAAATACTATATAGAGGGGGAATGAGACAAAGAGAGAGGCTTCTGTCCAATTGAACATTTTGCAATGATGGAAAAGTTTTATAATCTGCATTGCCTGATAAATTAGACACTAGCCACATGTAGTTTTGAGCACTTTAAAAGATGGTTAATGTCACTGAGGAGCAGAATTTTTAATTTTTATTCAATTTTAATCAACTTACATTTAAATGTAAATAGTGCTGCTTGCTAGTGGCTACTATATTGGACAGCACAGACATAGTGAGAGTGGGTCCAGCTTTGTTTCTCTCGAGATAAATAGCTAATTGTCAGCCTTGAGTATTAAGTAAGTCATTCTTTTCCCACTGAATAGAAGTATGAATGTTGCCATATATAAAGTTTTTATATACAGACATCTATTTTCCAGATTGTTTGTTTTTTCATGGATCCATATGGCTAAAAACCATATTGATTTGATTATGGTTGACTTTATAGTCTGACAAATAATGTGTAAAGCAAGTTTCCCAGCTTCTCATTCTCCTATATCAAACTTTTCTTGGCTGTTCTCGGACATATATTTTTCCAAGTGAACTTTAATATCATTGTATCCAATTCTAAAATCAACACTTGATGAAGTTCTATTCGGAAGTGTCTTGAATTTATAGAACAATTTGTTTAAGAATTGGCATTTTTACTGTATTAATTCTTCTTATCCAAGATCACAGTATGTTTTTCCATAGTTCAGATGTTATATTATGTTCATCAATAAGATTTCTCAGACACTTCTGCATAGATCCTGTTTCCTTTTTTAAATTATCTATAAGGATATTATGTTGTTTATTGTAAATAGAGTGTTTTTCAATTTTCATTGTTATTTGCTTACAGATAATATAGACAAAATGGTTGATCTGTACTTATTTGTCATGTTTCTATCCTAACAAATTCACATATTCAAGGTTTTATTCACTGGTATTGATTTTAACAAGAATCTTGGGAGTTTAGACATACAGTGTTATTATAAGAAAAAAATCTAATTTTCCAATGTTTACACTGACTTTAATTTTCTTAGTTCACCATATCAAAGTAATGGTGGTAGTGGAAATTCTAACCTATTTTTCATATTAATTAAAATGAGAGTTCTGTGATTTAGAACCATAACTAGATTTGATTTGTGGTAAATTATTTTGGTGGATTCTGTAGTACATTTTTATCCCTAGAATTTTTATTTAACATGCTTATTAAATATTACATAATCTTTTCAGGATTAGTTGATATCATATGGTTTTGATTTTTATAGATCGATACAAACAATTTTACTGATAAATTCTGATTATTTGGAAATCTTTTATTTTACAACTATTTTCACATTTGTACTTATATGTGAAGTTAAGCTATACTTTTGGGTGTTTTCTAACTTCATAAGGCTTTATATTAAATTTTTTCTGAATAGTCTGTAATAGCATAAGTAACTTGGAAATTATCTAGCTTTTAAAGTTTTGATAGAACTCAGCTGTGACAATCTGTAGTCCTTGTTACTTTTGTTAGTGATAGATTTTTAACTTTCTCAATCACTTTTATGATTATTGGGGTTTTTTTAACTTTCTTTTGGATCATTTTGGAAATGTACATTATGTTAGAAAAACATATTTTATCTAGGTTTTCAAATTTGTTGCCAAAGAATCTTCTTTAATTGCATTTCTCTAGTTATACCTCATATTTCATTCCCTCTCTTGTATGTTCTTTTAACCAGACTTCTTTTTTGTGCTTCTCAAATCACACATCCTTTGAGATTACATTTCCCCTTCGGGGAGTCCTGAGACTGACAGGAACTGAGATGATCCCATGCGGGCTTTCCCTCACGCATGGCACTTATCCTGTGTGCGGACTCAACCAGTGCGCCCTTTGCTTTGAGAACCTCTGAAGACAAGAGCCACTCCCATGTTCCCTCTCCCTGACTCATCTATCAGCTGCAGCCAGTCACTCAATTGTGACCCTTAGATTTAACAGATTGCACCCAGAAGCCAGTCTATTGTGTCTCCCCTAATCTGCCATGGATTCCCATCAAGCTCTCAGCTCTAAAGCTCTTCCTTTAGATCTGAAGTGAAGAATAAAGCACATTCCCACCCTCTGCTTTTTTATCTTGTACTCACAGCACAGCTATTTCCAAACAGTTTCACTCTCTAAGTTATAATAGCAGTTCAGTCTCAGAAAACTGAAATGACTCTAGCAGTTATAAGTAGAAAAAGGATCAATTTATTTAATTACTGCTTACCAAATTTTGGCAAGGTGGTGATATGGTTTGGATTTATGTCCCCGCTCAAATCTCATGTTGACTTGTAATCCTCAGTGTTGGAGGAGGGGCCTGGTGGGAGGTGACTGGATCATGGCAGCAGATTTCCCTCTTGCTGTTCTCATGATAGTGAGTGAGTTCTCAGGAGATCTGGTTTTAAAGTGTGTAGCACCTCCCCCTTCACCCTCTTTCTCCTGCTCCAGCCATGTAGGATCTGTCTGCTTCCACTTCGTCCTGCACCATGATTGTAAGTTTCCTAGGCCTCCCAGCCATTTTCCTGTACAGCTTGTGGAAGCATGAGCCAATTAAACCTCTTTTCTTTATAAATTACCCAGTCTCGGGTCATTCTTTATAGCAATATGAGAAAGAACTAATACATGGTGAAACAGCCTCTGAATTGGCCTGCAGGATTGACTCCCAGGCAACTGGAGAAATGACCCATCAGAAATTGGCCACTTGTGCTACGACCAGGAAACAACCAAAACTATGTATCAGGTTCTACTGTAATTCCTGAGGATGCAATAGTGAACAAAACAAACAAGTTTCTGTAGTAACAAAACTTTACTTTTAGGAGTAGAGTGGGGATGAGAGTCAGGGAGAGAGAAAGGTAAATATGTAAAATATATATTATGTTGGAGGCTGATGATTGCTATCAAGACACAAAGCAAAGGAGGTTTGCAATATCGAATAGATTAAAGGAGGGAAGAAAGCAAGATATGTTAATAGAGAGGGAAAGAAAGTCCCAGAAGGAGGAAGAATACCTGGCATGTTAAAGAAATAAGGAGGCCAATGGGGTTAAAGCAGAGTAAGCGAAGAGTTAAGTCATAATAAAGTGTAGTCACAAGGTGATGAAAGTAGGGGGTCATAAAAACCAAGAACCCTTATTGGGGCTGCAAAGCAGGTTCACCAATTACCAATCCTAAGGGAAGACACCCACTCAATGTAGGATGGCGAAGATCATCGCTACGGAACCACCAGGAATATGAATCCAAACACCTCTGCCCACTGCATTTTGGGCTACAGTTTTACTAATTGCCTGAGTCCAGTGAGACAGATCTCACTCACATGCAACAAGTTATACGAGCAGATTTATTACTTACAGACAGGCAGTAAAGGGAAAGAAGAAGTTTCAGATCCATTGTGAGCCAGTCACTCAACTGCCTGGGATAGATAGAGTCTACTGAACTTGCTTTGCTTGTGCCATAGCTGAGGGAACTTAAAGACAGTCTGCCCAGCTTATACACCTCAGGGGCTACATTAGTGGTCCCCAAACTTTTTGGCACCAGGGACCGGTTTCACGGAAGACAATTTTTCCATGAACCAGTGGGGTGTGGGGAAGGGATGGTTTCAGGATGAAACCGCAACTGTTCCACCTCAGATCATCAGGCATTAGTTAGATTCTCACAAGGAATGCACAACCTTGATCCCTCACGTGCACAGGTCACAGTAGGGTTCGCGCTTCTGTGGAATCTCATGCAGCTGCTGATCTGATAGGAGGCAGAACTCAGGTGGTTATGGTCATTTGCCCGCTGCTCACCTCCTGCTGTTTGGTCTGGCTCCCAACAGGTCACGGATCAGTACCGGTCTGCCGCCCAGGGATTGGAGACTCCTGGGCTACATGACCCACTGGGAAAAGCTTTGAAGGACATTTTCTTTCCAGGGGAGAAAGGAACAAAGCCTCAGATTCCCTGGGCATCTCCTCCCTAACTGAAGATATTACATTCCCTAGGAGGGACAGGAACAAGTCCCAAGCCATTTCAGGCAATTCCTTACTATCTTAAGATATTGTATTCCCAGCACATTCTATGGTTATTCTGAAAGCTGCATGCAGGAAGTAGGTGAAGAACTGGGTCCGTGCAAGACCACCCAGAAAACTGCCCTGCAGGGACAAGAGATGCAGGATCACCAGCTGACCCTGAGGTGGGAGAATATCCCGGGGCCAGCAATTCAAGACCAGCCTGAGCAACATAGCAAAACCTGTGGCTCAGAAAAAAAAGGAAATAGAGAGAAAATCTTCCATTGTCTCATTGTTACCCTGGACTTCTACCCATGGCATCCATACTGAGGACTGAAAGCGTGCACTTGCTCGTTCTTGCATTTAAAAAAAAAAAAAATCACGCCTGTAATCCCAGCACCTTGGGAGGCTGAGGCTGGCGAATCACGAGGTCAGGAGATCCAGACTATCCTGGCTAACATGGTGAAACCCCATCTCTACTAAAAATACAAAATATTAGCCGGTCGTGGTGGTGGGCACCCATAGTCCCAGCTACTCGGGAAGCTGAGGCAGGAGAATGGCGTGAACCCAGGAGGCGGAGCTTACAGTGAGCCAAGATCATCGCGCCACTGCACTCCAGCCTGAGCTACAGAGCGAGACTGCTTCTCAAAAAAAAAAAAAAAAAAAAAAAAAAAAAAGAACTGTCAGAATGGTCCCAGTCCAGACCCACACTTTATCTGCTCAAAATTTTGTTCCTTTTTGGGGAAGAGGGAAACAGAGGTTCCAAACCTCTGTGGGATATCTTAAAGTAAGAAAAGGAGGAAATGTAAGCTAGCATTGATTTAGCACCTAGAATGTGTCACGCATCAGGCTAGGAACTTCCATCTTATCTAATCCTTGTAACTCTTCCACAAGGTAGATCATATTAATTTCATTTATGTATGAAGAACCCTGATTCAGAGAGAAGATAAGAAATTTCTCAGGATCACTCAGTGTCAATGCAAGTCTGTCTGAACCCAAGCCCCACGGTTTCGCCATTTAACTATTTTTACCCTTGAAATATCATTACTTATCTCAACAGACTGACACACATAAGTATGTGTGAACATATTTTAATTAAATATTTTTTATATTTTCTGCATGTACTATCTTTTTTTTTTTTTTAGACAGAGTCTTGCTCTGTCACCCAGACTAGAGTGCAGTGGCATGATCTCGGCTCACTGCAACCTCTGCCTCCCGGGTTCAAGCAATTCTCCTGCCTCAATTCTCAGCCTCCCAAGTAGCTGGGATTACAGGCCCTCACCACCATGCCTAGCTAATTTTTTTTTTTTTTTTTTTTTTTTTAAGTAAAGATGGGTTTTTGCCACGTTGGTCAGGCTGGTCTTGAACTCCTCAGGTGATCCACCTGCCTCAGCCTCCCAAGGTGCTGGGATTACAGGCATGAGCCACAGTGCCCGGCCTGCATGACTGTCTTTTGGGATAATGTTCCACATCTCTCAGCCAGTTTCTCTGACAATAAACGGTGGAGTGGACCTTAGAATCCAGGAGTGGCTGTCTCCAAAGCATATGTTTTCACTATACTATACCATTTTCTATAGCGAAATACAAATGATTTTGGATTGACTAAGCCTCAGTTCCCCTTTGTCAATATATATATGATTAAGGGTTGATATTCTTATCAACTCAACTCAGTTCCCCTTTATCTATCTATATCTATATATATATATATATTCATATCTATCTATCTAATTAAGGGTTGGTATTATTTAGCAAATTTACAGGACTTAAATTTATCAAAGCAAATTTCTCTGTGTCTTCCTTGCCGTAAAGCAATGCCTGGGAAGTTCTGAACCCTTGCCTTGAGGCAGCCCAGTTATTGTTCAATCTGACAACATGGTGCCTTGAGTTTTGGCATTGGAAGATGCCAACCATGTCAGCAGCATAGAATTGCTGAGGTGTGTTTGGCATGAACTACCTAGTCCTCCCAGAACTACTCTAGTCCTTCCAGTTTATTATACTGATATGCTCAGGAGTAATCATCACTTAATAGTCTGGACCTTGACCAAGCCCAGATTCCTGGACTTCTCTGAAGCTCTTATAATGGCCACACAACTGAACTCTATTAACTGCTGAAGACCACCCAGGAGTAGGGCTTAAACTGGATGTGGCCATATCAAATTTCCCAGGGCTTCCCCAAGCTAAACTGGGTCACCCAGGACCACCCAGAGGCAGAACTGCAGATGAAGTAGAGTTTTGGTTTGGACTCAACTTCCAAAGAATGTGTGTTGTCTTCTCCAGCATTGAGAAACCAAGCTAGAAAGGCCAGAGCCTACTCACTCATGGAAACAGCTTGGATAGAATATATCATCCCACCACTTGGCTTCAGTAATATGTATAGCATCAGCTGTCCTCATCTAAGAATCAGAGGCTGTGAATCCTAAACTGTGAACTTTCCAGGAATGCTGCAAAAGCCATCTTTCTCATCTACCCTATCCAATAGATTGAGGAAAAATTGAACTTTGTCTTCTCTCAGTCATCTGATTCTTGAGAAGTTGAGAATATTTTACTCAGGATTTTATATAAAATTATTAACTGGCTAATTATATAGTGCACTGCAATTTTTGGATGAAATTTGTTATATACATAAAAGATATCAGCACTGTTTGTCATTCAGCTAATTTCTTTGCGTGAGTTTTGAAAATAAACATCTGTATCATAAAGATTATATCAGGATGAATCCTGCGAATTCACAGCAGTAGGTTGGGATCTAGTACTTTGTTTTTAAGTCTGATTGTGCGGATGCTACAGTTCAACTTGCATGTAGCTGTATGTTTTTGTTTCATATAAGCAAAAGTAGAAAGTGATGAATGAGCATACTGAACCATTCTCTAGCTGAGAAATTTTGACCTTCTGAATGTGTATTACCATGGCCATATTCCAAGCTGTTCTATTAAGTCCCTTGAGCAATTCCAAACTGATATTGTTATTTAACAGAAATTTTTCTTGTGTACAGATGTAAAGAGATACTAGTATAGTTACACTGCAAGTCACCATATAATCTGACTTCAGCATAGACATGTCTCTGAAAAACCTAGGATGCTGCTTTTCCTTCAGCCATCCATCAACTCAATGACAGAATGTAAGAAAATTCTATTATTTTCCACCTTCCCCCAAAAACCAAAAATAAGAGGTTTCACCAGTTTATGAAATACTTAAAATTTCATCAAAGATAGATAGATTGATGCCCAAGTGATAGTTTTGTGAGAAAAGAGAAAATCCTAGTAGATTTATCTATTTCTTGAATAGGAAGAGGGGTTAACCCAAGAGTCATTTGTCACCCACCATGTGGAATCAATTATGTCAGACTGAGCCATCAATTAAATTGGAAGTCATTGCCCTTATGCTTTCTAGATTATAGAAAAAATCTTATACAAATGAGAAAGAGAAAGCAGCAAGACTGTACCTGGTTGATTCAAACCCTTGCTTTCCTGCAATTCTATTACCAAAGATTGTCTTTCATCACGTTCAGGATTTTCACCTACAACTGCACCGCAATACCAGCATCCAGTTACACATCCACACCACTGCTTAGCAGACAGACTAAGAAATCTCTCCAGTTTAGTCATTTATGTGTCAGCAAGCAGGGAGCCCCACTTCCCTCATTGCCAGAAAACTTACTTCTGCAACACTGGAGTGATGGCTAGACATTTACAAGCCATTTTCTTTGGCTGACAATTTTGTTTTAAACCCTGCAACTACTGTTTTATTGAATTAATTTCAAATGCAGTTGTGTTTCCAGTAATCTACGACAGTTTTAAAAGTTTGAAGATGGAGACAACAGTAGAGCAGATGTATTTCATTGGGACTTGTTAGCATCTTGCTAAACTATGTTAGAGAGATTTTTCAGGAGGCAAACATCAGGTCAAGCAACAACAAATCCTTTTTAACCATATATAATTTTACCTCAAGAGATAAAATGGGAATACACAAGCCATAAAAATCTTAGCTCAACATGCAAGGATTACACATGCATATAAAATATAAGATGAATGATTTTTAAAATCCTGAAAATATCACAACAGATTATTAATTGTAAAGAAAATGCATTTGTTAAAAAAAAAAAAAAGGGCACCTATGATATGCCAGACACTGCTCTAGATTTGTGGAATTAATCAAGGTCTAAGGGGCTTGACTTCAAGGAGTTTCTGTCCAAAAAGGGTTGGGGGGCAGGATGGGTGGCAGGGAGCAGACAGGAACAAAGAAAATAACAAGTAAATTACAAAGCTTATGGGAACATAGTAAGTACAATGAAAAGATGAACAGGTGGAGTAGGGGAAGGGAGCTTCCCAAGTGCAGGGATTGGAGAAGGAGGGCAGGTCAGAGAATCTGAGTTATCTATATATTCTTTGATAAGGTGACATTCGAACAAACACTTGAAGGAAGTGAGGGCATTAGCCAGTATTTTTAAATATGCTTGCTATATTATACTTGCTATATTTTAAATATACTTGCTATATTTCAGTTCTGTTTATCACATCAGTGTGTAATTCTCAAATCCATAGAATTACACACTGATCTGATAAACAGAACTGAAGACTAATCATTAAAATTTTAGAGAGCACAAATGGTAAAACAAATGGTAAAAGTACACTTGCATCTCACTTGGATTGCTTCTCCCAAGGACTTCTTTTCCACACCTCTTTCTTTGTTCTCATTTCTTGCTTTACTCTTCTGTTTTTCCTGCCAAATTCATGTGCTTTCTCTGTTTCTATATAAGTGCTTTTAAAATTAAGTGAATAACTAGAAGTGTTTCCAGTATAACTATCTTCTCAGGAAACCAACAAGCCCACTTACCTTATCCTTGCTGTGAACACTTTCCTTTACTGAGGTGACCATAAGAATCAAGGTAAAGTCTATGTCTTATTTCATGATTTTAAGTGTGTTCCTGAAACCCTTGACTTCTCAATCTGCAATTACAACTTTTCACATATAAAAACCTATCCATGCAGAAATCATCTAAGCTTGTTATACTTTACAACCCAGACTCATATATTAACATTCTTCATTTTTGTCTTTAAAAAAGTTTTGTCATTGTTTGACCAAGAGAACATTATTTCACAACTCAAATAAATATTCTTCTTCTGAGGTTTATTCTCATTACATTAGGCAGCTACCTCAGAAATACAGAAAACAAAAAAAAAAAAACAAAATCTTTAACCTACTTAAAAATTTTTAATTCATCACAGCAAGTGATCATCTTTCAATGGCCACAGAATAAGCAAAGCCTGGCCTGGCATGGTGGCTCACGCCTGTAATCCCAGCACTTTGGGAGGCCGAGGTGGGTGGATCACGAGGTCGGGAGATCGAGATCATCCTGGCTAACATGGTGAAACCCCATCTCTACTAAAAATACAAAAAATTAGCCAGGCGTGGTGGCGGGCACCTGTAGTCCCAGCTACTCGGGAGGCTGAGGCAGGAGAATGGCGTGAACCCGGGAGGCGGAGCTTGCAGTGGGCTGAGGTCGCGCCACTGCGCTCCAGCCTTCCAGCCTGGGAGACAGAGCGAGACTCCGTCTCAAAAAAAAAAAATTAGGCAAAGCCTAATTGTTCGATATAGTTAGAAACTTTTCAATTTTGTGGGCTACTAAAACATAGGGAGGTGGTCAATGCTTATTCACTATTCCCTGAGACCTCTCCAAACAACTTCACTAGCAGAGGAGTAGAAAAGTAGGAATTTAAAAAAGGAAGACTTGAGGATACTTTATTCTTTGGGTATATTAGCCACTCTTTTGAAACTCAAGGAAATGTCTAGGGCATAGTTCTAAGAAAAGGATAGGTGGTTGTCAAACAAAAATCACTTCAAAAGATATACCACTGAACCTGAGGACCTATCAGTCTGGAGTTTCTGGTTTTGTTTCTACTTTTAAATCATAGCCTTATATATAAGAGAATAAATGAAAGCTACCCTTTGCTTTTAATAATTCTTGTTTCCTTTCTCCATGCAAAGAAAAATGAAAGGAAAAGGAGGCTTTCATCTGATTTATTCTAAAATGAGCCTACATCATTGCTTAAGATAAGGTATACATAATCTTTAACATCATAAAGTTAAAAGCATATTGTCAAAATGCCCCTTTAACACAAAAAGTGAATTTTTAAGAGATTTTCTGTTTTCTTAGTTAACAGAACTTATGAAAAACCTGTACTTTTTTCAGCAATTTCTCCCTGCCAATTGCATTATTTCATTTCAGAAGTCTTAGCTCAATTCAGTTGCTGAATTGTCAGGCATTATTTCTTTGAGGGAGTTACCTCCCACAGGAGAAAACAAGTTGCCATGATGAGCAAAAACCTGAGATGTTTCATACGATTTGGTTTTCCATCTAAACCACTCCTTGGCTTAGAAAAAGCATGTCATTCAAAGGCAGAAGGGAAAATATTTTCGATGAATTACCATCCCAGAAAATTCAGCCAACAAAACATTTTAGGATAGATCTTCCTGAGGCTACATGCCACTCACTGGCAATCTTAAACAACAACAGTTTAAGAAATATACCATAGTTCTTGGCCATAGGAACAAAAGTCTTAGGTGTTTCTCGCATTCTCATCTTTTTCTCTTCCCAGAGGCAGATTTTCAGGTTAGGACTTCTCGATCTGCTATCTTAAGTGCTTCTTTTGCCCTTGCAATCACCTTTCTCTTTTCCTTTTTATTTTCATATCTATTAACCTTTCAAATCTCATTTCTAAATGATAGCATTCTTGAGTTTTTTGACACTAATATCGATCTATAAGTGTAATATCTCAAATGTGTATGGCATCTTAAGAGTATAATGAGATTTCATGTTTGTTATCTTGTTTTTGATGAGGTAGGTCAGGTATGGAGTGTTACAAATATAAATTTGGAGACTGGGGATCAGTTCAGCTATTTATATAACTTAGATACATTTATAGTAAGGGAAGGACCCAAGCCTGGAATCCAGGATTCAGCTTCCTAGTCCAGTTCTTCACCCACTCTCCTGCACCTTCCTTCTATTGTAACTTGGGAAATGGGTACTTTTGTCCCATCAACTAGGAACGACGTGACCCATAAAAGAGAATTATCTCCCATTGAAAGGAGACATTCAGTAAATATCTCCAAATGGAATTATTATTGGTGAAAGCTTAAGAAGGTACTACGGCATAGAAAAATGTCCTTTTGAAATAAGCAAATTACATCATGTTACTGTCAACAATTAGGCCATTTACCAAAACTATAATATTCAATGTCATTCATTGCAAATCTAATACAAAGCCATTTTTAAAAGCTGAACAACTGACAAGTATTTCCAGAGGTATCCTTTGCCTGAATTATGTGTTTACCTTAGGAAATGTTGCGAAGCCAGGTACAGGATGTCATAACAACCTCTGCTTGGATCAGAAGATTGTTGCTCTGAAATTTAGAGGACAATTGGCTTGTTTTCTTTGTTGCCCTATCTCATAAGCTATTTTTAAGGAAACTTACATTGGCACAGTATTGGGAAATGGTCCGTAAGGTTAGCAAAGGCTGAAAATTGGTGGCAAAAAATTTAGTTTCTCTCTTCTGTTCTTCCATTTCCTACTCAATTTTAGCTCTATCTGTAGCTATGATAATCAGCTTAGCACAACTACAAATTAAGGTTGAATAAGCACACTTATGGCCTAAAGAAATAAAAACAAACTTTGCAGGTGAGGGTGTAAGTAGATACAGCTTAAAAATCGTGTACCTGTATTTTTTCTTCATTTATTTTCTGTTTTTCTTGGACATCTTTGTAGGAGAGGAGTATTCTGAGTTTATACATTAGAGCAAAAATGTTAAACCTTCTCTCAAACCAAGAAGTAATTTGCTCATTCAGTTATCCATTCAATATATATGTATTTTGAGAGTTTATTCTGAGAAAGACACTGTAATAAATGGTGGGATATGATATTAACCAGATAAATATGATATGTACCTTCATGAAGCTTATAATTTCTTGAGAGACAAACAAAAATTAAAATTAAAGTCAAACATAATCAATGCTACAATATTGAAAATACAGGATTCTGTAAAAGAATTTAGAAAAACACATTTTCATGGGCATACTAAGATCAAGCACAATTCACTGAACATTTTGTTTAAATCAACTTAAACTTTCTCTTGTCAGAAAGTTTTTGGGAGTAAAAATAAATAAGGGTGATAGTATTCTAAGGATATCCTTAAGCCTGCTAAAATGCAGAGAAAAATCTAGATCATTCTTAAACTTGAATCCATTAAGTTTTTGTAGTATGTTAATTGCAATGTGGTATATTGCAACACTGTAATTGTGATTATTTTCAACATGAGCTTAGAGTAAAATGAAAGGACCTACTCTTTTATGCTAATAAAAGTTTTGTAACAGTGGAACTCTACCTTCCTTGTTTCATGTCTTAAATTGGATGTGCTTAACGGTGTAACTCCACGAGGAAATAAAGCCAACTTCAGTCCATTAAAATGGAAAAAAAAAAAAGGGGGCAGCTAATGTATAACTGCATTAAAAGTGATAAGGAAATATATTATTCCATAATGTAGTCAGTGCTTTAGCATAGTAATACCACAAACATAACATTTTCAAATTGTTCACCTAAATCACTGTTAAGAAACTGAGTGATAGCCTGGTACTGATTCTAATTGTCAAAAACAATAATAAGGAAATGGAGGAAGTTACAAATTTGCCTTCTATGTCCTACTAAATATACAAAGTATTTCTATGAAACGTAACCAATAAACTCTTGACAGGACTCCATATTGATTGGACAATGGCAGCGAAACAACTTTTGGTTGTGGTAGAATCCTCAAACCTCCACTGCAAAAATCTCAGCTTTGTGTTGATAATTTGAAAACAACACTCAAATTGAAGAGACAGGAACATTTATTTCTGTTTATGGGTTTGTACTGCTATCCACTGGTTTAGAAAAACTTTCCAAAGGAACTTTATTCCAGTAATTAAGATAATCCACAACTGGGATAGATAATAATACATATCCAAAGATTAGCCAGTTTGATTTTCAAGGTATTTCATAATTTGAAATGCCTTTTAATTTCAACAGTAAGAATCAAGTCTACTGAAGTTTAGTCTTGCGTCATATCAGTTATTGTGGTATTAATTTAACAGAGGAATATCTTGTTGAAGACATTTCTTCCTCATCTAACACAATACATGTCCTCTTAACAGTGATGCAAATTTAAATACAAAGATCCATGGAACCGACACGGATCAGTTTTCTGTGGAACTGACACAGCTCAGGCTCCCCCAGATCTTAGAATCTGAGAAAACTTTGCCAAACTCAGATTTACATCAATCCAAAAGTAATACCTTCTAATTTCTCTGTCTAGTCTTATCTACTGAAGGTTACCAACCCTGGCAGCTGCTACACTCAACAGCCCTAGCTAAGCCCATTCTAGAGAAGACAGTGCCAAAGAAAATTTTTTTTGATGTTCACAATCCCCAAGAGAGTCGTTGTCAGCTGGCCAGGGAATGAGTCTGTGTGGGCCAAACCACAGAAATATTCTTATCTAGTGTATATTTATTTTACTATTTGGCATATCATAAATTTGATCCAAATTTCCCTTTCTTTATGAAATGTTAATATATGTGTTCTGATCAGAGGCCTGAAATCTCTGCCATACCAGCTTTTAAAAGAATAGTTAAAAAAAAAAAAAGGTTTTATATTATATCCAGATATTTTGACTTAACACGTTTGTAAAATCTACATTTATATAACTAGCCTCAAATAATATTTAAAATATGCATAATATTCAAAAATAGAAGAATATTCTTATTTCTTTAGTACAAATCTAAGGAAAATATCCTAATTCTTTCTGTGAATATTTTTACTGGGCATATGGCATACAGTACATGCTCAAAAAGACTGAATTTACTGCAAGAGCAAATTAGACATATAATTATATAAAATGTCACATTAGCATGTTAATTGTGATTGTCTAAACTTTTATATATCCAGTCCAATATAAAATCCTTTTTCACTAATCTACTCCAGTCTTTCAAAATAATAAAAAATGAAGAATATCAGATATTTATTTTTTAACTCCCTGCTGTCTTCTATTTTAAAAATTAGCATTTTAAAAGAAGTAACTTAGAAGACTTTTCATAATTTATAACTTGAATTTGACTATATTTGTCTTCCTTTCCTATGGCAGTTCACTTAAAATGACAGTAATAACAACAATAAAATTAAAGAATACACTCATTATGATAGAAGAAATGGAAGAATGAATAGCATGCTAGAGAACTTAAGAACAACAACAAAAAAAATAGATGAGGAAAATTCTTTTTCTGGCAGTGTGGCAGCCTAACATAATCTGCCCTGAAAATAACTAAAATTGCTGGATACAACACACTTAGCATCAGTTTAAATTTGCGAATGTGCTTAAGAGTTATTTGAAGCCTAAAAGTAAATGACAAGAACTAAGCAATAAAATTGTTTTCACCTTCAGGGTATTTACCAAACCTAGGTAACCTTGACTGCCTGTCAAGGATTCACAGGTCACAAGAAATATGAGATAAGCCCTAGAACTAATCCAACCTATGGATAATTTTTCTGCATAAACTGGAGAGGATATGGTAACATATTCTTGGTTGGAATACAGGTAAACTCTGCTCCCTATAATCTCCTACTTCCCCATCCTCATCCCGCCCCTCCACCTCCCACCCCTACCCACACCTCTGCTGCTAATGATAAAAAGAATTAATTGCTCATCTTGAAACTTAGTGCTGGTAGAGGGAAAAAAAAATAACTCTCCTAAGCATTTGCAAATACAAGTAGGTTCTCAATGAGTTTTGCAAACCAATGCTATACTACCTGGAATGTCTGAAAATGTTAAGCCATGAATTTATTTTGAAGTGGTTCTAGATTAGTAGTAACTCTAGGCTCTGACAGAAAAAACTGAATATCCTTGCTCGGGGACACCAGTGGTAAACCAAGACCTTAAGGAAATAACAGACAAGTTTCCAAGAAATATGAACTCATAAACAACATTACAAAACATGTAGGAAGTCAAGCACCATGATGGTGTACGAGAAAAATCAACACAGTAGAGTCAGATTCTTGATGTGTCAAGTAACTCATTAAAAATTAATATAGTTTTTCTAACCAATATATTTATATTATCCTGGATAAATCAAAATTCAAAGAAAGAATCGGATATGTGAGTAAAGAGCAAAAGACTCTAAAGTAACTCAGATTGGAAAATAATCAAATTTAACGTTTTTAGTAATAAAAAATGAATAACTCAGTGGCTAACTTTTGCTTCTGGTCAAATTAAAATATCAGGAACCAGCTTTATCTTTCTGCCTTAAAGTAACAAAAAATTGACAAATATATGAAATTATAGTTTTCAGACATTATACACCAGAATTTGGATCCTAGAGAAAAGGAGAAGTAATGAGGAGAGTTCTGATTATCAACACAGGCAGGGGAACCATGCAGAGCCCAGTGGTGTGAATGAGTTGAATACAGAGAGACTGAAATTTGGAGAGGTTAAAACAGCTAGTATTTGTTAGATGGCTACTAAATAGGAGGGAGCTGCATAAAGAAAAAGCTCCAGAGAGCAAGTATTTGTTGGAATACTGATCTGCACATATGTGAGATAAAATTGCCTGAGATAGTAGAAATAAAAACCAGGAAACCTTTAGGCCAAACAATCTCTGGAGCTCACACAAAAATGAGAATAGTGCTTTATATAGCTCAAAAAAAACAACAACTCATAATACATGGGGTATAGAAAACAACCTTCAAAGATTTATATATAAAGGTTTCGTATATATATATATATATATATATATATATATATTTTACATTTTATATAACAAAAAAGATTATCTTAATTGATAATTCATCACTAATTGATGATGCAAATTATCTGATAAATGTAACAACAATGCATGGCAAAAAAAGAAACAAAACTCTCAGCTAACTTAGAGGGAAACCTCATTGTCCTGATAAAAAGCATATATGTCTAACCTACATGCAAAATCAATCAAAAATCATACTTCATACAACCAAAATCATAGTTAATAATGAAAGACTAATACCTACCCATTATAATTGAAAAAAAGACAAGGATATTCTCTCAAACAAATTTTATTTAACATTGTGCTGGAAGCTCCAGCCAGTACAACAACACATAAATGTATACATACATATATGCATTAAAATATATACACATTGAAGAGGAGAAAGTAAATCTGTCTGTATTTGCCAACCATCTGGCCATCTATGTAGAAAATCCTATGGAATCTACTCCTCTACCTCAAAAAAACTACCACAACTACCAAGTAAAATAGGAAGACTACAGGACATAAGTTCAATATACAAAAATCTATAGTATTTCTGTATGTGAATGACAAATAATTAGATTAAAAGTTTTTAAAATAATACCATTTACAACATGACCAATAAAGTGGAATACTTAGAGATAAATTTTAAAAATTATGTTGAAGACTTCTACATTGAAAATTACAAAATAATGCATAAAAAAAGCACTAAATACATGAAAAGATATACTATTGCGTGAGTCAGAAGACTCAGTATTGTTAAAATGTCAATTCTGTCAGTTTGATTTTTAAATTCAACTCAATTTGAATTTGATAGGCTTTTTAAAATAAAAATTAATAAGTTGATTTTGAGATTTATATGCAAATACAATAATAAACCTTTGAAAATGAAGAACAAGTTTGAATGACTTATACTACATGATTTCTAGACTTGCTTTAATGGTACAATAACCAAGACAACACAGTATTGGTATAAGATCAACGGAAGAGAAGAGTCTAGAAATGGACCTCTACACATGTGGTTAATTTTTAACAAATATACCAAGATAATGCAATATTAAAAGGTGAAAGATTTATGTGTTCTGAAGAGAAACCAGAGAATCCAAGATAATGCAATAGGAAAAGGGTAATAAAAGAAAAACTTTTGACAAATTAAATTTAGCAGAGTCTTAACTGAGAAAAAAAAAATGATTTGCAAATCAGGCAGCTCTCAGAACCAGAACATGCTTAGAGAAACTGGGGTTGCTGCATGGTTGCATAATATTTCTGAGCAGAAAAAGAAAAGTGACGTACAGAAAATGGAAGTGAGATACAGAAACTGCTGATTTGGTTACAGCTCAGCAGTTGCTTTATTTGAACACAGTTTGAACAGTTGCTTGTCTGTGATTGGCTGAGGCACAGCTGCTGTGGTTGACTGAGGCTCACCTATTTTTACAGACACATACTCCTAAGTTGGGTTTTCAGTTTATTTATGTGCTAAGTTAGGTTGCAATTCATGAGAATTGAAGTATGCAAGTAAAAAGGCTTTCTCAGGCCAAATTTAGTTTAACAATAGTTGTATTAGTCCATTTTCACACTGCGATAAAGAACTGCCTGAGTAATTTATAAAGGGTAATTTGTAAAGGAAAGAGGTTTAATTAACTCACAGTTCAGCATGGCTAGGGAGGCCTCAGGAAACTTACAGTGATGGTGGAAGGTGAAGGGGAAGCAAGGCACCTTCTTCACAAGGTGGCAGGAAGAAGTGCCAAGCAAAGGGGAAAGAGCCCCTTATATCAGATCTTGTGAGCGCTCTCTCACTATCACAAGAACAGCATGGGGGAAACTGCCGCCATGATTCAATTACCTCCACCTGATCTCTCCCTGGACACATGGGGATTATTGGGATTACAACAATTCAAGTTGAGATTTGGGTGGGAACACCAAGCTTAACTGTATCACTAGTCTTTCTAACAAAAGTGTGCTGAACAATTGAATATATAAGGGAAAAATTCACCGTAACCCTTATCCTATGGCATATACAAAATTTATTTTGAAAAACATTATCAAAATAAAAGTTAAATATAAAACTTCTAAAGAAAATATAGGGAAAGACCTTCACAAGCTGTGGTCAGGAAAAGATTCCTTGGAGCAGAAAAAGTAAAAACAGTAACAGAAAAATTAATTGATAATTGAATTTTAAAATATTTATTCATCACTAGACATCATCAAAAAAATAAAAGGTAAGCCGTAGACTTGGAAAAAAATGTAAAACATATAATTAGTAAAAGACTTGTATGCAGAATATATAAAGAATATAAGCAACATGATAGAAAATAAGAAAAACTATCTGGACATGTTATACACACACGCACACACACACACACACACACACACACACACACACAAAATGAGATATCACTATCATCCTCTGGAATGGCTAAAATTATAAAGATTGGTCATACAAAAAATTAATGAGGATGTAAAGCAGCTGGGACTCTCATACATTTCTAATGGGAATGTGAAATGGTATAACCACTTTGGAAAACGTTCTGGTACTTTCTGATAAAGTTAAACATAAACAAATCACCCAGAAATCTCACTGCTTCATATTTACCCAAGAAAAATGAAAACATACATCCCCACCAAAGATTCGTAAGCCAACGTTTATAGAAGCTTTACTTACAGGAGCCAAAAATGGGAAACAACGCAAATGTCCACTCTTCATTTAATGTATAATAAATTATGTTTTATCTATGTAATGGAATGCTATATAGCAACAAGATGGAATGAACTACTAATATGAACAATGTGGTTGAATCTCAAAAGCACTCTATGTGAAAGAAGCAGACATAGAAGGCTACAGACTTCATGATACCATTTTACATAAAATTTTAGAAAAGATACAAGTGTAGTGACAGAAGAAGATCAGTGTTTTCCCAGGGGCTGGATTGGAGAAAGGGTTGGTGACAAAGCAGCATGAGAGAATGGAATTGTTGGAAATGGAAATTATCTATATCTTGATGCAGTGGTGATTATATGACTATACACATTTTCAAACTCATTAATTTATGCTTTTAACATTGATGACTATACTCCATGCAATTATACTTCAACAAAACCAGTATTTTTAAACCAGTGGCAAAAGAATAATCAGGTGAAAGCAAGTCAACCCCTTAACATGATTCCATTTTGAGCCAATTTAAATGGAAAAAAAAATGAAGAAATCATTAAATACCAAGCATTAGAGAATATGTGGCTAAATGCAGTATTTTGTGCATTACAAGTGGAAGTATCTTCTGGTTGCAATACATTAGAAAACATTTTTGTATTAACTTTTGAAATTGGATAACCGTATACTCCATAGCCAATAATTTTACCATATTGAGCATATTCAAGTTAACTCTTACAAATATGAATCATAAAACATGTTTAACAATATTCATTTTAGCACTCTTTGTAATATAAAATAATGAAACTATTAAATGTATATCACCAGGATGACAAGTTATAGTATATTCACACAAGGGAGAATTATACTATAGTAAAAATCAGTTTATCAAAGCCACATGTGCCAACATTGAATGAATGTTAGAAACATAAGAAAAATAGTCTCAAAAGATTATATACTGTGTGATACCCTTTTTATAAAACTCAAAAACAAAACTGATATTAGTTTTCTAATCCTTGGTTATTGTTGTGAGAGTTCATTATATTAATAATATAAATATATTAATATATGGATCAGTGATGGCAATGTCATAAAACAAGAATTATAATTATTTTAACTCTGTGTTCCTAGAAGTTATTTTAAAATAAACATATAAATATGCAACTAGAAAGAAAAATGAATAAACAGATGAAAGAAAATAATACAGCAGAAATATATCTTTTGTCTCTCAATAGGACACAGAAGTGTAAATAGGAAATAGTAACTGGAAATGTTTCAGAAAAAGATGAAAAAAATTACTGAAACATAATGAACTAAAAATATGAAGCATTGAGCTAGACAGCATTAAGAAAGAATCCCTTTGAGACTGTTCTAAAATTCTTTTTCTTACAAGTAGGTTATGACATTTGATGCTTTTAGAATTAAATGAGAGTATATATTTCCAGCACAATTTTTGGTTTTGTATAATTATTATTTATAATAATCATAATTTAAAAAAATTTAAGATTATACTATCGAGTAATCTAAGAGACAAAATTTAAAGCATTCTGTGCTTAAGATTCTAATGCAGCATGTAAATCTTACCAATTTTGAAAATGCAAAAGGTACAAATGAACAAAGTTAGGAGATGGAGGAAAGAGGGACAGAAGTTTGTAGTATGAATATTCTAATTTTTTTTATCATTGGGAATGGCAAGAAACTGGTATTTGTTGAAATTAGAAAGATTGTCTGAGTTTTAACTCAATAAAACCAATACAATAAAGAAATAGTATTGTAATTGTTGAACCTTGAAAACAAGGACATTTTGTCCCTGCTGCTGTGGATAAACTATACCAGCATTTGTCAGATTGGAAAATCCATAGTTAATATTTCATAAAACAAAAACATCGTTATAATGATATTAATAGGAGTTTTTTTTAAAAAAATAAGAAAACCAAGTAGCAGAACAAAAATTTAAAATTCCAAGTGGCTGCCTTTTGGGAATAGAACTGTGGGTAGAAAGATGTATGGGTCAGAGAACTATTGTGTTTCATTAGCAGATCTCCTCTGCTAGGTAATCTTTCTCCTATTTGAATGAACCACTTTCATCTAAATAAGTGAGTAAATAATGAATAAATGATAACACAACACCAAAATAAAATGACTTGTGCAGAACTTTTATCATTGAACAACTGTTAACTAGTGGATGACACAGCCTTATCTTACATCCTCCACGCAAGACTATTTTTACTCCTGTGTCAAGATGCACTAGCCCATATCATGATACCTATCTTGTTTGCATGAAAAGAACCTAAATAAAACCTAGAGATGAATTGCAGGAAGTTTTGTCAATAGCTTGTAAAATATTTTATAATCATCCTGATAAGTGAGCTGAATTGTCAGTGTCAGTCATGGAGGAGGAACAGAAAGAAGCAATCAAAGAGTTCCTGAAATCTTTCAAGGTAACATATAGCCAGAGCACAACTGGAATTTAGAGATCCCACAGGGTTGCACAGATGGTTGCTCAGCCCTCTGAACAGCACTGCCCCTTAATCCAAACACACCTAAATAGATGCAATAATGCTGTTGGTCTGAGAATCACTCAATTAACCTTACAGTGACATAGGACCAGCCAGCAGAGTTGTGGCTCCTCTGACGAGTTGGTCCCATTCTGTCTCTAGTTACCCCTGTACAAAGTGTACTTGGTTTGCCTTTTTTTTTCAAGCTTTAAAACTGAAGAAAATATTGGAGTCAAAATATTATCTTTTTGCTCTCTTCCCATAGGAGCAGGAACTACAAATTGCAAATTTGTCCCCTACTGAGGTAGGTGGCTGATGCTCGCTCAGTTCATTGGGTGGTTTGCTGTTAGCTACCTATGCTATCAACACAGCTCCCTAGATGCCGTCAAAGAGAATGCGGAATCTCATCAAGGGGCCAAAATGTATTCTCTTCCTCTTGCAATTAAAAGAGGAAAGAAGGAAAGTTCCAATCTTTGTCTTCTTATTGCTAGCTGTTTTTTTTTTTGTTTTTTGTTTTTTTGGTGGGGCGGGGTTGGGGGGCTAGGGGACAGAGTTTCACTCTTGTTGCCCAGGCTGGAGTGCAATGGCACAATCTTGGCTCACTGCAACCTCTGCCTCCCAGGTTCAAGTGATTCTCTTGCCTCAGCCTCCCAAGTAGCTGGGATTACAGGCATGCACCACCATGCCTGGCTAATTTTTTGTATTTAGTAGAGACGAGGTTTCACCATGTTGGTCAGGCTGGTCGCGAACTCCTGACCTCAGGTGATCCACCCACCTCGGCCTCCCAAAGTGCTGGGATTACAGTTGTAAGCCACTGCGTCTGGCCTTCTTGCCAGAGTTAATTCATTCTTTCTTCTTTCTTTTCAAGAGATTACTCCCCAGCACATTGCAACCCAGGAACACAGAAACCCCAAATCACATCTTCCTAAAATTATCCCATGTTGGTGGATAAGTGTTCAGTGTGATGGAGAATTGCATGAAAGGGATAATTAATGTCCCACTGTTGATTTTCCTATATCTTGTTTGCTGACTCACCATGTATTCCTATGTCCTGTCCTACTTATTCTCTGCAGTCTTACTTCATCAGAACTGAATGAATCTTGTGTTTATGTCATTTACAAAGCTATGCAAAGAGAGATGAGGAAATAATTTCTCAGGCTAGGCTCCCCAAAAAGAAAGGATTAGTAAGGAATCACTGCCAATCTTATGATAAAATCTGTTTATAGGTTTGGAGTGCTTAATATACTGTTAAACATTAGCACAATATAATCACTGTAATGATCAAATAACTACAAACACACCAATATGTTCTCTAACCTGACAGTTGCTGACTTAGGGCGGTGACTTGAGAATCACCTTTCAGCTCACTGGGTTTGCTGAATGCTCCATTCTCATGCAAAAAGCAGATTTTCCAAAGTTTAGCTAAACCTAAATTATGAATGGTATCCCTTTGCATTCAGTGACAAAAATTGTGTTATTGAAGAAGTATTTGCTCTAAATCTCTCTGGTATTTTGAAGCACCTACATGTACGAAGGGGAGAGGTGTGTCTGCACATGTGTGTATGTGATGCGTACTTATGCTGGCCAGCATAGTACTGTGGTGTACGTATGCTGGCCGGCATAGTACATATGGTGTGCTGTTCCTCCAACACACCACGTGTCCCCTGGGCTCAGGTCTCTTTTGTTTACTTTTTCTCTGCCTGCAATACTCCCCTGAAGGTGACTATATGGTTTGTTCCTTTCACAACTTTATGCATTGCTCAACTGTCAACTTCTTAGTGAGGTGTCACTGGACCACCAAATTTTAAATTACAACCCCACCATCCCAGGACTCCATACCCTTCTCTGTTTCATTTTTTTCCCATAGCACTTAATGCCTTCTACTGTATGACTTATTTTTTATTTTATATATTTATATTAAATATAACATTTTGTTCTGTTCTCTAACACCAATACACCTGGTACATCTAGATGCGTGTGAAAACATTTTTTGAATGAATGAATACACTTGAGGATGATGCAAATGATGTCAGCTGTCTATCTAGGTATGGCTATTAATGTGTCATCTTTCCACTAAAAACATGCATTTTCTTTTACATTTTATGTTTTTTCTAATACCCAAATGCTGTGGGTTCTTTCCCCCTCAAGACACTCTTCTGCTTCCTCCATTTCCAACTGCTAACATCTCACTGGCTATCTAGTCTGTCCTCAACCAGTGTTTGACATTTCCTGGTTTACTGAGAACTACCTCAACAAAGAGGGGTTTTCCAAGACAAAAAAAAAAAAAAAAAAAAAAATCCCATAGAGAAAAAAGAATTGGCCCCACTACAAGGGTGAAGAGAACTTGCTGCAAGAGGTCACATAAGCAAATTGAAAGATACCAGAGATATAGGTTACATCTACTCAGAAGGAGAAAGAAAATGGACTGCCCACGGGATCCCCTGGTCCCCTTCCTCAAATGAGATGTCTCTGGCATAGGTTCCATCTACTCCCGTTCAAAGGCAATAATTCACTAGTGGAGCCATTTGGACACATGGCTACTTTACAATCACTTGAGAAGTTCTCTAGCAAATGAGTCCCGTGAAGATGTCTACAGTGTAGGTATGATTTCAGAAGATGGATCTGCCTGAATGATTTCTTGTCTGGACTTGGCCAGGACTCTCTTCCTAGTCTAATTTTTTCAGACTAGATTTTTATGAGTATCAAATAATAAGAGCATTTTAGATGTCTCTAGTAGCTGAGATCAAGTCTTAGACAAAAGACCTCTAAGACTGAAATATAAATAGAGAAGAGTTCAGGATGACATCATGCTGTATGCACACCAGAAGTGACCACAAATAACCTACAATAACCTTTAAAATTAGTTTTTTCCTGACTTCATAAAACAATATTTTATTTGGCAGGCATCTATTGGCAAGCTTTTTCAAAAGCTCTATTTGTTTTCTGTATCCAGGAAGACACAACCACTGTTTTCACATAGGTTTCCTCCTATGCTGTGGTTTTGCCATTTTCTGCTTCTTTATGAGTGGCTGCTGCAGAATATTTTTCTTTGGGACGTTTATTAAGAGCAATAAGGATATGAATGAAAAACCATCCTCGTAACAATACAGGGTAGGTTTCTCCTTCCATATGTAATGTTGACCAAATCCAAAGTCAGAAGTGAAATATATCAACAGTGATATCATTGCTTTATTCTAAAGCAATTCTATAATACTATACAGCTGGATAAAAATATTCTATAATACATGAAAATAAATCAACCCATGTACCCTTTGATGCATTAATTAAATCCAAGGTTAGAAAGAAAATGTGACATTGTAACATACCTTTAGATAAAGGTATAAAATCATGCAAGCCAAATTGAGGTGTAACAGAGAGCAGGAAAACATAACTTCAAAGTTCTCTCATAGGTTAGCCAATTGTTCTATCTTTTAAAACATACTCCCATTATAAAGTAAAAGTGATACATTTTTTTCTAAATGTGTTAACATATTCTAAAATTTTTTCTGAATCTAATTTCATATCAAAATCTTCTTCCACTATTTCCTAGAAGACAAAGTTGAGTATGTGCAAAATCTTTGAAAGTATAATAAAAACACTTTCCAAATAAACAGCACTTCTAGAATAAGTCACTATATTACATTTTCTTCTATTTCATGTTAATATTGTACTCTCACAGAGGCAAAAAGAGGAAGGTTCCAATAATTAACCTTGTGCTGTTGACCTAACCAAAATTAACTGGCTCTGCAACAATTTAGTTGTCCATATAAAAACAGGAAGAGAGATTTCCCCAAGTAACCCTTATTCACCATGAGAAAAACAGCTGGTGCTCTCTCCTTCCATGTAAGCCTGTGGGGCACGGATGAAAGGATGTATATTTCTGATATCCTCTCTTGTAAATGGGTGGTTTTTTCAGTGGAAGTGTGCCAACACTCAGTTCCTGAGAGGCAGGGGCCCAAGAAAATCTGGTCAAAATATTTAGAATTATTTCGATACAAGATGAAGTCTGTGAAAATGAACAAACTTTCCTTACCAGCGTTACATGAGTAATCACTGCAAAATAATAATGGAAATGTATACCTTTTCCGCCCAAGAAAGGCAGGAAAGATTAATAAAAAGCACTGCCCTTCCAACAACAAAAATCAAAGTTTTAGTACCAGACTTTTTTGTGTCCCTGTTTTCCAGTAGTTCTGCTACATTTCCCACAGTACACTGCTGGGATTTTTTATTTTTTATTTTCGCTACGCATGCTCACACATCTGTTGCACATGTGTGATCAACCGACTAGATTTTCAAGTTAAATGGACAGAGTGGGCAGAGTATTCCTTTGAGAGTTAGGCTCTGCCTCTGGTGGATTGCCGCCAAATGCAATGGTGTAATAAAGAAAAGAAATCTGCTCATTTGAATTGCATTGAAATGAACTGTGTCGTCTCCTAAAATACCATATGGTAATGATCCCTGGAGGTATGGTGCATAACACCTAGGTCTGGCAGACACCATTGGAAGGCTGTAAACGTCCCTGTGTAGTCAGGCTGTGAAAGGCAAGATAGTTGACAAGAAGCATGCAGGGTGAAACAAGAATCCTATCTGACGTCCCTCAATCAACTCGAAATGAAAGAAAATAGACTGAACAAAGAAATCCTAGCAAGTCACCTTGGACAAATCCTTCTTTTCCCATTAAACAGCATTCTTGAATCTCACTTCCAGTAAAGTGAAACCTTATGGAAAGAAAGCTGTTTCACCTGAGCAGTAGCCAGAGTTTCTTTGCAGCAAATTATCTCAATAAGACTCAAGTGTACGTCTGTAAGGCAAAATGCAGTCTTCATAATCAAACCTCCACCAGAGCTGAGCGCAGATGGACCAAGTAACCGGAGACGCCAAGAGTCATGCCTCTGCTTCGGCTAGCACTCTCGGTGAACCTGATCTTCCCACAGGTAGTAGTAGCTAGTGACCTGCACGTCATTCTGTGAAGTTTCTCAAGGGAGACGCACCACACATCCATACAGCATACTACACACACACACATATACAGTTTTTTAGTGAGGAGAAATAATTCAGGTGACATTGGAGAACTGGCAGTGAGATATTTGAAATGTCTCTATGCCAGACAAGAGAAAAGGATAAGTACAGCTATAGAAGCTTACAGCATGGGCTTTACAACAAAACCCCATTAACCATCAGTAGTTACAAAATTTTAATTTATGTCAATGGTAAAATTTTGATCTTTTATCTTCCTTGAAAAGGAATAAATTTCCCACTAAGTCTAAAATCAAGATATGTTGTATAGAAATAACATGGGAAAATACCTCAAGAGGTTATCCTTGCTTGTATTTTTTCATTTCTAATAATTTGATCATAATGGTGTATGTTAACGAGGTGCAAGAATTCCTTAAACTCTGGCTTCTTCTCATCCTTCACTTTTCTTTCTCTAGAAGTGCAGACAACTAAAGAAAATTCTATCCATATACCTAAATATCAATTTGAAATTTATATGATTGTGGTTCTTAAGTTTCCTGAAAATTAGCTTCATTTTTTATGTCAAACGTGACTTTGCATTTTGATTTCTATAATTCCTTTGTGACAATTTGGAGGAAACTTGGTTATCATTACTTATAAAAACAAAGATACTGTGTAATAAAATAGCAGTTAGTATACATTGGTAGTTTCATCTTGTATCAGTTAATAGCAACTCATTTAATCTTAACCATAACCAAAAAAGATAGGTGTTATTACCCTGGTATTTTACAGATGAAGAAACTGAGATTTATCAGGATTTTGTAATTTGTTCAAGGTCAAAAGTAAGCAATATACCGGAGATGCAACCCCACCTTGCTTTTCCAGAGCCAGCATTCTGAAATGTCTATTATACCATCATGATAAAAGGTTTTTGGTTTGGTTTGGTTCTTGACATTCAGACTCTAGAATTGTCATTTTAAACATGTCTTCTTTCTATTTTAAGACCATCAAAAGGGAAAATTCTATCTACCTCGACAATTTCATAGCACTTTTAAAAACCATTATGTAACTATTTTTCCTTTCTTCAGATCTGAAGATTTCCCATGACTAAAACATTAATCCATTGTCTCTGATTTCTGCCACTAATAATATTATCTAAAAAGCTTAACTTTTTCTTCAACCTTTTTTCCTCCCACAGGAAAAAAAGTTTTAAAATCTCACCACGGAAGTCATTTTGCCCCTGCATTCTAAACTGATGAACTTTGCCAAAAGTAGAGATCTATGGGTAAATAATATGTAAGTAAATAGGTGAAAAATGTATTCTGAATGAAGTAAATGTTTTCAATCAGAGTCTTCATATCTGTAAGGTCTCTTTCTTTCTTTTTATGAGTCATTTTTAGTTGAGGACTTCTGAATATTAAGATCACAAAAATGACTCTTGGAAATTATGTAGTAGGCAGCTGACATTTCCAGGGATATTCATATTTCAGAATAATTCTTATAATATCAACACAGATGTTTCTTTTTTTCATTAACTGTAATATCTTCAAATTTGGTGATACTAAAACACCAAATAAATCTCAGCCACTCTTTGTTGATAAAGAGAACATTAGATTCTGAAGCCATGCTCAAATTCATGTATTACAACACTGCTTATTATTTCAACAGAGGAGCTCTGGGTGCAAAACATGTGGGAAGAATATTTATCTTCTTACAGATCAGAAAGCTGATGTATAGGGATTAAAGTATATTTATGAAGTCAATAAAATATTAACAGAACTGTGATGAGCCAAATCTGCATTCCATAAAAGGTCTAAAATTAATCTGAGTTTCCAAATGACACATAACTAGTATTTGAAAACATCTTATAAAATTAATGTATTCCTGTATCTATGCTGTTCACTTCAGCTCTAATTTGGACTGTCAACATTTTATCACATTCACAGGAAATTCCTAGGAGTTTGTCAATCGATCTCAGAGCAGAAAGTCTGAAGCAGTCACATACATACACATATGCCTTTTTTAAATTTAAAGAATGTGTATCTCTAAAATGCACAATATCATCTGTGCTAGGTCAACCTAACAGTACTGAGTTTGCTTTTCGATGAGGAAAAAAAAAACTGCAGAAATGCAAATTCTCACTCTTCTCAGCTTGGCACTCACAGCTATTTTCTGGCTATTTTAAGGATGCTACTAATTGACCTGGATGGAAAATATGAGTGTAGCTGTCTCTTTTTTTCTAATTATTCAGAATCTTAATGATTCCAATAGAGGCTTGATTTGTTCTTTTGCGCATCCAAATGAACAATTCCTATATTGTGCTGAATTTTAGTAAAATCGTTAGATGCGTTTTAGGGAAAGTGAGTAGCCATCTCTGTCCATTCGCATCTCCAACATTTTAGGAAATAAGCTTCTCATCAGAGATGGTCTGATAATATTCTTAAAAATTCTTTTCAGATTTGAATTACAGTTAAGACACTAACATATGTAGCATGTCTCTCTCTATGTGTGGGTGAGAGAGAGTGAGCAAATAAGCCAAAAATAAGGATTTTGCAGACAAGCCTCAGATGAATGCCTCAGAGATTTTTAGTCCAACTGCATTCTCTCCGGTTAGCATACAATGTACCCTGTGTGAAAACACTCACAAGTAAACAGGAATTTGAGCTCAGCAACACCCCTGCTTACTTTCTCTTCCTCTCCCCTCCCCTCCCCTCCACATGTCTTTTTACTTCCTAATCTGCCAAATCAAATGCTAAATCAGGAGCAATACCCTACAATTAGCTTTTTCAATTAAAATGTAGAGTTCAAAGTTGACTCCAGAGTGAGTAATTGCTTTTGAAAACCACAACCAGCAGGCAGCTGCCAGATTATTACAACAGTTTATTTAACCTCAAAACATCTGATCAATTTTATTATCTGGGCAGAAGGCAGATATCCTGGAGAGTAGGATTTAAAATATACTATACATCCTAGTTGTCTGAGGGAAAATTAAAATTCTTCAACACCATAAGTATCCTTTTGCCATCACCTTGCTGAGAAAACAAACTCAAACCACAGTTTCTTCATTCGAAAGTCAACAGAAAGGAAGAACATCGTGACATTCAGCTGGGGTGGGAGGGTGGGGAAGGGGCCAGGAACAGACAATTTACAAAATTACAAGGTTTAAAAACATTCAAACATCCGGCTCATGATGTTTGGGGTTTTTATTCATCCAGAAAGGAGAAGCAGAGAGGGGTGCCAACCTCACCAAAACAAAGAGTATCACGTTTCGAGAATCCTGATTTGGCTGCCTTCACACTGGTGCCCTTATTATTCCAAAATCCACTCTATGGCTCCAGTAACGCCGTGGATTGAAACCGTGGTAATATATAAATAGACTGGAGGGCTCTCAGAGCTCCTCCCTCCACAGAGTGGCACCTCGAGGAATTTCTACCAACTCCTTTTTTCTGACCCTATTACCCACAGCCTAACAGCCTTTCCTGCAGATCCTTGGATTTAATTCCACAATGTCTCTGCAAGTCCATTAGAGCCTAAGACATTAAGCAGGTGGTATTATTTCAGCCCCTCCCCAATCTTCTTCAGAGGCGATATTGGGTAAGAACATAGACATTAGCAATCTGTCTGAATTTTGATCCCAGTTCAACTGTTTACTATTAAATAATAGGATGATCTTCAGCAAATAACTTTTCCATTGCTCATTTTCCTCATTCATAACCCCATACCTTTGTTGTGAAGACTCAACAATTATGTTTAAAGTGCTTACAACTGTGACAGATACATAATAAGTGCTACGTAAGTTTTAGCTGTTGGTTTTTATCACTCACTCAGGATGCAGGCTTTAGTTCCCCCTGGCTCTAAGCCTTGCCTGTTGGACAGTTTTACCCAGTCTCAGGTCCAGCTCCTAGCCATTGGAACATCTCTTCATATAGTCTGGATGAAGGTTCAGAGAGCTAGCTACCTGGGCTATCCTTGTGCCTTTACTTTGAGGTCACGTTGTAAGAAAGCTGTAATACAGTCATGTACCTCTCATATTTCCAGAAGTGTAACCACCTTGAACAATGCCCCAGATGGATGCAGAACACAAGTAACTCTCAACTGTAGTTGTCTCCAAAATACACCATCATTCGCTGCCACAAGAGTGTTGCTGGACACTACTTCCCATCTCTGTATTTGAAGAACATTTGCATTGCATCTTTTCTGCCCTAGTCCAACAAACGTCAACTTGACAGAAAAAAAAAAATTCTCATCACAAGACAATTTAGAAAGTGTTCATTGCAAATGAACCATTTATTTCTAGAAAACGACACTTCAATGTCCCCAAAAACACAAGAACACCATCTTTGTGTTTTATTTTTTGTAAAAGATCTTTGACGCCTATTCCCCAATCCCCATTCGCTTTCCCTTCCAGAACCATGCTACTGTATTTGATATCATTGAATTTCTATGAATTCTTATAGAATATGTAGCATTTTGTATTTTAGTGTAAAGTGCACTGATTTATAACCTAATAATCAATGAAGCTTATTGATTCATACAGATTGTTATTCATTGTTACTTTTAAGCTCTCAACAGTGTTCTTATAATATATGCGTGTTATTTTGTCTACATGTCATTTGTTGCTTTTAATTACTCCAGAATACTCCAGAGTATGTGCCTACTGCATTTTTACCTAACCACTCAATGCTTGCCATATACAAAAATATTAACATCCAATAGTTAACCTCATATTCCATCAACCTGATCTAAAGTCACAGTGATTCTGGTTAATTCAGCAAGGGAACTTTTTCCCTCCAATCTTTTATGTAAGAGTTTTCCACCTGAATTATCGAGACAAATAATTCTTTCACTTTCTAGTAAAGATGCACTTAGAGAAATTAGCATTTTTTTGTTTTGAAATCTGATTGTTGGCAACCAACATGTTTTCTTGATAAAAGTAAATATCTTTCAGAGACACTGAACAACATAAAACACAGACATCTTAAAAGCTTTGTGGAGGTAGTCAGGCCATGAATAAAATCTAAATAATAACAAGCCAGCTGTGTTTTCAATATCTGTCAGATTTTATTTATAAAAATGTAGAAAAAGCACAAAATCCAAAGGTGTTTATTCAAGTTTCTACACTGCAGCACTATTTGATATAATGAAATACTGGAAACAATTTTAATATATATTAATAGAAGTCTGGAGTCTGAATAAAAGATAGGATTTTATGCAACCATAAAAATGAAGTACTTCTGTAAGTACTGACACGGAAACATCTTAAAAATACAGTCAAGCCACTGAAGAATATTTTTCATATGACCCAATTTTTATAAAAAAATTAAGGAAATATGCATATATAATAACCTGTTTATATACAGGATTGCATGTGCTAGAAAATATTGGAAGAGATTTCAACCTGCACAGAGAACAGCAAGGTCAAAGGGAAGGAGAAAAAATATTTGTTTACCTTTTAATCGTTATCCTTCAGTACAATTTACATGTTTTTATTTATCTACAACCAATATGTGCTAATTTCATACTGAACTTTTCTAAACATAAGTAAAATAAAATGTGACGGGTAAGCCTGGCTTTTGAGGTAGGTTGGAGGTATGGTTTTACTTACAAAGGGGAGTAACGAAGGAGCCGACCTAGTCCTAAAATCATTCAGGAAAGGAGAGGCAGATGTAAAAAAAGTATGTGAAGAGCAGCCATATCCCAAGTCACTTATTAAACGGCAATGTACAATCAAAATAACTTTGTTGTTTCCCTGTTGACACATCAATTGCAAAGGTGTGTGTGTGTGTCTGTGTGTGTGTGTGTGTGTGTGTGTGTGTGTTATTGCAATGGAAAAGAGAACAAAAATGTTTTCATTTAAATAGAAGAAGCAATATTCAGTAACTGGAGGAGTTAGTGAAAAACTCTTGTGGCCACTGATAATAACAATAGGTAACTAAAAAAAGAAATCAGTTAGAAATGGTTTTCAAACAGCTAAGATCATAAGAAATTAAGTTTTTTCATTAAAAATAAATTTGAAATAACCATACATGTGCTTTTTTCCTTGCTGAAAATTATGTAAATTCAAATTTAAAATGTACTTTAATATATAAGGAGCTAATAGCATCTCGATTTTTCATAAAGACTTTCCTTTCGAACTTTGAAAATGCTGTTTCATTGCTCAATGTTTCAGAATGAATTATAGAAATTATTTTTAGTTTATCTCCAAATGATCAAACACAAAAAGTGCAATCCAAAATCGAACTTGGAGTCTTATGTTAGAATTTGACCGTATTTCAATTTACGGAAACCAGGAAAAACATATAAAATATTTAATGAAAATACAAAAAAAAGTTAAAATACAGGCCATTCATTCTAGGAGAAGTGCTTTTACTCTTGAGAAATACTAACTGTTATTTTTCCTAAGGCAGGTAGCAGATTGTTGCTTTAAACTTGAGAATTAAACATTTGATTTTGCTACTATGTAAACAAAACAGTTGCCCAGTAAAAAAGTTTATCTGGGAACACTGTAACAGAAAATGACAGACTAACAGGTAAATATTTTAATCATATCCATGGCAAATAAAAACAACAACAAACCCCCCATAATTTGATGAAGCGTTCTCCTACTCCAAGATGCTTTACATTGTTAGATGCAAATAATCTATATTTCATTTCGAGACAATGATTTTAAATTCTGAATTTTCACATATAAACATATTAATGTTACATAGTATATACTAATTTTTCCTGTCAGTTTTTCTTTGCTCATCAGAATATTTAATAAAATGTGAATGAGAAAAAGTTAGAATATAAAAGATTCTAGATATTTGCACTCGAATCTTGCTTTCCTGCCAGTTTACCAGAAGCAAGGCAACAAGCAAAAGGAATTTATGATGTTATACTCCCTCTAGTGGGCATTTTTTAAATGGAAAGTTCAGCAACCTCCCTGCAGGCGCCAGTGCATTTTGAGTTTCATGATTCTCACCCTCCTGAATGGGAAGGTTCTTTGCAGGTTACCCTGTGATGGAGAAATTCTAGAGTAAATCAGCTTATGATTTGCCTAAGTGTCGTTCCCTCAGGAAAGCTACCGTTTCTATCTTAATATAAGTATTGTTAGGAAATTACGTCTATAATAAATCCAAATTCCACTCTTTGTACCATGTAATTCTTGGGCCTCATGAAGAAACTGGGAAGAGTATACTCTCTTTCCCATTCTGCCAATCCTCATGGTATATTTTTAAAATATCTCAGAACGAGAGTAGCTACTAAAAATGTGAAAATCAGTAACATTAAGAAGCCATTTTAAAATAGGTTGTTTCAGGCAGGGGTAACAAAATAAGAATGCATTATTAATAATCCATGAAATTAGAAACATCAAATGGTTATATTCTTTGCCATTATATATGCCATTGCCAATCACAACCAAAACTGCGTGTTGAATCCCATAGACACTAGTTTGAGCGTAGAAAATATGCCCCAACAATGTTTAATTCAAATTTTAAAATGTTTTTCTCTTTGTATGAAACTATATAATTAATTTCTATTTCATGGAAGATCTCGAGCAACTTATTATTTTTGCTAGCCCACAGCAGCAGGAGAGCCCTGTGTGAAGCCTAAAAGGCCTCAGAAGACTCACCGCTCAAAGGGTGAAGCAAAAATATGTGTAAAAAACAGCAAGATTTTGTCAGAGTAAAGTGACTCAAGGTATGTCTATCTCACCAGATGGTCGAATTCATCTTCCCAATTTAAAAGGGTTCATACTACCAGGCATAGTGGCTCACACCTGTAATCCTAGCACTTTGGGAGACCAAGGTGGGCGGATCATCTTGAGGCCAGGAGTTCAAGACCAGCCTGGCTAACACAGAGAAACCGCATCTCTACCAAAAATACAAAAATTAGCCAGGTGTGGTGGCACACACTTGTAGCCCCAGCTACTCGGGGGAACTCAGGCATGAGAATTGCTTGAACCCGGGACGCTGAGGTTGCAGTGAGCCCAGATTGCGCCACTGCACTCCAGTCTGCACAACAGAGCAAGACTCTGTCTCAAAAAAATAAAAATAAAAGGGTTCATAACTGGAGGTTCCTCAAAAAATTAAAAATAGAACTATCATATAATCTAGCAATCCCACTCTGGGTATATATCCAAAGGCAATAAAATCTCCACCTTGAAGTATCATATGTACTCCCATGTTCATTACAGTGTTATTCACAATAGCCAAGATATGTAAATAACCTGTGTCCATCAATGAATGAAGACAATATGGTATGTGTATACAATGGAATATTATTCATCCTTCAAAAAGAAGGAAATCCTGCCATCTGTGACAATGTGGATGGACCTGGAGGACATTATACTAAGTGAAATAAGCCAGAAATGGAAAGAAAAATACTGCATGATCTTACTTATATATGGAACTAAAAAAAAAAAGTTTAACTCATAGAAACAGAGTAGATGAGTGGTTACCAGTGGTCAGGCAGGGGTGGGGACAAGGATACATTAGTCAAAAGTCACAAACTTGCAGTTATGAGTATTTCTGGAGGCCTAATGTACACTGTGCTGACTGTAGTTAATAATATTGTTACTAATCTTACTTTTGCACCAACCTAATATATACTTAATATTTGCTAAGTGAGTAGATCTTAAGTCTTCTTACCATACACACAAAAGGTAAATTTCTGAGCTGATACAGATATTAACTTGATTACAGTAATCATTTCACAATGTATCTCAAAACATCACACTGTACACTTTCAATATATACAACTTCTGTCATTTATACCTCAAAAAAGCTGAAAAATAGGATAAAGACTTTTTTTCCTCAAATTCCTACCATTATATTATATACCCTTTGAGCAGAAAAAATCTTCCTGTCTCTCTGAGTTGGCACAGAACCTACAACTAAGTTGATACTTAAGCCATGCTTATTGTTGATGAAGATGAAGCCCCAGAATGAATGCTTGGGCTTGCCAACATGTATTAATTCCCATTTGTACCATATGACAATTATTGTCTTTTGGATTATCTGCTGCTGAAAGAAGTGTTTTTGTGGGAAGAGGGAGTCAGAAAATGTACGGAGATCCATGTGATCCTGGACAAGCCTTGTGGTGTGTGACAGTGGGGAAATCTTGGCAGGCAGAACACTATCAACATAGGATGAGATGGTATTTGAGAGAGAGTGGTAGAGATACCAAAGATACAAACCTATCAAGTGCCAGCTCGGATCTGCTATGCCACAGAAAAGAAAGCTTAACCTTTTTTGAAAGCAAAGTGCTACCTATGCCAGAGAATTAAAGGACTTTTCTGCAGTAATTCTATCTGCCCTAGGTCTCCTCAGAAGCATGACTTTGTAAAATCATTGCACAATTATTGGGGGTGGGAGTCGTGAGGCAGAGGAGAGGTATCGGGACAGGGACCACTACATGGCAGCAAATTTACTTGTAGATTAGATTGCTTAGGCACCTATTGAAGATTGTACAACTAAACAACAACGTAAGTGCACCAAGCAATCTAAGGCAACATTTCTCACAGCATGGCCTTGGATCAAAACTTTGACATTGACCTGCAATTTTTATAAACACTTGCAGCCCAGAGGCTACTCAATCTGTATTCCTACGGGTGCTACCTGATAAGCAACATATTTAACAAACTTCCCAGCTGATTTTCTATATAGAAAAGCAAGTATTAATAATATGAATTATAGCACCAAGAACTTAAAAAATATTTTCCATGTGTTGGGAGGGAATAGTGGTATGGGAAACTTCAGGCTTTAAAATATCAGCCATCATGAGGGAAATCACGCATAAATCTTTACAAATCTCTTAAAAATTGACATCTGAAGACTAATATACCATTCCTCAATTTTATTTTCCTTCTGTGTGGAAAAAGAATTTTTCTTCTTTGAGCACTAGATTACATAAGTTGGCTAACGTTTAGAGGCCATATTGAAAAATATTTATCTTTAAATTCTAGAACCATTTTGAGCTTAGGGAAGTTACACTCTGAGAAGCCCAGGGTAAAACTGAGACCAGCTAAAGTGGCAGCAACTTTAGATCCTTTGGTTAAGTGAGAATATGTGCCAATAAATGGAAAAGATGGATGTATCCATTTATTACTTCATTCACCCATATATTGAGCAACTACTATGTTTAATGACATGAATACCAAGATAAATGGTGACACTGGCATTTGTTGTGCTTCCAAAAAAAAATATGGTAAAAAATTAAAAACATAATGTGAGAACTTTCCATCCTAGATTGTATTGTCAGGTTGATATTTTAAAACACACTAAGTATTCTAGTTAAGTGAAAAAAAAAATCCATAAGGACAACCAGATAGAGGTTTAGAGACAGGTTTCAATTATTCATGGGTTGATAACAAAAAGAAAACAGCCAAGAGGTAGTGGCTCATACCTGTAATCCCAGTACTTTGGGAGGCCAAGGCAAGAGGATCACTTGAGGCCAGGAGTTAGAGACCAGCCTGGGGACGACAGCATGATCCAGCCTCTACAAAAAATTTAAAAATTATTCAAGCATGATGGCACGTGCCTGTAGTCCTAGCTGCTCAGGAGGCTGAGGCGGCAAGATCACTTGTGCCTAGGAGTTCATAGTTACAGTGAGCTGTGATAGCACCACTGCACTGCAGCCTAGGAGACAGAGTAAAACCCTGTCTCTATTCAAACATGAACTTTTTTTTCTATAGGAAAGCTGTATTTAAGTGTTCATTTTAGAGTATCAGTTTACTGACCTATTCAGCTGATGGTATTTAAATGCAGCATAGTTAGTATCCCTGGACTTCTCTGTGCAAATCCGGCATATTCTCAGGAGTAGCCAACTGTGAGGTCTATTTCCATGAATTTCTGCATCTGGAGGCTTGACTGTGAATATGTGTAACTGCATCATCCCCCCTACACCATCACATACCTGACAGTCAGTGTGCTTATCAGTGATAGTATACAGACGGCAAAGGGGTCTTACAGTGCCATAATCTCATGGAAACATTTTAAAGTATCATTCTCTTAGTAGGTTGCAAGGTGGTTCAGTAGTTTTCTGTCATTCAAAAGCAACAGAAAGGTCTTGCTAACAAATATCATGCATCTCAGAGAAGAAACAGCAATAATGTGAACAAAGTGATTATGGTTAAAATGTACTCTCTCTTCTTAAGGTGGTCATCTGCAGGGGCCTGGAAAGGCTACACAAATTTATGCTTTTATTTTCTAAATATTATATCCATAATAAAGCTGGAAGAGTATTGACTCAGACTGCTTTTTGCTATAAAAGGAGCATTTCCAAATTGGAGAGAACATTCTGCAATGTATTTACATGTAAATATTTGATATACATTTAAATCCAGTTCTATTTACAAATTCTCAGTATCTTGATATCTAAACTCTCTCAATTAATTCCCACTTCCCCACTACAGATCAATTAACTATGCTTTCTCCTCAATCCCTTTAACCTACTTTATTCTCAATAATCTACATACTATGAGTCTGAACCTGGACACCAGTAGATATGGCCTTTCTATCACACTAGAAAAACTATGAGCAAAATCACTTCTACTACTTCGAGAACATATCCATATGTCATTTTAAACATCTACTTAATCTATCCAGAGACTATGGCAATCTTCAGGAAAAAGAAAGTTTATCTTTTGAAACCTCCTCCCTATGATTAGCTCTTACCACAGTTCTCCTATTTGCCATGGCCTGCCCTCCTTGCCATGCTACAGAAGTACAGTTCTTTAACCATGACCTTCTCTCCCTGCTATACAGGGGTAGGGAAGGATTAGAAAAGTAATTCTCAAGGGAATAGGTAGCACAAGGAAGGGAATGGTAGGCAGTTTGCATGCTTAGTATTATAATTTTACATATTGAAAAAATATTCTCATAAGAACTTCAGGAAGCAAACTTCAAAACTTCTCTTTGCTGGTGTATTAGTTTATTATTATTATTATTGCCATAACAAATTACCACAAACCTGGTGGCTTAAAACAATACAAATTTAATTAAATATCTATCATACTATTTGAAATATACCTACTGCACCACTGGGCCGTTGTGAAAAACTATAGAGAAAGCAATTGAATACCATTTGGGTGGTTTTCTTTCATATTTTTGATGGTTATTAACTCATTTCATTTTCTCCTTGTGCTAAACTAAAAATTTCTCAGAGAGACATTATAAATAAAATACAGTGGTCATAAATGTGAGTGACTACAGAAATCAGGCAATAATGAGTGAAGAAGGCAGTGTGTGTTACCTCAAGGGGTAGATGGGCCTGCGGATAATAAGAGTTTGTGCCTGTATTAGTCCATTCTCACACTGCTGTAAGAACTGCCTGAGACTGGATAATTTATAAAGGAAAGAGGCTTAATTGACTCACAGTCAGCATGGCTGGGGAGGCCTCAGGAAACTTACAATCATGGCGGAAAGCAAAGCAGACACCTCCTTCAGAAGGCGGCAAGAAGGAGAAGCGCTGAGTGAAATGGGAAAGAACCCCTTATAAAACCGTCAATCTCGTGAGAACTCACTATCGTGAGAACAGACTGGGGGGAACCACGCCTGTGACTCAATTGCCTCCACCTGGTCTGTGATTCAATTGCCTCCACCTGGGCTATGATTCAATTGCCTCCACCTGGGCTATGATTCAATTGCCTCCACCTGGTCTCTCCCTTGACCTGTAGGGATTATGGGGATTACAATTCAAGATGAGATTTGGATGGGGACAAAAAACCTGACCATATCAGTGCCGCTTCTTAAAAGGCTAGCTACTCTTCAGGTTGAGGTCACTTGCCTTGAAGGAAAAAGATCCCCTGGCCGGGCGCATTGGCACATGCCTGTAATCCCAGCAGTTTGAGAGGCAAAGGTAGGAGGGTCGCTTGAAACCAGCCTGGCGACACGGCAAAACCTTGTCTCTATAAAAAATACAAAAATTAGCCAGGTGTAATGACAGGCTCCTGTAGTCCCAGACACTTGGGAGCCTGAGGTGGGAGGATCATTTGAGCTCCAGGAGGTTGAGGCTTCAGAGAGCTGAGATCACACCAGTGCACTCCAGCCTGTGTGACAGAACAGACAGTGTTTCAGTAAAAGAAAAAGGCCCGTCATTGCTAGATGGCTGCATTTTTATGAAATGCCCCAATTTGCAAATGTAAACACCTATTTTGTATTTTTAACACAGATCTGACAACAGATCTGTGGGCTAAATCCAGCTGGAGGGCTTCTAGTTCCTATAAAGCTAAATGTTACAAACTTCTGTCACTCAACACAATAATGCTCTTATATGAGAGAGAGAAAAGACATAGTCACGTATTAAGAGTTGTACTAACCAGCACTATTACTTGAGTTAATATTTTCAAGCATTTCTCCATTTTTATTAGTCATAAACTACTATTACTATCAAAGTGTAAGTCAAATCCTTTTGAAAACAATCTTAACATGAAACAGAGGCAAGATTTTGTGATTATCACAGTAAGATCATTCTGGTCACTGCTGAGAGCCTGAACATCATGAGACATTGATAGTAAGCAAATGCTGAATGCCTTGCTTTAAATGCCAATAAAGCACAAGAATAAGCATAATTCACAACTTTTGTGACAACATCTGAAAATCACACATACATAACACATCAATGTATGCGTATGTTTAGATGTATACAGATTTTGTTTCCCTGCTGAATGCATCTCAGTGGACATGCCGAAGTCCAAAGACAAAAAACCCATTCTACCACCAGGTGGAGCTTAGTTTCCATTAAAGCAGCAGATACATGAAGAGGATTTCTAGTGTTTGTTTGAATTCTTTGTGTCCCTCAGGAAAGACCTGAAGAAAAAAGGTGAACTTCAAAGGAGAGTGTGTATTTTAAAAGCCTGTCACAAACGCCAGTTGCCACAGGGCTTTAAGTATTTTTCATCAGTACTCATTTGATCAGGTGCTGGGGGCCATTCATGAATGGCTTGACAACTGACTTCCTTCCTTTCTGTCCTTTTCCCTTTCTTTGTATGAGAATGTTAAATTCCCATACATTTAAGTGCCCAACTTTAAATAAAAATCACAGATTATCACAATAACAGAGCCTAAGAAGTAAAATTACCAAAACAAATCAGCTATATTATGTAAATATTGACTCTAATTCACAATATTATGTAAATATTGTGAATTTTTACATATTATGTAAATATTTACATATTTTACACAGTATTTTACAAATATTTACATATTTTACATATTATGTAAATATTTACATATTGTGTAAATATTTACATATTGTGTAAATATTTACATATTGTGTAAATATTTACATATTGTGTAAATATTTACATATTATGTAAATATTGTGAATTTTATTGTAAATAATTCACATTATGTAAATATTGATTCTAATTCACACAGCAGAACATTAGATGAAATGAATGCCATTAGATGAAATACAGTACAGAAAGCATCTAGGCACAGCACCTGAAATAAGAGTCAGCTGGTAGTAAAAGTGTCTTCCACCATATTCTCAAAGATGATAATCATTTAATGATTCATTCCTACCAAATCAATGTTCTGCATATATATGAATGCTCATTGTGTGTTCAAACATGGCAGGGCCTTGCAGAAAACCTGTTGTAAACCAAAACATGTTGTTTGTTCTTAAATTGAGGAGAAATGATGCTACATTTAATTAGTATATCCCAAGTCAGCATGTATACAGTGTGGATTTGTGAGTTTACAGCCTTTAAATATCAAAATAATGGAAAGGTCCGAGAAGGTATGCTAGTTGAGCAGCAACAGGAATAAATACTGTAGGAAGCATAGGAATTGAATAAAGAGAGGGCAGGTGATGTGTTCCCAGTAAGAGCAAGGCCATCAGTCAAAGTGCAACCGGAAGAAGGGGATGCGTGGGTATGTGGTCAGGAAGGCAACTGGTCTGATTCCACTGAAGGTGCAGGACTAATGTTGGCCTTATAGGTAGCACTAGAATGCAAATATAGAGGTGGACTACAATGATGAAATATACAGTAAAGGAAAAATGATGGGTTTACTTGCTAGAGAAATAAGTAGAGAGTTACTGAAGATCATGGAATAGGAATGTAGAGTGAGGGGAGCATTATTTGTGGAGCTTATGAAGGGAAAAAAATTGGGGAGGCTTATTTCATATTGATCCTGCATGTGTAACTTCTTTTATACCTGTCACCAACGTTTATGCTTCTAGATTCAAAGAAAATAAAGAACATCTGTATGGCATCGATATGCCCTCTTAAGTTGTCTAGTGTTAAAATACTGTAAGTTCTATAATAAAATATGACATAAGTATAAAGAAGAAACAAATGTGTGTAAAAAGATAACAACAGGCCACATCAGACAGCCACAGCACATTCAAGGGCACAAGGCAAAAAAGACAGTGTTGGTCAGGAAATGGCAAGTGGTTTGCTGGAGTGTGAAGCATGTAGGGCATGAGTGGCTTGCGATGAGTGTGTAGATGGAAATGATGGAAGGAGAAGTGAAGAAGCCAGCCTAGATTTGAGGGATAGCTCAAAGAAAACTAGGTGGTTGGATAGGGAAGAAGGAAAATAGAAAAGGGTCCGAAACTCTAAAAGCAGCAGAGCAAGAGTGAGCACCAGTAACATCAACAAAGACAAGAATGTGGGGAACAAGTCAAGCTTGGGGGAGAAAACATAGTCTCTTTCTAACTGAAAAGATATGCAAGTATAAGCATGTTTTTCAGTAGACAAAGATACAGGACTGGAGATCATGCAATAGTCATTAGGAGGCAGTGTGGGTCTGGGAGGGAAGAGAAAACTGCACTGAAAACAGAGGCATTCATTATCTGTACCTCTCATTTACTACGCAATATACAGAAGGCAGGACTACTTTGATTACTCATTTATTTTGCCCTGTTCTTTATCCTCCCCCTTCTACTGAAAGCTTGTAGCCTGGTTTTACAGTTCTTTGCCTCAGAGATTTCAGAAGGAAGGTGATATGGTTTGGCTGTGTCCCCACCCAAATCTCATCTTGAATCGTAGCTCCCAGAATTCCCATGTGTCATGGGAGGGACCCAGTGGGAGGTAATTAAATCATGGGGGCAGGTCTTTCCCCTGCCATTCTCAATGATTGTGAATAAGTCTCACAGATCTGATGGTTTTATAAAGGGGAAGTTCCCCAACAAGCTCTCTTGCCTAACATGATGCTCCTCCTTAGCCTTCTGCCATGATTGTGAGGCCTCCCCAGCCATGTGGAATTGTGAGTCCATTACACCTTTTTTTTTTTTTTTAAAATAAATTACCCAGTCTTGAGGATGTCTTTATTAGCATCATGAGAACTGACTAATACAGAAAGAGAGCAGGAAAAGCCTAAATTTACAGGTGCTGCTGGTTCTGGTGTAAAAGACAAAATCCATTAGATTATACAAACGATACTTGGGTAAGGGAAAAGAGGCAAGTGACTTTTAATGAAAGCTGGAGTTAACCACATAGGTACAACTTAATGCTTAGCCTGAAGGAGATTACATCTTAAAAGTGAACAGAGATACATAAAGAGAGAAATTTGGAATGTAATCAGCAAAGTGGAGGTGTCCACTGGTGCTATGTGAATATCAAGAGGATATGTCGCCCTCTAGGAAAGTTTAGGGAAGGAATTTAGTAGAAGCCTAAACCACACCTTGAATACTAAGGCCATAAAGAGATAGAGTATTCTCTGCACATCAGATTCTGGAAAGTTCTCTCCTCTGAGCTTCTATGGCTATGTAACAATACCATTTACTTCACTCTTAGCATATACCACTTTCCATTGTCATAAATTGTGTATTTATCACTTTTCCAGAAAACATATCAAGGAGAATGGGAATCCTGACTTTAATTGCTTTATAGAATTTCCATGTAACCTAGAGGTATTGATCATAAGAGATGCTCAATAAATAATTAGGAACCAGGATTTGGTCTGCTACGCAGTTCTCATCTTAATGACCAAGAGGCACACATCTCTTGCTAATGACACTGCCAACTGGCCTGAAGCCCATAGAAGCATGAGAACCAAAATAAAAAAAAACTGGAACACAATTGAATATGTAGACTCTAAATATATATTTTGTCATCAGATTATTTTCTTATTTTTTAGAATCACTTTTATATCCTAATTGATATGAAGCAGTGTAGGGAGAATACAAAAAATAGGGGCTTTGGGTACTGGCCATGCAACTTACTAGCCATGTAATTTCAGGATCTTCACTTGGCTTCCATGAGGCTCAGGCTTTTCTGTAATATATGGGTAACTGTAAGTTCTCAAGAAAGTTACATCAGATAATGTGAAAATTATTTGGTAAAAAGTAAGACACAACTTACTGGTAATTATGGTTAAATAACTCATTTGTCTCCAAGATACTTTTTTTACCATAATAAAGATCACAGAGGTTTTATAAAGAAAAAAGCAGAGTCTGTATTTTACATATGTTGCCCATGCTTGTGTTCCTTGGTGAAGTCGTATGAATTTATTCAAGTCACAAAATATTTCTCCCAGTTAAACATATTTTTGAAAAAAATCATTTTCTAAAATTACAATGTTACAGTTGACTGTGGCTAAAACAATCCAGACTCAGGGAAATGTATCAATATCCACACTATTTTGTGTTTCACTTGTTGGACACGAGCATTTTTCTTGAAGAGAATGGATGATAGTAGTATCACCCATTCTAGGAGTATCTAATCTTCATATAACCAATAAGGCACATCCTTTGGATGGGGTAGCCATTGCTTGCCCTCTGGTTCAGGAGTAGCTGGGGTCTAACATCCAGGGATCTGAAGTGTTACTGATAGGCAGGTGGAGACAGGCCTGATATGAGTGGCAAAGCCACCTTTGCTTCTGATTGTAGTACATGTTTATGTTGTTCAGAAAGGTTATTGAAGTTTCAGGGAAAGTCTAGCTTCTACCTCCTTCATTGCATGCATCTGAGATCGAGCTGGAAGAGCATCCCAAACTGATACCTTCGATGCAAGGAAAGTCTTCCTCTTGGTGGGATGCACAGGGATAGTTAAGACTGGAGGCAGCAGTGCCAGGTAGAGTGGCTTTCTCATGAGGATCATCAGCATCAGGGGTAACAGCATGGTGACAAGATGAAAAATTAAAGGTATAAGAAATCGAGGGGCTTATTCTAGAGCATTCATGAAATTGCTAAGAATACTGTGAGTCAGGTTAGTTTCTAGCAGTAATAATATGGGCTGATGTTATAATAATTTGGGTTAAAAAAATGAAAGTGTAATCTCATTTTTATGTCATAGGCTTTTTAAGTCATGAGGCTGCCAACATAAAAGACATGCCATTGCTTTAAAAATGTGTTTAACCGCCGGGCACAGTGGCTCACGCCTGTAATCCCAGCACTTTGTGAGGCCGAGGGGGGCAGATCACGAGGTCAGGAGATCGAGACCATCCTGGCTAACACGGTGAAACCCCGTCTCCACTAAAAAATACAAAAAAAAATTAGCCGGGCGTGGTGGCGGGCGCCTGTAGTCCCAGCTACTCAGGAGGCTTAGGCAGGAGAATGGCATCAACCTGGGAGGCGGAGCTTGCAGTGAGCCGAGATCGCGCCACTGCACTCCAGCCTAGGGGACAGAGCGAGATTCCGTCTCAAAAAAAAAAATGTGTTTAACCTGCATTGCCAATGAGTATCGTTAATTGTGTATGTATAATTATTAGGTATAAACACGTATTTCTTATGTATACATATGCACTAGAAATATTCATTGACTGTTTTCCTGCTTTGCCAAATCAGTGACACCCAGTCTCTAGAAGTTATTGTATATGCATACAAAGCACAAACTCACAATAAAATTGTTTTCCAACTCTTTCTAGAAAATGTTTACCAAAAAAATACACTTTTCCTTCTCTACACTCACACGAAAATTAATCGACATGTCATACTGGTAAAATTAAATTTTTGTGCTATCTTTTTTAAGAGGGAGTTTTACATTTAAGTTGTAGCCCTGGGTCAAAGGTAATAAAACGACCAGAGAACACCACATTACTTTGTATCTCTTCTAACACAGCTTTTCGTTCACAGGCTGAGACTGACAGTTTCAAGAAGACAGTGCATCAAAAAAGCTCTTGGAGGAAAATCTCCAGTCTTTCAAACTACACTTTACTGTATTCATTGATTTATGTAATATATAAAGAGATTAATGATAAAAATAATTTGCATATTTTAAATATGTAATAGGGTTTGAGAATATAGCTTCTAAGTTGAATAGTTGTTTGATATTAAGCAACAATTAAAAGCTAGTAAAATGAAAATGAAATTCTCTTTAGGCAACATATATAGGCTTGGGAAGGAGTAACATTATGCATAACCCCATGATTAACCCAAATCTTTTAATATTCATTAAGATTCCCAAACCAGAGCCAAGAATAATTGGTCTATAGTTGCTTCTCCTGGCTATCTTATTATAACATACTGCATTTATCTTCATTTATCTTAAATTCCTGTATTATAGCAGAACTTATAGATATTCCCACTGGGATCCTCAAACTCTTAATTTGTTTACATATTTTGGCTTCTTTCCAGATTTATGTGAATAGTAACTGATCCAAGAAACAAACAGGCGGAAATGTCTTTGAATAACATTCTTTTACCATCGGGTCATACATACCTCCATTCAGTAAAACAGGCAACTGAATTCCTGAACTGGGCAGTTCAATAATACATTTTTGAAACTCAGGTGGGATTAAAGAGAATGGTGCTCTATTCAAACAATAAAAGAAAAAAGAACTATGAACTTAACAAGGTCTTAAAAACACACACAGGATGAAAAAAAAATCCTCCGAACTATTGAAGAAAATTAGGAACACAGATTTTATCGTCTATTTCCTCATCCTCAAAGGGATGTTTTTTATCCACTTAGGCTGAAGAGCTTGCTTTCAACCAAATTAAGAGCTCAGATGTGAAGAATAGGAAAGGAAAAAAAAGGAAATAAAAACCTGACATACCAATAAACCAACCAATTTCAGTTTCAATAGCCCATTTTATAATGAGGTAGAACAAAGAACATAATGGATAGCGCCAAATGGCAAAGCTCCAGAAAACTCATTCAGTTAATCTTACTAGTTGCTTTGCCAAACCTTATCCAAATAACACAATTATTACAGTCTGCAGACTAGTGGAAATTCTTACAAAATTGGCCTCTATCTAGAATCCCAAATCATGTCTCCAACTCGAGTCACAACCATCTCTGCGATTGTCTTGTTGAAGCTTTTGCCTCTGGGCTTAACTGCAATTTTGCAAAATGGAAAATAAGTGAATGCATCCAGGTAAAATTCTGGATATAGATTTAAATCGAGCTTTTTAATCCTTAAGAACAGTCCTTCCTATATGTGATCCAATTCCCTAAAAAATTATTCAAAGTAGATGGACTATTATTGGTCCAAAATTGTCCTATGTTAGAAATGTTAGAATTCCAGTTTGGCTTCCAGTGTGCCCAGCGATCACGAGTTCTTAATCTCTGCATCTGCCTTTTTGCAACTGTCATATCAAAAGGTTGATACAGACCTACCTCGTAGAGATCCTGCAAGGATTAATTAAGATTAAATCGAAAGAAAAAAATGCATTTGACAAGCCAGGCTTCATCAATGCTGCTAAACAGACCCAGATGTTTTAACAACTGTTCAGATTATTTGGTAGCATCCTAAGTAGAGAATTAATTTGCATAATACATCTCAGCTGTGAAGACATTGTTAAATGATTCCAATGTTTCAGATAAGGGAAAACAACCTGGCTCCACTCTGGCCTCTCATCAAACTAGGCACCATTCACCCCAAAATTTTCCTGCTGACCAAACATTGGTAACATATGTGATTAAGAGAATCCCAAGACAAAGAAAGACGTTATACCTTCTCATTCCTAGGCACTTCTCTGAACCTTTCTTTCTCCTGTAAGGATAAAAAGATTTCAACTCTCTTTCATGTCTTGCTGTGGTGCTGAGGCACAAATGGCTACATGCATCTCTTGTCCATCAAGAAAGTGCTTGCTTCCATGTTTTCATCTTCCACTTTCACTATCCAACTGTATCTCATCATTCATTGCCTGAGGAAATCCCAACAACTTCAGAGCTCACAGAGATAGCACTGATAATAATCTTATGTACATTATCAGTCTTCATTGGTTTCACCAGCACATACAGATCCAAGGATGTTCTAAAATATGTCTTTTGGGGATGGAGATGGGGAAAGGAAGAGTACTGAAACACTGAAAAGTAATGGGCTTTACTCATTTTATTTCTCTTGTTATTAAAGAAAAAAAAGGTCTCATCTTTGAGAGTCATTAGTTTAAGGGATCTTAAAAAAGTATGTTTTTAAATATTGCATAGCATACTGCTCACAAATATAGGCTCTGGGGCTCAATAACCAAATTTGAATCTCATTCCTCCCACGTGCTGCTTGGCTAACTCTGAATAAGTTATTCAAAATGTATGTACCTTTGTTTTCACATCTTTTTTTTTTTTTTTTTTTTTTGAGAGAGTCTCGCTCTGTTGCCCAGGCTGGAATGCAGTGGTGCAATCTCGGCTCACTGCAACCTCCGCCTCCCAGGTTCAAGCAATTCTTCTGCCTCAGCCTCCTGGGTAGATGGGATTACAGGCACACACCACCACACCCGGCAAATTTTTGTATTTTTAGTAGAGACGGGGTTTCACCATGTTGGTCAGGCTGGTCTCGAACTCCTGATCTTGTGATCTGCCTGCCTCGGCCTCCCAAAGTGCTGGTATTACAGGCGTGAGCCACTGCGTCCAGCCGGTTTTGACACCTTTTAAATGGTTATAGGTGTACTACCTACCACATAAAGTAATTATGAAGAATACAGAAGTTATGTGCAAGTAAAATACTAAGAACAGTTTTGGGAACATAGTAATCATTCAGCAAGTTTGCTATTTCTATTACTTATTATTTTAAATGCCCATATATTTAACTCAATATAATCTCATATCCAAGAAAGTTTCACCTCTTTCAAAACCTTTTCACAAACACTCAGGTCTATCTTTCTCCTTTAAAAACTATTGAGTAGGAAATGAGTGATCCTCAGAACCTTCTAGTACTTTGGGATCATTGCTCTAACAATTCTTTTATAAGCATTCTGCTTTAGCAAATGTGTGTCTCTGGATATGTCCTAGATTTGTGAAGGCAAATATACCTCACATTGCCAAAGATTTTCTTTTGTTACCAATTGGTGTGCAATAAAACTACTCAAAACTCAGTACTAGCAAAATGTATGAGCATTTATTTGGCTCACACATCTGCTGGAGGTCAACCTAACTGGGCTAGGTGGCTCTGCTGATCTTAGCTGGGCCCTTCATCCATTTATGGGTTATCTGGAGTTCAGCTGATGTTGGCTCTTGACTTCCTTCCGGAGGCAGCAGGCTAGGCTGGGCATGTTCTTCTCATGGTGGTGGGGGTGGAAGCAGGAGAGACAGTAGAAATACAAAAGGTCTCTGCAGGTCTAGTCTCAGTGGCACACTGACATTTCTGACCCACTGTACTGGCCAAAGCAGGTCACATGATGAATACCAAAGTCCTGAACAAATATTTCTCCAGAAGGCAATGGGAAGAAAAGATTATTTCTGAGCAATAATTCAACTCATTACAGAGATTAAGTAATCACAATACTTCTCTCCACTGTGCCCAAGTATAGGTTTTATATCCTTAGCAGCCACTATAATTGCTAACAACTAGGAGAAGAAGAGGAAATCTATTTAAGACTTCTGGTTTCATAATCAAATATATATATATATGGTTATATATATATGTTTATACATGTAATTTTATATATATATGTGAGTACTATAAAATATATATATTTACATACATAGGTATATATGTGTATATATATATATATTTAGAGAATATAGATCTGGACTTCAAATTATATCTTTATATAATATAAACCATCACAACGTTATATTCTGAGAATGTTACATTTAGTGATTCAATTGTGACTGAGTTTGAAAAAACATGTATAAACTAAAAAAAAAGAAAATGCCATTAGATTTTAAATCAATAATTTATTTACATTTTGTTTTGTAAAAACAACATATTTAGAATCTTTATAGTACTTTTCAATGTCACCTTAAAAATATGCATATGCTTCTTACAATTTTGAAACTGAAATTAATAAGAACATATATAAATGCAACTATAATGCCAACCACCACCTACACAGCTACTTCTAGTCCACTGATTTTAAGCCATACTAACAAATCCTATATCAATTAAAATGCTTCATTATTCTGTTTTCAAATTAAACTTTCTAAATAACTTCTATCTTTCTTCTTGCATATGGTTGACATTTTAATTAAGATGTTAGATTTATGCCTCTGTGAATTTGTAGTTTCAACATTAAAACAAAGTCAAATTTACAGATTTTAAGACATTCTGTAATTTGATTTTTATAAGATGATCACTGTATTTACATAAAGTTGAGTTATAAGTTAGGGAAGAAAAAATTTCTGTTAAATTAATGTAAAATACTTACAATAATAACCATAACAATGACTCTGAGAGAATATAGGGAGCTGACTCTTACCTGTAAATGAGTATACTTGCAACAAGTCATCTCAAATTGAGCACTTTTATGAAAAAAAATAGGACCTCTACCAAAATGTCATTAATCAAACCATTACTCACGCTATGATGAACTCCTAAGACGACTAACTTTAATTTGCATTTAACTAACTAGCGTAAGTTTAGAAAGAAAACCATTTTGCAACAAAATTTCCCACAAGTGGAAGCATTTTCAGAAACCTTGAAGCATAATCACTATTATTTTTTAAGAGATTTTGGAAAATAAAGTGAGAATAGACAGCTTTTACTAAAGTAAATTTACAGAAGCAGTGATGAAAATGTAACTGTAAAGTTACCTCTGGATCTCTCTTTTTTTTTTTTTTTTTTTTTTTGAGACGGAGTCTTGCTCTGTTGCCCAGGCTGGAGTGCAGTGGCGCTATGTCGGCTCACTGCAAGCTCCGCCTCCCAGGTTGACGCCATTCTCCTGCCTAAGCCTCCTGAGTAGCTGGGACTACAGGCGCCCGCCACGATGCCTGGCTATTTTTTTTGTATTTTTACTAGAGACGGGGTTTCACCGCATTAGCCAGGATGGTCTGGATCTCCTGACCTCGTAATCTGCCTGCCTCGGCCTCCCAAAGTGCTGGGATTTCAGGCGTGAGCCATCGCGCCCGGCCAGATCTCTTAAACAACAAAATAATTTCTCTTTTGGCCAATACTTCTATTCATTCCCTTAACTTTAGCTACAATTTCTTTATGCTGGGAAGGTGGCTGGAAAGCCAAAAGCTCCAGGACTTTCACCTAGTCCCTGGACATAAGTGTCCCACCCTTCTTGTCCATTTCGCCAATGTTCATTCAGTGCCTCTGGCTTATATATCACGTCTTATATATCAGACGTGGCTTATATATCAGATGTCTTTGCCAGGGGTCATTGTTAGACAGGAATATAAGCTTAACACTTATTATCAGTCTTCCTTATTTTAAGCCCAAACTTTTGTTACTATTCAGTCACATGATTTTGGCAAGGTAACTAAGATCCCTGAGCTCCAATTTCCTCATGAAAATAGTGAAGGATGTGCAGATATATATACATATAAAATACATATACATAAAACATAAAAATACATATATACGTACGTATATACATATATGTGTGTATATACGTACGTATATACATATATGTGTGTATGCGTACGTATATACATATATGTGTGTATGCGTACGTATATACATATATGTGTGTATGCGTACGTATATACATATATGTGTGTATGCGTACGTATATAAATATATGTGTGTATGCGTACGTATATACATACATACATGCATGTACATATATACGTATATATGTATGTACATAATGTGTATATATGTACGTACATACATATATGTGTATATATGTACGTGCATACATATATGTGTATATATGTACGTACATATATACGGGTATATATGTACGTACATACATAGATATGGGTATATATGTACGTACATACATATATATGTATATACATGTAAGTATATACATATATATGGGTATACATGCATGTATATACATATATATGGGTATACATACATGTATATGTATGTATGTATTTTTTTTTCCCAATGCTGTGAATTGCTTTGCCTGCTATGAAGGACCAAATGCTATTTTTTCCAGGCACAACTTAATATTTTATTAACTAAATTATACTAAATGTTACCAGTTGCCTAGGGTAATGTCATAGTAAGTACTCTGAGATAAATTCTTGTCTGCTGTAGGATTCCTTAAGCTGAAGTCTATGTTAACTCAGCCAGCACTCCAGCGATCAGGGTGATTTTGCTGTGCCACAAATATGCCCAGTTTACTGCATTCTTCTTCAAGGCACTTACCCTCTCTTTAAAGCCTTGATAACATTTCCCCTTCTTCCTTTATGAGCACTTTCAAAGTCTTAAACATTTTCACCTGATGACTTCAACAGGTGCATGTTGGGGACTTGGCAGCTGTGGTTTTCGTCACACACACAGCCGACATCTGAACAAAGGCACAGACATTCCTAACCACAATCCACACATTGCTTACCTATTTCCATCCTCAAAAACTTAAATTAATGGATTTTAAATTTCTTAATATTCCTAGAGAGAGAAAAAGGGCAGGCCCAGGAATTTAGATACAAGCCTACATTCAAATAACACATTTCAATTAGGAGAATGTAAAATATAAACTCTCCTACTATATATATACTTGAACACTAGAGGGAAAATCACCCAACATGTTAAATAAAAATTCCACAAGGTAGATATTGTATAGTGTATCTTTAACTGAAAACACTTCATGCAACTTTTATAGTTTCCACGTGCAGCCTAAGCCCTAATCTGTTTCAATAAAATAAATGTATGTTGGCTGGGTATGGTGGCTCACACCTATAATCCCAGCATTTTGGGAGGCCGAGGCAGGCAGATCACTTGAGGTCAGGAGTTCAAGACCAGCCTGGCCTACATGGCGAAAACCCTTCTCTACTAAAAATACAAAAAAAAAAAAAAAAAAAAAAAATTAGCCAGGTGTGGTGGCAGGTGCCTGTAATCCCAGCTACTCGGGAGGCTGAGGGAGGATAATTGCTTAAACCCAGGAGGCAGAGGTTGCAGTCAGCTGAGATTGTGCCACTGCACTCCAGCCTGACAGAGGGCGACTGCATTTCAAAACAATAAAAAATAAAATAAATAGAGTAAGTGTATGTATAGATTAAAAGTCACCTCTAATGAATTAAAGGACACCCATAATTATAACATGCAAGGGAAAATATTAATATTTCAGATGTATATACCAATGAAAACTGGAAATAAGAACTTGATTTTAAAAGGTAGCAGTATCTGAATTGAAATAACTAATTTAACTCTATGATGTACAATAGATTCTCTACCTTATAGAAGATAACTAACCAGGGATTGACCAGAATCACCTACGAAACTTTCCAGACACTTTTAAGTTCATTCAGAAAAACTAGAGACCCTTTAAAATAATGTAAGTCATAATTATAGTTCATAAACCAAAAATAACATACAATTTAAAAACAGAAAAGAAGGAAATGACATCTGTTTTAGGGATCTTGAGTAATATGTGGCAAATGGGGAAAATGCTAGAAACAAACAGTTCCGTTCCCTGGTATCCCACTCACCCTTTTTTATTAAAGTGTAGACATTTTTAACACAAGACAAAAAGACAAAATATCACCTGGTGACAGGACAATTATAGAAGTGAGAATAATTCTGAAGTTTATCCATTAGCTTCATAATAGTGTAAATTATTAATTAACAGTTAGGATAATAACTGAAGTTTTCTAAATTCTCATTCCTTGAAAGAATAGCTCACCCCATCATTATTTCTATTTGACCGTTCATGTCTCTGTGGAAAGATTCATTTGAAGGCTATTATTTTCCACTTATCTACTATTTTTTTCTGGTTCAGGCAATTAATATTTGTCATACACAAAAGTATTCTTTATTTCACAGATATAAACATTAATCTGCTTTATAATCTAAGCATCACATCCTACAAATTATAGAGAAGATATAAAAGACAACTGAAACATTCTACCACACACAGCAGCGGGGGCACAAAGCACAATTAAGATACGCAAATAGATGTTTTAGAAAATAGGTAATTTTTTGTGTTCTTCATGCTATCAGAAGCTGACCAATGAGTCCAGAATTTCTTTCCTTGATTAATGAAGCAATAATGATAGCACCTTGCCTTAAACTCTCCTGTAGCTTCTGATCATCCTGAAAAGAAAGGATAAACCAGTAATATTTTAGAAAAAACATATGCCATGTGTTAAGTTTGATAAAAAGCCACTTTTCAAGATCTGCTGCGGTCTGGATTTGGCATTTTAGAAACTCAGACTCTAGCCACTGTCATGGACACGGTTCCCCGAATAAAGAGGAAATACTTTCACAAACACTTTTCATTATAGACCAAAAAATATTTGCTTAAGATGCAAGGAAAAACACTGACACAATTTCAAATGCTAACAGAAAGAAAAGATTATTTCCCCTTAATCCAATTTCTGACAACCTTTGGCTCTTCACTGAAGTGTGAATATTTCATCAATGATGCAATCCTTTTCTTCATCTTGTTTCTGAGTGTTCTCCAACTTTGTTATGAACTGTTTGTGAGTACCGGTATAGGGGGGAAAACCCTGCTTGCTGTTTGTAAAGTAAGAATCGGGAAAATTCAAGAAATGAGTTATTTTACAAGTTGCTAAAAAGTGGTTTTGCCTTTGAAATCATATTGCCTGTAAGAATCCATTTATTCTAATTATTTATGAGAAGATTATAATGTGAAGGGAAAATAGAAACAGAGCTAATATCTTTCAGGTCTCTGTGTTGTGAATTGTGCTATCTTTTAAAAGAGGGATGTGGTAACCAATCTCTAAACTCCAGAATCATCCTTAATGCCTTATCCCAATATCCAATATATTACTAGGACCTATTGTAGCTCCTTCCTATTGTTTCTTGCATCCATATACATTGAGATAAGGCATTAGCGATAATGCCGCTCAAACTGCCACTGCCAGCATAGCACCTTCTGTCCTCAATTACTGGAATATTCTCACAGATAGTCCCTCTAAAGTCTTGCCCTCTTATACTTCATTTCCCACAGGGAAGTCAAAATACTTATTTTAAAATATAGATCTGATCACATCAGTATCCTGACTAAAATCCTTTGAAGACTACTTTTAAACCTCAGGATAAAGTCTGATCCCATTACCTGGTAATAAAATGTCTCTTATCCTCTCGGCCTCTTCTTGATATTCCCCTAAAATTACTCAATTCTCCAAGCCACATAGAACTGCTTAAGATTGTCCAAACAAGCTGTTTTTCTGAGCTTGAATATCTTTGGGCCAGCTAATTCCTTTGCCAGAAAAGCTTTCCCACACCCTTTCTAGCTTAGCTGACCCTAATTACTCTTCATGGTTCAACCTAGGTATCAGAGATTCTTGAAATCTACCCTGACTCTATCCTCCAGTCCAGTTTGGGTGAAGTGACTCTATGTTTCCACAGCTGTGAATTCCTCTAGCACACCGAATTTTATAGTCTTTTTTAGTTGACCATCTATTTTACCAGATGATGCATTTTTTGATGTAAAGAATTTTTCATTTTATCTATGAATATGGAACACTTTGCTCAATGCCTAACACATGGTAGCACTCCATAAATTATAACAAATTCAAAGCAAAAGAGGTTCTGATTATGATAGACATATCACCCTTTTAGTTGAGCTCAGTTGTTGACACGGACTGCAATTGCTTACCTTCTTCACTCCTATTTGCATATTTAGCCTAAAGCCTGGCAATAGTACAAAATAAATATATTATTGAAGCCTCACCACAACCATTACATGCTCCCACCACCCTATGTCTGGGTTCCTCAGCTATGAGGATGACGGTGAGAGGCCATCTCTGCTTAAAGTGCTCTTTTCTATCAATTTCCTTGATTGTGTTCTGAGGGGTGGAGCTGGAGAAGATCTGCAAGATGCTGAATGTCAGCTACTTCACTTCTTGAAAGCGGGTTTTATACGACATTTTAAAATTGGATTCAAACACCATTTTGGTTTCCAGAATATCACGATACCTAAACCACATCTAAACAAATCAAAAAACTATATATGTTTGGACTTAAAATATGATTGATTTATATGAGAGATTTCATCTGTGTCACATCATTCATAAACATATAAATAAATATTCTAAAATGAGCAAATACAAACCAACTATTGATATGCATTTGTCATTCTTAATGATCAATTAATTATAGTGCTGCAGGGTCTATAACACACATCTATTCCTAAGTCTCATTTATTAAATTGAGACATAACACAGATGATGATAATTAAGGTTCCTCTTTCAAAAATAAACAGAACAAGTCTGTCTCTATCACCCCGTTGAAACCAGTTTATACTTGTTATAATGAAGGCAGCACAGTAACAAATGAAGAAATTAAGGAAAAACTGTTTAGGATCCCAGGGCTAGAAAAATCACATTTCTATATCTTACAATAAATCATCTATGTTCATTTTGATAGCTCCATAATGTACATATTTTTAGTAAAGAATTTAAGATGTCCTTTTAAAGATTAATTTACTTCTTCAATTTTTTACAGGCTTCATTTTCAAAGATTAGAATTGAAGGACAAGAATCTATGTCATTCTACTGAACATTTGTTTTCCCTCTCTGCCTGAACTCATTTGATCATTCTACCCTTATGAAACATGGAAATTTAAAAACTGATTAAGATGGTTAGACACACATATATTCAGGAAACTCTAGTATGTGAAAAGATTAGATAGTCACACAATTCATGGATATCAAACTCATCTCAAAATTTCCTATCTCTAGAACAGTATTAACACAGGAAAAAAATGCAAACCCAATGTATCTTATAAAAGCACTTCTTGCCTCCAGCAAACATACAAAAAAAATGGTTTTAATCCTTGAGGAGAGTGGGGAGCAGAGGTGCAATACAGGAGATCATTTTATTATTCACATACATAAGTGTGTGTGTGTGTATGTGTGTGTGTATATACACATTATTTTGTGAGTTCCAAATATTATATAATAAACATTTAAAATGTTTATTAAACTCAGGTAAGCAGGGTCCATATGAACAGTGAAAAATCATGCTGATAGTATACATTCTTGAAATTATGTGAAAATAGCATTTATGTATTCCTCCCAAAAACCTGTACCTCCAGGCTAATCATGAGGAAGACATCGGAAAAGTTCCTGTTGGAGGGACATTCTACAATATACCTGACAAGTGCTCCTCAAAACTGTACAGGTCATCAAAAAACAAGGAAAGTGTGAGAAACTGTCACAGCCAAGAGGTGTCTGAAGAGAACTAAAAGTAACATGGGGTACTGGAACAGAAAAACACATTAGGTAGAACTATGGAAATCTCACTAAACTATGCACTTTGTTAATAATAATACATCAATGTTGGTACATAAATTGTAACGAACACATATTAATAATGGGAGAACCTGGGTGTGAGTATATGGGAACTCTCTGCGGCATCCTCTGAATTTGTCTGTATATCTATAAACTGAAGCATACTCCTTTCAAAAAGATATTTTTTAATTGATGACTATTTACAAATGTTATGTTCCGGATTACAAAACCTGAGTTACAAAGGCAATTTATTTTTGCACACTGGACCATTTATATATTCCTTGAAAAACGTACAATATTCCTTTAATAAACTATGCAGTTGGGAAGTCAGATTGCTGCTATTTATATACAGCCTTGACAACTTAAGTGATCTTTGAGCAAACAGCTGAAGTTGTACAGCTCTCCATTTTTTTCATCTAAAAATGGGATAACATTTTTTGTGGGAACTTAGATAAGACATGTAAAGCACTGATACCTAGTAAATATTCAATAATAATAGCAGTTAGAATTATTACCTTTATGAAGTAAACTAATTTCAGCTATGATAGAGTAGGGTATATCACCCTCTCACCATATATAGCCATTAAATCTGGAAAACTTATGTGAGAATATTTTTTGCAGGTCTTGGACAGTAACATATGCATGTCTATAATCCTTGAAAGAAGAGCCTCCTAACATTCTCCCCAGCTGTCATGCTGAGAGCTTTTTTCCAATCTACAAAGAAGAGAAACAGAACCCAAGGAGAGCATAGCAATCTCTCTGGGTAGAAAAGACATAGATTAACAATTTAAAGCTGTCAAAGTGGCTTGTATTTCTGCAGGCAGCATGCCTGACAGGAAGGAATTGCTGAGAACTCCTAAAAATCTGCTAAAAATTCCTTCAGTCCTTGGCCAGCTCCTAACTGTGCATGCCCAAGGAGAAACTCAACGAGGCCTAGCAGAGAATAACTGCTGGAAAGTTGGAGAGCTGAGGAGAGATTTTTGAGGCCCCACTGTGCCAAGGAGCAGGAGGTTAAATCTGAGTCCAGCTAGAATGAAGACGCCTTGGTGAACACCCATGGCTTTCAGCTGGGATATCTGAAAAGCCATGACTACAGCCTGGGTATAAGGCAAAACTGAATCCGACCAGCCCTAAGAAAGCTTCAACAACGTCCACAGGATCAAATTGATTCAGCAATACAACTGCTTGCTAGAACAAATTTCATATTCCTTAGAGGACATTAAAATAATCTTGAGCTTTTATAATGTTTTGCACTCAAAGTGTGGTATCAAATATCACTAGATAGGCAAAGAAGCAGAAAGCAAAGATGCAGAAAAAAAAACACCCATAATCAGGAGAAAAAAATAATTTAAGCAGACCCAGAAATGAGACATACATTGGAATCATCATGCAAGGATTTCAAAATAACTATGCCTAAGACACTAAAAAATAGAACTAGAGATAAAAATGTTGATGAAAAATGGAAATTTTCAACATAGAATCTATAATAAAGAGAATTTTACAATTATAAAATGCTTGAAATTAAGAATTAATTGGACTAGTTTTATAATGAATAGGCAGAGCAGAACACAGTACAAGCAATCTTGAAGATAGTAAAAAAAAAATTTGTTTTATCATCTTGTTCACTTCATAACAGTGTCAATTTTGTTTTAGAAAATTTTGTTGCCCAGGGTAGAGTGCAGGTTGCCCAGGTTGATCTCAAACTCCTAGGCTTAAGCAATCCTTCTACCTCATCCTCCCAAAGTACCAGGCTTATAGGTGTGAACTATTACAGCCAGCTTCACTCTTTTTCTTGGTTACAACTATATTATAGCAAAAATAGAGACCAGCTAAAAAGGGGGAAAACAGTATACTCTTCAGTAGTCCGCTTTCTTAACATACTGGGCGGGAAAATATAAACATGTTGACAGAAGTTATTTTTGGATGATGGCTTTATGACAATATTATTTCTTCTTTCTGCTTTGCTATATTTTCAAAACCCCCACAATGAACACATTTTATTCTTGGAGGAAAAACAAATTATTTTAAAATTTAGTTTTAAGACTGTTAAATTCAGGGAGCTAAACTTGATTTGTTGTCATAGAAAATCAATAGTACTGAACGTTGTCCAAATTCCGGGAGCATTTCTCTCCATAAATATTTTCAAAATCTATACAAAGAAAACCTTTTTTGCTTGAAAATTCAAGGCTTCAGTAAAAGGCCCCTAAAGGAATCATATTAATAATTCACAAAGTCTTAGCTTTCTTCTTAGATATTAAGAAAACTATCTAAAAGTAATAACAAAAAAAGTGTACTTAATTTTACCCAGCATGTAACAATTGTTCACTGAGATCTTAAAGAGTTTCATAATAGCTGTGTTTTAAGACTATTAGAAGACAAAAACGCAATATAATATATGCATTTTTAATTTTCTAAATTATCAGACTGAATTATTTAGGATTAAAATTCACCATGAGTTTTACCTAGAAACTTATATTTAGCTATTTCTCTACCACCTATAATTTCAAGTTTAGGATGAAATACACCATGTTTGGGTGAAAGATGCACAAAAGAAGAGCTCTAATTACCATTATCTTTTAAACATACAAGGTAATTCTAAATTTAGTCATAGTAATGAAGTCGTGTCAATAAAGTCCCACATGCCAGTCTTTGTGTGCGTTTGTCTTTTTGTTGTTGACTTGGTTCTTTTGTGATGACTATATCCAGCATCAAGTGAAGTCTTGATGAAACTTTGATGGGACTCCTAAGCCTTTGGCAAACTTGTGGGAAATCAGGAAAAGCAGGAGATTTTCACAGAAGATTGGAAATGACAGTGGCACCTCTATAACTCATAGTGGCTCTTCAGTTACATCCTTCTCCACCTCCCACCTCAAAATTTGAGCAAGGAAAGGCTGAAGTAATGTAAATTACTAATATGTAGCACCTTGCAAGTGTATAAGTGGTCAACTTTATATGATGCCCATGTCCTCAAAAATCCTTACTTACTAACTGTCCCTTTCAATTTTCTCAAAGGATAACTTCGGGAGAAACTATTCCCAGAGTACTTAATATTGACAAGCTTTTTTAAAAAGTATATTTTGAAACAATAAATCCCATAATTGAACTACACACATATCAGCATTTGAATTTAAAAAGTGTAAACAAACTTATAGTAGGCTGTTAGAATCAAATTTATGTGGATTTGGTGGAATGCCATCTCAAAGAATAGCAGGAAAAGCTATGATGTAATTCTCCTCTAAATCTTTATGGACAAGCTGAAAGGAAATCTCTTGGAGATACCTATCCTCTATACACATCACTTCTAAAGAACACAATGTACTCTGCTAAAAGGAAAACTATAAAGTTAAAATGTATGCATATGTATTTAGGCTTTAGATGTCTCAAGAGATTACACAATGTTTCTTTAAGGGTAAACATTTACATTGTCTCAGCAAATTCCATACCTAAAACCTAATTCAATTTCCATGAGTTACAAAATCTCCTGAAATTCAGGTTGCTCATAGTTTGATATTAATACCCTTCTTCCATCCTTGTTTTGGAGAACTTATGCAAAAATTATTATTTAAATGTCACAAAATTTCAAACACTAAACAAAAATGTACTAGCTATATTTACATCTAGTCATAAATATACACATCCCTATCTCTGTACCATATACAATATACAAAAACCACAAGTGTTAGACTTACTAAACCTTCAACAGACTTGTTATAAGATCATTAATATCAAATCAAAATAATTTGAAGCTAAATTTTCTTTTTGTAAACATTTTGCTGATATGGAAGAAAAAACCTAACGGGGGCACACTGTCCCCTAGTGGAGATGAAAATAACTTTTCAGTGTATGTCAATTGCCAAAACTGCAGGAAAAAGCGATCACCTACTGATAGGGTGTGAGAAAAACAAAACAGCCTCCTCCGAATGAGAAACATTTTCCTCTTGCTCCTGTGAGTGATAACAAATGCCTCTCAAAAACTTAGATAATACTAATGAAAATGCACTTGGGTTTACTGATTAACATAATCATCGCACAACAGTTTTAGTCTTTTTTATTTTCTGTGTCTAGAAACAGGGCCTTACAATACAGTAGGAATTCAATAACTGTTTTGGAAAGAGATAATTAAGAAAAAAGGATTGGGAAGCCAGGTGCCATGGCTCAAGCCTGTAGTTCCTGCTACGAAGGTGGCTGAGTGGGGAGGATCACTTGAACCCAGGAGTTCAAGGCCGCAGTGAGCAATGATTGTGCCACTGCACTGCAGCCTAGGTGACAGAGCAAGACCCTATCTCTTTAAAAAGAGGAGAGGGAGAGGGGCAGAAAAAAAAAGGAAAGAAAAAAAGGAAAGGGAAGGAAAAAACAAAGGAAAAAAGGGAAGGGACAGGAAGGGGAGGGAAGGGGAGTGTAGAGGAAGGCAGAGGGAAGGGGAGGGGAGAAGGAAGGGGAGGGAAGGGGAGGGGAGGGAAGGGGAGGGAAAAAGGAGGGAGGGAAAAGGGCAGGAAAAACATAAGGAGAAGGGAAGAGGGAAGGGAAGGGAAGGGAAAAGGGAAGGAAAGAGGGAAGGAGAAGGGAAGGGAAAGGTTGGTCAATAAAATTCAGTAAAACCCTGTAAGGCAGCACCGATACTTTACGGAGCAGGAACAGAGAGTAGGAAAGACACAAACTACAGTGCTCAGAGCCAGATTGCAGTGAGGAAAAATGTAGACAGCCAAAAGGCATCAGACATCTGGCCTGAAGAACAAACAGTTCATTATTGCATCCAATATTTCTAGATCTGGGACTTGTGACACTGTTACATTTTATTTTCTTAAATCAATCATAAAGTAAATTCCACAACTTAATAAAATTGAAAAAGCAGTGTCATATACAACATCCTTTTTAATTAGCAAAAAATGTTTTGATCCTACACAACTCACCCAGCAATTACCAACACCTGCTAGTTTTCTATTGTCATGCTCCAACCACTGTAAGCCTACATTAACACCATCCTATGCCTGGACTCCTCCAGGATGCTCTAACTGGTCACTTCTGTCTGTTTTTGGCTACTGCTCCAACCTCCCTAAAATAGCCACCTTCACTCTATCAAACTCACAATTTTCAGCTACTCCTGTTAGCTTTCAAGGTCATCCACTATCAACCTAATCAACCCTTCTAACTGCAATTCTCTTTCTTTTACTGTTCAGAATCCACTTTTGTTGCCATCCCAGTATAATCATTATTATTTCTGCCCCCAGAAAAATGGTTTCCCAGTAACTGTCTAATTGACATCAATTTTTAAAGACTCAGCTGTAATGACTACCTCTTAAGATGTCATCTATTTTTTATTGCATATCAGTAATTTATGTTATCATAGTTTTTCTCAAAATCCCTAATGTTTTTATTTGGTTTGCAATCTACAGGACTTAATTTCTCAGCTAAATCGTAAGATACTAAAAGATAACTTTTCCAAATTCTAAACTCAAACATAGTACTATGTCCACAGTAGGCACTCGGTAAATATTTATTAGTTAGAATAATTGGCTAATTAACTCTATAAAGAGGTGACCTTTTAGCTTACCTTAAGATATCTTTGAAATATCGAACGTTTTAGGCTGAGACAATGGAGTTTTCTAAATATACAATCATGTCATCTGCAAACAGAGACAATTTGACTTCCTCTCTTCCTATTTGAATATCCTTTATTTCCTTCCCTTGCCTGATTGCCCTGGCCAGAACTTCCAATACTATGTTGAATAGGAGTGGTGAGAGAGGGCATCCTTGTCTTGTGCCAGTTTTCAAAGGGAATGCTTCCAGCTTTTGCCCATTCAGTATGATATTGGCTGTGGGTTTGTCATACGTAGCTCTTATTATTTTGAGATATGTTCCATAAACACCTAGTTTATTGAGTGTTTTTAGCATGAAGGGGTGTTGAATATTATTGAGGGCCTTTTCTGCATCTATTGAGATAATCATGTGGTTTTTGTCATTGGTTCCATTTATGTGATGGATTACATTTATTGATTTGTGTATGTTGAAACAGCCTTGCATCCCAGGGATGAAGCCAATTTGATCATGGTGGATAAGCTTTTTGATGTGCTGCTGGAATTGGCTTGCCAGTATTTTATTGAGGATTTTTGCATCGATGTTCATCAGGGATATTGGCCTGAGACACAACTTTTTTTGTTGTGTCTCTGCCAGGTGTTTGTATCAGGATGATGCTGGCCTCATAAAATCAGTTAGGGAGGAATCTCTCTTTTTCTATTGTTTAGAAGAGTTTCAGAATAAATGGTACCAGCTCCTCTTTGTACCTCTGGTAGAATTCGGCTGTGAATCTGTCTGGTCCTGGGCTTTTTTTGGTTGGTAGGCTACCAATTATTGCCTCAATTTCAGAACTTGCTACTCAGTGATTCAACTACTTCCTGGTTAGTTTAGTCTTGGGAGAGTGTATGTGTCCAGGAATTTATCCATTTCTTCTAGATTTTCTAGTTTATTTGTGTAGGTGTGTTTATAGTATTCTCTGATGGTACTTTATATTTCTTTGGGATCAGTGGTGATATCCCCTTTATCATTTTTTTATTGCATCTATATGATTCTTCTCTCTTTTCTTCTTTATTATTCTGGCTAGTGGTCTATCTAGTTTGTTAATCTTTTAAAAAAAAAACAGCTCCTGGATTGAGCAAAGTCTCGGGATAGAAAATCAATGTGCAAAAATCACAAGCATTCCTATACACCAATAATAGACAGAGAGCCAAATCATGAGTTAACTCTCATTCACAATTGCTTCAAAGAGAATAGAATACAACTCAGAAGGGATGTGAAATACCTCTTCAAGGAGAACTACAATCCACTGCTCACGGAAATAAGAGAGGACACAAACAGATGAAAAAACATTCCATGCTCATGGATAGGAAGAACCAATAACATGAAAATGGCCATATTGCCCAACGTAATTTATAGATTCAGTGCTATCCCCCTCAAGCTACCATTGAATTTTTTCACAGAATTAGAAAAAACTACCTTAAATTTCATATGGAACCAAAAAAGAGCCCATACAGCCAAGACAATCCTAAGCAAAAAGAACAAAGCTGGAGGCATCATGGTACCTGACTTTAAACTATACTACAAGGCTACTGTAACCAAAACAGCATGGTACTGGTACCAAAACAGATATATAGACCAATGGAACAAAACAGAGACCTCAGAAATAACACCACACGTCTACAGCCATCTGATCTTTCACCAACCTGACAAAAACAATCAATGGGGAAAGGATTCCCTATTTAATAAATGGTGTTAGGAAAACTGGCTATCCATATACAGAAAACTGAAACTGGACCCCTTCCTTATACCTTATACAAAAATTAACTCAAGATGGATTAAAAACTTCAACGTAAGACATAAAACCATAAAAATCCTAGAAGAAAACTGAGGCAATACCATTCAGGACACAGGCATGGGCAAAGGCTTCATGACTAAAACACCAAAAGCAATGGCAACCAGAGCCAAAATTGACAAATGGGATCTAATTAACTAAAGCACTTCTGCACAGCAACAGAAATGATCATCAAAATATACAGGCAACCTACAGAATGGGAGAAAATTTTTGCCATCTATCTGTCTGACAAAGGGCTAATATCCAGAATCTACAAGGAACTTAAACAAATTTACAAGAAAAAAAACAAACAACTGCATTAAAACGTGGGCAAAGGATATAAACAGACACTTCTCAACAGAAGACATTTACGTGACCAACAAACATGTGAAAAAAAGCTCATCACTGGTCAGTAGAGAAATGCAAATCAAAACCACAATGAGATGCCATCTCACGCCAGTTAGAATGGCGACCATTAAAAAGTCAGGAAACAACAGATGCTGGAGAGGATGTGGAGAAATAGGAACACTTTTACACTGTTGATGGGTGTGTAAATTAGTTCAACCATTGTGGAAGACAGTGTGGCAATTCCTCAAGGATCTAGAACTAGAAATACCATTTGACCCAGGAATCCCATTATTGGGTATATACCCAAAGGATTATAAATCATTCTACCATAAAGACAGATGCACACATATATTTATTGTAGCACTGTTCACAATAGGAAAGACTTGGAACCAACCCAGATGCCCATCAATTATAGACTGGATAAAGAAAATGTGGCACATGTACACCATGGAATACTATGCAGCCATAAAAAGAATGATATTATGTCCTTTGCAGGGACATGGATGAAGCTGGAAACCATCATTCTCAGCAGACTAACACAGCAAGAGAAAACAAAACACCGCATGTTCTCACTCATAAGTGGGAGTTGAACAATGAGGACACATGGACACAGGAAGGGGAACATCACACATCAGGGCCTGTTGGTGGGTGTGGGACTAGGGGAGGGATAGCATTAGGAGAAATACCTAATATAGATGACGGGTTGATGGGTGCAGCAAACCATCATGACACGTTTATACCTTTGTAACAAACCTCAACATTCTGCACATGTATCCCAGAACTTAAAGTATAATTTTAAAAAAAGAAATATCAAAGGTTTTAGATGAAGGCTACATTGTCATGAAAATAACACCATAAAAATAAAAACCTTATATTTGTACTTGGGAACTGGAAACAGTGTCAAAAACTAGGAATTTGTACTCCATGATTCTTCCTCCTATGAAAAAACACCCAGTCTAAGAAGTAAGTGTAAGGGACACTGATAAATCTATACTAACACACCCAAGTCTGGGGGATAAGGGCAGACAATGAGGCAGGCATTCTCTTAAATGGGGTGGCTGCATAAATAGAAAGCTATATACCAGCTGTTGTTAGGCAATGGATACAATTTCCAGAACATATGATAACTTATAGGAGGGATAGAAAGCTTATCCTAGAGTTACTTCTCTAGTTAATGGTCCAGGTGTCAGTAGAATAATATTGATAATTTCTCAAGAAGCAGAAAGACTGGTTAGATTTGTTCACATAACATTTAGTTTCAAAATTTTAAATTATAAACTTAATGCAAAAAAAAGAATAAAATGGGCCAATTCAAACATACCTTCTTGGCAGAAACATGGGGCAAAGAAAAGGATCATTTAAAGGATATTTTTGACTAGTTAAAAAGACCCCTGGTTAATGACTATTAGGCTTTTGAATATTGGTTAATGGGTAGATAGTTAGTATCCAAAGTGTTAATCTCAAAGTTTCACAGTTGTTTACCATTATGTTAGAAATTATTTCCTTCCAAGAAGGTGGCCATGAATTACAACCTGCAAAAATACTTCTGTTCTGAATAGAGTAGTGCCAATTTTTATCAGCCTTAGTTAGCAAAATCCTAGCCTGGCAAAGCTCCCTCCCAGAATCAAGAGCAGAAGCAATCCTTTCTCAAGGTCACAGATGGTAGAATTATTGCCTATAGAGATTCTTCCCAATAGGGAGGTAGAACAAAAATCAACATATAGATGAAGTCATTCTCCAGGTGGAAAGAACTTTTAAGAATCATTACAATTAAATGTCTCTCTGAAATGATGCTTTTGAGTACAACTAGAAAACATGTTACATATTTTCTGATTTTCAGTCTCAGGAAGACTAAAGAAGATGTTTCAACTATAGAGGTGGGCACAAAGTAGGAATAATCTTGTGTCAGAAGAGTTCATGTGGATATTAAATGTATTTTGAATTAAAAATCTCATTAGAGGCTGGGTGCAGTGGCTCACGCCTGTAATCCCAGCACTCTAGGAGGCCAAGGTGGGCAGATCACGAGGTCAGGGGATCAAGACCAACCTGGTCAACATGATGAAATCCCATCTCTACAAAAAATACAAACAATTAGCCAGGCATGGTGGCGTGCGCCTGTAGTCCCAGCTACTCAGGAGGCTGAGGCAGAAGAATTGCTTGAACCTGGGAGGCGGAGGCTGCAGTGAGCCGAGATCACGCCACTGCACTCCAGCCTGGGCAACAGAGTGAGACTCCATCTCAAAGAAAAAAAAAAAAGAAAAAAAAAATCTTATTAGAGGTAGTGTACAACTTATTTTATCATCAAAACTGTATTATATACATAGAAGACAGACTTGAAATGTCTAGAACTCAGGAGAAAACAGTGAAAACAGTGACAGAAACATCAAGGCATTAATTTAAAATATAAGGGAATCCTGGAGAGAAAACACAACAGATTTTGTGGAAGTCATTATACAGGTGTAGAATAGGTGAGGTCAGCAAGATGGCAAAATGGGAAGTCTTCTCCTCCACCAACCTCCAGAGAAAGTTCAACTAGCAACTATCCGCAGACTGGAAGAATATCTTTTTTTAAACCCCAACACTTGGAAACAAGACTGAGACACCAATGTGGTCCATAGAAACGAATGAAGTTACAATGAGAAAGGTAAGAAGAATGATCTCACTCCAACTATGACATCCCTCATCCTCCTCTAAGATGGCACAATGCCAGATGAAAAGAATTTCCCTGGGTCCCCACAGTTTCTATGAGTTGATGGCAGGGGTGTGAAATAGAGACAGTCATACCCATCCCTACCATTCTGGCATGCTTCCTAGAAAGCCCACTTTGGTTTTATTATTTCATAGAAAACAGTAGTGAAAATGTCATGACTACACCACTTGGGATCAGGTAGAAACAAAGGAGGCAGAGGTCCTAGTGATCATGTCACAGATCTTGGTGGTACCTCTGTGTTCCTACCACTGATGGTATCCAATTGCAGATATCAGTCAACCTCATAACCCACCCACAAAGCTGAGCTGGTTGCCTTCAGAAGCCTGATGGGATGTTCAACAAAACTTGAGTCCTAGACATCGTAAGTCATCCTGCCCAACCTCAGAGACCACCCCAAAGATCCTGTACAGGCAGAAAGGTGCCCACTTCCTTCCATTTCAGAAACAATGAAGAGGCTAAATTGGCTTGACCCAGGAAGCCAAGCAGCACCTCTATGAAGCTAAAAGTCCTACCCAATGACCCCATTCAGGAAAGAAGAATCCTACTTCTTTAGATTTTAGAGAAATGAATGGACTACACCAGTTTGACCCAGAAAGTCAAACAGTGGCTCCAGTAAGCCAATAAGCCCTCCCAACAACTTTGCACAGGCAGGGAGACTTCCACATCTGCACATCTCAGAGAAGTGTAGCCAGCTTGACCCAGAAAGTCAAGCAGTGATTCCACTCACTGTAACCCAAAACTCAGGGGTTCCACCCAGCCTAAAAGCCCACCCAATAACTTTCCCATTTCCAAAAATTTGGAGAACCATAAGAGCTAGACCTGCTTGACCACGGAAGTCAAACAGCCACTCAATTCTGCAAAAAAAACCCATCCTGTGGCTCCACCTTGACAAGTAGTCAATTGTCAACCACGCATTTCTAAAGAGCATAGCCTCTCTTCTGACCTGTGCTGAGCAGCAATTCTGCCTAAACTTGGAGTCCAGCCTGCAGCCTTGCCCAGCTATAGATCCCAAAGAGTTGAATTGGCCATCCAGGGAGTGTATCTTGTGACTAGTCTGACCAGAAGCTACTACAGTATCCAGCCAGAAACTATGCCTAATAGCAGATCCCAGCCACCAGACAGCAGAGCCCAACCAGTAGCCCCACCTGACATTTGAGCAAAAGGTGGTGACTCAGCCAACTGGAGAACTCACAACAAGTTCTACCCGTCTGGGGTTGTTACCAGCTGGCCCTTCCAGAATCACAGTCTAGGCTACATAGTGAAGATCTATCCCTGCTAAAGAACACCTCTTAGGCTAGAAGAGGGGGCTGCTGTCTCAAATGTACAGACAACAATGCAAAGACATAATAATTTAATAATTATGAAGAATAAGGGAATCGTGACACCTCTAAAAGAAAGTAATAAAGCCCCAATAGTCTACCTCAAAGGAATGTACATTTATGAAATGACTGAAGAAGAGAATTCAGAATAATACTCAAAAAAGTTCAGTGAACTATAAGAATATACAGATAGGAAATTTCATGGAATTTGGAAAACAAAGACTTGACAAAGAAATAAAAATAATTTTTAAAAATTAGATAAAAATCCTAGAAATAAAAAATACAGTGACTGATCTGAAAAACTCAAAAGAAACCTTCAACAGCAGACTCAATTAAGCAGAAGAATCAATTAGCTGGAAGACAGAACATTTAAAATTATACAGTTAGTGAAGAAGAACACAAAAGAAGAAAGAAGGCTATAGGAATTAAGGGACAGCAGCAAAGGACCGAACATTCACATAATGGGGAACTGCAGACGGAATAGAAAGCAGAAGGGCCAAAAAAAAACAAAAACATCTTCAAAGAAATAATGGCTGAGAAATGACTTTCTGGGGATGCATGCCAACACCCAAGGACAGAAAGCATAGCGGTCTCTAATCAATGCAACCCAGAAAGAAGTTCATCAAGGCACATAATGAACTATCAAAATCAAAAAATAAATAAAATTCTGAGAGCAGCAAGACATAAGAAACATATCACATACAAAGGAATGACAATGTGACTATAAGCAGATTTCTCAGCAGAAACCTTGTATGCCAGGAGAAAATGGGATGATATATTCAAAGTCTTAAATAAAAAAAAAGACAAACAACAAAGAATACTTTATTCAGCAAAGCTATATTTCAGAAATGAAGGAGAAATAAGAAGTTTCTCATAAAATAAAAGCAAAGGGAGTTCATCACTGGCATACTCATAGGAACTGGTAAAGCAAGTTTTTTAAACTGAAACAAAAAGCTGTTAATTAATAATATGAACTATAAAAAAGCAAAAAAAATCAATTGTATAAGTAAAACAGTCATATTCAGAATACTCTAAAACTGTAATGATGGTAAGACCTAGTATGAGGGTTTTATACTAGTATGAGAGTTTAAAAAAACACTACTAATAAATATAGCTAAAATTGTCAGGGATACATATTATACAATATGAAAATTCTGACATCAAAAATATAAAATGTAGAGGAGAGGATAAGTACAAAGTAGAGTTATATGCAATCAAAGTTAGTTTTTCACTTTGAAATAACTGGAAATAGACAGTTATAAGATGTTCTACATAAGCCTCATGGTAACCACAAAGAAAAAATATTCAGTGGAAATACAAAACAAAAATAAAAGGATTCAAAGCATGCTAGCACAGAAAACCATTAAATCACAAGAGAAGAAAAAAATACAGTATCTACAAAATAACAGAAAACAACAAAAATGGCAGTAGTAAATCCTTACCTATCAATAATTGCCAAGAACATAAATGAATTGAATTCTCTGAGACACAAAGTAACTAAATGTGTAATAAAACAAGATCCAATTATAGGCCTACTAGAGACTTACTTCACTTTTAATGACATACATAGACTGTAAATGAAGGGATGGAAAGGATATTTTTTGCAAAAGGAAACCAAAAGATAGCAACAGTAGCTATACTTAGACAAAATAGACTTTACACCAAATACATCATAAAGAGACAAAGGATATTATAAATAATAAAGGGTCAACATAATATAACAATTATAAATACATATGCACCCAACAACAGAGCACTTAAGTATATGAAACAAATATTAAAGATCTGAAAGGAGATATACATGAGAATACAATAATAGTAGGGGACAACAATATCCCACTTTCAACAATGAAAAGATCATCCAGACAGAAAATTAACAAGGATATATTATACTTGAACAATACTTTAGACCATATGGACCTCACAGACTTATACAGAACATTCTGTCCAACAGCAATAGAATACATATTCTTCTCAAGCAGATGAAATATTCTCCGGGATAGATCTCACATGTTAGAGCACAAAATAAGCCTCAGAAAATTTAAAATACTAAAATTATATTAAGTCTCTTTTCTGACCACATAGTGTAATATATAATTAGACATCAATAACAGGAGAAATGGCAGAAAAATTATAAATGCATGAAAATTAAACAACATGCTACTGAAAGACCAATGAATCAATAAAGAAAAGAAAAATTTGTTAAATATTTTGCGACAAATAGAAATGAGAACACAACAGCAGGCCTTAGGAGAAAGTTTGTAATGATAAATGCCTACATCAAAAAAAGAAAAAAACATTTCAAGTGAACAATCTAGTGTTACATCTCAAGAAACTAGAAAAAGACAAACTCGGCCTTAAGTTAGCAGAAAAAAAGTGGTGATAATAAAGATAAGAGCAAAAGTAAATATAAGAGATTAGAGGACAACATAAAACATAAATAAAACTAAGAGTTGGTCTTTGGGAAAGATAATTAACAAACCTTTAGGCAGAGTAAGAGAAAAGAGAAGACTCAAATAAAATATAAATGAAAAAGGACACATTACAACTGATAACACAAAAATACAAAGGGTAAGAGACTACCTCAAACAATTATAAGTCAATGAATTGAGTAACCCAGAATAAATGCATAAATTCCTAGATACCTACAAACTACCGAAATTGAACCATGAAGAAACGGAAAATAAGAAAAGACCAATAACAAGTAAGGAGAGTGAATCAAGAATAAAAAGTCTCCCACCAAGGAAAAGTCTAGGACCTGAGGGTTTCTTGGCTGAATTCTACCAAATATTTAAAAAACTACAAGAAAATAAACTGTATTACAAAAACATTACACTTACAAGAAAAGAAAATTGCAGACCAATATCTTTCAGGAACATAGATGCCAAAGTCCTCAACAAAATACTAGCAAACCGAACAACAAATTAAAAGGATAATCTACTATGACAGATGCAAGGATGATTCAACATATACAAATCAACAAGTGCTGTACCTCATATTAACAGAATGAAGGAAAAAACCATATAATCTCATCCAGATGCAAAAAAAGCACTTGACAAAATTCAGCATCCTTTCATGTTAAAACTCTCACATTAGGTATAGAATAAACTTACTTCAACACAATAAAGGCCATATATGGGAAACATTATGCCACAGCTAACAGTATAGTTAATGCTGAAGCCTTTCTACTAAGTTCCAAAACAAGACAACATGCCCACACTTACCACTTCTATTTTATAGAATATTGGAAGTCCCTCCCATAGCAACTAGCCAAGAGAAAGAAATAAAAGACATCCAAACAGAAAAGAAGTGAAATTCTCACTGTTTGCGGATGACATGATCTTATATATATATAGAAAGCTGTTAACAGTTGAAAAAAATACACATATACAGTAAGGTTGCAAAATACAAAATCAGTACACAAAACTCAGTAGCATTTTTATATACTAGCAACAAACCTGTGAAAAGGAAATCAAGAGGACAGTCACATTCATGATAGCTGTAAAAATATTTGGGAATAAATTTAATCAACAAGGTAAAGACCTATATAGTGAAAACTGTAAAACACTGATAAAAAAATTGAAGACAACACTAATATATAGAAAGATATCTCATGTTCACATATTGGAAGAATTAGTATTGTTAAAATACCCCTTCTACTCAGAGCAATCTATAAACTTAACACCATTCCTAACAATATTCTAATGTCATTTTTCATACAAATAAAAAATATTGTTAAGTTCATATGGAACTGCAAAAAACCTTGAATAGCCAAGGCAGCCACGAGCGAAAAGAGCCAAGCTGAAGGCATCACAATACCTGATTTCAAACTATACTACAGAGCTATAGTAATCAAAACAGCATGGTACTGGTTAAAAAGAGGGAGAGAGAGACATACACAAACACACACAAAGACCAACAAAACAGAGTAGAAAGCTCAGAAAGGAATACATGCATATACAGTCAATTGATTTTTGACAAAGGTGCCAAGAACACATAATGTGAAACGGATAATTTTTTTCAATAAATGGTGCTGGGAAACCTAGATATCCACATTCAGAAGAATGAAATTGGGCCCTAATCTCACACCATATATAAAAATCAACTTGAAATGCACTAAAGACTTAAATACAAGACCAAAAGCTATAAAACTATTAGAAGAAGACAGAAGAAAAACTGCACAACATGGGCAATGATTTCTCAGATTGGACTACATAAGTACAGGAAACAAAAGCGAAAGTAGACAAGTGTGATTAGATCAAACTCAAAAGGAAGCAACAGTAGGAAGAGACAATCTACAGATTGGGAGAAAATCTGTGCATGCCATATACCCAATAAGAGGTTAATATTTAAAATATTTAAGTAGCTCAAACATTTCAATGGCAAGAAAACAAAGCAAACAATTAAAAAAAAATTAAAAACGGCAAGGGACCTGAATAAACATTTCTCAAAAGAAAAAATACAAACGGCCAACAAGTGTATGAAAAAATGCTTAACATCCGTAATCACTAGAGAAATGCAAATTTAACCTACAATAAGATATCATCTCACACCTGTCAGAATGGCTACTACCAAGAAGATAAAAGATAAGAAATGTTGGCAGGATGTGAAGAAAAAAACTCTTGTGCACTGTTGGTAGGAACATGAATTAGTACACTGTGGGAAACTGTATGGTTGTTTCTCAAAATCTAAAACTAGAAATACCACGTAATTCTGAAATCCCACTTCTGGATATCTACCAAAAGATTTAAAATCAGTTTTTCAAAGAGATGTCTGCACTCACTCCCATGGTCATTGCAGCACTATTCACAATAGCCAAGTTATGGGATTAATATAAGAGTCCATCAACAGATTTATTGTTTAAGAAGATGCAGTACATATACAGAACAGAATACTATCAACCTTTAAAAAAGTAACTGTCATTTGCAACCACATGGATGGAAGTGGAGAACATTATGCTAAATAAAATAAGCCTGACACAGAAGACAAATATCACAGGTCCTTACTTATATATGGAATCTAAACAACTGAATTAGAAGCAGAGTAGAATTGTGGTTCCAAAAGATGGGGTTAGGGGAATGGGGAAATAACAAACACAAGGTATAGAAATCTCAGACACGAGAAATATGTTTTCCTTTTTATTTTTTAGTTCTATTGCAATGTGGTGAATATAGTTAATAATGGGAATATTGTACATTTCAAAACTGCTGAGTAAATTCCAAATGTTCTCACCACAAAAAATTAAGTACTTGAAGAGATGTATATGTTAACTAGATTGATTTAATTATTTCATATTGTATTCATAAATTATAATATCACTTTTTACCCCATAAACTTATATAATTAAAAATTGCCGTGGCTGATGCCTGTAATCCCAGCACTTTGGGAGGCTAAGGCGGGAAGATTGCCTGAGCTCAGGGGTTTGAGACCAGCCTGACCAACATGGTGAAACCCCATCTCTACTAAAAATACAAAAATTAGCCAGGTGTGGTGGCATGTGCCTGTAATCTCAGCTAATCAGGAGGCTGAGGTAGAAGAATTTCTTAAACCTGGGAGGCAGAGGTTGCAGTAAGCCGAGATTGTGCCACTGCACTACATCTTGGGCAACAGAGTGAGATGGTGTCTCTCAAAAGGAAAAAAAAAAAGTCAATTTACTTAAACCTTTTTTTAAGAAACAAAATACCATTAGTTGAACTAAGTTAAGGATCTGCAGATAGATAGCTATCATTTGGGTGCCTTACAAAATTAATAAAAGAACAGCAAAAAAGAAGTCATATTTAGAAGATACCTTCAAATTTAAAGAAAAAATTCAATAACCTCCAGCAGATGATACAGATTGCTTTTAACAGACAAGAATGACTGATGTGTAACTTTTCTAGAATACTAAGTAACAAAAAACAATGGAATATGGGAAAAGTAGTTACCTAAGACTCCTGGCTGTCAGAGAAACAAAAAAAGAGACATTGTACTATGTGCAAGGACTTTGAAAGTAGTGCAATTAATGGAACCTTTCTTGGTAGGGGGGAACTGTTTAGAAACTAGAAACTTAATTTGTCCAATGATGAAATAAGTAAGGTTGTAGGAGCAGGGAGAAGAATGGGAACTCCTTTATTCATTCAATGACTATATTTCAGGAACTTACCTGATGCCAGACTCTAAGCTATATATAAAGATATGAATATATAGACTTTTTTTTCCCCTGATGGAATATGTAGTTAGGCAAGACAGACAAATACATAAATACAGAAATGCATTCATAATAAAAATCTATGAAAAACAGACCCATTAGCATCAAAATAAATACAGCATTAGAATTTTCAGGCACAAAATACCTTTTAAACTACGTAAAATATTTAAATAAATAAATATAAAATCAGGAAAATAAGAAAGCAAGACAAGTCTCTCTCAATGAGAGTCTTGAAACATAAAATAACAAACAGAAATGAGACCTGAAATACAAAAGACAGAATTTTTGTAAATGAAAAGCATTGTTGAACATAAAGAAAAAAGAATCTCAAAAGCAATAGATTAGATTCAGTTGCAGAGAGAATTACTGAAACTGGAGAAATAATTAAGGAAATTACTCAGAATATATATTAGACAATGAAATGGAAAACAGAGTAGGAAGTTAAAAGATTTGGTAGATACAATAAGAATGTCAAATATATATTTAATCAGAATCCCATAAAGGGAGAATAAAAACAACAGGCAAAAAAATAATAATTTATGGTTGTAAATTTTCCACCAACTACAGAACAAAAATTCATCAAGGAAACCTAACGAATTTCAAGGTGGATTAAAAAAATCACAAAAAGTAGATAAATTGTAAGGAAACTGAAATACTAAGTAGAGACAATCTTAAAGCAACTAGAAGGAATACATCAAAACAGACCAACAATTAGCCTGGCAGCGTCTCTCCCAAAAATAATGGTAGCAAGAACACAAGGACAGTATTTTTAAAGTGCTAAAATCAACAGCAAAAACTACACCCCCCTCAACAAAGCTATCAAACTAGAATGTTTACAACACTCCCCCCTCCACACACCAACATTATTTTTCAAGATTAGAAATAAAATACTGCCTCCTTCAAATAAAATATGAAAGTATATCCTTAAAATCCCTTCTTACACTAAAGTCTGTAACTCACATGGAAGGAAAATAATCTCTGAATCAAGGTCTAAAGAGCAGGAAGGCATGGAAAATTTAAAAATGATTTTAAAATAAGTACATAAATCTAAACACAGTAGTCTCTAGAAAATTATAAATAAGTAACATCTAAATATAAAGGATATTTAAAAGAACAAAATCAAAATACTGGGTAAGAACAGTAGCATAAAAGTTAGGAGGTAACTGATCAAACTTGAAATGCTCTAAGATTCATAAAAGTGTTGGGAAAGTAAAATACTGACTTCAGATTTTCAAATAAATGGGCAAAGAAAAATTTTAAGAGACTGCTTAATGTATAAAAATAGGATGTGAAACTTCTAACAAGCAGAGAGAAATTGGAGTAAAAACAAAGGGGATCTCAGGTGGCTAAAGCAAATGGAGACTCTGAATACTTTCTCCAAAAATAGTACTGAACGAGATCAAAGTAGACACGCACACATACACACACACACACACACACACCTTTGATACCATTTAAGACAAAAAAAAATCCCCAAACTTCAAAGTAACTGCAAGTTAAAGAAAATAAGAGAAAACCAGCAAATCTCAATAAGCAATTTCTCCTTCTCCTGTTCTGCCATAAATGTTTGTGTGGCAACTAAGGGCAAACTGAAAAAATATGAAAAGAAAGAAGGGAGCTACTGATGAGTATAAAGTTTATTTAAAATCACCACCAAAAACAGTAATTCTGACTTAAATGTGAAAATACTAAAACGTGTGAATAACCAGCAAGACTTCAAGGAAGGGACTTAAAATTATGCTTGATTTGGCAGACTTCTCCTGGGGAAAACACACACACACAACAAGGGAGAAGAAATATTTGGCAACAGAGTAATGAAGAGGAAAAGAAAAAAAATTAGGTTCCTGAAATATGAAAGACAACCAAACAACTGGAGGACACATAACTCCTTTCTCCACCATTAAATAAGATTAACTAAAGAAGCCAGATTCTGCTACAGTGACAGAAGAGAGCAGCATTGAATTAGGTATCGTGTAAACCCTAGTCAAATCCACAAGAAATTAATAAGAGAGAACTTAATAAATGTATAGTTATTACATAAAATAAAATTCAGTTACCTCAGTTAATGACTCCCCTGCTCTCCAAAAAATAATGAGGCAAAAGACTAAGGTAACACTCCAAACTGAATAGCCTTTGACTATCTGACTTTCAAAACTATGTTAATGTTTCACGCACTCCAAAAAAATAATTAGAATCAAGCAGGATGGGGTAGGGATACTCCAAAATCGATTAACAATATGAAATGAACCAAAATGTACTATAAATAAAGAACCAAACTGAAGAGGGTGGCCCTAACTAAATTTGGAAATTAGTATTTTGATTCAATATTCTAAGACAAAGAACTATATATAAAACTATCATACTCATTAGTACTATTGTTTTCTAAGAGATATGGGTTAGCAATTCTGAAAGTATACTATGTGTATGCTATGTTGAGTAAGATATATGTTAGAGAGATGGATTACATATAAGAAAAAGGAGAGCTAGAAAATTCTATGATGTTGGACTGAAAAATCGAGATATCAACAAATGGTTTCTTTTAGCTAGATTATAAATTACATACGAATACACTCAGTTACAAATGTAGAAATAGGTATAGAAGAGTGTTTCTGTGTCTAGAAATAGATATATTTCCTAGTCCTGTTCACTTTGAAAGGGCTTACAAATTGTGACATGCAAGGTGCAATGAGCACCCTTAGTGCTCAGGATCTTGGTTTCTAAATACCAATTTTTAAAAAAAGAAATTTAGGTTTCTTGGAGAAATTGCTCATTTCAAGCCTGAATGAAGAATAAGATGAGTCTGAAATATCCTTTGGTGCCAGAATGTAGGGACACCCTCAAAATCTGATGAGAACATTGTGAAGGACAACATAAGGCAACATGAAGGAGCTCCCATTCACCACATGTGGGAAAACTGGAGCAACAAAATCATGAGAGTATGGAACAGAATCCATAAAATAAGACTAATACTAATGAGTTCATTCAGATAGATTAGATAGATAGAAAGGGAAAAAGAGCAGAAAGACATAGATGGCACAAAAGGTAAAGATCTTTATTGGAAAATTCCAATTAATACATTTGGAAAGAATGATGGGAATAAAAAACCACTAAGTGACAAGCAACACTATATAAAGGTTTCCAACAAGAATCATTGATGCATGATAAAATTATCGTGTAATGGTATGATTAAAAATCGGGATATTTACATAGTTTCCAAATATTTTACCATAATTATTAATTATAAAGGTAGTAATATATTTTCAGTGGAGAAACCCAGCAGATGCCACTTTAACCAAGTGATCTAGGTTAATATCAGCAGTGAGACAGATATCATGTGATCCCTGATATGATGCACTGAGAAGGATATAACACTAATTCAGTGGTATTCTTGCCTAAATGCATTTATTCATGAGAAAACAGCAGAGAAATCTAAATGAGGGACATTATACAAAACAAATCAGTATTTGCCAAAAGTACAAAGTCATGAAAGACAAAGAAAGAATGAGTGGTCGGGCGCAGTGGCTCACATCTGTAATCCCAGCAATTTAGGAGGCCTAGGCAGGTGGATCACCTGAGGTCAGGCATTCAAGACCAGCCTGGCCAACATGGCGAAACCCCATCTCTACTAAAAATACAAACATTAGCCAGGCCTGGTGGCACTTGCCTGTAATCCCAGCTACTTGGGAAGCTGAGGCAGAATTGCTTGAACCCAGGAGATGGAGGTTGCAGTGAGCCAAGATTGCACCACTGCACCCAGCCTGGGCAATACAGCGAGACTCGGTCGAAAAAAAAAAAAAAAAGGAAAGGAAAGGGAAGGGAAAGGGAAGGGAGAGAGAGAGAGAAACAAACAAACAAACATTCCAGAATAAAGGAGACCAAGAAGACATGACAACAAAATGCAACATGTGTTCCCGGATTGAATCCTGGATCAGAAAAAGCGTATCAGAGGAACAAGAACAAAACATGAATAAGATTTGTAGCTTACATAACCGAGTTAATCAATGTTAACCACCTGACAGGGACTCCGCCCAGGTACCATACAAAGCAATCTGGCTGAAAGTCTTTATGTGTCACTCTAGAGACCATGTTTTCCTGTTTGTTGTAAAGAATCATCATCAGCACTGAAAACCAGGCCCTGCTGCTTTTTTAGCATCTAGAGCTCTCTCAGACCTGGGCTGCAGACTTCCACATGTATTTTTCTGATATAGACCTTATATACAGATTTTTCCCTTAAAAAGATGTCAACTTGGAAAATGATGGATTTTAAAATGGGTTAACCATTAAGAAACATGCTTTCAGTATTCCTTTTGTTGTATCTTCCATGTGAATCGGTTGTTTCTCTCTCTTTATTCCCACTGTGAGCTGGTTTTCATGTCTCAAGTGAAACCAGGTAGTGTGAATCTGTTCCAGGCCAAATCTGCAGCATCAGGGGTGAGTTCTCTTTGGAAGCGACTCTGAACTGAGCACGTAGTCATATCTACATGTGGAACTCTGGGTAGACGAGCCTTCCTTTTCTTTCCTTCAGGCATTTGCTTTTCCTTGTCTTCTGTTACAGAGGCTGAGTGAGGCAGGAGTTCTTTGGCCTCTAGACCTTGGCCAGGCCATCTTGCTGTCAGGAAGGATGGAAGAGCAAGCCTCCCTCCAGCAGCCCTGGCTGGAAACCTCTAGGCTCTGCTGCAAAACTGCACACACCTTGCGGGAGCTACGTGCACCCCAGTACATCATCAGAACCAGGGAGCACATCCTTGCCACTTGGAAGTGGCTTTGGCAGCTTCACAACTTCCTTTCCCTCTTTCTAATCCAGGTTGTACAATCCAAAGAGGAATCCTCTAACATTTCCTACCAACCTCATCTGCATTCCCACCATCTTCCTTGTAAGAAAGGCCTCACGTGTTTGACCAGAATCCATTCATGCTGCAGTTACTCAGGTTACTATTGCCCATACACGTCAGTTCCAGAGTCCTCAGCCTTGCTCCTCCAAATATGCAACATTGCACTTGTGTTATTGTAACTTACTTCCCCACCTTTGAGTCCTAGAGTGACTGTCTCCTAAATGTACCAAGACATGAGTAAGCTTTAAAACATAACAGGTCAGTGTCAAGATGGTAAGAAGCTTCTGTGTTCTAATGTAATTACATATCCCAAAATCATGCCATTAAGATCATCCAACTAACTTCCTTTCCTCAATAAATCTTCATCAGGTTTTTGAATTGGCTCTTAGAATGTATCCATTCATTAAGTACTTACAAGGTCTCGGCTCCATGCCAACCACTGTTCTATATCAACTCTTCATGAATTGGTCTCTGAATCCAGCCAATTTTGGGCGCACCACCCAAGGAGAAGTTTTACTTCTGTCTCTCTGAGGTACAGACTGTGGAAGGTGGTGGTCTTACCAAGATGGGGCCGACTTGTGTAGCCTTTTCTCACAGGGAAGAAAGCCAGCCAACCAAGAACACATCTTACTTGGCCTATGGGACATACTGTGCCTGCACTGCTCCTACACGTGACTGCTGGCATTGAGTTAGACTGATCTGAACCCTAGACAAGGAGCCAGAAAACATGCATCCAAGCCCTGCTACTTAAAAATTGTGCTCTTGAACAGTCACTTAGCATCTCTTCTTTGACTGCTTGTCTTTAAAAGAAAGTACAGAGGCACAAATACCAATCCCAGTGTGTAGCCTGCTTCCTGAGAGTCAGCACAAGTGAGATAATCTGTGAATCAATAAAATGTTGGACAAAGGAAAGAACTAGGACTGCCTGGGATTCCTTTTCATTGATAGTTAAGATGAATTCATGACTGTTAGCTGTGACGTCTGCAGTGTCTGAGGATGACTGGAAACAAAGTTTCCCAAGGCATTGCTTTCTACCATGTCAGCTCTGAAGAAGTTGGCTAAGGAAAACTAAATCTGAAGTATAAATCCTAGCATCATGGAGCTCAAATGGACAAGCTTTTGTTTTTAAGACATTGATTATTCTAACCTAAAGACCTCCTTGGTTTAGGGATACGAAGCCTGGGCAGTAGTTGTGTCCTCAGTGGCCCTTACTCAGCTGAGGGAGAAAGGAGGGAACCTGTGAAAACAGATCAGAGATAGGAGGAGGATGAGGCTGCCCTCATCCTCAGACAACCTCTGCCCCATTCACTCACTTGTTTTGCCCGGTCTCCGAAGGAGTCTTTCTTGGTGCCCCAGCCCCACAGCCAGCTCCATGCTCATTCCTGTCCCCAACTTCCAGCCTTGATTAAAACCCACATTTTCCAACCCTTGACCGTCCTAGATTCATCACTTAACTGCTTGATAAGACTCAAAACAATTTCTAATTACAGGGAAGGCTACTATGTGCACAGATGGTAAGACAAGGACTGTGCCCTCCGTATCATGTGGGTCCTTTGCCCAGCCCTGGGCAGGCACACAGTAGGATCATAGAAAGTGGGTGCTGAATTGAATCACACATCTCATTGGTAGACCATGTTCATTTTCAGTGTTTCCATTAAATCTAAAAATCTGAAAAAAAAATTAAAAAAAATGCAAAACACCAAAATCCTTAAACAGCTAAGAAATAAAAAAACAAACAAAAAAGAAAGCAAAAAATAAGGTGAGATATACAAGTCCAAATAATTTTCCAATTTCAATAAATGTAAACAGACAAAACTTGAAGTGAAAACACAGAGATTGTCAAGATGGATTAAAAACCAAATGTAACTCTATGACCTTTATAACAGTCATACCTAAAACACAAGGACCCAAAAGTCTGAACGTAATTTAAAAGGATATGCCAGACCAGGTTTGCACCAAAAGAAACTTTGGTTCACTATATTCACCAGAAAATATAGACTTCAAAACAAAAAGCAGTATTATAGAGTGTCACTACAAAAGTTATAAAAAGTTTAATTCACCAGAGGCCGGTTTTGGATGTTAGGAGCAATGAAGTATGCTTTGGATAAATCTGAAATGCCAGGAAGACAACTAAGAGAAGGTATCAAGTAGACAGCTGTATATGTTGAGTCTGGAACGTGGAAAAGAGTCATTTGCAAATAAAAGGTGTTTAAATCCTTAGAAGTGTGCAAGAATTCCTAAGGATCACACAGGAGTGTCTTAAGAATCTTCAGCATTTAGGAATCTAGTGGAAGTCAAGCTGGCAAGGAGTGCAACAAGGAACAGACACATTTTATAGAAAGAAATCAGGACACTGTTGTGTAATGGAACCTGAGATTAAAAAGCCATAAAGAAGAAAATGGTACCTTGTTAACCATTAGTATTTACAGAGTATTACTAACAAAGCCCTTCTCCTTGATCAAACTGTAATCAGGCTCCTTTAAGCCCTTCAGGTGTTGACCTTGGTCAGGTCTGTATCATCCGGTTTTATCAGGAATCTTGTTAAATTAATTTAGCAAAAATTCTCCACCCTCAATGTCTTATCAACCTCAATATCTGATCAAATTTCTCATCCCCCACCATCTTCCAGGTGCTATCTCATCACCCTGGTCTGCCTTCAATAAGAATCCCATCAAGTGAGTTTAACCAGAATCACCCCTTACCCCTAATGTTTCTCTTAGTGACTGTAAAACATTAAATCCCATCATTGTACTATATAGATGTCAGTACTTAGAGAAGGGTAAACAAATTTATGGTAGGCTTTTAGAATCAAATTTATGAGGATTTTGTAATTTCTCAAAGAATGATAGAAAAAGCTATAACATCATTGTTCTCCAAATCTTTATTTCCACCCACTGGCTCCTCGTCTTGTTCCTTGGCTATAAATCTCTACTTTTCCTTGCTGTATTCAAAGTTGAGGCCAGTCTCTCTCTCCTACTGCAAAACCTCATTGAAGTCATCCCTTGAATAAAGTCTTCTTTACTATCTTTAACAAGTATTAAAATAATATTTAACATTACAGAAAAAAGAATTGGTTATAAAGAGATAGACAATTGTTCTTAATAGATGATGAAGCAAAGCAACATGACTAATAATTCTGAAAAGATAAGGATTTAAAAAATACATTATTTAAAGTGTATCACAGAACCTGGGAATGTAAAGAGATAATGATAAGGTTGAAAGTGGTACTGGATTTCTCATTTTACACAAAGACAAGCCAATATATATTAAATCATCACTGATCTTAAGAAAAAAATGTACATAGAGAACAAAAACAATCAGCAATAGTATAAAACAAGCTTATGTCTTACAAAATCACTAGGGATAAAAGGTAATAAAATTTGAATAACTTGTCCAAACTCACATAGGTAATGACTGAAAAACTCAGAGTCCAAACCAGAATTGAAATCTAGAGAGTCCGACCACTTCATAGCTACATTAGAAATATACTTATCTGAGAAAACATGCTTTTAAATGATTATTTGAAGTTTAGATTTATTTGTTATTTTATGCAATTTTATATCAAATTTAAAAATAGAATCCCTGTCTTGAGATTTTAAATGATTTGGCAGCAGAAAATTGGCTGTGTGGTCTAATACACATTCACACCTCCATAGCATGTATAACTTGCTTTCAGGAATAACCCCTCCACCTCCCAAAAAATAAAAAAAATTACCTAGTTAATTTATGTTTACAATGTGAATACAGACTAATGAGAGAATCAAATCTCTTGGATCAATAATAATAAAAACCTTAACTTGAAAATTGGGACACTAATGATTCCCGAATTTGCAATATCCAGACAAAAGGTAGAAGTAAGCGTTCTTTTTTAGTGAATATTGATGGAGGAATAAAAAAAGACTTCGTAAAACAGATGTAATGGACATAAAGCAAATATTTATTGAGTCAAAATGTCATTTTCTCTTATAGTTTATATTGTCACACATATGCATTACAAAGGTAAGCAGGAAGCCTTGTCAATTTCAGGAACTGTCATGCCATAAAATGATAAGCCACAGGGAAAAACAAATACCAGAATCAAGTTGCTAAAGCAAAGGCAAAAATAAAAATTTAAACCAAAACATACATTGATTTGACTGTCATGGTTGGTCAGGTTTGGCATGATCCCTGGCAGGATCTGTTTTATATTGAGAAATGATGAACATTTGCTTTCTCTGCCGACATGTTTTCAGTGAGGTGTAGGACATAGGAAACGCTAAGGAACATTTAATTATTGCTCCAGCATTATAATAAACTGAAAGAGATCTGGGGAAAATACAAATAAGCAGCACATTACAAATCTCCTGTGGCACCCTGGAAACCCTACAAAGGAAATGTTAACATGTTTACCATTCACTCAGCCTAGAGCATAATTCTCCAGTTTGCTGGATATACTAATTTCATAAAGAATAATTTAGCTGTTATATAGAACACGCACAATCAAAAGGAAAAGAAGGGCTAGGGCTAACAAAATCTTTCTTCCTTTTAATTGTTTATTCATTCTGATTGGGATTGGAAGGCCTTTAAAAGACAAATATCTGGCAGCTATAAATAATTAAAATACTAGCAAAGAGCAATAATAATTACAAGAAAGAAAGAGTCCATCTTGATTATACACATTTCCAATGAAAAGAATGAGAGACACCACTGAATACTAAACTTAGAAAAGAAAAAAACAATTGATAATCTTTATAAGAACATGTTATAAGACAATTAAAAGTCAACATGTTCATAGGAAGTTCTTATAATTACACACATCATTCTTATAAAAACATACTCCTCTTACAGAATAAAATATTTATTTCTATAACATGAAAAATGAAAGGACAACTTGAACTGAGAAACCTATCCCACTCAGATTTGTTTTGTTTTAATGTCTTACTTGGAAATAAGTCATCATGGCAGGGACAAAAATGAAGTAAAAACATAAACTCATCTAGATTATCTATGAAAACTGTAGCTTACACTGACATTATTTATGCTATTATACTCCTTTTTAAAACAATGGTAAGAGTTTAGGAAGAAAGGGTGGGAGAAGTTTGTCTAATTGGTATGGAAGAAGCCGGAGGGCTTGCTCTTCTTATTTTCAATAATCAAAGCAGGAAGAATATACTAATTTACAATAATTATTTTCAACATGAGGTGATAACTACTTTGTACACCCCTTTATAGCATGTTAACCTTTCTGCCACTCATGAGTTATATGGCATATAGAAGGAATCAAGTAGGTGTTTTCAGAAGGAAGCAAAATAGATTTGTTTAAAAGAATAGTAAAAAGTGTCTTAGTTTTACCTAGGCACATTTTAGGTATGAGGTTATAGGGGCACAAAAGCCGATGCAAAGAACTTTTAATATCTTATAGTTTGGCTGCTTATAATAGGCTTGTTAATCAAAAAAGCTATGAGAAATTATAAATATAATTGATATTTGCTATAGTTTAATATGCTTGAAATTTAAACACCCTAAGACATGACATTAAGCTTATAAGTGCTCATTTTTCTTCCCTTCAAAACAAAATAGTTTTCATTTCCTTAGGTCTAATGTGTTGCTAATTTCCAGGGTACATAAAACAGCAGGAAATCCATTTAACTTGGAGAAGAGGAATATCAAATATAGATAAGCCATAAGAGACTCAAATTTCAGATAAGTCCAAAGGCAAACTATGTTAGAATCATGAGAATTTGTCATGTCAGGAAACAAAATCCAAAAACTCCAGTAACTTAAGTTCTGTCCAGCAACATTCATTTTCACATTAACCACAAGAAGCCAAGGATAGCTTTCAAAAAATAACTATTTTATAGCTCTTAGCAGGGGACCACCCAACATGCTAGGCCACCCAGTAAATAGCATGTAATAGTGATGATAAACTCTAAGATATGGGTTGTATGCCAAATTGTATGGTGCCTAAGAGGCATGGGAAGAGGTCATTACAGCACATTAAACTCTGGAAATCCGTGAGTCGAGGATTTAAGGGAGATTCTAAATTCGTGATTGTTTAACCGCTTTACTTACAACTTTTCATATTTTAGAAAAACAGCTAAACAAACAAAAATATGGAAAGGTTTTCTCCAACACCAGCCATTTTACAAAATAAAATTTCATTTAAAAATGTGAATTAAATTTAACTTAAACAACATTCATCCTATTTCTTAATTGCTACTCATCGCTTTTCAAAACCCACTCAGACATCCATATTGACATTTAAAATAAAATGCCTTAGGTTGATTTCCTATCTTGGCTATTGTGAATAGAGCTGCAATAAACATGGAAGTGCAGATATCCCTATCACATACTCATTTCCCTTCCTTTGGATAAATAACCAGTAGTTGGATTGCTGGATCATATAGGCTCAATTTCTTTCTTTTTTTATTTTTTTTTTGAGGAACCTCCATACTGTTTTCCATAATGGCTGTACCAATTTACATTCCCACCAATGGTGTGTACGAGTTCCATTTTCTCTGCATCCTTGTTATTGTCTTTTTGATAATAGCCATTCTAACTGGGATGAAATAGCTCATTGTGGTTTAGATTTGCTAATGATTAGCAAGTTTGCACATTTTTCCATGTAATTTGTTGGCCATTTGTATTATTTTGAGAAGTGACTTTCAGATTAATTTGTAGTATATATATATGCAATGGGATACTATTTAGCCATAAAAAAAGAATGAAATTCTGTCACTTGTGGATAACATGGATGATCCTGGAGAATATTAAGTGGAATAAGTCAGGCATAAAGAGATAAATGCTACATGTTCTCACTCATATGTGGAAGCTAAATATGTTGATTTCATAGAAATAAAGAGTAGAATAGTGGTTACTAGTGGCTGGGATCTACAAAGGTTGGTTAGTAGATACAAAATTACAGCTAGACAGAGGGAATGAGTTCTAGTGTTCTATAGCACTACAGGGTAACTATAACTAACAATAATCTATTGTATATTTTCAAATAGCTGTAAGAGAGAATTTTGAATATTCCAACACACAAAAAAATGATACATGTTTGAAGTGCTGGATATGCTAATTACCTTGATTTAATTATAACACATTGTATACATGTATCAAAATGTCACATTGTACCCATAAATATGTACAATTAAATGTCAATTAAAATAATTTTAAAATAAAAAAATATATATAATCTCCTATTTTCATTGAGGAGTGGAAAGAGGAAGACAAAAAAGAAAGAATAGCTTTTTTGAAACCAAATCACGCTACTTTAAAACTGTGAATAGGCCAGGTGCAGTGGCTCACGCCTGTAATCCCAGCACTTTGGGAGGCAGAGGTGGGCAGATCACCTGAGGTCAGGAGTTTGAGACCAGCCTGGCCAACATAGTGAACCCCCATCTCTACTAAAAATACAAAAATTAGCCAGGCATGGTGGCGCACGCCTGCAATCCCAGCTACCTGGGAGGCTGAGGCAGAAGAATTGTTGGAACCTGGGAGGCAGAGGCTGCAGTGAGCCGAGATCATACCACTGCACTCCAGCCTGGGTGACAGATGGAGACTGTCTCAAAAAAAAAAAAAAAAAAAAAAAACCAACAACAACTGCAAATAAACACAAAGCAGAATTTTTGTTCCTTTAAATATAATAAGTTCTCAATTTCTCCCTTGCCCCCCAGTCATAAACAGTACCAAGCATAGTCTCTGTCATTTACTATGGGGCCATTTATATAGCATACAATTTATCTAAAAACAGCTTGTTTCTTTAATGCAACCCAATAGAATAGTTTAGAAGCTGACTAAAAATAAATTCAATGAGTCAACTAGAGAGTAATCACCATAAATTTGAAGATAATGTAGGAAAGCTAATAGCCAAGACATGGTATACTCTCAATTGACTAGATCATAAGTAAAATTATAGTAATGGACCCCCCTCGTAAATAAGCAAGTGTCACAAATCCTAAGTATATCTTTGAAAAAGAAATCAATTATTTTTTAATTGTATGAAACAGGTTGTCTAATGGGTGATGAGTTCAAAATTTATCAAAAGGCCAGTATTTTATTGTTGTAAGAATTTATTTTAAAAAATTTTCAAGAAGCTCGATCAAGATGGTAACCTCAGGACACATGCCTTTGTCATTTTAAATCCCTACAAATATGTATTGGTGGTAGCAGTGTTAGATGTACAATAGAAGCTTGCCTACACACACACACACACACACACACACACACACACACACACACACACAAATACATACATAATGATACTAGAAAAGAAAGGTGAATTCTATGATGTGACTAAGAATTGTAGAATTTCTGAGAAATAGAAAAAAATAAAATTAGACTGGAAACAGAAAACACAGACAAAAACATGCACAAGGTAGGGCTCTATAAAAGCCAATACTGGGTTTATTTAAGCTTTGGAGAGGCGGGCAGGAATCAAGAAGCAGAAAAATATCCTGTGCCAGTCTTCGAAGTAAGTACCAATAAAGCTATATTCTTAGCAGTCAATAGGCTCTTCCCCCATTCCCTACCTGCATTAAAGAACTGGCAACAAGTATGTTTATCTACTGTCTAATGAAATCATGTGGGCACTTTGTCCAGAGAAATACCAGTGTCTTAGGTTTCTGGGAAATCCTAGAAGGAAAAAGGATTCCCATATAAAGGAAACAAACTATCAGGATGCAAGGCCCAAATGTCTCACATGTTGTTTGTTCTCTCACCCCAGAACCACTGAGATATACTTTGGCTAATTTCAAAGATTAACAACAATCAAATGTGTATAAAAGGCCAATACCATGAAAGGAAGTCAGTGAATTTAACAAATATTCAAAGAAAGTGTTGGTATTTCAAAAAATTAAAAAATGTTCCTAATATAAGGTCCATATCCAAATGAGAATTAAAAGTCTTTCATGTCTAAAATATCTAGAATTGCATTTGGAGATACTGAAAACTAAAAATATAATCACTGAAAAACTCAATAGAAGACTACATAGCAGAATGAGTACAGGTGAAGATAAAATTAGTGAGCTGGACAACTGACTCCAGGAGTTCTTCCAGAATACAGACAAAAAGGAAGACAGAAATACAGATGACAGATACAAGAGTTCCAAAAATGACTGATAACTTACATGATGTGCTTATGAATGAAAGGAACATCAGAGTTTTGTCATAGAAAAATGAGCAACAAAAGGCAAAGAAATTTGAACTAATGATTGATTCCCAAATTTGTACAAAGAAAAAATAGTATGCTACAAGACTCAGAAGTAAATGCCATTTATACAATGAAAATAATGTGAACAGTGAATACTGTGTTAAGTAAAAGTTGTAATAATATGCAGACAATGTTCTCTCACAGCACTACATTGTGAGAAAGAAGTATGTATACTAGGCTTTCAAGTTTCATTCACATATAAAAATCAATCAATGTGATTTAACACATTATGAAATTAAAAACCAAATAATATAAACTTTTAATTAGATGCCAAAAAGCATTTTGCATTATTCAACAACCATCCCTATGAAAACAAACAAAAACTAAATAAAGGAAAAGAGGGATGAGAATCACTGTTTTATCAAGAGTTTCCCTTAAAGTTAGAGAAAGAAAAATGATGACTGGTGTCACTATTGAATGTATCCTTGTACTTGAGTTGTAGGCTAATGTAACAAGAAAAGAAAAATAAATAAGAAGGTTAAATATTAGAAAATAAGAATTAAATGTAACCTCCTTTTCAAACATAAAAAGGTATAAAATAAGTACTAATAGAGTATAATAAGTAGTTGGGTAAGAAAAAAAATCAACTCACAAAACAATGTGAGCTTTCCTATGTAAAGAGAATAACCTATTATAAACTTTAATGTCCTAAAAATTTCCATTCACAAAATTTGGTAGCTTTGAAAACACTGCAAATAACTAGTTATAAAATATAAAAAATCATAATCACAATAGCCAAAACAAAACAAAAACCCATAAAATAGTCATAATGAAGTATGGAAAGGTGTCAGGTAAAGCATGGATATTGCCAAATTAAAACACATAAATCACCAATAAAAATTAATAATTGCATCTCAAGACAAGTAACCTGACTATAGTTTTGGAGATACAAAAATAATAAATCACAAAAAGCTACTCTAATGGTAAATCTTATTCAGCATTTTAATAGCTAATGTTATTAGTATTCTTACAATGAATTTTTGTTGACTGATTAAACGTCAAATGTTATGTTAATTTTGGTCCCAATTTACACTAAGGAAGTAATTAGTTCATGCAATTTTTGAGGCTGCCATATTCTTTGACTACAGCTACAACGGAATAAATTTTAGTGTTCTCAAGTATTATGTGGGTCTTTGAGAAGTAACCACACTGTCTTCCACAATGGTTGAGCTAATTTTTACTCCCGCCAACAGTGTAAAAGTGAACACACACTGGGCCCTGCTGGAGGGTGGAGGAGGGAGAACACCAGGAAGAACTGAATGTATACTGGGCTTAATACTTAGGTGATGGGATAATCTGTACAGCAAACCACCATGGCACACGTTTACCTATATAGCAAACCTGCATATGTACCCTCAACCTTAAAATAAAACTTGAAAATTAAAATTTAAAAAGTATTACTTGAGAAAAAAAATAAAGATGTAATTTTATAATTTAAAAAAATTCATCTCAACCTCCCCAAATAATACCAGTGATCAAAAGTCCTATTTTTTCTTCTTTTTTCAAAGAAAGGATGCCTGTAGTTAGGGAAATCTGAAGAGTTTTTAAATGAAAAACCTGCTAATCTGGGTTAGAGATAATCTGTGACTTTCAGGTAAGAAGAACATTCAGAGAACATAGGGCTTCTAATAGAAGAAGGATAAACCAGAAGATAGGTAACAAAGCCAAAGAAATAACTTGACAAGAAAGCTGAACTTTGGCCAGAATATAAAACATGGGAGTTATTAGTGATATGAGGTAGAAAGGCAGTGGGTGACAGTAAAAGAATCATCCATACCATTTCCAAGTTGTTGGCCAGATGGAAAAATTTGTCCCTAATAACAAACCACTTCAGTAGAATTCTGTAATGGACAAAGTTAGAAAAAGCCAAATATGTTGCAATTATAACAGATTATGATAATTATGGAAACAGAAAGCAAAGTTACTAGGGCTAAGGTATAAAATGAGTAGAAGAAAAGAAAGAAGAATATAATAACAGAAGCAAATGATCCCAATAACAGAAAATTATTTTTACTTCATGATTAAATGCATAATATATAAATTATTTCAGTCTTACAGTTCTGTTCCAAACAAGAAATGTTGGTATGTATTGCTTCAAGTATTGTAGCTAAATCCTAAGAGTAAAAGCATATGAGCGAAAGATTCAAAATTTCAGTAATCCATCCAATTTTAATTAGTATTATCACACCCACTATTTTCAGGGGAAAATGACATTGATTTCTCTTGCCACATCACACATCATGCTCTCCCTTTCTCTCATCTAACCTAATTAGCTCATTTTCAGTCCTTTGAATTTAACATGTCCTCATGTATGTTGCCTCCTCTCTTGAATGCTCTCTTCTACCTTCAGATCTCTGCTTGGATACAAAAGTTGCTATTCATTCTGTTCCTCTGCCTCAGCAAAGTCTTTCATCTCCTGCCTAGGTCAAATCAATCCTCATTATATCTCTCCTTTTTAGCACATCTGTGTCCCAATTTTTTGTGTTTGGATGGAAAATTTGGTATTCATTCCATTCCTCCTCCTCAAGAAAGTCTTTGATCTCCTGCGTTGGTCAAATCCATCCATCTTAGGCTCTCATTGTCTCTCTCCTTTTTAGCACGTCTTTGTCCCAATTTTATGTGTTAGTGATTCTCTTCTTGCCTGAAGCTTTATGCCACAATACCAGATATCATGTTACATCATCTGTTTTTGCTCAGAATTCCATCCTGAATATGTGTCATGTTACTGAAACCTGAGGAGCTGCTCAGTACATATTTTATTGTCAAGGAGAGGGGAGCTAAGCAAGATTTGTACAGATTTTGAATAAGTAAAAGTATAAGGAATAGAACCTCGGTTTCTGGAACTATTTGTTGCTGAGTTTCTGCAAGTGTTTCAGGATGCAACTTTTTTGTCTTTTCCTTTAATGTTTTCAATTCATCTCCCTTCCTCCCACCTTTTCCTTTCCTCATTGGTATCCAATTATAATGACCAGAAAAGACATTTCTATTTATGGGTTCCAACCCTTCTGACACATAAACATTCCAACTCACAGGATTCATTCTTTCCTGGTTGGTGCCCTAGCTTCACAAGAATGAGGAAGCACACAAATAAATAACTATCGAATTTTTTAAAAACTTGTTCCCATTCTACCTGGGATCATCTCAGATTCCATCCATAGCATGCCTATCACACCCCTCAAGAAAATCCATTGTCCTGACCAAACTCTTGATAGGAGTTATGTGTAAACAATAACACTAGGATGTTAAAAAGAGTACACATTTTATAATTTTTTGTTAATGGGAATAGATGACATTCTGCTTTTTAAAGCAAGACTTCATAATTTGTTTCTTTAATCATACAATACTGGATATTTTCCAGGCAGGAAGAAGTAAGCAAAAGTGAGAACAAAGAGTATCTCTAAATAAAGTCTCCAGAAAATCTTTAGTTATATCACAGAAGCCACGTCAAGCTACAAGGCTGGCTGGGAAATGCTATTCCAAATAAAAACTGAGTTTCTATAGTGAAGAAAAAGAGAATAACCCAGCAGACTGTGTCTTGAGTTTTATTTAATTCTTAAAACAGAATTAAACAATAAAAGGAAAAATTTCATTCCTCTGTTCTATACTATCCATTCCTAAATTGAGGAATGGATTTCCAAAGGGCAAGAGTCAACTCTGTAACACTGACTCCACCCCTCCTTCTGTCAAATTGCAGGATTTGGAAGGCTTCCTGGAATGTTCTCTTTTCCTTTTGTACACTAAGTAGTACATTTATTTATGGCAAGTAATGAGTAATTAGTGTCTATATCCTATTTTTAAAATTAGGTCCAGATGAATATCACTTGGAAAGTATTCCTAGAAGTTTGGGCTTTAAAGATGATGAAGTTTCCTTCTGTAGACTGAATATCTGTGTCCCCCAAAATTCCTGTGTTGAAGCTTCATGCTCAGTGAGATGGTTTTTGGAGGTAAGGCCTTTGGGGGGTGATTAGGTCATAAGGACAGAGCCATCATTACTGGGATTAGTGCCCTTATACAAGTGACCCCAGCAAGTTCCCACACCCTTCCACCATGTGAGGACACACTGAGAAGATGACCATGTATGAACCAGGAGGCAGGCCCTCACCAGACACAGGGTCTGCCAGTACCTTCACCTTGAACTTGCCAGTTTCTACAACTGTGAAAAAACAAATTTATGTTGTTTCTAAAACCACCAAGTCTATTGTACTGTTATAGCAGCCTAAACAGACTAAAAGAAAATTGGCATCACAAAGTGGGGGCTGCTGTAACAAAACCAAAAAAAGTGGAAGAGACTTTGAAACTGGATAATGGGTAGAGACTGAGTTTTGAGGTGCATACAAGAAAAAGCATACATTGCCATGAACAGACCATTAGAGGCAATTTTAGAAGGAAAAGAGGAAAGCTATAGAGAAAGCTTTAATTTTCTTACAGAATAAGTGTTCCTGAATACAATGTTGATAATAATAAGGAAGGGAAAAGTAATTCTAATGAAGTCTGAGATAGAAATTAGAAACATGTTATTGGAAACTGGAGGAAAGGTGATTCTTGTTATAAAGTGGCTGCCCCAGGTACAGCTCCAGTGGGCTGAAATGTGACCTGGGCTCTGGTGGAAGCCCACTTTGGAGTACAAAGCTAGCACATTTTGACAGCCATGTGCAGAGTGCCCAGGTGTCAAGGCTTTCTCCACCTAGATTTTTCTTTTTTGAACAGGGTCTCACTTTATCCCCTAGGTTGGAGTGCAGTAGCACAATCTTGGCTCACTGCAGCCTCAACCTCCTGGGTTCAAGCAATCCTCCTGCCTCAGCCCCCAGGTAACTGGAACTACAGGCCGCACTACCATGCCCAGCTAATTTTTGTAGTTTTTGTAAAGATGGAGTCTCACCATGTTGCCCAGGCTGTTCTCGAGCTCTCGAACTCAAGTGATCTGCCCATCTTGGCCTCTCAAAGTGCAGGTGTGAGTGAGCCACTGCACCCAGCCACCACTTAAATTTCAAAGGTCATCAGGCAGAGCTTCAGGCTTGGGATCCCACCCATGGAGAGTCACGGTATAGGACCGAAGCCAGTAGGGCAAAGCCTAGGCAGTGAACCACTATAGGGGAAGAGGTACTGCAAACAGCTTCCATTAGGGCAATGCCTAGCAGAGATGCAGTGGGTGGGAATACCGAGAGCCTTGGGGAACCACCTCCTGCCTGGCAAAGCTATAGGGGTAAGACTGCCAGCTCCATGGGCCTAGAGAAAAGAATATGGAACCAAAGAGTGATCTTGAGCCTTATGAACTAATGGCATTTGCCTTAGGTTTTGAACTTACATAGGACTGGTTACTCCTTTCTTCTTTTCTATTATCCGCTTTCAGAGTGGTGATGTCCATCGTATGCCTGTAACATTATTGTATTTTGGAAACATATAACATGTTTGTTTCACAGGTTCCCAGCTAGAGAACAATTTGCCTCAGGAGACCTTGACTACAGTGATGAAGACAGGATCTAAACAAATGAGTCTTAGATACATAATGAAGAAAGCATATATAGAATTCTCTCGTTGAAAGAGAATAGAAAGGATTAAGAATGACTCAGGACTTTGTAAAGGGAAAATAGTACTCAAAAAAGTAAAATTAGAGAAGTATATGTTTTAATGAGGTTAGAAAGAGGTAGAAAGTGGAAAAAGAGATTGAGTAAATGATTTCTTCATATGAAACTAAAGTCTATAGTAGGTTTTATAATACCATTGACTCTTGAACCACATAAGCTTGAACTGCATGGGTTTACTTACATGCAAATTTTTAAAAAGGAAATTTACTGAAAATTTTTTTGGAGATTTGCAACAACTTGTAAAAATTGGCAAACATTGTAGCCTAGAAATACCAAAAAAATAAAAAGTTAGGTATGTCATGAATGCACAAAATATATGTAGATGCTAGTCTCTTTCATCATTTACTATAATAAAATATGCCCAAATCTATTGTAAAAAGTTAATATTTGGCTGGGCATGGTGGTTCATGCCTGAAGTCCCAGCACTCTGAGACGCTGAGGTGGGAGGACTGCCTGAGCTCAGGAGTTTGAGACTAGTCTGGGAAACATAGTGAGACCATGTCTCTACAAAAAATACAAAAATTAGTCAGGCATAGTGGCCTGTGTCTGTAGTTCCAGCTACTTGGGATACTGAGGTGGGGGGATCACTTGAGCTTGGGATGTCAAAGCACTTGAGGTCAGGAGTTCAAGACTAGCCTGGACAACATGGTGAAATCCCATCTCTACTAAAAATAAAAAAAAGTTAGTTGGGTATGGTGGTGCATTACTGTAGTCCCAGCTACTTGGGAAACTGATGCATGAGAATTGCTTGAACCCAGGAGGTGGAGGTTGCAGTGAGCTGAAATCACACCACTGCACTCAACCCTGGGTGACAGAGTGAGCATCTGTCTCAAAAAAAAAAAAGGTAAAATTTATCAAAACTCAATGCACACAACCACTTACAGACAATACACAGCACCACTTGCAGTCAAGAGAAATGTAAACAAATTTATAGTATTAAGCTACAACTGCATAAAATTAAGTGTAATACATAGTATACTACTGTAATAATTTCATAGCCACCTCCTGTTGCTATTTCAGTGGGCTCGAATGTTGCAAGTATCTGCTTAAAATGCTGTGTGATGCTAATCATCTCCACATGAGCAGTTCATCTCTCTAGTAAAATGTGTTATGATAGTAAAAAGTGATCTCCCATGGTTCTTAGGTATTTTTCATCATGTTTAGTCTAATACTGTAAACCTTGCATAACACCATGGGAGCCATACAAAGTACCACTGATGATGCTGGAAGTGCTCTCAAAAAGTTAAGAAAAGTCATGGCATTACCAAACAAAAAAGCTGAAATGCTTGATATGTACCACAGATTTAGGTCTGCAGCTGAGGATGCCTTCCATTTCAGAGGATTCATCTTGTAAAGAAAGAGATGAGGTAAACTTACCATATCAACAAATACAGTATTGTAAATGTCCTTATGATTTTCTTAACATCTTCTTAACATCATCCTTATGATTTTCTTTTTTTTTCCGAGATGGAGTCTCGCTCTGTTGCCCAGGCTGGAGTGCAGTGGCGCAATCTCGGCTCACTGTAAGCTCCGCTTCCCGGGTTCACGCCATTCTCCTGCCTCAGCCTCCCGAGCAGCTGGGACTACAGGCGCCCGCCACCACGCCCGGCTAATTTTTTGTATTTTTAGCAGAGACGGGGTTTCACCATGTTAGTCAGGATGGTCTCAATCCCCTGACCTCGTGATCCGCCCGCCTCGGCCCCCTAAAGTGCTGGGATTACAGGCGTGAGACGCCACACACGGACCTTATGATTTTCTTCACATCTTTTCCCTAGCTTACTTTATTGTAAGAATGCAGTATATAATACATACAGCATACAGCAGGGGTCTGCAACCCCCAGGCTACAGACCACTACCAGCCCATAGCCTGTTAGAACCTAATGATAAATGTAATACACTTGAATCATCCTGAAACCATCCTCCCACCGACCTCTGTCCATGGAAAAATTGTCTTCCATGAAACTGGTCCCTGGTGACAAAAAGGTTGGGGATTGCTGGCATACAAAATATGTATTAATCAATTATGTTACCAGTAAGGCATCCGGTCAACAGTAGGTTAGTAGTCAAGTTTTTGGAGAGTCAAAAGTTTTACATACATTTGACTGCATGAGGTTCAATGCCCCAACCCAATGTTGTTCAAGGGTATAATAATCAATAATCAATGATCAAGAACACTTGCTGAAGTTTCAACAGATAAGTAAAAACAAAAATAAGATTAAATGATGACAGAAATGACCTAAAAATATGGGCAACCCTGATATTTCTAAGACTTGCTTTTGTAAATTATAATTGAATCACAGCCAGATCATGTACAAATTTATTAATTGTCAAAATATTAGAAATGCTCCTAAAAAGTGCACACAACTAAATCTAATCATAAAGCAAAGGTAGTGTGAAAAGACTTAAGTGAATACTATGTAATTTTTTTCTGAAAAATACAGAAACATTTTATATTATGATCACTTACTCATATACCTGTTTTGTTGTCTGGATTTTTGTATCATGTTTCCTTTAAGTGGAACACACTATATTAAATTCATAAATAACTAACACTAGGAATCCTTGGCCAATATCTCAAAGCCATATTATTCCAGTATTCCTGGAGGAAGCAATGGGGAAGGATGAATGATATTCTAACTTTTGAAGATCATGTTTACATCAATTGTTACATGCTCTTTGAATTGCTCACAACAAAACAGAAAAACTTTGCAAAGGTTTTTAAAACAGGATTAATCTAAAATGCATAGCCAGAAGGTTTTTAATAAATCTAAGCAAGTATAGTGTCAAGCAAAATGTTAACATATACCTTTTTGAAGACCTCTGCTTGACTGGTCCTTGGATGTTTTGTGGTTAGGTAAGATTTTATTACATAAACTGTATATTGAGCCTTTATGCCTTATAATTATGTTAAGTGTTTTTTTGTGAAAGTTTCTTCAACTTATTTGGAATTTTGCTTCCTCAGCTGGCAGCAATTAGACCCAAAGACCACCAGAAATAATTCTTCAATCCCTTTTGGAATCCACAAACTTGTTATGAACACTTAAAGAAGCAAACAGAAACATTACATTCTGATAAAAAGGCCAGAGGGAAGGTTATTCTTTTCCCTTAAAAAAGAAAAATTATGCTTATAAATGATTCAAAAGCCAAAAAGAAATAATTCTACCAAGGTATGCAACTTTATCTGAAATCAGAGCCACCTTATGCAGAATTCTGTACTTTGAAAATAACAGCTCACACAAATTATTGACTACTTCTTGCCCAGTCAGTACATTCATCTAACAAAGCAATTTCCATATGAGCAACCACAAACAGTTGGGGCTTCAGTTGTTAATCTCCCATGAAAAACTATTTCCATACTATTTTTAACTTGCATATGGTAGTGATTATCTGTTTATCTCTGGAGCATGAAAATTCTTACAGTGTCCTTTATTATGTATTTATGTACCATTTTCCCTTCCATGTCCTTGGCAGATGGAAGATTCACATCTTCCTCCCAGGAACAAAAGTAGAGAGCCATGTTGCTTTCTTTACAATTGGCTTCTATTCTGTCTCCCAAATTCTCACATTATTGGGACTACTTCTTAACAGCTTTTCAATTTTCCCTTCTTAGCTAAAAAGTACAATTGTGTAATACTTGAAACCAACTAATTTGGAAGAGTAGATGAAATGCAAAATGAAGTTCATAATTCACTTTGACCACATAAATATAAAATCAAGTATTACATCTTTTACTACAAATTGGAAATTGATATTTTAAAAGTTTAAAAATCCATTCAAGGTATTTAAATGTAGATCTGAACTAAGATTTCTTGCATGCTTTTTATCAAGTTTGTAAATTAACTCATTTAATATACTTAATAACCATGAGATAAGAACATTGTTTCAGTTTTGTGGATGAGGAAAATAAACTTCACAAAGATTAAGTATCTCATCCAAGTTTAAAAAATAATGGTCCTGAGTATTACAATCAGTTCCATCTGAATTCAGAAAACTATTCTTTTTGTGACAATGTTGTATCCATTTTGAAGTTCAAGAAGGACCCAATTACAAACTAGACTGACTTCAAATACATAGATCCTGAAACAGAGTTACAATACAAATTATTGCCAACAATTGCTAAATATCACACATTCTTAAGGAACTCATAGTTACTGTTGGGCACAAACATCTTTATTTCCAGCTGTCTCCATTACGTTAAGTATGTGGATATAAGATCTTCACTAAGATGATTTCCTGAGAGAAAGAAGGTGCCCACTGTTTATTGGGGTGAGGTGAGAGTAGTAGGAAGTTTATACACATATACACGCATACACAAACATTTTGTACACATAGATCTCTTAAAAATGAGATATGTATCTTTTAAAATTTATGTCTAGATTATGATATCTAAAAGTATTCCCTATATCTGATAGCTTTGAGCTCTATAATGTGGGCCAAGTTTAAACCCATTAAGATAATTTTTTAGAAACTATATTAAAAACAACAAAATCAAGGTCATATTTCAGAAAGTAGAACTGAGATGCTCAACTCTTGCAATCTAATATTTCAACCTTTTTGATGTGGTTAACCACGAGCTATGGGCTCAATATTTGTGTTGCCCAAAATTCATATGTTGAAATCCTAAGCCCCCAGAGGCAGGACCTTTGGAAGGTGATTAGGTTATAAGGGTAGAGACTTCATGAATGGGATTAGTATGCTGCTTAAAGAAGCTCCAGAAAGCTGCCTCGCTTATCTTCCATGTGAGTAAATAGGCAGGAGCCACTGTCTATGAACCAGGAATCAGGTCCTCACCAAACACTGAACATGCCAGTGCTTGACCTTGAACTTCCCAGCTTCCAAAACTACAAGAAATAAATTTCTGTTGTTTATAAGCTACCTAGTGTATAGCTTTCAACAGCCCGAAAAGACTAAGACACCTCAGGAAAGAAGTAGAATAAATGGATGAAGGAAAATATTTTATCTTTATTTGATATATTGCTGTATTTTGAAAATTATTCTCTAAAAAATGGGCTCATGTATTAACTTTTTTAAAAATGATAATAGCAACAAAGGCAGCATTCAAAATTAAACATTCAAAGGAGGGTTGAATTTTAGAGACAGCTACACAAAATCTTTTATTAGCATATGATTAAGAATACTATATAATATTTAAACTGATTTTCAATTATCTGATCCCAACAAGACGTTTAACTTTTCTTTCAATTAGACTGATCCTATATTTTAGTTTTTATTAGAATATCCAATATTTTGATGGTTTTGTTTTTTTCTAAGCATTTCCTACAGAAAACTATCTTGGGAATAAACTTAATAAACAATTCAGCACCAGACTTAAAGACAACTATAACCTTTGCTTTTTTATTACCACAGTGTATGCAGTACACAAACCATGATGAATTGTACAATAAATGCTTGTAATTATAATTTTATACAAAATATGAGCACTGAGTGTTCATTAAACTAGTAATGCTTCATTAAAACCTAAGAAAATGTCCTATAGGAAAATATTTTACAGCATAAGCTTTATTCTTTTTTGAAGTGACAAGAAATAGATAACATAAATATTAAGACAACAATAAAACCAGCATGCTGTGAAAGTCAGCGAAGTTAAAAGATCATAAACTATGTCAACAATTTATATGTACATATATGTGACTTATTTCTCCATCCGAAGGCTTTATAGCTAAAGATATTTATGTGAAAACAAGATAATCATTTCTAAAGAATGTATGCTGTTTACTTACCACCTACAATAATAAAATTTCAGGTAGAACAATTGATTTACAGCTGAATTATCTACAATGCCTCAAGAAGAGAATTTGTCTGTGCAAGGATAGCACTGGCAAAGGTACTACATCTCAAAGTAAAGGGGAAAAGCTAAAATTATCTTTTAGTATGGCCTGTGAAATGTAGAAAATTTGAAATACCTTCAAAAACTGTATACCAAGAATATTTTAGAATCATTTAAAAGCTTTTAAGTGAACATGAGAGGATATCCAAATTATACTGCAAGTCTACATTTACCTATATTAACCTATGTTTCATGTTTTATCTACCATCAATTAGAAGTGAGCTTGTTGTAACTGCAATCCTATACAAGCTCCAAAGCATAAAAACAGGGAAAAAATGTAATTTGATGGCTTTGATATACTTTTCTCATTATATAAAAATGTCTACATCTTATAAAATTAAAGAATAGTGTAATTTTCTTTAAAATTATCTTATACTTTGACCAATGGTAGAGAGTAAGAATGAGTTAAAATAGCTATTAAACATTGTAAAGGGCCCATTTACCCCCCCACACATTATTTTTTTGTCTGTTTGTTTGTTTGTTTTGAGATGGAGTTTCACTCCTGTCGCCCAGGCAAGAGTGCAATGGCACGATCTCGGCTCACTGCAACATCTGCCTCCCAGGTTCAAGCAATTCTCCTGCCTTGGCCTCCTGAGTAGCTGGGATTACAGGTGCCCGCCACCACACCCAGCTAATTTTTGTATTTTTAGTAGATACAGGTTTTCACCATGTTGGTCAGGTTGGTCTCAAACTCCTGACCTCAAGTGATCCACCCACCTCAGCCTCCCAAAGTGCTGGGATTACAGGTATGAGCTACCACGCCTGGCCAATTTACCCCCTTTATGAGCTCACTTCAAATGAGAGAGCCATTAAAACTAATAATTGAGGAAGAGGCAGCGTGGAGTATTTGGAGGAATCCAACGAGGTGGAAACAGTAGTCTAGTCAAAGATCTGAGACTTAAGAACATTGTGACTTTGGGCAAATCATTAAGCTTCTTAATTTTCTTTTTTCCTTTGCACAGCAGAGGTAACAAAACTTGACCTGTACATCCCTGAACCTACCTGTTCATGCCAGAATTTGTCTAAGGTTTAAATGAAAAGTCTAAGAAAGTCCTCATCAAATATAACATTTTATGAAGTTAATTCTCATACACATTTTATGACTGATTCATTTGATATTACGGGGGGTAAAGGTAAATTTAAAACTTTATATAATGAGTTTTTCATATCTAAATAATATTAACACTAAAATATTAGGTTGGTGCAAAAGTTACTGTGGTTTTTGTGATTAATTTTAATGTTAAAAACTGTGATTACTTTTGCACTAACCTAATAATTTAAAATAGAAATGCTATCTAGAAACCAGAAGCTTCTATCTTTCTCTTTCAACTTGATTATACTTGCCTTCAGATCCCTTTTGCCTGGTATATAGTAAACCCAAGAAAAATCGATCAATAAAGGAAGAAAGGAAAAGAAATGTGTCTCTTGAATTACCCAGGCTCAACTCTGCCACATGATTTAAGAATTAACACAATTTAAATATTCCCAACATAGATACTTTATTTCTATTTTTGGTATTTAAAGATTAACCACCTAGAATTCCATCACTTTTCCAGAGCAGATAATCTGCTGCAAGATGCAGAAAAGTATCTTGTTTGATATACTCTATCTAGTTAGCCATACTTCCCACAGACATAATTAAATTTAAGATTACTAGTATCTTGCCACCATTAATATTTCTGTTAAAAAAAAGTCAAGTAAAATTATTCTTTTTGATTAAATATACTCAAAGGAATACTATACAAGATAGAGGAAAAATGAAAATGTAAGTACAATATTTATGTTATTATAAATACTACTGGTTTCTAATTTTTAGTTAATTATTCATTTAGAGACAAGAGTCTCACTCTGTTGCCCAGGCTGGACTGCAGTGGTGTGATCTCAGTTCACTACAATGTCCACCTCCGGGGATCAAGTGATTCTTGTGCCTCAGGCTCCTGAGTAGCTGGGACTACAGGCATGCACCACCATGCCAGGCAATGCCAGGCTAATTTTTTTTTTTTTGTATTTTAGTAGAGATGGGGTTTCACCATGTTGCCCAGGCTGGTCTCAAACTCCTAAGCTCAGGCAATCCACTGGCCTTGGCCTCCCAGAGTGCTAGGATTACAGGTGTGACCCACTGCGCCCAGTCCTATACTACTGATTTTTAAGAAGTATGGCGGTATATGCTTTAGTCATACAAATTATTACACAGACACATATGGATATAACATAAAAAGTTGAATCAACAGAAGCCCCAGATGTGATCTGTGAAATACTTCTGCAGAGCAGTTTGCAAACTATGGCATTATATAATCCTTTTTATCTCAATCTTGTATAGAAAGCCCTTTCTAATTCACAGGAGACTTTCATCAGGTTTGAATTTTTTGCAGACAGCAGTTTCAATGGGTATCAAAAATTCCCCAGCATCTCCTGTATATCTTTTCCAGTAGTCCAGAATGATATTTATAAATTTCTGCCATTTCTTACCAATAAAATACCTTTTAACGGGTCATGAAATACTAAGAACTATTCATTCATTTATTGTTTATCGAACTCTTTTTTGAGCACCCAGTATGCCCCAAGCACTAAGGATAAGCATGGAACATTTCATATGAAAAAGAAACCAAAGCACAACACGTGCTTGTGAATGCCTAAAACTGACTAATGGACCTGATATTAAGAACCTTGCCTAGAGTAAACCTTCCCCACTTGTCTAAGATCTCGTTTCCTGTGTCTTCTTCTTTCCATGTTGATTGGCATCTTGGACCAGAGGTCAAGAAACTATTGCCCTCTGACCAAATCCAGGCTGCCTCCTGTTTTTTATAATTCAAGTGCCATTGGGACACAGCTGTCCATTCATTTATGATTTTTCTATGGCTGCTTTATCACTGCAATTGTATTTGAGCACCCCAAAACCCCTATATCTTCCTAAATCCTTTATAGGAAAAAGAAAACACCAATTTATAAATAAATTATTTTGAAAACTAGGTTTTAATATACACATTCTGAAATATTTAATCAACACTCAGCATCTGATTTGTATATAAATTATCAAGAACCATTTTTTCCATCTATTCTTCTGTAATTTATGCAAATAAACTAAAAAATAGATCCTAATTAAGATAACAGCTGTTCAGAAATTTTGATTTAGTGTTCAACAAAACTAAAAAATCTGAAATATTAAACACAAGATAATTTATGTGAGCTAATATGACTATTAAAACATTTCATTTTAAAGGGCATATCAAGAAGGCATCATATTATTCTATCATTCGCTGTAATTCTTATCCTTCTCAAGCTAGTAATCATCAGTGTGTTAGAAGGATTCTTTAATCACTACATTTGAAACTGCATAAGACAAACTCAAGCCAAACATCTGTATGAGTGATTTTATGCAAGCCTTGATCTTCCACTCAGTATAATATATGCATGTACTCATCTACCAATGTCAAACATTCAACTTGTACATTATTCTTTTTCTGGCTTAAAGAAAAGAGAAGTTTATTTTCAGAGGCTGGGTGTCAAGCGCTCCTGTGGTGCTCCTTGGGTCAGACTGTCCTCTATCCTGTCACCCTACTATCCCAGATCATTGTCCTCACACACACTGTCATAGATGGCCCACCCTCATGGCTGAATTTCAGCCTGTGAGAGAGAGGAAATAGGGGAAGGGGAAGGAGAATCACCTTTCTCTTTAAGAAAACCACCAAGAAATTATACACATTATATGTACACGTGAACAGAATTTAAATCAAATGGCATAGCTAGCTCCACAAGTTCTGTTACCTAAGAGACATAAACAAGAACGGATATAAAGGGGCATCTAAGAGCTCTGCCACAGATACGGACTGGCTTCTACATTTGAACTAAAGCAAAATAATTTTCTTCTTTTCTTTAGTTTTAATTTTAGGTTCAGGGCTACATGTGCAGGTTTGTTACATAGGTAAACTTGTGTCACAGAGGTTTGTTGTACGTTATTTCATCCCCTAGGTACTAAGCCTAGTACTCAATCATTTTTTTCTGCTTCCCTCTCTCTGCCCACCTAACTTGTACATTAATTTAAATAATGGACCACACTTAATGTGAAACAGTTTCCTCTTTCAAGAATAAAGTTCTACATTATTGTATTAAAGAGATTGTGCAGGAAGAGAAAAACTTTATTTACAATTTGAGTTGCTTGGTAATTTGAATATAAATGCTGATAAAACTTTTAGATGTTGAGTTATTCTTGGTCAAATAGATCTTCCAAAGTAGTTCCCACTTCTTTAAGTAAAATCTGTGATAAGGGTTTTCCTAGGTTTGTATTTACACACTATTATTTTAAATTCATTTGGACACTTTCATAGCCTATTGAAAATGCAACACCTAAACTGTAGTATAGATCTGTAATAATTCTCCCCATGAGAATAATATATAATTTAAAATTCTGTCCTGTGTTAAATTCTAATGAGGTATTAATCAATTTTGCATTTTTAGAACACTAATGCGTTATAAAATAAATGGCACAAAGAGTAATGAATCTCAATGCTAGTTCACCTATAACTTACTTTCTTCATGTCCAAATAAAGTTTGTAATAACAATTCACCAAGATGATTTAAAGGTGAATAATAAATGCCAGAAATAAATCAAGAACAAAATAATTATAGTAAAGACTTGTAACTAGGTAGGGTTGGCAGTTTTATACTGTATTCAAAGCTCACAGTTGACAATGTTGGAAAAAGAAAAATATATTTTATCGTCTTGTATTTGGCTGAGTTATTGCAAACAAGGTACTGAGAACAGTTCCTGGCACAGAGTAGGCAGTACCCAAAGTCTGCATCACAATCATTACCACCATCACCATTATTATCACATCTTAGAAATAAAACAAAAACAGAAAACCTCACCTGCAGACAATTTTCCTCTCTGGGAGTGAAGCAGTTGAGAGTACAAGAGATGAGACCATATGTTTCTGGAGATTTACAAGGTGAACATTTCCACCATTCAGGAAAGGTTTATCACAAGACACTCAAGGAATAAAAAACTTACCTTTGGCACAACAATGTCAATATTAAAGTCAGTGGAAATACAGGGCAAAGAAAGGGAGGCAGTGAAATCTATGAAGAGATGTATTTAAGCCAAGGGTAAGTAGGATAATAAGTATCCATAGAGACCAGTTTATGATCACCTGGAATGAGGTACCAACAAGGTCACTGCCTGTACAACTGCTACTCATTCCTCAAAGGAATCCTAAAATGCTGGATACCTAATTCTGACTGAAGAAATATTAATAAAGTCTATTGCTCTCTGACAGGGGAATGATGGAGATATTGGTTTCTGTAGTTATGTATAAAGCACTAGTGTACCAAGTATCACTCTCTCTCAATGGTAGCACAACACATTAGCAATGGAAAGAGCAATGGAATAAGAAGATACGGTTAGATGTTTAAACTGTAAAATGCAGGGCAATTTTCAGAAAAGACACTTCTAGAGGGGTACCATCTGGAAAAGTATGGCAGTTGTCCTGCCAAGTGGTAACCAACACCTCAACTACATTGGTCACAACAAAAACAACAACAAAATAAAAGAAAGGTGGGTAATGTCAAAAAAACGGAATTAGAATCCAGAACATTTGAAGGGGTATATTAACAAGATGGGGGAACAGGAGGTCCTCACGCTGAATTCGTCTACAGAAACAAATATTTGACAGGTATCTACAGACCAAAGTGCCTATGTAAAGCTTTGGAATTCAGGTAGAGGGAAGGAAATTCTAGTGGAGCCAAAGACCCAGGAGGACTGCTTTAAGAAGACAGGCTTATACATTGATGACAAGCCCACAGACCTTGATACCAGCTTCAGAATAGAAACAATGTTGTTCCTGTATGGAGCAGGCTCCAGCCCCACTCCTCCCCAGTCCTGCCAAGAGCCCCTTTCACCAAAAATCCAGGGATGCGCCATGCCCATTCATGCCTGCAGTAACAGGGCCTGCAAACCTTAGGCCCAACTGAAGTTCCTGAAGCAGTACTGTGACCTGACTTCCAGCTCCATTCTACTTCAGTCCAAGGCAGTCCTACCTGTCTAGAGACATGCCCAAGGGAGCTGGGAGAAGTCATATGCAGGAGTTCAGTCAGGGTGGTGGGAAAAGTTGTAAGAAAAAGTTTTAGGGAAAGATGCAAGCCTTCTTGGAAGGCCAGAAGGTTTTGCAAAGCTTCAGGGAAGGATGAGCTGAAGGCAGCTGTTCTTACCCTGGGGCTTAGGGCGTAGGTACAATGGAATGTAGAGGAGTTTATCTAAATAGCTTGTTTACTCAAGTTGTCCTAAAACCGACCTTTGATCATTCACATGCAGGACTGCTCTCTACTGGGTGGGGGGAGTCAATGATATTTATTCCCCACAAATTGTGTTTGCTCCAAGCCTTTGTCATTAAATCTGTACTAAATAAATGCGAGCGGGGCTGGCTGATGGGGGCTGCATTCTCAGCAGCTGCACTCTCTCAGCGGCTGCTGGACTCTCCCGTCAACAGTGCAGAGCTAAGCAGTGTGGTCCTCTAGCTGCGCTGTCAGGTAAAATACCTGTGTCAGTGTACTTCTTTCATCTGTTGCTCGGCCAGACTCTGTGGGACAGACTCGGCAGTGATACCTATAGGCATTCCAGGTAACAGATGTGCCAATCTCAGATCCAACTTTAACCTCTGAAGTAGAACAAGCCTCCAGGCTTATCTTGGCCAGGAGGCTGTTCTACCCACCCAGTTATCCAGCAGGAGTCAAAACCATAAGTGCCCCAGGAATTGGCCTGCCAACCTCAGACCTGACTGCTGTCCCTGAAGCAGCATAGTGACCTAGGCTCCATCCCTGTTCTACCATAGTCTGGAAGCAGTTCTACCTATTTAGGGACATGCCCAGGCAGAAGCATGCTCACAAACCTGAAGGAAGCTACACTAATCTGTGCCCCTAGTAATAGGCCTGCCAAATGCAGATATGAGTGAGGAACCTGGCACAACCATAGGACCCCACTCCATCTCACCCAAGTACAATTCCAGAAACAGTCCTACCAGGTTAGAGAAGGCCTGTACCTGCTGAAAACAGTCTATAAAAAATGAAAGCACAAACACCAGTGCAAGGTTATACAAAACATGAAGAATGAGGCAAATATGACACCATCGAAAGAAATTAATAAACCCTCAGTAACCAATGATAACAAAATGAAAATTCATGAATGACTTGACAAAGAATTCAAAATCTTTAAAAAGCTCAATAAGCTACAAGAGAATGTGGATAAACAACTTAATAAAACTAGGAAAACAAGATATGAGGAGAATTAGAAGTTTAACTTATAAATAAAAACTATCATAAAAAAAAAAACAGAAACCTTGTAGCTGAAGAATATAATCCCTGAAATAAACAAACAGAGATCTTTAACAGCAGACTCCAGCAGAAGAAATAATCAGTGAGCTCAAAGACAAGTCATTTAAAATTACTCACAGGAAAAAAAGAAAAGAAAAAGATTTTTTCTTTTCCAATTTGATTAATGAAACATCATCAAATTAAGCAGCATATTCATTAAGGGAGCACCAAAAGAAGCAGAGAATGAGAAATGGTAATTAGCTTTTTCAAAGAAATAATGACAGAAAACTCCCAATGTCTCGGAAGGGAATTGAACATCCAGCTCTTCAATGTAAAAAGAACCTCAAGTAAGTGGAATTAAGAGGTCTTCACCCAGTCACATTACCATCAAATTGTGAGAAGTCAAAGACAATGAGAGAATTTTGAAAGCAGCAAGAGAAAAGTGAGTAGTTAAATACAAACATCCATATGACTATGACTGGATTTCTCAGCAGAAACCTTTCAAGCCAAGAGAAAACGGGAAAATGTAATCAAAGTACTGAGAAAATAAATTTTTAAACCTCCAACAAACCAAAAAAAAAAAACCTACCAACCAAAAATATTATATGCAGCAAAGCTGTCATTCGAGAGTGGAGAGATAAAGACTTTCCTTTATCTCTTTATCTCTTTATTTGTTCTTTCCAGACAAATAAAAACTGAGGAAGTTCATCACTACTAGACCTGCCTGACAAGAAATGCTAAAGGGAGTTCTCCAACTTGAAACAAAAGACACTAGTTAGCAAGATAAAAACAAATGAAAGTATAAAACTCACTGGTAAAGATAAGTATATAATCAAACTCAGAATATTAATATTGTAATGGTGATAACACAAATCACTTTCAACTACAGTATACAGTTAAAAACAAAAATATTAAAATTAACTATAGCTATAATAATTTGTTAATGGATACAATATATAAAAGATATAAACTGTAACATCAATAACCTAAAATGCATGAGAAGATGTATAAAAGTGTAGAATTTTGTATTAATCCAAAGCGAAATGTTATCTTAAAAGAGACTGTTATACCTATAAGATGTTTTATGTAAGCCTCATGGTAATCACAAAGATAAAATGTATAATAGACACACAAAAGATAAAGAAAAAGGAAGGCAAGCATACCACTATAAAAACTCATCAGATCACAAAGGAAGACAAGTCAGGGAGAGAGGAACAAAGGAATTACAAATCAAGTCAGAAAACAATAGACAAATTGCAGTAGTAAGTTCCTACCAGTCTGTAACAACTTTAAGTGTAAAGAGATTAAATTATCTAATCAAAAGACATAGGGGCTACACAGATTTTAAAAATAAGATCCAATTCTACGCTGCCTGCAAGAAACTCATTTAGGAACTCATTTTCAGGGTGAAAGTGAAAAGATCTGGTAGTTTTGAAAATGGGAGTTCCTCTGCACAAGCTCTCTTGCCTGCCTGCTGCCATGTAAGTTGTGCCTTTGCTCTTCCTTTGCCTTCCACTATGATTGTGAGGCCTCCCCAGCCCTGCAGAGCTGTGAGTCCATTAAACCTCTTTCCTTTATAAATTACTCAGTCTTGGGTATATCTTTATTAGCAACATGAGGATGGACTAATACCCTCACCTTACCTTTCAAAGATGCAAAATCCCTGGCTTCAAGGAACGCATTTCCCTGATGCAGGCCACATGCTTTACCTCTATCCCTTCTATACACTCCCAGGGATTAACCCCCAAAATCAAATCTCCCATCAGTAGCCTGATATAATTATGTGTGGTTATAATACCTTCAGTTTAACTTATCAGTCACAAACAAATCCTTTGTTGAATGCCTCTACCAAGCACAGTCTTCTTATAACTGATGTCATTTATGCACTTACTTATCTTTGTTCAATAAGTAAAATAACTTATTGAAGAAAATCAGTAAGTTCAAGTAAATGAACTTCCTCCCTTTTAAGAAAAATTTGAAAAGGATGTTTTGCTACTTAAAGTAAGTTGTACTCTAAGCTCTTTGAGGAATTAAAACATGTCTGACATTTTCAGTGCCTATCACAAGGTCTTGGCACATATTATGGATTCAAACAATATTTGTTCAAAGGATAAATAAAGGCATATTAACAGGTATCCCAAGCATTCTACCATTTTTATTCTGACTTGCCTAACCTCCTATAAAACTTGATATTCATCCATATTTTATAAATATTCTAGTACCAACTATGTGTCAGGATTTTCATCCTGTTTATTAATACAATGATGATTTGGTTCCTACCCTCATTCTTACAACTTGTAATATTTCAGATTTTTCAGCCTTAACAAATTTGATGTTGAAATATATTCCATGAAGTATTTCTTAATCACCTCAAACTATAATAATCAGTCTCTTCCAGCCCTCAATATTGTCTATCCCTGAACTGCCTCATACAGCTGTTATTTATATACATACCTTATTTCTCCCAATGTAATCTTATATAGGATGTTAAAAATTGTTTTACATATAAACAAACATGTATACATACTATACATATTCATAAAATAATTTCAGCATAACTAGACATAATTTTCTCTTCCTCTTAAAAGTACAACCTCCAATTTCTCAAAAAATCAAAAATACAACTGTGACATGAACTACCAACCACACTACTATTTATCCAAAAGAAAGGAAATCAGTATTGTTAGATATCTGCACTCCTATGTTTAATGCAGCACTATTCACAACAGCTAACATGTGGAAATAACCTAAATGTCCTTCAACAGACGAATGGATAAAAAAATGTGGTACATATACACAATGGAATACTATCCAGCCTTTAAAAAACATTGAAATCCTGTCATTTGCAGAAGCATGGATGAACCTCGAGGACATTATGTTAAGTGAAATAAGTCAGGCACAAAAAAAGGAAAAACTATATGCTCTCACTTGTAAGTGAGAGCTAAAACAATGAGCTCATATAACAAGTAGAGAGTGGAATTTTGGTTATTAGAGGCTAAGGAAGGTAATGGCCAGGGGAAAACAGGGAAATGGTTAATGTATAGAAAATTACAACTAGATGGGAGAATGAGTTCTATAGTAGGGTAAATAGAGTCAATAAGACAGACCAAGTCCGTGATAATATTATGGAATGCATTAGCTATTATAATTTTTGCATATATTTATAAAGTTAGGTGGATTTTAAATGTTCCCAACACAAAGAATAGATAAAAGGCTGAGCTGATGGATATGCTAATTGCCCTGATTTTATCTTTACACATTCTATATGTGTACCAAAATATCACTCTATTTCATAAATATGTACATTATGTATTAACTAAATATGAAGAAACTGTATAAAACCTCCACAAAAACTTACAAAAAATATGTTTTCTACTCTGAAATGTAATTTGTATTTTCATTGAATTTATTTTGTTTTTATCAACAATAAAATATTCATGAATCCTAGCCAATAAACATATTTAGAGTATGATTACAAAGTAAAAGTAGGGTACTATGAATATACATATGGTTTGTTTCACCAAGTCACCATAAGCCAAGTTATTAGTGCTTTGGAAGGAACTGGGTTGACTCAGATTCTATGGATCCCAGGAATCTATATTTTAAAATACTTTTCAGAGGAGCTATAAGTAAACAGTTTTGGCTCCTCTTGGTCAAGTTCACATGTAACAGATTTGAATAGTGAGGACGTTGAAACATTTTCACTTTATCCTGCCACTGCATGGAAAGACAGACCAATTCCATGATAATATTACAGAATGCACTATCTAGAAAAGCGTTCTAGAAAGAAAGGACAGGAAACATGCATATGTCCTTTTCCTGCCATGACCATTAATTTCTCATTACGGTCTGAGAAATTCTAACAATACACATTGGAAACATGAGGAAATGAAGGCCATTATCTTGTACTATTTCTACAAAATTTAGCATTCAAGCATACTATCACTTATATTTAAAGAGATATTATGTAGCATGCCTCTAAGCTAAATTCTGAAGGTAACTAGCAAGTTGATTCATAAAAATTACAGTTAAGTTCTAATTACGTCTATATAATTGATAAAAACTATTGGCCAGGAGCGGGGGCTCACGCCTGTAATCCCAGCAATTTGGGAGGCTGAGGCGAGCAGACTGCCTAAGCTCAGGAGTTTGCGACCAGCCTGGGCAACACGGTGAAACCCCGTCTCTACTAAAATACAAAATATTAGCCGAGCGTGGCAGCGGTCACCTGCAGTCCCAACTACTCGGGAGGCTGAGGCAGGAGAACTGATTGAACTCGGGAGGCGGAAGTTGCAGTGAGCCGAGATCGCACCACTGCACTCCAGCCTGGGTGACACAGCGAGAGTCATTAAAAAAAAAAAAGAGAGAGAAAAGAAAAAAAGAAACTATCATTTACCTCCTGATAGATACAGCTTATTTTTTTAACCTCATTGAGACATTATGTGTACAACGAAACTGGTATTCCTCATTTTACATAGTCATAGTATTTTTGTAAAATCATTACTTAACCCTTTTATTCTTATAATTGAACAAAGATTTTAAATGAGCAAAATGCCTTTGTAATAATGTTAGATTTATCAGAAACTATAACTGAATATTTAGTGGAATAGGATTTATTAGTTTTATTTTTCCTCAATGTAAGAATAATCAGCAACTTTCTTACTTTCTAGTTTTTAAAATTTATTTTAACTATTAAAATATAACATTTCCTGTCTAATTAAGAAGAATAGATATCCTCAACATTAACCGAACAGCTATGCATTGGAAGATGTTAAAGGGATGCTGGGGATAAATCATCATTTTGAGGATGCTAAATGATAGGACTGAATTTGAAAGAAACCCATGACACTTTGAAAATATGAAGCATGGCTTTTTAATGATTGTTTTCATCCCACATCAAAAATGTGATATGAAACAGGAAATCCATGCTATTTTGCTATTTTTAGAATTAAAAAACACTACCACGATATAAGAAAAAATGAGTAAGAGTTAAGCCGATAAGTCAGCAACATTTACTGAGCACCATCTGCTATAAGAAAATATGAAAGATGCCTTGTCTTAGTCCATTTTGTGCTGCTTAACAGAATACCAGAGACTGGGTGATTTATAAAGAAAAAATTATTTCAGTCCTAGGGGCTGGGAAGTCCAGTACTGAGATGCCAGCAACTGGGAAGGGTCTTTTTGCTGTGTCATCCTATGGCAGGAGGGCAAGTGACAGAGTGGGATACCAAACGAGTTTTTTATAAGAAACCCACTCCCATGATAATAAACCCTCTCTGGCAAATGGCATTAATCCATTCATAAGGGTAGCTTTATGGACTAATCACCTATCATTAGGCTCCACCTCCCAATGCTGTTGCATTGAAGATTAAGTTCCCAACATAGGTTTTTTGGAGGACACATTCAAACCATAGCATGCCTGTTTTGCAGTCACTAATTAAAAAATCAAATAGTTTCTTTGTCAGAATTTTGTTAACACACCAGTAGGATTCACTGGTAGACTGATAAAATGAGACAATGTAGATGAGATGGGTACTATGTACCTCAATGACTAAATGAGTCAAAGATAATAAATCATTATTCATTAGTGTGTTGCCTCTTCTAAAGCAGGTAATATTTCAGTTAATGACAAACATAAGACAAAGGAGCTTCAAACTAGAAACCATCACCTGAAATCATCAATTTAGCAAAATCTATTTCTTAGAAAAAGTACTTATTCAAAATTGACCTCAGGCTCAAAATTGAGATAATTATATAAAGGAAATGTAGGTTGTGATGATTTGTTTTTTCAAGCAATAGTAAACAAAGGCACTCTGTTCACAGAGGAGCAGAAATACTATGTTGCCTGTTCCTTGCTACAATCAGAAGATAACACTATAGTTATTATGCCCATCTCAATGATTATTATATTCCTAATTCCAAAACATTCATTGTAGATGGGTAGAAAAACATTTTAAAGTATATTTTAAAAAAATAAAATTGATTATCTTCTTCCTAGACATTTTGAAGTGTATTTCTTCCATACGCTTTCTATTAATATATTTACATTCATGTACATACTTTACAAATTGAAAAAATATTGTACATATTGACTGATCTTCTAGTTTACCATATATTAGTTAGATTATTTTATAAGACTCTATTTTAAGAAAAGTATAACATAAAACATTTTCAACGTAATTTTTCTAGAAAAATACTAGTAAATATTGTAGGAAATTACAATATACTACCATGTCTTGGGTTAAAACTATGTGCAAATTATACACAATAAAGTTATCCCTGACTGAAAACATAGTGAGCAAATAAAAAAATTCACTCCAAAATTTCATGAAATTAAAATTTTAACGAAGTTGAACAACATATTCTTCAAACATTTGAGATTCTGAAGAAACTCAGAATGGCAAAGAATCTATGTCCCATTCCTCCATAAATAATTTTTAAATCACCACAAATAGAGAATGATTATATATAATCAATGTGAATGTGGTAAATAAAAGGAACTCTGCATTTTAAAAGTGTAAGAAAATATGATGGAAATGTGAGACCATGTAATTCTAGCATTTTATGTATAAGCAGATAAGTATTTTACAATCAAGATAAAACTGGGAATAAAATTAACAAATATGTGAGATGTTAATTTGATGTACATTAAATGTGTACAGAGTATTATAAAATATACTTTATATGAATTTATAAGTTACATAAGATAAACGACTTTATTTTAATAGAAAAAAACAGTAATTTTCCATTTGAACTATAACACACTCAAGAAAACGGTAACTACCCCCCAGTGAGGGTATAAAAATGTTATATTGGGACTTCTGTTGGACGAATACTTAATTTGCCTTACTGTGAATTAAAAGTGTCATTCCCATTGTTTAAAAGATTTTCTGCTAATTATCTTATTATTTTCCATAAGTATTTATAAAATGAATTAGTATTAGGACTGAAATGTTGTGAAACTGAGGTTAAAACAACAGAAAATACTTTAATCGCTGTTTTTCTTTTTATAGTTCCTAATAAAGCAATTATATACTGATTTTGCCCTTAGTATTTCAACATGAAAGGCAGGGTCTTGGTTTAAAGTTATGAATATGATTTTAAGATTATTCCCAAAGCCTTTAGGCGGTTCGCAATGTAAAATAGGACTTTTTTTCTGTAGCACCAATACAATGAACTCAAAAATCCTGTAATATATAAAGTTCTCAAAATATCTTAAGAAATGTGAATTTGTTCCATTTTTTCTCTTACATGAGTTTTTAGTTTCTAATGTACACTTCTTAGGGGGCTCAATGTATTTTTCAGAAAGAAAGCCAATGTTGTATGTTGTTCAGCATAAATTTTACTCTGCATATTATGATTAGCCTAACTGTGATATCCTTAATTGATAAAAAATGAATATTTGGGATTTTCTATATTTGGAATTCCAACTTTTAGGGCAAAGAACCATGTTGCTCACAGCTTGTCTTTTATTTATGCTTAGCTTTACATAAAACTAACAATGCCAATTTTGGCTTATCAAATTGAATAAAAATTAAAGATTATTACCCTATCAGAAAGATTCACTGCCAATTTCTTTTCACAATTTATATATAAATTACCTATGAGGTATTTAAACTATTATTATGACATCAACACAACATAAATCAAGGGTCAACAAACCACAATCTGTGAGCAAAGTCTTTCCCTGTGGCTTATTTCTATTCAGCTCATGAGCTAATAACTTTTTTCACATTTCTAAAAGTTTTTTTAAAAAAAGAAATAAGAATATATGATAGAGTATCAGTAGCCTATGAACTCTAAACTATTTACAATATTACCTTTTAGAGAAAAGGCTTGCTTCCCTAGTTTAAATAATTTACTATATATTTTTAATTCAAAAGCTTGAACTAACTTTCAGAATGTATTTACTGAACAAAGCAAAGCAAACTGCAGGTAAACACACAAACATAAATATCTACCAAGTCCTATTTCCTATACTTTTGTCACATGAAGTGACCTAATTTTTTTCAATATATCACATGAAGCAGGCAGGTATTACATAAAATGTTTCACATTAACTTAATATCTCAAATAATCTCATGTCACTGATATCATGAGGTCCATTTTACAAAGAAGGAAACTAAACCTCTGTGAGAGTAACTTTTCTTTAGAAAACTAAACTGTTCACTTTTTTTTTTCATAAGCAGCATTATCTTTCTACCTCTTCCCTTGAGATAAACTTTAGGAAAGGCAGAATCAAGTGTTGTATTTTAATTTTTTAATGAAAATAATTTGTTTTGTGTTTTATGTAGCAGACCATAGACATTTAACTACTTAATCCAAAACTACAATTACAGACTTTCATTAGAAACAAGTGTATCAGGAAAGCCTTTCATTGAACAAATTGTTTGTAATGGCTTGTGGCTCTCAGGTCATCTCGTATGGTCAAGTAAACTACTAATAGGCAGTAGTATTAAATAAATAACCTGACGTTAGCAGCGGTTGTGGCCTGCCTCCCACTCCTTGTAATGTGGTAAACAAAAATGCAGTTTTTGTTTCAAGAAATTTAAATATAAATACATTTATTGAACACTGAGTAAGTTTTCAATTTTTGTTATTTCTTCTTAAAAAATGGGACACATGGGCAGAGCGTGCAGGTTTGTTACAGAGGTATACGTGTGCCACGGTGGTTTGCTGCACTTATTGACCTGTCCTCTAAGTTCCCTTCCTCACCTCCAACCCCCCAACAGACCCTGGTGTGTGTGTTCCCCTCTCTGTGTCCATGTGTTCTCATTGTTCAACTCCCACTTATGAGGAACACTGGGTACATTTTAAGGACTTGATTTCCCTCATGAATTATATGTTAAATGTGAGGAAATGCTTACAGAGAAGAGTATATCATATATACTCCGAGTAATAAAACTAAACTTCTGTTACACAATTCTAAGAATAAAAAATGTGTGCCCAAGTATTAGTTATAAAAGTCATCACTGTTAAATTTATGTCTTCTTGGACTTATTTCCCAGATTAGAAATGAAAATTACATTTGATCTTGTCTTGTTCTTGACTGTACAACAAAACATGAGTCTTTCCAATAGTTATCCTTGATTAATGCTTTTAAATACTATTAATTTTATTTTACAGGTGATTCAATCTTCAAAGTTTGACAAATATCGTCAATATTCAAGATGGGTCTTTTTTTTTTTTTTTTAAGACAGAATCTCACTCTGCTGCCCAGGCTGGAGCGCAGTGGCACAATCTCGACTCACCACAACCTCTGTCCCCCAGGTTCAAGCAATTCTCCTGCCTCACCCTCCCGAGTAGCTGGGACATGCACCACACACCCAGCTAATTTTTTCTTTTTTTTTTTTTTTTTGGATTTTTAGTAGAGACAGGGTTTCACCATGTTGGTTAGGCTGTCTTCAACTCCTGACCTCAAATGATCCGCCTGCCTTGGCCTCCCAAAATGCTGGGATGAGCCAGGGGTTAGCCGCCACCCCAGGCCTCAAAATGAGTCCTTATTACATTTGAATACATCAGTACTGCCACTTTGTCTGTATTGTTTTATTTATTCCTTTTACCACAGCTGTGGGCCAGCTATCAGTGTCATAAATAGTCTACATACATCAATTGTCTTATTTTAGAGGTGCAAAAATTTCTGCATATCATATTCCCCCATATTCAAGCAAGAGATCAGTGGGCTGACATCACTGAACAGGCTACACACTGGTTCAGACATTAACTCTGGTGGGTCTTATTTGCAGTTAATTCATGGACAACATAAGTCTATGCAGGTCCACTTACCCAAGGATGTTTTTTCAATACAAGTTACACCGAGTGAACTCGCCTCTCTTGCCTCCCTTCTGCCTCTGCCACCCAACACAGTAAGACCAACTCTCCTCTTCTGCCCACTCAGCATGAAGATGATGAGGATAAAGACCTTTATGATGATCTGCTTCCATTTGAGGAATACGACATATTTTCTCTTCCTTGTGATTTTCTTAATAACATTTTCTTTAACTTACGTTATTGTAAAAATATAGTATATGACACATATACAAAATATCCATTAATAGACTGTTTGTGTTATCGATAAGGCTTGCATTCAACATTATGCTATTAGTAGTCAAGTTTTGGGGGAGTCCAAAATTTTATGTGGATTTTTAACTGTGCAGTGGGTCAGCACGTCAATTCCCACATTAGTCAAGGGTCAACTGTACAAACTCCTTACTAGGCATGTACAAAAGAAACACAATAATAGAGGGATACTTTCAAATATAACAAACAAGGGTTCCTTAATCTCAGTTTGGGAAGCACTGCTATCCAGGATATGGCAGGGATATAAGGGGAAGTCAACGGGAGGGGTCAGCATAAACAAACATGATTAAGGCCAATATGGATACTGGATACATTTCATGAGGACTACATCTTTTTTATATATATATTAAGCCAACACAAATGCAGCTAAACCCTGTATAGACTTACTGAGTTATTCAAAAGCAAAAAAAAAAAAAAAAAAATACGCTATTTAATTACACTATCTAGAATCTTAAAAAGAAGTGTGTTTGGATAATTGGCCAAGGTTCAGACTTAAAAATAGCTCTAGGGGCAACACTCATTTTATTTCACTTGCTTTAGCTAATAACTGTCACTGTTCTATCTTAGACAAGACTTTCTCAAGTTTTGGCCACACTTCTACTTTGCAGTCAATTTTTGTGTCTGGTACAGACATTGGCAGCTTTTTCAAAGGGCTGTGCCAAAGGGTTAACGTCTTTTCTGATAGTGTTCATGAGTAAAGGGAAGAAAATCTAAATAGGCTCCTAGTCTTAAAGGTCAGGTGGCAGAAATTTTGACCAAACTCAGAATTTCCCTCTGGTGACATCTCTGTAACTTTGCTCCATACTTCTGCCTCTCCCACAGGGACCAGATGCTGGAATTTTATCTATGGCATCTCAGAAGATCAGAGAAAAACTAAAAGACAAGGCACAACTTATAAACAAATTTGTAAAATAATAGGTCTACATCTAAGAAAATTCCATTCTACGTTATGCTGAATATTTTCACCTCCATCAAAATACAGAGGTTTCATGGCAAGAAATCCAGTCTTCATGTTAAACGATCATAATAGCATATCTTAAGAAACCTTTTTGGGGGTCCCATAACCCTAAGAATCTGCTGAAAGCTGTGGATGTTGTTGTGGAAAAGTATTTGCATTAGTAGAGACAATTTTTCATACATTTTAGGGGGCTCATAGATCACCTGAAATCAAGCCAGCAACCCCAGGAAATTTTTGATTCAATATAAATAGCAAAATACAGCTCCAAAGAGGTGACATCTTTTGCCTAACACAGCAGAGCATGTGAGCAGCAATAACATAGTTTTTTTGTTATTGTTGTTTTTTGTTTTTTGTTTTGTTACTCCCAATCTAATGGCCTGAAGAAAGCCCTTAACTTAATTCCTTTGGTAACAAAGACTTCAAAGTAAGTTGCAGGAAGTTTTTCAGAAGGAGAAGAAATATTTATTGTGTTTTTGAGGCATTGGGAAATCTTTCGGAACACAAATGCTGCAATTTTTTTTTTTTTTTTGCCCTAAAGAGCCAAGAAATGAAATTCATAAGCTTATTGCTATTCTGATTTGGAAGGACAAAAGTGAGGAAGATAAGCAACTGGAGTTAAAGAAAGTACCTGGAAGGACATCTGAGAGCTGGGAGAAGGTTCTCATATGGAAACAATATGATTCTGCAACAAGTCCGTATTGATTAGGATAAAACCAAGTCATCCCGAACATTATTGCAATTATATTAACGAAATATTAAATTTCTAAATCAAAAAATGAAAAGTGAAAAATAGCTTTTTTCACTATTTTGAGCTATTACAATTGCATAAAAATTACTGTATCCTGAAATTTGAATTTCATATTTTGAGGTTAATAAATCAGCTAGTATTTTTTTAATAATGATATGCCTTATGTTTAAAAGCTAAGAAAAAAGGGACTATTATATAATTCCATTTGCAAGGACTTTTCCATAGTGACATACATCCCAGAAATACCTTCACCTACTCCAGGGGTTTTAAACTGCCAAATAGGTCCTACTGACTGGCCAGCATAGCACGAAGGTCTACCTTAAACATTCTGCCCCCTCTCTGTCCCTCACTCTACTTAAATCAACTAATTTGCAGTTTCCCATGCCCTTGAACATACCATGCTTGCTTCCTGTTGTGTCACTCTGATTTCCCTTTTTCTAAATGTAGATATTTCTTTTTTTTTTTATTTTTTTTGAGACCGAGTCTCACTCTGTCGCCCAGGCTGGAATAGAGCAGTGCAATCTTGGCCCACTGCAACCTCCACCTCGGGGAATCAAGCGATTCCCCTGCCTCAGCCTCCTGAGTAGCTGGGACTACAGGCACGTGCCACCACGCCCAGCTAATTTTTTTTTTTTTTTTTGTATTTTAGTAGAGACGGGGTTTCACCATGTTGGCCAGGCTGATCTTGATCTCCTGACCTCGTGATCCGCCCACTTCGGCCTCCCAAAGTGCTGGGATTACAGGCGTGAGCCACCGTGCCTGGCCAAATGTAGATATTTCTGTTCATTCTTTACATCCCAGAGTAGGAATCACCTATATTATGAGGCCTTCTCTAAAACATTTTTCCTTTGTACCACCCTTTTATTTCATATATTATACATTATTGTCATTATATACATTTCCCCTTCTGAATTCTGTTTCTAGGAAGTAGGAACCCCGATTCCAAACACAATATGTAGCAGCAAATATTTATGAATAAATTTCTAATGAAATTTCTAATGAAATTTCTAAATGGAATACAGTTACTTTAGGAAAATAACTCAAGATATTAGAAAATATTAATAGAACAGGGACAGGTGGAAATTTTCTACCCACTGGACTTTTACACAATTTTACACTAGTATTCTCTCCCTTAAGAGATGTTTTTTATATCTAAAAGATGCTATATGAACTTCATGTATTGTAATTGAATCTACAACTGCACAGAGTAAACTAGTATATTATTAATGTGACAACCCAAAATTTTACTTTTCAAAAGTATCTTAATGGGTATAAAGATACTCTTAAAACAGCATAGCTTTCCTTATATATCCAATAGTATCTATGCTGGCATTTGTTAGCTATCAGCTAAAGACTTTTCTTCACCCTTCTCCATAACAGTAAAGGGTGGTTGAGACATGGCTGCTGGCTGGGGATTGTACTTCCCAGTCCCCTCTGGCACAAGTGTGGTCATGTAATTAATCCCTCATTGCTAATAGAATCCAAGCAAGAATTATGTGACTAACTTCTTCTTTTGTGTTTTGTTTTTATTTGTTTTTTAGCTATACTTATTTTGCAATTGTCTATAAACCGAACTGATTTCCATAAAATACGTGACAATTTCCATTTAACTTGCCTAAGAGGATATCCGTGGCCAAGGCTTCTGTTCTTTTCACCACCACTTAGAGTGGTTACAACCAATGACTTTGAAAGTTATGCATTAAAAATTGGGAGAGTGGCCGGGTGCGGTGGCTCACACCTGTAATCCCAGCACTTTGGGAGGCTGAGGTGGGCAGATCACCTAAGGTCAGGAGTTTGAGACCAGCCTGGCCAACATGGTGAAATCTTCTCTCTACTAAAAATACACAAATTAGCCCTGGTGTGTGATGTTCCCCTCCCTGCCATATCCTGGATAGCAGTGCTTCCCAAACTGAGATTAAGGAACGCTTGTTTGTTATATTTGAAAGTATCCCTCTATTATTGTGTTCCCCTCCCTGTGCCCATATGTTCTCATTGTTCAACTCCCACTTATGAGGACAGGCGGTGTTTGGTTTTCTGTTCCTGTGTTAGCTTGCTGAGAATGATGGTTTCCACATAGATGGTTTCCAGCTTCATCTATGTCCCTGCAAAGGACATGAACTCATTCCTTTTTATGGCTACATAGTATTCCATGGTATATATGCACAACATTTTCTTTATCCAGTCTATCATTGATGGGCATTTGGGTTGGTTCCAAGTCTTTGCTATTGTGAAAGGTGCTGCAATAAACATAAGTATGCATGTGTCTTCATAGCAGAATAATTTATAATCCTTTGGATATATACACAGTAATGGGATTGCTGGGTCAAATGCTATTTCTACTTTTAGATCCTTGAGGAATCGCCACACTGTTTTCCACAATGGTTGAACTAACTTACACTCCCACCAACAGTGTAAAAGTGTTCCTATTTCTCCACATCCTCTCCAGGATTTGTTGTTTCCTGACGTTTTAATGATCGCCATTCTCATTGTGGTTTTGATTTGCATTTCTATAGTGACCAGTGATGATGAGCACGTTTGTTGGCTGCATAACCGTCTTCTTTTGAAAAGTGTCTGTTCATATCCTTTGCCCACTTTTTGATGTTTTTTTTTCTTGTAAATTTAAGTTCTTTGTAGATTCTGGATATTAGCGCTTTGTCAGATGGATAGATTGCAAAAATCTTCTCCCATTCTGTAGGTTGCCTGTTCACTCTGATGATAGTTTATTTTGCTGTGCAGAAGCTCTTTGGTTTAATTAGATCCCATTTGTCAATATTGGCTTTTCTTGCCATTGCTTTTGGTGTTTTAGTCATGAAGTCTCTGCCTATGCCTATGTCCTGAATAGTACTGCCTAGGTTTTCTTCTAGGGTTTTTATGGCTTTAGGTAGTAACACTTAAATCTTTAATCCATTTTCAGTTAACTTTTGAATAAGGTATAAGGAAGGGGTCCAATTTCAGTTTTCTGCATATGGCTAGCCAGTTTTCCCAACACCATTTATTAAATAGGGAATCCTTTCCCCATTGCTTGTTTTTCTCAGGTTTGTCAAAGATTAGATGGTTGTAGAGGTGTGGTGTTATTTCTGAGGCCTCTGTTCTGTTCCACTGGTCTGTATGTTTTGATAGCAGTACCGTGCTGCTTTTGTTACTGTAGCCTTGTAGTATAGATTGAAGTCAGGTAGCATGATGCCTACAGCTTTGTTCTTTTTGCTTAGGATTTTCTTGGCTACACGAGCTCTTTTTTGGTTCAATATGAAATTTTACGTAGTTTTGTCTAATTCTGTGAAGAAAGTCAGTGGTAGCTTGATGGGAATAGCATTGAGTCTATAAACTACTTTGCGCAGTATGGCCATTTTCACGATATTGATTATTCCTATCAATGAGCACGGAATGTTTTTCCATTTGTTTGTAACCTCTCATTTCTTTGAGCAGTGGCTTGTAGTTCTCCTTGAAGAGGTCCTTCACATCTCTTGTGAGTTGTATTCCTAGGTATTTTATTCTCTTTGCAGCAATTGTGAATGGGAGTTTGCTCATGTTTTGGCTCTCTATTTGTCTATTGTTGATGTATAGGAAAGCTTGTGATTTTTGCACATTGATTTTGTATCCTGAGACTTTGCTGAAATTGCTTATCAGCTTAAGGAGTTTTTGGGCTGAGATAATGGTGTTTTCTCCATTGTCTCATATACAATATACACATACAATCATGTCATCTACAAACAGAGACAATTTGACTTCCTCTCTTCCTATTTAAATACGCTTTATTTCTTTCTCTTGCCTCTTTGCCCTGGCCAGAACTTCCAAAACTATGCTGAATAGGAGTGGTGAGAGAGGGTATCCTTGTCTTCTGCCGGTTTTCAAAAGGAATGCTTCCAGCTTTTGCCCATTCAGTATGATATTGGCTATGGATCTGTCATAAATAGCTCTTATTATTTTGAGATATGTTCCACCAATACCTAGTTTATTGAGTGTTTCTAGCATGAAGAGGTGTTGAATTTTGTCGAAGGCCTTTTCTGCATCTATTGACATAATCATGTGGTTTTTGTCATTGGTTCTGTTTATGTGATGGATTACATTTATTGGTTTGCATATATTGAATCAGCTTTGTATCCCAGGGATGAAGCCAACTTGATCATGGTGGATAAGTTTTTTAATGTGCTGCTGGATTCTGTTTGCCAGTATTTTATTGAGGATTTTTGCATCAATGTTCATCAGGGATATTGGCCTGAAATTTTGTTTTTTTTGTGTGTGTCTCTGCCAAGTTTTAGTATCAAGATGATGCTGGACTCACAAAATCAGTAGGGAGGAGTCCCTCTTTTTCTATTGTTTGGAATGGTTTCAGACAGAATGGTACCAGCTCCTATTTGTACCCCTGGTAGAAATCAGCTGTGACTCCGTCTGGTCCTGGGCTTTTTTTGGTTGGTAGGCTATTAATTACTGCCTCAATTTCAGAAATTGTTATTGGTCTATTTAGGGATTCAATTTCTTCCTGGTTTAGTCTTGGGAGGGTGCTATGTGTCCAGGAATGTATCCGTTTCTTCTAGACTTTCTAGTTTATTTGCATAGAGGAGTTTATAGTATTCTCTGATGGTAGTTTGTATTTCTATAGGATCAGTGGTGATCTCCCCTTTATCATTTTTTATTGTGTCTATTTGATTCTTCTCTTTTCTTCTTTATTGGTATGGCTACTGGTCTATTTTCTTAATCTTTTCCAAAAACCAGCTCCTAGATTCACTGATTTTTTGAAGGGTTTTTCGTGTCTCTCCTTCAGTTCTGTTCTGATCTTAGTCATTTCTTTTGTTCTGCTAGCTTTTGCATTTGTTTGCTCTTGCTTCTCTAGTTCTTTTAATTGTGATATGAGGGTGTCAATTTTAGATCTTTCCTACTTTCTCCTGTGGGCATTCAGTGCTATAAATTTCCCTCTAAACACTGCTTTAGCTGTGTCCCAGATATTCTAGTATGTTGTGTCTTTGCTCTCATTGGTTTCAAAGAACTTACTGATTTCTGCCTTAATTTTGTTATCTACACAGGAGTCATTCAGGAGCAGGTTGTTCAGTTTCCACGTAGTTGTGTGGTTTTGAGTGAGTTTCTTAATCCTGAGTTCTAATTTGATTGCACTGTGGTCTGAGAGATTGTTTGTTATGATTTCCATTCTTTTGCATTTGCTGAGGAGTGTTTTACTTCCAATTATGTGGTCAATTTTAGAATACGTGTGATGTGGTGCTGAGAAGAATGTATATTCTGTTGACTTGGGGTGCAGAGTTCTTTAAATGTCTATCAGGTCTGCTTTGTCCAGAGCTGAGTTTAATTCCTGAATATCCTTGTTAATTTTCTGTCTCATTGATCTGTCTAATATTGACAGTGGGGTGTTAAAGTCTCCCACTATTATTGTGTGGGAGTCTAAGTCTCTTTGTAGGTCTCTAAGAACTTGCTTTATGAATCTGGGTGCTCCTGTATTGGGTGCATATATATTTAGGAGAGTTAGCTCTTCCTGTTGCATTGATCCCTTTACCATTAGGTAATGCCCTTCTTTGTCTTTTTTTTTCTTTTTCTTTTTCTTTCTCTTTTTTTTTTTTTTTTTTGAGACGGAGTCTCGCTCTGTTGCCCAGGCTGGAGTGCAGTGGTGCGATCTCAGCTCACTGCAAGCTCCACCTCCCGGGTTCACACCATTCTCCTGCCTCAGCTTCCCAAGTAGCTGGGACTACAGGCGCCTGCCACCACACTCAGCTAATTTTTTGTATTTTTTAGTAGAGACAGGGTTTCACCATGTTAGCCAGGATGGTCTTGATCTCCTGATCTCGTGATCTGCCTGCCTCAGCCTCCCAAAGTGCTGGGATTACAGGTGGGAGCCACTGCACCTGGGCCGCTTGTCTTTTTTGATCTTTGTTGGTTTAAAGTCTGTTTTATCAGAGACCAGGATTGCAACCCCTGCTTTTTTTTTTTCTTTCCATTTGCTTGGTAAATATTCCTCCATCACTTTATTTTGAGCCTATGTGTGTCTTTGCACATGAGATGGGTCTCCTTAATACAGCACACTGATGGGTCTTGACTCTTTATCCAATTTGCCAGTCTGTGTCTTTTAATTCAGGCATTAATCCTGTTTACATTTAAGGTTAATATTGTTATGTGTGAATTTGATCCTGTCATTATGATACTAGCTGGTTATTTTGCCCATTAGTTGATGCAGTTTCTTCATAGTGTCAATGGTCTTTACATTTTGGTTTGTTTGTGCAGTGGCTGGTACCAGTTTTTCCTTTCCATATTTAGTGCTTCCTTCAGGAGCTCTTGTAAGGCAGGCCTGGTGGTGACAACATCCCTCGGCATTTGCTGGTCTGTAAAGGATTTTATTTCTTCTTCACTTATGAAGCTTTGTTTGGCTGCTTATGAAATTCTGGGTTGAAAATTATTTTCTTTAAGATTGTTGAATGTTGACCCCCACTCTCTTCTGGCTTGTAGAGTTTCTGCTGAGAGATCTGCTGTTAGTCTGATGGGCTTTCCTTTGTGGGTAACCTGACCTTTCTCTCTGGCTTAGCATTTTTTTCTTCATTTCAACCTTGATGAATCTGACAATTACGTGTCTTGGGGTTGCTCTTCTAGAGTATCTTTATGGTGTTCTCCGTATTTCCTGAATCTGGATGTTGGCCTCTCATGTTAGGTTGGGGAAGTTCTCCTGGATAATATCCTGAAATGTGTTTTCCAACTTGGTTCCATTCTCCCCATCACTTTCAGGTACACCAATCAAATGCAGCTTTGATGTTTTCACATAGCCCCATATTTCTTGGAGGCTTTGTTCCTTACTTTTCATTCTTTGTTCTCTAATCTTGTCTTCATGCTTTATTTCATTAAGTTGATCTTCAGTCTCTGATATTCTTTCTTCCACTTGATCCATTTGGCTAAAGATACTTGTGTATGATTCATGAAGTTCTTGTGCTGCGTTTTTCAGCTCCATCAGGTCATTTATGTTCTTCTGTAAACTGGTTATTCTAGCTAGCAGTTCCTCTAACCTTTTTTCAAGGTTCTAAGCTTCCTTGCGTTGAGTTAGAACCTGCTCCTTTAGCTCAGAGGAGTTTATTACCCACCTTCTGAAGCCTACTTCTGTCAGTTCATCAAACTCATTCTCCGTCCAGTTTTGTTCCCTTGCTGGCGAGGAATTGTGATCCTTTGGAGGAGAAGAGGCATTCTGGTTTTCGGACTTTTCAGCCTTTTTGCACTGGTTTTTCCTCATCTTCATGGATATATCTACCTTTGGTTTTTGATGTTGGTGACTTTCGGATGGGGTTTTTGTGTGGTCATCCTTTCTGTTGATGTTGATGCTATTGTTTTCTGTTTGTTAGTTTTCCTTCTAACAGGCCCCTCTTCTGCAGGTCTGCTGGAGCTTGCTGGGAGTCCACTACAGACACTGTTTGCCCACGTATTGCCAGCAGAGGCTGCAGAACAGCAAAGATTGCTACTTGCTCCTTCCTCTGGAAGCTTCTTCCCAGAGGGGCACCTGCCAGATGCCAGCCAGAGCCCTCCTGTAGGAGGTGTATGTCGACTCCTGCTGGGAGGTGTCTCCCTGTCAGGGGCGTCAGGGACCCACTTGAGGAGGCAGTCTGTCCCTTAGCAGAGCTCAAGCATTGTGCTGGGAGATCCGCTGCTACCTTCACAGCTGGCAGGTAGGAACGTTTAAGTCTGCTAAGGTGTGCCCACAGCTGCCCCTTCCCCCTAAAAGTCACCTTTCTTTAATTTTATAAGTCTATTTTCTTACACATTCTCTTCCATACCTAAATTTAATATTTATAATTTTTCTCTACACATCTCTCCCAACCTCCTCCAAGAAAAAAAAAAAACATTTTGGACATTTTAAATTAATATCACCTGTAAATATTTATGATTACATATGATAAAGGAGAAATACTAAGAGATGAAATGATCTGTTTAGATTATAAAACAAGCAAACTAGCAACAATACTAGAAGCTTAATATATTTACATTTGTCTCACAAACTAAACCCAGATACTTAAATTTTGGCATCTGGGAGAAAGCAGCCACATTTATAAAATATGTTCAGTTATCATCAGTTCTAGGAACTAGGTCAATAACAGACACATGTTCTTGTCATTGGAAAATAATATAAGACCATATATGCTTCAGCAGCTATGTCTGTATGGAAACACCACACATGAGGAGAAGTCAACAATTAACTAACTCTCATATATTCATTGTCAGATGGAACCCACATGCAAATGCAAATTCAAAAACAGCCTTTTCCTTATAAAATACTTAGAACAAGATTGTAAAAACACCATAATTCCCTTCTTCCACCTTGCTTTCTCTTTTCTCCCCCACCCACTCCCAGTTACACTGTTATAAAAATTATCAGCACCCAAATATTATAAAAAGGTGACATAGCTTATGTTGGTACAACTGGTCAGATGCACTTCTACAGAGATCATGGCTTGGTGTACTATAACACTTCATAACCCTTTTCAACCTGTAAAATCTTCCGGATGAAAAGACTGTGGAGCTCTAGCTACTTTTTCTTCACTCTTGCTTCACTTGAATAGCTCCAAAAGCCTACATTAAGTTTTCCTTATTTGAAAGAAAGGACAGAATTCCTCTGATCACATTCTGTCTAAACATGAACATTTTATGGCTACCCCTTTATTCCTTACCTCTTAAATGTTATAACACCATTGTTGGTACACAAAGTCAAACCTGTGAGGGTTTTTTTCCAGCAGACTTTGTTAATTACACCAGTTTAACCTGTTTTCATTTGTACAGTCTTAGACTAAAGGTGATGTAGCTGATAAATATTTATTTAAATGGTTCTTTGTGACAGCATTAGGATTAGATAGTTGCATGAAGATTCCTAACACTACTGGTACAGCCTAAACTTTTTTTTTTTTGAGATAGAGTCTTGCTCTGCTGCCCAGGCTAGAGTGCAGTGGCATGATCTCAGCTCACTGCAACCTCTGTCTTCCAGGTTCCAGCGATTCTCCTGCCTCAGCCTCCCAGGTAGCTGGGATTACAGGCTGGCATCACCACGCCCAGCTAATATTTGTATTTTTAGTAGAGACAAGGTTTCACCTTGTTGGCCAGGCTAGTCTCGAACTCCTGACCTCAGGTAATCCACCCCCCTCAATCTCTCAAAATGCTAGGATTACAAGTATGAGTCACCACACCTGGCCAGCCTAAACTACTTTTAACAGGCTATAACGGAAGCACATTCTTAATTCTCATTTGTTATCAATTGGTTAAAAATACATTGTCCTACTCGAGAGTCTCCAGAGCCTTCTTACCAGCTACTGTGCCAAGTGTAAATTCTCCTGATGACTTTTCAGGACTCTTACATCACGATCTTGCCAGGTTTCCACTGCTCTCAATATGAGCCCAGCACTACTCTGTAAAAACATCCTACTTCTGCCTACCCCTTCACCCATGCCAATGCCCTTCTTCTTGCTTTCTTCCTACATAACAATACCATCCTAAGCTTGTGTGCAACCTCTTCAAGAAAGCTTTCCCCTTCTTTTCCAACCTACTTTTTTTTTTTTTTTTGAGATGGAGTCTCGTGCTTTCGCCCAGGCTGGAGTGCAGTGGTGCGATCTCCACTCACTGCAAGCTCTGCCTCCCGGGTTCACACCATTGTCCTGCCTCAGCCTCCCGAGTAGCTGGGACTACAGGGGCCTGCCACCATGCCCGGCTAATTTTTTGTACTTAGTAGAGACGGGGTTTCACCATGTTAGCCAGGATGGTCTCGATCTCCTGATCTCGTGATCAGCCTGCCTCAGCCTCTCAGAGTGCTGGGATTACAGGCGTGAGCCACCGCGCCCAGCCTTTCCAAGCTACTTTCATCACCAACTTCTCCAAATTTGTAAGGCCATAACACAAATTGGCACTTATTTATACACTATTTCCTACCTGTTTGGGTTGAGCTGATCCAATCTTGTCATCTAATTCATAAACTCTGCAAAGCTCAGGAAAAATCTCATACTTTCTTTGGATATTTTCTGTCAGAAGGTGCCTATATATAAGAAGGTGATCAGTACATTCAAATATATTAAGAAATTAAAATATCTGCCCCAGGTTTTCCGAGATGGTCTATCCAGTCTGGAATAAAGGCCTTGGGTCCAAATTGCCAGGTCCATTTCTTATAAATGTGTCTCCATTACCCTGGTCAGTGTAGTACAGTATAAAAGAAATGGGCTTGTGAATATTCCAACTTTCTGCTTATCAGCTGTCTTATTTAGGCACACAAGTCAATCTCTGAGCCACTGACACCTTGGAAAAAAACCAAGGATAATAATATTTACATTTCACGGACTTCTTTGATTTCTTTGAATGTATTATGCATACTCCGCCTCAGGGCTCTTCCCTCTGCCTAAATATTTCTTTCCCATCTATTTACCTAGTTAATCCCTATCAATCTATTCTTAACGAAGTTGTCCTGACTCCTCTCTCATCCCACCCTATTTATCTAATGAACTTCTTTCCTAGTAGAGACTGTAACATGCTAGAAAAAACAGAACACTTTGTCTTATTCCTCATTGTATTATCCTGCGCTCTGTGTAAATACGCAAATACTTGTTACTGAATATTTTTTCCCTTCCCCTTTCTTCTTTTTATGTATGATTTACTTTTAGCCTAAATCCTGTTAAGTGACTTTTCTTATTCTTTGATGTGTTTCTTGGCAATTGATTATGGTCACCAATCACTATGTAATAACTTGATGTATAAAAATGTTTTTAAGTTACATAAGAAAAGTGACAAAATCAGCCAAAAAATACAAACATGGGTCAATATTTCCTTTGTGTGAACTGGCTAAATAGATAATTCATGTTCATTGCCAAGTTAGTTGCTCACTTTGATACCAATAAATACTTCTTACAACTTGGTTTGCTATAAATGTGTTTTTTAAATAGTTAATGTTAAATTAAGTGCATAGGGACATATAAGGAATATGACATATCTGGAATCCTTTATACACAAACCAGTATTAATGGTACTAAATTGAAATAGATTTATATGATGGATAAAACTATTAAATTTATAGTCCATATTTTCATACCTAGCATCAGTGTTTTCAGTCTAATTAAGTCTGAATAAATTAGAACCTAAAATGACATAAGACACTGAGTGAAGTAAAACACACACACACACACACACACACACACACACACACACACACACCATTAACATACCATTGAAGAGAGAATGGACATTGATATTCTCATGGTAACAATACATTTATGGCCAAAACAAGAATTCCAACTCCATTCAACCAGAAATATTAGGGTATCTATCTAGAATTCTAAAAAAGGGAAACTCAATGGCTGTACAAATAAATTGTCTTGTTCAATGTTAGCCAGACTGACGGTTACGTTAACAAATACACATGCTAAAAGAAAAAGAAATGTATACTATATGGCTTTATTTACACAAGCATTAATGAAAGTAAAGTCTCTCAACAAATGAGGTGATGATAACTACTCAAGCAATTACAATTAGATTTGGCTGAGTGTACCTGAAAAACCAATGGTCCCTGAAGGGGCTTCTCAAAATCACAACCCTACACTCTTAAGGAATTGTAGTCAATGTCAAACTCTATGGGAAATTTTGTTAGGAAAGTTTATGAATGTAAGATTTTTAGGAAACTGAAATCCAACTGTAAGAAACAAGAACTTCATTCTCCTTAGCTGGCAGAATTGAAACATCACACCTGTCTTACATAAATAAAAAATATCATGGAAATTACATATTATTTCCACTCCAATACCTAGCTTATATCTTCCAATACCCAGCTTACATCTTCCTTAACCTATAAAAGGTAAGATATAATTAAAAGGGAAGAAAATATGACAGGGGAAGTTTAAAAAGTACATGTACTACACTAATAAATGGAAATTAAGAACAAGAAATGATGAAGTCAAAAAATTGTTCCACTTGAAGAAATAAAAACAGAAAAAGCTCCAGCTATACATTTGTTTACCTTTACATTCTGTCTAATAAAGGCTCACAATTAAACATTGCTAATCATAATCTAAAACTGTGTGCCAGAAAGGTGAATACCAAAATGGAATATTTCTCAAACTGGTGAAGTGATTGTCCTGTTTTATCGTTTTACAACATATTAAGTATTCATAGGAGAATGCTCTTGGACAAGAATGTAGGCAGCTTAAGCATGAAATTGTAAGGCTTTAAATTCAAGAAAAAAATATATGCATTTAATGAGACATTGTCCAGCTAACTCACAGCGTGAGTCTGTTGCCCAGGAATAACTGTACTTGAAATGAAGTTCTTTTTGTGCTATGCTGTATCACCATTTCACTAGTGCCTCTCTCATCGACTATATCAGGAAAGAAAGTCATACACCACTTCTGGACAACTGGCTAAAATGAGGTTATTTCCAACAACAGTTGTTTTGACTACTTAGACAATGGAAAACAATTCCCCTTAGATCCAGAAAACAAGAAGCACTCACTGTATTGAAGGAAAAGGAAGAGGAACACAAATGATAATATTAAACTATAAATAATTTAGATATTCCTGTTGATATAATATACTGAGTTTAGGAAGCTCTATATTTTTCTGTGACCAGCAGCTAGCATTTCTAATTAATCTATTAGGTTGGTGCAAAAGTAATTGCGGTTTTAATACATATTAAAGTGAATTTTTAGGCCCTAAATAAAAGACGATTATAAACAAATAAAATATAGAAGTATAAATCATAATCCAAAAGTAGGATGTGATTTTTTTTAATTTATAGAATTGACTGTCATAGCTCCTTAACAGTGTTATTTGCCCATATTCTTCTGTTTCTCTTCCAAGGGCAGAGAGTAAACGATTACAATTACACATAATTGATCAGCAAATTTAGAAATGAGCTGCCAGAGGAGAAATATTGGAACCCAGTGTGTTCAGAATTGGTGGGCTCTTGGTTTCACTGACTTGCAAGAATTAAGCCGCAGACCCTCGCGGTGAGTGTTACAGTTCTTAAAGATGGTGTGTCTAGAGTTTATTCCTTCTGATGTTCGGAGTTTCTTCCTTCTGGTGGGTTTGTGGTCTCGCTGACTTCAGGAGTGAAGCTGCAGACCTTTGCAGTGAGTATTACAGCTCATAAAACGCAGTGCTGACCCAAAGAGTGAGCAGCAGCAAGATTTATTGCAAAGAGCGAAAGAACAAACCTTTCACAGTGTGGAAGAGAACCCAAGTGGGTTGCCATTGCTGGCTAGGGCAGCTTGCTTTTATTACCTTATCTGTCACACAGGGGGCGGGGGAGAGAGGGAGCAGGCTCGGAGCATGGGCATGGTGGGCTGCAGGTCCCGAGCCCTGCCCTGCAGGGAGGCAGCTGAGGCCCCGTGAGAATTCAAGCGGGGTACAGGTGGGCCAGCAGTGCTGGGGGACCTGGTGCACCCTATGCAGCTACTGGCCCAGGTGCTAAGCCCCTCATTGCGCAGCGCCGGCAGCCGCTCCGAGTGTGGGGGTCCCTTCAGCCCAGGCCCACCCGGAACTTGCACTGGCCTGCGAGCGCCCCGCTTAGCCCCGGTTCCTGCCTGCGCCTCTCCCTCCACACCTCCCCACAAGAAGAGGGAAGCCGGCTCCAGCCTTAGCCAGCCCAGAGAGGGGCTCCCACAGTGCAGCAGCAGGCTGAAGGGCTCCTCAAGCGTGGTCAGAGTGGACGCCAAGGCCAAGGAGGCACTGAGAGCGAGTGAGGGCTGCCAGCACGTTGTTATCTCTCACCAGTATCTTGTGAAAATTATTAAAGGATAGATTTTTGGCAGAAAGACATTATTTTTAAATCTCTTAGTAGAAGCACCTGTATAGCAAACATTTAAAATGTTTCTCCAACCTTTTATGTAACTCAACATTGACTGCTCATCCCTTTATGATTAAAAAGCTAATTCGTATTAAAATTTACACAATAAAATATAAACGTTACTTTTTTTAATACTACTTCTCTTTCTTTTCACCTATCTTGTGTGCTTTTAAATGTATCTTGTTGATTTTTAAACTCAAAATTTTTCCAACTCACTAAATAGGTCTAAAAGTATTTTCCAAGAAAATTTGTTTAGAACAAAGAATGCATTTTCTCTTAAAAATAAGTGCTTTCTCTCAGGCCTGTAATCCCAGCACTTTGGGAGGCCAAGGCGGGTGGATCACGAGGTCAGGAAATCGAGACCATCCTGGCTAACAAGGTGAAACCCCGTCTCTACTAAAACAAAAAACAAACAAACCAAAAAAACAAAAAACAAAAATTAGCTGGGCATGGTGGCGGGTGCCTGTAGTCCCAGCTACTCAGGAGGCTGAGGCAGGAGAACTGCGTGAACCCAGGAGGCGGAGCTTGCAGTGAGCCGAGACTGTGCCACTGCACTCAGCCTGGGCAACAGAGTGAGACTCTGTCTCAAAAATAAGTAAATAAATAAAATAAAAATAAGTGCTTTCTCTCAGAGGTTCTGCACATTGACACTTCCAGTATATATTTTAGCAGGTACACTTGCTCACTGATATCCCTCTTCGACCAATCTTTTTGATAATTGTGATATAAATATTTTCCAGTGGTTTAGACATGTAATAAAGGCAAGCTATCCTACAAGTAGCTATATTTTTCCTCATTTTCTATTGAAAATGTCATTTCAGTTCCCTATGGTTCACCTCAGCTTACGAAAGCACGCTTTCTTTGCTTCCTTCCTCAAACAAGCAATGTGACTGCTGTTCTACCTCCTACACATTCTTTACTTGGTAATTACAAGAAATTCTTTCCCGATTACTTGCCCACCATAGATAAGGCAGTAGAGACACTGCAGAGTTTCCCCTTTGCCATCATACAAGAAGACTGAGCAAAGTACAAACTAAGGAGCTTGGTGTTCATTGTTCTGAAGTTGGGTCTGCATCTAGAGGGGAAAGTGCAGCTATCAGTCAGCTGCTGGGGTGGGCTCCATCCTCACAGCAGGAACAGTCAAAAGCAAAGTGGCATGAGGATTGGGTGGCAAAGGAAAAAATGGTAAAGAGCAGAGGGCCCGTGTGTCCTGCAATACAGGGAGTCTAGAAGGAAATTTCTTGCTGTAGTTACAGTCCAATCAGCCAAGAATATGAGCCTTGAAGAGACAACATTTGGTTATATGTCATGTCTGTCAGGTTATTTAAACAGAGGGTTGCCAGTATTGGAGTACTGAATAAATGCATGCTGATAATATACATGAATAAAGACTTCTTAGTGGGCGTGCTTTTCATAAATTATTCATGTGTGATCATAAATACTCAAACTGTGAAACTACTCTCTCTCCTATGTGATCCTTAAATAGTTCTAGAATAGGCATGTAGGTAATTGACAAGATACTTAACATGGTACTTTCAATCCTAACTCATTTCAGGAACATTTGAATAGGACATGAGGGATCCTGGGGTGGGATAGATCTTTTAAGAAAAATCAATTTAAGTATCAAGAAGCCATCAACACACACAAAATATAATAGGAATGCCTTTCTCCCTAAGAAACTAAAACTGTCTTCTTACATATTAAAATCCATGATACCCATGAAGCATTCCATGAAACATACTTTGTTTTCAACTGGAGAAATCCACAGTTCTCTATAGTTTTATCACTACAATTTTAAATGTGTAGTCAATATTTAACATTTTAAACTAATTTAGACACATATTCTTTCATGGTTAATTAATTTAATGACCTGCTCCAGTGATTATCAAGGTCGTTTCATGTAAGCATTATCTGAGAATCTTGCTGATGCCTGAGTCCTAACCCAGACCAATTCAATGAAAAATTCCAGGGTTAAAGCCCAGATTTCACTAAGTTCATCCAGGTGGTTCTAGTGCAGGCTAGGAGTAAATTCATTAATCAAGTGCCATATCTACCCCTTCTAGGGAATATGCTAATTGGTATTCTGGAAAAAAGTATTCCATTGTTTTATGTTTGAGACCTAAACCTAGAACAATCACTATACTTAATAATATGGCAAGCATTCTTTTAGTGAGAGAGAATATGACAAGTATTGCTACTCTCACCACTACATTTAAGGTAGTTGAGCAAGTCCTAGTCAATGCTATAAGAAAGGAAAATGAAATAACATATGGAACATGTTGAAGGATGAATGAGATTGTTACTCTTTGCAACCTACTACGTGGACCACTTAGAAAAACTAATAAATAAACCGTTAAAACTAATCAGAGAGTATAACAAGATGCCCAATAAAACAGCAATTTATAAGAATCAATGGTACTCTAATTTAGCAATATATATTTATAGAATATGATAAAATGAGAGAGCACTCACAAAAGTAAGAAGCTATGTAGGAATTAGTTAACAAAGTATTCATTGATCCCTACAGAAAAAATGGTTACAAGCCTTTTAAAAGGCATAAGGAACAGAGAATAGATTGAGATATACCACGCCACTGAATAGAATATTAACAGCCATGATCTACAAGTTAAACTGTGCTTGTATATTTAATATAATCTGAATAAAAATGTAAACTGTATTTGTTTAAAAACACTGATTTATAGATGGCATTGAAATAAGTAGCTTACTATATTGAGAAAAAACTGAATTCTTACCTAAAACAACATAAAAATTGGACACCTGATGGGTTAAAATTTCCAAATGTGGAAGGTAAATAAATGATAACATATATAATAATGTAGGAGAATACATTGCCTTTGTGATCTGTGAGGAACAACTTCTTTAAACACTTCAAAAAAAAATTAACTACAAGAAGCCAGACCAAAAAGGCCACAAACTGTATGATTCCATTTACAAGACACATTGCAAACATGCTTTCAGTGCAAATAGGTGATGGCCCAATAGCATCATCCTGATGTAACTCAGAACTGGGCTCTAGAAAAACCTCAAGGATGGGGGGAAAATGCAAGGTTCAGGATTGCCAGTCTTCATTTTATGAAGTCAGGGTCAACAAATCTTTTCGGTAAGAGGTAGATAGTATTTGTGGACCAGATGGTTTGTGTCACAACTACTCAATTTTGCTGTTGTAGCATAAAAGCAGCCCCATAGACAACACAAACGAGATTGGCTGTATTCTAATAAAACTCGTTAGAGAAATAAGCAAATGGCAGACTTGGACCATGGGTGTAGTTTGCTGACCCATGCAAAAAATCCACTTCCAATTAAAGAATAATTACAAATTAATAGTCGCTGGTCTTTTAAGCATATTCATAAGGAAAAAGCATTAAATGATGAAGACAGAGAAACTGAGTTACAGAATTAGAGGAAGTACCCAGTTCTAATTTTTTTTTTGGCAGAAAGTACCTAATCAACTACAAAATACTTAGCTGTCATAATTTCCATTTTTTCAAAGTAGCACATGGATATTTACATGGAATTCTGTAAAGATAAGTCAATGGATTCTGAATTATTTAGAAGAATTATATCTTTCAGTTAATATATTCCAAGCAGAGCTTCAAAGGAACCCTTACATTATTCAGCAAAGAGCTCAATTTAAGATCAAAATAATCTATAATTTCCATCCTACTCTTTGTCAGAGAGAAGGGGTTAAACCACTAACCTGCAGATATTTCCACACATTATTTTCACCAACTAGAAGATATACCTCAGGTCTCCAACTGAGAGAAGGGTAAGATTTTGTTGGTTTTTGAGCAACATCTGGAAATTCGTCATAGTTATACACTCATATGGCTCAGTGGAAATGTACTGTACTTTAGGCAGTCCATGGGAACCAATGAAAATGGTTCTTAGAGGCAAAGTCTTAATATTAAAGTTAAATAAATTTGCACATATACATAAAGTTTTAAAACTGGACAAATTTGAAAGTATGCTGGTTAGAAGACTTAAACTGATCAGCTTTAAACATAATATAAACCCAAATCACAGTACTCTCTAAAGTATTCTACCTTAAAATAAGCAAAATATTAATATTAACTACTATAAATACAGTAGATTAAAAGTCACAATCTCTCACTATACTGTTTGTTTCAGTTAAAGTGATTCCACTTTTAACTACATTTTTATATACATTACTTGTTTTTAAAATAAATAATCTTTCAAGGGAGTGAATATCTATTTTAAGTGCATGCATTATTCCAGCTCACTCTTCATCTCTAATGAAAAAGTTAAAAATGCCAGATGCACAGATTCACACTCTTCTCCATCTTGTGTCGCTGTGACTATAACCACTGAAGGGCCAGAGAACTGTGAGAACAATTTGTTTCTGCACAGAATCTCCACACCTACCTTTGTTTGCTTTGTAAGCTCTCCAGTCTTTCCCCATTATATTATTCTTTTAAGTATATTTCTATGCTAGTCTACAAAGTGGCAATAATGAGAAAACAATGTCTTAATAATTATGCAAATTATGTATTAATTATATAAAAATTTGAAATTTAATTTTACAAATGAAGCAGGGAAAAGGAAAGATAAATTGTGCTTGAAAAAGATTATTATGGAATGCAGAGGCCCAAAGATTTTGGCATTTCTATTGGATCTCTGAGCTTTTATCTGAAATTAAACTGTATAAATGTCTCTCCTATTGATGACATTACTAAGCATTTCAGAAAATGGTGGAAATATTTAGGAGTCATGAATATCTAAATGTAGCCTTAAAAGACACTGGCGAAAAGCTTCTTATTTATTGTGGGAATAGTAGGCCCCTAAATTGCCAATCTTTTTCTCTTATGAAGAACTGTGGTTAGAAGAAGTTACAGATGATACACACCCTGAAGATATTAAGCTCTATATTCCATCTTCTCTACAAACAACCTTAAATCCGACTGCCCTTCAAAGCTACATTGTATTAAGAGAATATGGTTCCAACTATCTTCTTCAGTAATAAAAATGCCATTAAAATAACAAAATATTTAAAGAGAGAAGACCAAATGTCAGTTTAATATCCTAGAGGAAATTATTTTTCCTAAACATTATGCGTCATTCTACACTTAAAATTTGTTGAATGTTTTCTTATCAGTCCCAATGCCTCTGAACTCTGACACCAACCAAAGCGATTCACCAAAGTAGCTACATAGATAGCAAACAAGGACATAAAGAGATGTTCAATCTCGTTAGTAATTTTAGGGAAATACAAATTGAAACCACATGAGGTACCATTACACACCTATGAGAATGGCTAATATAAAAACAAGAATAGTAAGTGCTATTGTAGGCATGAAGCAACTCTCAATTATACATTTCTAGCATAATGCAAAATAGTAAAATTATTCTGAAAAAGTAAAACAGTTTAGGAGTTTTTCTTAAGAGATGGGTTCTCACTATGTTGTTCACACTGTACTCTAACTCCTGGGCTCAAGCAGTCCTCTCACCTCAGCCTCCGCAGTAGCTGGGACTATAGGCATGCACCACCATACCTGGCAAAATTATTCTCCTAAAGTTAAATGTGCACTTTTCATATTATTCTCCACTGACCCTCCCAAGTGCTTACTCTAGAAAAATGGAAACATATGATCATATAAAATATTTAATAACGGAACATGAATGCTGCTACAAGTATTATTTATAGTCACAAAATCTTGAAACAAAATATCCTCCTATGGGTTGAGTAAATCATTATATGGTATATCCATAAGAATACTATTCAGCATTAAGAAAAACCTATTGATATACGCAGCAACACAAATTAAGCTCAAATGCATATGCTAAGTGAAAAAAGTGAGACTCAACTCAGTAAGTTACACATGGTTTCAATGCATTTATATGACATTGTTGAAAAGCCAAAACTATAATGACAGAAGAGAAATCAATAGTTGGCAGGCTTTAGGGGTGGGGAGAAAGTATGACCAAAAAGAAACATGATGACAGAATTTTTGTAGTGGAGGAACTGTTTTGTACCCTAGTTGTGCTGGTGGTTGCTCAATACATTTGTTGAAACTAATGGAATGGTATTCTAGATAGGTAGATTATTATATGTGAGTTTTAAAACTAAAAAAAAGTATTACATATAAAATAACTGAAAAGGAATGAAGTATATAATATGTCCTATTTGATATAAATTCATTAATTCAACTTTTTGTAAAACAGTGCAACATACAGAATCGTAATTTTGTGAAACAGTCACAATCAAGGTTGCGGAGATCAGATAATCAGGTAGGACTAGAGATATTCACCTGGGGGGTCATCTCCATGTAGATGAAGAGAATAAATGTAATAACCCAGAGAACAAAAGAACATACGTATATGTTTCTACCAAACACTATACAAAACTAAAAAGTTTGAAGGAAAATGATTAAAATACCAAGAGGAATTATTTTTATTTTTACTATTTCTAAGGCATCTTGTTATAGTACTAAGAGCAATTAATTGTAGGAAAAAATAATTCTCTAGAAACAAAATATTCTAATTAACATTTTTCTTCACAATTCCAGTTTTCTTTTTAAACGGAAGTACACAGGAGCAAACAGCAATAATTATATACATTATCATTTTATAAAACCAACTATCTTCTTACATAGGCCACCAAATGGATGGCTATTTTCCCTCTGGAATTTCTGTGAGCCTAATATAACCACTGTGGTTCTTCCAAGCTTGAGAATTATTAAGCAAATTCTATTTCTATCTTTCTGTACACCCTCTGTACCAACTTCTTCCAGAAAATCAAGAGGAAGAAGATAGCTTCAATAAAGTATAAACACCAGAGAGATTAATGAAGATTTCTTGGCTGTTGTCTAAAAGAAGGCAAAAAAAAAAAAAGAGAAAAATGGAAAGTTTGACTAGAATTTAAGACACTGGAATATTTTTAAAGGCAACTACGTGGTCTTTTCCTGATTGATAGAGAGTTCTGGATGCTGAATTTACAGGGGGAGTGCTTATTTGTAAGATTCTGGCCCTAGCTCAGTCAGATGTATTGCAGGACAGTGACAGATGGAAATGACATACACAAATGACCATACAGCAATTACTGTGATTCATCTGCTGGCATCTGGAGATTGGTAAAAGTGAGTTATTAGCGATTCCAGTACCATATGAAGTACAGTTGTTGAGCAGAACTTCTAAAGATTTATGTCCATAATGCTTCAGAATTTAAAATAAAGAACTAGTAAAACATTAAGATTAAAGAAACATTTATGCCTGCACAAATTCTTACATGAATTACTGAGAAATGGTGGGATAAACCATGTTGGTTCAGTTTCAAGAAACAAATGTAGTATTTATATATTATTATCAAAAACGTTTTATCCTCTGAACTAAAATCATTTCACTGTATCTCTCTTAGACTGCTTTTAAGTTTCCTTGCTAAATAGGATATTATATATTCAGTTGAGGGCAGACTATCAGTGACTTATTTTTATATCATTATAGCTACCTCAGGATCTTAAGAGTATGGATACATAAAAACATTCAATGAATGTATAGAAGATACATAAATCTACCAAGTCAGACAATAATTAAATGTTAATAGTGTCAACATAAGCATTTTTTAAAAGATAAATCTAGTATACGAACATCATGTATTAATTGTGTCTTTATTATGTTCCTATCCCTGTGTGAAAAACACTGAGTGCACTTCATCGCTTCAGTATCAAACCCCCATAAATTTGGTTGAGGCTCTATTTACTAGCAAGAAATACAAAGACATGGAGAGATAAAGAAATAGAGCAAACTGTGTATGCCTTTGGAGTGTTTCAGGCACACACGAATCTTATCTCAATTTAGACACTGTTGGAAAATCAAATTCTAATTTCATGGTAAAGCAATCAGAAAAGTAATACAGAATAATGAACTAAAATATTTTTACATAATTCAAATATGTCCATATATTTTACAGTTTCCTTAACAAGTATCAAGTATTTTTTGTCCTGCTCTCTGAAACTCTAGCATTGAATTTCTTTTTGTTCTATTCTTCACAGGCATTCTATCCTATAAAAATTTTAAAATGCTGCATTTTTAAAAAGTAGTTCAACTTTATAAATGATAGACAAAATAAAGCCTCTCTAAAGATGTCCATTCTTAAATTCTAGAATCCATGAAAATGTTGTCACGCACAGCAAAAGAAGTTTTGCAGGTATGATTAAGTTAAAGATCTTGAAATGAGAAGGTTATCCTGGATTATCTTTATCTGAGTGGGGCCCAACATAATCACAGGATTCCTTATAAAAGGGAGGTAGATGGGTAAGAGAGAGAGGTGTAACAATGGAGGCAGAGACTGAAGTCTTGTGCTTTGCAGAGAAAAGGGTCACAAGCAAAGTAATGCAGGCAGCCTTCAGAATCCAGGAAAATAAGGTATGGAATCCTCCACTAGAGACTTGAGAAGGAATGCAACCTGGCTGACACCCTGGATTTTAGAACTTGTGACCTCCTAGAACTATAAAATAATAAATCTGTTGTTTGAAGCCACTGGGTTTGTGGCAATTTGTTACAACAGCAACACGAAACTGATACACTGTGGCATACGTTATTTGTGCAGTAAAGAACACCCAAGGGTGTCTGCAGAAGTCTTTTCTTAGTTATAGTCAACAAACCATGATGTTCATTTATGTCAGCAGATGATTTTCCAAAGAATGACCAGCAATAGCAGGAGCATCCATTATATTTTGTTACATTACATTCATTTTAACATGTATTTAATGAAGAAATCTGTTTTCTGAGCATCAGCAATAACATCATAAGGTTGTAAGTCAAGAAAAGGTTTTTTCCTAATTTGCTAGGTTTGTTAGAACTCTATAAGTCACGGAGATAAATAAAATTTTATTTCAGTGGTATGCTATGATGATAATTTTGTATATATTCTTGTACGATACAGACAAGAGGTCCTCAACCCAAGTTGCATGTTAGAATTACCAGGATAATTCTAGAAACAAACTCTGTTGCCCAATCCTACTCTGAGAGATTCTGATTTAATTGGTTTGTGGTGGGACCCAGGCATCAGTATTTGTTAAAAGCCCTTTTGGTAATGCTAATATACAGATAGGGCCGGGAACCAGAAATATAGGTACAATTTAAAAATATATACTACACTATATTTTCCATAACTCTTAATTAGTAACAAAACTTACTTGACGGAGTCAAAATGTTAAGTTATAATACATAATATAAGAAAAGCAACAAATATATTATATGAGTGTATTTGTTACACTTTTTTAATAAGATGCTATCCTTTATAGATAATGTAATGGTAGTTTCATCGATCTAGGCATAAGTGGTTGCTAATTTCTCTAATCTCATTACATGCGCATGTGGCAAGCATTATGTTGTTCATTAATTTCGAAATCATACAATGGAATATATTCATCTAACAATATTTTCTACAATTTTATTCTGGAATTGACTGAGGTTTCACTGTGAAATGCCAATTCTCCAATTGTTACAGTCAGCTTTTTGTCAAGAAAAACAGAAAGCCATAAATTCTATGGTAAATATTTAAGGAAAGAAGTCCTTTATAAAATATAAATATAGCTTATTGGAATTATGTCTACGTATGTTATCTAATGAAAGTCAAAATCGAAACATTCATAAAACTAATATTTTATTGAAAAATATCAAAGCTGTATGTGACTAAGATGGCTGAACTTGCATCTCCAAACTGCTATGGTGCCTTATTCTTGTGCTTTTATATAAAAAGGAAAATCTGTTATGATTGTGTGTTTCACAGAATGGCAAACAGATGTGATATACATGATTAGAAAAGCTACACTGTAATTTTAGGTACAATGTTTGTAAAAAAAGCCATGATATAAAGATGAAGACTTTAAATTGATAATATTTTTTCCTCATAACGTTTTTATCTCTACTACAGTCAAAATTTTTAAAATTCTAATTTTAATTCTATTGAAAATTTTGAAAACACAACTATACGATTAAATAATTTTTATTTTATATGTACCACTGGAATGTGATACAATGTAATTATTTTAAGAAAATGTATTTAGGACTTTTAGGAAAAAAATTATATACTAATTATAAACCTTTGAAAACTACTTCCTTTCCAAATGAATTTAAAATACATCAATATCCATAATCAGTGTTCATTAAAATGTTCTAATAAGATTAGAATCTGTTTTATCATTCATTAGCTATCACCACAATCAAATTGAACAGGTGAAAGAATATTTTCATGATGTTAAACAGGTCAAATTATTGAATTTTGTTACTCTTTACGTGACTCATTTATCAAATCTCCAGCTTCAAGGTATAAACAAAACACATATGTAGTATCGAGTATACCAAAACAAACAAAGACGCAAACCTAATGACATGAAATTGATTATTTTCATTGCTATAATCCTAATCATCCTGTCAGAGCACATTTTTTCCAAAATCACATTCTCTTTGAAAATAACAGAGCACTTTTCTCAACTTAAAAAACAGCATAAATTATTAAATTAATTCAAGGATATTTCACAACATATGTGTAATTATTTCTCTCCACATATATAACAGCCTCTAAGACACTTTTATGCTTTAAAATAGAAATATTTGGTGATATTATAAATACTGAATATGAGAAACAAAAAAGGACTATATTCTTCAACAATTATAAATTGTTTCTTAAATACAATCTTTTAACAGTAAATAGGTTACAGGTTTTTAAGCTGTTTAATATATAGTTCATATATATACATATAAACAATGTAATTAATCTGTAATGAGCAACAGAACCATTATAGCTATATCATCAATATTTATTTCTAAATTTATAAACCTAATATGTAATTGCTAGAAAGGTTAGTAAATATTTACCAGTGAGCAATAAATAAAAACATATGTAATACGTAGTCTGCATTTGCTTTATAAAATATCTCTTTGCATCTGGCTGAAATACGTTGTTTAACATTGTTCTATAACTACCCAACTAATTGATGCCAGGCAGCATTAATAGGGATAAGAAAAATATTTTGTCCTAGAGAAACTATATCAACTATTATATAATTTTAATAGTAATAATTTTACTAATAATTTTAATTAGTAAAGTTTATGAAATATAAAAAGATTTATTAGGAATTTGGGGAGGGCTGGGGATGTTGGTAAATAAGCCACAGTAAAATTCCTTGTTTAACAGAAAATGAATTTTTAAAATCACAAAAATATAGATTGTCACCGTAGTTTGTAAGCATCATTTCAAGAGCATCCTATAATAACATCTTGGTCCATTGTTACAAAGGTGCTTTATATCCAAAGTGTTAAATAAGTGAAGTATTTCATAAATTATCCAAAACAAAACTCCAGTGTTAACCTCAACAAAATCAGTTAAGAACGAGGAACCTAGATAGGTCTGTACAGAGCATCTACACAATCCTCTTATTATAATAAGAGAAACTGGAGCCCAAATAACTGTATTTGTTTTCTTCATAACCAAGTTATCAGCCCTGATTCCCCAATTCTCACTTTGAGGCACTGCTCCCCCACAGCAATTTTAACCAATCAGTTAGAATCCACCCAAAGTTTAATTATGACTTGTGCCAAGTTTGTCATCATCTTACCTTTTTGGATTTCTTTTACCTAACCTGTGCCCCTCCACTTTGAGTGTACCCTCATAGAATGCGCCAATGACGCTGAGTTGAAGTAACAAAAATGCAATTAAGCTACTTTCTGCAAAGGCCCAAGAAAAGTCTATCTGTAAAGACCTTTGCACTTTGAGTAACAGAAAATACTAAATCACAAGGGCTGACTCAAGGCTAAAAATGACTACATCTATTTCAAAATTCAAGTTCTTTACAATCAGAGCACCAGTTTCTCACCTCAAAGATCTGGGGTAACTAAAGACCCCAGGGAACTGTAACTAAATGATAAGGTAGCTAGCTCTTCACATTCACATGTCAATAAGTGGTAGAGAAAAAAAACAAAATAGGAATAATGGCAAAAACAATGCCAGCAAAGGAGTAAATGAAAAGCAATCCAAAGTCATCTCTAGTCCGTAACATGCTCATAGTTGATGTTCCTAACATGGGAAAGTGCAGGTTTCCAGGTCTGGGAAAAGACCATGTTCCTGCATAGCCCAAGTTTCTGCTTTCTGAAGGGCTGTCTCTTGTTTGTTTTCCCCCATGGCCATACTGAGAAAAGTACTGTGGAGAATGCCTTTTCTGGGAGCCACACAGTTATCAGCTCATTTTGTCAGAGATGGAAAGCCTGAGAACTTGCCTTATGGACTGAACAGTCTCAGGCTGTTACCAGGATTAGCATTTCTTTGGATACAGATTTCTCATAAAAATTCAGGAAGCTTCTAGTATGTCTGAATCTAGTCAAATCTATGGCCTTATAACTATAACTAGTGAGTTGCTTTAGAGTCCTTCTAGACTCTGGACACTCTAGTGTTTCACAGGCATAGGGCTCTAAACTTGTCTATTCTACCATCCTCAGTGTAATGGCCTATGGTATAGGCAATTGAAAAGATGACCCCAAATTTCATTTATTACATACAATTCTGCCCCGTTGATAGAACAGAGAATGCTCAAAGGAAGGTGCCTAAGAGAAGCCAATAAGGTTAGGTTTGGTCTTTTCCCTGAAAAGGTTTGGTATTATTTCCTGAAAAATACCCAAACTGATGAACATTGCCAGCACTAATTTTAGTTTAAGGTACAAAATTAAACTGTTTTTCTTTATAAATTACCCAGTCTTGGGTAGTTTTTTTGTTTGTTTTTGAGACAGAGTTTTGCTCTGTCATCCAGGCTGGACTGTAGTGGCGTGAACTCGTCTCACTGCAAGCTCCGCCTCCCTGGTTCAAGCGATTCTCCTGCCTCAGCCTCCTGAGTAGCTGGGACTACAGGCGCACACCACCACGCCCCGCTAATTTTTTGTATTTCTAGTAGAGATGGAGTTTCACCATGTTAGCCAGGATGGTCTCAATCTCCTGACCTCATGATCTGCCCACCTTGGCCTCTCAAAGTGCTGGGATTACAGGCATGAGCCACCACGCCCGGCCTGGTATTTCTTCATAGCAGTATGAAAATGGACTACTACACCAAACATAATCCATTTTTTCAGTAAATTTTTATAAATGCATTTCATGGAAACATACAATATTCTAATTAGCAAAGAAAATATAAAATACTCTCATACTGCTTCTTCTCATATTTCATATTTATTTTGTAGAACAAATCTGCTTTTCATATTTTATTGATATCCCACCTGTCTGACAAGTATCACATTTAGTAAATAAAGTAAATGACTTCACTATGAACTAAATATCTAACATGAATAGAAAGTCATATTATTCTTAATAAAAACTCAGAAGATACTGTTTGAGAAATACATTTTTTGCTGCTTCTCAATGGCAGAGACACCCCAGGGCAATATAATTCAAAGGCACATGCTGTTTATTGAACATTTTATTATAAAACAAATAGAGTTTCCTTGAAAGGCACACAAAGGGAAAGTCCTACAGTGCCTCATCATACTTCCTATAGGCATTCTCAGTAATTTTACTTATGTTATCTTTTGTTTCCTCCAAATGTTTAGGCAGATTGGGTTTTTATAGTTTTGGTATAATTTTGTTTGTTTATTTAACAAATATTTCCCATGTTTCTCATAATCGTCGTTAGTGATTTTTAATAAACTCATACTCTACCACTGAGGGTATACATCAGCTTATTTCACCATTCCTATAGAATCTTTTAAGTGATTTACAATGTTGTTTTGGACATTTTTGTGGATTTTTATGAAAACTTAAATGGGATAGACTGGCAAAAGTAAACTAAGTGGTTCTAGGTACCATAGACTATTTTAAGACAGACATATCTCTCCATGTGTATTAGTCCATTTTCATTCTGCTGATAAAAACATACCCAAGACTGGGAAATTTACAAAAGAAAGAGGTTTAATTGGACTTACAGTTCCACATGGCTAGGGAGGACTCACAATCATGGCAGAAAGTGAAAGGCGTGTCACACATGGCAGCAGACAAGAGAAGAGAGCTTGTGCAGGGAAACTCCCCTTTATAAAACCATTCAGATTTCAGATCTCATGAGACTTATTCACTACCATGAGAACAGTATGGGGGAAACCACCCACATGATTCCATTATCTCCCACCAGGACCCTCCCACAACACTTGGGAATCATGGGAGCTACAATTCAAGATGAGATTTGGGTGGGGGACACAGCCAAACCATATCACCATGGCTCATTTTACTAACCCACACCATCATGTTTATAGTAGTGTTATTATAACAAGGCATAACAACGGTGGTGGCAATAGGCATAGAAAGAAAACTCCAATATTTTTGTGTGTGGCTCCTGCCTGGCTTCTCCTAATCTGGATAACCAAGTTTATACTTTGGATGACCATTTCTTTAGTTTTGTCTGAAGTCAACTGATGATTAAGAGAATAATAGTAATTGCAATATGAGAACCACTTGAAATATGTATTTTATATTCCACTAGGGGTTGAAAGTCAGGCAAAAATAAATTTTCTAGGTATCAAGTTCTAACAGAAATACCACTGTATAATTTAGCAGCATGGTCAGGAGGCACTGATTGGAAAAGTGAACAAGGGAAAAAAGTGGCAGTCAAATAGTGACTTACCTATGATAGAAATGAATAAGGAGGCAACTGTAAAAGAACGTTTACCTAAGAATTCCATTTCTTAGATTTCTGTTTTGCAGAAATAAACACACATAAGCATGACTGTACATATTCACACATCTTAATGTTCAGAGCAGTACCAATAGACCATAATATAGTTTATAGCAGCTAAAATAAATGATAAATTTAGATAAACTGGCATTGAAAGTCCTCCAGGACATACAAATCCATATGCATACATACATATATAGACAGATTTGATAATGCAAGTAAATTTATCTAGGTAGATATCTACTAAAATGTTAGCAGTTACTTTCTTTGGAGGATATTATGGACTGAATGTATGTGCTCCCTATACCCAGTTTAAATATTGAAACCCTAATCCCAATGTATTAGAGTTCAGCTAATCCTATGGTATTTGGAGATGGGTCTTTTGGAAGGTAATTAGGTCAGAAGGGTAGAGTCCTCATGACCTTCCTAAAAGGGAGAATAGTACCCTTGTAAGAGGCTAGAGAGCTAGCTAGCTCTTTTCCGCCACGTGCGTGTACAAGAAGTCAGTCTTAGCAACCTGCAAGAAGGCCCTCACCAGAATCCAACCATGCTGGCACCCTATCTTAGACATCCACCCTCCACAACTGTGAAAGATAATTTTCTGCTGTTTATAAGCCACCTAATCTATGGAAATTTGTTATAGCAACCTAAAATGAGTAAGACAGAGGGGGAATAGAATTGAAAGGAATTTACTGGTTGATACATTTATTATTTTTCAAGAAAAATAAATGTTACAAATGATAGGCTACTTAGTCAAATCAAAATAATAGACTATCAAAAAGAAGTCTTAGCCTCAGGATATAGTACTACACAATTTATATGTTTTAAATAGTTTGAGTCCTGATTTTTTGTAAGCTCAAAAATAGAATTTGTTCCCAGAGTTCCCAAATATACACAGAGGATATAGCAGATATAACAGAGCAAAATCTAGAAAACTCAGAGGAGGAAAAATACCAAGGAGAGGATTTTGTCCCACCATCAATGGATTCAATGCATTCAACGTTTGTTAACCTACGTGGAAAGTTTGCTGAAAGAATCAGACAAGATCTAAGATTAACATTCACATTTTAGGCATATAATTTTAATCTTTGCTCATGTGCAAAGATGAAAATTAAGTATTTAAGTGAAAGTTCCTCTTTCAGATTCATAGTCTCCATTTTAATAATTTTATTTTTATTAAAAGTCTCATGTATGCTTCATGAAAAAGAAAATATTTTTAGTATCCAATATTATTCACTAAAAACTGAAACAAAGATAAGGTTTTCTTTCCTCAAGTATTACCCCCATGATACCTAAATTATTGCCTATCAAAATACTTAGGCCCATTAAGCATATGTACTACATTGTTCCTGTCTGTTCCACTCATATGCATTTAATTAGTCATGGTACACTAAAAACATAAACTCAGTCTTTAGACAAATTTCTAGGGGATTTTCTGTTCCTAAAACTTGAATATTTCTGAATTGTGTAACAATATGTATATTTACAGTTTTCTGTTTAGACAAAAAGACATTTTATTAGCATTTCAATAATCCATGCTAGCACAAGTATCATAACAGAGAAAACAAAGGAACTGGGACATTTTTCGGAATCCTTTTCAAGTCTAACTTTTGCTTGTCAATAAAATATTCTTGCTATTTCATTTTTCTGTTAACCTTAAGAGATCCAAGGCAACTCAAGAGTTTCTCAACAAAGAGCATGTATCGACAATGTGTATAACACAATTATAAATGTCCTGAAGGAAATAAAAATGTAGTAAAAGAAAAACATCGAAGGCTTCATGTGAAGAAAAATGACTGTGACTTTGTAGATCCAAACTCAAATTTGGTAATTTTGAGGGAATATGGGATTGGTAAGAATTAAATAATTCCTTGGGAAAAAGGGAGTTGATGGGGAGGAGACATGGATTTGAGATGATGGGAAGGCAAATCTCCCTTACTGAAGCAGAAGCAGGAATAATGTAACGAAGAGTCTAGAGATTTGTGTGGTTTAAACAGAGAATTACATTGATGATGAATAAAACATCCTTAAAGATTAGGAAGTGCTAATACCCAGGAAGAGTGTTTCAGGCTGTAAGGTGATCTAGTTTGTGGTCTTACATAAATGAGGACCTGAACCAATGCCAGGACAGTTTGTATGAATTTGGGTGAATTTTTTTTTTTTTTTTTTTTTTGAGACGGAGTCCTGTTCTGTCACCCAGGCTGGAGTGCAGTGGTGCGATCTCAGCTCACTGCAAGCTCTGCCTCCTGGGTTCACTAATTTTTTTGTATTTTTAGTAGAGACGGGGTTTCACTGTGTTAGCCAGGATGGTCTCGATTTCCTGACCTCATGATCCACCCACATCGGCCTCCCAAAGGGTGAATTCTTTATTTCAATTCCTAAATAACTTTGTCCTATTTTATAGTCAGAACAACGAGAACAAATGTATGGTGTGAGCAAAGAGATGAGGTGAGGGAGTACATTAAATAGATGACTATTAAATACATAGTTCAATGATAAAGATAGCAGTATAGTTTCAAACCATAATTACTGATTGAAACAGGTGCAAAACTATTTGGAGAGTATTTTTAAACAATGCATCACATAGTATTGTAGTTATTAATATCAAAGACTTAGAAATCAGACTGGCTTGGGATTCTATTCAATGTCTGCCTCTGCTAGCAGTGTGAGATTGGACATACAACAGAAACTCTCAGAGCCTTGTTTTTCTCACCTATAAAATAATAATTCCCCAACATGTCCACTGTAAGCATAATATCAGGTTAACCTAGAGAAGTCAGTTCATTTCAGGAACACAGTAGGCCCTCAGTAAATAATACTCATCAACAACCCAACCTTTCAAAAGCAGTATAATCCATATTAAATGTATTTACTTTTATGTGGCTTTCAAAAGAAATGTGCATATACAATAATTTGAAGAGCAGCATGGGAACTCTGTCATCATTCCAATCCAAATGTATTTTATTAATAACTGACTAGTATACAGCAGGTCTCTAGCTCCTTGAGAAGTTGCTTAACAAGTTCCAAAATATAAAACAGCCATGTTTTCAGCTCTTCTAGTCAGAATAATTGAAAATAACAAAAAACATAGAAGAAAAAAATAACTTAAATGCAGATTGGATGATCCATACTCATGCAAACATTTAGTATGTTCCAACATCATTCGATGTCTCTGAAGACTCTGGTAGATATAAACACACATTAAAAAAAACCTCATGCACATTTCAAAGTTTCCAATTTCCTCTCTCTGATTGTTACATGTAGATCATCAGGACTAGAATAAATCTCAGCAAGAGTGTGACTCAGGCTATCTTACAACCTTCATTGGCAACTGGTATATTAACAAAGGAAGTATTCCCTTAAGCATGAATAAAATTACTGCAACTCTAGCAGTCTGAGGCATCACAGAACTGGGTTGGGCACAGCAGAGCCATTTTGCTGTAACCCAATCTCATTTGATATTCACAGAGCTAAAAAGTACACAAGAAAAATTCAGAATGTACGGTGATTTCTACCCAGATGGCAATATTATCTGGAAAGTGATGGCTGCATATTTACCATTTGACAAGTGAAAAGCATTAGCCAGCAAGCATCTAGATAGTTGAGCAAGAGCTACCACATAGCCACATGTGAGGAAAATCTGAATCAGGAACAAAGCCAAAGGCTAAGTCTTACCAAAGAATGAATATTCATGATGTTGCCAAGTACCACACAGGTTACATTAAATACAACTGTTATAATTTCATACTGTTATTCTGCCTGACAGCAACATCAAAGATCAAAATAGAACATGATATAGGCTAATTCATTGTGAATGTGTATTTAGTTAGTATTAAGAAATGAGTTAGAGACTAGCAGTAATCACAGAGGAATAGTTCTTCTGAGTGGGAAAGAATATTGTACAGAAATAGAATACAGACCACACAGAGAATCCCAGGTGAAAATATCCAAGGTAAATAGCAGGTTTGAGAAATCCTCTACAAATATGTCATTGCTTTAGTCTTTTAAAACTGAATATGTTGATACCCATCTTTCTTTTTCTCAATTCTCTTAACAAGTATTTATCTCAGCTCTAAAAAATCCAATATTAGATAATAGTAGAGGGACATTTACTGATAGTAAATATTTTGAAATCTCTCATACAATAACTCTTTGGTTCACCATAGTCTTACAAGATCAAATTTAAAACTTCAAACACAAAAGGCTACACTTTCAAACATGAGACTACAATGAAAATTCATCCAGATTTACAAGTGTCAAGCCAGCTTGCAGACACATAAACCAGATATCTACTAGCATGTGCCTATACCTGCACAAGTGTCTGCCTTAATTTTTCCCAAGGTTTCATTTGAAGTTGTCCAGGCAGAGCTAAACTAGAAAGCTATTTTCAATTGCTAACTTTTAATAGAAGACAGTTAACTTAAAAACATTGCTTTATTTAATGTGTAATGCACAAAAATTGAGACTTGAAGCTGTTTTAGGTAATAGGAACAAACGAATTAAGTATGGTAAATTAGGTCACCGTGTTACAAAATGAAAAGAGTAACTATAACGTAACAATACGCATTCATCAATAGATTTATTCCATTTGGCTTCGCTGTATAACTGAAAATAAAAAGTAATCTTCCAAACAACACAGGTCTGATTATGCTATTCCTCCCGTTGAATTTTCAAAGATCTCCCTTGTCTTTAGAAAGAGCATATTTTAATGTGGCTTTCGGAACTAGTAATTTTTTTTCAATAGATTTTTTGCAGAACAGGTGGTATTTGGTTACATGAGTAAGTTCTTTAGCGGTGATTTCTGAGATTTTAGTGCACCCATCACCCAAGCAGTGTACACTGCATCCAATGCGTAGTCTTTTATCCCTCATCTCTCTCCCACCCTTTCCCCCAAGTCCCCGAAATCCATTGTATGATTCTTATGCCTTTGCATCCTTATAGCTTAGCTCCCATTTATGAGTGAAAACATGACGTTTGGTTTTCCACTCCCCAGTTTTTTCACATAGAATAATAGTCTCCAGTTCCACCCAGGTTGCCATGAATGCCATTATTTTGTTCCTTTTTATGGCTGAGCAGAATTCCATGGTATGTATGTGTGTATATGTATATATGTCACATTTTCTTTACCCACTCATTGATTGATGGGCATTTGTGCTGGTTCCATAATTGGAAAATTATCCAATTGTTAATTGTGTTGCTATAAACATACACGTGCAAGTATCTTTTTTGTATAATGACTTCTTTTTCTCTGGGTAGATACCCAGGAGTGGGATTTCTGGATTTAATGGCAGATCTACTTTTAGAAGAACCAGCAATCTTACTCTCATAGTGTAAAGCAGAGGTTTGCCGAGTATGTTCTAGAATGAAGACCCCCTTTCAACTTCTGAAATGCTCGCAGACCATACCACTAAGCTGAACTTCCAGGATTTATCAGTTGAAAAATGCGTAATTATGAATTTAGAAATACCTTTAAATTATCTTCATCAGTTATAACACCCATATATTTGAACATAATTATTTATTCCTTACAGAGAATTCTGAGAGTAAAATAGATTTGCAGACTTTGATAATGGTGGTGTGGCTCATGGTGTAGGAAGCACTCCTAAGGTGAAAGAGGAAGGAATTAAGAATTGCCTCGGCACTGTGTTTTTACTGTTGTAGCTCCGAAGGATAGCACAGTGCTTGCACAGAGTGCGCTTGATACTTATTTGCTAAAAGAATGAACTAGTGAATATCAGAGTACTAGTCTTAGCTATATTGGACTTTGAGGCTTTGTACCGGTTGCTTCCTTTAGTGAAATGTGCTACCCCAAGGTATCTGCATGGCTATTTCCCTCAGCTCCTTCAAATATTTGGCTAAATGACATCTTCCTAATGAGGCAAATCCACATCTGGGATCCTCAATGCCTCCTCCCTTACCTTATTCCACTTTATTTTTCCCCCTAGAAGTTATCACAGTAATTCTCTTACCATATAAGTTTCTTTTGTACTATTTTTACTCTGTCTCCCACTTACAGAATGCAAGATGTACAAATGCAGAGATTGTATGATTTGTTCACTGGTGCAGTCCAAGCTTCTAAAACAATGCCTGGCATAGTGAATTTTTTAACGATTTAATCTTTGACAAATCATTCCATCTTGGTGTTTCTGATCTTTCTCTATAAAAAAGGGATGAAGTCTTCCCTGCTCAGCTCAGAGTGGTTCAAAAAACAAGTGGATTTCTCATTAGTAAATGAAATCCAATGATAGTTCTTAAATTTATACTTGTAACTTTTCCACATGGGATGGTGCGGGTGATAAGGTAAGAGAACAGAGGCATCCTCTCTCTGCTAGATGCTTACTGTTTGGGTGGACGTGATAGTTCACCCCTTAAGAATATATATATTCTATTGGTTCTGTGTCTCTGGAGAACCCTGAGTGATATGTAAGGTTCTGAGGCAGCCTAAGTTGTAAAACACAATGTTAGCGACATGGCTGCTTAGAGATGCACAGATAACATGCACAATCTGATGTGATTTCTTAAGGAATCTAGTTTCTACTGAGGTATTATTGACACTACAAATTGCACATTTCAAGTGTAAAGCTTAATGATTTTGACAAATACATACAACTGTATATCTGCCATGCTGATTAAAATGTAGAACATTTCCATCATCTCTCTTGCCCTTTTCCACTATTCTGATTTCTATTACCTTAGTTTTGCCTGTTCTAGAACTTCAAAGGAATAATACAAATCTTTCTTAAATGGTTTCCATCGCTGAACATGTTTGAGATTCAACTTTGTTGTCGTATGTCTGTAGATTTGTTTAACCTCCATATTTGTATTTCTGATCATCTTGAGTTTACTTTTGCATTAGGTGATAGGTAGAGATGGAAGCTCAATACCCTCTAACAAACGTTTCCAATTCTATAACAATTTGCTGAAATGACTTTCCTTTTCCTATTGAATCACCTTGACACCTTTGTCAAAAATCAGTTGTCTATATATGTGTGGGTCTATTTCTAGACTATTTTAATTCCTCTACTTATTTTTCTCACACCAATTCTACACAGTCTTGAATCTGTAGCTTTACAAGTCTTTAAATCAGTTGGTATGAGTCACCTAATTTTTTCATTCTTTTAAAAATTACAGCTATCCTACACTCTTTGCATTTCCATGCAAATTTGAAAATCAGCTTGTCATTTTCAAAAATAAATGCCTGTTGGCATTTTAATTAGACTTGCATTGAATTACAGCTCACTTGGTGGAGAACTGTTATCCTGTCAATCCATGAACATGATATACGTATCCATTTATTTAGGTGTTATTTAATTCCTCTCAATGGTATTTCATACTTTTAAGTATAGAGATCTTGAACATTTCTCTACACTTATATTCCTCTTTTATGTTTTATTATGCTACTATAAGTGAGATTGTTTACCTTTAATTTCCAATATTTGTTTGTAGTATATAAATTTTTTATATTGACCTTATATTTAAGAAAGCAATTTCTCTAAAATTAGTTAACTATGGGACTTTTTCATAAAATTCTTACTAAACACTTGTGAAATTAACATTTTACATAAATTACTTCTAAGGTAAATTTGCTTCAATAAACAAGTCTTCATTTACATTAGTGATACACTCTTGCTCTCAGTCTCCTGTAGTTTAAAAAATATAAATATTGAGATAATAATTTCACCATATTTTAAGTTTCTGCTCATATAAGCTTGGGAAGAAATCAAATAAATACTTAAGTATAAATACCATAAATATAAAAGGGATTAAATGTCAATTTTATCTGTGTGTCTGTGTGTGTGTACATATAGGTATGTATACACACACTCAGGCATATATATAAAAGTCTTTACAAATCAAAGAGACAGCACTGCTTTTGCTGAAGCGGGACAAAAATACCTCAAGGCACAACTCCTCCGTGCGCTTATCCCCTGCAGTGTAAACAGGGCCAATTCAATGGGTATTGTTTCCTTTACTTAGGCAGGATGATTTCCCTCAACTCTTAAGGAATCCAGGACTTTCCAGACCATTTCATCAGCAACCTTCTTCAACCAAATAGCTGTGACTCTCATTTTTTATACATTTTGGCTGATATCACGAAAATTGAAAACACCAATGGTGAAAGTTTACCAGGACCAGACCATTTAATACTTAACATAGAATTAAACACACTTACCTAAGACAAAAAAAATTATTTGCAAAACAGATGAAAAACTAGAGTGACAGATGAGACAAAGAGGCTTTTAAATCACATGAAGATTCCTCTGCTAGTCCCGGAGGAAACCTAATCTAGGCCTTTTAGTCCATATTGTGGGCAGGGGAGAATGTGAACTGAGATTTTAATTCATTAGACATAACACTATTGCCCTAGAACACTGAAAGATAAGGTAGCCTTATACGAGTAGATGAGACATGGTGCCATCTTTGGCTCCCTTATGACCTGAAACCTACTCTGCTTCCTCAGAGCTTTTACACACACAGATACTTTTGTTACCACTTATGTTCCAAGTTTCATACTCCCTTACTTAATATCCATATGCCTTTGTCTCTTAACTGTCCCCTAAATTTGACTATAAAGCCTCTAACAAAGTAGCATGGCAAGAAACTAAAATCTGTCAACACAAAGTTACTAAACATGTATCGGAAAAGAGAAAACCTATGGAAAGTATTTCCCTAGACCCAGAACAATCTGAGTGCCAAAGAAAGCTAACTTTGGATTTACACCTTGTATTATGTTTTATTTTGCTGTATTGCTTTAATGGTAAGATTTTTCTTACACAAACCAATTGAATTGCAGTGTATAAATTATACTCTCAATTAAGGGTCAAGATGGAAGGTAATGAAGACAAAGACCAAACTGAATGATAGAGTAGTAGGATCTATATTAATACTCTGGAAACCTGTGTGAACTTTGGAAATTATGCTCCGGTGAGTTTAAAACCTTGTTTTTGGTCTTTTGGTTTTTTTTTTTCTCTTAACATGAAGAATGTGACATTTGGATGGATATTGTTGGGAGGTGGCTTCTTGGAATCACTAGCATAAGAGAGTGGAGTGGAGACTTTTGCAGCTTGAAACAATTCCCCAGATCATTCTGATAGGTTCCTGCAATACCACCATTATTGCCTCATCCCACCAAGAATCATGGTGGTAATTTTTTTAAAAGCATGAAAAACTCTGTTTACAATGTTCTTTTTATAATATACAATTCAGAGCCCAACCCAAATCAAAGTAAACCACACAATGATGCCTTGAAGCAAAAGTAATTAAGATGTGCAGATAATTAAGGTGGGCATTATCAGAAAAGCAGTGTTACAGCTTTCTAGTTCCCTCTGGAATGTATCCCACCAAGCCAATTCTGGCAGTGAAACAAAGCAAGTGTCAAAGAACTATTCCTCCTAAAACCAAGTATTTCCATTGAGATTTTGCCTTTTTTTAAAAAGGGTTGATATTTAAGTTGACTCACTCTCTTAATACTTCACTGAAAGATCTGCCCCTCTCTTCCTCACACCACTGTAGCTGATTGAGGTAGCCCAGGAAACAATCTATCTGTAACTTAATGATACTGCAGCCAATATTAGATCTAACTGCACTGAGACAGGCATTTCCCAGAAGAGCTGGGAAGGGCCTCAGCTTCCCCCATTTAGAAGTCCTGGGAATCCTTAGCTTCCCTCTGGCCAGAAGATAGAGTCTAAGAAAGTGCAGCAATACCTGAACTAATCAAGCAACTTTAATACCTTCCTCCCCATCTCTGGGGCCAGGCTGTGGCTGCTCCATCAAAAAAAGCTTCTTTCCTTTCATATGACTTCTTCTCAAGGAATCTCATTAGAAGACTCTGATCTCCAAGTGCCCTCTCACCCCTGCACTTCCATTCTTGCCATCATGATTACAGACCATCTGCTCAGGTCCATTTCTTGCTCTGCACTCATCCAGAAGAACTGATAATAAAGACTGTCGTGTTTTCCAAGCACAACCAGGCCAGATTCCTTTGTTCCTCTGCATCCAAAGCTGAGGAAAGGCCCTGCCAACCCCCCTTCCCCACAGCATCCCATCCCCAAAAAGCCAAAGAGAGAAGATGGGACCATAAAATAATCTGGAGATTAATAGAAACAAGTTTGCTTCTTAGGATAAAGTGAAAGCTCACTAAATATTGACAGTGGAACATGGCCTTCATTTTATTTTGTACATGTATATATGTAGTATATGTGTATATACAAACATGTGTATAGAAATATAGAACATATATATGTTGTCTTTTTTACTTTAAGAAGCTCTTCTGCTAAAGCCTCACTGAGCATGTAAGCACAGTGGTGCATCTGAGGTCCTAATCTAGTTCAGTCACTTATTAGCTTATGCATGTGAAGTTAGTTGAGTTTCTGGGCCCGGGTTCCTCACTAGCATATGACAGAGCTAGCAATTCCCACTTCATGTAGCTATCCTAAAGTTTCTATAAGAGTTTATACAAAAGTGCCTGGTGCACACCGTGCTCAAAAAAATATATGTCTTCTTTCCATACTCTATGAATGGCTGATTTTCATGAATACCTTTCATTTAGCAGCTTTACTAGGCTACTTATGTGAAGAAAATAAAATATACAATCAGAAATAGTGAGGTTATCTTCGGCTAGGATGACAGAAGACACACTGTAGATACTAACAAAAGTGCATTCAAGAGAAATGTAGTGTTTCTGAGTAATGTAGCTAGCAAATTCAAAGACAAACAATGTCAGAGAACTTTTAGACTTTCTAGAACACATTATAGTATCTAGAGAAAGACACTCAGGTTTGAAACTTCAGAATTACAGGACTCACTCATAGTCTAAAACAAAAGAACCACCTTCCCTAATTAGGTGAGAAGGCCTATTTCTATCACATCAAACTTTCTGGTCCCAGGAAAGCAATAATCACTCTCAGTTTCATTTTTCCCTAAATAACCAAGATAGTGAAGCCATCTAGATCACTCTTAGAGTTTTGCTGCCGTTTCCATACTAATGTGTTTTCATAACCTAATGAGGTATATTATTTTCATACACAAAATAAGCAAACCCTGTTGATTACTCAAATGCTGACGCTCATGTTTTAGTGAAACACAACAGGTGCTTTGTTCATCTGACAACATGTTGGGAAAAACCCTTAAAAAAAGAAAAAGCTATCTACCCAAACCCAGGTCAAACAGAATAGGGTAAACATGATAAACATGGCACACCTACATCATGAATACACCAGTGTGAACCTGAAGAATGCTGGAGGGCAAGAAGGAAAACCGAGTTATGAAACCAAGCCACACACCTGGGAATCAGGGTGGAGAATGAGGACTAGGTTGATAGGGACACAATGGCTTTCCACTGTGTACAAGTATATGTGATTTAAGTTTAAAACCACGTGAATACACTTTCTCAAAAAATAAGCTAAAAAAGACAAATGTACTTGAAACCCTGAAAAGAATCAGTAAATTTTTTTCTTCTTTTTTGAGTCAGGGTCTCTTCTGTTGTCCAGGCTAGTGTGGTGGTGTAATCAATCATGGCTTACTGCAGCCTCAGATTCCTGGGCTCAAGCGATCCTCTGGCCTCAGCCTCCAGGGTAGCTGGGATGACCGGTATGCACTCCCATACTTGCGCAGCATTTTTTTTTTTTTAAGAAACGGTTTCATCATGTTGCCCTAGCTAATCTGAAACTCCTGGGCTCACGCAATCCTTCCTGCCTCTGCCTCTGCCTCTGAAAATGCTAAGCAAAAATTGGTAAATTCTTTCATCTGAATTTTATATAATATAAAGTAGTAAGAACTGTAGAACTTCCAACACATAATGACTCCATCCAAATCTCTGCACTAGAGGCAATGTGGGGAAAAGCAAGAGAGATCAGATTGTTACTGTGTCTGTGTAGAAAGAAGTAGACATAGGAGACTCCATTTTGTTATGTACTAAGAAAAATTCTTCTGCCTTGAGATTCTGTTAATCTATGACCTTACCCCCAACCCCGTGCTCTCTGAAATGTGTGCTGTGTCAACTCAGAGTTAAATGGATTAAGGGCGGTGCAGGATGTGCTTTGTTAAACAGATGCTTGAAGGCAGCATGCTCCTTAAGAGTCATCACCACTCCCTAATCTCAAGTACCCAGGGACACAAAAACTGCGGAAGGCCGCAGGGACCTCTGCCTAGGAAAGCCAGGTATTGTCCAAGGTTTCTCCCCATGTGATAGTCTGAAATATGGCCTCGTGGGAAGGGAAAGACCTGACCGTCCCCCAGCCCGACACCCGTAAAGGGTCTGTGCTGAGGAGGATTAGTAAAAGAGGAAGGAATGCCTCTTGCAGTTGAGACAAGAGGAAGGCATCTGTCTCCTGCCTGTCCCTGGGCAATGGAATGTCTCGGTATAAAACCCGATTGTATGCTCCATCTACTGAGATAGGGAAAAACCGCCTTAGGGCTGGAGGTGGGACCTGCGGGCAGCAATACTGCTTTGTAAAGCACTGAGATGTTTATATGTATGCATATCTAAAAGCACAGCACTTAATCCTTTACATTGTCTATGATGCCAAGACCTTTGTTCACGTGTTTGTCTGCTGACCCTCTCCCCACAATTGTCTTGTGACCCTGACACATCCCCCTCTTTGAGAAACACCCACAGATGATCAATAAATACTAAGGGAACTCAGAGGCTGGCGGGATCCTCCATATGCTGAACGCTGGTTCCCCGGGTCCCCTTATTTCTTTCTCTATACTTTGTCTCTGTGTCTTTTTCTTTTCCAAATCTCTCGTCCCACCTTACGAGAAACACCCACAGGTGTGTAGGGGCAACCCACCCCTACAGGATGACCGGTATGCACTCCCATACTTGCGCAGCATTTTTTTTTTTTAAGAAACGGTTTCATCATGTTGCCCTAGCTAATCTTAAACTCCTGGGCTCACGCAATCCTTCCTGCCTCTGCCTCTGCCTCTGAAAATGCTAAGCAAAAATTGGTAAATTCTTTCATCTGAATTTTATATAATATAAAGTAGTAAGAACTGTAGAACTTCCAACACATAATGACTCCATCCAAATCTCTGCACTAGAGGCAACCAAACTCCATCAGCAGAATAGGAACCTCTGTTTCCAGCCTCTCTGAGTAAACAGAATCTTAACTTCTTTGATTACCAGCTAACATACACAACTAGCCTAAACACATTCACACTGACCAACCCTTTGTAATTTTTTACTGGAGTGCTGCTCTCTCCCAGACTTCCAATACATTGAGAAGCATTGACCTGGACCCCTGACGGCTAGTTGAGGGGTCTAACTGGACCAGTGGTTCTCAACTCTGGTTGTACATTACAATCACCTGGGGATTTTAAATGTCCTCCCACCTACCCCTTCATGCTCCCTTAAAAATGATCAGTCACTTCTGCAAAACTCAGAAGGAAGCTCCACTCTTTACCCTATCAGTAGTTACTAAATAAAATCTGCTCTCTCCACTTTAATCAATGTCTGCCTTTGTTTATCTTTAATAGTAGTTAATGCCTTTCATATGTGTAAAGGTTATGTCCAAAAACCTTAATTTAAAAAAATCTGTATCAAAGAATAAAATTTTCCCAATAAAATGGATAATAAAAGAATTAAAATATCTAACTGCTTTTCACACACTATTTAGAAGAATTCTAAGTACTAACTCTGCGGGATGAGCCCTCCTCGAAAAAATTAACCCCACAGTCATTTTTTATTACCATCAAAATAAAATTCTCCTGAATCTCATTTCTATGTAGAATCTGCATGTTTCCTGTGCATATGCTCAAACCATAAGTTCACTTAAAAAAAAAATTCAGTAAAGAATTTTCTCTCACTTGAAGTATCTTTACACTGGCTAGAGAATTCACTACAGCAAATTCCTTAATGGTGTTTCTGGTTTCCAGATTTTGTGACTAACATGGACTGAAAAAAATCAGACATTCCACTCTAATTTATTCCAAAATTATTGCCTTCAGATCTGTAAGCTTTTTCTTTTTTTTTTTTTTTTTTTTGAGATGGAGTTTTGCTCTTGTCGCCCAGGCTGGGGTGCAATGGTGCGATCTCAGCTCACTGCAAGCTCTCCCTCCTGGTTTCCAGTGATTCTCCTGCCTCTGCCTGCTGAGTAGCTGGGATTAGAGACAGACAACACCACGCCCAGTTAATTTTTGTGTTTTTAGTAGAGATGGGATTTTACCATGTTGGCCAGGTTGGTCTCAAACTCCTAACCTCAGGTGATCCATCCACCTTGGCCTCCCAAAGTGCTGGAATTAAAGGCGTAAGCCACTCTGCCCGGCCAGATCTGTAGACTTCTAAAAGTGACTTTGCTTCTACGGACGTTACTGCTTTTCTCCAAAAACATAAACTTCAATCACCTCTCAGGAGTTCTTGTGCAAGAAGCAAAGTGGTTATGCTTACATACTAAGTGACTTAGTCTTCATCAAAGTGATTCCATTGGAAAACATTCTCTCACACCAGAAATTGGAAATGTTAGACTACAAACCTCAAATCTATATAGTATTTCAAAAGTTGTATTACACAAAGAGTAGTATTTATTTACAATAATAGTAACATCGACAATGATCATGTGGGAGTACTACATGCATGATCTAAATTAAACTTTCTCTGCAAGGCATTCACATCCTACAAATTCAAAACATTGGAATGACGTGACACATAAAAGTTCAATTAAAAATATATGTTGCTGCCTAATTTGATTTTTAGACATATAATTAATCAAGCTGCAGCTACCTTATAATGTTTTAATATTTTTTACAAGTCAATGAAAATCTGTTTACAAGAAATTTAAAGTCACAAAACTTCTCACAAGGCTTTTTATAAAGTGTAAACATTGTGTACATTTAAATGCTTAGTATTGTGAAAGAGTAATAAATTGGCATATCATCAATTCCCTTAAGCAACAATGCAGACCTAACAGACAATGAATTTTCACACGGTAATGTGGTGAGAAAACATGCAGAAACCTGAAACAAATATCTAATACATAGATATCAAAAACTGTTCTTGCTTAACAGTCTACCACATACACTGAATTCTTCTAATCCAAAAGGAGTCCTATTCTTGTTCATTTATGTTATTTTTTATAGAAGCATTTTTCCTTAATATTTTTGAGCTATGTCTAATAATGAAGAAAATTGCAACACACATATGAATACATAAAAATATCAACTTCACTGCAAGGAAAATAAATTAAAACAATAGTCACATATTTCACAAGATGAAAGGAGAGATCAAGGGTACACACACACACCATTTAGTTTGATTCAATTTCATAAAATATAGCATTTGAAATTTCTAAATTTGTTGCATTTACATTGAAATAAAAACATATAAGCATTGTTCACGACAGGAGACAGACAAATTCCTAGGCAGACAGGGGCAGGTCCCCAGTGAAACTCTACCTTCAAGCCAAGGACAGTCTAAAGCCTGGAAAACCAAGCTACCAGTTACAGATAGAATTCATAAACCAGAGTGAGAACCTCCATCGCAGTCTTACTCTCTCTCAATTTGTTCTTTTTGAACGATGTCTTTTAGCCAATCAAATGGTATCTTTTCCAAGCCCAACCATAAACGAAATGGCACACATTCCCCTATTCTAAGCCCATAAAAACCCTGGACTCAGCCTCACAGATGGCTACCCACTTTTGGGTCCCCTCTTGCTGTCGAGAGCTTTTCTTTCACTCAACAAATTCTACTCTCCCTTACTTTGTCTCCAGTGTCCCTGTATCTTATTCTTCTTGGGTGTGGGAAAAGAACCTGGAACTTGCCGAACCGTGGGAGTGAAAGAGTTGTAACACTCCTGCTCGCTGAGCTGCAGGGCAGTGGGAATTAAAGGGCTGTAACACTCTTGCCCACTAAACTACAGGAGCAAAACAGCTGCAACTGTATGTTGCTTGCATGTGTAAAACTTTTGAGCTCTTAAATAATTGTATTATTTGCAAATAATGACTGATTTGTTTCTTACTTTCCCATCCTTTATTCTTTTACTTCTCTTTCATCTGACTGTGCTAGTTAAAGCACCCAGTACCAGGTTGAATAGAAATGGTGATTATGGCCATTCTTTTCTTGCTCTTCAATTTAAAGGTAATGTTCCTAACACATTAAGTTTGATGTTAGATTTAGATTTTTGGTGTATAACTTTACCAAGACATTATAATTTGCTAAGAGTTTATCATGATTGGTGCTGAATTTAATCACATCTCCTCTCCAACTATAGAGATGATGTCACTAGCTTTTAATTTGAATATATGGTAAATTATTACAGTTGAATTTTTAATAATAAACTATCTCTGAATCCCTGGGATAAATCAGTTTGTACTCATGTTTATGAATGATACTAGCCTACAATTTGTAATTTATTAACTTTTACCGCTATAACTTGAACCTATAAAAACATAAATAATTTAACCACTATTCTGTTCATGTTTTACACACTTTCAGGAATACACTATCTATAGTATAAACAGAAACCAATAGAGTAGTACATTAAATGAAAAAGTACTACTACTCAAATCTATGATGTCCTTATACAGCTTATAAGTGTTTGTTCATATTTGCACATTACATACTGGTCACTCAGCAGTCACTGAGGGCCTACACTAGACCAGGCACCATTCCAGTTCTAGAAATAAAGTGATAAACCAGACAAAAACATCCTGTCTTGTTTGGCCTCCTATTCTAGATAAGGAAGTCAGACAATTAGCATGAATAAGTAAAGGATTTTGTGCCAGATTGTGTTAAATTGTTATAGAGAAAAAGCATGAAGAATGACAGGGAATACTTGAGTGAAAGATGGGCAGGTCATTTCATGCTCAATGCAAACTGAAGCACATCTGGAAAGACACGAATGTGATAAAGGAAGCCAAAGCTAAGCATTATGATGAAAACAGTATAAACAAACTATTTTTTGTGAAAAAGACAATTTTGTCAAGGCTGACAGATATGGTAGAGTAGTAGTTCTCAGCCCAATCCCTCCTAATGCAACAAAAATAAGAAATGATGTCTATGATGTGACCCACCCTTTCCTTCCTTGCCTAGGGAATATACTGGAAAAAAGATGAGACAAATGGGTATTACTATTAGTTATTTTTATTAAAATAAATCCCAAGTTTTAGAATTATTTTTAGTGTATGTAACTTACAGTATATTTCACAAGTGGTTAAAAATAACTAGGTTGGTAATATTTTAAGGGTCTTATCTAGCTGCGCTTTAAGGTCCCCTGAAAATCTGACCCTTTATAATTCCACAGTTAATTAGCAAACAAATATCCACATTTTATATAATTTGGACACAAATCTTTAGTGTCTTTATCTTACTTATTTGCTAAAGAGGAAAGCTGCCAAAAATAATAAACATAATGACCTATTGTTTGGGCGTATCCAGCATCTGTTCCCCATCCTGTGGGGAATGTGCCCCACCCTTATTCTCGTTCATGAAGTTTGGGTGGAGCTGACCTGGATCCAGGTGTGGACAAGTTAACTAGGCCTGAATGATAGAAAGAACACTCACATGGGCCACAGTAGTTGAATCTGAAAATGAAGATATATTTTACAACAGGCTTAATCAGAGTTAGAACTATGGTTTTTAGTGAAAATATTGGGATAGAGGCATTCTCTTTCCACTGAGTTTACAAAACATAAAATATAAAGTGGGAGCAGTATATTTTATAGTACATGCTTGATATTACTTAGAAAACCTCCCGAGAATAAAGAACCAAATTATTGGGTATAGATAGGGATGAGGAAGAGACTGATGAGAGAGGAAATTGCCCTTTTACCATCTGGGTTTGACAAAGCCTGAAGCCATTATCTTAGAATTTTTTCAGTTATATTTTTAAACCACTCTGTGTTGTGTTTCTGACATTTGCCATTAAGAAGTCCCAACTGATAAACCAATTAGCTCATCAATTAATTCAATTGGCTTAAAAACCACTCTGCCTGGATCCTCCTCCAGTAAATTTAGCTGAAACTGACATGCATGGCTGCATTTTAAATCATCATAAAATTTTATTCAGGAAGCAAAATACTGGAATCCATATAGCAACAAATCTACATAAAGATTTGACACACGTATTAATTCATGTTACAAAAACAAAGATCACTATATTCAAAATTTTAAGGATACTGGTTAAAAATTGAGATGAAATTTAAAAATTGCGTATCTATGTTATTTAGCAAACTGTGGTGAACATGTATTTCCTAGCTCATTAAAAATTGTCACTCTAATCACCTAAGTTATAATTTTGCAATTTACACATTTTAGTCTACATTTTCCTTTTTAAATTTTTAAATGAATTTGGCATGTTGGACAAAAAATTTTTACACACTTCCATCTACAATGTCATAAGCATCAGAAAACTATATGACAATTGAATTGAGGAAAGGTTAATCTGAATCAAATTAATATCCAAACAATATAAACCAATTAAAATTCTGAGATTTTGCAGCAATATGAGTAGGACTGGAGGCCATCATCTTAAGTGAAACAACTCAAACAGACACTCAAATACCAAGTTTTCAGTTATTAGTGGGAGCTAAATAACGTGTACACATGAACAAAGAGGGGAATGATAGACATTGGAGACTTGGAAGCAGGGAAGTGGGGTAAGGGGGAAATTGATGAGAAACGACATAATGGGCAGAATGTACACTATTCAGATGGTAGATACACTAAAAGCCAAGACTTCACCACTACACAACATACGCATGTAACAAAATTGCACTTGTTCTCCCTTAAATTTATACAACAAAAAAAACAAAACTGAGAAGGCACAGAGTCAGCAATCATTTAGCCACCATACCTAAGTCAAACTTTGGAATTTTGAGTCAAACTACAGAATTTTGAGATAATTCATTCAAGTTTAGCACCAAGTAAAACTGAAAAGTCATATAGAGATAGTTCCCTGTCTTCATAAGCTTTGATAAAGCCAAGGCATCTGTAACAGTAGAATCAAATGTAGTAACTTCTGTGACTTTCCTAAGATTTTTTAAAAATCATAACTTGGTAACGTTTTGGATTCTTACTGATTATTTTTCTTTACTGTATATTTTACATCAGAGAATTCATAATTCAAAGACCTAGAGGAGATATCTCTCCACGATTCTTAACACATATGCTTTCTTATTAAGCCCCAAATACAGACCAGCTGAAAAGATCTTTAATCTCAATGCAATATACACAGCACTTGGCAAGACAGAGGCTTGCAAACAACTGTCCCACAGGCAGCAGAAGGCAAAACAGCTATTCACCATTACTTATGTTCTTGAATTCACAACAACGGCCACATTTGCTATTGCTCAGCTAACCTCACAGGCCTGAGGAGATAATTAAACTCTAAATAACAAAAGGCATGCATTTTTAACACCCAATTAACCTGATGTAACCCTGATTTACATGACTTGAGAAAGTTACTGGTGAAGAAAATCCATGTTCTCATGATGTTGCTGGCAAAGCCTGGTGTTCTCAATTCATTAGAAAAACTGAAATTATGATATAGAAGGTACAACTGTAAAAAATACGAATGAGACTCTGAAATTATATTGGCCAGGTCACTTGTTAAAAATTACACCCCCCACACCAGTTGTGTTTATGCAGTTGCTTAAACTGGTAATTTTTAGGCTAAATACGATACCTTCATTATTAAAATTGCTACCAAAGTTCAGAAAGATTTGCCACTGAATGTTTTAATGTTTGCTCTATAATCAGCATGCTTTAGAAACCTTATGTAACCATTTTCATCTAAAAAGTCAGACTCAAGGATCATGCTTATTCCTTTCTCCATGGGCTAGAACTGGGAAGTGAGTAACTAGATTTGAGCAACTTCTTATCTAGGGGCTTTGGCTTATTTCCTCTTACTACAGTGAGAAAATTACAAGCAAATGTCTGCTAATGCTGGACTTTTTTAAACTATAAAAGAAAAAAAAAAAGATGATCCTCCCTAAAGAGCCAAAATCCTTTAATATCATCAAAACATCTTAAATACGAAGCCAGAAATTTAATAAAGGGATAAGAGAATTAAGGTGGTGAATATGGCACAATTAAATGTAAATCTTAGTAATATTTAATAAAACATATTATTCCTACTTAAAATTAAAAACCAAACAGATCAAGTCAGAATCCAAGATACCTAACCAGTAGACAAGCAAGAAATGACCTGACTCTTCACTGAAAGGCAACTAGAAATAAATAGTATAATGCAGATAGGTGTATTCTAAAACCACAAATGCATACCTTCATACATTAAAAAATTGTATGTGGCTTAAGATTTAGTGACTGGTATATTTTCACAGAAGCATATCCCCAGTGGAGGGTCAAAATATTTTTTTTGTTACCTTACTTTACAGTAAGAATGGAGCATAAGGTTGGCTCAGACCAATGATGTAAATACATACCAGTAGGTAATATATAGTTTAGTGGTCCATATTTTAATACATTTTATATTGTGCTGATTTCAGCTTGCAAGCCTATGAACAAAATTAAACTTCCTTTACTTGCGTCCTAACTTCAATACTTCTAATACAAAAGTATTTGTGGTAAACAAAAAAAAGCAGTATGTTCAATAGTGAACTTTTAGTTTCTTGTGTTTCTGAACCCCTCTTTTGAAAGATTTGTCTGTACATAAGATCTGTGGCCTAATTATTTTTATTGTGACTTAGAAAGTTTTGAGCCATAAGTACAAATTCTGAACCTTTTTTTAAAAAAGAACATAGTAAAAATTAAATGATTACAAGGTAAAATTTTAGCTGAAAAAAGTGGCAAATTCTCTGTGGTACTCTTTTTGAACACTATTTCTTTATATTCCTCCTTACAAAGTGTTTTAGAATGATACAGTGATTACAAACATACATATAAACAATGATAAAAGCATAACAATCATGAATAGTGTCTGTGTGAAACATCTGTGTTTTTCCTGTCCATTAAAATCCAGAGTCTAAAAGGAATTACTGTAGATATGTTTATTATTAAACCAACTCATTTCTAAACAGCATTAGCACATTGTCACTTTCCATTCAGTAAGAGGAAGTTTGAATCTTAATTAAAGTATACTTCCTTACCAGTTGTCAAAGGTGAGTAATGAGATGGATGAAAAACTAATAAATCTTGCTATTTTCTATAAACAAAACCAAATGCCAAACATTACACACCTTTCTGATTCTCCGTGAAGAAAGTCCTTTTATAATCCCATTGTGATCAAAATCAGAAACATTGATAGGATTCTCAGAGACTATAAACACATGACCTTATTTTGCAAACTATTCTCTTTACTGAGTGGGAAAGAAAGTAAGGGATTTTGCATATGACCAAATTCTACCACTCTTCCACTCTCATTCCTGGAAAATGGTTCTTGGACAGATAGCTCCTGATTTTGGAAATCACTTACCTTTGCTCTAAAATGATATACAGCATCTATTAGGCAATACGCTGCAAATGTTTCAAAGCATTCAGTCTTATTGTCACTGACTTAGAATGTCAAATCTTTAAAATTAGGTTGACTTCACATTTCTCCTACCTAGTTTCATTTCCTACCCTTCATGCTTTCAAGTCCTCAAGCATGAACGTGATGCTCTCCAATGGATTCCGTTAAACACTGCAATTTCACAGTTCCTTGTACAGCTGCTTATGCAGTTTGGATAATTAGTGTTGCATAAAGTGAAAACAAACAAAGATATCTCCCTCACTCACATATTATTCAAGGAAAGTCTACATAAAACTGCTGCAAGCAGGATACACACATTTTATTTCAATGCACTAAAATAATGCCATGTACATTAGAAAACACTCAGTTTTGCAAAGCCTAATTATTCAGTTTGTTCTTTTAGACTATTTGTCATGCCATTATTTCTTCACTATTTCATTACTCAAAATATCAGAAACTGGACAAAGACTAAAATCAAATCCCATTTTAAATTTTTCATTGATATAAGTAATAGAGCAGGAGTTTTACTGAGTAAATAGTTATAGGAAATCAGATCAATATCAATGAAGTATATCAGTGTTTTCCGTAAGTCCACAACATGTTTTCCTGAAGACTACCAGTAGGATTCCACTTGTCAAATTGCCTTCTTTTTGTTTCTATTCCTCTTGACTTAATATACAACTATCCCCTGGAAATACCTTTCTACAACCTCTGAGACACAGCACCTTTTGTATTACATGCTTTTACTGTATGCATCTCAACTTTCTCAATTGCAACAACACTATTTTCTAGCAATTATTTTGTAACACTGACTTCACTAACCTGAATCAAAATAATATAGCCTACCTATGCACCCCCATTAATATGATGCTTTAATTAAAACATAAAACTCATAAAGTGTCAAAAATAATTCCTTTTGTTATGACATGAGTTGGGATGGTGAGGAAGTCTCACAAAAACAAGGGATAAGGGATAATTTTTTAAAAATAACTTATACCTCTATTTTTGCCAGTTTAATATGTCTTAAGTAAAGCTCCAATCTCCTCTATTTACATACTTAACACTACTTTCATTGATTTTGCAGTGTTCTATACTGAATCTCCTTTCAAATACATGAGTTGGAAAAACAATACATTAGGTAAAAAAAATTGCAGTCTGTAATTTCATAATTTCAAGATAAAGCATTTAATTTTCTCACTTCATAAAGATCTTCTAAATTATGGTGTCTCTATGGAACCTCCCTTTATGACACACAGAAGCTGCCCTGCACCAGGTGAGAGAGCATGGCAGGCGGGGTGAACATTAGCCGTCCTCTTCTCAACTCCTCCTATACTATTGTGTGTCCCACCCTTATCAAAGAAGGCTATCTTTGGCTAATTCATCTTAAAAATTTGGTAGAACAAGGTAGAGAATAAGTGTATATCACCCATTCTTCATATGTATGCCTGGGTAATTTTGAAGGATATCATCTCCAGGTATATGAATTCCTTGAGGACTGAAACCTTGTTGGAAGTTCATACTACCCCTTAGTGGCTGGCACATTATGTTGTATATAATGACATTGGGCACTTAGAAAATAAGCTGGATGTTTGGACTTAGAATGAATAGAAAGATTTGAGTCTTTCCATGCCAATAGCATTCCCACAAACGTGGTGAACATTCCTAAAATCCACCAAATTTTCTGTGAGAAGTGTGGCAAGCACCAACCCCATGAAGTGACACAGGGCAAGAAGGGCAAGGATTTTCTGTATGCCCAGGGGAAGTGGTGTTATGACAGATAGCAGGGTGGCTCTGGTGGGCAGACTAAGCCAATTATCCAGAAAAAGCTAAAACTACAAAGAAGATTGTGCTAAGGCTTAGTGCATTAAGCCCAGACCAACCGCAGATCTAAGAGAATGCTAGCTATCAAAAGATGCAAGCATTTTGAACTGGAAGGTGGTAAGAAGAGACACGGCCAAGTAATACGGTTCTAAGTGTCTTTTTTTTTTTTTTTTTGAGACGAGTCTCGCTCTGTTGCCCAGGCTGGAGGGCAGTGGCAATCTCGGCTCACTGCAGCCTCTACTTCCCAGGGATTCAAGTGATTGTCTTGCTTCAGCCTCCCCAGTAGCTGGGATTACAGGTGCTCCCCACCACAATCGGCTAATTTTTGTACGTTTAGTAGAGACGGGGTTTCACAATGTTGGCCAGATTGGTCTCGAACTCCTGACCTCAGGTGATCTGCAAGCCTCAGCTTCCCAAAGTGTTGGGATTGCAGGCGTGAGCCATGGCGCCCAGCCCTAAGTGTCATCTTTTGTTTTATTATGAATAAAATAAAATCTTGAGTTTACATTCACACAAAAAAAGAAAGATTCACACAAAAAAAGAAAGCAAATCTAAAACACAAAATTTTAGGTTGTACCATCTGAAATACAACCACTACAGAATGAGATCTTTTAGGAATGTATATAAGAACACGCTACTAAACAAAATATTCATTTCATTAGATTTTTTAAAAATTTAAGTTTGGTATCTAAAAGCATATGGCCATTTTATAATCAAATACAGAAAGACAAATTTTAGTAACTTGAGAATGGCCACAAGGTTACTGAAGAACAAGAACTTAAAGCTATGGCTGAAGATGCCCATTTCAATATTACATCCACATTTTTTTCACTTACATGCAATTTCCCTCTCTTTAATAAAAATTAGAAAATGATATAATTGCACCAATGGGTTTGATATGGATCTGATCCAAATCAAGCTCTTTAAAAACAATTTTACAGATAATGTAAAAATAAGTTTTGCCTTTCTAACACCCTATGCCCTCTTCCAGATATTATCACTCTACATGCAATAAAAAAGCATATACATATATACATGTGTGTATGGATAGATACATGTATATAATTTGTATGCTTTTTTATATTTAAACATGTCTAGCCCTATTCACCCTATAAATCCCTTAATCTTAATGGGGGTGAGTAGCAAGAAATACTTAGCCTACAATATCTGCACTCCAGTGTTAGTGTGGTAGGCAGCATTTGATATGGTTCCCAATGATAACCCTTGTGTAGTCACCTCCCCTGAGTGTGGGTGGAGCATAGTGATTTGCCTCTGGCGAACCCAGTACAGCAAAGGGGATGGGATGTCAGTCGCTGATGTCACAGAAGACTGTGACTTCCATCTTCTGGTTCTCTCTTGCATTCTATGATGTTTCCAGACACTCTGTGCAAAGAACAGAGGCAAGCCTCCAGCCAGGAGCTCATGAAATCATGAACTGAGGCCTCAGTGCAATAGCTCATGAGGAAATGAATTATTTCAACAGCCAGGTGAGTGAGCTACTTGGGAAAATTTCCAGGAGAGCTTTGAGATGGTTGCATCCTTGATGGAGACCCAGAGCTTGAGGACCCACAGAAACTGCGAGATAATAAATGTTGGGTTATATAGTAATAGCTAACAAATGCACTGTTTAAAGAAATTCGCTCATTAAAAATTTCCATGGCAGTACCCTCCTTAAGTTAGAGGATGCTTCTCTTCATTTACATACAGAAAGTAGCTTCTTTTATCCAGAAAAAAAAAAAAGGAAAGATCTGGGTGCAAACATACTGTCAGATAGAAATAAAACCTACTGTTCAATACATCAGTAGGGTGACAATAGTTAACAATCTACTGTACATTTCAAAATAGCTAGAAGAGCATAACTAAAATGTTCCTAGCACAAAGAAAAGATAAATATTCAAGGTGATGAATATCCTGATTACCCCAATTTTATTTTTACACATGATGTGAATGGATCAAATTACCAAATGTACCCTGAAAATACGTGCATTTTGTATTGACAAAAAAATCTGTAGCAGAAGGTGTGTGTTTAATATTGCATTTCATTTACATATATCTAAGTAAAACAAGCTTACCGCCATTCTCTAATGAGTCTGCCAAGTAAGCTAACCAAACTCTATAAAAACAATTTTTTTCAAAATTACAAATTTTTGAAAACATATTTTATGACCTTTGTATTTTCCCAAAGAATGACTAAGTCTAAACAATAAAAGTCAAAACAATATTGAAAGTGAAAAATATCTGGTCTCATAAACATTCCCACATCAAAAAAGCCTGATTACTTTGAAGAGGGTATTATGGGTTTCTGTAAACAGATTTGGTGTTGCATGTTTGGTACGTCTGCCATATGATTCGGTGCCATGGAAAGTTTTGTGTGTTTAGTAAATAATTCCCATTTAAATTCCAAGTAATTGTTCATTGCAGAAAGTTGAACTTCTAAGTCTAACCTCACCCATGATTACCATAAAAAAAAACAGTGTTCTGCTAACCGACAGCATACACCCATTTGTTCTCCAAAGGATCATGCATACTTAAAGGATGATTCCTCTATCTAGTGGACACAGAGTAAATGCGGACCTTTGAGATGAAAAAATGGATGTCAGTGGTACCCTATACATTCAGATCTTTAGGACCAAAGCTGTAATAGAAAACTGTTCCTATATCATTATCAGTTGACCTAAGGTAATTACAAGGAGTTTCACAATCAAGAATGTTTCTTGGATGTCCTTTACAGTGCACAGAAAACCTTCAAAGCCCAGACAATAGAGAAGAACAATTGTACTTACGTCATCGAGTAGAGCAATATGGTTTATACTTGTGATACAAGACCAATACATACAGCTTTATATAATTTAATTTTGTTACCAAAAATATTTATTTTATTGTTCTATATCCTATTTTGGAGATTTTTATAATAATTCTCACAAATCTTTTACAAATTTTTTTTTAAAAAAACAAAAATGTAGAGAACTGCTTTGGTAACTTTCTTATTTGTATGTCTCCTAGATCTGCAGTCGTAGGAACAAAAGAAAACGTAGAATTCAGGCTAAGGGAGAGGGTAAGAGAGTGCCTCTGCTTTATCCCATGGCTTCTCCGTGGCTTGGTTTTTGCAGGTCTGCCAATTAGTGCCATCCTTTCCAATGTCCCCATCCAATTAAAATACTGACTAAGCTACATTGCTTTCAAAAGTTCTATTTCCCACTATATTATAAGTAAGTGAAATGACAGTTTAGTGGGGAAGAAATAAGAGAAAATGATGGGCTAAAACGATACACACTCCTTACCATGCTGCCACATTTAATATGCTCCTCAGCCTTCTTCTGATGGATCCTAACTCCCCCACTGTCTTCCACTGTACTTTGATCAAGACGTCTGACAAAAGAACAGTTCCCTCTCTGAACTCTACTAAAATATACACACCGTAATGAATAATTTCTCCAGGAAAAGAAAGGAAATAATAGTTCAGGTGAAGTTTGTGGTCACATATGGAAAGGAAAGAAAAACCAGGCTCAGTTCCAGAATGTCTGTGTGTCAGAGTGAGATATGTATGTATAACGCATCTCTGGACACAGCCAGCACCACCATCCTCTGTCTCCGCTTTCTCATCCAACATAGGCTTTAATGTGGAAGTTCTGACATCTGCATTTTACAAATGAAGAACCTGGGGCCTATAAAACTTACACTGCTTGTCCGAGGTGATATAACTAGTTTTTCCAGTGTGGAGGGCAACAGACACTAGCTCAGTGAAAGAAACAATCAGTTATAATAGTTTATGGGAAACTTTTAAACTTTGAACCTATGTGCTTCTATTGCTAAATCCCTAAGCATATAAAATGCACAGGTTAAAGATAAAACTGCTTACAGCACTTTAGATATTTTACAGGCTTTAAAATTTTTACTGTCACAGAAGTTCACATGCAAAATTGAAAAATATATAGTTGCAAATATTTGCATTAAAAAGTCATTATAGAGGTATTTTCACATTTCAACAAAATTAAGACTACACACTCTAAGCTATTGGCTTGAACTATTCATGCCAGAAACATTCTGTCTCTGTAAGTTCACTGCTAGATCATCAAATACAGATTTTTAGGTGATTAGTACAGGTTCCTCAAATATAATTTTGTATCATGGATCTTAATGATGACTTGCACAGCAAAGTTTGCTTAATAATGAAAAGTGAATAATATTTTACACATAGAATTATTTAAGATTATACTTTAAAGGGACTTAGTCTAATTTAATTTTGTTACCAAAAAATTTCATTTTATTGTTCCATATCCTGTTTTGGGGACTTATTTATAATAATTCTCAACAATCTTTTACAAATTTTTTTTTAAAAAACAAAAATTTGGCCAGGCGCGGTGGCTCACACCTGTAATCCCAGCACTTTGGGAGGCTGAGGTGGGTGGATCACCTGAGATCAGAATTTCAAGACCAGCCGGGTCAACATGGTGAAACCCTGTCTCTACTACATATACAAAATTTAACTGGGCATGGTGGCGGGCACCCATAATCCCAGCTACTTGAGAGGCTGTGGCAGGAGAATTGCTTGAACCCAGGAGGTGGAGGTTGCAATGAGCCGAGATTGTGCCATTGCGCTCCAGCCTGGGCAACAAGAGAAAAACTTCGGCTCAAAAAAAAAAAAAAATTACAGAACTGCTTTGGTAACTTTCTTATTTGTCCCTTAGTCTATTTTAAGTATTAAACTATGAAAGCTCATTTTAATTATCCATAGTCATGTCTATAGGATTATTTTAGAAAGAGAGATAAGGCCTGGTTTAAATTCGTTCAACAAATTGTGAAAGCAAGCTTTATGTTACACTTCTAATCTAGAGCAAAAATTTTAAAACATTCCAAATTATTTTACATGAGTTACTGAGCATTGGATAAAGTCAGAAAACTTTATACTACGTATAAATGGCCAAGCCAATAATATAATCCATAAGTCTACATTTAAGCTATCTACAAAGAGGTTATTTTAAGTGATAAATTTTCTTTTTGAGTTTGCATGTTAAATCTGAATTTCAAGTAAACATCAAAGGTTTTTTTAATTCAAGTATGCTCCATGTAACATTTGGGACATACGCTAAAAATTATTGTTTATGTGAAATTCAAATTTAACTAGGCATCATATATATAACCTGGCAACATTACACTTTACTGGAAAGTCAACTACAGTGCAGTGCATACAGACCCTTTTGCCCTAGCCAAATGAGAGTTCCAGGGATTATTTACACTCTCCATTTTCTGATTGAGATTTGCCTCAATAAACTCTACTTTCTAACTGCACTATGTGACAATAGTAGTGTTTGTCCATGACTCCTTTAGACAACATGAGAAAAAGAACAGATTTTTCCCACTGTAATAATCTGAGTACAAACAAAAAAGATTTTTTTTTTGAGACAGGGCCTCACTCTTTTTCCCAGACTGGTGTGCAGGGGCGGCAACCTCTGCTCACTGCAACCTCCGCCTCCGCCTCCCAGATTCAAGTGATTCTCCCACCTCAGCCTCCCAGGTAGCTGGGACTACAGGCACCCACAACCATGCCTGGCTAATTTTTTAACTTTTTTGTAGAGACAAGGGTTTCACCGTGTTGGCCAGGCTGGTCTTGAACTCCTAACCTCAAGTGATCCGCCCGCCCATCTTGGCCTCCCAAAGTGTTAGGATTACAGGCGTGAGCCACCACAAAGAGAGAATATTACTGACCATGGATACAGATCTGAGTTCTGTTACTCTACCCGTTATCTGTCCTCGGGCAAATATATGTAACTCCTTGGGCCTTGGCTGTCCTGACTTCAGTAGCCTCCTACAGCATTAACATTTTGCAATTCCATTATCCTACGTGAACTAAAATTTGCCTAGTTCTTGATAACTGAGGTCATGCTTGCATATTTTGGAAGCAGAGGAAACAACAACCTTTAAGTTAAAACAAAACCAAGGGATTAGCTAAAAGATGGTCCTTATATTTAATTAAAATGTATAGTTTCAGAAGAAATGTTACCCACAGGTTAAAAATGCAGCCGAAATAATTTCATAAACAATAGCTGTTATTTGCCACCCACAAATAAGTTTAAATACCTGTCATTCACTGGACATTCAGTACCAAATTACTTTTGAGACCACTAAAAATAGCAGTGGACCGTTCAACTTGCTAGACTCTTGTATGGTACCTCCAAGAAACTCTAAAGTAGTCACAAATCCAATGAAAGCTATCTATGCACAAAGGACAAATCCACAGATTCTCCAAATTTTTAACCCTAATTCTATTTCTTAATAGATTTTCCAAATTCTTTGTTTTAAATAGCATTTCTCTGCACAAAGAATCTGTAATGGTAGCTCATTGTGCTTTCAGTGTAACTAACATGCAGCTATTAAAGACAGTGACAATGAATGCATTTCTTTAGTTAAGTACCATGCCCTCTTATAATCTGAATGCCAGGCAGTGCTTTCAAATGATTAAATAACCTGTTTAGGGAGATAAACAATTGACTACCAATATCTTTAACATAACATAAAAGTAAATAATCTTAAATTACACCAGTGGACAAGGAATCTGGCTTTGTAGGGTTGCCACGTAAATATAAGAATTTTATTAGATTTGAAATTCAAATTTCATATTTGGAACAAACTTAACAAAAAGTATTATATATTTGAAATTCAATTTTAACTGGGAAAATCATACTTTTATTTGATAAACCTGACAGTTCTATTTGGGATACCTAATATGAGATGTTTGCTCATTAGCATTTCCCCAATGCTAATAGTTTTATTGGTTTCTATTTTTTTCCTAGAGGCAAGAGGTTCTACTATTATAGCACACACATAGATGAGTAACTTTCCAGCTGTAATTTCACTTATCAATAATATCCTCCTGCTTTTAACAAATCAGATACCTACCATTAAAACTAGTCTACAGAACATACATTCGGAAGATAAACATTTTACCTACCTGTGGGTAAGATATGAGAAGCCCATATAACAAAATATTTCTTTCTTTTACTTCCTTTGCAAATTCTCTAATCTGCATTAGGTTTTCCATTTTCTGACTGGGAGGTACTAATTTAAAATCAAGAAAATGAACCTGCAAAATATAAAAGACAGTATTTAGAATATCATTCCCTTCAACTTTCTCTGGAGGGAAAAAACATTAAAGAAGCTCAAAACCCATATGATTACAATATTGCAATAATCTTTATTAACTTTTGTTAATCTCTAGTTATGCTTCAAGCCATACTTAAGATCGATGAATCCTCCTTTATAAACACAGATGTAGTAAACACTCAGAGAAAACGAGGTTGAAAAACCAAATGCTGGGGAGGAGCCAAGATGGCCGAGTAGGAACAGCTCCGGTCTACAGCTCCCAGCGTGAGCGACGCAGAAGACGGGTGATTTCTGCATTTCCATCTGAGGTACCGGGTTCATCTCACTAGGGAGCGCCAGACAGTGGGCGCAGGTCAGTGGGTGCGCGCACCGTGCGTGAGCGGAAGCAGGGCAAGGCATTGCCTCACTTGGGAAGCGCAAGGGGTCAGGGAGTTCCTTTTCCGAGTCAAAGAAAGGGGTGACAGACGCACCTGGAAAATCGGGTCACTCCCACCCGAATATTGCGCTTTTCGGACCAGCTTAAAAAACGGCGCACCACGAGATTATATCCTGCAACTGGCTCTGAGGGTCCTACGCCCACGGAGTCTCACTGATTGCTAGCACAGCAGTCTGAGATCAAACTGCAAGGCGGCAGCGAGGCCGGGGGAGGGGCGCCCGCCATTGCCCAGGCTTGCTTAGGTAAACAAAGCAGCCGGGAAGCTCCAACTGGGTGGAGCCCACCACAGCTCAAGGAGGCCTGCCTGCCTCTGTAGGCTTCACCTCTGGGGGCAGGGCACAGACAAACAAAAAGACAGCAGTAACGTCTGCAGACTTAAATGTCCCTGTCTGACAGCTTTGAAGAGAGCAGTGGTTCTCCCAGCACGCAGCTGGAGATCTGAGAACGGGCAGACTGCCTCCTCAAGTGGGTCCCTGACCCCTGACCCCCGAGCAGCCTAACTGGGAGGCACCCCCCAGCAGGGGCACACTGACACCTCACACGGCAGGGTATTCCAACAGACCTGCAGCTGAGGGTCCTGTCTGTTAGAAGGAAAACTAACAAACAGAAAGGACATCCACACCAAAAACCCATCTGTACATCACCATCATCAAACACCAAAAGTAGATAAAACCACAAAGATGGGGAAAAGACAGAACAGAAAAACTGGAAACTCTAAAACGCAGAGCACCTCTCCTCCTCCAAAGGAACGCAGTTCCTCACCAGCAACGGAACAAAGCTGGATGGAGAATGACTTTGACGAGCTGAGAGAAGAAGGCTTCAGACGATCAAATTACTCTGAGCTACGGGAGGACATTCAAACCAAAGGCAAAGAAGTTGAAAACTTTGAAAAAAATTTAGAAGAATGTATAACTAGAATAACCAATACAGAGAAGTGCTTAAAGGAGCTGATGGAGCTGAAAGCCAAGGCTCGAGAACTACGTGAAGAATGCAGAAGCCTCAGGAGCCGATGCGATCAACTGGAAGAAAGGGTATCAGCAATGGAAGATGAAATGAATGAAATGAAGCGAGAAGGGAAGTTTAGAGAAAAAAGAATAAAAAGAAATGAGCAAAGCCTCCAAGAAATATGGGACTATGTGAAAAGACCAAATCTACGTCTGATTGGTGTACCTGAAAGTGACGGGGAGAATGGAACCAAGTTGGAAAAAACTCTGCAGGATATTATCCAGGAGAATTTCCCCAATCTAGCAAGGCAGGCCAACGTTCAGATTCAGGAAATACAGAGAACGCCACAAAGATACTCCTCGAGAAGAGCAACTCCAAGACACATAATTGTCAGATTCACCAAAGATGAAATGAAGGAAAAAATGTTAAGGGCAGCCAGAGAGAAAGGTCGGGTTACCCTCAAAGGGAAGCCCATCAGACTAACAGCAGATCTCTCCGCAGAAACCCTACAAGCCAGAAGACAGTGGGGGCCAATATTCAACATTCTTAAAGAAAAGAAATTTCAACCCAGAATTTCATATCCAGCCAAACTAAGCTTCATAAGTGAAGGAGAAATAAAATACTTTACAGACAAGCAAATGCTGAGAGATTTTGTCACCACCAGGCCTGCCCTACAAGAGCTCCTGAAGGAAGCGCTAAACATGGAAAGGAACAACCGGTACCAGCCGCTGCAAAATCATGCCAAAATGTAAAGACCATCGAGACTAGGAAGAAACTGCATCAACTAACGAGCAAAATCACCAACTAACATCATAATGACAGGATCAAATTCACACATAACAATATTAACTTTAAATGTAAATGGACTAAATGCTCCAATTAAAAGACACAGACTGGCAAATTGGATAAAGAGTCAAGACCCATCAGTGTGCTGTATTCAGGAAACCCATCTCACGTGCAGAGACACACATAGGCTCAAAATAAAAGGATGGAGGAAGATCTACCAAGCAAATGGAAAACAAAAAAAGGCAGGGGTTGCAATCCTAGTCTCTGATAAAACAGACTTTAAACCAACAAAGATCAAAAGAGACAAAGAAGGCCATTACATAATGGTAAAGGGATCAATTCAACAAGAAGAGCTAACTATCCTAAATATATATGCACCCAATACAGGAGCACCCAGATTCATAAAGCAAGTCCTGAGTGACCTACAAAGAGACTTAGACTCCCACACATTAATAATGGGAGACTTTAACACCCCACTGTCAACATTAGACAGATCAACGAGACAGAAAGTCAACAAGGATACTCAGGAATTGAACTCAGCTCTGCACCAAGCAGACCTAATAGACATCTATAGAACTCTCCACCCCAAATCAACAGAATATACATTTTTTTCAGCACCACACCAAACCTATTCCAAAATTTACCACATACTTGGAAGTAAGGCTCTCCTCAGCAAATGTAAAAGAACAGAAATTATAACGAATTATCTCTCAGACCACAGTGCAATCAAACTAGAACTCAGGATTAAGAATCTCACTCAAAACCGCTCAACTACATGGAAACTGAACAACCTGCTCCTGAATGACTACTGGATACATAACGAAATGAAGGCAGAAATAAAGATGTTCTTTGAAATCAATGAGAACAAAGACACAACATACCAGAATCTCTGGGACGCATTCAAAGCAGTGTGTAGAGGGAAATTTATAGCACTAAATGCCCACAAGAGAAAGCAGGAAAGATCCAAAATTGACACCCTAACATCACAATTAAAAGAACTAGAAAAGCAAGAGCAAACACATTCAAAAGCTAGCAGAAGGCAAGAAATAACTAAAATCAGAGCAGAACTGAAGGAAATAGAGACACAAAAAACCCTTCAAAAAATTAATGAATCCAGGAGCTGGTTTTTTGAAAGGATCAACAAAATTGATAGACCGCTAGCAAGACTAATAAAGAAGAAAAGAGAGAAGAATCAAAGAGATGCAATAAAAAATGATAAAGGGGATATCACCACCCATCCCACAGAAATACAAACTACCATCAGAGAATACTACAAACACCTCTACGCAAATAAACTAGAAAATCTAGAAGAAATGGATAAATTCCTCGACACATACACTCTCCCAAGACTAAACCAGGAAGAAGTTGAATCTCTGAATAGACCAATAACAGGAGCTGAAATTCTGGCAATAATCAATAGTTTACCAACCAAAAAGAGTCCAGGACCAGATGGATTCACAGCCAAATTCTATCAGAGGTACAAGGAGGAACTGGTACCATTCCTTCTGAAACTATTCCAATCAACAGAAAAAGAGGGAATCCTCCCTAACTCATTTTATGAGGCCAACATCATTCTGATACCAAAGCCGGGCAGAGACACAACCAAAAAAGAGAATTTTAGACCAATATCCTTGATGAACATTGATGCAAAAATCCTCAATAAAATACTGGCAAAACAAATCCAGCAGCACATCAAAAAGCTTATCCACCATGATCAAGTGGGCTTCATCCCTGGGATGCAAGGCTGGTTCAATATACGCAAATCAATAAATGTAATCCAGCATATAAACAGAGCCAAAGACAAAAACCACATGATTATCTCAATAGATGCAGAAAAAGCCTTTGACAAAATTCAACAACCCTTCATGCTAAAAACTCTCAATAAATTAGGTATTGATGGGACGTATTTCAAAATAATAAGAGCTATCTATGACAAACCCACAGCCAATATCATACTGAATGCGCAAAAACTGGAAGCATTCCCTTTGAAAACTGGCACAAGACAGGGATGCCCTCTCTCACCACTCCTATTCAACATAGTGTTGGAAGTTCTGGCCAGGGCAATTAGGCAGGAGAAGGAAATAAAGGGTATTCAATTAGGAAAAGAGGAAGTCAAATTGTCCCTGTTTGCAGATGACATGATTGTATATCTAGAAAACCCCATTGTCTCAGCCCAAAATCTCCTTAAGCTGATAAGCAACTTCAGCAAAGTCTCAGGATACAAAATCAATGTACAAAAATCACAAGCATTCTTATACACCAATAACAGACAAACAGAGAGCCAAATCATGAGTGAACTCCCATTCACAATTGCTTCAAAGAGAATAAAATACCTAGGAATCCAACTTACAAGGGATGTGAAGGACCTCTTCAAGGACAACTACAAACCACTGCTCAGGGAAATAAAAGAGGATACAAACAAATGGAAGAACATTCCATGCTCATGGGTAGGAAGAATCAAAATCGTGAAAACGGCCATACTGCCCAAGGTAATTTACAGATTCAATGCCATCCCCATCAAGCTACCAGTGACTTTCTTCACAGAATTGGAAAAAACTACTTTAAAGTTCATATGGAACCAAAAAAGAGCCCGCATCACCAAGGCAATCCTAAGCCAAAAGAACAAAGCTGGAGGCATCACACTACCTGACTTCAAACTATACTACAAGGCTACAGTAACCAAAACAGCATGGTACTGGTACCAAAACAGAGAAATCGATCAATGGAACAGAACAGAGCCCTCAGAAATAACGCCACATATCTACAACTATCTAATCTTTGACAAACCTGAGAAAAACAAGCAATGGGGAAAGGATTCCCTATTTAATAAATGGGGCTGGGAAAACTGGCTAGCCATATGTAGAAAGCTGAAACTGGATGCCTTCCTTACACCTTATACAAAAATCAATTCAAGATGGATTAAAGACTTAAACGTTAGACCTAAAACCATAAAAACCCTAGAAGAAAACCTAGGCATCACCATTCAGGACATAGGCATGGGCAAGGACTTCATGTCCAAAACACCAACAGCAATGGCAACAAAAGCCAAAATTGACAAATGGGATCTGATCAAACTAAAGAGCTTCTGCACAGCAAAAGAAACTACCATCAGAGTGAACAGGCAACCTACAAAATGGGAGAAGATTTTCACAACCTACTCATCTGACAAAGGGCTAATATCCAGAATCTACAATGAACTCAAACAAATTTACAAGAAAAAAACAAACAACCCCATCAGAAAGTGGGCGAAGGACATGAACAGACACTTCTCAAAAGAAGACATTTATGCAGCCAAAAAACACATGAAAAAATGCTCATTATCACTGGCCATCAGAGAAATGCAAATCAAAACCACAATGAGATACCATCTCACACCAGTTAGAATGGCGATCATTAAAAAGTCAGGAAACAACAGGTGCTGGAGAGGATGTGGAGAAATAGGAACACTTTTACACTGTTGGTGGGACTGTAAACTAGTTCAACCATTGTGGAAGTCAGTGTGGCGATTCCTCAGGGATCTAGAACTAGAAATACCATTTGACCCAGCCATCCCATTACTGGGTACATACCCAAAGGACTATAAATCTTGCTGCTATAAAGACACATGCACACGTATGTTTATTGTGGCATTATTCACAATAGCAAAGACTTGGAACCAACCCAAATGTCCAACAATGATAGACTGGATTAAGAAAATGTGGCACATATACACCATGGAATACTATGCAGCCATAAAAAATGATGAGTTCATGTCCTTTGTAGGGGCATAGATGAAATTGGAAATCATCATTCTCAGTAAACTGTTGCAAGAACAAAAAACCAAACCGCATATTCTCACTCATAGGTGGGAATTGAACAATGAGATCACATGGACACAGGAAGGGGAATATCACACTCTGGGGACTGTGTTGCGGTGGGGGGAGGGGGGAGGGATAGCATTGGGAGATATACCTAATGCTAGATGACGAGTTAGTGGGTGCAGCGCACCAGCATGGCACATGTATACATATGTAACTAACCTGCACAATGTGCACATGTACCCTAAAACTTAAAGTATAATTAAAAAAAAAAAAGAAAAAAAGAAAAACCAAATGCTAATATTCTATTTCGCTTACAGTCAAATACATAAAGTATGTGCATTTTCATCAAATCATTCAACTTAATCGTAATTTTTAACTGGGTGAGATAGAAATACAGTATTACATCTACTAAGAAATTAATAATACAAATAAAATTCAAGAAGAGTGATTATCCAGTTAAGTAAATTAAGTTTTTTAAAAGAATCTCTTTCAATGTGATCAATAATTGTCGTCTCTAACATATAATTATTTCTTAAACTAAGAGGGCTTTTATAGAGACTATTTTTAAGCAGTTAGGTTTTTCCTGAAAGTATTCTACTGATCATTTTTAAAACATTTTAAAAATTTTTACTGATACATAATACTTCTACATATTTATGGGGTACTGTGATATTTTGTTACATGCATAGAATGTGTATTGATCAAGTCAGTATATCTAGGCTGACCATCATCTTGAACGTTTATCATTTCTATGTTTTAGGAACATTTAAAGTCCTCTTTTCTAACTATTTTTAAATACACAATACATTAACTCTTGTCAATCTTGGCCAGGCATGGTGGCTCATTCCTGTAATCCCAGCAGTTTGAGAGGCTGAGGCAGGCAGATCACTTGAGCCTAGAAGTTTGAGAACAGCCTGGGCAACAAGGCGAAATGCTGTCTCTACAAAAAATAGAAAAGTTAGCCAGGCATGGTGGCATGCGCCTGTAACTCACTACATACCCACATGCCAGCTGGACTAAGGAACAATGCCGCTGCTTAATGTTAAAAGTCTCAACATACTATTTAACTTTTTGAACTACAGAATTACCTTTGTTACTTAGATGCCATCTACAAACTGACTTATTTCTATGTTATCCCATCAAACCAACTACTTAAATTACAGGAAAACTTTAAGACATTAAAGAAACATAGGAGAAGTATTTACAAATTCTTTTCATGAATTAACTTAAACACAGATACAGAACTCAACCTTATGAAATGCATAATTAGGTTAACAAAATTCAAGCATGAAGAAGTAGATGCATCTCAAAATTCTCTTTACCAGATGCAAAGGCGTGATGATGACATGAAAACAGAAGACAATCTCCTGCAGATGTTCTTCCTAATACCATGAAACTTAAGCATATACTTTACATAGTGCTACTAAGTTTGAACTTCTAAAATATACCAACTACTTAGGTGTTCTAGGAAAAAAATTCAGTTGGTACAAAATCACAATTTTAATTTAAAAAAACAGAGCTGTTTTATATAACCACAGCAGAGGGTTGCAAAATGGTAACTCAAGAGAAATGTAAATGTTTTTGCCTTAATAAAATAAACTTACAGCCTGGACAGGCTTGCATCCATTTAAATACAGCCAAACATTTCATATAGGTTGAGTACTGCAGATTTGCTTATAGATACACATCAAGTAGATTTTTTTTTGTCTTTTTGTACCATTCACTAATTCACTAAATAGAATTACAGTAAAACAGTATTTCCCATGCAGTGTGACATTTCTAACAGTTCTTTCTCACATATACATAAAAAAGATAAGCCTATCCTTCTGCCCCCCACAAAAAAGAATATCTAATTTCATTTTAATGAAAGGTAGCACATTTACTCATATAAACTGGTAAACTGCTTAAACATTTAACATGTGGTTAGCCTCATGGCTTTGTGGGTGGGCGAGGTTTCCGGCTCTCGGTGTTTGGAAAAGGCTCCTCTGTGCATTTTGTGTCTTTACACTCAGCTCTACGCAAGCTTTATGTTTGTCTAGAATTCATTTAATATATTCCTGGTCCCAGATGAATTCCAGTTAACTTTTTATATTTTAAAATGGGATTTTTTACTTCTGAGAACGGATACATTAATTAAAGGACTATAAGTAAGTATCCTGCACGATGGTCTTTAAAACCCCACATTTAACACTTTCGTCTCATTGCAGAGTCTATGTTCACAATAAAAGGCATGCGAAGGGAGTCAGGATTGGTGGTATGAGGGGAAATAGTCTCTGTTTATTTCACTAAGAACCAAAGCTTAAGTATATACCTAAATAATGCACTGCTTAATGCCCACCAAAGTGGAAGGAAGGATGGTCAAAATGAAACTTCTTATTATGAGTTAGAAAGAATTGGTAGATAAACCAGAGAGATTCTTTGAATCTACATAATAGCTGCAAAATTATCAACATGTACATAAAAAAGTAAATTGTGTTAATAAAACCCAAAATCTTCAAAACATCACTTTTCAAAAGAAATATAATGAATCTAAAAACTGATGACACCAGCCGATACTAAACAGGTCAAAGTAATATTTGATCTGAAGGATTAGAAAAGATTTTAGAAAAACTATCTTATTTCAACTATTTAAGAATTAGATTCCATTAATTAATTTAATAAGCTACGCTTAAAATAAGCTTCTAATAGTGAACCACTTCATTGTAGAACAAAATTAAATCAGAGTCATCATCAAAGTCAACTCATAATTCTGATGAATAGAAACTAAATTATAAACTATCATGGAAACTCAAAGCAAATGTTTAGCAAGTCACTGGTAAATCTTCACAAAATAAAATACAGGCAAAACTAAATGGAGAAATAATGGCATTTAACAAAAGGTAGTAAACAAAACACATTGCATTAAAACATTAACCATACAAAATATTTAAATGTTTCTTTTGATTCAAAGAATTAAAAAGTAAATGAGTTTCATAATATCAGTACAAATGTTACATAAGTATACACTGTTTCAAATCCTTATTCAAAAGATCAAAGTAATGAAACCAGAAACTCACATTTTAAACAGTTAATAGGAAAACCTAACTTCAAAAGTATTTTAAGTCATAAAATAAATAGTTTTTCAAATTATTTTACAAGGTGGTCTCTCTTACAAGAACATACTTTAACACTGTTGTATTATGGCACAATTATCTCAACATTACATACATCTACAATTACCTTAATTAACATCTGTAACAAATTTTAGAATCAAAAGTTAAGAACAATCCCACTGATTAATATAAAGCATTGATTTGTTTAGCTAACTATAAAACATAATTCTATGTTCATTTACTTTCTCCAAGAAAACTGTCAGAATATAAATCACCAAAGTTACCAAAAAAAGCAGGTATATGCTTCTCCAAAATTTATCCGAGTTTACAATATCATATTTTAGTGAATTGTCAAAATTTCATTTTACATTATAAAAACTAATACTGCTTAAGCATCAATCTATAATTATTATTAAGGTTCTCTGCAGGCCATGTAGGCATGCATTACTTGTCATTTTTTTAAAAAAATACTAAACAGTTTTACAGTTTACTTCATAAATAAAGAGGACTTCTGCATTTAGGCCAACTACTACAAGTCCATCATGCTACTTCTCATCTATAAGAATTGATTCTGTTTTATGTACCTACTTTTGCAAGTTTTTTAAAAATAAATATATTTAATGTGTTCCAAAGGCAAAGTAATCTTAAAAAAACTTTTTAGAAGATGAGGTATTCAGAATACACAGAAAAAAAAATATTCAAAAACATGACCAAGATGCCTGTAAGGCAGGTATACACTGTATCCAAGTCATATTAGAAAAGCCTCCACCAATTCATCCTGTGCCTTCTCTTAGGTGCAAACCAAATCATTAAAAGTCTTGGTAATTAGTAATTATTTAATAATCTCAGGAACAATGTTTTGGCAAAATAATCTTAGGTTTCTTTGAGCCCAGGAAATAGATAATCTAATAATCAAAATCAATGTAGATATATAAGATTAACATCTTATACATATTTATTCTGAATTTGTCATTAAAAATGTGAAAATATATGAAGAACTGTGCTAAGAAATGTAAAAAGAATGACCATAGACAAAAAATATAATAACAAGAAGTTACAGTTACAGTGCTTCCAATGAAAAACTGGAAGGTCACTTTTGCTTTACTTTGTTGGGATATTCTGGATTAAAATAAAATGCCAACTTAACATTTTATTTTGAACAGATTTTTTTTTCCATGAAGGTACATCATGTGATAGAGCAGACCCAATTCAATGGTCGGCCAAATAAAACACAGTCTACAAGTGCACTGTACACTTGAGTAGACATTAGCCATATACTGTTACATTTAAATTCAAATTTATTAGTATTAAAAATAAAACTCAGGTCATCAGTTTAGCTATATTTCAAGAGGTCATAGCCTCAGTTAGATAGTGGCTACCACATATAAAAGAAATACAACTTTTTGTTAATTTTCACATAGGCAGATAAGATTGATAAGTTTACACAACGTGATGTTCTGAAGCATACATTAGTTATGGAATGACTAAATCTATACAATATACATATGTATGGCCTCATAGTTATCAGTTTTGTGGTAATATTTTATATCCTCTCAGAGTTTTTCAAGAACGTATTAATTGTAGTCAGACTGTACAATCAATCTTTTATTCCTCATTGAAGTGAAATTTTATAATCTTTGACATTTCCCTAACCCTCTACTATCTGCTGCCATAGTATCAACTCTTTCAGATTCCACATGAGCAACATCATTCAGTATTTGTCTTTCTGTGCCTGGCTTACTTCACTTAATATAATGTCCTCCAGATTCAGCCACGTTGTTGCAAATGCCAGGATTTCCTTCTTTTTCATGGCCAAAGAGTATTTAATTGTGTTTGTATCACATTTTCTTTATCTATCCATTTGTGGACACTTAGGTTGATTCCATATCCTAGCTATTGTGAAAAATGCTGCAATGAACATAAGAGTACAGATGTCTCTTTGAAATAATGATTTCATTTCCTTTGTATATGTAGCTAGTAGTGGGGTTGGTAGATGATACATTAGTTCTATTTTTAATTTGTTAGGAATCTCCATACTGCTTTCTATAATGGCTGTGGTAATTCACATTCCCACTAACAAGGGAATGTATGGGTTCCCTTTTCTCCATATTCTTGTCAACACTTATCTTTGTCCTTTTCATAACAGCCATTCTAATAGGCATGAGGTGATATCTCATTGTGGTTGTGATTTACACTTCCCTGATGATTAGTGATATTATTTTTTCATATACCTATTGGCCATCTATTTCCTTTTCAGACACGTCTATTCAGGTCTTCTACTGTTTTGTTAATATCTTGTTTTCTTGATATAGAGCCAAGTTTTTTTACATAATTCTGATATTAAGCCCTTATGAGATGTATCGTTTGCATATGAGATGTATGTATAGTTCGCATATGAGATGTATGGTTCCTCTCATTCTGTAAGTTGTCTCTTCATTTTTCCTCAGCTGTGCAGAAGCTTTTAAGTTTGATGTGACACCAATTTGTCTATTTTTGCTTTCGTAGCCATTACTCTTGGAGTCATACTAATAAGTCATTGCCCAGATCAATGTCATAAGGATTTTCTCCTATGTATCTTCTAGTAGTTTCATAGATTCTAATCTTACATTTAAATCCCTAATCCATTTGGAGTGGTTTTTGTATATGGTGTGAGATAAGGGTCTAATTCCATTCTTCTGTGTGTGGATATTCAGTTATCCCAACAACATTTATTGAAGAGATTGTGCATTCTCTATTGTGTGTTCTAGGAAATTTTGTCTAAATCCGTTGGCTATAAACATGGGATTTATGGGCATTCTATAACGTTCCATTTGTCTATGTGTATTTATATACCAGTACTATGTTGTTTTGGTTACTGTATCTTTGTAGTATATTTTGAAGTCAGGTAATGTGATTCCCTCCAGCTTTGTTCTTTTTCCTCAACACGGTTTTGACTATTCAGGGTCTAGCAAAAGATTTTCCAATTTTTTTAGCCCTTCAAAAAAACTCACTCTTAGTTTCGTAGATCTATTCTACCATTTTCCCACTATTTCATTCATTTCTGCTCTATATTGTTTCCTTCCTTCTCCTAACTTCAGGCTTAGTTTGTTGTGTTTTCTAGTTCCTTCAAGTGAAAAGTAGGTGAAATGAAATATTTCTTCATTTTTGATGTAGGTGTATGTTGCTATCAACTTCCCTGTTAGAACTGCTTTTACTGTATCCCATAGATTTTGGTATGTTAGGTTTCCATTTGTTAGTCTCAAGGAATTTTTTAATTATAACTTTAAATTCTTCATTGACCCTCTGGTTGGTCAGGAGGATGTTTAATTTCCATGTATTTGTGAATTCTCCAAAGTCCTCCAGTTCCTCATTTCTAGTTTCATATTTTGTAGTCAGAAAATATTATTTGGTATAATTTCAATCTTAAGTATTTTAACACTTGTTTCATAGCCTAACATGATTTACCCTGGAGAATATTCCATGTGCAGTTGAGAAGAGTGTGTACTCCTCAGCTGTTCAACTCTTGGACTGAATATCCTATGTATGTCTGTTATGTCTATTTGATCAAGAGCATAGTTTAAGTCCAACATTCCCTTATTGGTTTTCTGGTTAACCTGCTCATTGCTGGTAGCAGATGTTAAAGTACCCTACAATTATTGCATTGCAGTTTTTCTCTCCCTTCAGATCTATTAATATTTGCTTCATATTATATATTTAGGTATTCCAACATTGGTTGCATATATCACAACTGTCCTATCTTCTTACTTGATCCCTTTGACATTATATAATGACTTTTTATATTTATTTGCTAAAAGTATATTTTACCTCATGAATACAGCTACTCCTACTTTTTTGTTGTTGTTTCAATTTGTATGGGACATCTTTTTCTATCCCTTCACTTTCAGTTTGTGTGTGTCCTTACAGGTAAAATTAGTCTCTCTTTGGCAGCATATTGTTGGATTTTTAAAAATCTATTAAGCTACTTTATGTCTTTTGATTGGAAAAATATACTTACATTCAAGATAATTATTGATAGGTACAGACTTACAACTGCCATTTTTGTGCATTGTTTTCTAGTTGTTTTGCCAATTTTTGTTCCTTTCTTCCTCTATCTTCCTTTGTGGCCAAGTAAATTTTTTTAGTGTTATGTTTTTAATTTCTTGCTTTTTATTTTCTGTGTATCTAATATAAGTTTTTGCTTTGTGGTTACCATGATGCTTACAAAAACCACATTAAATTGTTTTAAGGTGATGAACACTTTGATTTTAACAACAAAAACACTACACATTTACTTCACTCACTCCTCCATATTTAGTATTTTTCATGTCACAATTTTCATATTGCATATCCTTAAATTTGTTACTATTTTTAATAGGTTTGCCTTTTTGCCTTCAAACTAGTGATAAAAATGATTTACACACAACCATTACAGCATGAGTATAGTGGATTTCACTGTATACTTTTACCAATAAGTTTTATATTTTCAAATGTTTTCATATTATTCATTAGTGTTGTGCTTTTTTTGGCTGAAAGGATTCCCATTAGCATTTCTTGTGTATCAGGTCTGGTGGTGATATACTCCCTCAGCTTTTGTTTGTCCAGGAAAGTATTCATCTTTTCTTCATTTCTGAAGGACACCTTTGCTGGGTACACTATTCTTGGCTGACAGTTTTTTTTCCCCCTTTTCAGCATTTTAAATATATCCTTTTGTTTTTTCCTGGCCTACAAGATTTCTGCCAAAAAGTCTGCTGCTAGCTATATTTGAATTCCTTTATGTTATCTGCTTCCTTTCTCTTGCTGCTTTCAGGATCTTCTTAGTCTTTGATTTTTGATAGCATTATTATAATATGTCTTGGAGAGTCACCTTATTTGGTTTAAATTTGATTGGAGACCTTTGACATTTCTGTACCTGGATATTTACACTGTTCTCCAAAATTAAAAACAATTGTTACTATTTAAGTAAGCTTTCTGTCTTTTTCTCCTTCTTTAATGCCTGTGACTCAAAGATTGGCTCTTTGGATGCTGTACCATAAACCCTATAACCTTTCTTCATTCCTTTATTTCTTTCTTCTTCTATTTATTTCAAAATAACCTGTCTTCAAGTTCAGGTTCTTTCTTGTGCTTGGCCAATTCTGCTGTTGATGCACTCTATTGCATTTTTCATTCCCTACATTGTATTTTCACCTCCAGGATTTGATTTTTTGAAAATTGTTTCATGCATCATCTAGTAGAAGCTAAAAATATTATTTCCATCTGATTATATTTCACATTCTGGTCACTGTTTTCTTCATTGTGTTGAATTGTTTCTCTGTATTTTCTTCAAGTTTGCTGAGCTTCCTTAAAGTTTTGAATTCTTTGTCAGAAAGCTCACATGTCTCCATTTCTTTAGGGTCAGTCACTTGTACCACATTTTTTTCATATGGTCATGTAATGTTTTCTTGATTGTTCTTGATGCTTTTGGTCATTTGTCAATGTCTGCACATTTGAAGAAGTAGATACTTATCCAAGTCTTCACAGATAGGGATTTGGCTTTGCCTGGTATAGCTCTGTAGCAGGTGTGACAATGCCAGAAGCCTGGGGCTCACTACATCAGTTGTTGCACTGGAACTGGCCAGAAGCGAGGGGCCACCTGCTGCTGCTGAGTGCTGTTCAGAGGACTGACACAAGTCTGGTGGTGGTATAAGATGGAGATTGAGTTTACCAAGAAAGACTGAAGCCTGGGGCTCTGGGGTCCCACCTAGTGCTGCAGCTGGTCTAGAGGCTCAGTCTGCAGTTACTGGCTTGAAATACAAAGCTGTGGGGATCACCCTGGTGTTGAGTATTATTGTGGTGGGCCAAGTGTTGGGGTTCAAGGTAAAATCTTATGCTCACTTCCTTCTTTTTCCCTAAGTGAACAATGTCTCTTCCCTATTCCATGCTGCCAGAGTTGGGGAGGAGTAACACAGGTAACAAACTGTCCTTCCTACTGTCTTCAATGCATATTTTCTTACTACCATGCTACAGCTAGGTACTGAAATCTCTCACTTGGTTTCTTTAGCCCTTGTGAACGTATTTTCACATGTGGATAGTTGTTCAAATTGATGTTTCTGGTGGTGGGGTGACAATCAGTGGATAATCCTGCTTTGTCATCTTGTTCCACCCATCCAGAACATGTTATCATGGTAAAAAGTGTTAATGGAAAGGGCTTGTCTAAACAAAAGCAGTGCTTATATATTATGATTTGTGGTCATATATCCCATTAAATATTTTTGATCATTAATTTACACATCCATACTGCAAAGGAATTTTTATTCCTACCTAACGTTACTACTTAAAATCCCACTGTGAAAAATTAGATCTTGAACAGGCAAAATTACACAGTCTAAGCTAAAACAGACTGAACTTTTTCTTATTTACATAAAAAAATTTCCAAAAATGTGGATGAATATTAAATGTGTAAAAATTAAACACTCAAAATTTAGATGAATCCAGTTTCTGTTTCTACCCAAGGGGGGAGTACTAGGGATGAAATTGTCTTTCTACCTCAACCAACTTTTAAAAAGCAAACTATATAAAACAATGTTTTTTAAAGACATTATACATGATACAATGAAGAAATAATCCCTAAGAGACACAAAACAAAGTGAGCTGTACATGTACCCCATCCTACTGCCCGCAAGAGAGTTTCAGGACATGGTACATGGAGGAATCCAGATTTCATTTCTTTTAATTGAGAGATGAAGTTAAGAATCTGGGGAGACCAAGGTAGACAGAATAGAGTCACAGGTAGAGTACCAGAGAGGAGAGAGCTTCACAGTGAGAGAGCTCTATAGAACATCAGAATATCTTCCTCATACAGACAGCAGAGAACTGATCTGTGCACCTATGTGAGAAAATTAGTCAAAGGCCTAGAAGGAACAGTACTCAATGCACACACAGGGTTGGAAAAATTGGCAATAGCCATGAGCCATACTAGAAAACTTCATAATTAATATGGTTTAAATTTCCCTACCAAAACTCACATTAAAACCTAATTGCCACTGTAACAGTATTAAGAGATAGGGCCTTTAAGAGGTGATAAGGTCATGAGCGCTTATGAAGGGACTAATGCCTTTATCATGGGAATGGATTAGTTACTGCAGAAATGTGTTCTTGACAAAAAGAATGAGTTCAGCCCACTTCTCTCTGCCATGTGCACTTGTTCTCACCTTCTGCCCTTCCACTAAGGGATGATCTTCACCAATTGTCAGTAGCATGCTCTTGGACTTGCCAGTCTCCAGAATCATGAGCCAAATAAATCACTTTTCTTTATAAATTGCCCAGTTCATGTTATTCTAACACCAGAAAACACAGTAAGTAAGACAATAATTTACAGGGCATTAGGTTGAGTATAAAGAAGGGTCTTCCCTCAGTTGTGGGAAATAATTATCTCTACACTAAATATACTAGTCCTGCTGAAAGATCAAAAAAACAAGACCTAAATGGATCAAACTGTTTTTAATTACTTACATCTGGAACAAAGCTCATATTTATAAGAATACAAAAACATCCATCACCTAAGATAAAATTCACAATGTCTAATAGCTTAAATACCAAACCTTTTAAAAAGCAGAAAATATGGCCGATTATGAGGAGAAAAATCAAACAAAACCAACCCAACTGACACCAATATTAGAACTAAGAACATTAAAACAGTTATTAAAACTATGTTCCATTTGTTCAAAAACTATAGGAAAGACTGAACATATTAAGCACAGATGTAAAATAGACCTAACTCTAACTTCAAGAGATGAAAACTAAAACATGTGATATTTTTAAAACCCCCACTAGAAATAATTAACAGAAAATTTGATATTAAAGATTAGTAAACTTGAAGACACAGCCATAAAAACGATTTTAAATTAAACAGCAAAAAAAAAGAAGGCAAAAAGAGGAAATTAAACAGACCACCAGTGAGATATGGATCATATTTAGTCAGCCTAATAAACAGGTAATAAGAGTTGCCAGTAAGTTGGGAAAACAACAGAAAAACATTTGAATAATTAATGCTGAAGACATTCCTAATTGAATGAAAATGTTAAAACCACATATCAACACATCTTAAGTATGCACGCAAAAAAGAAAAATCTTAGGCAAAGAAAGGAGGAAGACACTGTGACCCATAATGAGGAGATACATACTTCCTTTCAATCTAACCCAGAACTGATAGGCATCAGAATCTTCAAAGATATTATAATGGTTTTTGTAATTAAATCACATATATTCAAGAATTAGAGAATATATTAAAAAGGACCTAAATCAAACTTCTAGAGAGGAAAACTACAGTGACTAATACAAAAAATACTGTTGTTTAAAATTCAATGCATGTCTGCACACATAAGACAGTACAATGATGTATACCATCTCAGCACATGGATGCTGAGCTCAATTAAATGGCCAGCCAGAGCAAGGGAGCATCTGTTTGGCACATGCTTTCATAATCGGGTACAATCGTAATGCACATTTGAAGAAGCAGATACTTATCCCAGTCTTCACAGATGGGGATTTGGCTTTGCAACAATAAATGAATGAGTGAAATATCAAATTCTGTTGACATACTGTAATATTAGCATTTATTTTAAGTTTGAAGGTAACTTTTGTTCTACTTTATATTTATGACAAGGGTAGAGGCTATTCACTTTCAGGCTGCTGGGTCCGTTTAATTGAAAATGATCAACTGCAAGAAAAAATGCTTCTGTACCTGTTAATATTATCAGTATTTAATAGGGCAGCCAGTTTACTATATAATCCAAATAAAAGGAGACAGGAAAAAAGAACAATTATCACTCATAATATTTTATTTCAAACTTTTGTTTTCAACTTAACATTTCTAAATGTTGCACATATAAACTAAAACAGCAATTTAGTGTTCATAATGTAATTTTTGGTTTACTTAATATAGTAGCGATCCATTTAAAATTTATTCTGGGTTAAATAAAGGATGCTATCTCCAACAAAAAGTTTGAATACCACTCCCCAAATTTAATTTTTAAGAGGAAAATGAAGTCCCATTTAGAAATGAGAAATACTTCAAAGGTTAATACTACTGTTCAGGACACATACAGAAAACAATTTAAAATAAGACATAAGCAGTCATTTATTGACACAATAAGATGCTTCATAAAAACTAAAAGCAGGCACTTGTAAGTTAGACAATTTTGAAATAAAAAACGTTTTTCTAAAAGGCAAAATGAAAAATTTTTTAATTGAATTCTACTAAAAAGATCAAGATAGTAAAATGCATGAAGTTTAAACTTATATACTGTAAATGTCATAAAAACTCACAACTACTATTATTCTCCTTAATAGAATGTAGCCATTACTTGAGTTGCAATTTTTATTATTTCCTCATATCTGCCTCCTTCTTTTCTGCAAGTCATCACAAAGCACCTCGTTGTAGAAGACAGCACTAGAACAGGGTACGATAGGAGACAACATAACTTGGAACATCAAGTCATGTTCAAATGAACAAATGTTTCTGAATATCTACACATGCTGACTTCTCAAAGGAGAAGGGATATGAGCACAAAGGTATTAGGGAAGGATTGCAAGAGGAAATGTCACTCAAATTTTTAAGGAGAGTTTGGCAAGTAAACAATTAAAAAAAGAAGGTGTTTCAGGTAGAAAGAAAAACTCATGCAGGAAACACATCTAAGTCAGGTCACAGGGTACATGTGGAGAACTATAAATAACTTAGTATTTCCAGAGGGCAAACTACTCAATAAGGAAATGAGAAAGACAGAACAGTAGAATTAGGGAAGAGCCAGACCAGGCCAAGGCTTTATGATCTGAGTTTTGTCCATTAAGAGATGAGAAGCATCTGAAAGTTTTCAATAAGGAGAGTAACTTGGTAAATTTATACTAGCAAAATCTCTCACGGTGGCTATGGTAAGCTCATTTGGAAACAAAAGAGAGAAGTTGAGATGAATAGTTCAGAGAAGGAAAAAGACTTTCAAACATTTAAACTGCATGCATTTGAACATTTCTATCAAAACTTTGAGATAGGATGACATGTAGGGATAAAAACACGTAAGTCAGTGTATGAGTAATACTTTAAATCGTGAGGCTTCATGACCCAGAGAGTGCATGTCTGTTAAAGAAATGCCTAACACATGCAGGATAAAGGTACTAATAACTGTGGCAAACTAGGTCATTTCAGATTGAAAATCTATATCAAAAATCAGCAAAGTATGGGTCAAGCCTGGTCTGCTGCCTATTTTGTAATACAGTATTCCTGGAATACAGCCATACCCATTCTTTTACATATTGTCTATGACTGCTTTGACATGAAAACAGCAGAGTTGATAGTTGTGACAAAGACTGTGTAGACAGGCCACAAAGCCTAAAATATTTACTATCTGTTTCTTTACAGGAAAAAATTGCCTATTCCTAAAGTAAAAGAAGGTATCTTAGAGCCAGGCAAAGAAAGGGCTTGAGTTACTTCTTTAAAATGAGAGCATTCTACTAAATGATTTTCAAGATCCTTTTCCCTTGTAACAAAATAGGTTTGTACTATTCGAAAAGGGCAAGCATTGGCATTACTCATGAACATTATGTGATACAGTGAAATGATCACTAGGCTTAATTTTGAACTGGGGATAATGCTATCTGTGATAATCAACTCTCAGGGTTGCTCTGAAGACTAAAGCCCTGGGATCATTCATTTTAAAAGAAAAGAACGGTGACTCATCATTTCAAGCTTTTCAGTAAGTGTCTGTTATTACTAACATTAACCTAATTATACTAATAATATACATTAGCAGGCCACATTTGCTGGGAGGGCTCTGGAAATTATAAATGTATTTGAAGTTCCATCTCATATCAATGGTAAGAGCAAGAAACACAAGCTCATAGTTGGATTTTTGATAGTTGAGGAAACAACTCAGAACTCAGTCATTCTATAAATACATTAACTAAGAAAATTTAAATCTAGAGGCCTCTCACTATATTCTCGAAGTGGAAATACTACTCAGTAGGCAGAGGAGTCATGCTGGTGACTTTAGCCTGTCCTACTGTTCCCAAATAAGTTTTTCAGTATTGACTCTGGGACTACCTTGACAACACTTGCTACATTCCACCTTAGCAAGTAAAAGTAGAATTAAGCTTAAGTATTGAGCATTTAAGTAAAATTAAGTTCCATAATTCCATAAAACAAAATCTCTGGTACCCAGAAAATTGAATCATATTATACTTTTCAAAAGTATCACACTTAAACTTATTGCTAACAGGATTCAAGCCAAAAAAATCTGAATCTAGAAGTTTCTGGCACTGATTCCATTAGCTTTCTATACTTTCCATACAAGAACAGTTCAGGCTTTCCAAAACCTGCAAAAGTAATCTATTTTTAGGTGGCTACAGATCTTAATCCTAAGGCAACAGCATATAAGCCTGGTAATATTCTTACCATCTTCCTGTCTGCCAATAATTCAACCAATAGAAAAGGTTTTTTTCTGTTTTTATTTTTCAGAATATGAAGTATTACAGTAAAAAGGATTTCACTAAAAAAAATCATCTACCATACAGACACTATAGAAGGCTTGGAAAAGACATTGTAATATAAAAGATATATTTTAAATTGTGTCTATCCCTGGAACTCTATTAAAATTCAATATTAAGAAAGTCACAAAGGAGTCTAACTTGCCTTTCAAAGTAAGCTTTAAGAGCTTTCGTGCGCGCGCACACACACACACACACACACAAACTTTTGAATATGAATAAAATCTTTTTAATTATACTTTGCCAAAAAATCTGGGATCTTCATCTGCCTATTCAACCTTAAAAAACAAACCACAAAGTTCCCTCTCTAATCTTCCGTATCTTACTATCATTCGCCAAGTTTTATGAGACATAAAATTAGAGGTTATACTTCTTTTCTCTCATTTATTTAAGCTTCAATTCTTAATGCTTTAATCTCTTAAATGTATCTTGATTTCATTTTGTTCACTCCCACTAAAACTATCTGCCTTTGTTTTGCCTGCTATAACACATACCATCGACCAGATGGCTTATTAACACCAGAAATTTATTTCTCACAGTTCTGGAAGTTGGAAGTACAAGATCAGATTGCCAGCATCATCAGGTACTCATGAGGGCCGTCTTCCAGCTTGCAGACTGCCAACTTCTCATTGTGTCCTCAGGTGGTGAGAACAAACCCTGACTCTTCTTAAAATGGCATTAATCTCATTGATGAGGGCTCTACTCTCAAGATCTAATCACCTCCCAAAGGACCCACCTCCTAATACCATCATTATGGGGGTTAACCATATAAATTTTGAGGGGACACAAACATTCAGTCCAATACACTAACCTAGTCCTCACTACCACTATTATTTCTTGTACTATTGTACTGCAGTAGCCTCCCAACTAAACCACAAATTTTTCTGCTTATTTTAATCTACTTTCTGTCCTGCATCCAGGATGTATAAAATGGAAATCTGATCACATCAATTAATACTAGGCAGTGCTGCTTTATAGACTTCAAACTTAGAAGGCCCAGCTCAAACTCAACACTTTACAATCTGCCATTCCTTCAGTTTCAGACACACTCAGTGGCTCTTTCTAATTCCAACCACTCTATGTGCTTCTTTGTCCATATAGAAATGCCAGTCCTCTCACTCCTCACAGAGTTGGACCCTGCTCAGTCTTCCAAATCTTGGCTTCCTCTCACATCCTTAAGATGACTTCTCCAGGCTAAATTGCCTCTTTTTCAAGCACACCTAGCTAAATTTCTCAAACCTTAGATGGTAGATAGAAGGGAAAGGGACCAGGGAATTTGTCAACTCCCAGTCACTAAAGTACTTTCCTGGCTAACTCTGGTCATTTTAAGTAAACTCTTATTATGAATCCTTATTTTAGAAAAAAACAGACCAATACAATTATTTCCTTAATATATAATAACCTGGAAAATTAGCTTATATAGAATATTTCAGAAATCTAAAGTAAGATGCTGTTTTTTTAAAAAAGATTATATTATCAAATAAGCTCCATGTAGGCCAAAATATCTATCGCACAGACATTAAATCAATACTATGTGAATCCATATTAAGTAATCTATTAGGTAAGGGAGAGAATAAGATCATTCCCTGCCAAGTGCTAACTGGATAGTATATATAAAATAAGTTTAAAATGAATTGGTAAGAAGAAACAGTGTGAGCATTACTCAATATGGAGTCATTCTCAGATGGAAGGGCTTGGATAGACATGAAAGGATAGATTCACTGATGAAAAAATATTTTGTAACAGTTACTAAGCAGAAAGAAAAAACAATGAAACACAAAAATGGAAAATTTAGACTTAATCTGTAAAAATTGGACATAAAAAAGGAGGATAAGAAATGGACAAATACAAGAGAAAACATCAAAATAACCTATGAGTCTTGTGATAAGAATTAACATAGAAGGTCTCAAAAATGGCTTGAAATAGGAATACCATATCACCTGATTCATGTTTAACATGACTGTTAAAACCTAAATTATTCTGCTAAATCTACACATTAAAATCATGCATAAGAGCATATGAAAGCAAAAAGACTTCACAGCATGTTCTAGTATAGAAAATATTTTTAGAAAAAGAAGCCATTTAGGTCTGGGCACAGTGGCTCATGCCTGTAATCCCAGCACTCTGGGAGGCCAAGGTGGGTGGATCACTTGAAGTCAGGAGTTCGAGACCAGCCTGGCCAAAATGGTGAAACCCCGTCTCTACTAAAAACACAAAAAATTAGCCAGGTGTGGTGGCAGGTGACTATAATCCTAGTTACTCAGGAGGTGGAGGCAGGAGAATTGCTTGAACTGTGAGGCAGAGGTTGCAGTGAACTGAGATCATGCCACTGCATTCCAGCCTGAGCCACAGAGCAAGACTCTGTCTCAAAAAAAAAAAAAAAAAAAAGCCATTTAGATGCCATCAAAGGCATCCCACTCTGTTTACAGATCAGGATTTTGAACTAAATTCAAAAACATTAAGTAACTTGGACAGGTTAAGAGACACTTGTTATTTGAAGACCTAGTACTTGTGCCTTAAATCTTAACTCTAGATTTGGTATCCTTACCATGCTCATTTTACAAGTTACATTTATACATGAAGTAATGCTCTTTTAAATATTATAATAACAAAGCCATATTAAAAGGCATACTTAAATTGCATTAAGTTTAGGTATTAATTACAAAATATAACCATTAACTTTAATAAATGATATTGAAAATACAATATTTGGTTCCATCTTTGTAAAGAAATAGCATGTGAGAATTAAAGCTAAAGTCTATTTCCATTATTTAAATAGAAGTCAATAGCAAAAAAAAAAAAAAAAAAAAAAAAACTAGTGAGAGAAGTTGCCAGGCATCTTTTTAAAAAACTGAATGACCACATAAATTGTTCAAATTTCTTACCTAGGGCTACGATCAATGTGAAATGCCTAACAAAGTCTAGTTTCATTTATTTTGCCTCCTGTGCATTTCATCTTAAATGTTATAAACTGATTTACTAGAATAGCACTGGAAAATAAATTCACAATCTTGCCAATCTCAGTCATCTGACCAACTTGACAAAACTACTTAAAATAGGGAAATAAATAGCAATGCCAAACTCTATGCTTAATCAAGAAAAATTTACTCATAAAACTTAGACAAAGTCCTCTGGAATTCATTTTATTCACACATTGCTTCAGAATTCCATTCTATCTGAAAATAACTTACCATTAAAAGAATGAATACTAGCGAGGTATGCCCTATGAGAATCATTTCTTTACACATCAGTTACATGTCCATCACAACTAATCTCAGGGAGTATTCTATATCCCATAACACAAACTTTCCATTAACCATTTAGTCATAAGCAAAGATCTCCTAAAAGTTACAACAACACCGTCAATTCTTTCTATTCAACATCTCCTACTAGAATGATTTCATCATTCCTCATTTTTGTGTTAGAAATGAATCCATTCATGACTGCAACTAGATAAAGGTTCCAAAGGTATTTTTAACCAGTATTTATTTAGGTTTTCTCATTGATTTAGGCAGGAAATACCTGAGACTTACTACATCAGCAGAAAACGCATGAAAAAATTTATAGAATTTATACAAGTAATTGTATTTCTGCCACTGGAGCAGTGTACAACTATGAAAGAGAAAATTTTAATATCTCTTAAGTGCCAACATAAAAATTCAGTATATAATAAAGCTATAGTTTTTCTGATTAAAAAAAAATTGGAAGAATCCATAGGCTACAGTAGCAATAAGGTTGAGACAGGAATGGAACAGGGATTTGGACTGGCCTGCTCTTAAAGTCAATCATTGGTTATTACACATACACACACACACACACACACACACACACATTCACACACACACTATTCATTTAAAAATGTAAACTATCAGGGACCTGAAACAGATAATAAAAAGTAAACCCAATATGGATGCAGTGAGAACTAAAATAGCCAGCTCTTTTGTTTGATATGAACTTGTGCCTTGAAAACACATTTTCCTAGTCTAGTAATAATAGAGTTAACAGAGGAATAAGCAGGTAAGTAAAAGATGAGAAAGATATGTCTGGGATCTGGTATTAAATTTAACAGCATCATCGATTTTTATAACAAATTCAGTAAGGCTCAGTACCCTCTATGAAGCTAAAGTAAGAAGCCATTAGCACACAGAAGGAATCACTATGTTTTTTAAATTGTCATTTTTTATTAAGAAGGAATATTAAACACATATATGTGTGTATATTTTTACTTTTTCCATGCTATTACTTAGCACATTCATGAGAACATAAAAATAACAAGTATATATGATACACAGTAATACACTAGATTGATTCAGTTGCTGGCTCTGCCACTGGTGAGCTTTGGAACATTCTGGAAACAATTTACATCTGTGACAGTTTCTCCAGATGTGAAAATATCAAGTGTAAATGGATGATGACTTTCTTTTCTTTTCTTTTTTTAATTTGCTGACCTGTTCAAATACTAAATATTTTCAAGTATTTTAAAGATAATTTATTGTAATGTCAATAAACTACTTCCTAATAACTAGAACTCAATTCAATACTTTTGAAGGTTATGTTTCTCACAGTATTAAAATTCCCCCTGGTAATTTATGCTTTTAGCTAAAGTAAATTCATGAGATTTTTAACTCTCATAAAACACCAATAAAATCATTGTATATACAAGCAGAGAAAAGCAAAGCTCTCATGTAATTATCTAGATAATTACAGTAAAACTTTTGCTATGGAAAATGCGATTAACTATTTTATCAAGTAAAATTAAAGAGTGTGCTTTATATTTTGAACTTAGATTTGTTGCCAATTTCTTCCCACTTTTAACAATTAAACACTTATTTGGTACATATTATATGAACTTGCTGTGTTTCTTTAAAAAAGCTTTAAATAACAAAATATTGCCCACTATTTTATCCAATAGTAGAAAAGGATATTTTGGGAAAACCTTGCCAGAACCAAATACATAAGGAACTTTATTTTACTTTTTGGATGTGGGAAGGTATTATTTGTGGTTTTACATAATACCGCTAAAAAACACATATAGTTCGTTTTTTTCTCCTGAAATCTCCTTTATCACTGGGTAAAAAAACAGCTCTCTGATCACTAACTTGTAAGCAAGGAACCCAGCCTACAGTTCAGATTCTTACGGCCTATAAATCTTGTTTAATGTAGTTAAAAATCTATTCTTTTTTTTTTTTTTTTTTTTTTGTTGGGGGGAGATAGAGTCTCGCTCTGTCACCCAGGCTGGAATGCAGTGGTGCGATCTCGGTTCACTGCCCCCCGGGTTCCAGCGATTCTTCTGCCTCCGCCTTCTGAGTAGCTGGGATGGAACTACAGGCACCCGCCACCACACCCGGCTAATTTTTTGTATTTTTAGTAGAGATGGGATTTTACCATGTTAGCCAAGATGGTCTCAATCTCCTGACCTCGTGATCTGCCCACCTCTGCCTCCCAAAGTGTTGGGATTACAGGCTTGAGACACCGCGCCCAGCCAAATCTAATCTTTTTAAAGTGATTTTTACATGAGAAATTTTATGAATTTACCTTTTAGTACTGCAACACATTTACTATATTACTTCCTTTTTCTAAGAATGTTTTCATCATTACTTAATGAACAAAAACACTTAAGAGTAGAAAACAGAGAACTGGATATGTCCCATGTTCATATCATATCTTTTGTGACAGGTCACCACCCAAAAAACTTTTAGAAAATCCTTTTGGAAAAATGCAATCTGACAGAGGTGGTAGCAATACTACACACCCCCGTAAATGCAACGAACAGAAGGCTAACAATAACTTCAGTCAAATCAGGGCAAAAATTGAGCTCCTCGACAACAGAGTATAGACTAAGCATTTAGAAAAATCACATATGAAAAAAGTTTCAAACATAATTCTGATAGAATTTTATTTTTACAAAAGAAAGTGCTGGTTTGTAGCATTAGATTTTTCTTCTTAAGACATAAGGGATCTAAACTTGTAAAATTCCGTTATGCTGACCAGTCTCCAATTAAAAAAAAATTTTTTTCACCTAAGCAGGGATATTCTCTTAGTATAAGATGTGGTGTTATCAGGCAAGTATTTCTAAAAGCTCACAGTTAAAAGACTGCATAGAATCATAATGTCATACTAACATACAGATTCATTAAGAACAGAACATTTATAATATGACCCACACGACAATTTCAGGCCACTTAATGCTGAAATCTGCTTTACTTCAAGTAATCAATATCACCACCAGTCTCTAAATGGTTTGGGTCTGTGTTCCCACCCAAATCTCATTTCAAATTGTAATTCCCACATGTCAAAGGCGGGACCTATAATCCTGATGTGTCAAGGGAGGGAGGCAATTGAAACATGGGGGTGGTTTCCCCCATGCTGTTCTCGTGATAGTGAGTTCTCCTGAGATCTGATTGTTTTGTAAGTGTTTGGAAGTTCCTCCTTCATTCTTCTCTCACCTGTCGCCTTTTGAAGAAGGTGCCTGCTTCTCCTTCCACCATGATTGTAAGTTTCCTGAAGCCTCCCCAGCCATGTGGAACTGTGAGAATTAAACCTCCTTTGTTTACAGGTTGTCCTGTCTAGAGTAGTATCTTTATAGCAGTGTGAAAACAGACTAACAGATGATGGTAAAAATCTGTAGAATTCTGAGAACTCAATATAATTACAATAAAATAAAGTTACATCTAGCAAAACATAAGTATTTTATTAAGTTGGTCAAAGTAATATTGGCAGACTCCTTAAATCATGCTAAATAGCATAGAAATGAGAACTTCTCAAAAGAAGACTACATGAAACATATAAAAATAAAGGAGAATAATGACTGAAGAGATGGTCCAAAAATATTTCTAATATCAAAGGATTAATAATGAATATTTTTAGAAATCTAGAAGTACCCTAAAAATATTTTAGAAAAAATAACCACCTCAAAGCTGGGTGCAGTGGCTACGTCTGTAATCCCAACACTTTGGGAGGCCAAGGTGGAAAGATTGCTTGAGCTCAGGAGTTTAAGACCAGATTGGGCAGCACAACAAGACCTCATCTCTACCAAAAATTAAAAAAATTAGCCAGGCATAGTGGTGTGCACCTGTACTCCCAGCTACTTAGGAGGCTGAGGCAGGAGGATCACTTGAGCCTGGGAGATGGAGGCTTCATTGAGCTATGATCACAGTATACTCCAGCTTAGACAATAGAGTGAGATCCTGTCTCAGTCAATCAATCAACCAATAACCACTTGAAATGAAGCATATCACAGCATACTATTATATAATGTCTACAAGATTATACAAAAAGCTTAATTTTGCAAACATAACCTAAAGGATTTTAAGAAGATAAGACTATTTTAATAAGTATCTTAGTTCTTTTAAAAACAAAGTCTCAATTTTTTTTTTCTGCTCTTCATGGTGAAAATTTGTTCCCTTCTGTAAGTGGATCTTAGAATAGTAGCCTCTTACTAGTGCCAATTTATCTTAGCTAACAAAAATTTCCCACGTTAAATAATCTCTAGCCCATTTCACCTTTCATTAGAGACAAAAAGTTGATCTTCATGTAGTCAAGATCTCTGCAGAACCTAAAAATAAAATCCAATTATGCTAGATACCAATGTACCAACAACCAAGCACCATTAACTATCCACTCACTGCTTAACTTCTTCCAGGAGAAATAATATAGATGAGGTTCAAAGTTACATGACCCTTTAGAATATCTATTGAATGACAGATACCAGGGAATTCCAAAGTATTTTTATATACTTGAGAACGTAAGAGACAATGGAGGTTTCATCAGTATTGTATGCTGAAACAAATTTCTACCACTTAAACCTAACCCAATGTTGTTTTTGCCAAATGCCCACCTAAGTTGACATTCAGCCTCATTTTTCTTTAAATATCTGTTCTTGTAGAGTAAAAAGTGATGACGCTGCAAATGACAACCTTAACTAGTCTCTCCATTGAAAAGCCTCATAAATGTCTAATAGCCACAATTTTACTTGGCTACTTCAGATGGACTGAAATTGGAACTTGAAGACCCTTGTATAAGAAAAAGAACCGTTGTAAACCATTGCAAATCTCAGCCAAGACAAAATGGCCTTTAAACATTTACAATAAATGCACTGAATATCTGTGGAATCACATAACTCAAAAATAAGAACAGACATATTTTTCTATAACTTTGATATCATTTTGTAATATATTTTCTGATGAATAAAACCTACTTGTTTAGGGAAGCAAGTGATCACACTCCTTTTGACCATTCTTTTCAAATTTTAAAGTTTTTTAACAAAAGTCTTACATTTAAAAAAAAAAAAAAGCTTGTGGTAGGGCCTCTTTCTTGGTTTAATCTTCCAGAAAAGTTAATTCAGACAGAATGACAGAGAACACTATAGCCTCTGAAGTGCCTGATAGGCAATTTTCCAATTACAAACATATGTATACATGTCTGCATATGAATTTGCACATGCAAACACTCTATGTATGTATGTGTATCAGTAGTTTTCCCTCTTACTAATGAGCAAACTGTGATATATCTAGATTTAAGACTTTCATTTTACTCTTTTATAATTATCATATTTTCCATACATCTATTAATTTGGTGCACATTTGAAATGTTCTGCCAAATTTTCATTAATAGGAAAACTGAAATTGCTTTCTGGCCATTTTTGGTGAAGGTGGTATCAGAAGGAAAAAGGATGAAGCCTGATCAGTCATATTCACAATCACTGACAGGACAATTCAAACACCCAGACACTATTCACTTGCCTCTCCATCCAAGAAGCCAGCATTACTTACTGTACCCTTTCTAGTGATTTGCTCCATCCTATGGATACAGATTCTAGACATAATCTAGTGACACATTTTTCTATTAAGGTAATAATGCTCATAATATCACCACACTAAGTCAGCCTATGCAATGGGAAAGTAACAAGCATACCTCAAAAATATTGGGAGTTTCCCTCCAGACTACTGGAGCCAATAAAGCAAATATCACAATGAAATGAGTCACAAGAAATTTTTTATTTCCCATGTCATATAAAAGTCATATTTACATTATACTATCATCCGTTACGTGCACAATAGCATTATGACCAAACAATAATATACATATCTTAAATTAAAACTGTGTATTGCTAAAAATCCTAATGAACATTTGAGCCTTCAGCGAGTCCTAATCTTTTTGCTTGCATAATGGCTCCTGACTGTTCACGGTGGTGGTTGCTCAAGGTTGGGTGGATGTGGCAACTTCTTAAAATAAGACAACAACATAGTTCGCTGCCTAGAGTGATCCTTCTTTTCATAAAAAAAATTTCTCTGTAGAATGGGATACTGTTTGATAGCATTTGACCCACAACAGACTTTCTTTCAAAGTTGGACTTAATCTTCTCAAACCCTGCCACTGCTTTATCAACTAAGTTTATATAATATTGTAAATCCTTTATTGTCATTCCAACAACGTTCACAGTATCTTCACCCGAAGTAGATTCCATCTCAAGAAACCACTTTCTCTTTGCTCACCCATAAGAAGCAACTCCTCATCCATCTAAGTTTTATGAAATTGCAGCAATTCAGTCATATATTCAGACTCTACTTCTATTCTCTTGCTATTGCCACCACATCAGCAGTTACTTCCCCTGTTGAAGTCACATCGCTCCAAGTCTTCCATGAGGTTTGGATTATGACCCCCCATGAATCACGAATGTTCCTAACGGCAACTAACAGGGTGAATCCTTTCCAGAAGGTTTTCAATTTACTTTGCTCAGATCCATCAGAGGAATCTATCTAGGGCAGTGATAGCCTTACACAAGGTATTTCTTCAAAAATAAGACATGAAAATCTAAATGACTCCTTGATTTATAAGCTGACGAATAAATGTTGTGTTAGCAGATATAAAGTAACATTAATTTTTTTATACTCCATCAAAGATCTTGGGTAACTAGGTACATTGTCAATAAGCAGTAATATTTTGAAAGGAATCTTTCTTTGTGAGCATTAAGTCTCAAAAGTGGGCTTAAAATATTCAGTAAACCATGCTGTAAGCAGATGTGCTGTCATCCAGGTTTTGTTCTTCCATTTATAGAGCACAGACAGAGAGTAGACTTAGCATAATTCTTAAGGGTCCTAGGATTTTCAGAATGGTAAGTGAGCACTGCCTTCAACTGAAAGTCACTAGCTGCATTAGCTCCTAATAAGTGTCAGTCTATCATTTGAAGCTAGGCATTGACTTCTCTGTCCATAAAAGCCCTACCTGGCATGTTCTTCCAATAGAAGGCTGTCTCATCTACATTGAAAAATCTGTCATTTAGCATTGCTATGTTCATCAATTATCTCAGCTAGATCTTCTGGATAACTTAGCGCAGCCTCAACATCAGCACTTGCTGCTTGACCTTGCACTTTTCTGTTATGAAGACAATTCTGTCTTTTTAAACCACATGAATAAACTGCTAGCTTCAAACTCTTCTTCTGTAACTTCTTCACTTTCTGCAGCCTTCACAGAATTGAAGGGAATTAGGGCCTTCCTCTAAATTAGGCTTTGTATCTTTTGATTGAAAGTGACTGACACAGGACTCTTCCTTTCACTTGAACACACAGGGGTCATTGTAGGGTTATTAATTGGCCTGATTTCAGTATTGTTTTGTTTCAGGGAATAGGGAATCTCAAAGAGAAGGAGAGAGATGAGGAAAACAGTCAAAAGAGCAATCAGAACACACACAACATTTATCAGTTAAGCTTGCCACCTTATACAGATATGATTTGCAGTGTTCCAACACAATAATAGTAATATAAGAGATCACTGATCATAGACTACCCATAGCAGATATAATAAAGATGAAACAGTTTAAAATATTGTGAGAATTAGCAAAATGTGATAGAGACAGGAAGTGAGCACACACTGTGGGAAAAATGGTACCAATAGACTTGCCAGACACAGGGTTGCCAAAAAACTTCAATTTGTAAAACATGTATCTTCAGAGTGAAATAAACTGAAGTATGCCTACGTTCAAGTATTATAAAGGGATAATGTTCTGATTTAAAATAAACATTGTACAATATTTTAGCATACAGACTTTTAATTCTATTTTAAAACTAGTTGTGAGAGACATGTACACCCTAACTAAAGGGTTATCTTTTCTCTTAGCTTGGTACAGGAACAACAGAGAGCCAGACAATTCTGCCATTCACTGGGACACACGAGATGGAACTCAATAGAAGTCAAGAGAAAACTAAATTCAAATATTTACAGAGGCAATAAAAAAGCCTAGGATTGAGACACAATAGCAATGAACAGAAGAACTAACAGTTCAAAACTGAGGGCTAAGCGCAGTGGCTCATGACCGTAATCCCAGCACTTTGGAAGGCAGGAGTATTGCTTGAGGCCAGGAGTTCATGAACAGCCTGAGCAACAAAGTGAGACCCCATCTCTACAAAAAATAGAAAAAAAAATTAGCCAAATGTGGCGGCATACACCTGTAGCCTCAGCTACTCAAGTGGCTGAGCTGGAGGGATCACTTGAGCCCAAAAGGCTGAGTCTGCAGTGAGCCATAATCATGTCACTGCAATCCAGCCTGGGCAAAAGAGTGAGACTCTAACTCAAAAAGTAATTATAAGAGAGCCTATGTGCCTGTCTTTGTGCATTTGGTGGAGGGGGACAGAGAGAGAAACATAAAAGGAAAACTCACAGGTGGCAGATTCCGATTTGGGTGCCTGTAGAGCCACAGCTGTACTACCATTAAGAAAAGAAGTCAACTTACAGAGAATGCGCTTCTGTGATATATCTGATAGGCTAAATTTGAAAGGGGAGTACTCCAATGGAAGTACCTAATAAAATATTGGGAAATAGTGAGACAACTCAAGATGGCTGAATAGGAACAGCTCCCGTCTGCAGCTCCCAGCAAGATCCACGCGGAAGGCAGGTGATTTCTGCACTTCCAACTGAGGTACCTAGTTCATCTCATTGGGACTGGTTGGACAGTGGGTGCAGCCCACAGAGGGCGAGCTGAAGAAGGGTGGGGCGTCGCCTCACCTGGGAAGTGCAAGGGGTCAGGGGATTTCCCTTTCCTAGCCAAGGGAAGCCATGACAGACTGTACTTGGAGGAACAGTATACTCTTGCCCAGATACTGTGCTTTTCCCAAGGTCTTTGCAACTGGCAGACCCAGAGATTCCCTCCAATGTTTGGCTCAGTGGGACCCATACCCACAGAGCCCAGCAAGCTAAGATCTATTGGCTTGAAATTCTCGCTGCTAGTACAGCAGTCTGAGATCGACCTGGGATGCTTGAGTTTGGTGCTGGGAGGGGGCGTCCACCATTGCTGAGGCTTAAGTAGGCGGTTTTATGCTTACAGTGTAAACAAAGGCACTGGGTGGTTCGAACTGGATGCAACCCACCAGAGCTCAGTGAGGCTGACCGCCTCTCTAGATTCTGCCTCTCTAGATTCCACCTCTCTGGGCAGGGCATCTCTGAACAAAAGGCAGCAGCCCCAGTCAGGGGCTTATAGATAAAACCCCCATCTCCCTGGGACAGAGCACCTGGGGGAAGGGGCAGCTGTGGGCGCAGCTTCAGCAAACTTAAACGTCCCCGCCTGATGGCTCTGAAGAGAGCAGTGGTTCTCCCAGCCCAGCATTCGAGCTCTAATAATGGACCGACTGCCTGCTCAAGTGGGTCCCTGACACCCGCGTAGCCTGACTGGGAGATACCTCCCAGTAGGGGCTGATGGACATCTCATACAGGAGAGCTCTGGCTGGCATCTGGTGGGTGCCCCTCTGGGACAAAGCTTCCAGAGGAAGGATCAGACAGCAATAGTTGCTGTTCTGCAGCCTCTGCTGATCATAGCCAGGCAAACAAGGTCTGAAGTGGACTTCCAGCAAACTCCAACAAACCTGCAGCTAAGGGGCCTGATTGTTAGAAGGAAAACTAACAAACAGAAAGGATAGCATCAACATCAACAAAAAGGACATCCACACAAAAACCCCATCCGGAGGTCACCAACATCAAAGACCAAAGGTAGATAAAACCACAAAGATGGGGAGAAACCAGTGCAGAAAGGCTGAAAAGTCCAAAAACCAGAATGCCTCTTCTCCTTCAAAGGATCACAACTCCTCGCCAGCAAGGGAACAAAACTGGATGGAGAATGAGTTTGACAAACTGACAGAAGTAGGCTTCAGAAGGTGGGTCATAACAAACTCCTCCGAGCTAAGGGAGCATGTTCTAACCCAACACAAGGAAGCTAAGAACCTTTAAAAAAGGTTAGACAAATAGCTAACTAGAATAACCAGTGTAGAGAAGAATATAAAAGACCTGGTACAGCTGAAAAATGCAGCACAAGAACTTCGTGAAGCATACACAAGTTTCCACAGCTGAATCGATCAGGCAGAAGAAAGTATATCAGTGATTACTTAATGAAATAAAGCGAGAAGACAAGATTAGAGAAAACAGAGTGAAAAGAAATGAACAAAGCCTCCAAGAAATACGAGACTATGTGAAAAGACCAAATCTATGTTTGATTGGTGTACCTGAAAGTGACGGGGAGAATGACACCAAGTTGGAAAACACTCTGCAGGATATTAATCAGGAGAATTTCTGCAACCTAGCAAGGCAGGCCAACATTCAAATTCAGGAAATACAGAGACCACCACAAACGTATTCCTCGAAAAGAGCAACCCCAAGACACAGAATCGTCAGACTGATCAAGGTTGAAATGAAGGAAAAAAGGTTAAGGGTAGCTGGAGAGAAAGGTCAGGTTACCCACAAAGGGAAGCCCATCAGGCTAACAGCAGCTCTCTCAGCAGAAACTCTACAAGCCAGAAGAGAGTGGGGGCCAATATTCAACATTCTTAAAGAAAAGAATTTTCAACCCAGAATTTCATATCCAGCCAAACTAAGCTTCATAAGTCAAGGAGAAATAAAATCCTTTACAGGCAAGCAAATGCTGAGAGAGTCTGTCACCACCAGGCCTGCCTTACAAGAGCTCCTGAAGGAAGCACTAAACATGGAAAGGAACAACTGGTTACCAGCCATTGCAAAAACATGCCAAATTGTAAAGACCATTGATGCTATAAAGAAACTGCATCAACTAACGGGCAAAATAACCAGCCAGAATCATAACGATAGGATCAAATTCACACATAACAATATTAACCTTAAATGTAAATGGAATAAATGTCCAATTTAAAAGACACAGACTGGCAAATTGGATAAACAGTCAAGAACCATCAGTGTGCTACATTCAGGAGACCCATCTCACATGCAAAGACATACATACACTCAAAATAAAAGGATAGATGAAGATTTACCAAGAAAATGGAAAGCAAAAAAAAAAGCAGGGGTTGCAATCCTAGTCTCTGATAAAATAGATTTTAAACCAACAAAGATAAAAAAATACAAGGAAGGGCATTACCTATGGTAAAGGGATCAATGCAACAAGAAGAGCTAACTATCCTAAATATATATACACCCAATACAGGAGCACCCAGATTAATAAAGCAAGTTCTTAGAGACCTACAAAGAGAATTAGACTCCCACCCAATAATAGGGGGAGACTTTAACACCCCACTGTCAATATTAGACAGTTCAACGAGACAGAAAATTAACAAGGATAATGAGGACTTGAACTCAGCTCTGATACAAATGGACCTAATAGAAATCTACAGAACTCTCCACCCCAAATCAAGAGAATATACCTTCCTCTCAGCACCACATCACACTTACTCTAAAATTGACCACATAATTGGAAGTAAAACACTCCTCAGCAAATGTAAAAGAATGGAGATCATAACAAACCATCTCTCAGACCACAACGAAATCAAATTAGAACTCAGGATTAAGAAACTCACTCAAAACTGTACAACTACATGGAAACTGAACAACCTACTCCTGAATGACTACTGGGTAAATAACAAAATGAAGACAGAAATAAAGATGTTCTTTGAAACCAATGGGAACCAAGACACAACATACCAGAATCTCTGGGACATATTTAAAGCAGTGTGTAGAGGGAAATTTATAGTACTAAATACCCACAAGAGAAAGCAGGAAAGATCTAAAATTGATACTCCAACATCACAATGAAAAGAACTAGAGGAGCAAGAGCAAACAAATTCAAAATCTACCAGAAGACAAGAAATAATTAAGATCAGAGCAGAACTGAAGGAGATAGAGACACAGAAAACCCTTCAAAAAAATCAGTGAGTCCAGGAGATGACATTTTGAAAAGATTGAGAAAATAGACAGACCGCTAGCCAGACTAATAAAAAAGAAAAGAGAGAAGAATCAAATAGACACAATAAAAAATGATAGAGAGCATATCACGACTGCATCAGCATCATCCTGATACCAAAACCTGACAGAGACTCAACAAAAAGAAAATTTTAAGCCAATATCCCTGTTGAACATCGATGTGAAAATCCTGAATAAAATACTGGCAAACGATATCCAGCAGCACATCAAAAAGCCTATCCACTGCAATCAAGTCGGCTTCATCCCTGGGATGCAAGGCTGGGTCAACATATGCAAATCAATAAATGTAACCCATCACATAAACAGAACCAACAACAAAAATCACATGATTGTCTCAACAGATGCAGAAAAGGCCTTTGACAAAATTCACAAGCCCTTCATGCTAAAAACTCTCAATAAACTAAGTATTGACGGAACGTATCTCAAAATAATAAGAGCTATTTATGACAAACCCACAGCCAATATCATACTGAATGGGCAAAAACTGGAAGCATTCCCTTTGAAAACTAGCACAAGACTCAGTTTGCCAGTATTTTATTGAGGATTTTTGCATCGTTGTTCATCACGGATATTGGTCTAAATTTCTCTTTTTTTGTTGTATCTCTGCCAGGCTTTGGTATCAGGATGATGCTGGCCTCATAAAATGAGTTAGAGAGGATTCCCTCATTTTCTATTGATTGGAATAGTTTCAGAAGGAATGGTACCAGCTCCTCTTTGTACCTCTGGTAGAATTCGGCTGTGAATCGGTCTGGTCCTGGATTTTTTTTGGTTGGTAAGCTATTAATTATTGCCTCAATTTCAGACTCTGTTATTGGTCTATTCAGGGATTCAACTTCTTCCTGCTTTAGCCTTGGGAGGGTGTATGTGTTCAAGAATTTATCCATTCCTTCTAGTTTTGTAGTTTATTTGAGTAGAGGTGTTCATAGTATTCTCTGATGGTAGTTTGTATTTCTGTGGGATCGCTGGTGATATCCCCTTTATCATTTTTAATTGCTTCTATTTGATTCTTCTCTCTTTTCTTCTTTATTAGTCTTGCTAGTGGTCTATCTATTTTGTTGATCTTTTCAAAAAACCAGCTCCTGGATTCATTGATTTTTTGAAGGGATTTTTGTGTCTCTATCTCCTTCAGTTCTGCTCTGATCTTAATTATTTCTTGCCTTCTGCTAGCTTTTGAATGTGTTTGCTCAAGCTTCTCTAGTTCTTTTAATTGTGATGTTAGGGTGTCAATTTTAGATCTTTCCTGCTTTCTCTTGTGGGCATTTAGTGCTATAAATTTCCCTCTACACACTGCTTTAAATGTGTCCCAGATATTCTGGCATGCGGTGTCTTTGTTCTCATTGATTTCAAAGAACATCTGTATTTCTGCCTTCATTTTGTTATTCACCCAGCAGTCATTCAGGAGCAGGTTGTTCAGTTTCCATGTAGTTGTACAGTTTTGAATGGGTTTCTTAATCCTGAGTTCTAATTTGATTGCACTGTGGTCTGAGAGACAGACTGTTACGATTTCTGTTCTTTTACATTTGCTGAGGAGTACTTTACTTCCAACTATATGGTCAATTTTGGAATAAGTGTGATGTGGTGCTGAAAAGGATGTATATTCTGTTGATTTGGGGTGGAGAGTTCTGTAGATGTCTATTAGGTCCGCTTGGTGCAGAGATGAGTTCAAGTTAGGCAATACCATTCAGGACATAGGCATGGGCAAAGACTTCATGACTAAAACACCAAAGCAATGGCAACGAAAGCCAAAATTGACAAACGGGATCTAATTAAACTAAAGAGCTTCTGCACAGCAAAAGAAACTACCATCAGAGTGAACAGGCAACCTACAGAACGGGAGAAAATTTTTGCAATCTACCCATCTGACAAAGAGCTAATATCCGGACTCTACCAAGAAGTTAAACAAATTTACAAGAAAAAAACAAACAACCCCATCAAAAAGTGGGCAAAGGATAGGTACAGACACTTCTCAAAAGAAGATATTTATGCAGCCAACAGACACATGAAAAAATGCTCATCATCACCGGCCATCAGAGAAATGCAAATCAAAACCACAATGAGATACCATCTCACAGCAGTTAGAATGGCGATCATTAAAAAGTCAGGAAACAACAGATGCCGGAGAGGATGTGGAGAAATAGGAACACTTTTACACTGTTGGTGGGACTGTAAACTAGTTCAACCATTGTGGAAGACAGTGTGGCAATTCCTCAAGGATCTAGAACCAGAAATACCATTTAACCCAGAGATCCCATTACTGGGTATATACCCAAAAGATTATAAATCATGCTACTATAAAGACGCATGCACACCTATGTTTATTGCGGCACTATTCACAATAGCAAAGACCTGGAACCAACCCAAATGCCCATCAACGATAGACTGGATTAAGAAAATGTGGCACATATACACCATGGAATACTATGCAGCCATAAAAAATGATGAGTTCATGTCCTTTGTAGGGACATGGATGAAGCTGGAAACCATCATTCTGAGCAAACTATTGCAAGGACAGAAAACCAAATACTGCATGTTCTCACTCATAGGTGGGAATTGAACAATGAGAACACTTGGACACAGGGTGGGGAACATCAAACATGGGGGCCTGTAGTGGGGTGAGGGGAGTGGGCAGGGACAGCATTAGGAGAAATACCTAATGTAAACGACGAGTTACTGGTTACAGCATACCAACATGGCACATGTGTACCTATGTAACAAACCTGCACATTGTGCACAGGTACCCTAGATCTTAAAGTATAAGAAAGAAAGACAGAAAGAAAGAAAGACAGACACACAGAAAGAAAGAAAGAAAGAAGGAAAGAAAGAAAGAAAGAAAGAAAGAAAGAAAGAAAGAAAGAAAGAAAGAAAGAGAAAGAAGAAAGAAAGAAAGAAAGAGGCAGGCACAAGATAAGGATGCCCCCTCTCACCACTCCTATTCAACATAGTATTGGAAGTTCTGGCCAGGGCAATCAGGCAAGAGAAAGAAATAAAGGGTATTCAATTAGGAAAAGAGGAAGTCAAATTGTCCCTGTTTGCAGATGACATGATTGTATATTTAGAAAACCCCATCATGTCAGCCCCAAATCTCCTTAAGCTGATAAGCAACTTCAGCAAAGTCTCAGGATACAAAATCAACGTGCAAAAATCACAAGCATTCCTATATACCAATATCAGACAAATAGAGAGCCAAATCATGAGTGAACTCCCATTCACAATTGCTACAAAGAGAATAAAATACCTAGGAATCCAACTTTCAAGGAATGTGAAAGAGCTCTTCAAGGAGAACTACAAACCACTGCTCAAGGAAATAAAAGAGGACACAAACGATTGGAAGAACATTCCATGCTCATGGATAGGAAGAGTCAACATTGTGAAAATGGCCATGCTGCCCAAAGTAATTTATAGATTCAGTGCTATCCCCATCAAGTTACCAATGACTTTCTTCACAGAATTGGAAAAAACTACTTTAAAGTTCATATGGAACCAAAAAAGAGCCTGCATTGCCAAGACAATCCTAAGCAAAAAGAACAAAGCTGGAGGCATCACGCTACCTGACTTCAAACTATACTGCAAGGCTACAGTAACCAAAACAGCATGGTACTGGGTACCAAAACAGATATATAGACCAATGGAACAGAACAGAGACCTCAGAAATAATACCACACATCTACAACCATCTGATCTTTCACAAACCCGACAAAAACAAGCAACGAGGAAAGGATTCCCTATTTAATAAGTGGTGCTGGGAAAACTGGCTAGCCATAAGCAGAAAGCTGAAACTGGATCCCTTCCTTATGCCTTATACAAAAATTAACTCAAGATCAATTAAAGACTTAAACATAAGACCTAAAACCATAAAAACCCTAGAAGAAAACCTAAGCAATACCATTCAGGACATAAAGATGGGCAAAGTCTTCATGACTAAAACACCAAAAGCAATGGCAACAAAAGCCAAAATTGACAAATGGGATCTAATTAAACTGAAGTGCTTCTGCAAAGCAAAAGAAACTACCATCAGAGTGAACAGGCAACCTACAGTATGGGAGAAAATGTTTGCAATCTATCTATCTGACAAAGGTCGAATATCCAGAATCCACAAGGAACTTAAACAAATTTACAAGAAAAAATCAAACAACCCCATAAAAAATGGGTGAAAGATATGAACAGACAGTTCTCAAAAGAAGACACTTATGTAGCCAAGAAACATGAAAACATGCTCATCATCACTGGAAATGCATATCAAAACCACAATGAGATACCATCTCACACCAGTTAGAATGGCAATCATTAAAAAGTCAAGAAACAACAGATGCTGGAGAGGATGTGGAGAAATATGAACGCTTTTACACTGTTGGTGACATTGTGGAAGACAGTGTGGCAATTCCTCAAGAATCTAGAACCAGAAATACCATTAGACCCAGCAATCCCATTACTGGGTATACACCCAAAGGATTATAAATCATTCTACAATAAAGACACATGCACACGTATGTTTATTGCAGCTCTGTTCACAATAGCAAAGTCTTGGAACCAACCCAAATGCCCATCAGTGATAGACTGGATAAAGAAAATATGGCACATACACACCATGGAATACTATGCAGCCATAAAAAAGGATGCATTCATGTCCTTTGCAGGGACATAGATGAAACTAGAAACCATCATTCTCAGCAATCTAACACAAGAACAGAAAACCAAACACCACATGTTCTCACTCATAAGTGGTAGCTGAACAATGAGAACACATGGACACAAGGAGGGGAACATCACACACTGGGGCTTGTTGGGGAGTGGGGGGCTGGGAGAGGGATAGCATTAGGAGAAATACCTAATGTAAATGACAAGTTGATGGGTGTAGCATACCAGCATGCACATGTATACCTATGTAATAAACCTGCACATTGTGCACATGTACCCCAGAACTTAAAGTATAATTTTAAAAAAATGTTGGGAAATACATGGCTGAAGCTTAGGAATCAGATTAGAGCTGTGGAAGTTAATTTGGAGTCATCTCATCCAAAGACAAAAAAAGAGGACCATACTATTAAACAGAACTAACTTCACATGCCTGATCAGGGCCTAGCAGTGTGCTAGAAACTACATTTTGCATTCATTCACTTTCATCCTTATAACAACTTAAGAAGTAGAGTTATTAGCCTTGTTTCTACGTCGAGGAAACCAAACCTCAGAACAATTAAGTAACTAGACCAAGAAACAAGTGTTCTGAGTTCAAAGCCTTTGTTATTTTCACTACATTGGACGGCCTCATCACCATATCTGGGAACACGGAAAAATGAAATTTCTAAGCAAGTAAATGTGGAGAGAGGAATAAAAGGCCAAACACAGAACTTTGAACTTATCTCTATCCTACAGAGCCTCAGAGGCTTCCAACATTGGATATATTCCATATTGTTTCTAAAAATCTCAATGAAAGCTTGTGTTCTATGAAGATCAATTACATAAGAAGCTTGGGTTTCAAAACCAGATGCAACCATGAAAGTTATCTTTATGGTATATGACCAAATAAAGAGGCCACTGAATTAATTAAATCTCCCATAGTTGCTAATTTGTTACTACTTGCATTACTCAGTCAAGAGTTATTTATATTGCAAATTATCTTTATTCTTTATTACTAATCCTACCTGACAAGAATTAAATTCCCACAGTATGGGATGGGCCTGAGCTTTAGGAACTTCGAAGCTGCTAGGCACTTCTGAGAATTTATGGTCTGGAACCCCTTCACACAGCAAAATGCTACCAACTATACATTCTGCTCCTCAGCCAATTTAGAGGACTTGGGCTCTGATTTTGTTCCTTCCTGAGTTTACTCTCTGATAGTCCCCTCTGCTATATAGTTTAATGGGCTAATCAAATAAATTCTGCATTAAATGTATACTTTTAGATTTTCATGGAAAAATCTCCCAAAATTTTTCATAGGCCATTCTTCCAGGAATTCTCTTTAATTCGTGTTCTACTTTTGCTTTCGGTGGAACAGAGAAAATGAAACAACCCAAGAATCAGCTTTCTTCCACGAGGTTTTTTCCTCACATTAACATCTGGAATGCTTCCCTAATGGTATTCTGATAATATATTAAATAAAGCTGTTTTACATATCCAAACAACCAGTTGACTTAAACCGAATACTTTGCCATTTTAGTGAAGGAAAAAAATATGAAATTGGTTGCTGGGTTGAAAAAGATTTCCAAACCTGTCAGTTCAACCAAATGATTGCAATAATAAAGGCATTCAGTCATAGAAGTCATAGCTAGAGAGTAAGCAGAGGAATCCACAAACAAGAGTTTCTTTTGAGTATGGGTCAATGCTCTCAATTGGATGAGTTTTTAAAAATATGTACATTGAGTTACAAAGAAGGAAGCATAAGTTTGAGAAAAATCTGCATTAATTTCACTTACTGAAACAACAACAACAGGATATAAAATGCAAAGACTACTCTCTTCAAGCATGCTCAGTAACTTCTGGGTTTCTTGAAAATCAGAGGTTGTAACCTAAAAGACCAGAAAAATAAAAGGATATGAGAAGACGTTTTTAAATGACTTAAAACTTATTTCAAGGAATAAATGGAGAGATTCTGCATAACATTCAAAATATTTATCAAACTTAGTTTTTAATTTAGAAACAATTTTAAAGGATATCCATAAAGTTATACATGTCAAATTTTTATCTACTAATTGAGTCAAACCTGCCTCTTATTACCTACTTTGGACCAGGTACAAACAAAATTGAAAATATTGTCCAAAATACCACTCTTCTCATTATGGGAATTAGCTTGTTGAAAGTATTATTTCTCTTTCAAAGATAAAATCTCCAAAAATGTGTAGAAGAACTCATCATAATATCATATATAAATATTTAAGAATCAAATTAGTTCTCTTCCACATTTGTTCATATCCTTAAGTGCCTTCAATCATTTGAATTGACTTACATTCACACAAACAAAATTGTAGCATTGATCTAAGATGATTTGCTGAAGATGTCTGCCAGCATGACCCAGAGCCTCAGATGTGACTTTTACATGCTAGTAGGAAAAAACAGAAATGAATTCACAAATTAGATAGACCAAACATAAACATCTTTGTTACAAAGGAACACATAATTGCTAGAAGGCCCATAAAGCCAAGGACCATATATTTTTTAAAAAAATGAAACATGCTGAAGTTCATCAGGCTATCAAGAAATAGTCATTTGAACTAGGCTATGAATAATGCATATTTTAGCAAACAAGGATATAGAAAATTGTTTCACATAGGAAAAAAATATGGACATAAACAGAATATATTCTGGAACAGGCTAGTAGTCTGGTTTATCTTATACAAATAAATATTGAAGAGCATGTTGAAGGACTAAAAGAGAAAGGGTGCAGTGATGATTGCAGGTATCTGGAAGCACATAACACAGTTTTAATACAGGGAATAGACTTCACTAAACCTGAAATAACTAGAAATGGGGAAAGCAGTAAGAAATCATCACAACAATATAAGTGAGAGAGAATTAAGACTTAAACTACACAAACTATTCCTAAAACTGTCGGGAACTTACTTCTACTACTATAAGTAGTCCGAGATTAGATTAGATTTAGAGAAGAACACATATTATGCAAACTTTCCTAGTAAGATTTTTTATTCCATATAGTTTAATATTCTAATTAGCTTCTTTTAAGATTTTTCTATCATCACAATATGAACAAAAACTTAAGAATTACTAGACAAGGGATCTGTGATATCTTTGCTATAATAATTCCACAGGAAATCACATTTCAGTGATTCTTACTGGTATTACATTTAGAATGCTTTACATTTCATAGTTCTAAAAATAATACAGTGCTGTTCCTTGGTGAAACATCAAACTCTGTAACTCTGTACATTATCTATTTAGTAGCTTAATTTGCTATAATTTTGACAAAATACTGGAGAATGAGAAAGGAAAGTTTTCAAGGTCTTAGCTTTACTCTAGAAATTAGTTGGCTATTAAATTTTAAAAATTTTAGTTCAGTTTAAAATTCATATTGAGCATAAAGCTCAAAGATTTTTAAGAAAAAAGCCAAAAAGTCCATAGTCATCAACAATATATTAACACCACAATAAAAAAAGAAACCAGTATCCATTCTGCGATAGTAAGTTTGATCAAGTGGTAACATCTAGATATTACAGGGAGACAATTTTTCAAAAGTCCTTCATGTATTCAAACATTTTCAAAGGCATTAACAGCTAACTTGTTCCATACTTCCTTTGCAAGGATGTTTGTACAAATTGCAGAGATAGAGATATTTCTTCCTAGAACAGATTTATTTTCCAGTAAGATGGGGACATCTCTCTCTCTCTGGATTAGGCTTACTTGGCATTCCAGAGTTATCTCTTGAGGAGCAGATGGGCTGATTTGCCTGTATAAGGCCAGGGTTTCCTACTATCAAGGTTCTTTTTAAAGAACTCTACTGCCCAGCAACAACTAACTCTAATTGCATCTCTCCATGGAAATTGGAATTCAGAAAAAAACCGAGTGCTACATTTTTGTTCTTGCTACTGCTGTGGTTATAAATGGTCTTTTCTCTGACTCTGTAGTCTCAGATCTTCCACCAATATCTATGATACTGTGTCAGGCTGACTTATTTGCATGCAAGTAAGGTATAGTCTCACATCCTGCCAAGTTTCTGACTTCACAGATATGAAATAAGGCAACCATATCACCAGATCTTAACTTCAACAAAGATGCACAAGTGAATTCTGAACTCAGAAAAAAAAAAATCTTACTTTAAAATTTCCTTCTGCATGTAGAGAATGAAAACATGAGAGATATTCTGATTCAGTTTTTTTGAAGTATTAAAATAAATTTCTTTAGGACAGAGCTTAGGATCTTTGAGGACAGAAACATTCATGTTTTTACCACTAGCAAATGTTTAATAATTTTAAAAACAAAAACAAAACTTTGCCACCAGTTTTTTAAAGAAAAATATCTTGTGTCAAGAAAATAGTGTATGTTCTTAAAATGAACAATGTGGGAAAGTTCTTTAAAAATAAAAACTCACCAAAAAATACTACATATAAATAATTACTCTGAAAGGTAAGTATCATTCCAACAATTCTCTATGAATAATATATGTAGTAACCAGGAAAGACAAATGAAGTATTAAAAGTACGAATGTTGCATTACAATAGAATAATATGCATGTCATTTTAAATTATGTAATTTTAGTGAATGAAAACCAAATGTAGTAAAACCAAAAGTGTTGCTAAATTTTAGATAATTCATTTCCAGGAAGTTTAATTTCTAAAGGTTAAGAAGAGGTGCCTTGAGCAGGATAAAGACACTGCACTCTTAATGACAACTCACTTCTTTTTGTAAGTCAGTATTCACTGACTTCCTTCTGTGAGAGAAGGAGATAGCACATTTTAAGTTCTACCCATAGTCTAGGTCTGGTCAATCATGCTGTTTTAAATCTAAAACGTTTATTAGATTCTTATTCTATTTTGTGGCCATAATTAACATTAGACATTATCTACCTTCAAGGAAAGTGACTTAACAAAATTTTCCCCAATTCTAAATTTTTCATTTTAATTCACATTATTAGATGAATATGGGCAAGTAGTTGGTTGTTTTGGAGCAATTTTTTTTTTTAAGAAAAGCCGTAACATTTTTAGGTTCCTTGAGTTTTTGCTTAAGAATAGTTTATCTAGGAATAAAAATTTGGTTCATACTTTCCCTCACAGATCTGCAATCACTGTGCCACTATTTTTAATTGTTACATGTTTTCCTTCTGCTTCTTATATTCCATTTGTCATTCAGCCATTTTCCATTCATTTTCTTGGATTTCAATGTCAAGCAGTTTCCCCCACCTACCCCGCCATTGCCCTTCCAAGTACGCATAGTTGTTACATTTGAGGTTTTTTTCTTTTATCTTTATTACCAGAGAAAAATTTGGCTCGTGGTGATAGTCTTGGATATCACCTTCATCCCCTCGGATGTTTGTAGATAATCCTCCATTATATTTGGAATGAATACTGTAGATATATGAGGTTGGACTATCCTACGTTTTGCTTGTTTATGGGTTTTGCATCTTGATGTCTTCCTGAAGTATTCTTCATGGGGAATTTCCAAATCAACCACAGTAAGTTTTATTACGAATTGTTATTTCTCAACTTTTCCTGAAAATATGCCCTTTTAGATCAAATAGAATTAGTTCAAGGAAACTTTCTTTTAGCTTTCTGAAGAATTTATTTATTTTTCTACTTGATACATGAAAAGTGTCCACACATTGGCTGCCTTAGTCATCTAAACACCTACTCTACTTTAGCTACCATTTTTTTAAATTGGAATATGCTGCAATTATCTTGACTTTTCTCCCCTCAGTTATCTGACTTGCTGTATTGTTTCTCTAAGCGACTAGTTCTTTAATAGCGCTGCTTTCATAATAATTTTGTTTCCTATTCAATCACTGTTAATCTCTTACAATGTTGTGTTTTCAATTTTTAACCTTGAATTCAGATTCTCACTGAGTTCTTCTACAGAACAAAAAGGTATAATTTGGGAGAAGGAAGAGGTCTCAGGTTTTATCCAGGTTTACTTCTTATGTGCATTATAATTTTTTAAGTACAAATTGTACTTTTCCTGGTTATTTTCTATGAATTAGAGTGTTAAAACAAAATCAGACACTGATAATTTTCTCTGTCTCTATGAGATGCCACAGAAAATTGAGATATTTTCTACTTTTAAAGGATTCTCCTTGGCTCTCACACTTCAGCTTCTCAATCTGCTTCTAAGTTAAAAATAAAAGAATTATCTTAATGAATCAACTTTTGCCCCCATTACAAGGTCTGGGAGATCCACGGGCAGGGTTTAGAAGACATCAGCCAGATTATCATCTGCACTTACTTTCTTGACTGTTACTTTTAAAAATGTATGCATTAAGTGGGGCCCCTCATGTTTGTTTGGCTACTGTTAATTTTGCTTATTTTCTATTGTTTTTAAAGCAATGGAGAAGGAAGATTTTATGAATGATCTTTATCATATTTACCTGGCTGTCACTACTATTTTTAAGTACTTTAAGGAATTATTTTATTTTTATATTGTACATCTTTAGACAAAAGGCAAGTATTCCCTAACCATTAAGAGTATTTTAAGTATTCCTAGAAGAGCTTCATTTTTCTCATTAAAAACATGTAACTTTATATACATATTACATGTCTGTGTGTGTAACTCCCATTAGATTAAATCTAAAATAGTGACTTTGACATTAAAGCCCTTCATAGTCTACTTATATTCTACCTATTCAAATCCTAGCCACCCATTCCACTCTTCAACACAAATATTCTTAAACTCTAAAGAAATTTTTCTCTATTGTCACAAATACTGGGCTCATTCATACCTATGACAACTTCGGCCCATATTGACTTCAATATCTACTTGCTTCTTCAAAGCTATTATGTATTTCTTAAACTTTAACAGTTAGTAAGATATACACTCTTAGAATATACAATTGTAGGCCAGGCGCAGTGGCTCACGCCTGTCATCCCAGCACTCTGGGAGGCCGAGGTGGGTGGATCACCTGAGGTCAGGAGTTCAAGACCAGCCTGGCCAAGATGGTGAAACCCCCGTCTCTACTAAAAATACAAATATTAGCTGGGCATGGTGGTGGACACCTGTAATCCCAGCTACTTGAGAGGCTGAGGCAGAGAACTGCTTGAACCTGGGAGGCAGAGGTTGCAGTGAGCTGAGATCGTGCCACTGCACTCCAGCCTTGGCGACAGAGTAAAACTCCATTTCAAAATAAAAAAAAAAAAGAATGTACAATATAGATATATGGAAAGCACAATGCCCAGCCATATAGTGTTATTGTAATTGTAATTAAAATATATTTGTTCAGTTACATGATACATTTAAAACTGCACTTAAAGTCATTCTTTAGCTAATGCCCATAAACTAAGACAGAAATGCATACACAATATTTACATAAAAGTTATCAAATATTAGTATTTTTGTACTCTTGAAAAACCAAACTGCAATTTTTTTTCTTCTTGAAATTGAGACTCTTAATAATTGTTTCCAGCTCAGTGTAATTCTTTTAGTCATACTGCTTTCCTCCCAACCAGAAAACAATCAGTATTTTCCATGCTTGAGTAAAGAAACTTAGATTTTACCTAAATATAGCAAAGGTATCTGTGACACTTTTAATCAACAAAGACCACAATAGACAACGCTATTAGGTTGTTTATATATAAAAAAAAGTCCTAAGCATCATCATATGCTGTCATTCCTGATGTTTCCACACTCAAACACAACAAATGAAACAATCTGCTGGCTAGAGTTTCTTCTGTAAATATTTTGGTTCAAAGGACATTTAAACAAAATTTAAAACAACTTCCAATGTGTTCAGTAAATTAAAGTACGACAACAAAAAATCAAACTTTCCTTACATCATAACAAATAAGAGTTTAGGAAAGATTTACCGTAAACTAAATGCAAACATCTGTGTATTCACAATATTAATACTATATAAAGCATGGATATTAGGAATAAAGATGGATTGTCAAAAAAGTTTTCATCTCAAAAAGCATTAAGGCCTAACTAAGGCTGAAAGGTTTTGGTTCAATTCCCATGAGTCAGAAGTTCAAATATGTGTTTCTGAAAAGTCAATCATCTTTTTACAGAAAACGTTGGCTGGGTCATCTCTGAGTCTGAATCTTCCAACTTCTAGCCTCTCTACCATTCAAACAATGGCACAAGTGACTTGTAGAGAGATGTATTTTCTTTCCACTCTGTGAACATGCCAACAATTATCCCTTTTTGCCTTTCTAGCATTCAGCATTTACTATTTCTTAGAATAAGCTTTTAAGCTTTTCTTTTTGTATGTGTGTGCATGTGTGTACTAAAGAGCATGGACTCTGGTACCAAGATCCCTGGGTTTGAATCTATCTCCAGAACGTCGTTGCTGTGTGACTTTGGGCAAGTTACGTAAGTCCTGTGGCTCAGTTTACTCCTCAGTAAAATGAGTACATCATAGAATTTATATGAGGATTGGCTAAGCTAATATGTGAAGGGTAAGAGTTAACTTTTCCAAGATGTCTTCTCTATAGCTTGTCCTCGTAGAAGGCTTTAAGGAAGTCAATCCTGGTAGAGTTGTAAGCTAATAAATAAATTGGGTTACCAGTCGGCTAGGTTATATAAGCTACAGGCTGCTAACCATGAATGGTAAGCTGGTGGATCATAACAGTGGCCTTCCACTTCATGACCTGCCACCATAGGACTTAAACCCTAGCTAGCTGGTCATACTAAAGCAGGTTTGATACTCTCCCAATCCTAGATGCTGGGTAGGCAGAATAGTACTATAACCAAGGTTCTGAGACATTGCACTGCTATTGGATCCCTATCTCTTATCACACAAGGAAAAGGACTGGTGCTTCCCTCACTATGCAACTTAAAAGTCACAGCACAAAGACTGGAGTCTAACATTCAGCCCGGAAGATCCATTTGCAGTGCTACATAGTGCAGTGGACACTGCCTCTGTCTGAGTCCAAGGACATTTCCCAACAACTACTGTTCTAGGAAGTCTGAAGTCTAATGTGTGTACTGTCAAGTCATTCATCTTTGAATATATGTAAAGACCCAGTAGCATTCATGTTTTGGGTCACCTAATGCACACTGCTATATTAAATGCTTGCTGTTATAACTCTACTCACTTCTTAACTTCCACTTTTAGAGGACCCTTTAAAACATATCTCCATTATCCCTTTACATTTAATACATTTATTGAGGCTTTATAACTTGCCAGAATCTACGCTAAATACTTTCAACAATTATCTTGTTAAAACTGCATAGTACACCTATGCACGGGCAGGTATTATCATCATCCTCATGTTATAGATAATGCAGTACAGGCACAAAAGTTTGCATAATCTAAGATTACACAGCCAGTAAGGGGCTAGCACTCAGACTCAGGTCTGTTGGAACTCCCAGGTCCACATACATAACCTCTAAAGCACACTGGACATCAGTGTTACTCTAGGTACTATTACCTTGTCACAGACATCACAACACCCTTACCCAGAGAGGAGTAATTCTACATGTCCCAAAGTCAACTCCGGGGGAAGGGGTGTCGGGGAGGAACATGTATTCTGGAGGAAGTCAGTTAAGTACTAACAATCTTAATTGCCAGTATACACATTCCCTTAACTGTGATGTTTCTGGATCCTGGATAGTGTAGAAAGTATTTAAGAAGTGTCCTCCAATTTCAATCTTCAGATTTGATATCAAAGTAATGTCAAGTGCTTCTGACCCACTGCATTAAACGTGTGCTGAGCAGTTGGTGGTAGAAGACATTATTGTGGTAAGTCTTCCTTTGTGCATCCATCTCTCACTGTTAAAACTCATGTTGAAAGCCAACTATTGTTCTAATGCAACACTACAAGGACCATGGAATGGAAAATGACAAGCTCTAAATTTAACAAACCTTGAGCACCTGACACAAAGAATTTAAGGCTCCCGTTTTTTGTTTTTCTTTTTTTTTTTTTTAAGACAGAGTCTTGCTCTGTCACCCATGCTGGAGTGCAGTCGTATCATCTTGGCTCACTGCAACCTCTGCCTCTTGGGTTCAACCAATTCTCCTGCCTCAGCCTACCAAGTAGCTGGGATTACAGGTGCTCACCACCACGCCTGACTAATTTTTGTATTTTTAGTAGAATGGGACTTTCACCATATTGGCCAGGCTGGTCTCGAACCTCTGACCTTAGGTGATCCACCCGCCTCGGCCTCCTAAAGTGCTGGGATTACAGGCACGAGCCACCGTGCCCAGCCCCGTTTTATTATGCATCCAAAGTTGGATAGTATCAACACAAATTGTAAAGCTGCAAAATACCACCCTGCTTTTCTTTCTGTCGAGCTTTCATGACAGATTATACTATAACTAAAAGACAGTGTGTAGTAGATGGGAAACGACTGGCATTAACTCATATATCATGTTTGGCAGGCATGTTCTGTAACTATTAGTGGAAATCACTAATGATATGTGAAAAAGATATAAACAGTAATATGATCCCTTTATATTTATTAGTAATGCATAAAACATTTGCAAGCTGAGAACTGGCAAGTTAAAATGAACAAATCCTATCTGTCTTAATTAAAAATAAAACAAGGTCACAAAGAACAGAGTATCTTAGCCATTGATGGATTAATATAATTTCATTCATTTGACCAATATTTATTGATAGCTACAAGCCAGACACTAAATTGTATACTGAGACCATGTCAATGACTAGACAGGTTTCTGCCCTTAAGAAGTTTATAGCCTAATGGGAAAACAAAATAAATTTTAGATGTGTATTTCTCGAATTTCAATGTCTATGGGAATTTCTGAGAATCCTGTTATAAATGCAGATTTTAATTCTTTTAGATTTGGGGTAAAGCTAAGAATAAACATTTCTAAGAAGCTTACAGTTGATACTGATATAACTGATGCCTGGATCACACTTTGAGCCAGCAAAAGGTTCTATCATTTGAATCCACATTAATCTAAAAGTCATCTCTCATTTTGAGTAGATATTTACTGAGGAGTGTGTCCTCATCTAGCAAATGAAAGAAAACTGCAACCTTACTGAGCCAAAGCCATTGCCTTTATCTTTATTACATATATTGGTATGGCAAACATAAATGACTAAAATTAAACAATTCATTAATTCAACTTTTTTCCCTCAAATTCTTGCTAAGTTTACAACGTAATTTAATTTAAATGCATAAAGTTTTTATTTTTCCTAAGTAATAAAGATTCTGTCTAAATGTACAGTCTGCCTCCAGAATCTGTTGGTTCCACAGTTAAGGATTCGAGCGTGGGTCAAAAACATTTGAAAAACAAAACTAAACAATAAAAATACAAATTTATAAAAATACAGTGTAACTATATAGCATTTATATTGTATTAGGGACTGTATGTAATCTAAAGATGATTTAACATATACAGGAAGATGTATATAGGTTATATGTAAACGTTATTTCATTTTATGTAACGGATTAGAGCACCCATAAATTGTGGTATTTGTAGAGCAGAAAGGTAGGTCCTGGAACCCCCATATAAATTGAGGGACAACTGTATATAGAAGTATAATTGCAGCCTGTTTCCATATTAAAATCATGTGATGAGAAAATGACAATCACTTAAATGACATGATTGATATTGTACTGCAAATGTGACAATTGTCTAGATAAGAAATATTATCTAGACAAATGTCTAGATAAGAAATATTAAAAAGGTTCTCAACAACCTCCATTTTCCACCTAGTTTTTACAAAATGATAGAAAATAAAGAAAATTAAAATCAGCTATAATTTGTATGAATAGCTTACCGAAGAGTCCTTTCACATGTAATCCCAAGAAAATCATGCAATAGTCTTTTAAAGAATATTCAGACACCATCCCAATATTTGTTCAACCTGAAAACTGCCATCAAACCCTATGTAATAAGCAAACTATTTTTCATTAATGTATACTCCTCTTGTATGAGAAATATACTTGCAATATTTATACATAAAATTTCCCTCTCATACAACTTTCCCATTATGACTTATGAGGAGCCTGTTGAATATACATTGTTTAGCTTAGAGGTTCAAAATATTTTAAAAATACTAAGGATAAATTACATTTTGAACAAAAACTCGATCATGTGACTTGTTTCAGAACTAAGTATATACCATATAATATTTTTTAAACAGTACATTTCTAGACAATATAGAAAAATAGATTCAAATATGTAATATAGAATCTTACGGTAGAGTCTACAGAATACATTTTAAAAATATTGCTTATGGCTTATTTTCTTCACTCCACTAGAAGGTCCCCTCTGCAGTGCTCATTTCTGCAACACTGTCTTTCTTTCCTGACAGAAGGCTGCTCACCACCAATTTCATCACTGTTGCTAACTCCAGCTCATCTAATCTCTGCAACATCTGCTACCAGCACCTTCTCTTGCCTCCTTTTGTGAACATAGTTTTTTCTTCTGGTTAGAAAATCAGTTCGAACTTCTTGAGTTTTGTGTTTTAAACTCTTCTCAACTGTTCCGATGATTGATGGATGGCCCAGAGGCGACCTCTTTATCTCCAGCAACATATTTGGCTGTTGGCCCGGTAGAGAGGTACTCCAGAAGCTTGCTGGTTCATCATGCTCTCATCTTTAACCACAACTATTTATCTGACTCCTTCCATCTCCACAGCACTGTGTGAGGGATCAGTGATAAGAGACGGTGAAAGACATGCGCAAATGGATAAATAATAAGCAGGATATGTAGAATGACACAACAATTGATGAGTAATTTAGGAGATCCAATAACTAAAAAAAAAAAGACTGGGGACAAGTTCATGGAAAGAGTAATCAACTAAGCCTTATAACATAAAATTGACAAATAGAGAAGGCATGCAATCCAGTAGAATAGAGTGCAAAAGAGGTAGAAGACTAATCGTTTCAAGACATGTTGAGCCACAACAGCAATAACATTGTGACAAAAAACGTCGGTGTAGACTGCAGAAGATCTTCAATGACGGATCAAGCTGTATAGACTTTTTTTTACCCTCATATACTGAATAGTCATTTAAGGTATACAGTGCCAACGTAAGAGAGAAAGGTAAACTTTTTTTAACACAAGTTGTAGGCCTTGGAAAGAAGTTTTCCAGTAACAAGATAACACGATAATGTACTGTGGTTATAAGCTCAAAGTGGTATATTTGATTCAGTGTTCCCAGAACCACCAAAACCTTGGAACCATTGTTTAGCTAAAGCTACTAGAACAACAGAATAACCTACTCTGTGGCATTGTAAAGTAAAATTATACTACACACAAATACTTGACATAAAATACATTTCCAAACTCAATTATTAGGGATAACATAAGCACAAAATGATGCTTTGCAAACATCATGTATCCTATAACTGGAGAAAAAAAATTAATGACATGAAGTGAAATGACTGAGTTCTGAAGCTACATCTCAATTTAAATAGCATAAGCAATTTAGTATACAACATTCTTCAAAATCAATTGTTGAAGGTTAACTATAATCTACATACAAAAACAACTTTGTCAACTTTTTGTACGGATTTTCCTTCTAAACATATTTACTTTATGTGTAAAATCAAAAAATTTCCTGAGTTAAAGGCTAAGACTTGACTTTATGAATACATGCCCAAAAATTGGTGGTGGCTGGTTTCTGTTTTTATTTTGTAAGCTTAGTATAATGGTTGTCCAGAACTTGTAAGCAATGACCTCATTTCTAAGCGGACAAGATGCAAAAGACCATTTTTACAGATTAACCATCTGGTTCCTTTAGGAAGAGTAATATTTCAACAGGTTCCTGTATTTCAAGAATATAAATAATTAAAAAGATGAAGATATGTGAAATACACAAAGAAAAAAATAGAGAAAATAGCATTTAAAGCAAATTATCCTAGCTCCCTCAATTAATATTTTAAAACCATGACAATCAGTTATTAATATAAATTGTTAATTTTATTTAATACAACATCAATATAATTCATACCATCTTCTTCAACTAGGTGGTCTATCATTTTGGAGTTTCTTTCCACCTCTGGAGAATTGCTCAGGAAATCTGGCTAACATACCAAATAAATCAAATGGATTTAATGAGATGGTTTTTGGCTAGTTTCTATATTCTTGTATACACATGCATGTAACACATAAATGTGGTGCTGTTCACAGTTAGAGGCGCAAGAGAAAAAAGTAGCTTTCCAGTGTTATTTCATTGTTATTAACTATACAGTATTCAGGTGCAAACAAATGAAAATCCTGTATATTCACGCTAAAATATAATATGTATCAAAATAAGCATAAAATAACTGTTTTGGATAGGTCTTAGGATGCTGCTGTGGCTTAATTTGCTCTGTTTATGTTCTCTCCGCTTTTCTTTATTGCATGTGCTAGTTTTGATGTGTTGTTTGACTAATATGTCATACGGTGAATTTACTGAGGTCTATAACAAAAGGCATGGATCCATACACTGGACACAACCTTGAGGGCATAAGGGAAAAAAAAAAGAAACTAAGTACCATAGAACAGCCTCAACAAAATCAGAGCATGCTTTACACGTGATTTTCAGTTACACCCTGCTTGTCATTTGTGATTACTCAAAACAATAATTAAATTACGTCCTCCAGGAAACAGGAAGGAGTGGATAACCAAAATACATGAAAAGCCCCTACAGTCCCTGTTTGTTCAGAGTATAGATCAGCATTCTTTAGGAGTTCCATTCTTTTATTACAGGAATGAATATTGGGTTGAACACGCTTATATGCATTTAGAGGTAATGTGATGTATGAAAACAAGTACTGCAGAGGTTTCCTCTGTAGAACTGTACTTTTAAGAGGAGCAGCCACCATAATCTTCTTGTAAAGGTAAACTGGATCATGTCATTTTCAAATAAAGTCTTCTCTCACTTCATTTTCCCCTTAAAACAATATATAAATGATAATAGTAGCAACGGTAACAGTAGAAGTGGTAAACTCAACATAAAAAGCCTACAAGGCTCTTTCCTTGTCTCTTGCTACTCCCACTTCCACTCCATTTGCATCTCCAACCACAGATGCTTTCTTTCTGTGCCCCAATGAAGCTCTTTATGTGCCTTTCACATACTGTTACTTCTGGTTTGTTCTTTAAATAGATAATTATTTATTGCCCTTAAAGACTTAAGTTAAATACCACATCTGCCAAGAGATTTCACTTACTGCCTTCCACTCCCAATCTAAGTCACTTTCTCTGGCTCTCTTATATAAGCACAGTTATGTTTTCCTTAGAATATTCATCACAATTTGACATTTTAATTTGCATTCATTTACTTTTTATCCCCAACTGGACAATATGCTCCTTGGAAATAGGAAATCATACTTGCTCAGTTCAACTCCCTGTATCTAGTGACTATATCATGACAGGCATTTATTATTTGGTAAATAAACTAGAGAATTTAGGAATAAAAGACTAATCATATCTTCCCACTTATAAATTCCTTACTACCTTCAGTTCAGTATATAGTATAAACTATTTTTGGATATTTACTGAAAACTGGGAAGAAGTGAGAGAGGTCCCTTTAAAACTGTCTACCACCCTGATCTATCTCTGGAGAGCTCTATCTTCAAAGCTGGTAAGGTCTGTGAAATACTTCAAATTGCTGAGAAAAACGGAGGAGGAAAATAGCAAGACTGATAGCAAAGCCTTGTCCTTTAAGAATCAGTAAAAAGTGCCTGTGAATGGGGGGAGTAGGAGAGGTGCCTCTCCCCAAGTTAGCTCTTTACTTAACTTTTTAACAACCTCTTCCAGGTATTTGGTGGGTATCATTAAAGTTAGATGTTTGGTTCACCTGTAAGGTATGTTGCAAAATTCTAGTACAGATAATTACAATAAACATACCCAATCTTTTCCCTTAATTTCAAAGGAAAACATTTTTTCTTTTCATGTTAACAAAACAATCCTCCCATTATGTGTTGAGCAGCTCCACACCCACACTGATCTGCCCTACAGATGCCAGGATTTCAATAGTGGTGACTTCATCCTTTTTACACATTCCTTTCAAAGTAGGATGAAAGCTTTGAGAGGTGAAAATGTTAGAATACGTTGCATTTTGTATTTGTAAGTTATAAGCTGAAAAATGTCATGAGATAAATTTACCTTTATAAGGGAAGGGAAAAAGTATATAAAACTACATAAATCCTTTCCTAAGGGGATGTCTTTCAGACATTAGGTATTAGCCCTTTGTCAAACTTAAAAATCTCAGTCTTTTATCTCACCTTTCCTTAGAAGAATATTAATTAGTAGAGACCATTTTGAATCAACTAGCATCTATATTCACTATTGACATGACCTCAGGCAAATCAAACTGCAAGTTTCCCTATTTCCATTTGTAAAATAAAGGGGGAAATCATAGGGTTATTTTTTTTCCATTTATATATCTTGTTTGAAAGAATGTCTATTCATATCCTTTGTCGCTTTTTTTTTTATTTTATTATTATTATACTTTAAGTTTTAGGGTACATGTGCACAATGTGCAGGTTAGTTACATATGTATACATGTGCCATGCTGGGGTGCTGCACCCATTAACTCGTCATTTAGCATTAGGTATATCTCCTAATGCTATCCCTCCCCCCTCCCCCCATCAAAGGGTTATTTTAAAGAGAAAAGAACTGCATAGTACTGATACAAACAGGAGACACGGAAATCCCGGGTAGAAGAGGACAGTCCCTGGTGAGGGCCACACCCTTAGGCCTGGGTACTGTGGCCCAAAGTGAGAACATGCATTCCTGTTTTCCCACTCAAATGCTGCTTTTTGGCTCTCCCTGCCTCCCATCTTGTACCCATAAAAAACCCCAAGCTCCACTAGCAGAGTGATGGCAGAGGGGCAGCAGAGTGGAACAGCAGGGGCCAGAAGAGAAGCAGCAGCTGTCAAAGAGAAGCAGTTTGACTTCAGAGGGACAGCTTGAAGGTGGGACTTCAGAAGGACGGCTTGACGGTAGGACCACAGAGAAGAGGTCAGCAGGGGATAGCCAAACTCCAGGGGAAGACCACCTTTCCACTCCATCCCCTTTCCAGCACCGCATCCCACTGAAAGCCACTTCCACTCGTCAGTAAATCCTCCACATTCACCACCCTTCAATTAACTGATGCAGCCTGATTCCTCCCGGACACCGAACAAGAACTCTGGTACCAAGAGGGCTGGTGCAAAAGGTTGTCATCCTACCCTCCACTGAGCTGTTAAACACTTAAGCTGTTTGTAGACAGCAAAGGTAAAAGAGCACAATGTAACACACGTCCTCTGGGGCTTCAGGGGTCATGGATACCCTGCTAGATGTAGCCATGGAGCTGCATGAAGTTCTATTCCTGCCATCGCGCCCAGAAGGACTTGTCCTGGCCTCTGTACCTGCTCACCTGCATGCTCCCTGTCCCATGAGAGGTGGAGAGCTGTGGGCTGATTAAATGAGCCAACCCCTTAGCCAGTCCTGCGAAGGGGCCAGGGGAACTGCCCATTTCAGTACTACTCCTGACACTCCATAATCAGTGTTGTGGCTGTTTTTGTTTTTGTTTTTGTTTTGTTTTGTTTTTGAGACGGAGTCTCGCTCTGTCGCCCAGGCTGGAGTGCAGCGGCGCGATCTCGGCTCACTGCAACCTCTGCCTCCCGGGTTCACGACATTCTCCTGCCTCAGCCTCCCGAGTAGCTGGGACTACAGATGCCCACCACCACGCCCAGCTAATTTTTTGTATTTTTAGTAGAGACAGGTTTCACCGTGTTAGCCAGGATGGTCTCGATCTCCTGACTTCGTGATCCGCCCACCTCGGATCCCAAATTGCTGGGATTACGGACGTGAGCCACCACACCCGGCCTGTTGTGGCTGTTTCTAAGAGAAAGCATTCTCTTAAGTTTGTGTGGCATAACAGGTTTTTAAACTTTTAATTCTTTTTAACCAAATTTAGAAGTCAGGGAAGGCTTAGCAGGAACGATATCTCCTTTCAAGGTGAACCAAGATTCTCTGAGTAAAATAACAGGACACCCAAAGTTCAGTTTTAGAAGTTCTACATTAGCTCCTCATTAAAAAAAAATAAAAAGTCTAATTTATCTCCAAAAAGGAAGATATTAAATTAAGAAATTTTTGAGGAATGGTGATTTTCTTACTTTTGAATATATGAATACTTCTTAGTTTTATTATATGAAGGAAATCCCTAACTTCAAGCCAAACCTAATTTTTTAAAAATTCCAAATTTGCTATGTCTGTCTATATTTATAGACGAATTAGATACTTGAAATTAAAAGAGAAATTTAAGTGATCTTTAAAAATTATAAATGGCCAGGAGAGCACACGAACAATAAAGGGGAGAAAGATTCTGGAAACCTAGAAATATGATTTTAGTCTTTGAATCTCTGCAGACCCTTCATAAAAACAGAAAAAGCAAGGAGGATATCAAAGCCAAAAACCTATAGACATTATCTACTATAAAACCAATATTTGGGAGGCTGAGGCACGAGAATCATTTGAACCTGGGAGGCGTAGGTTGTGGTGAGCTGAGACCATGCCACTGCACTCCAGCCTGGGCAACTGAGTGAGACAGTGTCTAAAAAAAAATAATATTAGTGGGTAGGGATAAATTGGCAGCACATATAAAGACACACACAGTTTAAGAAACTGTAGAAAAAAATGGGAGTAAACCAAGAAAGACAGAAAACAACAAAATCATCATCAGATACTTTCTGGATACCTTAGCAGGCCATTCCATTCTGGGAATAGCAACAGAAACTAGGAGAAGCCTTTGTAGGCTTTAATTCAAAGTTGAAAACAAGGAAGCCACATGAACGTTCTCTGCTAGGGATAACTGGGGGTCTGGGTCCAAAGCACATTCAAAACCAATAAACAGAAGCACCGTAGTATGTTAAAGCACCAGCCTGAGAAGTCTAGATGGACCAAGGGAGGTGCACTAGGAATAAAGGAAAGAGAAAGTACAGGCAAAGGACGGCCACGGAGGTGTTATTTTGACTCATCCCTTCCTCCTAAAACTAGATAAAACTCTTCTACTTAAAAAGGAACAATAGGGCTAGGTGCAATGGTCATGCCTGTATTTCCGCCCTTTGGGAGGCCAACGTGAGAGGATCACTTGAGGCCAGGAGTTTGAGACCAGCCTGGGCAACATGTGGAGACTCCTGTCTCTACAAAAAGGAAAAAAAAAATTAGCTGGGCATTGCAGTGTGTGCCTGTGGTCCCAGCTACTCAGGAAGATGAGATGGGAGGATCGCTTGAGCCCAGCAGGCCAAGGCCAAGGCTGCAATGAGCCATGATAGTACCAAGACCCTGTCTCGGAAAAAAACAAAAACAAAAACAAACAAAAAATATATATATATGAATGACAGAAAGAAAGAAAAAAAAAGACTAAACAGCAAAATAATGTACCTACAGAAACCCATGCACATCAGAAAGACCCAGTCATAAAATAAATGAAGACTGTAACCCAATATTTAATAAGCTAAAAGAAATTAAGAAAATGACAGAACTATAAAAGTCAGACTTGGAATAACTTAGAAACAAGGCGAGAAAATTTAAAAAATATTTCAGAAATGAAGACTAAATTAGAAAAAACACAAAAGGTAATGACTGAACAGAAATAAAAGACGGGAAGTAAGAAAATTAAAAAGAAATTAAGAGATTAGAAAAACTCAGGAGAATGTAATAGCTGTGGATGGCCAAAGAACATGTAAGCTTCATCCAACAGGAATCTCTGAAGAAAACTGAAGTAACCAAACAGAAAAAAACTAAAGAAATAATGTCAAATAAAAAGATTCGAAACTACACAGAAGCATCCACTATGTACCTAGCAATATCAGCCAAAATGACTATAATTAAGAAAACTGTAGTAAAACAAATGGACTTTAAAGGAAAAGAATTATTTGAGCATCCAGGCAAATAGACTAAATCACTTATAAGACAAAGAAAGTCAGATTTTCATCACACTTGACCAAAACACTTTATGACAAAAGAAAATAGACTGGCATATTGAAGATACTCAACAAAAAATTACTGAATTAAGATTGCTTTTAATCTAGCCAAAACCACCTTGAAGATTTTGAGCAAAAGAATAATTTTATTCACATCGAAGAACTTGGGAATACTGTGCCCATGAGCCCTCACTAGAGCATCTATTGGAGGATTAGTTCCAGAAAACCAAAATGATTTTTAAGGTATCAACATAAGGATTGTAGTGGCTATCACATATATATTTACTTATATGACTAAGAATAAACAATTGTTTAAGGGAGATAGTAGGTAATGACATGAATGTAAGAATATATACAGTAAGAAAGTTCACTGTCATCTTTCAGCTATAAACTTTAAATTAAAGCATACTAATTCAAATTAGATTCTTTAGAAAGGAGGAGGTAGAAGACACTGGTTAATTTGTTAATTTTAACAACTCATGTATCCAGTACAGCACTGAAGTATGGGAACTAACAGTCTGTACTATCTAATACTGTCACACCACTCTGCCAACTTATCACTGAAAGTTTAATTATAGTTCAAATGCATTGAAAACGTACTGCATGCCAGATGCTTCTCTAAGCACTTTAAATATATTCATTTTATTCAACTCACCCAGCAACTTTAGAACATAGATGTTATTAACAGTTTCAATTTACAGATAAGGAAATTAGGAAACAGAGCTAACATCCAAAGTGCAAGCAGTCTGATAACAGAGCCTGTTCTCTTTCCAACTGTGCTATCATGATAAAATTACACAGCTAATGGGCATGGTGGAGGCTGAGGCAGGAGAATCACTTGAACCCAGAAGGTGGAGGTTGCAGTGAGCTGAGATCACACCACTATACTCCAGCTTGGCAACAGAGTGAGACTCCATCTCAAAAAAAAAAAAAAAAAAAAAAAATTACACAGCTAAAATCAACTTTTACCCTCTACTTTTGATGAGAATTATGTACGTTGTCAAAAGGTCATCACATATTGAACATAAACTTGGATTAGAAGTTATATATTTTAATGAAAACAGAAATTAATTAAAATGTACAAAAATAAGTGTGGCAAAGAAAATACTTGAAAGTTGTCATAAAAATGATTAATGGCAGTGCTTGGTGGTAAAATTATAAAGAGTTCCTATAGACACCCTCACACTTATTGCATCTTCTATTTGCCTAGCCCTAATATTAGATATGAGTTTAACTAGGAAGTTGGTCACTTCACATTTACTCGCTTTTCCAATATCATGATTATTTCACCTTTTGTCATCATGTCTCTTATTTCCCCCTCCCTCTTCATAATCTCTCTAATCTTCACAGAGTCTACAAACTTTACTAAGCATCTAGCATGTGCTGGCCACTATGCCTCTTAAGACAAGTCTCAGCCTTATGCTGGGGAATGCAGGCATCAGGCAGGGCTTCCTAAAGGTCGTCACACATGGACACTGGAAAAAAATCCACAAAAGGAATGAAAAGGGGGATGGAGTATGTTTCAGATCCTAAGTGCTGGCAGACCAAAGGATCTCATTGAGGCAAAATAATAAGAACATTATGATTAAGGGATTTTTATGGGTTTTTTTCCAAGAAAGATATCTTTATACTATAAAAGTTTTTGGCAATCAAAGTTTATCAAACTCAGTCTTTGAATACTTACATTTAATTCACTTTTCAGCACTTCTTCAAGAAGATGACCTACATGTTTGTTATCTTCTTCTGTATCCATAACTACACAAATCTCTTGGGAAATTCTCTCTGAAATTAAAAAAAAAAAGTTTTAAGTTTCAAACAAAACATGTAACAAGGCCCTAGGATGCTGAAACATAAACTTACCTGATGTTCTTAGCTGTTGACCAAGAATAGGGAGGTTTTGATTTCAGGCCAAGTGGAGTAATCTGTGTACACACTGAGATGGCCTTGATTCAGTTTACTACCCAAGTCCATAAACCTATCCATTGAACACTTTGTGGGTGAAGAACCAGCCATTGTGCAACTAACAGAAATAAGATATTTTAGGATGCATTCGGAAGGGAGTAGAGGTGACAACCATTTGAAGTTCAACAATTCAATCTTTCCATGTTTATAAGGAGTCTCCCAGAACCTAACAGATTTCCACTTCTTAAACAGATTCACTCTTTAGGCCATAGGTTATCTCCTGTGCACAGATTCAATGTGCCATCCAGTGCCTTGGTTAAGTACATTGTGTTCCTTGACATTCCTCTAGATTTTCAATTCAGTACAATTAAGTTCCTGTTTTGACTATTGCACTAACAAGTAAAAACAACTGAAAGAATTTTCTTCACATCTGGAAGACTTGAGATGGTCCGATTTAAAATTTATAAACTATGTAACACAGTGATAGTCACCTCTGGAAACCCTGGATGCATTCTTCCAAAAGATATGAAGTCCTCCTCTATAGCAGGCAAATCAGAAGGTACCCTGATTCAAGGTAACTTGACCTCTTGTTATCATGATACAAAGTTCAACCATGGGCTGAAATCTGAGTAGAATTTTTCTTAATCCACATCTTTCTGTCTTATAATTAACAGCGGTTCTTCAAAGTTTCAGGCATCCTATATGGAAATTGCCTATATAGCTGCCAGTTAAAGAGCCATTACATAGCATTATATCATGGATAAAGAAAACAAAGCCTGATTTTAAGATAGGATTCCTGAATCAAAAGTATGTTTGATTAACTTTTGACCCAACTGCTTCTTACCTGAGCAACTCTGTAAAATAGGGCCCATATAAATCACTGATGTAGCAATAGCTACTAATTATTTCAAGCAAAGCTAGGGAGAATAGGTTATTGAAAATAATACCACCAGTTAATAGCACTGCTATTACTACCTCCTACTTAACAAGAATATTATGCATTCCAGGAGCTATATGGTATATATGAATACTAATGCTCATGATGACCCTACAAGATCAGTATCATTCTGAATCTATGTAACAGGTTCAGGAAGCTTGAATTCAGAGAAGTAATTTGCCCAAGACTACAGGGACATGAGTAGTAGAAAAAGGATTCAAATCCAAAAAAATAAATCTGTAATTCTAAGTTACGTGGTGCTAATAAAAGTCAACATAATTAAAAACACAAATGAATGTTTTAGACAGTAAATGCTACAGAACATCATTGTGGAGAGAGAAACTGGAGACAAGATCAGATAACTCTATAATACAATGAGCTAGGAGCTCACTCTTGAAAGGGGAATAGATTTTGCTTAGGAGTGGGAGAAAGGAGCTTTGCAAACAATCAAAATGATAAGAAGGAAACAACATTTTAATGTGTATTGAGGTAGGTAGTCACATAAACGTAGTGTGACCAACAACCAAGAGAATTACTTGAAAGCTATATTAGTTTGTTTTCACACTCCTGATAAAGATATACCAGAGACTGGGCAATTTACAAAAGAAAGAATTTTATTGGACTTACAGTTCCATGTGGCTGGGGAGGCCTCACAATCATGGCAGAAGGTGAAAGGCACATCTCACATGACAGCAGACATGCGTCTGCTTATGCAGGGAAGAGAAGAGAGCTTGTGCAGGGAAACTCCTCTTTTTAAAACTATCAGATCTCATGAGACTTACTCACTATCATGAGAACAGCATGGGAAAGACCTGCCCCCATGATTCAATTACCTCCCACTGGGTCCCTCCCACAACACATGAGAATTCAAGATGAGATTTGGGTGGGGACACAGCCAAACCATGTCAAAAGACATAAAATGATTTAGTAGTGAGTTCTAAAGTGGGATACTTAGTGAGATCAAATCAAAGGGATCCCTTGCTGTCTTGGACACTAGAGTGTCCTAGGACTTTCATTTAGAAGTTAACTCATAAAAGCAGTGGCTTTTGAAAACAGAGTTAACCCAAACTTATACATCATGAAATTACATGTTTAGAGAAATCTGGGCTTTGTAATATCTTAGGCTAAGGCCCCAACAGTTTTATTTCTGAAAGCTCCTCATGAAAACATTAGGACAATCAAGAAATTTAATGTACAAAGTAATCTGCAAATGCAACAATTAATGTGATGGTGCCACAAACATTTATATAAATTTGTAAAATAATGCATAACATTAAGAATAATTTTTAAATACAAAACAGCATATGTAGGTTTTCCTTGCCTTGTTTCATCATATATCCCTCTTTATAAAATTCTAAGCGCTACCCAACATGTGTACAGTAATAAAACTGATATATTACTACCAACTTACAAAAATGAAATATTTTTAAAAAATGAATTCAAAATCTATTTGCTGGCCAGGCACAGTGGCTCACGCCTGTAATCCCAGCACTTTGGGAGGCCAAGGTGGAAGATCACTTGAGGTCAGGAGTTCAAGACCAGCCTGGGCAACATGGTGAAACCCCATCTCTATTAAAAATACAAAAATTAGCCGGGCATGATGGTGCACTCCTGTAGTCCCAGCTACGCAGGAGGCTGAGGCAGGAGAATCGCTTGAACTCGGGAGGCAGAGGTTGCACTGAGCCAAGATCACGCCACTACACTCCAGCCTGAGTGACGGAGTGAGACTCTGTTTCAAGGGAAAAAAAAATCTATTTGGCATTTATCCTATGCCATGTTTCAGTTACCCTAAATAGAACACATTTGTTGTTTAGGAGTCCTTCATTGCCACATAAATTTTTACCATCATTTCCACAAAAACATCTGTTGAGTTTGGTATAGAAATGACATCTTTAAAATAACAAGCCTTCCAAATGAACATGATTTGTCCCCTGTGTCCTGAAATCTTTGTTTCAATAGTGCTTTGTAGTTTCCAGTGCAGACCCCTTTCATCTTTTGTTAGATTTATTCTTGTTTGTTGACACCACTTATAAATTGATTTTTAATTTCCTATTTGTTGTTATGTATAAAAATACATTTTGATACAGACCTTGTATAGTCAGTAACCTTGCTACATTTACTTATAAACTGATGTTTTATAGATTTTAACTTCTTGGTATATACAAACATGCTGATGAGTGATAAAGTTTTATTTCTTTCCAATCTATAATTTTATCTGATAATGAAAAATTTTAAATATTGGCTCTATGCTCATGGAAAAAAAAGTTAGCCTGTAATTCTACTTACTTATAAGGCCCTGTCATATTGTCATTAAGTAATTATACTATTCGCACATAATGAGTTGGTAAGTGTTTTTCCTACTCTCTAGAAAGTGTGCAAGATTGGTGTCATGTCTTCTTTTGAGTGGTTTTGTAGAATTCACTGGTAAAAGCCAACTGCTTCTTTGTGGGAGAGCTTTTAATAAAAATTCAGTATCTTAAATTGATGAATGATTATTCACATTCTCTATTTTCTGTCTCAGGTTAGTAAGGTGTATTTCCCTAAGGATGTGTTCATTTCATCTAAATTCTTATTAACAGTAGCATAACGTTGTTCGTAACATCTTAATATCTGTACAATTGTATTGATTCTTTTTCATTTCTGATACTGACTGAGCATTCAATATTTTTCATAATCACTCTTGCCAAGGTCTTACCAGTTTTATTACTGTCATCCGAGGAAATCATGATTGATTCTGTCTTATATGTTTGTTTTCTAGTTTATGAGTTCTTAACATTTTCTTCAGTATTTTCTTCCTTCCACTATCTTTTGAGTTTTGTTTGCTGCTTCTCTTTTTAAAAATGTTTAAGTTGCTGACTCTCTTCCTTTTTTCTATTTATATTTAAGGCTCTAAATTTTCCTCTAATAACAGTTTTAGCTGTATCTCAAACACTGTGATATTTTCACTCAATTTAAATGACTTCATATTTAGTTTAAAATATTTCATTCCTTTTCACTCGCTTTCATTTAGAATCATATTATTAGAAACATCTAATTTCTATTGTGGTTTCTTATTTCCTCTATGGATTATGTAGAATTTTATTGTTTTTATTAGAATGCTGTGTAACAAATTACTATAAATTTGGTGGTTTAAACACCACCCCATTAAGTAGTTCACAATGCTACAGGTCAAGAGATGGAGGAGGAGAAGGAGAAGAAAGGGTGACGGAAAAGGTGAGAAGGGAGTACATGCACAGAAATGATAAAGTAAATGAGGCAAAATGTAAACAACAAGGTAGGTAAAAGACAGGGAAGCTATTTGTGTTATTCCTGTATCTTTTAAGTTTGAAAGTTATTAAAATAAAAAAGCACCCTCTCCTAAAAACAAAAATTAAGAAAAAATATGTGAAGCTATATTAATAGGAGACTTTAAAGTTCACCTCTCTTAAGTGAGCAAAACATAAGGATGTAGATTCGAGGTAAAATAACATCATAAGAAATATGGTGGATCTGTTATTGTGTTGGTTTCTATATTGTCAGCTAATCTCAGCTATTTGCATTCCACAGTGGTCTGCATCTGACAGGCCAATTTCTTACAGTGTCTATGGACGCAATCAATATGTCCTTTACTACTAATGATAAATTCTCAATCTGTCTACATTCAAAGATTAGACCACATACAAAATCATCATCAATTTCAACTGGTTGCACATCAGAATCAACATAAATATCTTGTTTTCCTTTTATATTTTCAAATACATATGCCTAGTGCACATCAAACAAGATACTAGCCTATATTTTTGTCCAAAAGTGATTCTGATGTATAGCCAGATTAAAAACCTCTGCTTAGCTATTGCACTGATTTTTTATGATGTGGGGATTACAAAAGGGTCTATCATATATAGAACCTTTATAAATATGGTTTCATATATATGATACAACATTTATATTTTATATATGTATAAATAGATAGGATCTACTGATCTACCATATATATATATATAAATGATACTATCTATAGAGATCTACCTATTCATACCTATATTGTATCATATATGTATTTTATATGTTATGAAAGTTATTTAATAACTTCCCAACTTAAAAGATACAAGAACACAAATAGCTTCCCTTTTATCTACCTAGATTCACTAATATATCACATATATATCATATATGATATATATGACACTATAAAGATGATACTGTATCTATGGGTATAGATACGTAGATCTATATATATAAAAATGATACTATCTATGTGTATATATATATCTATAGATATACTATATATGTGTGTGTGTGTGTGTTTATATACAGTAGGATACATACATATCCTACTATAGCTTATTACCTGAAATGGAATAATTTTGGGGGTAATTTTCCAGTTGTCTTTAATCTTCTGTGTGGCAATAGGAGGATGGTGAGTTTAGTGAGATAGAGCTGCATTCAGTCGCCCATTGCACAGAGACTTTGATATTTCTGATATAAAACTATTTTAAAAACCCAAACCCACACAAATACTACTCTTATCTGCATGTCTCACTGGGTTTTACAATTAAGCAATCTCTAACATTTATAAAGGTGATATTAAATAAGGTAACATATTTAATAACTACAGATATAGGATACTTGATAGGCATTCAATAATATTTGTTAAATTGAGGGAAATACAATTTTTAAAATTTTAAACAATTTCAATTCTATATTGGAACAGATGCTGAAAGTAGCATATTGATACTTTGGCAGCACTTTGCATATGTGAAATGAGAAGAGACCAAAGAACGATTTCTATGCAGAGTCAAATTTTCTTTTCTTTTCTTTTTTAAAAGATTATTAGGAAGCACACATCTGTAAAAGGACAAATCAAGGGCAAGGAGATGGACTTGAAAAGTCTTTTCATTTATTGATGCCTTCAGTGTGTCAGGCATTGTCCACTCAAAATTGAATAAGAAGTGACCTCTGCTATTAGTGAATTTTCCAACTAGTACAATGATTTTAAGATTCATCCCTCAGTATAATAAAATATTGTCATTTTAAAAATAGACATATATAAGGGGAAGGCAGGAGATGTGTGTAAAAGACTACACTTGGAGATTTTAATAAGGATTAGATAATGTGTAAAACTATTTCTAGTGCCTGGTACAAGAAAACACCTAATAGATGACAGAATTATTGCTGTTATGGACACATACATTCAATAAGAACATAAATTGAAATAACTTTGTCCGTGCAAAATATGATCAGTTTCTGACTTCAAATTAATCTCTTTCTTATGGTCTTAATATTTCAGGGTTTGGTAAACAATCCATATCAACTGCATCCCACTAAGGCTTTGTTTCAAATTTCACCAAACGTGCCATAATCATATGTGACAATGGAATATACATTTTGAGTAATACACCCATGTTGGCATCTCTGATTTGCTTTAAAACAGATGCCCACTCGTTCTCATTGTTTACATCTTAGTTTATCTACTAGGATCTAGGCTGAAGCATTTTATGCAATTGCTACTGATAATTTGAAAAGCATGCTGCACTGACAATCTTAATTGTGGATGGCAATTAAGATTGTCTCAAAAAAAACAGTAATGACTGTACTTGTACCACGTGTTTGGAAGTTCAGAATAGAAAAAATATATAACTATGGGAGCAGGGCTCCAATAAATTAATTTAACCTCCTCAATCCCAGAGTTATTCGAGGATCCCCAAACTAAATGAGAGGAGAAAAGGCACACAAAATATTTAAAATTAATTTTTTCATGAAGCACAAAATTCTTTCCAAACATATGATTAATACTGATAATTTTCTCAAAGAAAACAAAGTACATAACAACTACCTTGAGGTTAATGAAATCAAAACAAAAATAGAAGCCTTCAGAATTCTTAATCTTCTGTTTTATTAATAAAGCACTTCCTAGAAAATTTCAGAGGTTGAAGTAAAAATATTGAGGGGAACCACAAAATCATTTTACAACCCAGAATTGTACAAATATAATAATCTAGTCTTTTGTCTCTCCCTGAAAATAGACTGGGAATAAATTATAAATTATTTAGATTTAACATTAAATGATACATGACCTGTCAACTTGACTGATATTAGACTGATATTAGCCTCTGAGTTTTAGTTTTTACACTATCCTATTTTTTAAGTAGCTTCTAAAAAAATTCCTAAAAGGCCAGTGGCAGATGGCAAAATATTGATGTCATAACAAGTAAGGTGCCCCCAAAATAATTTCAACATATACTCTGATTTATAATGAATAACTCTTTTTTTTGTCTACAGCATTTAAAGGTCACATAGTTTGATGTGATTTAACAGAGAGAAAATTCATGCCAGAATATAAGAAAGTCTATAGACTTATATTGAAAACCGTAAGCACTAGTTAAGAAGCCCAAATTTTTCTGTTAATACCTCAGTCAATGTCTGAGAACCTCTAAATGGTAAAGGTATGTATATAATTGTCAGTTAAAATTATGTTGGCCAGGCGCGGTAGCTCACGACTGTAATCCCAGCACTTTGGGAAGCTGAGGTAGGTGGATCACCTGAGGTCAGGAGTACAAGACAAGCCTGGCTAAGGTGAAACCCCATTTCCACTAAACATACAAAAAATTAGCTGGGCATGGTGGCGCATGCCTGTAATCCCATCTACTTGGGTGGCTGAGCAGGAGAATCGCTTGAACCTGGGAGGCAGAGATTGCAGTGAGCCAAGATTGCACCACTGCACTCCAGCTTAGGCAGTAAGAGTGAAACTCCATCTCAAAAAAAAAAAAAAAAAAATATAAATATATATATATATATATATATATATATATATATATAATATTTAAAAAAAAAAATATATATATATATATATATGCCAAAAAGAAACAATGTACAACTTAATTTTCCTGGCTCTGATGGTTAATTTGTGTATCAACTTGACTGGACCACAGGGTGCCCAGATATTTGGTCAAATATTAAGTGTTTCTGAGAAGGTGTTTTGGGATGAGATTAATATTTAACTAGGTAGAATGAATAAAGCAGATGGCTTTTCACAGTATAGTAAGCCTCATCCAATCAAATGAAAGCCTGAGACATCCACTCTTCAGATTTTGGACTTACCAGCCTCCATAAGTTCATGAGCCAAATGTTTATCTGTATTCATATCTATATCTCCTCTTTGGTGTTTCTCTGTAGAACTTACACGGGCAAATGTCTAAGCATTCTTCACCAGATAACTAATAATTCCCAGGTTCTCATCATAGGATTCCTACCTCTTCTCATGCTATACAAAGCAATCAACTTATACCTTACTCATCAATTCCTACCAATTTCCTGAACCAATTTCCTAATTCTCCAATAAGGTCCACCTCAAGTACCATCTGTTTTAATAACTATAGCCTGTGTTTTAGATGTATTTTGGTGTGTATGTGAGTTGGCTAGGAAAAGGAATGCACAGGCAACAATCATCAAGGAGACTTTCAAAACTACAAAAATTCCTATTTCTAATACATAAAAGTATCTCTCTCAAATATATATCAACACAAACCCAGCATTCTCCTTCTACTCAGGTAGAAATCACTGCAGTATTGAATCTAAGTATTCCTGAGGAAAGGCTTTTCAGTATAGGGTTTCAGAAAAAAACAAAGAAATCTATATGTAATACAACCCTTGTAAGTTTATTCAGAGCTGATATCTATGCATTATGCACCAAAAGAGCCATACCAGTTCCTTATAGCCAATAATCATTTCAATAGTCAGCAGATGCATTATGATTATTTAGTGCTCATGTCATACTATATATTTTTAATACTGCCTTTGCTTTTTATTGTGGTAGATACTTTTATATATTTTACCTAATGATTACAATAAAGCAGTATGAATTATTTTCCCCATTTTATAGATCAATAAAAGGTGTCTATAAAGCAAGTAAATTGCCCAAGTTCACAGGCATAAAATTGTCAACTTTAAGATTTCTAGCTGAAATCTATGTGAAGTTAGCATCCTGAAAGATTTTTTTCCTCTAACACTGTTTTGTGTTTTGATTTTACTTTGATTATAGTTTCTATATTACAGTATATTTTTTGTCCTTCTCTTCCACAAGATCACAAACTCCTGAACTCTGCTTATGATTTCTCAGTATCATCCCAAGCTTTGGAACACAGTACCAAGAAGATATTCAAGACTTATTTTCCAGGCTCTGTACTAGGATCATGAGTAACACACATTGTTATGGATTGAACTGTGTTTCCCCCAAAATTAGCATGTTGGAATCCTACCCACCAGTATACCTCAGAACGTAACTTTATTTGGAGATATGGTCTTTAGGGAGATGATTAAACTAAGATGAGGTCATTAGGGTAGGCCCTTATAGGAAAAAGAAATATTGGCTGGGCACGGTGGCATGTGGTGGCTCACACCTGTAATCCCAGCACTTTGGAAGGCCAAAGCGAATGGATTGCTTGAGGTCAGAAGTTCAAGACCAGCCTGGCCAATATGGCAAAACCCTGTCTCTACTAAAAATACAGAAATTAGCTGAGCGTGGTGGTGTGTGCCTGTAATTCCAGCTACTTGCAAGACTGAGGCATGAGAATCACTTGAACCTGGGAAGCAGAGGTTGCAGTGAGCCAAGATTGTACCACTGTACTCCAGCCTGGGTGAAAAAAAGAAAGGAAGGAAGGAAGGGAGGGAGGGAGGGAGGGAGGGAGGGAAGGAAAGAAGGAAATAAATATGTACACAGACATCTACAGAGGGAAGACTATGTATAGACAAAGGATGAAGAAACCACCTACAAGGCAAGGAGAGAGGCTTTAGAAGAAATGAAACCTACCAAAACCTTGATCTCAGACTTCTAGCACCCAAAGTTGTGAAAAAATAAATTTTGGTTGTTTGAGCCACCCAGACTTGGTACTTTGTTATGGCACCACAGGCAGACTAATATATACATTTCCTTACATCAATTTAAATAAAAATTGGTGTTAAACAATGACTGTTTAAAAAAGAAGACAGAGGTAGAAAGATCAAGAAATTATCACTGAATTCTTATTTTAGAGAAATAAAAAATACAAACATTTTTCTTTCAAGCCAGTAACAACTATCAATTAAGTCAAGCTAAAATATTTATTTTAAATCTATATATTCTAAAAAAAAAATAAAACAAGCCTTAAAAAATATCTTTAACATAGTGTAATTCCAACTTTATTAGGATGTAACATAACAAGCTGATGATGCAACCCAAAGAATTACAAAAACAAAAACCCAAAATTTGTAGAAGGAAAGAAAGATCACAACTAAACAAAATAAAGACTGAAAACACAATACAGGCTGGGCACAGTGGCTCACACCTGTAATCCCAGCATTTTGGGAGGCCAAGGTGGGTGCATCACCTGAGGTCAGGAGTTTGAGGCCAGCTTGGCCAACATGGTGAGACCCCCATCTCTGCTAAACATACAAAAATTAGCCAGGCATGGTTATACATGCCTGTAATCCCAGCTACTCAGGAGGCTGAGGTAGGAAATTGCTTCAACCGGGGAAGAGGAGGTTACAGTGAGCTGATATCGCACCACTGCACTCCAGTCTGGGCAACGGAGTGAGACTCTGCCTCAAAAAAAAAAAAAAAAAAAAAAAATCCCCAAAAACAAAAAACAAAAACAAACCAAAAAATACAAAGATCAACAAAATGAAGTTTGGTTGTAAACCACCCAAAAATAATAATCATCATCAATAAACCACTAAACAAAAAAAAGAGCCACCAAATAAAGTGAGAAACAAACAAGGAGACATTATAACTGATACTACAGAAATACAGAGGATGATGAGAAATTATTATGAACAACTATATGCTGATAAATTGGAACACTTAGAGGAAGTTGTTAAATTCCAGGACACATACAACCTACCAAGATCGAAAGAGGAGGAAATAGAAAAACTTAACAGATGAATAATTATTAACGAGATTGAATCAGTAATAAAAAGTCTCTCAAGAACGAAAAGCCCAGGACCAGATAGATTCACTGTCGAGCTCTACCAAACATATCAAGAAGAACTGATACTAATCCTCCTCAAACTACTCCAGGAAATTGAAGAGAAGGAAATTCTTCCTAACTCATTATTTGAGGCAAGCATCACCCTGATACCAAAACCAGACAAGAATACAACATAAAAATAAAGCAGAGACACAAAACCCCCGAAGAAAACATTAGCAAACCAAATCTAGCAGCATATCAAAAGATAAAACACCACAGTCAAGTGGGATTTTTCCCAGGGATGCAAGATGGTTCAACATATGCAAATCCATAAATGTGATACATCACTATCAACAGAATAAAGGCCAAAAACCATATGATCCTCTTAATAGACATAGAAAAAGCATTTGATAAAATTCAGCATTCCTTTTTCACAAAAGCTCTCAACAAATAAGGTATAGAGAGACATACCTCAACACAATAAAAGCTATATGTGATAAACCCACAGCTAGCATTATACTGAATGGAGAAAAGCTGAAAGCCTTTCCTCTAAGAGGACAAGAAGAGGATGCCCACTTTCTCTACTCCTATCCACCACAGTACTGGAAGTCCTAGCCAGAACAATCAGGCAAGAGAAAGAAATAAAAGACATCCAAAATGGCAAAGAAATTAAATTGCTGTTCTATCATAGATGACATAATCTTATATTTAGAAAAACATAATGACTCCAACAAAAAAACTCTTAGAATTGATATTTAGTAAGGTTGCAGAAAACAAAATTCAACATACAAAAATCAGTCATATTTTCATATACAAATAACTAGCTGAAAAAGAAATCAGGAAAGCAATCCCTTTTACAATAGCTACAAAAAGTAAAATAAAATACCCAGGAGGCAAAGGCCTCTACAACAAAAACTACAAAACGCTAATGAAAGAAACTGAAGAGGACATTAAAAAATGGGAAGACATCCATGCTCATGAATCAAAAGAATATTGTTAAAATGACCACACTATATCCAAAGCAATCTACAGATTCAATACAATCCCTATCAAAATACCAATGATATCCTTCACAGAAATAGAAAAAAAAACCAATCCTGAAATGTGTATGGAACCACAATAGATCCCAAATAGCCAAAGCAATCCTGAAAAAAAAGAACAAAGCTAGATGCATCATACTAACCTGACTTCAAAATACACCAAAGCTATAGTAACCAAAACAGTACAGCATTAGTTTAAAACAGACACAGAAGACAATACAATGAAATAGAGAACCAAGAAATAAATCCACATATTTACAGTCAACTGATTTTCAACAAAGGTGCCAGGAATATACATGGGGAAAAGGACATACCTTTGACAAATGGGAAAACAGGACATCCACATGCAGAAGAAAGAAACTAAACTCCTATCTCTCATCATATACAAAAATAAACTCAAAATAGGTTAAAGATATAAATGTAAGATGCAAAACTATGAAAATAACTGGAAGAAAGCAGAGGAAATGCTTCAGGACATTGGTGTCAAAAAGCATTTTATGGCTAAGACTCCAAAAGCACGAACAAGAACAAAAATAGAGAAATAGTACTTACTAAAGGAAAAAGCTTCTGCACAGCAAAGAAAATCAACAGAGTAAGGAGACAATCTGTTGAATACAAGAAGATATTTGCAAACTTTCATTCAACAAGGTACTAATATTTAGCATATACAAGGAACTCAACAGCAAAAAAACAAGTAATCCCATTAATAAGTAGGCAAAGGACACGAATAGGCATTTCTTACAAGATGACACACAAACGGCCAACAGGTATATTAAAACAAATGTTCAACATCACTAATCCTCAGGAAAATGTAAATCAAAACCACATGAGTTATCAACTCACCCCAGTTACAGGGCTATTATCAAAAACACAAAAAATAACAAATGCTGCAAGAGGATGCAGAAGAGAGGGAACTCTTATACGCTGCTAGTGGAAATTTAAATTAGTACAAGACCTCTATGAAAAACAGTATGGAGATTTCTCAAAAAACTAAAAATATAACTACTATGCTACTCAGCATATCAAAGGAATATATGTACCCCAATGTTTGTTGCAGCACTCTTCATAATAGCCAATATACAAAATCAACCTAAGCATCTATCAATGGATGAATGAAGAAAATGTGGCATACTACACAATGGAATACTACTGAGTCATAAAAATGAATGAAATTCTGTCATTTGCAGTAACATGGATAGAACTGGAAGTCATTATTTTAAGTTATATAGGCCAGGAAGAGAAAGACAAATATTGCATGTTGTCACTCACATAATGAAAGATAAAGAAAACTGATTTCTTAAAGATAAAGAAGAGAATGATGACTAACAGAAGCTGGGAAGTGTAGTGGAGAAAGAAATAAAGGGAGGTTAGTGGGTACAAACATACAGTCAGATAGAAGAAATAAGTTTTAAGGTTCAATAGCCTAATAGGTTGACTATTCGTAGTTAACAATATATTGCATATTTTACAATAGCTAAAAGAGAGGACGTGAAATGTCCTCAAAGTAAAAAAAAAATGTTTGAGATGATTGATACCCTCAATACCCTGATTTGATTACACATTGTATCAAAGTACCCATAAATATGTATAAATACATACCAATTTTTAAAAATCAGATTTTCCTGAACTCTAATGCAATAGGCACATGCATTATTTTCTCCTTACTTCTGTTTGAGAATATAGATATACATACATTTACTTATTTCCATCTGGAAGTAGAAAATTTCAATTATGCACTTTATGGTAGATGAAACACGGTGGAAATGTACTTGTTACATGCCTCCCTAATCACGCAACATAATTCTCATTGACAGCTGCTTATCTAACACAACATTAGCCATTGTGTACCAAAATCAAAGTCATACATGTCTCTCATTTGCATAGTTATATTAATCAATTATGAGTTAACAATACTCTCTTAACCGTACTCTAAATCTGATGGCTACAGATATAGAACTTAAAAGTTTTGGCTGCTTCACTGGTCCACAATGTACTAGAGAAGACAATATCCTCAAATACCAAAGACAATTAGTATTTATTGAAGCACATATGATATTAATCCAGAACTTCTCAGGAGGTCAGTTGTCCTTTTGTGCAGGACTCTTCAATGCTATAGCTATGTACTATTAGGTCCAAGTGGAGGAAGTAAGAGAAGACACGGAGGCTTTTCCAAGCAAAATATCTTCCTCTTCCTCTACTTCTTTCAAGGAGTTGATGGTAGCACAGAGGGAGGAAGAATTAGAATTCAAGCCATCTCCCCTGAAGGGTGCATTAAGGAATACCTAGTTTGAAATTCTGAATGTCAGAGTTTTGACTATATCCATCCATCTGCCAGACTCCTTTTAAATTTTCTCAAATTTCAGTCCAGTTGTAAGTGCAACAGAATTTCTTCAGGGTTCAACTCCCTGATTAATGTTATTTGCAAACTAAATATAGCCACTTTTCATTTGAATACATGATTCAACAAAATGTAGTTATATATAATGTGGTTTCATAAATGTTCAATTCCAGTGTTATTCTAACTAAAATCTCTCATAAGCAAAATGATGTATAAATCTCAAAGTTCATAAAAGAGGCCAAAACCCAATCAGTAACACAAGTATCTTTAAAAAATTCCTTACTTTCCTTGAACATTGGATCTCTTGGTATATAGAAAGTATACTGTCCTCTATAGACAGAAAATGGATGTAATCAGGGGTCTTTTGATTTAATTTCACAAAACAGTAATACGTAAAGTTTCTAATACACACAGCTTCTGCTTTACCATATGACAGACCCACGACACATTAAGGAGCAAGGAATATGCATATGCCTGTATCAATTAATCACCTCTAGTAAGAATGGTATTTGTATTTTACAAGAAACTCAGTAACAATGGAAGAAAGGCAAACAAACACTAAGGTAGATCCTCAAGCAGGTGGGCAAAATATCGAGAAATCTGTCTCCAATTTTCTTGGAAACACTCAACACCATGCAATTCTTCCATCGAGCCTCATGGTCCACTGTACTGACCTCTTGAGTCAAAGTTAGATGTGCCTCCAGAAATAAGAAACATATCAAATCCAAAAGTAGCCATTTCCAAAAGATGTTTCAAGTTGTAACCATTCAAAGTAAGAGCAGTGGCTTCCATTATTCTATTGCATTCTTTGAATCAAAAGCCAATCTTAGAGTCTATTCTCTGTCTCACATGAAAGAATTTTAAAATAATATTAAAGAGAATCACCACTATTGAGTCCTGATATCTCTAAGTTTCATCTGTAAAGGATACTCAAGGTTTGTCTGAACACCTTGCAATAGGAAGCTATTAGACTAGGAAAAGGAAGGCAGGCAGTAAATAAAGGAAGGACAACCAACAAGGCATTACTACAATATAAATGGACGGAGACAACAAATAAAGACATGCAAGAAAACCATACACGCCCACACTGAAAGGTCAAAGTGGTCTTCTGAAAAGCTAACACAGAAGCTAACTGAGCATGTTTCAACTGGAGGACAATGGCACATAGGCAGATTTTTAAAAGACACTTAATATTATCAGATCTTAACCACATTTTTAAGTGAGTCACTGAATATAGGATGAAGTTTCCTACCTTAGAACTAAAAGTAAGGACCAGGCATGTGACATCTTGTCTCCGGCACATGTTTTTACATGTAAGTGGTATAGTCAAGCATATGACTGTTTTCTAACTAAATGATAGCTTTCTTTCCCCTTCTTTCTTGCCTATTAAACTCCCTGCTCCTTAAAACTATTCCACGTGTGTCCATGTCATTTTTTCTAATTCAACTCAAAATGAAAAGCCTGGTGTTCTCTACTCATCAGAGCTGTATCAATACCATACTTTTTTTTTCTTTTCAAAGTATATATTCTCTAAGTTAGTTGAGAGAAAAGTTAGAAGGAAAAGCAAAGTTCCAAGGTTGGTGACTCATGAGGATATTTACCAAATGTACTATTTGCTTTGAGCATAAATATCATCATTTGGGTTTTTTTGGGTTTTTTTTAACTACCTACATCAGAGTGAAGTGTCAGTGGCTGGCTTTTGTCTGATATCAAGTCTTATTTAACTAGTTGCTTAATACCTCAATGTGACCTTCAAAAGCGACAGATTTACTTGTATATGCTTAAATTACTATTTTGCTGACAACAAATTAAGGAAATGGTAAAACTAAAACAAGTGAACTCTACTTTTCCTAATCCTGACCCAAATATTGAACTTTCCAATTTACTTTTTTTTTTACAGTAAGATTTCAAGGGGAACAAACTGCTCTTAAATCCTGTTGCTGCCTTCCTGCTTTTACTAATTCAAGTTTGACACAAATGTTCTCACAGATTCACAAAACATACAGTCACAGTATTCTTTGAGAGAGTGAAGAACAAAAAATATTATGTATAAAGAAGTTATGGTGTTATTCTGAAAATTCGGAAAATTAAGTGTCATACTCAAAGCCAGAAACATCAAAACTTGGGGTTACTATATACATAATCTTAGCTGTCACTTTGCATTGTCCAAAACACATGACTAACAACATAAATGGTGTTATCCCTGGGTATTTAACAAGAAAAAGCCTGATGAGAACATACCACAGATGCGGAATGTTGTCTGGTCACAGATGTGGAAAACCTGATTTAAAGTTCCTCATCTTTCCAACTTGATCCAAGGGATTCAAAAACAAACAATCTTGCACTTCAAATGCCATAATTTTAAGTAAAAAAGTTAAAGGATCGCTAAGAAATCAAGGGACTAGTTTCTGCATATGCATAAAACACACTCCAACACAGTATTCCTAGTTCTCAGCAATTCTGAACCAAAGGTATTCTCATGTGATTTTATTCATTGCAGTCAATGCCAATTAAAAGTATATTTAGCTACTTTCAATGTATAAATATAAAAGAATTTAACTGCTCTTCTATCGGTATAGTTTTTCAGAAACAAATAAAATATGGCATGAGGATAACTTGACAGTTGCTAAGTACTTATTGAAAGAAATCTACCGGTATCACTTATCTGAATAAGATGTAAGTTTCTGAACCAACAAGAATTTCAGAGAAAATCAATTCAATTTCCTTAAAATACCTAACAAATGGAAAATATTACATAATAACTGGAAAAAAGATTAACTAAAGCCAGTTAAAACCAAAAGGGATGAAATGGATTTCCAATTTTACCTATTTTTCCTCTTTTTTAATACACACAACCATATATGAAAACAGGCACCATGAGGCAGTTTTGTAGCACAAGTTTACTTGGGTTTGTACAAGTATAACCAAGAAAGAATAAAATAAAATGTTAAAAGTACTCTTTAGCCACAATATTGAATATATTAAGTAGATGAAGAATGGAGGTAGAAAATAAATGCAATAGTTTATTTAGAAATTCCACTGGGGCTTTTCTTAGAAACTCTTAGAATACTGACCTTCATGCCAGGATATGGTCAGCATACTAAATCAAGTGTGGGTTGGAACCGTTTGTATGGCTTATGCAAATCTATATAAAGTATGTTACCACTGGCATCTGTTACCACTTTAATCATTTGGGTTCATCTGAGCATGCAGAGCAGACTTGGGTGGGCTCAACCAGCTTGGGCAACAAAACTACAATACCTCTTTGTTAAGTGGATATTTACAAACTTATCAGTCAGTCCAGTGTCTTGTTGTACCAATTAATCATACTACTCCGTAGAAAATTGTTTTAAATTTCACTCACAGTAGAAGCCTGAATGAGTTAAACATTAAAGAACAACAACCAAATCCAACCCTCTGCCTAAGAAAAGGGATTATGACGAATACTTTTTTATACAGTTTTAACAAATTTGTAATTAATTATATTTTAATAGACTCTGAAAGACAAATGAAACTACCACTTTCTATACATGTTTCTTCAAATAGTTTACCATAAATGAAAATACATATAAACACACTGATGCTAAAATAAATTAAGCTTTAAAATTACCTAAAAACATAAGATAAAAATCAGATTTGGAGACTTGCTATCTACCACAATTTGGAGATTCTAGTCAAAAGCATGCCTTGAAGTTAGCAAACCTACACCAAATACCAATGAAAGAATATTCGTTTTTCTCCTAACATCAAAATTCCCATACTAAACCAAAGATGTTGACTTGAACATAAATTAAGATGGACCAAAACACACAGGCTACTTTGGTGACAAGTAAATTTTGGAGTACAAAATGTTCTTGCAAAACATGAGACATGATATTTATCCTAGAAATGTTTTCTAGCACCTGAAAACAAACTAAGTAAACAACAAAATAGTTACTTTAATAGAATACAATTTGTTGACCAGGAATAACTGTTATTTGAGAGAAAAAACAGCTCAGGAAGGACACTTAAAAAAAAACAAACATGAAGCACTCATCACAGAACAAAAAAAGTTCCATCCTAGAAAGGAAATCTGTTATGTCTAGATAATGAACATCAACTACCAGAACTAACAACAACAGAAAAAAAACAATTAAACAGTACCCCAAATCATTTTAAAACAATTATTTTGATTTGGAATTTTATTATTTTTTCTGAGCATGTCTAGAAATCTGTCATTACAACATTATATGCTTTTCACACACCTGTGATGCCAGTAACAAACACTTTCTAGAAGACTGTACTATGTGCTTAGGAAAACACTGGGAGAGAAAATTTTCTGTCTTACTTATAGGATTATTCTTCATCACACCAGCTGAAGGTATAGTTTTCAACTCAGAGGAATCAGAGCTAGGCAAGCTGAGCTTTATAAACCACTGATGTACTCACCCAAGAGAGAGCTCTTGAATCCAGCATCTGCTTTAGCAGGCAGCAGGAGTAGCTATGTGAATCAGAGGTACAAAATGGACATATCCTAGAGTCGAGTCAAACTTAAAGACAATGTAGACCTGAGCTTAAATAATGGATCTTGCTCTTACCAACCGTGTGACCCAGAGGAAAGTAACCTAGGTCAGGTTTCCCAACTGCAAAATGAGAGCAATGTATATATCTTACAGCGTTATTGTAAAGAATAAGTGAGATAACATATAAGGCACCTAGCATGAGTCCAATGTCCTCCAAGTCTTGGTTTTAAATCTTGACAAAGAATGCTCAAATACTATACCATTTCTATGTTTTAAAAGGAAAAAAACAATGATATAGTGATAGATATTCTAGTTCCCTATAAGCATGTGTCAGGAGCAGGGAGAGTGGTAAGGCAGGAGAGAAGGGCCATAAATTCCCTTAGATTCTAGGGAAAAACTGCAGCTGCATCTGTTAGCCTATTATGCAATTCAATTCAACTAAATGTTAGGGGATGCAACATAAAAATTAGACATTCTTTCCACCTTCATTGAATCACAATCTAAAACAGGTAATACAGTGTTGCAGGCAATGCTGAAATCCAAAAAGTTCTTAAAACCATAATAAACAATTGTTTTTATATAAATTTGCAGGCAAAATCAGTCCTGAACTTGAACTGGCTTAGAAGCTCTATAGCCTTTATTACTGCATTTAGCATAAACATTTATGCATCTTAAATTTCACCTTGTGGTAGGATACAAAATCCCACCTTTGGGTTTGTACTGGAACTCTACCACTGGCTTTCCTGGGCCTCCAGCTTGCAGCTGGCAGATCGTGGGACTTAGCCTCCATCATCACATGAGCCAATCCCTCAAAATAAATCTATGTATACATCCTATCTATATCTCTGTATATCCTGCTGGTTCTGTTTCTCTAAATAACCCTGATTAATACACTAGGAAAATGCCTACAGGTAAATATACAGCTCTCATAGTATGCTATATGCTCTGTTATATTTTGGAATTTTTTTTTAATCCAAGAGTTCTCTCTTTCCTATGCCCAGAGAGGCATTTCTACTATCAGAGACAATTTGAATACAAGTCATAAATGGAGGGGGTAAACTCAGGTGAGCAAACAAGCATTTGCAGCTGGGAGAGCATCGTAAGACTTAAAGCTCTTAATGCAATAAAGATATTATAACATGTGATGTACTGCAGTAGCTTCTAGAAGTACAAATTATTCCAAATTCTAAGACATATATAGCCCAAAGGTTTCAGATAAGGGAATTTGTACAATCTCTATTTAAGGGAGGGAAAAAAAGGAATAGAAATATAAAAAGATCAAACTGCCTAAGGCAGAGACTTGTGGTTAACATTCTCTTTCCCAAGTCAGCATTTGCTTTAGAACTCTCAAATACCCTATTATATGGAAACAATAACACTACTATAATACAACATCAAGTTCTTGAAGAAATAAGAGATAGAGATAAAATACATAAAATGCTTCAAATAATGCCCAGCACAAAGTAAGTGCCCAATTAATGCTGTGTAATAGTAATAGTGCCTAGGAAAATACTTTGAACATGGTTAATTTTGTGTCATAAATTATGTGTCATAAAAATGGTTAATTTTATGTGTCAATTACATCTGGCTAAGGGATCCCCAATTAGCTGGTAAAACATTATTATTGAGTGTGCCTATGAGGGTGTTTCCAGAACAGATTAACATTTCCATTGGAAGACTTAGAAGATCATCCTCACTGAAGTGTGGGAGCATCATCCAATCCACTGAGGTCCTGAACAGAACAAAAAGGCAAAGGAAAGGCAGATTCTCCCTTCTAAAGCAGAGACAGGTTCTGGGTCTTCTTGGGACTCCGACTGGGATTTACACCCTTGACTTCCCTTGTTCTCAGGCCTTTGGGTTTGTACTGGAACTCTACCACTGGCTTTCCTGGGCCTCCAGCTTACAGCTGGCAGATCGTGGGACTTAGCCTCCATCATCACGTGAGCCAATCCCTCATAATAAATCTATGTATGCATCTTATCTATATCTCTGTACATCCTACTGGTTCTGTTTCTCTAAACAACCCTGATTAATACACTAGGAAAATGCCTACAGGTAAATATACAGCTCTCATAGTAGGCTATATACTATATTACACTTTGGAATTTTTTTTAATCCAAGAGTTCTCTCTTTCCTATGCCCAGAGAGGCATTTCTACTATCAGAGATAGCCTTGAGTACAAGTCATAAATGGAAGGGGTAATCTCAGGTGAGCAAACAAGCATTTGCAGCTGGGAGAGCATCGTAAGACTTAAAGCTCTTAATGCAATAAAGATATTATTTAGAAATAAACCTATAAAAGACTGAGGAGCAGCCTAGAGGAAGATGTCTGGAATTTAATGTACAAACTAATCAACCAGAGCTCCTGTTAAAATGTATATTCTGACTGAATGAGGTGGGGCCTGAGATTCTAGTCCTCAGGTAATCACAATGCTGCTGGTCTAGAGCATTTACTGAGAGTAGAAAGGCCCCAGAGCAGTGATCCTCAAAGTGTACCAGAAGCATCAGAATCTCCTGGGAAGTTATTAGATATACAAACCCTAAAATATAAGGAAACTAAAAGTTTGTTGACCTAAATGAGCTGTTTACACTAGGCAGGTCAGATTTATCTTTCCTAAGAATAAAAGTAGAACATGTTTTAAATACTTAAAAAATAAAAGTAGCAGACCAGAACCTATTACATAGACAAAAGCCATTTCTGCAAACAATTTCCAAAGTCATAGCCCCTGCAATAACACTTGCAGTATAGGTTTTTACATTTTTAAGAAGCCTCTGATAATATATAGGCCAAGTATTACAATTATATTCCTCAGTCGAACTACCAATTGTTGACAAAAAAAAAGTCATTGCTATTTTCCTACGTAGTACATACAAAGCTCTGTGAAGAAACCAAACTGAGTTTTATATTTCCTTGTGTTGAGGACACGACCGACCACATCATCATTCAGCCGACTTTTCCAGAGTAATGTTTACACATTGCTTGGTTGATATGTAAATATGTCAAGATTTTGATTTATAGCTATAAATGGTCTGTTTACATACACACAAACAGATGCATAAGTTATAGTACATTAATAGTTTAAAACAACATATCCTTGAAGGACAAAGAACTTGAGGGTAAACAACAAATACATTGTCATGATCAGAGAAAAGATTTTCATTTTCTGAATGTGAAGTCTGTTGATGGTTAAATAGGGTTTCCCAAAATTTTTTAATAAATTGATGCACTCAGAATGCAGGTTCAGTACATTTTTCTACTTCGAAAAAAGTTTGAATTTGGAAGTTGACCTCTCAATGAAAACCTGAGCATGTAGTTCTAGCCATAATCTATCCTCAAAGAAATCAGTTACTAACACACTGTAAAGCATCACATGTGTTTCAGGATTGGGGTGAACATCTCCGATTTTGCTAGGAGTCCATATTTTAAAATAGTGGTTCTCTATCAGTGGAGATGTTTTTATCCCTAGGGAACATTTGGCAATATCAGGAAACATCTTTGACTGTCAAAACCAGGGGAAGGGGAGTGAGGGATGGGTACTTCCAGCAGCTTGTGAGCAGAGGCCAGGCGTGCTGCTAAACAACTTGTAATGCACAAAACAGTCCACACAGCTTAGAATTTTCCAGACTAAAATGCCAATATAGTGCCAAGACTGAGAAAGCTGACTTAAATAACAGGCTACAAAAATACAGAAAGACTGTCCCTAATGCATCTTAATTACATTCCTTGCACAGTGTTAAGCAAAATAACAAATGCTTGTTGCTTATTAAATAAACTACCTCTATTTAGCTGGGATCTTTGAGTCGGAGATGAAAAAGAACTAAAAAAGAGTTATCACACATATGATATCTACAATTACAAAATTGCAGTCATTGTCAGAACCCAAAAGAAATTTTAAAAATCACCCTGTCCAGCCTAATTTCTCCAGTTAGGAAAAACAATGTTTCTCACATGGAAGATGCTATCTAATGTACCGACACGACACTGTTAAGGGGAGAGGGCAGTCCTCTTAATAGTAAAAATGAGGTGAGACCTTTACAAAATTATTAAAATCAGGTTTTGCTATTTTCCTTCTAATAGTATCAATGTCCCATACTTCCCTCAAGTTAATAAAGTATTTCCTGTATAAAAATTAAAATCAATGTGGTATCATAGTAACTGCTATTTCTCTAGCATGAAACACATAAAATGTAATTATTTTCAAAAAACAAATCAGAGACCTTGGCCTACAGGCTTTTCTGCTTTTGAGATTGCTGGGATTTAAACTGTCATGAGAAATTCCGAACTGGCTTACATTTTTGAAACACAGGAACTGACAGTCATAAGGCCAAACATACCCTTAATAATCGATTCAGCCGCATAGAGATCTCGTTTGTAGGTCACCTAAAGGACAGATAAACTTCATTAGACTTAACAGAGCAGGAAGGAATGTGCAAGCAATAAAATAATGCCCCCAAGGAAATTCTTGATTTTTCAGAAGCTATAAACATGTAATACTGACATTTTCTCAATTAGAAAAGCATCAGCAAATTCACATAAAATATATTCTATTTCTACAAATGGCTGATTTGTTTTTAAATCTTTGAATAAATTAAGATATTATGTGGCAGTTGTTACCGAAATCTTAATGTAACTCAAGTATTATACTTAAAGAAAATGTGGTAGCATTTAAACAACAGTATTAACATGACTGCATAAAAACGAGGTTTTATACTAGAGAAAAAAAGGTAGGGTGGAAGTCTCTGTATAACAAAAAAGTCACTGAGTTACATTCTTAGCTGAAATAATTCTGAAAGGTCAATTTATGTTAAGAGGGACTTCCTTCTGAATTACATATATCCGTATGAACCTAGATAAGATTCACCTTGTAAGATTTTTATTAAAAATGTGGCTAAAATAGAAAGAGCCTATAGGGTACCACTATGTGTCTAAGAACAATGATGATCTTTCCTTAAAAATATGCAACCTCTTGGGAGGCCAAGGCAGGCGGATCACGAGGTCAGGAGATCGAGACCATCTTAGATAACACGGTGAAACCCCGTCTCTACTAAAAATACAAAAAATTAGCCAGGCGCGGTGGCGGGCGCCTGTAGTCCCAGCTACTCGGGAGGCTGAGGCAGGAGAATGGCGTGAACCCGGGAGGCGGAGCTTGCAGTGTGCCGAGATTGCGCCACTGCACTCCAGCCTGGGCTACAGAGCGAGACTCTGTCTCAAAAAAAAAAAAAAAAAAAAAAAAAATGCAACCTCCTCATAATTGTAATCTGTTCCTTGTAATGTAACCTGCCAACATGGCATGTGTCTGTCCTATGGCAGATACTTCACAGACCCCCATCCAGTGAGCTCAGGTACAGAAAATGTAAGTGCATTGTGTTGCAGAATTAATTCTATATCACAGAGCTGAAATACATAGTAAATAATGACACAGTATAAATAAGCTTTTATAAGGTCTTAAAAGCTACATTCAAGCACCTAGATATTTATGATGCAAGTGTTCTAAAAACCCACTTTGAGAAATTCCTACCATATTATTACCTCACCATGCCTAAACTCAGCTGAAATAGCACACAGAAGCACAATCAAATAAAAGAGAGAAAAAATGAGCTGAACTAGGTGAGTGCCAGGTGTTGGGTTGGAATTTCACCCACACAGAACCTTTCCTCTTCTTCAGGTGGCCCCTGAGGCTCTAGTGAGCACAGTCTGAAAACCAGCAAATTAGAGGATTGAAGTTCTTTCTCATCACTACAGGACTGATTTTTTTAAGTAATTTTTCATTATAGAGTGTTGTGCAAGGTCAAAGGAAGACTACTGATCATGCTAACAGAACGAAAGGAACTTCAATACTCATTGTCAGGGTGTTGGGTTTTTTTAATTAAAATAAGGACAACCCATATTGCTGTAAAAGTTAGATGGAAAAAATGAATAACCCATCAATTGAGAATTACAACATTTTCCAGTCATACTGCTTTTGAAGTACGTTAGCTATGTAGGAAAAAAATAAGGCTAAAAGTACTTTAAAATTCACTAGTTTTGGTTGGCATGTGCTTGTTTTAGAAATACTATAGCATTTCACATTTTAATAGATTGGTTGAATTGCTTGAACAACTTTTTATCTGTGTTATCAAGTTAGCTGCTACTTTATTTCTGGATAGTAAGGTATAGTTTTGGTCCAGGATTTACCTGCCAGGATAAAGGAATAGCAGAGGAATCTAATTTGGATAGAAGTGCAGTAGCCCACTTCACTAAACAAAGTTTCTGTACAAATCTAGTAGTTAGCTAATCTGGAGGATAAAAATTCCAATTTCATAGGCACGGTAAGGTAATAATACGGTGGGAATTTCTCATTCCTATCACGTCTACATGTTGTTCTTGTTTCTGTGTTGAGACATAAAATAGTAAAAAAAAAAAAAAAAAAAAAAAAAACTTTCAGAACACAGCCAGTTGGCCACTATCTCCAATAATTTAAGGTGACACATAAAGTTCTCCCATCTTTCCCTTCACAATAAATAGGCAAAACTTACATTTCAAAGATAATAGAATGTTTATTAGGTATAGATTTTTCAGAACTTATTTCCTTACCAATCATATACATATAGAAAATATTCTTTTCTGGATACCTATATAAAATGCTGGATAACTATATAAAAATATCTGAAGAGAAACAATGTCACCATATTGTGTTTTTGAAATTACAAAAACCAAATAGAGACTACTTTGTTTCTTTTGTTTTTAAACAGATGCTGAAATACTTGGACCTTAAAAAAATGTATTCCCCAACAAAAGGAATCCTCAAAAGTCATTCATTCCAATAATATTGTGATTACACAAAAACTTCAGAAACTCCTAAAAAAGCACATTCAGACAACGGAACACAGTGGTTAAATTTCTTCAGTAACTGGTTATCAATCTTGTATGGCTTGAAGATGGTTTTGACATTTAGAAACAAGATGTCTGTTCAATTAAGCCTGTACAGTGTAGTAAGAGACCAAGTTAATTAAAAGTAAATGGGGTCACAAATATGGTACAACTCTAAATTAAAGGGACTCAAGTTGTTATGCAGACTAGATGAAATCTCATCAAAATAAGAGGGTTTACTTGGGCCTGTCAAAGCAAGACTACTCCAGGAAAGCATGACAGCTGATCCCTACTCCCAGAACCAGTTCTGTACTCCTCAGTGCTTATCGCCCTGGTGGGGGTAGTGGGGTACCGTGGCCATTTTCTACCCTGCATGGTGTGTTGAAAGAAAAAAAAAACTGATATTATCTCCAGACCCCAGAAGAGCTAGCACAGGAAGGTGACATCAAGCCAGAATGTTTACCTTTTACTTTTACCAAAACGTATTTATAAAATACAAAATACAGACCAGCCTGGCCAACATAGTGACACCCCGTCTCTACTAAAAATACAAAAATCAGCCGTGCATGGTGGCAGGCACCTATAGTCCTAGCTATTTGGGAGGCTAAGGCAGGAGAATCACTTGAACCCAGGAGGCAGAGGTTGCAGTGAGCTGAGATCTTGCCACTGCACTCCAGCCTGGGTGACAGAGCAAGACTCCATCTCAAAAAAATTAATTAATTAAAGAAAATAAAATACAAAATAATCCTCCTAGGATTTCTGGTGGCAACTGAAATTCTACTACTGAAATTCTAGTACTACGTGCAGTCCTCAGAAATTTCAAGTCAGTCTTTAAACCAATGTGAAGTGAACTCCCTGACTTTTCAGGGGAAAGGGAAGGTGTATTGTTCCATGTTTCAGGATCTTCCTTCGCCTTACACTGTTACATGGTAATAAAATGCCTCAATTATGTCCAAATATGTCTTTTACTGTCAGATTTTTGAATCATGTTTCAAGTACATGGCCATGCCATCTGAGTCCAGTACCAGTTTAGCATAATTGTACTAGAACTTTTCAGATACATTTTTTTTTAAAAGGCAGCATCTTTGGAGTTAGTGTAGAATTAGGACACTAATTTCAAAGCATAAACTCCATTGTTGTGTAAAACAAATACTCTCATCATACAAAATAAGATCACAAAATTAAAGTAAAAGCCTAATGACAAATCTTACAATGTTATCAAAAGGGGTTAAATAATTAGCTATGAAAATACCAAAAAAAGAAGTCAAAGATGAGACAAGAGGCAGAAAGAGAAAATAGGGACCCTGAAAACAACAGCAATATTTGCATTCTAGCATCACCTCAGTTAACAGGGAAAAAAATGTGATACCAAAAAACAAACAAACAAAAAACGCTTATAACGTCTATCTGTAAGACATTTTCCCCAATCCAGAGCACGACAGGACTTTTAGGGTCCAAGCTCCCTTTGAAGCATGGCATTATTCAAATCTCATTCATAAGAGTAGAGCTCTCTACTTCCATTCCATGTGGAAAGTGATGCTATGATGCTGATTTCTAGTGGGGGGATCGCCCTTTCAGCATGTGTTTCCCAGGACTGCTACAGTGAATTACTACAAACTGGCAGACTTCAAACAACAGAAATTTGGCTGGGCGTGGTGGTGGTGGGTCACGCCTGTAATCCCAGCACTTTGGGAGGCCAAGACGGGCAGATCACAAAGTCAGGAGATCAAGACCATCCTGGCCAACATGGTGAAACCCCGTCTCTACTAAAAATACAAAAATTAGCTGAGTGTGGTGGCAAGCGCCTGTGGTGGCAAGCACCTGTAGTCCCAGCTACTCGGGAGACTGAGGCGGGAGAATTGCTTGAACCAGGGAGTCGGAGGTTGCAGTGAGCCAAGATTGTGCCACTGCACTCCAACCTGATGACAGAGCAAGACTCCGTCAAAAACAAACAAACAAAAAAATTTATATTCTCTCACAGTCTGGAGACTAGACATCCGAAATCAAGATACAAGTAGGACCCTCTGAAAGCTTTTGGGAAGAATTCTTTCCAGCCTCTTCCTAGCTTCTGGTGATGGCTGGCAACCCCTGCCATTCCTTGGCTTGCAGATGTGTCACTCCAATATCCACCTCCATCATCACATGGCCTTCTCCCTGTATCTGTGTCTCTTCTATTCTTGTACAGATATTAGTCATATTAGCTTTAGGGCCTACCCTATTCCAGCAGGACCTCGTCTTCACTTGATTACATCTGCAAAGACACTATTTCCAAATAAGGTCACATTCACAGGTGCCACGGATTAGGACTTGAACATACTTTTTTAGAGGACAGTTGAACCCACAACAATGTCCCTAAAAAGGGACTCACCAGTGGAACCAAGAGAAGCACTGTGTGGAAAGGCCAATCAGGTTAGCGTGCACTGATATTTGTTGCACATAAAAGGGGAGCAGAGCATCAAGATGTACCTGAGGACTAACACTCTTGCTGGAGAGAACAGAGAAATATAAACACCTCACCAAAAAGGAAACACTGAAGATGGAATGTAACATTCAGAGAGTAATGTGCTGCTTCCTTTTCATCCACAGATCTCAAGAGTGCTTTACAAACTTGATGAGGGCTCAGAACATGCAAAAGAGGTAAATAATCACAGCTCCAAAGATGTCAAAAGTGAGACCAGGGATTATTGACATGTCAGTAGCAATAAAACGCCTTAGAGTTTCCGCCTTTTTTCTTGGTCTTCAAATTAGGTCTGCCAGACAGCCAAAGGAGTTCTAAAGAAATGTGGGTCAGGACCTTTAATGAAACATCTAACTGGTAATTGCCAAAAATCCTCATAAATATCACTGAGCCATATATAGAAAAGGATGAATAAAATGTTTGCCTGCTGGGTTGATGATAGTTAACCCAGCAGAGGCAGACATTTTAGGTTGTCCTTAAATGAAGAGTAATATTGCATAAAATTTCTTTACCGCATAAATTTTCTCTACCAGGCAATACTTCAAACATGTCAATATTTTGGAGTCTTAGAATTCAACATTTTAAGTATTTAAGATTATCCTGAGACAATCTTAGCATGCAGTGAGGCTGATCATGTTACTGTGCAAAATAACTGATCAACTTACAGGGCTTTCTGTTTTAAAAATCAGTAAGGAAATATGCTTATAGACTCAATTAGAATGAATCTTTACTAATCAGATTTTGATGGATGTTTCATAAAGATTTCCAAAGACTGCAAGCAATATTTCAAAAGCAGCAATATGTATTTCAAGATTATGAAATAATCTTATTTCCAAATGTACTTATTTCTGATTTCCAGACTCCTATTTCCAAATGTCCTGTTCAATTCAACTAATGAAACAAAGAATCACACTCTAAACCATCCCTGGCCTTGATAAGAAGCTGCAGTATGATAGTGCCATTATCTTGTTTGCAATAAGTATTCTATTCCCTCCAAAAGAGGTTAGGCCAGGTGTGGTGGCTCACACCTGTAATCCCAGCACTTTGGGAGGCTGAGGCAGGCAGATAGCCTGAGGTCAGGAGTTCAAGACTAGGCTGGCCAACATGGTGAAACCCCGTCTCTACTAAAAATACAAAAATTAGCCGGGTGGTGGTAGGCACCTGTGATCCCAGCTACTTGGGAGGCTGGGACAGGAGAATTGCTTGAAATTTGGAGGTGGAGGTTACAATGAGACTGCACCATTGCCCTCCAGCCTGGGCCAGAAGAGTGAAACTCTGTCAAAAAAAAAAAAAAAAAAAAAAAAAAAGAAGCAAGTTAGCCATTAAAAGAACTGGGCCCTGCCACAGGAAACAGTCTAATTCCTCACAGTGGGACAGAAAGTGGATCCAGCTACCACCCCCACTGGGTTGGAACTGTTGCAGATATCCTTTTAACCCAGTTAAGTTGGAGCAACCACCCAGGGCCTGAAAGGAAATGTTGATACTGCAGGCAAAGTTGTAGCTTTAATCAAACTGAGTGAAGAAAAAAAAAAAAAAAAAAGGCTATTGATATGGTTTGGATCTGTGTCCCTGCCCAAATCTCATGGGGAATTGTAAGCTCTAACCATGGAGGTGAGACCTGGTGGGAGGTGACTGGATCGTGGGGGCAGATTTCCGCCTTGGAGCTGTTCTCCAAGTGAGTGAGGTCTCGAAGTGTCTCACTCCTCCTTTGCTTTCTGCCATAATTGGAAGCCTCCTGAGGCCTCTCCAGAAGCAGAAGCCACTATGCTTCCTATGCAGCCTGCAGAACCATGAGCCAATTAAACCTCATTCCTTTATAAATTACCAAGTCTCAGGTATTTCTTTATATTAGTGTGAGAACAGACTAATAAAGCTATCTACAGAGAGGAAGAAAAAGAAAAAAGTGAATAAACCAATCTCACAGGTTAAAATGAGATGTGTCTGAGTAAATTATCTCAAAGTGAATTTTCTTGAAGCCAAGCAATAGAAGGGATACTACACATTGATGGTTCAGTAAACCCGTGAGACTCCCTTAACTCCTACTCAATGCACTACTGGTTTTAAATGTACACACACGCAAACACATGAAAGCACAGAAAAGAACCCAAGCAAGGTATCATCCCTCTTACCTTCCAGAGGTCAGGTGATCCTTCTACAAGTTTGGCTTTAGTGCAACAGTATTTTAGGGCCAATTGCAAACACTCAGTTCCAAATTCCAAGTCATAGTCACTACACTGGTGTGGAAACAACAACAACAACAATTAAGCTAAAATGCGATTTTAAGTAAAACCAAGCCTTTTATTTCATAATCCATTGCAAACAAAGGAAGGGCCTAGGGGGCTCAAACTATTTAATCAGCTACTGACTGAGTTATAACATCCCCATTAGCTAAAAGCAAAACAGGGAATAGGAATACTGCAACCATCACGTGAAGCAAAACAAATAGTGAATAGGAATAGTGCAATCATATGAGTTTTGAGATTCCTCAGTAGTTCTAGGCGTAAAAAAATGTAATACTTTGTTTCCTTTGCTTATAAGTTACCTTTCCAAACATGTTTATAAAATGCCTGAAGGTATGGCTGAGGATTATCATATCTTAACTGTTGATAAATATATATCTACAAAATCTAAATCTCATATCTTGTATTTATATCAGGACATTTGCAGGTCATAGTTCTCTTGTTTTAGTAATTAAAATATCAATATATCTTTTAATTATTTACATTTTGTTTATAAACATGGAAAATTTAGTCTTTCATTGTGCGAAAAACTGTAAACATATCTCATAAATTCAGTAAAAATAAAACATTTTTTGGCATTTTAAGCAGAGCCACTAAAATAACCAAGTAATAATACAATTCAGCTGAACAGTACTCAGGGTACCTATCCTGTCTCCAAGTTCTATTTTAAGTACCAGATATATAAAGGTAAATGACACATGTATTATGCCCTCAAGGAACTCAGGTCTAGAAGGGGAGGCTGGCATCTAACAAGCAGTTTGTAACAGAACCTGATAGATGCAGCACTAGAAGAATGTCTAGAGGTAGCTCAGTGGATAAAACACTTAATTCTATGTGACGGCATCAGGAAGGCCTATCAGAGGAAATGGCTTGATCTCCAACAGCAGAATAAAATTGAACAAGGAGGATTATGTTTAAATCAAAAGGTGCTTTGCAAAGTTACGGAGGTTTGAGACATTTGGTAGACTAATTTTTTTTCTTCTTTTTTTTTTGAGACAGAGTTCTTGCTCTGTCTCCCAGACTGGAGCCACCATGCCCAGCTGAGACTTATTTTAGAAAGCATATCCATGTAAGGATTGCACAAGGCAACAAATATGAATATGGCATCAAGCACCCCTTGCCAAAGCTATTTTATTATCCTTACATGGAAGCTACTGAAAGAATATAAAACCTCTGGGACCCACAGTCACAAAAGGAGTTCATAAACATGTGCAGTCTCCTCTCTTGTGATCTCCTATTGGGTGCCCATAACTAATATTATTTGAAGGAGATTCTCATTAGATGTATATTCTAAATTCAAGTCAATCGCTAAATAAAATTAAGTTTAAAAAATCAATAGTGGTGATAAAATGAAATCATAAAACATAGTATATTAATCCAAAGGCCAACAGAAAAGTGAGAAAAAGAACCAAGAACAGGTGGAACAAATACAAAGCAAGTAGCAAGATGATTTTAGACAAGAAAGTTAATGAACGAGAGAGGGTATTGCACAAAATGTTTTGACACTTGTGATTCACCATGGGGGGGTTATAGTTATAATGATATCATTGATCACATGAGAAACACACACGCAAACAGACAGACACTGAAAACCATCTGCCTCCCTAGACTTGGCCCCCCGAAAACAGTGTCTAACAGCCTTCTGCCAAGGCAAAAGCCCTAAGGACACTTATCAGAGATCCCCCAAAAAGCAAGGTCCAGCCCAGTTATGCTATAGAGAAACACACAGTCAACACGCCCCAAGTAGAAAACTCACCAAGTCTAACCAGTCCCCAGCTAAACATGAGCAGAAAACCCATATTTAACTGTCACCCAAGGAAAGATTGTAATGTGAAAGATCAAAATGGCAAAAATAAAGCACTCGAGAAAATCGAAACTGCAATTTTTTAAAAACTATTAATAGATCTAGGAAGATAAAGAATTTTAAATCAGGTGACGGGGTAATATTTAAAAAGGCAGAAAAGGAAAGAGTCGTGTGACTCATCGACAAAGTCAAATACCCAAATAAAAATATTGAAATTTCAGGAAAAACAGAAAAAGATAGACGAAAACAACCAAATAATTCAGATATTCCAAAGATGAACAACATTGAATTTCCAGATTAAGAGAAATTATAGAGTATGGAAGCTAAGGGGTGAAAGTATGCCAAGCCCACTTAACGAAAACTATCTTACAAACAAGATGTAATCCAAATGAGTTGGGACTTCATAGAAACAATACAACTTAGAACAAAGAAGCAAATTAATCACAATTCTTGGGGTAATGATTTTAAACATAGAATTCTACTCCCAGGAGAGCTATCAAGTTTGAGGGCAGAATATGAACTTTTCCTCACATTCAAAGTATCAAAAGAATTTTATTATCCATGCATTGTTTTCTTTCCTACACTTTTTAAGACTTTAAATATTAGGTTCATAGCAAAATGGAGCAAAAGGCAAAGATTTCCATATACCCTCAAGCTCCCACATATACACGACCTCTCCTACTATTGAAACCTTGTAAACATAGTGGTATGTGTATTAGCATCAATAAACCTACATTGACACATCATTATCATTCAAAGCCCGTAGTTTAATTACGACCCATGCATTGTATTATACATTCTATGAGTTTTCACAAATGTACAATGATATACGTCCATCACTGTAGTTATTGTACAGAGTAGTTTCACACGACAGTGAAATTTATCTGTGTACTATCTATACATACCTCCGGCCCCCACAACCCCTTGCAACCACTCATCCTTTTAATGCCTCCATAATTTGTCTTTTCCAGAAATAAATAGCTGTAATCATAGAATATTTAGCTGTTTTACATTGTATTCTCTCACACCAAAATATGCATTTAATTTCCCTTTTGGTGACTTTATAGCTAATTTCTTTTTAGGAGTGAATAATATTTCATCATCTTGATGTACCACAGTTTGTTTATCCCCTCATCTAAGCTATTTATGTTGGTTCCAGTTTTGGCAATTATGACTAAAGCTGCTATAAACATTCACGTGCAGGGTTTTAATGTGGACATAACTCATTTGGGTCTTATGGTAAGAGTATGTTTTGTAAGATGCTGCCAAACTGTCTTCTAAAGTGACTGTCACTTTGCATTTGCATTTTAAGTTTTACATTTAGGTCTGATCCATTTTGAGTTAATGGTTGTGACAGGTTGAAAGTGTGTGCCTAGATTTATTTTTGGCATGTGGTTGTCTAGTTGTTCCAACAACATTTGGTTGAAAAGACAGCAAATCTTTGCTATATTGTATATTGCCTTTGCTTTTCTGCCAAAGACCAATTGATTACATTTATGTGATTCTGTTTCTGGGGTCTTTATTTCATTCCATAGATCCATTTATCTATTCTTTAAGCCAGCACCACACAGCCACAATTCCTGCAACTTTATACTAACTCTTAAAGTCAGGTAGTGTCAGTCCTCCAACTTTATTCTTTGCTTTCAATATTGTGTTAGCTATTCTAGGTCTTGTGCCTCTTCAGATAAACTTTAGAATAAGTTTGTCAATACTCCAAAATAGCTTGCTGAAATTTTGATTGGGATTGCATCAAATTTGTAGATCACGTTGGGGAGAAATTACATCTTGACAACTTTGAGTCTTCTTATCCACAAACATGGGACACCTCTCCATTTATGTAGTTCTTTGAAGTCTTTCAGAGTTTTGCAGTTTTCCTCAAAAAAGGTTTTGTACATTTTGTTAGATTTATGCCCAAGTATCATTTTGGGGGTTGCTAACGTAAAGAGTAATATATTTCTATTTTCAAATTACACATGTTCATGCTGGTACAAACGAAAGCAATGGGCTTTTATTCCCTCGTAGCCTGCAACTTTTCTAATACTGTCCCTTAATTCCATAACTTCTGTCAATGCTTTCAGATTTCCCATACAGACAATCATGTCATCTGTGAAAAATTATTTCTTCCTTCCCAATCACAATACTTAGTTCATTTCCTTCTCTTATTAGCTGGAAATTCCAGGCCAATATTGAAAAAGAGCACTGAGGAGGCACATCCTTGCCTTGTTCTTGACCTTACCAGGAAAGCTCTTGATTTTCTCACCATTAATAATGTTAGCTGCAGGTGTTCTGTGGATATTTTTTTAAATCAAGAAAGATCTCTATTTCTCGTTTTCTGAAATGTATCATAAATGAGTGTTGTATTTTGTCAAATGCTTTTTCTCTATCCATTAATATGATTATATGATTTTTCTCTTTCTGCCTATTGATGTGATGAAATACATTAGATTTTGAAAGTTGAACCAGTCTTGTGTATCTGAGATAAATCCCAGTCAGTTGTGGGGTTTTGCTTTTGTACATTGTTGAATTCAGCTTGGTGATATTTTGATAAGGACCATGACATCTCTACAATGATGAGAGAGATTGATCATAGTTTCCTTGTAACACCTTTTTTGTATGGTTTATTGAATTAGGGTAATTCTAGCATCACAGAATGAGTTAAGGAAGTATTCCCTTTGCTTCTATCTTCTGGAAAAACTATAGAGTTAGTATAATTTCTTCCTTAAAAGTTTGGTAGAAATTACCAGTGAACCCACCTAAGTCTAGTACTTCATATATTAGGTGGTTAATTATTGACTCAATTTGTTTAACAGATGTTGCCTTATTAAGATTTCCTAGTTCTTCCTGTATGATTTTGGGCTATTGTGTCTTTCAATGAACTGGTCCATTTCACCTAAGTTACTAAGTTTTTAGGCACAGAGTTGCTCATTATACTCCTTTATTATCCTTTTAATGTTCATGGGATCTATAATAATGTCCGTGCTTTCATTTCTGTATTAATTTGTATATTCTTTCTTAGCCTGGCTGATTTATTTTATCTTGTCAAAGAACCAGATTTTGGTCTGGTAGATTTTTCTCTACTGACTTCCTATTATCAATTTCATCTATTTCTGCTCCAATTTTTATTTGCTTTCTTCTGCTTAATCTGCTGTTCTTTTTCTAGTTTCCTAAAATGGAAGCCTACATGACTGATTTTAGGTCTTTCTTTTTTAACATATGCATTCAATGCTATCGTTTTTCCTGTAAGCACTGTCCCTGCTGCATTCCAAAATTTTGATGCGTTCCATTTTATTTCGTTCAAAATATAGTTCTGAGATTTCTTTTTTATGTGTGTTATTTAAGAGTATGTTGTTTAGTCTACAAGTATTTTTGGATTTTCCAGGTACCTTTGTTATTGATTTCTAGTTTAATTTCATTGAAGTCTGAGAGTAGGCCTTGTGTTATTTCTGTTCTTTTAACTTTGTTAAGGTGTGTTTTATGGCCCAGAAAGTGGTCTATCTTGTTGAATGTTCCATATGAGCATGAGAATAATGTGTAATCTGCTGTTTGTGAATGAAGTAACTAGATGTCAATTTTACTCAGTTGATTTATAGTGTTACTGGGGTCAAGTATGTCTTTAACCAAGTTTCTGCCTGTGGATCTGCCCATTTCTGACAGAGGGGTGTTGAAGTCTCCAAGTATAATAATGGATTTACCTATCTCTTCTTGCAATTCTATTAGTTTTTGCCTCACATATAAGGATGGTCTGTTGTTAGATGTGTACACATTAAGCACTGTTTTATATCCTTGGAAGATTGACCCTTCTATCATTATGTAATGCCCCTTTAGTAAATGTCCTAGATTTTGCAATATACTTTTACAACTAATCTGTGACCACTTTCCAATAATGGTGTGCCACTTGGTGAATAGGGCAAGTGTCTTATAAAATAATCCTAATTACTCCCTCCCATCCCTTAGGTCATTGTCATTCATTTCACTATGTAAGCACACAATCAGATACATCGTTGCTATTATTGTTTTGAACAAAGTTACCTGTTAGATTCAGAAAAATAAATTTTACCTTCACTGCCTCCTCAACTGAAGTTTTTCCTTTATGTAGATCCATGTTTCTGACCTATATAAATTTCTGGAGAAGATTTTGAACATTTTTTTACAAGGCAGGTCTACTGGCAAAAAATTTCCATTTTTGTTTGTCTGCTAAAGTCCATTCCTTCTTTACTTTTGAAAAATAATTTTGCTGGGAACAGAATTCTAGGGTGGTAGGTTTCTTCATGCAAACATTCTTTAAATATTTTATTTTCTTCCTGCCTGCATGGCTACTGAAGAGAAGTGAGATGTAATTCTATGGGTAAGGTGTTTATCTTTTCAGTATATTTTTCTTGTCTTTTGCTTTTGTGTAGCTTGAGTATAATATGCTTAGGTGTAGTTTATTTGGAATTTATACAGTCTGGTATTCCTGAAGCTTCCTGGATCTTTGGTTGGTTTCTAACATTGATTTGGAGAAATTTCCAGTCATTGTTACTTCAAATACTGCTTCCATTCCTTTCTTCTTCTGGTATGCTCATTATATGTGTGTTATGTGTTTTACAGTTGCCCATGATTCTTGGATATTCTGTTATTTCCTCCATCTTTTTCTCTTTGCTTTTCAGTTTTGCAAATTTCTATGAAGATATATACTCAAGCTGAGATAGTCTTTCCTCATTCATGTCTAGTCTACCGATAAGGCATCAAAGGGATTCTTCATTTTTATGATAGTGTTTCTGATCTCCAGCATTTCTTTTTGGTTCTTTCCATTTCCATCTCTCTGCTTACACTGCCTACATCTGTTCTTGTTGCTATCTACTTTAACCATGAGAGTCCTTGTCATATTAATCATAGTTGTTTTAAATTCCCAGTTGGGTAATTTCAATGTTGCCATATCTGGGTCTGGTTCTTATGCTCACTATTTCTTATACTTCGTAAATTTTCCTTGATAGCTGGACATGATTACTGGGTAAAAGAAACCAAGGTAAATCGGACTTGTACTTTCACTTTCTCAGTTCTCTGCCTCTCCCCAGAGGATGACTAGAGTGGTATGGAGTTGAGTGGGAAAGGATGGAGTTGGGTAAGGACAATAGTTTAGGCCTTTATAAGACAATTTTTGAGGGTGGGCCTCCTCGTTAAGAGCAGAATGCTCTAGCATTTTTCAGAATGGTTGTTTCCCTTCCTCCATAGGAAGCACAATAAGATTTTTCTCCAGTACCCATTTTAAGAACCTGGTCAAGCTCCTGGAAGTAAAACTCATAAGACTGTGGGGGCTCCCCTTTGACTGGGTCCTCCTGAAGCTAACTCACACTTGTCTATACTGAGTCTCTAGCAATTCTTCAATTATAATGTAGGTTTTCCTACCCTGTCACTATTTCCCAAGGAGATTTCTGCTCTGGTAAATTGTGATTTTCTGTAGTCACCTGTCTGTCTCTCCAGTTTTGAGGACAGCAATTTGCCCTGTGTCCTCACCCCTCTGAAAGATATGAAAAGTTTATTTTTCAATTGTTCAATATTTTACTTGTTAGGAAGGAGTAACAACTCCTAAGCTCCCTACATGCCATGCAGGAAACCAGAAGTCCCCCATGCACTCTTTTTCAGGAAACTATAGTAGGACATGGTAATCTATAAAATTGAGAGAGATAAAATGAGAAAATGACACAGGATACAGATATTCTATACAGAAGAGGAACAAAGGGAGTTGCTAGGACAGTGGTGAAGAAAAACCTCAAGATGATAGCTGTGCAGGTGGCAGAATAAGAAGCCAGGTAGGAGGGGTTAAGAATGAACAAAATCTCTCTGGAAGGTCTCAGAAAAAATGAGTTATCTCTGGGAGACAGAAGAGGACAGGGCTGGCATGAAGACTTTATTTTTGTACCCTTTGCCATGTACACACTATTCTTTTATTACTTCTTGCCCAAAAAAGTTATATTGTCATGTTATGTAATGTTTAAATTATATGTCTTATGTAGTAAAACATGTTATATTCCTGAAAAACATGCTTATGAGTTATGGTTTTGTTCCTGAACATATATATGGTTTTGTTCCTGAACATATAGATTTAATCAGTCTCATGTTCTGGTGGTATTTAAGTTACAGATCATTTAAAATTTAAACAACTGGCCAGATGTGGTGTTTCATGCCTGTAATCTCAGTACTTTGAGAGGCCAAGGTGGGACCATCGCTTGAGGCCAGGAGTTCAAGACCAGCCTGGGCAACAAAGCGATTCTCTACAAAAAAGGTAAAATATTAGTCATGTGTTGGGGTGCGTTCCTGTAGTCCAAGCTACTCAGAAGGCTGAGCCAGGAGAATCACTTGAGCCCGGGAGTTCGAGGCTGCAGTGAACCACAATCACACCTCTGCATTCCAACCTGGGCAATGCAGAGTGAGACACCATCTCTAATAGAAAAATATTAAGTTATTTAAAAATCTAAACACCCGATTGTAAAAATAATACCTATGTATTATTGCTATATTATAAAATTTTAGATCTGGCTACCATCGTGATAAACACAGGGTATTCGTTTTCTTACATGCCAATCAGCTTAGTTTTTTCTAATAGTAATTTAAAGCAATGTATAAACTGTACATTACAACTCATAATATGTCCTTGAATAGGATTTGCTTCATAAAAGTGTACATGCATTCTCATGAATATGAGGCACCATTACCAATTGATTAAGAGCATGGACACAGAAGTCAAATAGACTTGGGTTCCAACCATGGTGTTGCCATGTAACAAGTTGTCAGACTCTGGACAAGCTATTCAATCTGCCTCTCAGCTTCTTCCACATTGGGGAATGGAAGATAAAAGTTATTATAAAAAAACAAACATAACAGCACATCTGATGTACCTGGTATAGTGTCTAGCTTATGACAAGTTCTTGATAAAATCTAAATAATCATTGGTTATAAATGTAAATTGTTAACCCTAAAAATTGAGGTTTAAATGTTACCAGATGCTAATCAGTAACATCTGATGGTTGTGTAGAGGCATTCTACTTTCTCTGCAGGGAGATTGAGGGTTGCTCTGACAATATGCATCATCTTCTCCTTCTGCTTTTTCTTATATCTAATGTCCATTTAGAAAAAGGGTAGATTCATTCATGTTGTTAAAAATAGTGGGATTTATTTCTTTTGTGGCTAAGTAACATTCCAGTGGGTGCACATGTGATCACATTCTATCTATTCATCAATGGACACAGGGTTTTTTCCATATCTCGACTACTGTGAACAATGCATCAATGATGTTTCAATGAATATGGGAGTGAGGTGCTTATTTCATTTCCTTGGGACACATCCAGAAGTGAAATTGCTAAATTATATGTGAGTTCTATTTTCAATTGTTTGAGGAACCTCTGCATTGCTTGCTTTAATGGCTATACCAATTTATATCCCCACCAACAGAGTATCAAAGTTCTCTTTTGTCCATACCCTCACCAACATTTGTTATTTCTCTAGTCTTTTTGATAATAATCATTCTAACAATTGTGAGATGACCCTTGTCTTCACTTGAACAACTGGTTTATGTAATCAACCTGGAAACTTGGCTTTACTTCTCTCATGGCTCCTCTGGAATTTTCATTGTCAACACAGTCTCTAACTGGAAGCTCCATCCGTCATCTCTCTTACTTTCTCCTAACCTAGCCCTTTTACCTCACTGAGGCATCCAACCCCGTGAAACCTCCAATTGCTCTTGGTTAGAAAACCTATTTTCTTAGACTACTCTTATCAACAAGGAGACTATGGTTAATGGCATGAATAATTTTATTAGTAGCACCCCAACTCTCTTGTCCATCCATTAGATCTTCTTTACAAACCCTAATCTCAAAATCACGTAATCTGTTTTACTATCTTAACTTTTAGCTTATGCTTTTATCAGTCACACATGCACATGGTTTAAAGACCCAAATATCTCTACAAGGTCAGTTATGAAAAAAAGTCCAACCCACTCCCTTCACTCCACTTTGTCCTCCCTGTAGGCAATCATTGTTCATATTTAACTATTCTTATATTTTTCTCCATATGTAACAATTTTTGCTGAGTAACAAATATGTACAAAAAAACCTCAGTGGCATGTAGCAATAAATTTTCACTTCTCACTCACACAGTTGTATCATGGCTGAGGTAACTCTGCTCCAAGCTACAGGGCTGTGAGAGCTCTGCTCCTTGGGTTTACTCTGCAGCTCAGACTGGAGGGGCAGCAACCAACCAGACCATGCCTTCCTTAAGGCAATAAAAGTAGCAAAAGAGGGCAAGTCCAACAGCACAAGCACACATTTGGCCCTCCACCTATATCAATCACATCTGGTAAAAATCTCACTTCCAAAGCAAGTCAGGCAAGCAAATCAAGGAGAAGGGAAACAAACTTAATTCACCAGGAGGCCACTGCAAGGGCACAAAAGTAGAATACTATTGCTGAGGACTGAAGAATTGAGACTAATAATTTACCTTTCATTCTGTATCTCTAAATTACATTCTTGTGATGCTGTCTCTCGACTTTTCCATCTTGGCTATCATCCACAGAAGACTTTTGTCCTTCTTCCCAACTTCATCTCAATATACCCTAACACTTCCCATTCCCCACCCTTTCAATATCATAATTTTGGTTAAATCAGTATTGAGTGTTTAAATCAGTGGCTATGTAAACACAACTCATAGCTGAGTCATATATTATTAAAATTTGTTTCCTATACAACTCTGTTGCCCTGGAATTATAGCTTATCTTTTGTTTTATGTGGTTTTCTGTATGCTTATGACTCATTCAATGCCAAACACTTAGCTATTCATTTAAATCTACTCTCAAGATGTTCAGACACAAGGTATTGCACCAATTTTATATTCCTGAAAAGGTCACCCTTGAAGTCCTCTGATCTTTTCCAACAGACTTGTTGTCTTCTCTGCCAGTCATTCAGCCATCATCCTAGGAACTCCCTACATCACCGTCTTGGAAAGAGTCTTCATCTCTCTCCCAACATGGATCCCCTAGCTTCTGTATCCCGTGCAGTCTGCTTCCTTGATCGACTCATTTTGCAACTCTGATTTTGGAGGGTTAGAACAAATTCTCCAATAGCTTTCTGTAGAGTGATTGGGTTAAGGTGTTTATGGGTACCTCTGAGGTTAGTATTTTTAGGTCTTTCTTCCTACACTGGACAGACTGCCCAAAGAAAATTCTTCTAGTCTCCAGTCTGGAAAAAAAAGCCAAGCCACGAAGATAGCAGCTGGCTGAGTGGGAGAAGCAGCCATGGGCTTTCCTATTCGGCAGTCAGTAGGCATATGGTTGTTAGTCACTGTTTCTGGCAACACACTCAGTCCTTCTACAGCATCCTATGTTCTCCCGGTATAGACAGAGAACTTCATCACCACCTGCCTCTGCTAGGGTGGTCATAGATTAGGAAAGGAGATTTAGAGATCAGACTGCTTAAACAGTTTTCAGCCAACCCTCCTTATTTTGTCCCCCTTCATTCCGTTCCAGAGGTACCTGGTGCTGCTAGGTCCTGGACTTTGAGAATTCTACAGCAAACAGTTTTAATTCCTAGCTTGCCCCAACTATTTGCTTGTAATTTGGCCTTCTCCAAGCTGCATCTGTTAGTACTAATTCACTTGTTTTCCAGCTATTCTTCATTTGTCATTGTCACCTCTCCTATTCTTTTGAGGATTTGTCATTTTTAATCCCTTTCTAGTAGCTTTAATGAGGTTTGAGTTATGAGCAAAATTAGGTAACTGCTCAGTTTGCTATCTCTACCCAGAAACAAGAGAGAAACAAGATAATGTGCATTCTAATTAGATAAATATTCCAAATTGTCTTCCATAAAAGTGGTTTCAATTTATGTTTGCATAAACAATGTATGAGAATATGGCAGGGTTATTAACATGAGGTAAATGAATATGACTCAGAGGGACTGGAAAACTTCTGAAAAAATAATGTATATATAATGCAATTATTTTTCTGAGAAGGGATTCTACAACTTTCAGAGGTTTTATAACAAAAAAAAGTTAGAAACCGTTGTTTTATGGTAACCACATAATGGTCCACGGCTACAGATAATCTGATTACCTATCCTTCCAGCCTTAACATCATTCACAGTATTATTTCTGCTAGGCAGCCTGGGAAGTTTGCCCAACCAAGAACAATATATACATTAGAGTAAAACTAAATCAAAGGTATGCATGCACAGGTTTCTCACTCTGCAGTTATAGCCCCATGCTCACAATGTTTCAAGTAGAAACAAAATAGACAATCTTACAACTAGGTAAACAATGAACACCTGCATCCGATTTATCACCTAAAACTCAAACTTAAGCATTTTGCATATATTTACATTGTTTGAATTATGCAATGTATTTTGGGATTTCATGAGAGACAGTTATCCAAGCAGCTTTGTTCTCATATCAGTCATTTTATGAGTAAATAAACAATTTCAGACTAAGTCCATATGAGGCTGATAATATAGCTACAACCATCACTCTTCCAGAAACAGTATGAATGATCTGGCTAAGGATAAGATTTCTTCTTTGAGTAAAATTATTTAAATGGGCAGAGACAATTATATTCACGAGAAGTTTTCAAATGCCTATCAGTGGGGAAAAAAATAAGCTTATCAGTTTATTCAAATTTTTCTAGCCCCACCTAACCAAAAATCCATTACAAACTTAGAGGCAACACCACCCATATCTATCAAACACTGCCTAGATAATTCTTTTTCAGAGTCCAAATAATTGGGGGAAAGAAGTAATACAGGAAACAATGTTATCAGTAACCCTATAACTGTCTTTTTAGACATTTCTACTGACCTTCATATCAAACTATTAAAAGCTAAGAATCTCCCTAAAATGCTTTACCCTATCATAACTTATTTGATAAACTCATCAAAAGTGAGACAACAAAAGAAGAAATTAAAATATTTCCCTAACACACGAATTATTAACCTTATATGACAACACTGAGTAGATATATCACATGTGACATATCTAACCCCAATGTAAATAACTTAGGGAAAAAAAATCAAAACTATCACCATTCAACCCCAAAGGAAAGGTGTGGTTTATATTCATACAAGGAGAACCATTACAATGCTGTTGGCCATAATCTCACTAACAGGTTATGAGAATCTGAAATAAGTCCAAGAAATATAGGGAAGGGAGGGCCCAGATCCAGAAATTGTTTTATTAGCAACAGGACTGGTGACATCATTACTCAAGTTGGATGATGTAGCAGAAAGAGTAGGTCTGTTGGTTAGTTGGAGGAACCAATTGGATTTAAGTTACCCATAGGACAACCACTAAAAGTATTCATAGGCAGTTAAAAATATATGCCCAGTATGTATTGGAGAAACATGAAAAAGAATAACTGGAAAACTGAGGAACGTCTATCCTTTTCCGAAGAAAATATTTATGGAAAATTTGCCAGGCAATATACTAAGTCCTGAGAAAGATGGTGAGGCTTAGGAAAAACCATACAAGCAAATGAAATAAAAGGCACTGTAAAAGAAAAAACAAAGTACTGCTGGCCAACAGAAGAAACTAAAAGAGACAAGAACATTCTACTCTGGAGCCAGAAAGATCCTAGCCCTGATGACACCTCAATTTTGGACTTTTAGCCTCCAAAATGCGAGATAATACATTCCTGATTTTAAGTCACTCAATTTTGAAATCTTTTTACAATAGCCCTAGGAAACTAATATATTACCCCTCAAAAATGAACACAAAATACCAAATCTAATATACGTAATATTGGCTTTGGAAGCTGGCACCAGGAGGCAAAGAAATAAAAGCGGAAGGGAAACCGTTGTTATGTAGTGGCACAACTTTGGAAGGGCCTGTGATGACTTAGAAGATAATTTAATCAATTTACTAACTTGGGCAAGATAGCTTTCAGAAAGAAGCCTGAAAGCATGAACTGGCATCTTTAAGGTGAATATGTTAAGGTACCACACAAATGAGAAGGCCTAAGAACTGGCCAGTTTGTAAACAAATTTGAAAGGAATTTGAGCCCAGAATATGACAGCCTAGAAAAACAGAACTCTAATCTCCCATTTTCGCCAAAAACAATTCTCAAAATAAGAAAATCCTGAGGGTGTAGATGAAATCCAGGGCTCTGGAGGCCAATTCCAGGAAGCAGAGAACTGGGACTTAACTAAGGAATAATCACTATTTTTAGGGTAAGGAAACCTGACAACATTTGTTGAGCAGGATTTCAAAATTTCTACAGACCAGTGATTGGTATTTGCTTCCTATTCTTACCCCATTTGAGGGAGAGTATTCAATGTGATTATTCCATATAAGTTCCACAACCGTATATTGGGTATATAGTGAACAGTGTATCAGTCCGTTCTCATGCTGCTATGAAGAAATACCCGAGACTTGGGAATTTATAAGGAAAAGACGTTTAATTGACTCACAGTTCCACATCACTGGGGAGGCCTCAGGAAACTTACAATTATGGCAGAAGGTACCCCTTCACAGAGTGGCAGGAGAGAGAATGAGAGCAAGCTGGGGAAATGCCAGATGCTCATAAAACCATCATATCTCATGAGACTCACTCACTATCATGAGAACAGCATGGGGGAACCGACCCTATGATCTAATTACTTCCACCTGGTACCGGCCTTGATACATGGAGATTATGGAGATTACAACTCAAGATGAGATTTTTGGGTGGGGACATAGCCAAACCATACGAAATAGAAAACTTCATTTTTAATTCACAAGTCTCCAGATAAAGAGATGCTGAGCATGATGGTGTGACTAGATGAGAATTTAAGGGGTCCTGGGATATTATGCAGCATATTTAATGTCAAAGGGATATGACCTAACTCTATACACTTGCCCTTATCTATAACCTTTGCCAGGTAACTTTACATTTTTCCCTACTAAGGGGTAAAATAAATTTCCCCACCCCTTGATTTTAGGTTTGGTCATATGATTGTCAATAGAATGAGGAAGAAGTGACAGTATACCAGTTGCAAATCTAGGCTCTAAGAGGCCTTGTATGTTTCTATTCTTGTACCTCTGCTATCTCCATGAGAAGAACATGGTTGGATAATCTGCTGGTCAAAGAAGGATGAAAACAAACTAAAGCAGAGCCATCCTGCCAAGTCCGTTTATTGCCAAGTCCACTCCAAATCAGAGAACCTCAGCTAATCCACAGAGGCATGAACATAATTTGTCAGTAAGCCACTATCTTTTTGTATATTTTATTACATACCTTTTGTGTAACAAGAGCAAACTGATATAATTGCTTAAGAAGATGTTTAAGATTAGCCAAAAATGAGAAAGCATAATGAACAATCCATAGTAAATTAATGCAATCAACAAAAGTAAAAAACTACAGATACAGGAAATAGAAATCAATCTCAAACATTGTGCAAAAAAAAGCACATCACACAAATATATTACCAGTGTTATTCTATTCATAAACACATTCGAAACTAAGCAGCTTTGAAAGCACCTACATACGTGGTAAAACTGTAGAGAAAAGCAAAGAAATTAACAGAAAATTAAGGACAGCAAATAGGAAGGAAGGCAACACAATCAGTAACACGGATGCAAATAGGAGGAAGCAGAGAAGATGTCCATGCACTGGCGACGTTCTATCTTGTGAGATGGATCATGACCACAAAATGAAACACCTCTTATTTGTCTTTAAATCAGTTGACCAAATGGATAGGATACATGCTGAAGAATGTGTTATTGCACACATACACACAAAAGCCTTCCTGACAGGGAATGGACTAAGGCCTTCATGTCCCTCCCTCACTGGCTGAGAGCTAAGATGTGGTCCCCTAGTCAAGATGAACTCCATATTACAGACAGCTGCAGACTGGTGAGCCACTGTTTAAAGGTAATAGGTCAGGATGGTCTGACGACACTAGAAAACAAACCTCCTCAGCATCAAGAAGTTGAGATCATTTCATTTGTTTTCAACAACTACAAAAAATGGGTAACCACACAGCCTAATGAACCAGTTTGCTGTTTCTCTAAACATTCTGTCGATTCTAACATGGGCCAGCAGAGAATGTAATTGGCAAACACCAACTCCTCTGGCCCATCACACCTGACTTTGGGCACTGGCCTTTGATGCAGTTAGACCTCAGCAACAACACACTGTATTCAAGGGCCACTACTTTGGCCCTTGCCACCTTGAAGGCACCTCTAGTACAGATGGAGGGAAATAAATTGTACATTACCATCAACAAGGTCTGGAGACTACACTCTTTAAATCACTAACATCATTATCTGCTCATGACATAACAACACAACTATAAAAGGCACTGACAAAAATGAGATGAAACCAGAATTATCTCAATAGTGAAGATACCCAAAACATGGAGTCTGCAATCTTTGACTAAATTTATCCACTTTTGCTCCCATACTTGGAACATCAAATGAGATAATGTACTTGTAATGTTTTACAGTTGACTATACTACAGATATTGAGTACTCGCCCTGTCCTCATCCTTTTTTAAGGAAATGTCTAGATGACAATTCCTGCTAAGGATGGTGCAGCCTTGTTTCTTGTCATTCCCTGCCTGCCACTCACCTCCACTTCTGCTAATTCGGCTACTGATGTAGACTTATTCTGAAAGCAGCAAACTTTTTGCTTCTGTTGAATTCATAAACACATTTCAAAACTAAGCACTGACCCATCAGATAATCAATGACTTATAATCTGGATGAACTGGTTGGCAAAGATGACTAAATCATGTTCCATCTGCAAGAAATTTGAACTACAACATAAAGAATTCACAAGTTGAGAAAGGAAGTCAAACCTTAAATGCTATGTACTCCTTCTTTGAGCTGGAGAACGATGGAAACTAAAGCAGAAATTACACGGAAACAAACCATAGATTAGACAGATTAAGCAGTTGGGAAAATTAAAAATAGATTTGTCATAAGGAAGGAAAAAGCCTAGAAATAACTCAGGTCTCAGCAACTTGCCAGTTGCCAATTATATTTTTCCAATAACATGTCTTTCTTCAAAATGGAGTCTCTTTTCCTTGCAAACACAAGAGCTACTCAGGAAGATTCCATGGATATTGGACTGTTTCAGGAACAATAAGAACTATCAGAGGCAATCATCTCAAAACACTCCTGAAAGAGTGATGACTATATAACTTTGACAGCATCACTGACAACCATTTGTAAATGTGCCAAAGTACCAAAAAACCTTTTCCAAGACAAAACAAGGAATTATCAGAATGAAAGTTTGTATGTATACCATTTAGATATTCCATTCACAGGACATTTAAAATCTCCATAATGGCTCATCATCTGCTTGAACTGTGATGGAATCTTGTGATATGCATAATGGTCTTAAGATACCCTATGAAACAAAGGATTTGATTTTTAACATTAAAGTGCACTGATACAATGGAATCCACCACCACACAACTAACATCAACAGGAATGATATTTATTCACTTTAGAATAGCATCTTGGTTATATGTAGTAAAATTGGCAACACAATAAAGGGATAAGCTATCCAAGAACTACTGTTAAAAACAACCATCATGCATAACAATCATGGTCTAGTAATACGCTTTATTAAAAAAGATTAGAATGTTTTAACATATGTAAATATGCTTTAAGTAAGAAAATCTCAAAAAAAAAAAAAAAGCTCAGTGACAGTACTAAGGCTGAAACATAGGACACCTATCTACCTCCAACTCCAAGTCCTCTGAAAGAGCTATATATTCCCTCCCTGGATAATAAATATTTCCTCAGTGTTGACATTTATTCCTTGGTATTTAATGTAAGCAAAAGCATATTCTCTCCCAAAGGATTATCATGATATTAAACAGACATCTAACAGACACAAGCCTAGATCAAATACAAAGACAGGGGAAAAAATAAAACCCAGCTTGCTGATTAGCTTTCACTGTGATGATATCAAGGCTAGGAAACATATGTAGATATTGAAGGAGGAAATCCCTCTTAAAGTAGATGTCATGGAATAAAATAGATCATCTGTCCTACAAAGCCAGTCAAAGAGCTCTGTTCCTCTAGAGAATCCTCCTGTGAGCAGAGGATTTAATAACCATCAAGTTCATTATGAGCTAAAATTATCTTAATTTGTAGGCACTGGGACCACAACAAAAACTGAAGCAATATTCCTGGAAAAAAGTGATGAAGTTGATGTTAAATAACTTTTTAAAAATTCTGTGTATATTATGTTCTGAAGTTAAAGAGATTCAGTACCTATCTACTACTAGTTCTTGCCAAATCCTATAGCATTTGTTAAGTAGTTGTGTGACTCTCTTTTTCGCCAATAACTATAATCCTTGTGAAAGATCTCAGGATGATTACACTAGAGACCAAATGTTCTCTCTTCATCATCCAAATGTATAGCAAAAAGGTACAACAAACTTCCTTCCCTGATATAATTCCAAATTGGACCAATTTGGGAGCAATTTTGTCAAGAGCCTAAATACTATCAAATCACAAAAATGCTATTTGTATTTTCACTAGCCAGTACTCCTTTTCTGGCTGTCCTGATGCAATGTATAAGAAAAAAGTAGGAGATTGGGTCTTACCATCTTTCCATGTTAGAACAGTGAAAATTAGTGTCTGGAGTAAGACATGCTAGCTCGTTTTTGCCACAACTTAACTTTTTGTTCTATTTTTCCCCAGGAGAGTAAAAATATTTCATAGGATCTTTACCAACACCTGCCTCAAACAAACAGTTCTTTTGCTTTCTCTTTTCTCAAGAATGGAGATATCTTCAACTCACTCCAGGTAAAACTGATTATCTTCAAGTAGAACTCAACCTTAAAAAAAGCTAAGGAACATGGCTGGCCCTCACCCTTTGTTCAACATGCATCCTGTGCAGACAGGTAAAGAGTAAATCCAAGGCCGGGCGCGGTGGCTCACGCCTGTAATCCCAGCACTTTGGGAGGCCGAGGCGGGTGGATCATGAGGTCAGGAGATCGAGACCATCCTGGCTAACAAGGTGAAACCCCGTCTCTACTAAAAATACAAAAAAATTAGCCGGGCGCGGTGGCGGGCGCCTGTAGTCCCAGCTACTCTGGAGGCTGAGGCAGGAGAATGGCGTGAACCTGGGAAGCGGAGCTCGCAGTGAGCCGAGATTGCGCCACTGCAGTCCGCAGTCCGGCCTGGGCGACAGAGCGAGACTCCGTCTCAAAAAAAAAAAAAAAAAAAAAAAAAAAAGAGTAAATCCAAGACCACAACTGTCAAGGAGATACACATGCTCTTCCCAGGGTAAGATATTCCTACATTCATACATTCAATTTATTAAAAATGTTCAAATTAAACTGTGGCTTTTATCTTAAAATTGATGCTTATTAAGAAAACCTATCAATATAGGCACTGAAGGGGGAAGGAGCTCCTTGCTTTAGTAATAAAGGGGCAACATGCAACACATACTCCTTCTGCTTGCTTTGCATGGAAGTGGAAATACACATCTGATCTAGGTGTGTCCCCAACACCAACTTGCTACAAAAAGCTAGAACATAGTCACCACCACATATTGTCTTTGCCCAAAGCTAAGAAAAACCCTCCATGATTTTACTTTCTCACTTCTCCATGAAATGCAGATGAGATTTCCTGTTTTTGTTTCTCCTTTCATCATATCTAATGCTTTTAAAATCTACATATGTATTTCACTTTATACTAGGTGACATTAATGAACCACATGTCCATTTATTACGGAATCTTTAGGGAGATAACATCTTCTGATTTGTCCAGGATACTTAAGTCTTTTTATTTTCATGGTTTCTCCTCCTGTAGTTTGTTGTTTTATTTTTTTATTTTATTCAGTCTTCTGAAAAAGTCGAGAATCTTGCCTTTGTGCCCAAATGATTTATATACCTGGACGTTTCATTACGCAAAAATTCTAATAACTAAGCACACAATCTAAGTAGTTAACTACATTCTAAAACTACCAGTCTTGCTTTCAATTTTCTGTATATGAAAAGCACTATATAAGCACTAAAATTATGTTAAATCATAATATTGTTAGAAATAAATTAATAAATGGTTGCTTTCTTTAAAAGAACCACAGATAAATAGCTATCTCCAGGGTTTTTGGGGGGTTTGTTTTGTTCTGTTTTTCTGAGACAGAGTCTCACTCTGTCACCCAGGCAGGAGTGCAGTGGTGTGATCTTGGCTCACTGCAACCTCCGCCTCCCAGGTTCAAGCGATTCTCCTGCCTCAGCCTCCCAAGTAGCTGGGATTACAGGCACATGCCACCACGCCCGGTTAATTTTTGTATTTTTAGTAGACATGGGGTTTCACCATGTTGGCCAGGCTGGTCTTGAACTCCTGACCTCAGGTGATCCACCCGCCTCAGCCTCCCAAAGTGCTGGGATTACAAGCATGAGCCACCATGCCTGACCTCCAGTTTTCATAATGGAATACTTACTACTGCATTTTGAGAGAGAATATATGGCAATTTGGGGTTTCTTTTAAACATGATAGCCTGCCAACTATCAAATAACAGCACACAGTTTGGGCCATAGGACGAAACATGGACCCTTTGAAAATTGCTTTCTTGACTGTACATAACACCTGGACTTAAATCATTAAGACAAGTAACATACTATAAGTCCACAATGGCAAAATTCATGAAACTAGAAATCTTACCAGGAAACTTATTATTCACAAATGTCCTTAAGGTACAACTTTAAAATGAAATAAAACTTGGGGATTTTTCCATAGGCAATTTTAGTTACAGATTATATCCAAGAGGCAAGTCGGGCTTGTTCAAGACCCCACACTAAAACTAATTTGGTGGTGGCAATAGGAGCTAAGATAATGAGTTTTTTCCTTTACAGATGACTTCATTGCTAGCATTTCTACCTGTGCCTGACAAATGGAAGTTACAAATGAAAGGCTGCCCCTTGAAGAAACAGCACATTCAAATTACATTCCAGAAATATCAAAATAGATTCTTATTAAAATTGTAAGTGAAGTGCATGGCCCTGGAAGCCACAAAATATATTCCCCTCTAGATTATCTGGTAATGTATTATCTGTAGGAATTTTTCATCTGAAACTGGCTTTCAGAATACAATCAGGCCTTTGATTATCCAAAGAGTGTGCACACTCAAATATTTGACTAAGAAACACAATTAGGAGACACATTTACGTCAATCTGAAGGTTTTAAACTACATATGTGAAAAACAGACTCCTTACAAGTATTGTATCAGACCCTGCCTAATCTTTGCCTCTCATCAGTAAATTGCAGTTACAATACAAACACGTAAACAATCTTCTACACACACAAACACAAAAAGCTGAGGATTCATGGTCAGAGTAGGCCTTAAATTATATATAAGTAATCTTTGATTAATTACAAAAGGCCCAAATAAAATGTAGTTCTCTTTTGGCTGCAATCACAAAAGACATAAAAAGGAAAAGAATAGAGGAACCATGATGTTGGTCACAACTAAAAAGAATACTACCTGAAGCCCTGTGTGATTTTCAAATCCAATTAGGCCACATAATATTGATTGTTTCAAACATTTTCAATAATCTTTCCTAAATTTATCTCAAAAGGTAAATCTAAGTAACTGAGAATCAGGAGCTGAAAATCACGGTATATCGCTTCCTTCTAGCTTGCTTTCTTGTAAGTGATAAATTCTCTGGAACTAACTTTGAAGATCACAATGAAATGTATTCATTCATTACATAGCACACACGTTAACAACTACGACATGTTAGAGACTGTGCAAAACAATTAGAACCAATTAATTGTATTCTTAAAGTTCTAAGACACATACAGAATTTATATTTTGTAAGCTTATGAACACTTCATTGTTATCCAAACTGTACGACACAGCTTAGCAGAAATGAGTGGATTCCATTCTCCAGAAGAATATTTAAAACAAGATCGTCAAGACATATGTTTTTTGTTTCTACATATAAGAAAATTGGAAGTCTCGCAGCTTCGTCCTAACAAGCTGAACTACTGAAATATGAACCACTCCCTCTTATATCCGTAAGAGAAGTGAGGTCATAGGTCAAGCTGCTGTCCCCAGAATCATAGAGAAAAACAGGCAGATTCAGAGAATCACAACATAATGAAAGCAGAATCCACTGGAGGAACAAGTGCCTGCATAGGGAAAGCTCAAATGTAATTGACAAATTCCTAGAGACCTAGTGTGGGCAAGTCTGAGAGTTAAAAACTCCGGGAAAACCCAGTCACAGAGGAGGGCTCCCATGCTTCTGTGAGTTTTACCTCCAGGAGCTTGATCAGGTTCTCATACTACTAATATGGGAGAGAAATTTCTTCCTGCTTCCAGCAGGGAGAAGGAAAATAAAAAAAATTGTTTTAAATACTCCAGAGGCTGCTCTTCTTAGCAAGGTCTACCCTGAGGAGACTCTAGTGAGCCAGAGCCTAAACTGCCAAAGGTTTTATCAGAACATAATGAACCTGTGGGAAACAAAATACCCAACTCCAAACACCCAGCCCTCCATGTGGGAGAAGGGACACACCCACATACCCAACTCCAGCACACTCTAGCTATCCTGTCCCATTTAAGGATGAAGGAAAAATTAAGAAACATGTTTTTTTGTTTTGTTTTGTTTTGTTTTTTTGAGATGGAGTCTCGCTCTGACGCCCAGGCTGGAGTGCAGGGGCGCCATCTCGGCTCACTGCAAACTCTGCCTCCCGAGTTCACGCCATTCTCCTGCCTCAGCCTCCCGAGTAGGTGGGACTACAGGCGCACGCCACCATGCCCGGCTAATTTTTTGTATTTTTTAGTAGAGAGGGGTTTCACCGTGTTAGCCAGGATGGTCTCGATCTCCTGACCTCGTGATCCGCCTGCCTCGGCCTCCCAAAGTGCTGGGATTACAGGCGTGAGCCACTGCACCTGGCCAGAAACGTGTTTTACAAGGCATAGGATCACTAATACACTGTGATCTAATCATAGGACTATGGAATGCTTTCCCGCCCCCACACCTTGCCACATTACTAAGGGTATATTTACTGCAGATCCTTCTACCCAATACACTATATCTTTCTGTTAATAAAAAATTACAAGGCATATTAGAAGGCCAAAAAACACAGAAACCAGCTTAAATAGAAGGAATAAGATAAGAACCACACAGCAAGAATGTAGGAATTACCAGATATTAATAGAACATTTAGAACTATGATCAACTACATACAAAGGATTCCAGTAGTTAGACAGGATGCAAGAAGATGGGCAATTTAAGTAGGTAGGTGGAACTCTTAAGAAGGAATCAAAAAGAAATGCTAGAGATCAAAAACACTAATAGAAATGAAGAATGCCTTTGATGGGCTCATTAGCAGACTGAAAATGGCTGAGGAAGAATCTCTGAGCTTGAGGTTATCTTAATAGAAACCTCTGAAAGTGAGAAGTAAAGATAATGAAGACCAAAAAATTCAGAATAGAATAATTAAGAGCTATAAAAGGTGTAACATACAAGTATAATGGGAATATCTATAAAAGAAAAAAATTAACTGAAGAAATATTTGAGACAACAGTGACTGATAATTTCTCCAAATTAATGTAAGATAGCAAACCACAGATCCCAGAAGCTCAGTGAACACCAAGCAAGGTAAATGCCAAACAATTCTACCTAGGCATATTATACTCAAACTACAGAAAATCAGAAAGAAGCCAGGGGAATCAACACCTTACCTATAGAAGGGCAAGGATAATTACATCTGTCTTCTCACAAACCATGCAAGCAGGATTGTTGAGTAATATTATTTTTTTGGTGGGAAGGGACGAATACCTACCTAGAATTCTATCTTCTGAAACTATACTTCAAAAGGGAAGGAGGAATAAACATCTTATCAGACAAAAATTGTGGAAAATTGTTGCCAATAAACCTGCTTTGCTAGCAATGTTAAAAGGAGCTATTTAGAGGGAAATGATACAGGTCAGAGACTTTACATAAAGAAGAGATTCAGAGAAAAAAGGTAAAAACTCATTTTTATTATTCTTAATTGGTATAAGAAAGTTTGTTCAAAATAACAGCAAAATGTATTTCTTCTTAAATGTGTACATATACATGCTTATCTATGCTTATGTATAAGTGAAATTAATGACAGCAATGATACAAGGGCTGCAGGGAATGATAAAGACTATTTTCTTATAAAGTACTCACATTATTATAGTGTTATTTGAAAATAGAATTAGTTGTAAATGTGTACTAGCAACTATGGCAAAAACTGAAAGAATGTAATGGGGGAAAGCTATTACTGAGAGAGAAAGAAGAAAACACAAGTCACAAAATGTTCAATTAAATTAAAAAACAAGGCAGAAAAACACTGGAAAACAAAAATAGCAAGGACAACATATATAAAATAGTTTAAAAATGTAGTCAATATTAACCCAATTATATCAATAATCACATTAAATTTCAATGATCTAAATATACCAATTAAGAGAAAAATTGTCAGACCAATGTACAAAACCCAAGTCTTATCTACAAGAAACTCACTTTAAATATAAAGACACAGAGGTGAAAGTAAATGGACGGAAAAAAAAACCACGCTAACATTATCAAAAGACGGTAGGAGTAGCTAATTTCACACACAACCAAATTCAGCACAATGAGAATTATCAGGGATAAAGATTATAAGATCATAAAGGGGACAATACTCTAAGAAGACATAATAATCTTCAATGTGCCTGGACCTAACAAGAGAGGGTGAAAACAGGGTAAAACTGATAGATGTGTAAAATAACTAGATGAATAAACTGTAATTGGAGACTTCAAAACCTTTCTATCAGAAATGGACATACTCAATGCAAATACACACAAAACAAAAGCAATAAAGACATAGTTGACCTCAACAGCACCAATCAACAGAATAGAATTGATATCTATTGACTACTTCATCCAACATCATCAAAACACATGTGCTTCTCAGACTCATATGAAGCATTCACCAAGAAAAACCACTTCTGAGGCCATTAAAAACCCTTTAACAAGTTTAAAAGAACATCTCAATAACAGAAAGATAGCTTAACATTCCTGAAACACTTGGAGATTAAACACCTCTAAATAATACATGTGTAAAAGAAATGAATTTTTGAAATTAATGAAAATTAAAACAGAACTTAGTAAAGTTTCTGGATGCCACAAAAGCAGTGCTTGGTGGGAAGTTTATAAAATTAAATGCATGTATTAGAAAGAATAAATTATCTAAGCTTCCACCATGGGAAACCAAAAAGAGTCAATTAATTCAAATGTAAGTAGAAGAAATCAATAAAATTATAGCAAATAAAATGGATGTAATGGATCTGTGACATCAGCAAGATGGCTGATTAGAATTTCTTTAGCTTCTCCCCCAATTTCACAAACAGAAATCTAACTAGCAATTATCTGCAGACAAAAAAATACCATCCTGAATATCCCAGAACTTGGCAGTGGACCACAAAAATGAGAAAAGTCACAATTGAACTGCTGTCTTTGACTATACTACCACTGCCCCAAGCCAGAATTCCCTGGGCACGATGGTTTCTATGATGTTTGGAAAAATGAGTTGGTGGCAGACATCCACCTTCCTCACTATTCTAGGACTCTTCACAGGGGCTCACTCCTGTCTTGTCTAGAAAAAAACATTGGGAGTACCAACATGGCTGGACCACTTGAAGTCAGTTAGAAACAAAAAATGGGGTTGAGGGCCACCAACTCATGGATCTTGGTGGTTGCTCTACATTCTGGCCAAGGGTGGCACCACACCAGATAAACTAGCCAACTGAAGTGCAGTCCATGGGTCTTCCCATCTGAAATCCTTAGGCAGCTTCCCGCATAGCCCAGGTGTCCTCGTTCAGGTCAAGAAGCAACTACAGGTCAGCGATTATGTGCACAGGGGGCACTTGGGCCCACCTAATCCTAGTAATAGAGAAGTAATCAAACTAAGCCCTGGTGTTCTTGTTATATCCTCCAAGGTAGGAGGTACCAGCAGGTTAGGGAATACCCATAGAGGGAGAATCTGGACCCACCTAACCCTAGCTGCAGAGCTGTTACTCCAAACTTCAGTGCTCTGCTTAATTTTAACCTAGAAAGCAAGCCAAACTTCACACATACCTGAAGCATAGCCTCTGGTCCTGCCCATCCTATGCGGCAATCCCATAAGACCTCACTCAGCCTTGGAGTCCTTCACACAATCCTGCCTAACTACAGATTCTGGTACTGCCCAGAAAAAGACGACAATCCACAACTCTGCCAAATCACAGATGATTGCAGAACTCAGGTGACAGCCTCAACTGACGACAAAGTTGAGCCAGTGATCTTACCAGAGCACAGTCAGCAATACTATTTAACCTCAGAGCACAGGAAGCAACCGAGCCCAATTAGAGAAGCTGACACCAAGGTCTGCCTCTCCTGTGTTGTCATCAGTGGCCCCATCCAAATTCCTAAATACTAAAGGTCTATTACAAAAGAACACCTGAAATAAATGGCTATCTCCTCAAACACATAGGCATCAATGTAAAGGCATGAGAATTATGAAAAATCAGGGAAATATCATGCCATCAAAGTACACAAATAAAGCTCCAGTAATAGAACCCAAAGAAATGGAGATGTGTGAAATGACTCAAAAAGAACTCAGAATAATCCTCTTAAAGACGTTCAGGCCAGGTGAAGTGGCTCACACATGTAATCCCAGCAATCTGGGAGGCTGAGGCAGGAGAACTGCTTGAGTGCAGGAGTTCAAGACCAGCCTGGCAACATAAAGAGACCCATCTCTACAAAAAAAAAAAAAAAAAAAAAAAAGGAAAAAGAATAAAAAAAAAAGAGTCAGGTGTAGTGGTATGCACTATGGTCCCAGCTACTCAGGAGGCTGAGGCAGGAGGATAACTGTAACTTGACCGTGGGAGGTCAAGGCTGCAATGAGCTGTATTTGTGCCACTGCATTCAAGCCTGAGTGACACAGTGAGACTCCTTCCCCCACCCTCTGCAGACAGAGTTCAGGGAACTACAAGAAATACAGATCTGAAATTTACTAAAGTGTGGGAAATAATTCATGAACAAAATGAGAAGTTTGACAAAGAAATAGAAACAAAATCCAAGATAAAGACTACAATAACTGAACCGAAAAATTTGTTAGAAAGCTTCAACAGCAGACATGATCAAACAAAAGAACAGTGAACTCACAGAGAGGACATCTGAAGTTGAGCAAAACAATAACAACAAAGAGAGAAAAGAATAAAGAAGGCCTAGGAGAATTACAGGACAGCATCAAGCAAACTAATCTTTGCATAATAGGAGTTCCTGAAAGAGGAAAGAAAAAGGCCTGGAAAGCATATTTAAAGAAACAATGGTTGAAAATTCCCAAATCTGGGGAAAGACAACAACCATATACAGGAAGCTCAGAGATTACCAGTCAAACCCAGAGAGGGATTTGCCAAGACACATCTTAATCAAATTATCAAAAACCAAAAGAAACAATATTCAAAGCAGTGGGCGGGTAAGAAACGTTATTCAAAGAAGCCCCAAGATGGCTTTTAGCAGATTTCTTAACAGAAACCCCTCAGGCCAGGATAGAGTAGGATAATATATTCAAAGTGCTGAAGAAAAAATACTGTCAAACAAGAATACTTTGCATGGCAAAGTTGTCCTTCTGAACTGAAAGATAATTAAAAATTTTCCCACAAAAATAAAAGCTCAGAGAGTTTGTTGCTAATAGGCCTGCTTCACAGAAATTGCTAAAGGAAGTTTAAGTTGGAAAAAGGCTATGAATTAATAACAAAAACCATGAAATTAAAAATCTCAATGGTGTAGATAGTACGTAGTTGCACTTAGAATTCTCTAATATTGTAAGGGTAATGTATAAACCAAATTAATCCCTTTTAAAAGAGTTAAAAGACAAAACTATTAAACACAACTGTAGCTGCAGTAAGTTGTTAAGAGATACAAATTATTCTTAAGTGTAAATTTTGACATCAAAATAAGAGAAAGGGAGAGTGAACGCACAGATTTTTTGTATGTAATTAAAGGCAAGTTGTCACCTTAAAGTAGGCCTAGTATAAAAATATTTTATGTAAGCCTTATAACTACAAAGCCAAACCTATATTATAGCTGTACAAAATATAAAAAGAAAGTATCAAAGCATACCACCACAAAAAACTTCATAAAACCACAAAGGAAAAGAGCAAAAAAAAAAAAAAGGAAAGAAGGAACCTACAAAACAATCAGAAAACAAAGTTACAAACTGGCAGTGGCAAATCCCTATCTGATAATAATTAGCTTGAATATAAATACAGAAAGTTCTCCAACTAAAAGGCAAAAGTGGTTGGAGTAAAAACTAAACAGGATCCAACCATATGCTGCCTAAATGAGATTCACTTTACTGTTAAGAACACAGACCGAAAATGAAAGGATGGAAAAAAGACATTCCACATGAATAAAAAACAAAAGAAAAGAGGGGTAGCAGGGTAGCTATACCTATAAAATAGATAAAGTCAAGGCCCACAAAGAGACAAAGAAGGTCATTCTATATTAATAAAGAGGTTAAAATAGCAAGACCACATAAAATTCATATATAGGCATTCAACCTTGGAGCACCTAAATACATACAGCAATTATGTACAAATCTGAATGAAGAGAGAGATTGCAATACTATAATAGTAGGGGACCTCTATATCCCACTTTCAAAAATGGACCGACCATTGAGAAAGAAAAAAGAAACACTGGACTTTAATTATACTTTAGATCAAATGGACATAATGGACATGTAGAGAACATTCGGTCCAACGGCAGAATACATTCCTCTCAAGTGCACAAGAACTATTCTCCAGCACAGATTACATGTTACACCACAAATCTTAAGTTTAAGAGGCTTGAAATCTTCTTAAGTATTTTTTCAGGTCACAAAACCATAAAACTAAAAGTCAGTAACAGTTGAAATCATGGAAAACCTAGACATATGTGGAAATTAAGAAACATGTTCTGAACCAACAGGTCACAGAAGAAAATCAAGAAAATAAAATCAAGAAATACCTTAAGACTAATGAAAATGGGAACACAACATACCAAAACTTATAGCATGCAGCAAAGAGTCCTAAGTGGCAAATTTATAGCATTAAACATCTATATCAAGGTAGATCACAACCAAAATTTAGAAAAAGTAAAGAACATCCAGGCAGAAGTAACTGAAATAGAGTCTAGAAAAACTACAGGAAAAAAAAATTGACAACTGTTTTTTTGCAAATTAGAAAACTCCTTAGCTAGACTAGGAAAAACCAAGACTACTCAAATAAGATCAGAAATTAACAACGGGACATTATAACTGATACCACCAAAATACAAAGGATCATAAAAGATTACTAAAAACAATTATACTCCAACAAATCAGATAACCTAGCAAAAAAACATACATTCCTAAACACAGACAACCTACCAAACTGAATCTAAATAAACCAATAACAATTAAGGACACTGCAATCAGTGCTAAGTTTCCCCCAGAAAAGCCCAGAACCAGATATCTTCACTGTTGAATTCCACCGTACATTTAGAGGAAAACTAATACCAATTCTTCTCAAACTCACTCCGCCCACCCCAAACAGAGGGGATATTTTCAAACTCATTTTACAAAGCTAGGATTACCCTGATACCAAAGCCAGACAAGGACACTACAAGAAAACAAAGTTACAGGCTAATATCCCTAATGAACATAGACACAAAAATTATCAAAATATTAGCAAACCAATTGGGAATGACAGTAAGAGGAGCAAAGAAAAAAATATTAGCAAACCAAATTAAAAACACATTTTTTAAAAAGCATTCACAATGACCAAGTGAGATTTATCCCTGGGATGCAAGGATAGTTCAACATAGGCAAAACAATAAACGTAATATACTACATTAACAAAATGAAGGATAAAAGTCATATGATCTTGATACATGCAGAAAAAATATTTGACAAAATACACTTCCATGATAAAAACTCAATGGTTTAGGTATGTAGGGAATATATCTCAACACAATAAAGGCTATATATTACAAGCCAATGGCTAACTAACATCATTCTCAATGGCAAAGAGTCAAAAGTGTTTCCTCTAAGATTAGGGATGAGACAAGAATGTCCACTCTCATTGCTTCCTTTCAACATAGATTATTAACCTGGCTAAGAAAAAAAGAGGGTAAAAATTACTAATACCAAAATGGAAGAAAGGGCATAACTGCAGACTTCATGGACATCAAGATGATAAAGGAGAATTATAAACAACTCTAGGCTTACAAATTTGATAACCTATAGGAAATGTACCAATTCCTGGAAAGGCATAATCTAAAATTCACAGGAATAGAAAATCTGAATAGATGTAATGTCTATTAAGGAAATTAAATCAATTATCTTTCAAAGCAGAAAGCACCAGCCCCCAATGGGTTCATCGTGAATTCTAGCAAACTTTTTTTTTTTTTTTTTTTTGAGACAGAGTGCTGCTCTGTCACCCAGGCTGGAGTGCAGTGGCATGATCTCGGCTCACTGCAAGCTCTGCCTCACAGGTTCACGCCATTCCTCTGCCTCAGCCTCCCGAGTAGCTGGGACTACAGGCATCCGTCACCACGCCGGCTAATTTTTTTTTGTATTTTTAGTAGAGATGGGGCTTCACCGTGGTCTCGATCTCCTGACCTCGTGATCCGCCCGCCTCGGCCTCCCAAAGTGCTGGGATTACAGGCGTGAGCCACCGTACCCGGCCTCTAGCAAACTTTTAAGGAAGAAGTTATACCAATTCTCTACAATCTCTTTCAGACTATCAAAGCAGAGGGAATACTTCCCAACTCATTCTGTGAGGCCAGCCTTACCCTAATTCCAAAAACAAAAAAAGACATTATAAGAAAAAAAAATAACTACAGACCAATAGCTCATGAATATATATTCAAAAATCCTCAACAGAATAGTAGCAAATTAAATCTACTGTATAAGAAGTACTATACACCATGACCAAGGGGGATCTATCTCAGGTGTTTAAGGCTCATTTAACATTCAAAAATCCATCAGTGTAACCTGTAATAACAATAAGCTGAAGGAGAAAAAAAATCACATGATCATATCAATAGATGGAGAAAACGTATTTGATAAAAATCCAACACCCACTTATGATAACAAGTCAGCAACCTAGGAATAAAGGAAACTTTTTCAACTTTGTAAAGAACATCTGGAGGAAATCTACAGCTATCATCATTCTTAATGGTGAGAACTCAAAGCAGTCCTGCTAAGACCAGGAATAGGGCAAGGATTTCCCCTTTCACCATTCCTTTTCAACATCATACTGGAATTCTTAGCTAATGAAATAAGATAAGAAAAAGAAATAAGTATTCTGATTGGAAAGAAGTAAACTCATTTTCACAGGTGACATCACTGTCTATGCAGAAAATGTAAATGCATCAACAAAAAGAACTGGAGTAAGCCATTATGTCAAGAGACTGACACTTCCAGACTTCAACAGTTACTGTAAAGTTACAAAAATAATGTAATCAAGATAGTGTGATATTGGTTTAAAAAAAAGTAGGTCAAAGGAAAGGAAAAGAGAGCCCAGAAATAGACCCATATGAATACAGTCAACTTTGGAAAAGGAACAAAAACAATATAATAAAGCAAAGAAAATCTTCTCAGCAAATTGTGCTGAAAAACTGGACATCCAGATGCAAAAAATAAAAGTCTAGAAAGACTTTACATCTTTCACCCAAGTTAACTCAAAACTGATCACAGATCTAAATATAAAATACATAACTATAAAACTCATAAAAGGTAACAAAGGAGAAAAACCAAGATGACCTTAGGTATGGCTATAACTTTAGGTAAAACCCTAAAGGAATGATACATGAAAAAATTGGTACACTATACTAAATAAAGATTAAGTTTCTGCTCTGTAGAAGACACCATAAAGAAAATGAAAAGATATGCCACAGACTGGGAGATCCTATGCACAAAAGATATGTGGTAAAAGACTTATCACAAACATGCAAAGAACTCTTAAAACTCATCAATAAGAAAACAGCCCAAATAAAATAATGAGCCCAAGACCTTAAAAGACACCTCACCAAAGAGGAAGTACAAATGTTAAATAAGGACATAAAAATGATGCTCATAGGTCATTCAGGAAATCCAAGTAAAACAATAAGATAATAGTTCACATAATACAAATGGCCAAAATCCACAACATTAACTATCAAATTGCTGGCAATAATGTGGAGCAAAAAAAAAAAAGAAAAAAAAAACGAAAAAACCAAAACCTCTCATTGTTGGCAAGAATCCAGAATAGTACATCCACTTTGGAAGACAGTTTTGCAGTTCCTCAGGAAACTAGATAAACTCTTACAATATGATCCAGCAATCTTACTCCTTAATGTTTACCCAAAAGAGTTGAAAATTTATACTCACTCAACAACCTGCACAGATATTTACAGCAGTTTTATTTATAATTTCTAAAGCTTGGAAGCAACCAAACATTCTTCAGTAGGTGAATGAATATAGAAACTATGGTACATCCAGAGAATGGAATATCATTTACTTCTAAAAAGAAACTATCAAGCCATGCAAAAACATGGAGAAACTTTAAATGCATATTACTGAGTGAAAGCATCCAATCTGAAAAGGTTATATACTGTGTGATTCCAACTATAATATTCTGTAAAGGCAAGCTACGGAGACAGTAAAATCATCAGGGGTTGTTAGATGTTGGGGGAGAGGGAAGGTAAATACAGCAAAGAAAATTTTTGAGGCAGTGAAATATCCTATGTAATATTATAATGGTAGATACATGTCATTATAACATTAGTTCAAAGCCTTGAAACATAGAACACCAAGAGTGAACCCTAGTGTAAACTATGAACTCTAGGTGATAATGATAATAATGTATCAATGTAAGTTCAATGGTTTAAAAAAAAAACAGGTACCACTCTGGTAGGGGATATTGATCATGGGAAAGGCTATGCACACCTAGAGGGAAAGGGGCTATAAAGGATCTCTCTGTACCTCCTCCATCTTGCTGTAAAATTGCTCTAAAAAAAGTCTTTAAAAAATAAACAATGTTGACTTTTAATTGCCACTACTTCTTGCCTATCCATATTTGCCTTTCATATTTAATTGAAATGAAAAATTAAAATAAGTGAATAAAATTACCTACAAGTCCTGTTTGTTGTACAGAGCTGCCCTATTTTTTCAGTGTGTTACCAACTGCAATCCACAGAAAGTACTGTTTATACATATTAGGTGGGGAAATGCTAGGTTAAACAAATTTCAAGTTTATTTTAGGGACTTTAATTAATAACGTGTATTCTGAATCCTCAAATGTGGGATATTATGTCTACCACTTCCCAAATATATTTTACAATAAGACTTATCTCAACAATGAATATCTTAGAGAATAGTGTTCCATGTAACAGTCTGGGAAGTGATGGTTTAACCTTTCTTCCTAAGAGCAGCTAGAAAAATTAGCTTTTCCACTATTTCTGTAGAATCTGCTGTCTAACTTCCCTCCCTTTCCTTGTCTGTATTCTATTTCTTTCTCTAGTCATTTCTTCCCTCCTTCCCTCTTTGCTCCCCACTGTGGAGTGTGTCACAGTCTTTCTTTCTGGCAACCTTTCTATTGGTTTCTCACTCTGTGCATATTGGTCTCTGCTGCACATACTCTATTTCTGTACCTCCTCCACATACACAGGCACCTACACACTTTATAAAACTCTAATCATGGGTTTCATGAGAACCATAACATCTAGGTATTAATAATCAACCCATATTTCACAAGTGACCCTCTGATTATGTGTCCTAACATTTTATTTTCAGTTCCATAAATGAAGGTGTATGCTTCAATTTATTTCAACATCAATGTTACTGTTTCCAGAAATCTTGTGAATAAGAGCTTAAACATTACCTAATAAATCAAAAAAATAAACCACTAATTCTCTCTAATGTGAAAATAATATATTTCATTTGAGAAAATGACATGGGAGAAAATATGCTAAGTTAAGAGACCAGGTAAATCATTATTCTAATGATAATTAAAAGGTCAAAACAGGCACAAACTTATATTTTAGGAAAAGGTATTCCCAACTAAAGGAAAGAGACATTTAAAATATTTGTATTTAGTACTGAAATATAATTTTAAATAAGCAACAATGGATGTGGCATGTAAAAGTCAATAACGAAGCTTTGTGTATTTGGCTCTTATTTCATGTTGATAATCCTCATCTCAGGAATAAATGAGAATTAAAAACATGCACAAGGCCGGGCACAGTGGATCACACCAGTAATGCCAGCATTTTGGGAGGCTGAGGTGGGCAGATCACCTCAAGAGGTGATCTGAGCCCAAGAGTTCAAGAGCAGCCTGGGCAACAGGATGAACCCTGTCTCCACAAAAAAAAAAAAAAAAAAAATATATATATATATATCTATATAGATATATAGATATACATATATAGATATATAGATATATAGATATACATATATAGATATATAGAGATATATATACAGAAATACAAAATTAGCTGGATATCGTAGTACGTGCCTGTAGTCCCACCTACTTAAGGGGCTGAGGTGTGACAACTGCTTGAGCCTGGGAGGTAGAAGTTGCAGTAAGCCAAGATGATGCCACTGCAATCCAGCCTGAATGACAAAGTGAAATCCTGTCTCAAAAAAATAAATAAGTAAATGACACATGCACAAAGCCAAATATGTGAAAATCAAATAATAAGTTACATTTTACGGGGACTGAATCAGCAGAAATGGCTTAGTAAGCAGTTCCAAAAATTCATTCATAAAAGTCGTGAGAACTTTGGAAAAATGATCAAAATCATTTTTTTTTAAATAAATCTGAAATTAACCTAAAGCATGCAACATCTAGGGGATGTTTATTCAGGTATAAAACACTGAATCCTGGTAATAGTTGAAGTTGTAGCAGTTTAATTAACCTTATAACAAAACCACTTCCTCTCCACCCCCCAACTCTTCTGAATCTGAAGGGAGCCTTGAAAACTGGCATTGTACAATTACAGTAAAACCGGAAGCCTAGTAGCCAATGAAAAAAGCAAAATAAGGTTGGATTTGCTCCAAGTCCCAGTTCCCAGATAACTGCCATATTCGACCTGTCTCAAAGTTCCCTGCAAAATCTATTTCCCAATATATGTTTTTAGTTGATCTGACTCAGTTTCCCACTGCAGCATTTTCTTGGAGGCATTTGCAAAAACAGTCAGTGGTAATTGTTTAACATCACAGTTGCATTAGATGGTGATCACAGTTGAGGCGCACAAGAAGCTACCAAAACACTTAAAAGGAAAATCTGGGGAATGAGATGTTCATGGGAGACTTTGAAAACCTATTCCTGGAAAACTAGAAAATGCCACATACGTGCATTGGGCTGCGCACATGCCCAGGAAAGACCTCAGAAAGCCATATGCTCTCACCTCTGGATGACCACGTGTCTCTGCACATGTACAAAGTGAGGACTAAAGAAGAGTTATCAATAGCACCTCTGAGCTTTAAGGGTGTAACCCTACACATGCATAGAGCCCTTAGGCAAAATATGGGACAGTTATTAGTTCCGGTTATTAAAGGAAATCTGTCTAACCAATGGCTGACCATCAAGCTAATCTAGAAGAGATTTCAGTAATCATATGTAACAAAGAAAACAGACTTTATGGAATTAGCTCAGGAAAGCTGTTAAACAGCAACAACAAAAAATTAACACTAAATCCTAGGGAGAGGAGATCTGATTTTTAAAGTTGTCATATTGTGTTAATGAAAATGTTCGGTTTTTAACAAAAACCCAAGAGGTATGTAAAGCAGCAGAAACATATTGCCAATATAGAGGAGGGAAAAGCAGTCAAGAGAAACTGTCCTGCAGAAACCTAGAATTTTGACTTATTTAAAATAACGTGGGCCAGGTGTGATGGCTCACATCTGTAATCCCAGGGCTTGGGGAGGCCAAGGCAGGTGGGATCACTTGAGGACAGGAGTTACAGACCAACCTGGACAACATAGCAAGAACCTATCTCTACCCAAAAAAAAAAAAAAAAAAAAATTAGCTATGTATGGTGGCATGTGCCTAGTCCTGCCTACTTGAGTGGATCACTTGAGCCTGGAAGTTCAAGGCTACAGTGAATTATGATCATGCCAACCTGAGCAACAGAGACCTTGTCTATCAAAAAAAAAGAATGAGCCTATTTATGGTATTTTTCTAATATGTTCAGTCAACTTAAGGACTTAAAAGTATGAGAAAGTTGCCTTATCAACTAGAAGATGTTAATAAAAAGGTATAAATTATTTGAAAAAGAAGAAAAAGGTATAAGTTCTGGAGTCAAAGTACAATGCAAATGACTAGTCCACTAGATGGGCACAACAGCACGCTTGCTCAGTCAAAAGAAAGAATTGGCACACCTGAAGATATGTTAACTGAGATTATACAAACTGAGGAATAGAAGGACAAAAAAAAAAGATCTCAGATTATCAGTGGATAATAATGAAGCATGCCAAAATAATCATAATGGGAGAACCACCCAGAAGGACAGGACAGAGAAAGGAGCAGAAATAATTTTTGGTAGTAATAACTAAAAACTGCCCAATTTTGATGAAAAAGTGTTAATCTACATATCCAAGAAGCTCAAACTACAAGCAGGATAAATACAATCAGGTCCGCATATAAATGCATAAAAATCAAACCATCAAAAGCCAAAGGAATCAAAAAGGGAATCTTGAAAGTAGTAAGAGCTACTCATCATGCACAACATTCACCAATAAGATTAACAGCTTACTTCTCATCAGAAGTCATGGAGGTCAGAAGGCAGTGGGGGATGATGTTCAAAGAGCTAAAAGATAAAAGACTGTCAACCAAGTATTCTATTCCAGCAAAATAATCCTTCAAATTTGAAGTAGAAATTAAGACATTCCCAGGTAAGCAAAAGCTGAGAATCTGTTGCTAGTCAACCTGTGCTACAAGAAATACCAAACGGAATACTTGAGGCTAAAATGAAAGGACATGAGACAGTAACCTGAATCTACATAAAGAGGACCAGTAAAAGTAAGCACATATACAAATAAGTAAATATAAATGATCATATAAATGTACTTTTGGTTGAACCCTTTTATTGCCCTGATTTATATGACAACTATAGAGAGCAATAATATAAATATTAAAAGGTAAACAGTGTATAAATATGCAATATATGTGACAACACAGCACACAGGAAAGAGAACACAGTATTGCTGAATCTTATATTGTTTAATGAAAAAATGAACTTTTATGCTAAAAATTTTCAGTTAAAAAATATGTAGGATATACAGACATACTGGAGGCTATACTTGACCCTCAAGCTGTTAGTTTGGCAACTCTGCTAAAATGTCACTCTCAGTCCTTTAGAGTTTTTGAAGAGGTACAATTATCTTTTTATACATGGAAATTGACTCTATAAAAGTATAGAAATCTGCTGCTACAACTAGAACATTTGTTCAGGTTTTATCCTCCAGAGTCCAAATGATTTCCTTTAATTCTTTGCCTCATTAAGTTATAAAAGCTTTTGTTTACTCATTGCTGAATTCACTTATAAAAACATTATTTCTCAAAGTCTCGTTGTAGACGTAAGTGTTCTAAGGTGTTATTTAGTAAACGCCTGTAATAAACTGATACACCAAAATCAGACACACTGGAAAAGATAATTTTATCTCAAATATAAAACTGTTTTCATAATTTCTCCAAATGTTTCCTTCTTATAAGAACAAAATAATTACTGAGTGGCTATTATGTGCCAGGTGCCATTGCTCAGCCCTGAGGATGACACAGTGAACAAGATAAAGTCCCTGCCTTTGTGGACTGCATATTTAAAAAGGATAAAGGTAACAGACAAGTAAAAACAAACTAGATAATTACAAATAGAAATAAGTACTATGACGGAAGTAAAAGAATATTAGAAAAGAAATAAGAGGAATAACAACAAAGGCTCCATAAGAAGTTTATATTTAAGCTGTGATCTAAAGGGTTGAAATTAAGCCAGAGGATAAGGAAAAGAGCTGTGTCAGTTGAGAAAAAGATGCGGTCAGTCAGGCTTGTAATGTGCTAAAACCACAAGAATGTTACAGGTTCAGCACCCATTCTGTTCATGCAAGAAAGTTCATAGCAAGAGAAAAAAAAATGATAAGAAAAGCTAAGATAATTAGCAGAGGCAATAGCTAGTGTTTGTTGACTACTGCAGCAGGCTGAATTATTTGTCATAATTTTTTTATTTCTCTGTGGTAGAATAATGTACTCACACCCTTGTCTTGTCTCATAGATGTGAAGTATACCAGCTTACTGTACTAATGTTTGGCTTTGTCACAAGGCTTACTTGGCCCAAAGGAATGTGAATGGAAGTGGCAGTGTGCACATTCCATGCCTAGTCCTCATGAAAAACCACATATGTTGAATTAATCTCTTGCACCTCCACTACTATAAAAACCTCACCAACGTAGCTACCTCCCTTTCAGCATAGGATCCAGGAGAAACAGTCCTGTGTATAACCCTCAGTAAAGGGCCAAGCACAGCCAGATCTGCAGCTATAAGCAAAGCCACCCAGTCAACTCCACCCTAGATCAACAAACACCAAGTCAACCCACAGACAAGTGATTAAGAATTACTGTTTTATGCCATGGAGTTTTGAGAATATTTGTCCATAATAACTAATAAATACTTCCAATATCAGGCATAATACTAGATGCTTTACATAGGTTAGCTCATCCAAACTTTCCACCAAACTCATAAGGTAGATATGACTTTCAGCCCCATTTATCAGACAAGGAAACTAAGATTGACACCTTAAATAGACTCCTGACAGTTATATAACAAGCAGGAAAACCAAAAAGCCCAACCAGTCTAGTTTCAGAGTTCTATGACTCTATTACTGTGATATTCCCCTTTTTCCTAAGTGACTAAAGTCTTATTGCATTATCAAAACATTAGTATCAGTAAGTATATCTTTGTCCTATTTCAAGTCTACCACTTACAGAGTGAATAAAAAATAAACCAAGGACTTGTGTTATCAGTTGTTCCTGCCTCAGTCAAGATCCACTTTACCCAGGTGCAAACTGAATAGAGTTCTACCATGTTTTGATGCCACTTTAAATAATGCCACTATTTTATCGTTCAGAAAATATAGTCAAGAAGCAGTCAGGGATAGGAGAATTAGCAATATGGCAGAACAGGAGGCTCCAGATTCCCCCTTCACCCATAGACCCAGTGAATAGACATCTACTCACAGATGAATTCCCTTACATAAAGTCAGACATTAGTCAAGTCTCCTACCCAATAAGGCAACTGAGAAAACATCCACACTGGATGGGCAGAAAAAGCTGAGGCACACTCAGGCACAGATTCTTCCATAGGCACTGTACCATAAAATTGAAAGAATTCCCAGCACCCAGCTTCTCCCTGTGGAAAAGAGGGTTTGAACCACATATAGCACCCTAACCTAAGTTTCCTTATGGCTAGGCTCTTAATTCACCAATGCAGGGAGTGAAGAGGATTAAAGACTCTCCAGACCACAGGAAAAAAAATGGTGGTTTTCTACAGGCACAAAAGCACTTCCAGGGGCCTCATCCTCTGAGAGCAGTGCAGAGAAGGGACTATAAATAGCTCCCCATTTCTCTCTGGAAGGAGATTTACGACACATTCTTCCAGTGGCTACTTGGCACAACCCAGCTTCTAAGTAGCTTGTATCAAGGAGATAAAGGGTCAGCTAGATAATACCTTGCTGGCAACCTGAGCAGCAGATCAGCACTTCCCAAGCCTTCTTCCTCAGCTCACTCCAGCTATTAACTCCAAGTCTATTAATTTATCCTGAAAAGAATTTGTCTGTCCATTGAATGCTCAACTTTTACTGCTTCCACTTCAGAAATTGCATCCTAAACTTCTTAACTCTTCAAGAGGAGAGCACACATAAGCAAGTCTCTCTAGACTACAGAAAAAAGCAGCAATTTTATACGAGCAAACAAGCATGTCCAGGGGCTTAATCCCCTGAGAGTAGAGAAAGGGCTCAAAAACTGCTGCTCCCTATTTCACCCTGGAAGAGGTTTACACACACATTCTGTGCCTAATTTTTCACAGCTGCCGCCCTGAGGTAATGCATCCTATAAATCTAGCTCTGGAAGCAGAAGGGACTAGGTATATGAGCGTCTCCTGAAGAGGACCAAACCAAGAGGTAGTCTTAGACATGAAAATATAAGGGCTACGCCCTTTGGGAACAGTGCAGAAAAAAACTCTCATTTTCTCTGGAAGGTGGTTGCTGCACACTCTTTCATTGGTTAATTAGTGGTCTGGCTTCTAGTCCACTTGCATCTGGGAGCTAACAAAGAAGACAAACAGTAGCCTCTCAGCAGCCTGAGCCAGGGCACTGCACATTTCCTAAAGCCTTTCCTCTGGTTCACCCCAGTGATTACTTCAGGTCTACCCACTCTTCTTAGAGTTTATCCATGCACCAAGTGCCACACTTCTAGAGCTAGCTCCCACCCAAGGGACTGTCTCCTTAACAACCTACCTCTGGAAGTCAATGGGGCTTTGTATTCCTGAATAGTCCTAGACCACAGAGGACAAAGAGGTGGACATATAACAGGACCCCTTCCAGCAGCTATCTCCCTAGTATCAGAGGGTGCAGCTTGAATGTGAGTACAATATTTGTAACATATCCTCTCCCTAATTTGATGCAGAGAATGGGAGATAAATATGCATGCTTAGCTTCATCATGAAAATAGAAGAAACTAGAAGACCATCCAACACCTAAACCTTTTCAGCTACATCTAGAGGGTCTTGGCTTCTACCTTCCAGGTATCAGAGTACTGCCAGGATGTGGCACATCCCAACCTCCTAAAGGTCCACAAAAAACAGACAGCAGTCTGCATAAACATGAGACTGAGAGGTACCTTAAAATCCTTGGTCAGATGAATTAGAAATCCTCTCACTATATGAAATTAGTCTGACAAGACAGGCAGATGTTTTACCTAATATGCAGAAAACAACAGTGTCAAAGAAAATGAAAAAGCAGAAATATACGTTCCAAATAACAGAACAAGATAAATGTCTAGGAAATGACCTGAGTGAAGTGAAGATATGTGATTTACCTGACAGGGAATTTAGAACAATGGTCATAAACATGCTCACCAAGGTGAGAAAAGCAATGCAAAAACTGATAATTTCAGTAATAAAAGATAAAGTACAAAAACAGGTCAAACAGAAATTAAAGGTGAAGAAAATAACTGAAAACGTCAATGGAATCAGCAGCAGACTAGATCGAGCAGAAGAAACTCAAAGTGAACTCAAAGATCACCAGAAATCACACAACCTAAGGAGCAAAAGGAAAAGAGAATGAGAAAGAGTACGGATTACTTATGAGATTTATGGGACACCATCAAGTGGAAGAACGTATGCATTATCCACATGCCAGAAGAGAAAACAGAAGAAACATAAAACATATTGAAAAAAAATAATAACAAACTTCCCAAGGCTGGAAAAGGAGATAGAAATCCAGATCTAGGAAATCCAAGAGACACTAAATAAGATGAATCCAAAGAGACCATATCAAGAAATATCAGAATCAGATGGCCAAAAGTTAAAGACAGAATCTTGAAAGCAGCAAGGGAAACCCAAGTTGTTAGAGACATGTGAGCCCCCATAAAATGATCAGTGGATTTTTTTCTGCAGAAACTTTTCAGGACAGGAGGGAATTAAACGATATTTTCAAGAACTTAAAAAAAAAAATGTCAACCAAGAATAGAATACCCAGGAAGCCTATCTTTCAAAAATGAAGAGGTAATAAAGACATTGTCATACAAAAGCTGAAAAAGTTGATCACCAGTAGACCTACCTTATAAAAAATGCTAAAGGGAGTTCCTCAGCTTAGGGAAGATGACAATAATTGGTAACATGAAAACATATGACTACATAAAACTCACTGGTAGAAGTACATTGTCAAATCCAAAACACTAATACGGTAATGGCAATAAGTCAGTTATATCTGTAGTACAAATGTTAAAAAACAAAACTATTCAAAGCACCTAAAGCTGGAATAATTTCTTAAGGACTACAAATATTAAAAAATATAAATTTTGACATCAAAAACATAAAACATAAAAGGGAACTAAAAGTGTAGTTTGGGTATGCAATCAAAATTATCAACTTAAAATAGCCTGTTATAAGATGCTTTATGTAAGCCTCAAGGTAACAACAAAAGCCTATCATAGATATACAAATGATTTTTTAAAAAGTGATCCAAAGCATACTACTACAGAAAACCATCAAACCACAAATGAAGCAAGCAAGAGAGAAAGGAACCAAGGACCTGTAAAACAACCAAAAACCAATTGACAGAATGGCACTAGTAAGTCCTTACCTATCAATAATTACTTTGAAGCTAAATGCACTGAATGATCTAATCACAAGGCGTAGAGTGTGGCTTAATGGATAAAAGATCCAACTATATGCTATGAGAGACTCATTTCATCTTAAAGAACACTCAGACTGAAAGTGAAGGGATGAAAAAATACATTCCATGCAAATGGAAACCAAAAGAGAACAAGAATAGCTGTACTATTTTCAGAAAACAGACATTAGGCCAAAAACTGTAAAAACAGACAAAGACGACAATTACATAGTGATAAAGGGGACAATTCATCAAAAAGGATATAACAATTTTAAATATATAGGCACCCAATATCAGAGCATCTAAATATATAAAGCAAACACTAAGAGATATGAAAGGAAATGAATTGTAACACAGTAACAGATTTCAATACCAGAAATCTGGTATTTAATAAATGGTACTGGGAAAACCGGCTACCCATATGCTGAAAAACTGAAACTTAAGCCCTTCTTTAAACCTTACACAAAAATTAACTCAAGATGGATTAAAGATTTAAACCTAGGTCCTCAAACCATAAAAACCCTAGAGGAAAACCTAGGTAATACCATTCAGGACATACGCATGGGCAAAGACTTCATGACTAAAACACCAAAAGCAATGGCAACAAAAGCCAGACTTCACAAATGGGATCTAATTAAACTAAAGAGCTTCTGCACAGCAAAAGAAATTATCATCAGAGTGAACAGGCAACCTACAGAATGGGAGAACATATTTACAATCTATCCATCTGACAAAGGTCAAATATCCAGAATATACAAGGAACTTAAGCAAATTTACATGAAAAAAAAACAAACAAACAACCCCATCAAACAGTGGGTAAGGATATGAACAGACACTTCTCAAAAGACGACATTTATGCGGCCAAACATATGAAAAAAAGCTCATCATCACTGGTCATTAGAGAAATACAAATCAAAACCACAATGAGATACCATCTCATGCCAGTTAGAATGGCGATCATTAAAAAGTCAGGAAACAACAGATGCTGGAGAGGATGTGGAGAAAGAAGAAAGCTTTTACATTGTTGGAGGGTGTGTAAATTAGTTCAACCATTGTGGAAGACAGTGTGGCAACTCCTCAAGAATCTAGAACCAGAAATACCATTTGACCCAACAATCCCATTACTGGATATACACTCAAAGGATTACAAATCATTCTACAATAAAGACACATGCATACGTATGTTTATTGCAGCACTATTTACAATAGCAGAGACTTGGAACCAACCCAAATGCCCATCAATGATAGACTGGATAAAGAAAATGTGGCACATATACACCATGGAATACTATGAAGCCATAAAAAAGGATGAGTTCATGTCCTTTGCAGGGACATGAATGAAACTGGAAACCATCATTCTCAGCAAACTGACACAGGAATAGAAAACCAAACACCACATGTTCTCAATCATAAGTGGGAGTTGAACAATGAGAACACATGGACACAGGGGAGGGGAACATGACACACCATGGCCTGTTGGAGGGGTGGGGAGCAAGGGGAGGGAGAACATTAGGACAAAAAACTTAGATGGCGGGTTGATAGGTGCAGCAAACCACCATGGCATATGTATACCTATGTAACAAACCTGCACATTCTGCATATGATCCCAGAACTTAAAAATAAATACAACAAAAAATTTAAAAAAAAAATAAATGTGCAAAGGACCTGAATAGACATTTTTCAAAAGACATACAAAGGTCCAGATATATTTGAAAAGAAAAATGCTCAACATCTTTAAATAGAGAAATGCAAATTCAAACCATAATGAGATATCATCTCACAACTGTTACATTTCATTTGATAACAGCCAATCTAAGAAGTATTGGTGAGGATGTGGCAAAAAGGGAACCCTTGTACTTTGTTGGTAATATTGTAAGTTAGTACAGCCACTTTGGAAAACAGTATGAAGTTTCCTCAAAAAATAGAATTATTATATGATCCAGCAATCCCACTTCTGGGTATATATCCAAAGAAATTGAAATCGATTAATATGTCAGAGATGTCTGTACTCCCAAATTCACTGCAGGACGTCACATTAGCCAAGATATGGAAACAACTTAAGCGACCAAAGGTCACAAGGATTTAAGTAACATGGCACACACACACACACACACACACACACACACACACACACACACACATTGGAGTACTATTTCAGCCTGCAAAAGACAGGAAATTGTCATTAGCAAGAATACGGATGAACCTAGAAGACATTTTGCTAAGTAAAATAAGACAGGGACAGAGACAAATGCTGTATGATCTCACTTATATTTGTAATCTTAAACAGTTGGCCAGGCGTGGTGGCTCACACCTGTAATCCCAGCACTTTGGAAGGCCAAGCAGAGAGAATTGCTTGAGCCCAGGAGTTCGAGACCAGTCTGGACAATATAGGGAGACCCTGTTTAAACTAAAAAATACAATTAGCCAGGCATGGTGGCACTGCCTGTGGTCCGAGTTACTCAGGAGGCTGAGGTGAGAAAATTGCTTGAGCCCAGGAGTAGAGGGTGCAGTGAGCTATGACTGAGCCACTGTACTCCAGCCTGGGTGGCAGAGCAAAGCCCTGTCTCTAAACATTAAGTAAAAATAAAAACAAAAGTCAAATTCATGGAAGCAGAGAAAAGAATGGTGGTTACCAGAGGCTGGAAGGGTGAGATGTTGGTCAAAGGGTATAAAGTTTGCTAGACAAGAGGAAGAACTTCTGGTGATCTATTGCATAGCATGATGACGATGGTTAATAATACATTGAATATTAACAAACAGTTTAAATTTTAATTTAATTTGTTGGCAGGGTGTGGTGGCTCACGCCTGTAATCCTAGCAATTTGGGAGGCCAAGGCGGGTGGATCACCTGAGGTCAGGAGTTTGAGACCAGCCTGACCAACATGGTGAAACCCTGTCTCTACTAAAAATACAAAATTTAACCAGGCGTGGTGACACGTGCCTGTAATCCCAGCTACTCAGGAGGCTGAGGCAGGAGAATCACTTGAACCCGGGAGGCACAGGTTGCAGTGAGCTGAGATCACACCACTGCACTCCAGCCTGGATGACAAAGTGAGACTCCATCTCACAAAAAAAAAAATAAAAAAGAATTTAATTTGTCCTCACTACCAATAATTCAGGTGATGGGTATAGTAATTAGCCTGATTTCATCATTCCACAATGAATACACACATCAAAACATCACATTGTACCACATATATATATACAATTATCAAAAAAATAACCAAACTTATAAAAGGAATCAAGCAGCTATACCATAAAAAATTGTTTTACTATTTATCATTTAAACCTGATAGAAAAAAAAATTGAGTTCAGTTTTTAAAATGTCCTACTGAAAATAACACTGTCAGGTCACATTGTAAGGACACAATTTGATTGTGACAATATTCTCTTGGAAACAAATGATGGCAAGAATGTTCCTTTTATCAAAAATAATTTAATTATTTTATCTGTATTAATAAAGCCATAATAAAAACTGGTTTATTGAAAATGCAACATTCAATATGTAGCTCACTTTTATCACGTTATTCTGCTTTGTATTAGCACCAGAACATGATACAACATGATTTGTAATACGGTTGAAAACAAAGGGCATTTATGCACTCCACAATCAGAATCAGGTATGCAGTAAGTAGACTAGCCTACTTCTAATAAAAGAAAAGTCTGACTTTCTAAAACTCTTAATTCCATTTAATATTTTGTGGTAGGGAACACACAGACTGCACAAAATGATGTAAACTAATCAGCCTAATGAGGCTTTGGACACTAAAAAAATTTTAACTTACAAAGAAACTTGAGATTACTTTAGAAGAGAAAAATAGGAGTTCATTTTAGCTCTTCTGAGCAATGATGGACATAAAATTTTTCCTTGCAGTTTTTATTATTATTATTATTACCCCAAAGACAACTGTGGCTAAGAAAAGGGTGTGTTTCCAAGAAAGGAATTTAGTGTCATTAAACACATATACTTAATGGGAGGTTTCCTGAACCTCCTCACTGAAATGCAGCCATCAGAAAATAATAGAGTTAGTCATCTTTTTTAATATATATTTCAAATACATTTATTCCCCTAAGGCATGTATGTAAAAAACATATTAAACGTTAAAACTAAACAGCAAAGTTAAACCAGAAAGATGAAAACCACACAAATAAAGGTAGACAATATGCTATAAAAATGTACAGCCAAATATACTCCCAACTAATCAGCAAGAAAATATTCTTTAACCTTTTCATATTAAGTAACCAAACCTAATCAAAAAGATATTTACATGAGTAACTGTATCTTTTATAAGCAAGTATCAAAATGTATCAAAATAAAGCATGTCCATGTCGTAAGAATCAACTTCAAGAAACCTAACAGGTATTGTAATCCGACTAACTTATCTTGTTTTTGCCATTTAATATATATTAACCTCATGTAACTACCTTCTTAACTAAAAATGGGAATATCACTTACCAATCACTATTGCTTCTACTGAGTGGATACTCAATGAACTAGTTTCCCTTTCCCTTGGCATAAATCAAGAATATCTCTTTAAAAGCAACTGTTTCTTCTCCATCATAATTTAAGACATCATTACAGTGATTGACCCGGCAAATGTCTTCACCGCTACAACTCATCATGTACTTTAACTGCATCATTCCATCAGTACAGTCTGTTCTGGTTGTTCATATCTCATGCCTATTGCGCTCATGTAACCAAATGACCATTGGATGTCTTTTCAGTCTCTACTCGATGCTTTCTGGATAATCATTACTTTACCCAGCCCTTTACTTGTTTCTCAAAGTCAGAGTTAGAAAGTGTTTTAGTCCAAACTCCTCAGTTACAGGTATGGAAGTAGTCCCAAAGAAATTAAAGTCTGTGACCATTACTGCTTAAGACCACTTAGCTAGAAACAAAAGGTAGCCATGTTGGACTCCCAACATCCTCATTTGTTCTGGCATCTACCAACACTGACTGATAGAACAGGCTTGAACTAGAGTGGTTTGGGTGTTGAGATAGCAGGGTGGCAAGGCAGGTTATCCTAGCAAAGGGGCCGCCCACCAGCACAGTGACTTGAGTAGGCATCTGCTGATGGTTCTCATTCATTATTACAGTATAAAGATCTGTGTTCACTGATTACCCCATATCACTGCAAGCTCTTCACTACTGTAAGTAATTGTAAAAGATCAGATGATTTGATCGGTGATAGTAGTGACAATACCTTTTTACTAGTTTGACAACTTACATGCCCTAGCTAAGCTAAGTAACGAAGCATAAGTGGAACTGGAAAAAAAAAAATTACAGAGAAAAATTCTAGAATGCTTTCAAATTTATCCCAAAATCATGAAAAAAAAATGTATGTTTATAAACTTATCTAAAAGTATCTACATAGAAATACTTTACTAGGCACTGAACAAGTTAAGCCAAACAATAAAATTATTAACATGTAAGTTGTGTTAATTTTTCTATCTCTACATACTTCCTTCTCAACAACCCAGCAAGGAAGGTACTACCTTCTTTCTTGGGTAAAATACCACAACTCAGAAATATAGCACATCAACAACAATAAATAAACTCAAAGCTGTCTGATTCCACATTTCCTGCTCTTATAATGACTGTGGTGTATTAAAGATAGCCACAAATGCTCTTGGAGGTGGGGGAGTATCTGGTTTTCCTCTTTTTAAACACAGGCTGGCCTCTGACTGCTCTGCTTTATGTGGTACAAAAGCAGTGATGATGTCTGTCTGAGGTCCGGCTCAGGCTATAAGGAGACAGGCAGCTTCTACTTTGTTCTCTTTGAACGCTGCATAAAGTTCCCCAATTCATTTTTCAACCTGCTGTTAATCACAGCCAATAGAGACTACATTTCATATTCAGGATATTTTTCAGTTCTGGGATTGCCATTTTTTACCCTTTCCACATCTGTCTTAAATTTCCTCATACATTATCTCAACCTTTTCCTGTAGATTCATCATAGTTATTTTAAACTACTCTGCCATTTCCAACATCTGGGTCCTTTTCTATTGACCTATTTTCTTAACATGAGTCACAATATTTAGTAAGTTTTAACTACATACTGAGCACTGTAAATGATGTTTTACATTTAGAGATTCTGTTAACTTTCTCTGAAGGATGTTGAGTGTGTCCTGAGAAGTGGTCTTCACTCCTAAAATGTGGTTCTCTGGGATATCAATGAAAAGCCAAAGATGTTTATCAAACTCCTATTAATATAGCAGGATTTGAACTCCAAACTGTTTCTCCTCCACCTCAGCAACTGCTGAAGTATCTGTTTTTCTCTTTCCATCTTCCTATGGGAGCTGGATGCTTTCCCATGGGTCCCTCAGGATATCGCCCCCTGTGTACACAGTTCAGGAGTCAGCAAAGCCTTTAGGGGATATTTATTTATTTATTTATTTATTTATTTATTTTTGAGACAGAGTCTCGCTCTACCACCCAGGCTAGAGTGCAGAGGCACAATCTCTGCTCACTGCAACCGCCAACTCTCGGGTTTAGGAGATTCTCATGCCTCAGCCTCCCAAGTAGCTGGAATTACAGGTGCATACCACCATGCCTGGCTAATTTTTGTAGTTTTAGTGGATACAGGATTTTACCATGTTGGCCAATCTGGTCTCAAACTCCTGACCCTCAAGTGATCTGCCCTTCTTGGCCTCCCAAAGTGCTGGTATTACAGGCATGAGCCACCATCCCTGGTCAGCTTTAGGTGATTTTATAGATGTGTGCAGCCGCCCTCCTCTGTGGCTCCACTATTCTAGGATATCCCCCTCAATTCCCCGCTACCTTGGCAGCTGCAAGCTCCTACTTCACAGGACAAAAAGATAGTAGCTGTCTGCCTTGTCACTACAGGAACTGGGAAATGACCTCAGGAGAAAAGCTATCATTCAGCATTCAGTCAAGAGTCATAAACGCCACAATAATCTCAACAGGAAAGATTTCATATAAGGTGTTAACTATGGTAGTTTTATTACTAAGAAGGAATAAGACAGAACTCAGAGATACCCGAAGTCTGAGGGGGAGTACCCAATGAAGGAACATACCCTCTCCATATCTGAGCTGCAGCCCACCGGATGGCAGGGAAGTTTCATGGCTTGAGGTGGGCCAGAGTTGGTGCGTGGTCAGCAGGCCAAGGCTGTGTCAGAAACCGCAAATGCCTGGCAACCTGGGAGTCCCCGAATGGATGGCCAAGGAGCCTGAGGCTGAACACAGAATGACAGACTGGCCTGACAAGCTGGAAGTATACTGCTGGGGTACCAGCAAAATGAGGCTGGCAGGCACAGAGCCATAGGCCAGGACTGGCATGCAGGAAAATCTCCATGAGGGTTTACACAGGCAGAAGCTGGCAGGCAGAGAACAGCAGGCCAGACTGGCAGAGAAAACCTGCTAGAGAGTAAACACCACCGAGTGCCACACACATGGCCATGGCAGCTGTGGAGCCAGCAGGGATGGAAACATGCCAGAATCAGGAACAGAAGCCCCCTCCTCCCACAGCATCCCTTTGGCACCCTCCAGTGATGAAGCTTAAAAGATGTCTTAAGCAAGGGAGATGTTTACAGGGTCCAGCAGACAATGACGGGTGGATTTGGAGCTGGGAAGCGATTAAGTGGTACAATATATAAAGGTAGCTCTTACCCAGTACAATTACCTTTCACGGGCTAAATCCCTTCTGATTTTTGCCTATTTTTACTCTTCACTGCCTTTATACAAATAGGTCAAATCTATCCTGCCACCCCCATTCACCCCATCCACAAAATATATATCACAGTTTATAATTTGTATCCAGAGGGTTGGGCATGCTATTCTGTCATTACTAGGAATCAAAAACCTTGAGTGATGACTTGACACAGAATCTGAAGAATACTATAAGCAGAAAACTCCCACTATTTCACATTTCAGAGTAACTACTTGAGGCAAATGTACAGGTATCTTGGCATTCAACAGTATAAATTCCACTTGTCCAAAATATTCTGAAAAAAACTGCTTTCTACTAGTTCTAAAAAATGAAGAAATTGATTAATGTCAAAAGCATTCAAAATGACTCTTCTAAATTGTCCATACAATGCAAAATTACATCTTTAGCTCCCAAACTGAAACATCAAGTTTTTTCAAGATATTAATGCCCACAAAGAATGTCAGTAAAATGACAACTTTGAAATAATGTAAAGAAAAAAATAGATTTTTATTTGTTAAATCCATAATGTCTAAGTTCTTGTTGAAGGGCATGTAATTTTGTAGTGTATGAATGCAACAAAACTATTTCAGACCTGACTAATTTCTACAAAAGTAGTTAATGAAAATGCTTGCTTTAATATTAGTAGTTAATAACCTTGATGTTGTGTTTTTGGTTTGTGTTTTTTTGAGACAGAGTCTCCCTCTGTCACCCAAGCTGGAGTGCAGTGGTGCAATCATAGCTCACTGTAACCTAGAACTCCTTGGCTCAAGGTGATCCTCTGCCTCAGCCTCCCTCTTGAGTAGCTGGGAGCACCACCACACCCAGCTAATGGAAGTTTTTCATTTTAAATTTCATTTCTGCCCCCTAAATAATGGCATCATTACTAGTACACATGTAATTCACAGCGTGATCACAAGTACTGTCGTCATTGAATTGCTTGGTAGTCAACAGTTGTCATCGTTGGAAGAATGTCAGAGCATTGCCTGGATACTGGTGTGCATAGCTCTTGCTATATACATGTAGCCAGCAGTTTTAACTGTCTGTTATGTCTAATTCTTTACTGTCCATCTGTGTCACTTCTCAACTTCGTTCTAACTTTTGTCCCCTCCTGACCATCCTCCAGAAGTGAGAACCTAATTTAAGATGCAGATTCTTAAAGATTACGATATGCCTTTCAGTTAATTTTTATTTACTCAGGAGAGGGAGCCTCCCTTGCCAAAGTCTGTAACAAAAAACAGGATTTTAGAAGATAAAACAAAAATCCTTTGACAGTGCCAAGAGGACCTTTTAACTACTGCTTATGAGATAATAAGTCTTATATGCCTCTTCTCTAGTATTTTATTCTCCACTTTTAACTTTCTTACCAAAAAGGCACAAACAGTAATTTTGTGCCTTTGAGATTTCCAGTAACCTCTCAGACTAAAGCCTTTTTACCCCAGAATCCTACTTTTCCAATACAACACCATGAACTCAGGACAAGCCACAGGAAGGAAGTAACAACTCTATTATTGTTGTTGTCCCCACTCTAGCCTCTGCTTCTATGTCCTCCATTTTATTTTTTGTCTCCTGTTGTTTTGTAGACGTTTACAACTGGACTTCATCCACACTGCATTTTTATAAATTGTCTAGCCTAAAGACAGATGTTCACGTCTTGTTAAGACATGATTCCTACGGAACAAGTGTGAACTAGGATAAAAGTATTTTTTAGAAAGTAGTATTGATCTCTAAGGATTCTACAGTAAGTTCAGTTTTCTATTCTGTAGTACATGAGGAAGATAAATTGTTTTTAAAGCATGCTGTATTTTATACTATTAAAAAGTCATCAATTCTCATAGTAACATTCATTAAACATCCATTAGATTTGGGACACTATGCTAGATAATAAGACAAAAGGAAGAAAGAAAATATGATCAGAGTCAATTACATTAAGGAGTACTTTATCACTCCAAATAACCAAAGCAATCTTGAAAAAGTACAAAGTTGGAGGTCTTATACTTCCTCATTTCAAATGTTACTATAAAATCACACTAATCGAAACAGTGTAGTAGTAGCAGTAGTAGTAGTAAGTAGTAGCAGTATAAAGACAGACCTACAGACCAATAGAGTACAGAAATGAACCCCCACATATATGTTCAAATAATTTTGACAAGGGTGCCAAGACCATTTAATGGACAAGAAACACTCTTCAACAAATGGTGCCGGGAAAACTGAATATCCATATGCACATGAATGAATTTGAACTCTTACATCGTGACATATACAAAAGTTAACTCAAACTGGACCAAAGACCTAAATATAAGTTAAAGCAAGAATTATAGAAATCTTAGAAGACAACATTGGGGCAAAATCTTCATGACTAACCTTGGCAGTGATTTCTTGGATATAACACCAAAAGCATAGGCAACAAAAGAAAATAAATTAGACCATATCTAAATTTAAGAATTCTGTGCATCAGAAGATGTATCAATAAAAAAAGCAATCTCTGGAATAGAAGAGAATATGTATAAATCATACCTGAAAAGGTTTAAGACCTAGAATACATAAAGAACTCCTAAACTCGACAAAAAATAACCACCCAATTTTAAAAGGAAAAAGGAATTGAATAGTCATTTCTCCCAAGAAGATATATAAAAATGGCCAATTAGTAGATAAAAAGATGTTCAACATCACTAATCATTAGAGAAATGCAAATCAAAACCACAATCAGATACCATTTCATCCCCATTAGGACAATTACTTTGTTTTTTTTAAAGTAACTGTTGACAAGGATGTGTAGAAACTGATTGGAAACCCGTGTGAACTACTGATAGAAATAAAAATGGTACAGCCACTATGGAAAAAGTATGGCAAATCCTCAAACAATTCAAAGCAGGATTGTCATACTTTCCAGTATTTCCACTTCTAGGCATATACTTAAAAGAACTGAAAGCCGAGACTCCAACAGATTTATACACCCATGTGCATTAGCAGCATTATCCACTATAGCCAAGAGGTAGAAGTAACCCAAGTGTGTCCATTAACAGATGAGTGGATAAACAAAATGTGGTATGTACATACAATGGAATGTTACTCAGCCAGCCCAAAAATGGAAATCCGACACATGTTCCAACACAGATGAACCTTAAAGACATGATGCTAAGTGAAATAAGCAGTCACATACAATGATTACATGAGGTACCTAGAATAGTCAAACTCAGAGTCAAAGTAAAATGGGGATTGCCACGAGCTGGGAGGGAGGGGAAGAGGAGTTACCATTTAATAAGCACAAAGTGAAAGTTTTGAAAGATAAATTCTGAAGATGATGGTTGCACAAAAGTGTGAATGTACTTAATGTCACTGAACCACACGCTTAATAATTAAAATCGTAAATTTAGTTATATATTTCATCACAAGTTTACAAAGTAACTTTTTTTTTTCTTTAGACAGAGTCTCGCTCTATCGCCCAGGCTGGAGCGCAGTGGCTCTATCTCGGCTCACTGCAAACTCCACCTCCCGGGTTCACGCCATTCTCCTGCCTCAGCCTCCCGAGTAGCTGGGACTACAGGCACCTGCCATCACGCCCAGTTAATTTTTTGTATTTTTGGTAGAGACGGGGTTTCACCATGTTAGCCAGGATGGTCTCGATCTCCTGACCTCGTGATCCGCCCGCCTCAGCCTCCCAAAGTGCTGGGATTACAGGCGTGAGCCACCGCGCTCGGCCTACAAAATAACTTTTTAAAAGAGTGCATGTCTCAGTCTACTCAGACCACTATAACAAAATACCACAGACCGGGTAGTTTACCAACAATACTTATTCTCACAGCGTGGAGGCTGGAAAGTCCAAGATCACTGTGCCAGCAGATTTGATGTCTGGGGAAAGCATCTTCTCATGGTGTCTTCCCATGGCAGAAAAGGTGGAAGGGCAAAAAGGAACACACACAGTGTCCTCACATGGCAGAAGAGGTAGAAGGGCCCAACAGCTCTGATGCCTGGGACATTAATCTCATTGAAGACAGAACCCTTGTGGCTTAATCACCTCTAAAAGAGTCCTACTCCTAATGTCATCACGTTGGGATTTAAGTTCAACATGTGAATTTTGGAGGGACACATACAAACCATAGCAGTCAGAGAAGAAATTATCCATGCTTTGAAAATATGTATATTTAACTTTATAAAACAAAGGAGAGAATTATTTGCCTGGACACCTGAGGTATGAGAGAAAGTTATTAAATACAGGCTACAAGATAATGAAACACTGTATCTCAATTTGTCATGTTAGAGAAATTCTGATTGTATTAAGTTTAAGAAATTAGCAGCTTAGAATATACTTACTAAAATCTAAGAAAGATTTAAAGAATGATCTGCGCATTTAACTCGAGATATATTTATTTTACTCTTCCTTTTTTTGGCTTGATAAGGCTTGTCAGAGGTTTGTCTCAGTTTTTCTGCTTTTGATAATCATTTCTCTTCCTCCAACACCAACTTCATCTCCCCTTCCCCATCCCCTACAGATACGTCTTAATTAAAACATAATACTATGCCCATAAACTTGAAAATATAAAAGAACAGAAGTTTCTAGAAAAATATACAAAGGGTCAAAATAGGCAGGAAAAAAGAGAAAGCCTAGATATTCAATAACCATTATGGAAATTGAAATGTTAATTATCAACTACCATCAAAAGGCTGCTCCTCTGCCCTGCCCTACCAACCCCTAAAGAAGCTCCAAGTTTAGAAAGTCTTAATGAGGAGCTCTATTGGAATTTCAATAATGAGATATGACTATATCTTAAAAAGTTTTTCCCAAAAAGAGCAAACAAAAAATGACCCAACTCATTTTATAAGTTTGACACAGTTTTGCACTGCAAGTTAAGGACAGCAAATTATAAAAAGAAGAATTTCACTTACACAGAGGGAAAATATCCCAAATAAAATATCAGGTAGCTAAATCCAATAGTCTGAAACATTGCAGCTAGCAGTATTCACCCCAGAATCACAAAGATAGCATTATAGACTTACTGATTTCAAACTAATTCACATTAGACAAAAAGAAAAAAGTAACATGATAGCTACATGTAGGAAAAGAATGAGATTTCAAAAAGCACAATATCTATTTGATTTTTTTAGAGAAATAAGCCTTTTTAGAGAAGTGAAAATTAAAGGTAGATTAAATTTGATAAAGTCTTTATCAAAAAAAGAAAACCTGCATCAAGCATTATACTTAAGAAATGAAACAGTCTCTTTAGTGATGGAATCTAGAAAAACATACCCCATTACTGCAACATGATACTGGAGGTCCTGACCAAAGCAACAAAGATAAATAAATAAGGACCAGTGGGGAAAAAAACACAAATATGTCGTTATTGCAGACAATACAATCATGGGAGTAGAAAACTTACAATTCAAATAGAAACAACACCAGAGTTCAATAAATTTGCCTGCTATAAGTTCAATATACCTGACAGAAAAATACTGTAAGAGCAAATGTCAGTTAGAAAACATGATAGAAAATAACATATTAGAACAGATAAAAACTAATCTAAGAAATTACTAATATAAAGTAAAAAATCCTTCAAAGAATGTAACAGATCTGAATGAATTATACTATCTTCACAAATAAGAAAATTTAAAGACATCAACTTAATCCCAAGATCTTTTTCAGTTATAAAATTTACTGAGGGTAGAAAATAATTATTGGAATACAGCCTTTACACTTACGTGCCTGAAAGTTAAAGTTGTGTCTTTTTACATTAAGGCATAAAATGTGAGCATCTGAGCCTCAGGTACTTATACCCAAAAGGTCATAATAATAGTGTCCATCCTAAAAGCACTGGACACAAAAGACAAATATCTTAAAAAATAATTTCAAATCTAAAATAAGTTTGATCAATTGATGAATGAATTCTTAAAAGTCAAAACATTCTAGCATCCAAACCCAAGGTTGCACTGTAAGTTGGTATGTGTATATTGCCTTTTGTGCCAGGCAGATAAGGAATGGAGGCATCTGAAGAACTCTCCATTCCATTTTCTATGAGTCCTGATTGAGAAGGAAATCCCACAGCAGTGCGTTGCATGCTTGTCTTTATTTCAACTAATGTTTTCAGTGTGTAAAATGTTGTGTAGAAGCAGCAGACTTGCAGGTTGCTCAGTGAAATTGGCATGATACAGATGTGATAGGTAATGTTCAATGATGAACTAATGCTCAACATTATCTGCCATGTAATCAATGTGCAGTGTGGCCTAAGCACCACAAAACATCCAGATTTAAAGCATGAATTCTCTTGGGTTTCAAGATTGCTTATTTCCTGAAAATTTTGGTAAATTAAAATCTGCCCATCAAGCAAATCAGGGAGTAAATTTTGTCATGGCTTGATTTTTATTAACCATCAGCCAGCCCACATAACAAATGTTGAACAACAACCTGTTGTTGACGTGTCTCCCAGACTGTGAGAGACATACCTAGATCAATTTATAATATTAAAGAATTCCAGTAAAATCTTCCAACTGGAGGAAACTTAACATAAGATTTCAAATTTATAGAAAAGTTATAAAGGTCAATATCAAGTGTATCAGTCACATCTTGTTCCCTGCCTCAGATTCCCTTGGTCTCATCTGTCTCCTAGGCTCCCTCCACCAGAGTGACTAACTGCTTGTGGGCCCTCATGGTCCTTTAACTGAGGACAGCAGCCAGAGTCTCTGATTTCTACCTATAGCTTCCTCTGGAGACAGAGAACCATGATACAGGTCATAGGATCTGGCTTCTCCCTGTGACTGAAGGAGCTAGGAGTTCACTGCCTCTGGGAGAAATGCTAACACAGAGGGAGATGTCAGATGAACTCTCAGTCTTAGAACAGGACATTGGAGGTAACAATACAACATTTTTGGATAAGCCTGTCTGGATATGTCCCCATGTGATGAAGTGACCAGCTGTGTTTGTGAAATAATGGCCAGATTTGTAATCATCATCTTACATCAGTACTTAAGCCTTGCCTAAGGCTCTATTTGCTAGGGAACCTGTGCTGAAACGATAATCTTGAAAGTAATTAACAGAAAATGAAACAATGTGGTAGTATCACAGGAGACAGTGAATAATGAACCCAGAAATAAATCTACATAAAGCAACATAATAGAGGCACAAATTAGTCAAAAAAATGGATGATTTTATAAATGATGTTGAAAAATCTCTCTTTATAAAGATGAAAAAGGCAGGTGCCCTGTATCAGAGAATATTTTAAATGACCTCCAAACAAACTTGAGGCCTAAGTGTGAAATGGAAAATAGAATAAAATACAACCATGATACGGACAAGAACTTAAACAAGACCTTCAACTCAAGATTTGGCCACAAAGTAATATATTAATGTATTAAAGACAACACTGACAAACAGATTCAAATATATTTGTAATGTGTAAGACCAAGAAAAAAATTGTACCTAGGATGTATACAAAACCCTACCACATCAACAAGAAAAAGATAAGACACCCAGAAGACAGTGGACAAAAAACATTAAAGCATATTGAAATGTTAGTAAGTGCTTTACTCCACTTAGACTGCTAAAACAAAATATCTCAGACTGCATAGTTTATAAAAAGAATTTATTGCTCATAATTCGAGAGGCTGGGAAGTCCAAGATCAAGGCTTCAGACCCTGTGTTTGATGAGGACCCATTCCTGATAGATAGCACCTTCTTGTTGCATCATCACTTGGCAGAAGGGGCAAACAAGCTCCCTCAGGCCTCTTTTCTAAGTGTACTAATCTCATTCATAAAGGCAGAGCCGTCATGATCTAATCACCTCCCAAAGGTGCCACCTCTCAATACTATCACCTTGGTGGTTAGGTTTCAACAGGAATTTTAGGGGAAACACAGACGTTCAGACCATAGCAATAAGTAACACAAACATGAACAAACATACAAAGCTGCATCCTCACTAGCAATGTAGTTCAATTAAAACACAAATCAATATACAGCCATCAAATTGACAAAAGCTAGAAAATTAAAGATCATTAAAAGCTACAGAAGATGTGGCTGAAACTATAACCACTGCTAACCTTATATAACTATATTTATTAGTCTTATAGAAACTCACAGAAACTTACAGAACTAGAATCACTTCTAAACTGCCATACATATGAACTGAAAACAGATAAAAGTAATTTATGCTTTTAGGCTAATGGTTGAGAATGAAATTTCTGGGGATAGCAAAGAGTATACTCAAAGAAGATCCCAGCCAAGTCACCAGATCATTTTTTCTACAGCTCTTCATAATTTTTCCAAAATGGAACCAAAGAAAATGACATGACTATATGAACCTACCTAGTAGAATAATTGAGAGAATTAAAAAAAAAAAGGCAAGAGGGAGAAAAATAAAAAAAAAAAAACATGGGAAATATGACAAATAGGAAGACGCATGACCGTGAAGAGATAAACACTTTCCAAGTCCATCACCAAGATTGTCAATTTACTTCCTCTGATGAAATACCATAAACATATAGATCATGTTTTCATTAATAACTGCGATGTGCCACTTTGGTACTGTGGTTTGCAACTGACTTGTGTAAGAAACAATGGTTTGCAAATACTTTCACTAAAGTAACAAGTCAGCTCTTTCTGACTCAAAGCTTCATCTTTAAATCCCTACTCATTTCTCTTTATAAATCATTTTTCTTCATATGTTCTTTCACTCACCCTCCTGAGGATCTTTTCATTCCTTGCCCCTTTCCTCAAATCTCCATTTGTCAAAATTTAAAAAAAAAACTTATGCCTTCTTATCTCTTTCTACTATACCCCTTGCTCCCTGTGCCCACTGTGCCCCCTATCCTAAAACTCAATGTGACATGAGGTTTCCCCTGAGGCTCTTCCTTATCTGCAAATCCAATCCAGGCACAACCGAACAACTAAGCAAAAACAGCCAGGGAGGAAGGCAGGAAAGGAGAAGAAATGGGGAACTACACTGTAAAAACTGAAATAAAACTTCTGAGAGTTGTAATGCTTGGTGAATATAAAGAAAAGACACTTCATAAAATTTCATCTTTTTGACTTGTTCCTGTTAACTCAGTATTTAAAACCCAAACTTGTTGACAGTACGAGATACAAGTCTTATTTATTCTAGCATGTGGGGTACATTGGTGAATATAAAGAAAAGACACTTCATAAAATTTCATCTTTTTGACTTGTTCCTGTTAACTCAGTATTTAAAGCCCAAACTTGTTGACAGTACGAGATACAAGTCTTATTTATTCTAGCATGTGGGGTACAGGCAGGCTATGAATTATGAATGGGAATTCCTGTCATATTTCTTTAATTTTATAGCTATTATATTCAGCTACCCACAGATAAGCGACGGGAATCTTTAAAAATGCGGGGAGGGGTTGTTTCAATTAAGTTAAACAGGCACTTAAAAAATACACCTTCTCAATCTCCATTATAAGATTAACACTTAAATATTACATGTCTCCATCGTCAAGTCTAAGAAATCAAAGCAAAAGGTACATAATTAACACCCCAGAGACTGATTCTGTCACTGGCTGAATCCTGCTGTATCTTTCATGAATTTTCATTCAAACCTAATTGACAAATTACCTTCTAAAATTCTCTATGTACAAAAACCTTGTGTTAGAATCAAGGCCAGGTCTCTGAACAATAAAATTCAGAATACCATCTGTGAGCATAACACCAATTTTCACAGGAAATGAATTTTAAAAAGCTTCTTTGTATAATAATTTATTATTTTTCCTCAAATTGCACAGAAAAGAATTTCACATTTGAAGATTCAATAAGAATCCACTGGACCAATCCGTGGGCTTTTCTTCATGTTCCTGAAGATCGCATAGTTTCCACTCTTGAAATTTGTATTATTCTTTTGTTATTTTCTTTAGAAATATTTTCCTTTAGCAAACTCCTAATGTGTCAGTAAAAATTCTCAAGGATGAAATAGTTTTCGTCTCCAATCTTAATAAAATAAAACTGAACAAATACCTAGTTACATGGAAAAGCCCAAGATTCTTTGAAAACAAACACATACGAATTTATGTATCTTAAGTAAAATACAATAGATTTTGACTTTTAAATTATCAATCCAGACATTGGCACTAGTAGCATTTTGGTTTTCACAAGTGCCATCAACCTTTCTGATTTTGTGTGTGCACTTACACTTACAAACAGGCATATATAGATTTTATATAGTTGTTATTACAACTTTATATATTAGTTTCTCAGTAACACTCTAACATCAACAATTTCATGATCAAATTCTGCAAAAATAATTTTTAGTGACCCTTTAAAGCTTCTATTAATAAATGTCACAATTTTATTGATCTCTAGAAATAAAGGTTCAGTAAAAATGACCACACTTATAAAAATGCTGCAAATCACCAACCTTACACACGGATCTTTGCCCATACTTCCAATAATTTTTCAGATGAATTTCTTAGAGATTTAAGGGGATTTCATTAATGTGTATGTACTTAATATATGCACATATATAACTCACATCAAATCTGTTTATATAACTGGCATTAGTGTTAACATATAAAATATGTGTCTACATATATGTATACACATGAAATTCATCCAGCAATATTTAAGAACCTAATCCATGCCATAAACTCTTCTAGGTGCTAGAAATGAGACTGAACAAGACAAAGTCCCTGTGTAGCAGGAAGAGCCACAGACAAAACCTCTCAGACACCAAGTTGTAGAAGGAAGGGCTTTATTCAGCTGGGAGCATCGGCAAGCTACTGCCTTAAAATCTGAGCTCCCCGAGTGCACAATTTCTGTTCATTTTAAGGGCTCCCAACACTAAAGATTTCACATGAAAGGGTCGTGACTGATTTGAGCAAGCAGGGGGTACATGACAGGGGCTGCATGCACTGGTGGTCAGAGAGAAACAGAACAGGGCAGGGAGTTTCACAATGTTCTTCTATACAATGTCTGGAATCTATGAATAACATTGGTTTCTAAGTTATGAGTTGATTTTTAACTACTGGGTTTAAGCCAGGCAGGCCCAGGCCTGGTTTCGGGCCTGGCACCAGGCTGCCTGTCTTTGGTTTTACTTCCTTGTTGTTTTTTCTTAAAACAGGTACTGAGTATAAAACAGTATAAAATAATATGAGACGGTCTTTCTCTTCCTTCACCTGCCCTCACAGAACTGAGGTTTTAATAGGAAAGATACACACCAAAAAAGATATATCAGGTAGTGATATCTAATAAGCAAAACTAAAGCAGAACAAAATAAGTATGATCTTTTTTTTGCCCCCAAGATGGCAGATAGCAGGCAGTATTAGCGTGACTAGCTCACTTGGAAGGACAGAATAGGGGGTAGAGATTCACATTGTGATTTTTTTTTCCCCCAAGAACCACAATAGGAACTTAACAGGAAAAATACAAAAGAATCCACAGACCCTTTGAAAGAAGTGGCAGGCTGCAGCCTACTCTGTGAAGACAGATGAAAAACTCTAAATGTCCAGAATGTGAGAGGGGGAAAGTCTGCCTCCAATCATACATCCCCACTGGGGAATCTGAAAATCCAAACCACAGCAGAAGCTCTTAACCCTACCCAGAGCTGGACTGGATTTAGGGAGTGGTGTGAAATATAAAAGTGGAAGCAACAGCAGGAAGTCCCTTGCAGGCACTCCCAGTCTCCAGCACTAGCCAAGGGAAGCCATTCCTGACTATATTTCAGAGAAGCCCTCAGGGAAGTTAGCCAATGAACTCAGGGAGGGGTTGCAGGGTGAAAGAAGCTCACAACTGAATTCTGTGATATAATCTCAAGTGGGGATAAACTCCCTTGAACAGAACCCAAGGGTAAGCTGGAAGTGTGCCACAGATAGGAGTGCAGGATCTGGGTGCCCAGCCTTGTGGGGAGATGGGGAGGGACATGGCCTGAAAGCCATAGTTGCTATTTCTGCAGGGAAATAAGCCAATGTACAACCAAGGAATCTCAGAGTCTGTGTCAGTCCCCTGCCACCTCCATCAGAGCTGAACCCACTGCTGGGAGACTTGAATACATCATTGGATCCCTTGCAGACATTCCCCAGCACCAGTCCAGAGTCTGGTAGCCCCACTGGGTGGCTAGACCCAGAAGAGCAATATCACTGCAGTCTAGCACTCAGGAAGTCCCATTCCTAGGGAAAGGGAGAGGGCACTACATCAAGGAAACACCCTGTGGGACAAGAGAATCTAAACAACAGGCCTCGAGTCCCAGATCTTTCCGCTGGTGGGAAGTTTCTTACAGCAGAGACATAATTGCAGTGCTGTGCAGTAGGGAAAGTCTGCACCTCTACACCAACAGGCAGGCAGCCTCTGTAATCATGAAGGGTTTTGGAGAAGGGGTCCTTGTCCTCTGCCCTCCCCCACCTGCCACCCCATACACCACACTGCAGACACAGCTGAGGCTTCTCCCACAGGAATGCAGTGTGAGTGCACCTACCAACAGCCTTCCTGGAACAATTCAGGGTGATTGCACTCCCACAGAAGGGGCACTCCTGGATTCAGGCTTGCATGAGAGGCAGAGTCACAATTCCTCCCTACTTGGAACATCAACATTCCTACAGATGAAAAGAGCTGCCTGTTTGATATGAATAGCCAGAACACTGGAACAGGAGTGAGGCTATGAGGTAGATCGCTTTCCTGCTGGCCTGGCAGGGGAGCTGAGGTAGCTCCCACCCTTCATCTAATAAATCTTCAGCATGTCTAATTGAGAGCTCCCCCAGCCACCTTTATCAAGGCTAGGACCTCTGCCCACCATTGAGTATTACATCTACTCACTTGCCTTAGCTACAACTGGTACCTACCAAAGGATACCTCCCTATTGACCTGAAGCCTGAATCAACTCAGTAAATAAAATACTGGAGAAAAATTAAACTGTATACCACAACAGAATGAGATAAGCTTCAAGAGATTCCTGCCATTCAAACCCCATAGGAGACATTCAACTTGCCCACACACCAAGTACCCAACTCCTACAATCAGCATCTGGGAAAGCCAGTGCACAAAGATCCTCTATAACTCAGGAACTCATGCAGCATCTTCTCCCCTAAAAGCACCAAAAATCAAATTAGGCTGTAATAAACATTAAAGTCAGATCCTTGAAAGGGGAAAAAAATAAATTAAAAAAAAACCCACAGTCCAATCAAAAAATAAATTCAAGAACAATTTGAAGAAATAGTCTACCCAAATAAGAAAGAATCAGAAAAGTAATTCTGGCAGTATGACAAAACAGGGTTCTATAACAACCTATAAAAGAACACACTAGATCCCAAGCAATGGATACAAACCAAGATGAAATCTCTGAAATGCCAGATATAAGAATTCAGAAAGTTGATTATTAAGCTATTCAAGGAGATACCAGAGAAAGGTGAAAAACAACTTAAAGACTTTTTTTAAATCTATGATATAAATGAAAAAAATTCCAGAGAAATAGATATCATAATGAAAAAACAATCAGAACTTCTGAAAAGGAAAGACACACCTAGGGAAATACAAAATGCAGTGGAAAGTTTCAACAACAGACTAGAAGACGCAGAAGAAAGAATTTCAGAGCTTGAAGACAAAGCTTTTGAATTAACCCAATCAGACGAAGTAAAAAAAAAATTTTAAAAAAAGAACAAAGTCTCCAAGAAATATTGGATTACCAACCTAAGAATAATTGGTGTGCCTGAGGGAGAAATGAAGTCTAAGAGTTTGGAAAACTTATTTGAGGAAATAATTGAGGAAAACTTCCTAACCTTGCTAGAGATCTAGACATCCAAATACAAGCAGCTCAAAAAACTCCTGGGAAATTCATTGCAAAAAGACCATCACCAAGGCACATAGTCATCAGGCTATCTAACGTCAAGACAAATGAAAGAAATGTTAAGAGCTATGAGAGAAAAGCATCAGGTAACCTACAAAGGAAAACCTATTAGACTAACAGCAGATTTCTCAGCAGAAACCTTACATGCCAGAGGGATTGGGGTCCTATCTTTAGCCTCCTGAAACAAATAATTGTCAGCCAAGAATTTTCTATTCAGCCAAACTAAGCTTCATAAATGAAGGAGAGATAAAATCTTTTTCACACAAACAAATGCTGAGAAAATTTGCCACTACCAAACCAGCACTACAAGAAATGCTAAAATGAGTTCTAAATCTTGAAACAAAAGCTTGATATATCACAATCGAACCTCCTCCACATAAACCTCACAGGGTCTATAAAACAATAACATAATGAAAAAAAGGACCTAGGTAAGAGCTAACATGATAAATAGAACAGTACCTCACATCTCAATAGTAACATTGAATGTAAATGGCCTATATGCTGTATTAAAAGACACAGAATGGCAGAATGGATAAAGCCAACCAAGTATCTGCTGTCTTCAGGAGACTTACCTAACACATAAGGACTCTCACATAAACTTAAGGTAAAGAGGTGGAAAAATACATTGCAAGCAAACCAAATGGAAACCAAAAGTGGGCAGGAGTAGTGATCCTTATACCAGAAAAAGGGATACATGATAGATGCTGCTACTTTAAGATTATAAGATTATCAGGTAAGACTTCTTTGAGGAGGTGATGTTTGCTACAGACCTCAATAGAGAGTGGAAATAAGCCAAGTGTGGTGGCTCATGCCTGTAATCCCAACACTTTGGGAGGCCAACGCAGACGGTTCACCTGAGGTCAGAAGTTTGAGACCAGCCTGGCCAACATGGTGAAACCCCATCTTTACTAAAAATACAAAAAATTAGCCCGGCATGGTGGCGGGCACCTGTAATCCCAGCTATTTGGGAGGCTGAGGCAGGAGAATCGCTTGAACCCAGGAGGCAGATGTTGCAGTGAGCCAAGACTGTACCATTGCAGTCTAGCCTGGGCAACAAGAGCGAAACTCCATCTCAGAAAAAAAAAAGAATAGAAATAAGCAGTTTAAGATCTGGAAAGAGTGACCTAGGCAGAGGAAGAGCAAGCATGTGGACCATTTTTAATACATTTATATGCACAGCCTTTTATGATCATTCGTTTGAACAAATATATACTTGGTGTTAGTAATATACCAGGCAGATTGCTAAGAAGAAGACAGATACCATCCCTGCCTTCACAGGGCTCACAGCCTAGCAGAGGAGTTTGACATTTCACAAATGACTTCAAGTAATTATTCAATTGTAAGTCTGATGCTGGGGAGAGATGAAAAACAGGCACTAAAAGAACACAGAACGGGTCAGCCTAACCTGGTGTGGCCAGACAGAAAAGAATTCCTTGAATAAATGATAATTACAGGATAACTAAATAATAAGCAGCAAGGTAGAAAGTAAGGTTCTAGATAGTGGGAATCTTGTATTTGAAGAATTAGAGTAAGCATGGCTAGAGCATATATAAGGGGGCAAATGAGATAAGCCAGAAGAAACAGGGAGAAGAAGCAATCCAGCCAGTCAGCATATAGAATGGCAGTTAGACATCTGTGACCTTCCAGCACCATTTGAAGAGGAAGAGTTATCTATAACCTAAAACTGCACACCTTTTATTTTGCCACATTCAACAGTGACCATGGATCAGCTTGCAGTGAGTTTCTTCTAACTGACTAACTTCATATGACACCTTGGTTACAATTGCCAGATATCTGCTTGTGATGGTTAATATTAGGTATTAACTTGATTAGATTAAAGGATGCCTAAATAGCTGGTATTGTCTCTGGATGTGTCTGTGAGGGTGTTGCCAGAGGGGAGTGACATTTGAGTCGGTGGACTGGGAGAGGAAAACCCACCTTCAATGTGGGTGGGACAATTCAATTGGTTGCCAGCACAGCTAGAACGAAGCAGGCAGAAGAAGGTGGGATAAGCTGGCTTGCTAAGTCTTCTGGCTATCATCTTTCTCCTGTGCTGGATGCTTACTCCTGTTCCCTCTGCCCTTGGACATCAGACAACAGGCTCTTCAGCCTTTGAAGGCTGCACTCTCAACTTCTCTACTTTTGAGGCTTTTGGACTTGAATTGAACCACTACCAGCTTCTTTCTTCCCCAGCTTGCAGACGGCCTATTGTGGGACTTCACCTTGTAACTGTGTGAGCCAATTCTCCCTAATAAATTCTCTTTCATATACACATATATCCTATTAGTTCTGTTCCTCTGGAGAACCCTAATGCACTGCTCAGCTCCCAAATGGTCAACACTATTATGTATTTTCTGCATGCATTCCTCAAAAGGGACAAATTCCAAGTCTTCTCATCACATCTACCAGTCTATCTGCATCTTTCTTCACCTACTCTTTCCTCCTGTCCCCATGGATGAACTATCCATATTCCCAGCCAAGGTCAACTTCAATACCACTAATGCAGTAGGTCCCATCCACTCTCACTTTACCACTGTCTTCTCACTGTGGAATCACCCCCATCAGCATAACAGTGTGCTGTTTTATCATCCACCTGAAAAAAAAATCAAACTTAATCTATAACTATTCAGCTACCTCCTCCCATTTCTCTACTCAATATGTATAAAAGTTCCTCCAAAAATCAGCCCTTCTATTCTTAGATCAATTCCAACAAGATTTTCATATCCACCACTCCCATCAAACACTGGTAATCTCACATTTCAAATGTTGATGTACAGTTCTCAGTCCTCACTTTTTAGAAATCCTAGGCAACATTTAACAGAATGGCAATTAGACATCTGTGACCTTCCAGTACCATTTGAAGAGGAAAAGTTATCTATAACCTAAAACTGCACACCTCCTTTTACTTTGCCATGTTCTACGATGACCATGGATCAGCTTGTATCTGATTCAGCTCAATCAGAAAGTACTTTCTGCATTAAGTTTCTGGGATACTACCCTCTAATCCTTATGGCCACTCTTCTATCCCCTTACCTAATTCTTCCTCACCTCCTATAGCAAGTTGACTAAAGCACTAGATTAGTTGCTCAAACTTATCATCATTGGGAAGTTTCTGACAAGCTCAATATCTGATATTCAATAACTATTTACTCAATGTGCAAACAAATGACAATAAAATTATGTAAGTACAGCAGCATTTCCAAAACATGAAAACCAGAAGCAATCCAGTAATATTAAAGAAATTACTTGATTTTTAAGTTACTTACTTTTAACTAAAATTTTGATTAACAAAATGTCTAAGGAGCTGTATAGATAACTTACCATAGTACATCTGAGACTGCTGTTCTTAAAAAGACTGGCTTATAAGACAGGCCCTCAGCCAGCATCTGAGAATTAACTGACAAGGGCAAGTCAGTGTGCCTGCCTAGACTGTTGGTATCAACAATATGATTTATGCTGAACACCAACTTTCCTTCTGGAAATCTGGAATTTTTGTATGTGCCAAGCAGAGGATATCCAGATGACCAATCGAACACCCTGGGCATTGTATCTCTAACAGCCCTCCCTGGGCATAAATGTCACACACAATTTGCTGAATTTTCACTGCTGGAAGGAAGGTGTGCTTTGCATGATCCTTCAGGAGAGGGAGGGAAAAGAGCATCTAGAAGCCTGCAAACGGATCCTCAACATTCTGCCTGCATCTCTCTCTTCTGATCCAGCTCTATAACCTTAATACTTCATTGTAATAAGTCTTAGCCTTGAGTATAACTATACGCTCAGTCCCATCAGTTCTGGAAATTCTCCAAATGTGGAGGTTGTTTGGGGAACCTGACATAACAGCAGCTTATTCAAAAAGCCCAAATTCTTACCTGCTGATATGCTTCATAAATCACATCAAATAGAAAAGCTTGGGGCATTTCACTTGCTCTGTGTCTGGCACGTTCTAGCGAGTAGTCTAAGCAACCATCAGCAGATGGACTGACGACAGTAGATACAAGAGGTCGAATGGCTCCTGCTGCCTGAAGAACAAAGAGGCAAAGAATATATTTCACCTACAAGCCATTTTAAAGTGAAATTCTGAATTCAGTATCTCACTTTTGACAGATCTTATTCATACCTTCAACAAGCTACCTTAAGAAAACATCTGAGTAAGTGTGATTGGTTCAAAAATGGTTATTTCAGGTAAAAAAAATCAATTTTGTAGTATTACAGTTCCATACATTAAGGTGAAATTTTCCTTCATTATAAGTTCAAAATCCTTCTGATCACAGGCCATTGAAGTCAACACTAAAAAAAAAGATGCTAAGATCCAATTGGGTGTTCCCTAAAGATGAAGGAGGCAGAGAAAGACTATCATGAAATAATTGATATGGATTGCAAATTAATATTAGTATACCCTCAGGAGAGTTACATATTAGATACTTAAGGAAATAAACAAGTTCTCCAAGATCCCCTAGATGAGACTCAATAACCCAAACAATGTGGGTTGCTCTAATTTGTGTCTTGCTCTAATTCACAAGGAAAAACAGTTCCTGTCAAACACAGTCTCCATGCAATGCTTCCTCAGGCAATACCCATTGACTTCAATTGCTATGATGAAAGTTCTCTCAATAATAGTTGCATCTGAACTTTAGAAGAGACATTTCATGTCTGACAATTTTTCCCTTTATCTTTTTTGGAGTCCCATTGTAAGACAGTTTTGAAGGCCATTACCAGAAGAACTGCCTTAGTGAAACCGCTTTAAAATATAGTTCAATGGTGGGCAGTTAACCAAACCTTATATTTACTCCAAAACATCCTTTCTTCCACACAATTGCTACATGGGGATGATTGCAGCATATGAAATTAGTGCACAAGTAAAACAAATGTCTTCTTGATGAGACCAACATCTGAACAAGATAGATAGTCCACACATTGGTTTGCAAAAGCCAAGGGACTGGCTGAAAATCAAAGCAAATGTATGAGCCAAAGAGACGGTTTATAAATTGTGTCACACCTTCCAGTGCCTCAAGCAGAAATTTGGAACCTAGGCATAAAAACAAAAATGAGGACACAGGGTGACAAAGAGGAAGTAGTATCCAAATAGGTGAAGGGTAGGTCAACTGGTCAAGCCCAGTACCTATCAGTAGAGCTAGAAGATAAGACAGGAAGGAAATGCATGTACACACAAACATGCATGCTGCTTTAAGAAAAAAGATTCCACTGAAACTACGTATATTTTTGGAATTCTATATCAGGGCATGAAGTTAAAAAATACTTAAGAGAACATGAGACATCCAAAATGCCAATGCAAGGAGCTCTGCAGACTCCGTCCTCATTGAAACTAGTGAAAAGTATTTTAAGAACCATTAAAAGCCTCTGAAAATTGTCCTAAGGACATTCAGCAAATGAAGAAACATTTATTCCAGAAAATCTACTACATTTTGGTAAGAACAGACTCTGTAGTACTCAAGCCGTGACCCGTTTCTTCTTCTATACTCCAGCCAGCTCAGTGTAATGGATGCTCTACTCAGAGTAGGTATGGCTAAAAAGATACGGCCCCCTCACCCCAAGTTCCCAGTATGAAGGGCAGACTGCCAGCATTTCCTATGCCCCTCAGCACTATGGCACAGAGGCTAAAATCTATGCAAGTGTGGACACGAGGTTGAGGCCCACCTCTTTCACATAGTTCCCACCCATGCCCCAGAATACTGGGGCCCTGATCACTCTTTTTCCAGCTCACACATACGGCAGTTTTCATACCAGGGGAAATAAAAGACCAGAGTCTTCTACTGCCCTCATGTAGATCACAGAGTAGGGAGTTTACTCCAAAAAAAATAGTGCACTGTGCCCACCCACAGTTTTAAAGCAGTGATGTGGTGATTTTTCCTTTTTTTTTAATTTTTTTAAATTTTATTATTATTATACTTTAAGTTTTAGAGTACATGTGCACAATGTGCAGGTTAGTTACATACGTATACATGTGCCATGCTGGTGCGCTGTACCCATTAACTTGTTATTTAGCATTAGGTATATCTCCTAATGCTATCCCTCCCCCCTCCCCCCACCCCACAACAGACCCCAGAGTGTGATGTTCCCCTTCCTGTGTCCATGTGTTCCCATTGTTCAATTCCCACCTATGAGTGAGAACATGCGGTGTTTGGTTTTTTGTACTTGCGATAGTTTACTGAGAATGATGATTTCCAATTTCATCCATGTCCCTACAAAGGACATGAACTCATCATTTTTTATGGCTGCATAGTATTCTATGGTGTATATGTGCCACATTTTCTTAATCCAGTCTATCATTGTTGGACATTTGGGTTGGTTCCAAGTATTTGCTATTGTGAATAGTGCCACAATAAACATATGTGTGCATGTGTCTTTAGAGCAGCATGATTTATAGTCCTTTGGGTATATACCCAGTAATGGGATGGCTGGGTCAAATGGTATTTCTAGTTCTAGATCCCTGAGGAATCGCCACACTGACTTCCACAATGGTTGAACTAGTTTACAGTCCCACCAACAGTGTAAAAGTGTTCCTATTTCTCCACATCCTCTCCAGCACCTGTTGTTTCCTGACTTTTTAATGATTGCCATTCTAACTTGTGTGAGATGGTATCTCACTGTGGTTTTGATTTGCATTTCTCTGATGGCCAGTGATGGTGAGCATTTTTTCATGTGTTTTTTGGCTGCATAAACGTCTTCTTTTGAGAAGTGTCTGTTCATCTCCTTCACCCACTTTTTGATGGGGTTGTTTTTTTCTTGTAAATTTGTTTGAGTTCATTGTAGATTCTGGATATTAGCCCTTTGTCAGATGAGTAGGTTGCGAAAATTTTCTCACATTTTGTAGGTTGCCTGTTCGCTCTGATGGTAGTTTCTTTTGCTGTGCAGAAGCTCTTTAGTTTAATTAGATCCCATTTGTCAATTCTGGCCTTTGTTGCCATTGCTTTTGGTGTTTTAGACATGAAGTTCTTGCCCATGCCTATGTCCTGAATGGTAATGCCTAGGTTTTCTTCTAGGGTTTTTATGGTTTTAGGTCTAACGTTTAAGTCTTTAATCCATCTTGAATTAATTTGTCAAAGATCAGATAGTTGTAGATATGTGGCATTATTTCTGAGGGCTCTGTTCTGTTCCATTGATCTATATCTCTGTTTCGGTACCAGTACCATGCTGTTTTGGTTACTGTAGCCTTGTAGTATAGTTTGAAGTCAGGTAGTGTGATGCTTCCAGCTTTGTTCTTTTGGCTTAGGATTGACTTGGCAATGTGGGCTCTTTTTTGGTTCCACATGAACTTTAAAGTAGTTTTTTCCAATTCTATGAAGAAAGTCATTGGTAGCTTGATGGGGATGGCATTGAATCTATAAATTACCTTGGGCAGTACGGCCATTTTCACAATATTGATTCCTCCTACCCATGAGCATGGAATGTTCTTCCATTTCTTTGTATCCTCTTTTATTTCATTGAGCAGTGGTTTGTAGTTCTCCTTGAAGAGGTCCTTCACATCCCTTGTAAGTTGGATTCCTAGGTATTTTATTCCTTTGAAGCAATTGTGAATGGGAGTTCACTCATGATTTGGCTCTCTGTTTGTCTGTTATTGATGTATAAGAATGCTTGTGATTTTTGTACATTGATTTTATATCCCGAGACTTTGCTGAAGTTGCTTATCACCTTAAGGAGATTTTGGGCTGAGACAATGGGGTTTTCTAGATATACAATCATGTCATCTGCAAACAGGGACAATTTGACTTCCTCTTTTCCCAACTGAATACCCTTTATTTCCTTCTCCTGCCTAATTGCCCTGGCCAGAACTTCCAACACTACGTTGAATAGGAGTGGTGAGAGAGGGCATCCCTGTCTTGTGCCAGTTTTCAAAGGGAATGCTTCCAGTTTTTGCCCATTCAGTATGATATTGGCTGTGGGTTTGTCAAAGACAGCTCTTATTATTTTGAGATACGTCCCATCAATACCTAATTTATTGAGAGTTTTTAGCATGAAGAGTTGCTGAATTTTGTCAAAGGCCTTTTCTGCATCTATTGAGATAATCATGTGGTTTTTGTCTTTGGCTCTGTTTATATGCTGGATTACATTTATTGATTTGCGTATATTGAACCAGCCTTGCATCCCAGGGATGAAGCCCACTTGATCATGGTGGATAAGCTTTTTGATGTGCTGCTGGATTCAGTTTGCCGGTATTTTATTGAGGATTTTTGCATCAATGTTCATCAAGGATATTGGTCTAAAATTCTCTTTTTTAGTTGTGTCTCTGCCCGGCTTTGGTATCAGAATGATGCTGGCCTCATAAAATGAGTTAGGGAGGATTCCCTCTTTTTCTATTGATTGGAGTAGTTTCAGAAGGAATGGTACCAGTTCTTCCTTGTACCTCTGGTAGAATTCGGCTGTGAATCCATCTGGTCCTGGACTCTTTTTGATTGGTAAGCTATTGATTATTGCCACAATTTCAGAGCCTGTTATTGGTCTACTCAGCGATTCAACTTCTTCCTGGTTTAGACTTGGGAGGGTGTATGTGTCGAGGAATTTATCCATTTCTTCTAGATTTTCTAGTTTATTTTCCTAGAGGTGTTTGAGGTATTCTCTGATGGTAGTTCGTATTTCTGTGGGATCAGTGGTGATATCCCCTTTATCATTTTTCATTGTGTCTATTTGATTCTTCTCTCTTTTCTTCTTTATTAGTCTTGCTAGCGGTCTATCAATTTTGTTGATCCTTTCAAAAAACCAGCTCCTGGATTCATTAATTTTTTGAAGGGTTTTTTGTGTCTCTATTTCCTTCAGTTCTGCTCTGATTTTAGTTATTTCTTGCCTTCTGCTAGCTTTTGAATGTGTTTGCTCTTGCTTTTCTAGTTCTTTTAATTGTGATGTTAGGGTGTCAATTTTGGATCTTTCCTGCTTTCTCTTGTGGGCATTTAGTGCTATAAATTTCCCTCTACACACTGCTTTGAATGAGTCCCACAGATTCCGGTATGTTGTTTCATTGTTCTGGTTGGTTTCAAAGAACATCTTTATTTCTGCCTTCATTTCGTTATGTATCCAGTAGTCATTCCGGAGCAGGTTGTTCAGTTTCCATGTAGTTGAGTGGTTTTGAGTGAGTTTCTTAATCCTGAGTTCTAGTTTGATTGCACTGTGGTCTGAGAGACAGTTTGTTATAATTTCTGTTCTTTTACATTTGCTGAGGAGAGCTTTACTTCCAACTATGTGGTCAATTTTGGAATAGGTTTGGTGTGGTGCTGAAAAAAATGTATATTCTGTTGATTTGGGGTGGAGAGTTCTGTAGATGTCTATTAGGTCCGCTTGGTGCAGAGCTGAGTTCAATTCCTGGGTATCCTTGTTAACTTTCTGTCTCATTGATCTGTCTAATGTTGACAGTGGGGTGTTAAAGTCTCCCATTATTATTGTGTGGGAGTCTAAGTCTCTTTGTAGGTCACTCAGGACTTGCTTTATGAATCTGGGTGCTCCTGTATTGGGTGCATATATATTTAGGATAGTTAGCTCTTCTAGTTGAATTGATCCCTTTACCATTATGTAATGGCCTTCTTTGTCTCTTTCGATCTTTGTTGGTTTAAAGTCTGTTTTATCAGAGACTAGGATTGCAACCCCTGCCTTTTTTTGTTTTCCATTTGCTTGGTAAATCTTTCTCCATCCTTTTATTTTGAGCCTATGTGTGTCTCTGCACATGAGATGGGTTTCCTGAATACAGTGCACTGATGGGTCTTCACTCTTTATCCAATTTGCCAGTCTGTGTCTTTTAACTGGAGCATTTAGTCCATTTACATTTAAAGTTAATATTGTTATGTGTGAATTTGATCCTGTCATGATGATGTTAGCTGGTGATTTTGCTCGTTAGTTGATGCAGTTTCTTCCTAGCCTTGATGGTCTTTATAATTTGGCATGATTTTGCAGTGGCTGGTACCGGTTGTTCCTTTCCATGTTTAGTGCTTCCTTCAGGAGCTCTTTTAGGGCGGGCCTGGTGGTGACAAAATCTCTCAGCATTTGCTTGTCTGTAAACTATTTTATTTCTCCTTCACTTATGAAGCTTAGTTTAGCTGGATATGAAATTCTGGGTTGAAAATTCTTTTCTTTAAGAATGTTGAATATTGGCCCCCACTCTCTTCTGGCTTGTAGAGTTTCTGCTGAGAGATCCACTGTTAGTCTGATGGGCTTCCCTTTGCGGGTAACCCAACCTTTCTCTCTGGCTGCCCTTAACATTTTTTCTTTCATTTCAACTTTGGTGAATCTGACAATTATGTATCTTGGAGTTGCTCTTCTTGAGGAGTATCTTTGTGGCATTCTCTGTATTTCCTGAATCTGAACGTTGGCCTGCCTTGCTAGATTGGGGAAGTTCTCCTGGATAATATCCTGCAGAGTGTTTTCCAACTTGGTTCCATTCTCCCCGTCACTTTCAGGTACACCAATCAGACGTAGATTTGGTCTTTTCACATAGTCCCATATTTCTTGGAGGCTTTGTTCGTTTCTTTTTATTCTTTTTTCTCTAAACTTCCCTTCTGGCTTCATTTCATTCATTTCATCTTCCATCGCTGATACCCTTTCTTCCAGTTGATCGCATCGGCTCCTGAGGCTTCTGCATACTTCACGTAGTTCTCGAGCCTTGGCTTTCAGCTCCATCAGCTCCTTTAAGCACTTCTCTGTATTGGTTATTCTAGTTATACATTCGTCTAAATTTTTTTCAAAGTTTTTAACTTCTTTGCCTTTGGCTTGAATTTCCTCCTGTACCTCGGAGTAGTTTGATCATCTGAAGCCTTCTTCTCTCAACTCGTCAAAGTCATTCTCCGTCTAGCTTTGTTCCATTGCTGGTGAGGAACTGCGTTCCTTTGGAGGAGGAGAAGTGCTCTGCTTTTTAGAGTTTCCAGTTTTTCTGCTCTGTTTTTTCCCCATCTTTGTGGTTTTATCTACTTTTGGTCTTTGATGATGGTGATGTACAGATGGGTTTTTGGTGTGGATGTCCTTTCTGTTTCTTAGTTTTCCTTCTAACAGACAGGACCCTCAGCTGCAGGTCTGTTGGAGTTTGCTAGAGGTCCACTCTAGACCCTGTTTGCCTGGGTATCAGCAGCGGTGGCTGCAGAACAGCGGATTTTCATGAACCGCGAATGCTGCTGTCTGATCGTTCCTCTGGAATTTTTGTCTCAGAGGAGTACCCGGCCGTGTGAGGTGTCAGACTGCCCCTACTGGGGGGTGCCTCCCAGTTAGGCTGCTTGGGGGTCAGGGGTCAGGGACCCACTTGAGGAGGCAGTCTGCCCATTCTCAATACTCCAGCTGTGTGCTGGGAGAACCACTGCTCTCTTCAAAGCTGTCAGACAGGAACACTTAAGTCTGCAGAGGTTACTGCTGTCTTTTTGTTTGTCTGTGCCCTGCCCCCAGAGGTGGAGCCTACAGAGGCAGGCAGGCCTCCTTGAGCTGTGGTGGGCTCCACCCAGTTCGAGCTTCCAGGCTGCTTTGTTTACCTAAGCAAGCCTGGGCAATGGCAGGCGCCCCTCCCCCAGCCTCGCTGCCACCTTGCAGTTTGATCTCAGACTGCTGCGCTAGCAATCAGCGAGACTCCATGGGCGTAGGACCCTCCAAGCCATGTGCGGGATATAATCTCCTGGTGTGCCGTTTTTTAAGCCCGTCGGAAAAGCGCAGTATTAGGGTGGGAGTGACCCAATTTTCCAGGTGCCGTCTGTCACCCCTTTCTTTGACTAGGAAAGGGAACTCCCTGACCGCTTGCACTTCTCGAGTGAGGCAATGCCTCGCCCTGCTTTGGCTCGCGCACGGTGCGCTGCACTCACTGTCCTGCGCCCACTGTCTGGCACTCCCTAGTGAGATGAACCCAGTACCTCAGATGGAAATGCAGAAATCACCCGTCTTCTGCGTCACTCAGGCTGGGAGCTGTAGACCGGAGCTGTTCCTATTCAGCCATCTTGGCTGCAGCCGTGTTAGGGCCACTCATGATGCAGTTAGCCACTGGGGTTGATGTGGTGATTTTTCACAAGTAGAAGACAAAGGATGTGAGAGTAGAGAGCTATGAAGCTCTCCCAAAGGGAACTCACTTTATTTGGAAATTCAAACCTAAGTGTACTCTCAAAAGAGATCATCATGGTAAGCAATTAAAAGAATGCTGGAGATACATGAGCACAAAAAGCTAAACTGTAGGACAGTCAGTTTACCAGTGAAAGCCACGGGAAAACAAAGCCAACAAAAGCTCTCCTGGGATTAGGAACAAACCTCAAAAACTACCCCTGCAAAGGGGCTAGAATTTAACTGAGACTACAAGGGATATATGCCCAAGGCATTATCAAAAATAAAGGTGAGCAATTAGCACACAATGAGTGTAGCTTAACAGCTAGGTGAGATATCAAAGGCAGACAATATAATAGAGGTCAGGGAAGGAGACAGTCAAAGAGAGCCCCACTGAAACCTTTATCATTCTAGGATGACTATATAATACTCAAGTGTCCACCCTCTGAAAAAGCAACATCAGAAGCTTTTCCCTGTGAAAGTAAAAGACATCACTAAAATAGGCCAACCAAGTCATAAACAAATAAGCAAACAAGTCATGCATCCAAATAGGAAAGTGATATCCTCCAGGGATGGGGTGGGAGGGGAAGGGCAGGCAAGAGGAACTGCCTATGAGAAGGCCCCACCCATATATCAAACTTAGCAGATAAAGACCTCAAATCAGAATCAGCTATTATAAATACATTCAAAGAACTAGAGGAAATTACACTTAAAGCAGTAAGGCAAGGTATGACAATATCACTAATGTTAAGCAGTTTAAAAATACAGAAATTCTAGAATTGAAAAGTATAACTATAATGAACATTTATAAAGGAGCTCAGTGACAGGCTTGAACTAGAGAGGAATCAATGAACTTACACTTAGATAAATAGACGTAATACAATCCAAACAAATGAGAAAAAAAGGATGAAGATAAATGAACAGAGCCGCAGAATAAAGGACACCATTAAGTACACAACAATTTTGTATTGGGAGTACCAAAAGGAAAGATGAGAAAGAAGCAGAAAAAAAAAATTCAAGGAAATGACTGGTAACCTCACAAAATAAAGGAAAAATTAGTCTTCAAGAAGCTCAATGAAGTCCAAGTAGAAAAATCAGAAAAAAATCCACATCTAGACACATCATAGTAAAAGTGCTGAAAACCAAAGTCAAGGAAGAAAATCTTGAAAGCAGCTCAAGAAAAATGATTAGCAAGAGAACATCAATATTAACAAGTGACTTATCAGAAACAATAAAAGTTAGATGGCAGTGGGGTAATAGTCACTAATAGGAAAAATATCTCATATCCAGCAAAACCAGTATTTCACACATGAAAGCAAAATGAAAACACTTCCAAAGAAACACAGAATTTTTGCTAACAGATTCATCTTAGAAAAAAGTAGCAACAAATGTTCAGCCTGAAGGACATTTGAAGACAGTAATTCTAATTCACATTAAAAAACAAAGTGTACCAGTAAAGATAATGTAATTATAAAAGACAATATAAATGTATGTTTCTCTTTATATATTGTTTTTAAAAGCAATTATGGAACCTGAGAGTTCCCTGACCCCCCCTCACAGGACCTGCAACAGGAGTGTGGCTCATCTGTTTGGCTGCCATACACTCAAACCCCTTATGGGATGGGGAGCACCCAGATGGGCAGGTGCAGTAGCCAGAGCGAGCGCTTTTGGGCTCCAGCCGCACAGTAGCGTCTAGGGGTGGGTACCCATGACTCCTAAAGCCCCAGTGGGCATGCATGTTACAGTGCTCCTTTAGCTCTGCCGTCCACAGACAGCTTAAATGTTAACCAGCTCAGTGCCCTCTTGGTATCCAGGTCCCTGTCCAGTGTCCAGGAAGAATCATATCATACATGAATTTGAACGTTGGTGAATGTGGGGGTTTTACTGAGTGGTGGAGGTGGTCTCGGTAGGATGGATGGGGAGCTAAAAGAGGGATGGGGTGGGAAGATGATCTCCTGGAGTTTGGCTGTCCAGTGGTCAATCTTCTCTCTGACCACCCCCAGCTGAACTCCTCTCAACGTTCAGATGCTCTTTTTCTTCTTCTCTGCCGTGCTGTTCTGCCATTCTGCTGCTCTTTTGTCTGTCTGCTCTTCTGCTCATGGAGCCTGGGGTTTGGGGCTTATGTAGGTACAGGATAGGGAAGGTGTGGCAGGCCAAAAGGCAACATTTGGGTGTGAAAACAGGAAAGTCTGTTCCCATTTAGGACCATGAGTTTCTAGGCTTGAGGATGGGGCCTTTGCCAGTGAACTGTCTTCTTCTACCCAGTATTTCCCTGCCTCCTATCTGTATAAATTATATTGAACAATAGATACATAGATAACTGATTAGTCTATAACATATTGAACTGTGTATATTTGATGAAAACAGCAAAAAGGAGGTGGATAGGGATAAAGGTGTACTGGATTAAGGAAATGACACCAGATGGCAACTTGCACCAACAGGAACAAATTAATTAAAAATGACAGGCAAGGAAGTTAATACAACAAACTCTATAAATACATACTTGCAGCTGGGTACAGTGGCTCACACCTGTAATCCCAGCACTCTGGGAGGGAGAAGCAGGCAAATCACTTGAGATAAGGAGTTTGAGACCAGCCTGGCCAACAGGGGAAACCCTGACTCTACTAAAAATATAAAAATTAGCATGGTATGGTGGTGAATGCCTGTAGTCCCAGCTACTTGGAAGGGTGAGGCAGGAGAATCACTTGAACCCAGGAAGCAGAGGTTACAGTGAGCTGAGATTGTGCCATTACACTCCAGCCTGGGCGATAGAGACTATCTCAAAAATATTTTTAATTTAAAATAAAAAAAAGATATATATATATATATATATATATATATATATATATATATATACACACATATATATATGTATATACACACACACACACTTGCTCACTTTTCATCTTCTATAGATAGCAAAATATAAACTAATAATTATTAGGTTGGTACAAAAGTAATTGCAGTTTTTACCATTACTTTCAATGGCAAAAAATATAATGGATTGTTGGGTTTCTTACATAGATATAATATGCACAATAACAGAACAAAAAAGAGGAAAATAGAGCCATGTAATTTTTAAATATCTCACTGGAATTAAGGTAGTAAATTCTGAAGCAAATAAATGTTTGCATGTATACTGTAGGTCCTAGAGCAACCACTAGCAATGAAACTCAAAAAATTAGAAAATATAAAGGAAATAAAGTATTACAATAAAAATTTTCACTTACTACAAAAGAAAGCAATAGGAGACATGAAAAAAGTAAACTAGCAGACAAATCTAATTATATATTAAAACGAATGGATCAAAAGGCAACAACTGTCAAACTAAATTTTTTTTTAAATCTATCACATGCTGTCTACAAGAGACAACTATGATTCAAAGACACAAATAGTTTGAATTTAAAAGATGTCCAAAATACAAGCAAATATGAACAAAGCTGAAGAAATAAACAATCCAACAATATTTGGAAACATCAATATTCTACTTTCGATAGTGGCTAGAACTAGGCAGATCAACATGGAAACAAAAGACTTGAAAAATACTATAAACCAAATAAAACTAACAGACATCTATTAAACATACCACCCAACAACAGCAGAATACCTATTTGAAGTGCACATAGAACATTCTCTAGAACAGACCATATGCTGGACCATAAAACAAGTTATAAGAGGATCAAAATCATACCAAGTATAGTCTCTTAGAATAGAATAAAATTAGACACAAAGTTGGAAACTAATTTATTCTTTTCTTTCTTTGTTGGGGGAGGCAAGGTCTTGCTCTGTCCCCCCAGGCTGGAGTCCGGTAGCACAATCACAGCTCACTACTGCTTCAGCCTCCTGGGCTCAAGCAACCTGCCAGCCTCAGCCTCCCAAGTAGCTGGGACTACAGGCATGTGCCACCCCACCTAGCTAATATTTGATAGAGACAGGGTTTCACTATGTTGCCCAGGCTGGTCTCAAACTCCTGGGTTCAAGCAATCTGCCTGCCTTGGAGTCCCCAAGTGGGCATGGAGCAACCATGCCCAGCCAAAGTTGGGAATTTAAAGTATGTGGAAAATTAATACTAAAAAAAAAAATGAGCCAAAGAAACCACTAGCAAACTTGAAAATACTTTTAAATGAAAACACAAACAATATGAAAATGTATGGGGTACAGCTAAAGCAGCCCTTTGAGGAAAATGTATAACTGTAAATGCCTATATAAAAAGATTCTAGACAAGTGTAATTTTTCACCTTAAGACACTGGGGGAAAGAAGAACTAAAATTAAAACAGACAAAGAGTAAACAAAAGAAATAAATTAGAGAATAGAAAAAGAAAAAAAGCCAAATATGGTTCTCTTATAAAATAACAGTTGAGGCTGGGCGTGGTGGCTCATGCCTGTAATCCCAGCACTTTGGGAGGCCAAGGCAGGTGGATCACTTGAGGTCAGGAGTTTGAGACCAGCCTGGCCAACATGGTGAAATCCTGTCTCTACTAAAAATACAAAAAATTAGCCAGGCATGGTGGTGCATGGCTGTAATCCCAGTTACTCGGGAGGGTGAGGCAGGGGAATCACTTGAACCCAAGAGGCAATGGATGCAGTGAGCTGAGATGGCGCCACTGCACTCCAGCCTGGGCGACAGAGCAAGACTCCATCTCAAACCAACAAAAACAGTTCACAACCTTTGACGAAAAAAAAAGGCAAATTAATAAAATCGGAAGGTAGTGACATTTCTATCAACCTCAGAGAAATAAAAAGGAACATAAAACTACAAACTATATTCCAGCAAATTAGAAAAGTGATAAAATTAACATATTCCTAGAAAGACAATTAACCAAAATTAACTTGATAACAGAAAGTCTGAATAGACCTATAAAAAGGGAATTGAATTAGTAATTTAGAAATTTTTCACAAAGAAAAGCCAAGATCCAGAAGGCTCCACTGATGAACTATGCCAAAAATTTAAAGAACAGTTAATACTAATTCCTCAAACTTGTCCAAAAAATAGAGAATGCTTCCCAACTCATTCTGTAAGACCAGTATTATCCTAATACCAAAAACAAAGACTGCACAAGAAAAGAAAGCCAATTAGGGATATTAGTTTGTAAACAATGCAAAAACAGATGCAAAAATTCTCAACAAGATACCTACAAACCCAATTCAGCAACATATAAAAAAGCGTTATACACCATGACCAAGTGGGATTTATCCCAGGAATACCAGATCGGTTCAACATATCAAAAAAAAAGTCAATGTAATAAACCATGTTAATAGAATAAAGGACAAACATATGAACATGTCAATAGGTGCATAGAACTCATCTGACAAAATCCAACACCCCTTTGTGAGAAAAGCACAAAAATTAGAAACAGAAGAGATCTTGCTCAACCTGAAAAAGAGTGTTTGTGAAAAATCCACAGTTAAGATCATGCTTACTGGTAAAATACTGAGTGTTTTCCCTTTATGATCAAGAGTAAGCAAGGAAATCCACTGTTGGCCATTTCCAGTAAACACTGTAATGGGAGTCCTAGCTAGGATAATTAGGCAAGAAAATGTAATAAGCTATCCAAAAGAAGTAAAGCTATCTCTATTTGCAGATTGCATGATCCTGTATATAGAAGACACTAATGAAGTGTCTTCTAACTATTAGAAGAAGCGAGTTGTCAGCAAGGATACAGAGAACAAGCCTAGTATACAAAAAAAAAAAAAAAATATATATATATATATATATATATATATATCAGTTTACTGCTAGCATATAGAAATACAACAATCCAAAAATGAAATTTAAAAAATTCACTCACAAAAGCATTGAGAAGGCCACTTAAGAGTAAATTTAGTGAAGAAGTTCAGAAGTTACTACAAAAACTCCAAAAAAATGTCCTGGCTTCTAATGGCCAATGTCTCTACTTAGCTACTTTTACCCATTCCCTCTCAAATACGTCTCTACATTTAGTCTTCTTCTTTCTGTCCTGCCTCCTCAATTTCCAGACTTCCATTTAATTATGCTTATTAATATACAAGTATGCCATGACTTCTGCCATCATTAAATCAATTCTTTCGATATATATCTTCTTCCAGCTAATAACAAGTTTCTTCACACAAGTATAAAGCCCAACTCTGAATTATCTGTATAAGAGCACATCTCCAATTTCTGTCTTCCTATGCTTTCTGGAATCTATTTCAATCAGGCCATTATCGCCACACCACCACAAAAATACATTTAACCAAGGTCACCAATGACCCCCACGTTGCCAAATCCAATTAATAGTTCTTAGTCTTCTTGAGTGTTTGTTCACTTAGTTTTCAGAAATCATTCTCAACCACACCCTCTCATCTTCCCAAACTAACTCCTAGGTCCTTACTTTCTCAGACTGTAAATGGTAAAGTATTCCAGAGCTGCATCCTCATACTTCTCTATTGTTAAATGGGAAAAAACTTAGACAAGTTTGCATTTTAATCGAGCTTGAGCAAACAAAACCAGCAAAACAAAAATGACTTGTGAATCACACGGCCCTCCAAACCAGAGCAGTTTTGGAGAACTCCAATAACATAATCTGACAGCATTTATAGGAAATGGAAGTGCTGTGTAGAGATGACTTAATAAGTAACAGCTTAATTTAAGGTTACAGGTCCTCCTGCAATTAACTAATGCTCAGCTCCTGAAGTTAAACTCTATATTGGTTTGGTCTGTTAGGCTTAGTTCAGGAGCCTAGTCGAAGTCAATGGCCTCCTATAAATTTTATTTAACACAATCTACAGTCATTCTATTAATGACCACATGAAGTCCCATGACTTTAAACACCATCTACATGAGAACTTCCAAACCTATATATCCAGCCCAGAATTCTCTTGAATTCTGGATTTGCACTTCCAAATGCCTGTTTAACATTTCCACTTAGTTCAAAATGCATACCTCTACTGCAACAAATTGAACTCAAAGTTTTGGTATTACCCACTCCACAGCCTCCAAACCTGTTCCTACAGACGGCCATCTACACAAACATGAACTCTATTCTTCTCGTTATTCTTGCCCAAAATCTTGAATGCTGTCCTTGATTTCTCCCCCACTCTTATAATTCAGCCCATCAGTAATCCAGTCCCTGTCAACTTCAAAGTATTCCAAATCTGCCCACTTCTCACTGTCTCTGCTATCCAAGTCCAAGCCACCCATCCTCCCTCTGAGATTAGTCCAGTAGCCTCCCAATTGGTATCTCTTTCACTCTTGTCCTTCCACAGCCTATTCTTCACAAAGCAATAGAACAAACCTGTTCATGATGAGTTAGATCATGTCTCTCTTCTGTTCAAAATCTTCCAAGAGCTTTCCATCTCAAAGAACTAGTCAAGTTCCTTCCATTTAATTCAACTTAAATAACGCTAAAAAATTCAGTTCCTCATTTCCACTAGGAGCATTTTAAGTACTCAATAGCCACATGTGACTAGTAGCTTAGGTACTAGACAGTGGAGTTAGCCTATTTCCATCACTGCAGAATGTTTTATTGGACAGCAGTGCCCTAGAATGTTCACTCCATGACTGCTGTCTCTCCAGCACCTAGAAAAGTGCCTAACACATAGCATGCACTCAGTAAATAAGGGTTACATTAGTGAATCAGTGTTGTAGGTCTTAGAGATACTGATTAGGCCACACAAAGAAGTCAAAGTGTCACTAGGTAATACACATATGTCTTCATGATATTTTATACAGCAGCAGCATCTGAAGAAATTTCAAGATGAGGTCAAACCAAATCCCACTCCCTCAGTAAGACACCTAACTTGCTTCGATAGAAGCACCCTGTATTTGTAGTCTATGAACAACAATGCAAGTCTCATTCATGCCACTTAATAGCTGTGTTATTTGTAACAAGTTCATCTCTGCTTAATTAATATTCTTTTCTATTAAATGAAAAATTTTAACCAGGTATTTTATTTCAGGCCCCTTCAGCTTTAGTACTATAATATTTTATGAGGAAAGCCCCCACATGTCAAAGCTTCCAATCCAACAATTCACTCTAAGTTCTCTCAATAGCCATCATACCCCTACAGAGTAAGAGTTATGTGGTGGCAGTTTCCCAAACCAAAATAGAAATGTCAGCCTTACAAAATGGCAGAATATTATATCATCACCCATGCAGAAAACATCCATCTCAGTAGAGCGCATGGGCAAACAGTAGTCTTACATTCTTCATATTTTTGTCCTGCTTTCACACAGCTACCTAGTTCATATGATAGACTTATATTATCTGAAAGACCTAGACAACCATATTCCAAGCATTATGCTTTGCATAATGAGGAATACGCAAAATGCAATCCTTGCTCTGAAAGGGTTCAGTTTTGGTGGGAGGGAGAGGGTAGATGCACTCCCTCCGGAGACCAGTTATTAAATGCTGAAGTGCTACAAATACACTGTGAACTCGTTTCCCTCATCTCAGTTACTTGATGAATATAAGCCATTAATAAATTGCTTTTGATATTTTAACCTCACTTCCTATTATGAAAACTTCCTAATAGTTTCTCAATACTATATTCACTCATTTTTATGACTTTTAAAGAATTACGTAGTTTAAATAAAAACTTGAACACCCTCTCATACACCCAGCCTCCTCCCCTACCCAACAAACAGTGAAAAGCAGACAGGCTCACAATATTCTCTTTCCACCTGGATACTCCAAGTAAGAATCTCTTAATTACTCTATCTTTTCTCTAAAAAGTATTCTTGTACTTCTTTAAACATTTCTTGACCACTTTTTTTGTACTATGTATAAAGAAACAATCTTGTTTTAAGGATTTTAACAAATAAGATAGATCTTGTCAAGGATCTTAAAGTCTCATGAACATGACAGATTAGGAAGCCAACAACTATAAGATACAATAATGCAAAATATTGGGGGTGGAGAGCCCTGAGTTCCAGAGCAAGGTGGGAGCCTCTAACCTCCTGGAGTGGTTCTCAAATACTTGCTGGATGGATAAGTGATTGAACAAACTACTTCTTAGGAAACATTAAAAATTACCTAATAGTTTAGAATGCATATATACACAGCAATATTAATATAAGAAAATTAAACAACAGAAGTGGTTTATGAAGTATACTTAAGAACAGCAGGGAAAGGGACTTGATCTAGCAGTATGAAAAGTTATTAGAGAGCTGTCTCAATAGTGACTAAGACAGGGTACGAAAACAGACCAACAGCGTGGAAGAGAGTCCCAACAGACCCATGCTCACATAGAAACTCAATATATGACAGAAGTGGCAGTGCAGGTCAGTGGAAAAGGGGATAATTATTCAATAAATGGTGCTAGGCAAAGACTTACCTTTGTAGCAAAAGATGAAAGTGAAATCAACCCCTACTCAATCTGTAAACTCCAGAAAGAGATATCCATGTAAAATTCAAAATTATAACACATTTTTTAAAAATGGTGAATATCTTCATGACTTCAGTGTAAGAAAAAAATTTTTAAACCAGGCAAAAACAAAAACCATAAACGAAGACATTAGTGATTTTAAGTATATTAAGATTAAAAAATGCTTATTTATCACAACACATTGTGATTTTTTTAAGCATTCCGGATGAAAGAAAATAGTTATAAAACACAGCATGCACTGGCCAAAGTATTAGTGTCCAGAATATATAACTCCTACAAGTCAAAAGCTTAAAAATAAAAATAGGGTAAATTCTTACACAGGCGTTTCAATAAGAATATTTAAAGCCTATAAATATAAAAAGATGCCCAACCTATTAACAAAATGCTAAATTTAAACCACAAAGAGAAAGCATTTTCCAGTAAATAGACTGGAGGAAAGTCTAACTATATCAAGTAGTGGTGAGGACTAGGGCAACTTGAACTTCTTTTACGTTACTGATGAGTATAATTCAAGACAAGTTTGGAAAATAATTTGGCATCATCTAGTAAAGCTGATAACCTACACATGTCAGAACTGTAGAGAAATCCTTGCACATGGGCACAAGATATATAATAATATCCATACTAGTAATGTTTACATCAGCAAAAAATTAGAAAACAAATGTCCATCACCTGTAAAATGAATTACGGTATATACAGTAGTGATTACGAACAAACTATAGCTGAGTAGACTTATATGAATACATTTCCCCAAATACACTGTGCAAAGTAAGTATGCTGTCAAAATATATGCAAAGCATGTTTTAAAATCATATAAACATAGCCAAAACATTCTTCAGGAAAAGATGTTATACAACTAAAGAGAAAAGTGAGACAACAAGAAAAACAAAGTTTGGGTAATGTTTATTCATTGGGGGGATTAAATAAGACTTGGGAGGAGATAGTTTCAATGTGACTGGTGATGTTCTAACTATACCAGTAGTAGACACAGAGGTATACAAAGTTCTTCAGTAGTTTTTTAAAATTCAGAATGTGTATTCATGGGTTCCCACCTTGATTACCAAAAACTAGCTTCAAGAGCAGAAACCATCCATATTTCAGATACAATTATGGCAGGATTGGTAAATTCCACAAATTACTAGGTTCTTGTCTATGAAAGCCAGAATATCAGATGGGAAAGTTGTACAACAAGAAGAGAGATCAAAGCAAAAGGTGACAAAAAGCTTCAGGCATCTTAAACTAAAGGCCCATGAAAAGAGATCACAAGTGAAAATAACTTCTTGGCTGACTCCATCCCTTGCCTTGCCATCTGCTATAAACAGATACAGAAAATGCTCACGTTAAAAGGCATATATTCCACAGCTGTCTTTATGTAAGAGACTTCTGTTCACAAACAAACATGCAATGAAACCTCAATTTTGTGATGTTTTCTGAAATTCAAAGTATCAAAATTATGACAAGTATAAACAAGTTGGTTAGTGGCCTGCAAGGCACATCTCCCTGAGAAGCTTGTTGTAGGAGGCATCATTCCTGACTTATCAAGTACAAATGTCTCCTCAAGTACCAGTAATAAGCCCTGAATGGAAGCTTAAGGGCTCAGCACCAGCCTCAGTGATTACTTGTCTCTCAAGCTAATCTATCACCATATTTCCACATGTCACTGTATGGAAATCATTGATACAAATCATAAAATGTGGAATAATAAACCCCACCTCTACTGTTTGCTTTATTGTATAATACTATGATGCATCCATACAGCAGGCACTAACATGCATTTCTCCTCAGGCAACTGCATTCTAGCTAATTATAACAATGTACAACAGAAATCCTCCAACCATATAATTATGATTTTAGTTAGGCAAGTTGTCTTTATTGAAAGGCTTAATCAGTGTTTGCAGAACGGCATCTCTAAAGCTAATCATTGGGAATTATAAGATTGAATATTTCACATATTTAATCATAGAATACTTCTAATCTCCTTCTGACAAATAAATTGAACTAAGCTAATTTGTCCAATATAGAAACAGAGATATCTTAGAAAAATCTTTATTCATATTACTGTAGTACACCACTAAAAGTGGATATGCAGCAAAAAGGAATAGAGAGGCCTTCATTTTACATTCTACCTATAAATTCCTAAAATTTCAATAGTACCATTTACCCTCATTATAACATGATTGGGAATATACTAGGATGTTAAACATTATTTCATGTTAAACCATAGATACTGTCATCTGTCTTTCACCTACCCTTTTCCCAACTTCCTTTGAAAGTAATTCATAGAACGGAAACATAGAAGTGGGTAATTTGAAATAATTAAAGCAAAGCAAAAGCTTTTTCACATAGTAGCTTCCCCAACATCAAAAATAGATCAAGTTCCACCTCATTCCCATAGCACCTCAGAGAATAGGTCAGTCCTTGGTCCAGGCAATTTACCCTTTGTCGAAATAAACCTGGGTTTCCTTACGAACCAGAACTCACTGCATTCTCACAAGTAAAATTTCTTTAGATCCAGGATTTAAACAAGTATCAAAGTTTCTCTAGAAGACAATACTATGGTATCCAATAAGCCAGGAAAAAAACATTATCTTATCCCCATGCAGAAGCCAGGAAAAATTATTATCTTACCCCCACACATGAATAAAGCCTGACCTGAAGTATATTGATTACAATGGACAAGTACAAGTGATTATTAGCCATGGTGAATCCTACTTAATATCACATTTCCAAATACAGAGTTCAAAAATCTGCCAACTGATCAGAGAAATGCAAATCAAAACCACAATATGGTAACACCTTACTCCTGCAAGAATGGTCAAAACCAAAACCTAAAAAAAACAGTAGATGTTGGTGTGGATATGCTAAAAACGGAACACTTCTACACTGCTGGTGAGAATATATAATAGTACAACCACTACAGAAAACAGTGTGGTGACAAGATTCCTTAAAAATCTAAAAGTAGAACTACCATTTGATCCAGCAATCCCACTACTGGGTATCCAGTCTGAGGAAAAGAAGTCATTGTACGAAAAAGATACTTACACATGCATATATGTAGCAGCACAACTTGCAACTGCAAAAACATGGAACCAGCCCAAATGCCCACCAGTCAATGAGTAGATAGAGAAAATTGTGATGTATGTGTGATGGAATACATTCGTATGACATGACTGATAGAAAACGTGTGACATACATGTGAAGGAAGACGTGATATGTGTGTAACTAAAGATGTGTGGCATGTGTGATGGAATACGCTATACGTATGTGACACGTAATGGAAGATGACACATGACTGAAAGCACATGTGACAAAAATGTGACACATGTGTGAAAGACAAATGTGACATGTGTAATGAAAAAACAACTGTGACATGTGATGGAAGACACGTGTGACACTGGTGACATGTGTGACATGACTGACATGGAACTGACACGTGTGAAACATGTGCCAGAACAAATGTGTAACACATGTGACACATGGGACAGGTGGGAGAAAACACATGACATGGAAGACACACGTGTGAAATAAGACACGTGGACACACAACTGACAAGTTAGAGATGCGTGTCTGACACATTAGCAAAATGCCAATGACACGACACATTATCAAAACGTGATGGACGTGTGACACGACTGACACGTATGTGATACGAACATAACATGTAACTGACATGTACACATGACCAACACAACATGAGGGTGACACAATTGTGACAAGTCACTGACATGTAACTGACACGTGATGGACACGTGTGACATGACCAACATGTGTTACAGGTGACTGACGTGTGTAACACGTGTGACATATGACAGATGTGACAACTGACACGTAATGGACACGTGACTGACACGTGTAACGTGTGATGTAACAGACGTGACACGTGACATGTGACTCATAGTTGACATAACAGAAACATGACTGACACATAACATGTGAACATGTGACATGATCAACACAACATGTGATTGACGAAATGTGATGTGACCAATTTGACTGACATATGAGACGTGACAGATTACTGACGTGTGACACGTGACACGTGACCAACACGTGTGTGACACGTGACACATGACTGACATGTGACTAAGACGTCACCGACAAACACGTGACTGACACGTGATACATGATTGACATGCGACCAACGTTTGAGACATGTGACTGACGCGAATGACACGATTGGCACGTGATTGGCACGTGACCAACACGTCACTGACATGATTGGCACGTGTTTAACATGTGACTGACGTGATCCACAAAGGATCAACACGTAATCATCACGTGATCAACACGTGTGTAACACGTGACCAACGTGTGACCAAAGCATGTTTGACGTGACCAACACAACTGGCAGGTGATTGACACGTGATTGACACGTTTGACATGTGACTTACATGCCATTGACCTTACCACCTAACCAACATGTGACTGATGTGATTGACACATGATCAACACGTAATCAACATGTGTCACAGCTGATCGAAATGACCAGGGCATGATTGACACGTGAACAATAACATTATTGACATGACTGACAGGTGATTGACATTATTCGCACTTGACTGACACATGACATGTGAATGACACAATTGACACATGATCGGCCTGTTGCCAACATGACACGTGATCAAGACATGATCTACATGTAATAACGTGACTGACACGTGACCAACACGTGACTCACACGTGACCAGTGCATGATTGACAAGACAAACACGTGACTGACAGGTAATTCACGTGATAAACACATGATCAATACGTTATCAACACGTGTGACATGTGACAGAGGCAAGACCAGGGCATGATTGACATGTGACTGACACGTGACCAACATAAGTGATTCACACATGATTGACGTGACCGAGGTTTGTGACACGTGACTCACGTGTGCGATTGACATGATTGGCACATGACCTATATCATTGGCACGTGATTGGCATAGGTCCAAAATGTGACAAATGATCGACATAAGTGACACGTGATCGTCAAGTGATCGACACGTGTGGCACGTGACTGACGTTGCTACAGCATGATTGACACATCACCAACATGACTGACACGTGACAAACATCACTGAAACATGGACAGCTTTGTGACACGTGACATGTGACTGACACGATTGGCATCTAATCAACACGTGGGTGACACGTGACCAACACTTAACCAATGCCTGACATGTGACAAACACGTGATACGTGACTGACACTTGACTGACACGTGATTAACATGATTGAAACGTGACCAATACGTTTGACACGTGACTGACGCGATTTACGTAACTGGCATGTGTCCAACACGTGACTCACACGTGATCAGCACATGTCCAACAAGTGACTGACACATGATCGAGTCGTTACTGACACGTGATCATCACGTAATCAACACGTGACACCTGACCAGCCCATGGCCGGAATGTGATTGACACTTGACTGACACAATTGACATGTGACCAACACGTTTAGGACAGGTGACAAGCGATTCACAATTGGTGCATGACCAACACGTGACTGACACATGATAGACGTGATCGTCATTTTGGGTCAGCACGTGACATTTCACCAATGTGTGACCAAAGCATGATTGACACATGAACACGTGACATGACACGATTCACACGACTGACATGACCAACACATTTGTGACACTAGACACGTGATTGACAGGATTGAATCGCACAGGTCCAACATGTGACTGACACGATACACATACGATTGACGTGTGATCAACACGTGTGACACGTGACCAACACGTGACCAGAGTGTGATTGACACATGACTGACATGATTGACGTGACACATTTGTGACACGATTGAAGTGATTGGCATGTGACACCTTTGTGACATGTGACAAGTGACAAGATTGGCACATGTCCAACATGTGACTGATACGAGATTGACAAGACGTTTGATCAACACATGTGACTCGTGACCAACGTGACCAGAGCATGATTGACACGTGACTGACACGAGATTGACATGAATGACATGACACGTTTGTGACATGTGACAAGCGACTTACACGATTGGCATGTGTCCAACACGTGACTGACCCGATCGACACATGATCGACATGTAATCAACGTGTGACACGTGGCCGACGCATGACCAGTGACACGTGAGCAACACGTGACCAACATGACTGACATGACTGACATATGATTGACATGTAACTGACACGTTTCTCACAAGTGACAAGTGGCTGACATGCTTGGCACGTGACCAACACGTGACTGACACTTGATCGTCACGTGATCAGCACGTGTGGCACATGACAGACACCTGATTGACACATGACTAACACGTGACATTGACTCATGATCGTTATGTGATCAACACGTGTGTGACAGGCGTGTTATGTGACCATATGTGACACGTGACTGACATGGCTTACATGTGACACGATTGACACGTGACTGACGCATTTGACATGTGACTGACTCGCGAATGACATGATTAGTACGTGACGAATACACAACACGTGATTGGCACGTGATCGGCAACGTGTATGACATGACTGTCACGTGACTGGAGTGTGATACATGACCAACACGTGACCAACATGGTTGACACGTGATTGACATGATTGACGTGATGACACGTTTGTGACGTGACTGACACGATTGAAACATGGTTGGCATGTGTCCAACACGTGGCTGACACAAGATCTACACATGATCAACACGTGATTGTCACGTGATTACCTGTGTGACATGACCAATGAGACACGGAACATGATTGACACTTGACCAACACCTGATAGACACGTGATTGACATGATTGACACATGACCAACACGTTTGTGACACACTGACCTGGTTGACAGGCCTGGCACATGACTAACAGGTGACTGACATATGATCGACTTGTGATCAACACTTGTGTGACACATGACCGACACCTGATTGACCCATGACCAACATGTATAACACCCGAACGACACGACTGGCACATGATTGACACTACTGACACGTCGACACGATCGACACTTGACTGACACATTTGTGACACACAATTGACACGATTGGCATGTGATCAACACAACCGACATGATGTGATCGAGTCATTTTTGACACGTGACTGACACGTGTCCATAACCAACTTGTGAGATACATAACCAACTCGTGTATGACACGTTACACGTTTGTGACACGTGACCAACACCTGTGACGTGGCACATGACCAATATGTGTGATGGAAGACGTGGACACATGCCCAACATATGCCCAACACATGCCTGACACGTGTGTGACATTTATAAAAGTTATACCTTTGTAATTACAGTTTTAATTACAAAGGATACAACTGCTAAATGAAGAGACACAGGGTGAGGTCTGGGGGAATCCTAAAGCTTTTATGCCTTGTCTCCATGGAATCAGGGTACACCACCCTCCCAGCACAGCCCTGTGTTCAATAACCAGGTAGCTCTCCTGGACCAGGGTCCAGAGTTTGAGGTTTCATGATAGAGGCATGACTAATTCAATCACTGGCCACCTGCTTGAACTCAATCTTCAGCCCCTTTCCTGTCCCCAGAGGCTGAGCTGGTTCAAAGCCTCTAATCACATTACTTCATCTTTCTGGTGACCAGCCCACTTCCTAAATCATGTTTTCTCATTAGCATAAGCTCAGGTATAATCCAAGGAGCTCATAAATAACAGACTCTCCTGTTACTTCAGCAATCCCAAAGATTTAGAGTCTTCCTCCCAGGAACCTGGAATAAAGAGCAAATTCTTTATTATTCAACAGACTGAAATGCACTTTTAATATGGGAATTAGGTAGTCACAGGTGATTTTGGAAAGAATGGTCAGAGGAAAAATTAGCCAGACTGCTATGATTTATAACATAAATTAGGGGTATGCAAGGTGAGAAGTGTGTAAGAAGTTGATCACCAACAAGAGCATAAAATGACTAGAGGTGCTGGAGTACAAAGCTGAGGTAAGAAGGATATACCAGTAACTTAGAAAATGCCTTCTTCCACCAGGAGCAATACTTAGGAGGTTGCTTTGTTGATGCAGTCTCATTTGAGTCATCCTATTGTTAGTGTTCTTAGAGTCAATGTAATATTTAACGTGTTGGTCCTTCTTAAAATTATTCTCACTTACCTTTGATTTCTCCACATTCCAACTTACTTTACTCTTTCCAACATTTCCCTTATAACAAAGTCCTCATTGCCACTTCTTTATCTGACTTAATTACGCAGAAATATACAAGTCCTTCTGACTTAGAAAAGATTACGGACCTCTAATTTTGGTAATATGGTAGACTGGGTATCTTGAAACACCTCTTTCATTAAAAAAATATATATATAGGAGAGAATTTTACAAACAGCCTTTTAAGAGTATGTCTGGACTCAAACAATCACCTAAGAGTAAAACAACCTGATAGTTAGCAATCAGAGAAATAAGATGGCAGAGATGCTTTCAGTTAACAAGAGGCTTTAGTTTTAACAGATGAGGAAGAATGAGGACTAAGACCTTGAGCGTGTGCTACTTGATTAGAACTGTAATTTCCACACTAAGACCCATAAAAGGGAAAGTCCCTCATTTAAAAGGTAGCTGGGGCAGGGGAGGAGAGACACTCACAAGTGAAGGAAAACAGCAAGCAAAATTATCTTGGCTTGGGATCTTGAAGGGCAGGGACAGTTTTCCCTGAGAAGTTACAACAGTAAGCTTGGTTTCATGTGAGTTTGGAGTTTCATTTAACATTACCACAGAATCTATAAAACTTCAAGCCAAGAATTAATGTAAAGTTGTTCCAAGTTAGTAAAGCCCCTGGGATTTCTGGCAGAAGGAACAAAAATCCTTGCCTCAGAAACACACCCTTATCCCATGTTTACAGAAATCCTGATGATAAAGTCTTGCCAAACATGGGCTTACAATCCAAATTATAAAACAAAGGAGGAAACAAATTATGAACAAAAGTAAACAGAAATGAAGAGTTAGTGAATTAAACGACCAAGAAGTACTATTGGCTATAGTGTATAAAGTATTATGTTCAGAGCTTAAAAGGCAATAGAAGATAAAAAACAGAAAGGAGATTAATCGTACATGATAAGGGACAAAATGGGACTCCAAATAATTTTTAAATGTTTGTTTTAAAAGTCCTTAAACAGGATATTAGACAGAGCTAAAAAAAAAAAAATGAGAAATTGGAAACAAGTTACCTAGGATGCAGCATACAAAAACAGCAATATGAAAGAGAACTTAGGACACATGAGGACTGGATAAGAGTGTATCATATATACAGTATACATAAGGTAAGGGGAAAAGAGTTGTCAGGACCAGAAATGGGCAGAATCAATATTCAAATTAGATAATTATTCAGATTTTTCTAGAATAAAAATATGAATCAATGTTCATAAAGGACAATAAATCCAAAGCAAGGGAAAAAGTCTATACAGACACATCACAGAGACTAAACAACACATAGGAAAAATAAATTATCTAAGCATTCAGAGAGAAAAGGCAAATTACTTTCAAAGGATTACAATTAGGTTGGTTAGACTTCCCAAAAGCAATATTAAAGCCAGGAGACAGTGACATAACCTAATTTCAAAATAGTGAGGGGGGGAAAAAAACAGTTGTAGACTTAGAATTTTATACCCAGAAAAACTATCATCATTAAAGTAAGACAGAAATAACCCTGATGGAATTTTGCTCCCGAACTTATGGAAGCCATCTTGCCTCCCTGTAGGGCCTGACAATGTAATACAGGCAAAAAGAAAAACTGGGTCCTTGTGATGCTTTTGAGCTCTACAACCTTAATGCCAGCCTTAATCGTGGATATCTGAGTCTCTTGAGGCATTCTCTTTACCAGTTTAAGTTTTTTTAATTAAGCAAAATGGAAAGTCAGTTAAAATAGAGTTATTGTTAGCATACATAACCCACCCCTCCCCCTAAAGATAATCACAGTGTAGCTTGTTCAGAAAATGTGTGTGAAGGGGACCTTTAGGTAGAACCTGAAAATTAATACCTAGGAAGAAAAAATAATCAGTTAAGGAGTCTGTAGAAAACTATCTAAGACAACAAAAGGCAATGAGTTAAAAGCAGGCCTGGAAAACAGTCTGAACGGTGTGTGACTGCATTTATGTTTTTATGATAGTAAGTCAGTACAGTGAGAGAACTGGCAGGACATAGTGCCTGGAGTTAACTGAGAATACTGGGACACTATCCTAATTGTTTTAAGAAAATCTAAAACAAACCAAAAAGGTTACAGGATGTCTGCAATGGACAACTACATGACTAAGAGCAGACTCTTCCAGATTAGCTGAATCTAGCCTTGAGCTGCTCTTTTACAGCTTTCAAAGTTGTAGATAACCAATAGCAATGCAAAACAATTCTTGCCTATAAACATGCAAATGAATTTTGTCTATTGGAGTTTCAACTGACTCCACCATAAAAAAGCCAGTTTTCTGTTTTAATTCACTTCAACATACCTTTTTACTTTGTATAAATAAGTGCTTTTCTGGATTCAACTTTGAACCAGTTGTAACATCTGTCTGGTTCTCTCATTAATAAACTTGAAAAAATTCTTAAACATGGATGTATATAAAACTCATGATTTTACCCTTTATGTTTTAACACCAACAAAAACAAGGCAATATTTCTAAAAGAAACTGTATTTCTGAGGTTTCCTTAAACAAGTTGTAAAGTTTTGTTCTGAACCAGCTTCTTAATCTAATCAGAAAATTACAGATTTCACTGAAATATACTTTGTTTCATTTAAGATGCATTATGTGATTAAATCTTACAAATTATATTCTAAGAAACAATCTAATAGGAACTCCCTCAAATCTGCAAAAAGTAACTGCTATGTATTTTAATATGTTCTATTAAATCACATGTAAGACAATGATATACTTAGCATATTAATTGGAGCAAGATAAAAGACTTCTTTTGCCTTTTACAACATACTCTCAGAAGACTCACTTTATGGACAATATCTCAGAAATACTTTCTGCTTATTACTCAACAACAACAAAAAAAATTGCAAATGTGTGCAATTGTTATAGTGAGCTTAAGTGAATTTTCCAAAAGGTAACACAGGCAAAAAAAAAAAAAAAATTGTGTATAATATGCGTTGCAATGAATGCCCATCTACCAAATTGTATTGTCATCCCTAAGAACTCTTCCAAATGTGCAAAATTTACTCAAATTCTTAAGTTGTAAATCCTCTGCTTCTTTATGCCTTCTCACCACCCTTGCAACTGATTACCTTGCCTCTACCACAATTGAGCTGTCTGGAGAAGAGGAAGGAGTCAAGGGGGAAGCACAAGATCCAGGGGAAAGTTTTGTGGTCATTAATGGTTCCTGGACCACAAGTTTCACTACCTTAAATACCATTTATCCTTTTGTTTAAAGGCAAATCAAAATATTTCATTTGGTCTATGAAATTCTTACACAGTTTTAAATTTAAAGTGAAATTCATGTTGCAGAAGGAAGAGATGAAGTTAGGGAAAATTTCCTACGGCAATTCAAATACACATGGGTTATTGAAGTTATAGACTGTCTTTCCTAAATAGGTTTTAAAGGGGAAAAAAAAAAAAGCTTCTGGGCACCCAGATGGCTAGGAAGGCTTGCTTCCTGTTGGCCTATAATCTTAGAGGAAACTATTACATAGATGTTATAATTCATCTTAAAATAATACCCTTTAAGCACTTATTATTAATACCCTTTAAGCACTTAGTATTCTAATAGCTAACATAATTTCCAATCCTAAAATGACCTTACAAGTATTATTTTTTATATTTTCACAGGTAGGGAAAATGGACTCAGAAAGTTAAAAACACGACATCACTAGTAAATAAAAAGACAGATTTGGACCTAGGTCTGTCCAACTTCATAGCCTATTTCTATTATATAATACCATCGCTTGGCAATAAATTTCACTAAGTCTCCAATTTAGACTGCAAAAAAGTTTAGTATCTATTACCATATTTATATAATTTTACTTGGTAATAGAAGGAAAAAAATAAACATGCTCCAAAGATTACAATAGGTCTTTTGCTATCCTGTGTTTATTTTGGTGAAGCAAATGGAAACAATTGTCATCTCAAGATGATTTACTTTAAGGTCTATGAAAATCTTATATAGTATATACTAGAAAACAAACCACTTCGAAACTAACACAAAATTGAGTACAATGGACCATATTATACATATCCTTTACTTCTGAGAGATTTCTCTGGCATTTTTAATATAACTGCCTTTTAATTTTCATTAAAGTTTCATTTATATCTATACTGTAATAACATTAATACATTCTTCTCCAAATACCTCATATCACATTATGGTAGATGACTATAGCAAAAGATATGTTCCAGAACAGTCTCAATCTATAAAGTTACTACAACAAATCACCATAACATCTTTAGGTCATCATGCACATTTTAAATAATTTGACATTTAAACAGAATTGAATCAAAATTCAGCAAATGAACCACACTACAGTGCTTGTCCCTTCTATCTAGACTCAAGAAAAAAGACTTACCCCGTGTTCCTTAGCAGCTGTGACAACTTTAAGAAGGACACCTTCCTCAACAAATGGTCTCACAGCATCATGGATAATCACTACTTCTGGCTTAGAGAGTTTAGAGTTGATCTGATCTTCTGCCAGTGCTTTTAGTCCATTGAAAATTGACCTGTGGCGGGTCACTCCAGCTTCGACCAGTGAGATGCGTTTATGCTGATACTTCTGAATAATACTTTTCATTACTTCCATGTTCTCTCCAGTTACTGCCACAACAATGTCCTTTATCCAACATACTCTAAAAGGAAAGTATATGTACAATTCGTAAATTAATTCTTAGACAACTAAAGTGAGTAACAGAAAATTGAATCACTAGTATTGGTATATTTAAATAGGGAGATTAAAAACTGCAAGTTAATAAAACAGTTTTATGCATTCTCGTTAGGTCCAGTAAAGAGGCTGATGAAAAAGAATCAGTGAGCATTTAACACTATAGCTCTAGATAGTGTTTCATATTACATAGAATATCTTACATGATATAGTAAATGTACATAGTATATAGTACTACCAGATGTCATTTTTTACTTAAATTTGAATAATTAGAATATAGATTGTATGAAAAAATAGTCTATAGTTGGGATATGCTTTTAAATTTTTCCAAATACTTTTCCCTTCAATGAGACAATTGAAAGCACTTTTGAGATCTAAAAGTTGACTGTCTCTTTCAAGAATTCCACCAAGTTGGCAGCCAACCACTTGAATACCAACAAAGCTGGAAAACTTAGCTAACACAAGCCTTGCTAAATACGTACCTTAAATGGGAGAAACCGTTATAATTAATATTGTAGCAATAAGGTTTAAGTAAAGTGGAAAAGCTTACAATTCATGAAATAGGATTGTTCTATTGAGTCATATACAAAGCATAAAGCAATGTTTCTCTTGTAAAACATTTTCAAGACAGAGTCTCACTCTGTGCCCCATGCTGGAATACAGTGGCACCATCTCAGTTCACTGCAACCTCTGCCTCCTGGGTTCAAACGATTCTCGTGCCTCAGCCTTCCAAGTAGCTGGGATTACAGACACCCGCCACCATGCCCAGCTAGTGTTTGTATTTTTTTAGTAGAGATAGGGTTTCATGATGTTGCCCAGGCTAGTCTTCAACTCCTGACCTCAGGTGACCCACCCACCTCAGCCTCCCAAAGTGTTGGGATTATAGGCATGAGCCACCAAGCCCAGCCTGTAAAACATTTTCTTGAGGGACCTACTGACATACTAGACTGCAAGTAGTCCACATTAGTGAGTTGCTGCTGCATTAGAGTCTGGCAGACTTGTCTGGAACACCACTGCTAATGGAGGCAAGCATCACTGTAGAGTCAATATACCACAGCCCAAAAGCCCAAACCAAGACAACGGTCTCTGACCCATGATACGAATTCTGAACAAAGACTTAATTTTTAATTCTTAGCCTATGAGATCCTATACTTTCATGCTAAAACAGTTAAGTCTTTAGAATATTTTTAAAGATATGGAAGGGCCTGAAAATTACTGCATAAAGATTACCTTTACTGAAAAATGAAGTTAACATTGGGTTGCCTCACCCAGTAATGTCTCCTACCTCTTGTTATCGAACAGACCCTTTCCACAACCAAAAACCCCATTCTGCCTGTAGCTAAAAGAAGACTACACTGATGAACAAAACCAAGAGCTACTTTATAGGTGATACTGCCTTTTCATTTTAAGCCCATTTCTTTAATATTTATTGAGCACTGAGACATTATCAGCATCGGCCGGGCATGGTGGCTCATGCCTGTAATCCCAGCACTTTGGGAGGCTGAGGCAGGTGGATCACTTGAGATCAGGAGTTCGAGACCAGCCTGGCCAACATAGTGAAACTCCGTCTCTACCAAAAATATAAAAAATCAACCAGGTGTAGTGGCACGCAACTGTAATCCCAGCTACTCGAGAGGCTGAGGCAAGAGAATCACTTGAACCCAGGAGGCAGAAGTTGAAATGAGCCAAGATCATGCCACTGTACTCTAGCCTGGGCGACAGAGCAGGACTCTGTCTTTAAAAAAAAAAAAATAAAAAAATAACTTATCAGCATCGAGGATACAACAGAAATAAGCGCTCAGAACTTACAGACATGAAACAAAAACACCGATCAACAATTGCAAGCTGTGATTAAACACAATGAAGAAGTCCACGTTCAAGACAGCATGTAGGCTGAGTAGCTAAACAGTCTGGAGGAGACTTTGGGGGCATTCTCCAAGAAAAGGGAGTTTGCACTGAGACACAAGGGATGGGTGGCAGGTAAGCAGGCAAACAGGCTAGGAGAGAAGGAGAGAGGACTGGTCCAAGTAAAGGCCATGGCAAGGTCCTCATGGGCTGGGAGGAAGCGGAGCTGGAGTTCCCCGAGCAAGGAGAAGGCCCCATGCAGAGCCTTGGAGGCCCAGGCAGGAGGTGGGCAGTATCCTAGGGGTTTTAAACTTTAATCCTAAAAAGAGGATAGGCAGCCATAGAAAAGCTTTAAGCAGGTGAGTGCAGTCAGGGCAAAAACCAATACTCACTCATCACATTCTAATAGGAGTTTTTGGTAAACATAATAATGAACCCAGAAAGATGTGCACTTTCTTACTCATGAAACCTGTGACTATGTTACCTTAAATGGCAAACAGGACTTTGCAGAGGTGATTAAGGATTTTGAAATATGGAGATGGTCCTGAATTATCTAGGTGGATCCAACGTAATCACAAGAGTCCTTATAAAGGAAAGGAGGTCGCAGGAGAGTCACTGGAGAAGATGTGATGACAGAAGCAGATGTCAGACTGATGCAGGGCCTCAAGCCAAAGAGCATGAGTGGCCTCTACAATTTTATTTTTTGAGACAGAGTCTCACTCTGTCACCCAGGCTGGAGTGCAGTGGCACAATCTTGGCTCACTGCAACCTCTGACTCCCAAGTTCAAGCAATTCTCCTGCCTCAGCCTCCCAAGTAGCTGGGATTACAGGCACCTGCCACCACACATAGCTAATTTTTGTATTTTTAGTAGAGATGAGGTTTCGCCATACTGGCCAGGCTGGTCTCTAACTCCTGACCTCAGGTGATCCACCCACCTCAACCTCCCAAAGTGCTGGAATTATAGAAGTGAACCCCATGCATGGCCAGCCTCTAGAATTTAGAGAAAGGCGAGGAAATGGATACTCCCCCAAATCTTCCAGAAGGAATGCAGTTTTGCCAACACCTTGACACAGCTCAGTGAAACTAAATTGAGACTTCTGACCTCCAAAATTGTAAGAGAATGTGGTTTTAAGCCATTCAGTTTGTGGTAATTTTTATAGCAGCAATAGGAATCACAAGAGCATAAATTTTACTCTGGCTGCAGGGAGGAGAAAGGATTCAGCAAAGAGAGAAAGGATGCAGAGAGACCAGGTAGGAGGTGGCTGCTGTAATCTGGGCAATGCAATGATGGTCGCCTGGGTACCAGGTGGAGCTTGTATATGGCGTTTTAGAGATAGTCTATTCTAGAAGTAATCATCTACATGAGTCAGGAAGAAAAAGTGGCAAAATAATACAAGTATCACATAATAATAGCCAATATAAATTAAGCACTATGTCTTAAGCATTTTTTATATTTTAGCTCTTGCAATCTTTACAATACTTCTACACGATCTCTCATACAAGAGACAAAAAGATCCGAATATACAAAGACATTACATTACTTTTTTCTATACTACCATCTTATTCTAAAAATGAAGCAATAAGAAATTTTTACCATTTTTCAAGATAATACAACATTTCATTTTATTTCCTCTTCTAGAATGTAGGCTCCATATAGAGACAATGTCTGTTTTGTCCATTGCCTTACACCTAACTCTTAGTGGGTGCTCAGTACATTATTTGTTGAAAAAATGACTAGTCAGTCTCATCTACTGGGGGCAGTATAACATCTTACAACACAGCATAGTCTCAAGGACTGTGAAAACAAAGGAGGCTCTCATTACCCTGACTAGCTACAAATATATAAATAAATCTAAGAATGAAAACAGCATTCCCTATGCAGTGTGATTTTGTTGATAGTTTTGTTTCTAGGTATTTGACCCTCTGCTCTGGTTTCTAGGTCCTAAGGCTCCTTGAGAGCTGGGATTACTTTCATATTTCACACACCTTGGGAGGATGTTTATCACAATCAAAAATAATTCACTTCAGAACTCCAAAGAACAATCTGTAGTAAACTGTACAGGCAATGAAAGTGATTCTGGAATAAGACTAAACGTGGGTTGTTCTTTGTTTTGTAGCCCATTTCCTAGGCCTTTCATTGCAAATTTAGCAACTGCAGAACTTAGACTGCACTCACAGTTTCAAATTAAAGTTATTAGCAAGTGGTGAGTGACAGTTCTTCAATCCCTCTTAAATGTGGGATTTCCCAAGATTCTGGCTCTACTGCCACGGCTGTGACCCAAACGGTCATCTCTACCATAATTTACTGCACTAGCCCCTCAGCTGTTTCCTCTTACTCTTCTTAACCCAATACAATCCATTCTCACCACTTCTGGATGATCTTTCTCAAGCACAAATCTGAGGTCATCCCCTGCTGGCTCTCGAGCAAGACCCTTCAAGACCTGACCTCAGCCTACTTCATGCACATCACTTGGTCTCTTCCATGCCCTCTTACTCTCATACCCAACTACTCCCTGAAGGGAAGGCATCTCTCATACTCAGGTATTTGCATGTGCTGCTTACCTGGCCTCTCAACACTGTCCCCATCCCTCTCTCCTCCCTAACTGCCCCTACTCCCCGCCAGCCCTGCCCGAGTCTTTCATACTCATCAGTTCTGACTTCAGAGATGGCTCCCTCCAGGAAGCTTTCCCTGACTGCCATTCTGCATACAACATCCCTGCTTCTCAGCTTGCAGAGTGCTTATACACGTAGAGTCCTAAGGACTATACTGCACTGTTTATAACTTTATCTTCCTCACTAGGCTGCCAACTCATAGAAAGCAAAAACTATGTCCCAGAACTTAGCACATACTCAACTTTCAGTAACATAGTAGAAATAACACCTAAGATATATGGAATGTTTGCTAGGTACCAGGCAATCAATGTGTAGAATATTTCGCCTGCAATATCTCAATATCCATATCAGCTCTATAAAGCACATTATCATCATCTCAGCTTTACACATGAGGACACAGGCAGTAACCTGCCCATAATCACACAGCTCAGAAACTAAGGGACCAAGCTGTGATCTCCAGTCTGACTCTGGGGCCTATAACTTTAGCCTCTGTAAATAATGCACCAATACTGTCTCTGAGAGGAAGGTGAAAAATCCAGGAGAGAAAAAATCATTTTGGATCATTGCATCTACAGCACTTCATTTATATTAAGGTTGAAACACGTAATATTCCTGCTTTTATAGTCAAAAGCGCTCAAGTTTCTTATAATTTCTTGTAACTCAGGCAGAAGTAGGCATTCTTTCATGTGTTCCTTTAGTCATTTAACAAACATCAAGTATGTATCAAGCATTTGTCAGGCACTATACTAGATACTGATGAGTCAGTAATGAACAAAGACTGACAGAATTCCTAACTTCTCAACCACATGTCAGTAAGTATCTGTTAAATAAACAGAGAGGAGAATGCTTGAATAATTAGGCATAAAAACTGCTCTTAGATTTATAGAAAGCTACTAAAAGTATTTCATATATACTTCAGCTGTTTATTAGTGTGACATGTTCACTTTTTAATATAGGAGTTATAAGTATGTGTTCAACTAAATAAGTAGTATTTTTAAAGGAAAGATTACAACTTGTCCTCTAAACTATTCACCTGTCACTTTTCATAGTATATTCTACCAGAAAAAAATGGTTAAACTTTTAAGGAAATCAGTTTGCTACTTTTTAAAGAAAATTTACATTGACTTAAATGTTAAAATATGATGAAGAATTAAGAGGCAGATAGGATAACATTTGACATAAAGTAGTCATTCAAGTATCTATTCAATGAATTAACTCCCAATTTTACTAGATTGCCTTAAAATAACTCAAATTCTCCATTCCATCAGACAGAAAACAGCCAGAGTAGATGTAAATAATTACAAACAGACACTTATGGCCTTACACTATTTCAAACAATTGTATGAGACTCTAAACAGAAAATGGCATTTTAAACCAGTATTTCTCAAACTGCCAATTTCGGGTCCCATTAGAGTGTCATAAAATCAGTTTATAGTAAGTTTTAAAGCAACTTTGTTGGGTAAATGAAATGGAAATAGAACAGAAAAATTAAAATGCGTAGCACAGAGATAGGTTGTTTGCATGAATTTTCTTTCAAATGTGCGTGAGTATATAAGTAAATATGCATTTGTCACTGAGCCATGAGGCAAAAACGTAATTCTTGTAACAGGTCAAAAAAAAGTTTGGAAAACACTATTTTAGAACGCTCTTCAGAGACAATAGGCTTATAAAGCTATTTTGGTCAGCAACCAAGCATACACCCAGTACTTGCAAGTCTTTATAAGTACTGTTTGTATTTCTAAGGATTTATTCACATTCTTTTCTAGTTATAGAACTAAAAGTCTTTTATAGTATTAAAATTTAATAATGTAAAATCATGGGACTTAAAAAGACCTTAAGTACCTCACACAGTGTCTACCGATCAAATATTTGCTGAATAAAGAGATCTAGCTTACCTCTTAACTGAGGACAAGTCCACACCAAACCCTCAGCAGCCTAATTCTGTCAAGTTCTCCTGAATATTTCCTTTCTAGCACATTCCATAGGCAAATAGGAACCTAGCCTTAAGCTCTATTACACCTACAGACATTGAGGAAGAAATATAATAACTCAAAAGTTATTTTCTCCTGGAATAACAAATATTGCTTACAGGAATACTCGGCCCAGACAGTTTTAACAGATCTATTGGGAACAGAACATTTTAACAAATGCTTTATGAAACAGATGGGAAAGATCAGGCCCTGTTAACACCTCTGAAAGCCCTCTCATCTAGTCTGCAGAGTTTGGCTGCAAGGGGACAGTGGCAGCTGCTGCTCATTTCCATGGCAGCCTTCACGGAAACTTGGCCTCTGGATTGTACTATGGACATAATTCATAGATTTCTATTTCTCCATACTGACCCTGACGTTTTAGCAGCAAAATATTGAACTGGCATGATGGGGCTGAATCTTGGATTACCTTTGCAATGTGAAGCCTTCCTACTATGGCCCATGAAGGCTCCCGGTTGTCAGGCCTCAGCCTACCTGCCTTAGACTTACCACTTATTTTGAAGGTGTTCCATGCGGTCCTTTGGAAATGTAACACTGACCTCTAATCATCTGACCTGTACAAAATACAAGTCCCATGACTCAGACTTGACCCTTTTATTAAGGAAGCCTTGAGACAAAATTTTAAGTCAAATTCATCTAACCACACAACTAAAAGCTTTCCTTTCTCATTCTGAATCTCTAATACAGTTAATCACTAAGAGCTATCAACACTAGCTACTAAATATTTCTCCTGTCTTCTCTACTCCATTCCTGTTATCTCAGCCTAATTCAAGTGATCAACCTTGTTCATCTGGACTAACATTTATATCTTTACTTGTGTATCTTGTTCAACAGAATTTGCTGTGGTTTTCCAAAATCTAGGACAGCATATGTAAAAGTACACAAGAAAACAAATCGAATAAATGGACAAAAGTTTTTTTAAAAAACAAAGTTAATATACTGAAACACAGACTATGGAGTCTTAAACAATAATGAAATATAGACTTTCATTGATTTCCAAGCCCAATCTCAATCTGAAGATTTAGTTTCCATAATATAAACACATACAGATCTACAAAAGTGATTTTTCTCCCCAAATTTACCTGGAGTTGTCTGACTCAAGGAGACTAATTCACTCTAGCCAAACTGAAAATATTCTGAAACATGAATCAGTGCCAATAGATTAACATACAATGATACACACAACTATCATAAGGTCTAGAATACTTTTTAATCAGTGGAACAGCACATTTTCCTGTAGAAGATTTATAGGGGAGGCCGAGTTATAACAAACTTTGACAAGCATGAAACCATCTAAAGGAAAGTTATCTTAAGCATTGTCCTCCACCTAAGAGAGCTCAAAAACCTCATGAACTATGAGGAAAGCCCTGCCAGACCTTGTTCAAATCCACTGTCAGGAATTCCCAACCCCTACCCAACTCATCACCAAGTCTGAATAAGCATGGCCGAAGTTTGCCTTTCTTAATCCCTTTTGCTGTAGTTGTCATCTTAGTCTATTTTTCAGCTATTCCAGGTTGACCACCCCCCTACCCCAACACACACACACACACACACACACACACACACACACACACACACACACACACCCCATGACACTTTCCTTGTATATTTAAACCAGAAATTAGATTACTGGCAGGAATTTTTGCCTCCTACAACAGATCCAGGGAATACATTTTTTAAAACAGTAAAATCTAGATACATCAATTGATAAATTGTGAGTGAATGTTATGGTTTAATTGTCAGCTTTATGCCCCTGCCAATAACACCATTGTCATCTGATTTCTTGGAGCAACATTTCCTTATAGAAACTCAGGTCACAAAGCGATAGTTATCTAAGTGATTAGTACCCCTAATCTCAGTTTCTTGTTAGTAAAAGGCGAAAACTAAGATTCCCTTTAGTTTATAACCTGGGGTTCAACAATTATATTTCAGTTTGGTTAAAAAGCCAAAACAACTTTTGAAATCCTAGGAACATTTTTAATCAACTTCTGAAAGGGTCTAGTTCCCAGCATAAAGTAGAAATGAGTTGTTATATGTGATCCTTCCTAGTAATAGCCATATGCACAATTCTGGACTACCATTCTTTAAGATTGGAGTATATTAACCTATACACACATTCATGTATACTAATACATATGTCTATACATGTACATGATGTTTAATCATAATATACAAATATATCCACAAACAACATAATCTTGATATGTTAAATACTTAGCTTGTAAATCTCCATTTTCTCAGAGCCTTTAGCCAACATGCCTCAGATACTGGTGGGTTCAGAGGTACTTTTGAATCTCATTTAATCTGATAAGTAGTTTTCTAAGCAGTTTCAATGGCGCAAAGTAGAACTTGGCTAAACTAAAACTGTTCTGATTTTGACAAAAGGAAAATGGACAAGCAATCTGAAGTTCCAGTCAATTCACAAAATGGATTTTCTTTCAATGTCTCCTCCAACTCCTTGATTTTAGAAGAATAGCTACTTTAATATATGGCATGTCTGAAAAGCAGAAAACTTCCTTGAGTCATCTATCTCAGGCACTAAGGATCTCACTGTATCAAAATGTAGTCTCTCTTAATTTCCCCACTGCCATAGAGTACCGAACTCAAGTCATTAGCTGTGCTAATTCTCAGCCAGAGAATAAGCCTCAGTATCTGTTAAAGATCTGGGAATTTTACTCTTCCTTTTGAAGGATTCAATCAGGTGTCCCCTTTTCATTGTTCTACCCCACCTCCAGAGATACCCTGTGCCTCTGATGTCTATACTTTTTCAAGGTCGTATAACTTTAATCATCTTACTTCCTGAGAAGTAAGTTCTACCTGAACTGAAGTTCTACCTGAAGGCTTATGTTTTAGCTTTCCTGGGTTCATTAAATCTGATTAGGTTACCACGCGCCTAGCTCTTGAGTTTATTAGTACTTATCTGCTGCACTTCCTCTCATTCTCCCTTCTGTAGCCATACATTTTTAGCTCCTTTAGATGGGTCAAGGAAGTAGTGGAAACAAATGTATGTGTAAGTGGCAGTCTTTAACTAGAGGCAAGACTAGCCATGTTTCCTTACATTTCCCTATCCCAATTTAGGAATTTGGGGCCAAAGTTCAGAAGTTTCTACCTTCTCTTTTGCAGTCCCCAATTAGTTCAAAATTCCAAAAGACAAATCAACCCATAAGAGTTATTTTCAATGGTAGTTTGAATTTCTTAGGTGAGATATTAAAAAATTACAACTTCTCAACCCTCTATTAGTGAGATAGCAAAAGTTTGGGCAAAGAATATCCTTACTTATGAGGGGCAAATAAAATGAATTTTGAAGTCAAATTCAGGGCATCAATTTCAAACTATACTATAAGGCTACAGTAACCCAAACAGCACAGTATTGGTACACAATAGACACAGACCAATGGAACAGAACAGAGAACCCAGAAATAAAGTTGCCAAAAATAAGCAATTTTTGGGAAAAGGACTCCCTATTCCATAAATGTTGGTAGGATAGCTGGCTAGCCATATCCAGAGGAATAAAACTGGACCCCTACCTCTCACCATACACAAAAATTAACTCAAGATAGATTAAAGATTTAAATGGAAGACCTCCAACTATAAGAATCGTAGAAGAAAACCTAGTAAACACCATTCTGGGCATCAGCCTTGGGAAAGAATTTCTGACTAAGTCCTCAAAAGCAATTCCAACAAAAACAAAAATTGACAACTGAGAGAAAATTAAACTAAACAGCTTCTGCACAGCAGCCAGGTGTGGTCACTCACACTTGTAATGCCAGCACTCTGGGAGGCCGACGCAGGTGGATCACCTGAGCGCAGGAGCTCAAGACCAGCCTGCCCAACATGGCAAAACCCCATTTCTACAAACAAATACAAAAAAAAAAATTATCTGGGCATGGTGGCACGTGACTGTAGTCCCAGCTACTTGAGGGCCTGAAGTGGGAGGATCGCTTGAGCCCAGGAGGTTGAGGCTGCAGTGAGCTGAAATCCTGCCACTGCACTCCAGCCTGGGTAGCACAGTGAGACCCTATCTCCAAAAAAACAATAGAGCTTCTGCACAGCAATTGAAACTATCAGAGTAAACAGTTTTTGCACTCTCAAGCAAAGGCCTAATATCCAGAATCTATAAGGAACTGTAAACAACTGAACCAGCAAAAAACAAATACCCACATTAAAAATGCACAAATGACATGAACAAACACTTCTCAAAAGACAACATCCAAGTATCCAACAAACAAACGTTCCACATCACTAGTCAGAAATGCAAATCAAAACCACAATCAGATACCATCTCACACCAGTCATGATGACTATTATGAAAAAGCCAAAAAAAAACAGATGCTAGCAAGGCTGCAGAGAAAAGGGGAACACTTATACACTGTTACTGGGAAAGTCAATTAGTTCAATCACTGTGGAAAGAAGTTTGGAGATTTCTCAAAGAACTTAAAACAGAACTACCATTCAACCCAGCAATCTCATTAGTGGGTATATATCCAAAAGAAAACAAATGCTTCTACCAAAAAGATGCATGCACCATGTTCATCACAGTGCTATTCACAATAGCAAACACAGGGAATCAACCTAGGTGCCCATCAATGGTGGATTGGATAAAGAAAATATGGTACGTATACACTATGGAATACTATGTAGCCATAAAAAGAACAAAATCAAGTCCTTTGCAGCAACATGATTGCAGCTGGAGGCCATTATTCTAAGCAAATTAACAGAGGAACAGAAAACCAATTACCACAAGTTCTCCTAAGACGGAGCTAAACAATGGGTACTCATGGACATAAAGATGTCAACAACAGACACTGGGGATCACTAGAGGGAGGAGGGAGGGGGCAAAGGTTGAAAAACTATTCAGTACTACACTCATTACATGGGTGATGGGATCAATCATACCCTAAACTTCAGCATCACACAATATACCCAGGTAACAAATCTACACACACATTCCCTCTGAATCTAAAATAGAAGTTGAAGTTATAAAAAAAAAAATCAAATTTGGGGTATCACATACAGCCCTTGAAAAACAAGAAATGACATTCTCTTAGAATAACCTAAATGATTGACAGTGGTGACACCCATTATTTTTCTTATTTGGGACAATGAGAACTGTGCTTTCTCTTTAATAAGCAAAAAGCATGCGTAATTTCTCAACAGAGCAAAAAAGTAGTCTTATAAGGCATTTTATACTTCCATGTCCTTTTCCTTATTTGAATTTGTATAAATTATCTTTTTTAATGAAGTGACTTAAGACTTTTGGCCCCATACCCTAAGAAAACTATCAACAGTCTGTAGGGCTGATCTTTTACAGAAGGAAGTAAGGGCTTTCACTTGGCAAATGGCCAAGCAGCACCCACACACTGCTATAAAGCAAGCTTTCTAAGGACTTCCTAGGATATACCCAAAATATAATCATGTTCCATAAGCTCTTCAGACATAATAGTGATAAAAATGAGCCATGAAGTATTTCAGAATGAAAATTTTGATGAGTTACTATTGCTATTAGGATTTTCTGACTGCTGTTATCAGTTAAGTAAAAGTAGAAGACAAACGTTTTATTTTCCATAAACAAGGCCTTTCCAAACATTATTTTCCTTTAAAAGTGAGTGTATTAGTCTGTTTTCACACTGCTATAAAGAACTGCCCAAGATTAAGTAATTTATAAAGGAAAGAGGTTTAATTGACTCACAGTTCAGCATGGCTGGGGAGGCCTCAGGAAACTTACAAGCATGGTGGAAGGTGAAGGGAAAGGAAGGTGCCTTCTTCACAAGGCAGCAGGAAGGAGAATGAACACAGGAGGAACTACGAAACACTAACAAAACTACCAGATCTCATGAGAACTCACTATCAAGAGACCAGCATGGGGGAAACAATCCCCATGATTCAATTACCTCCACCTGATCTCTGTCCCATGATTCAATTACTTCCACCTGATCTCTCCTTTAACATGCGGGGTTATGGGGATTAAAATTCAAGATGAGATTTTTGGGTGGAGACACAGCCAAACCATATCAGTGAGATTTTTAGTGTCCGCCTATCTTAGACTGCCTCAGAAGATGCAAAAAATTAAAGTTAATGCAAAAGTTTTCTCCATGGGAGAAAAGTTTAGTGTAAAAGTGACTATAATCCCCATAGCTAATTACCACGCAGATAAAGATCCTGCTGGCCAAGACCCATTGTGTCCCACAGAAATGCCTTCATATATGAGCTATGTTGTCACAATGTTCATGGCACTGGAATATTATAGGTAAGTGGTTCATGAAATGGTTTCAGGGACCCCTCTCCCCACTACCCAGAGAAATGGAATAAAGTTAGCAACTGGAATCATTTCAAATTTTGAGTTTCAGATGTAATCATTGGGCAGATTACCTAAATCAGTGATTATGGCTTTTTACACTTCCATTTTCCAAACTCCAATATTCAGAAAGTAAAATAGTCATATGAGAACCTGAAACTGCCTTTGTGAAAATTATAACTGAGGAAATTAGGACAGTGAAAGATCAGTCCTAACTAACTCCATCTTGCTTCTAACCATTAAGCTCATTCCTTGGCATAGGCCGAACTAACCTTGGGAAGGAATTTAGTTTATGGTTTGACTCTGGAACAAAATTGATAATAGCCCTTTCCCAAAAAGACCCCTTTCTTGCCTGGGGACCAGTCTGCCTTCACAGGACTAACAAATTAGCTACAAGATTAGAAATTACAGTTTAGGGGTCATGCATCCTCTGGCTGCAAGAGTCTGAACCTCTCCAAATTGCTCCTGGGGATAACATCACTATTGTAAAACCTAAGATCAGTGCTTGAGATATTTTATAGACCCTTCACTCCATGAATCAGCTGACACCACCCAACCCAGTAATCTGTCTCAACCAGTTCTGCGATCCCACCCAGAAACAGAAGACACCAAGAAAACCTCACATAGACCCCCTATGATTCCATCTCCAAACTCATCAATTCGCACTCCCCACTTCCCGAGCCTCTACCCGCCAAATTATCTTTTAAAACTCCGATCCCGAAATGCTCGATTTGAGTAATAATTTTTGAGTAATAATTTTTTGAGTAATAATTTGATATGAGACTGATTTGAGTAATAATAAAACTCCAATCTCCCGCACAGCCGACTCTGCGTGAATTACTCTTTCTCCATTGCAATTCCCCTGTCTTGATAAATCCGCTCTGTTTAGGCAGGGGCAAGGTGAACCCGTGGGGCGGTTACAAAACAACTTGAACCTTTTGGCTTTTGAAGCATGTGTGAGGGTTTGCGTGGGGCTCCTTTCTGGGGAACGTGCCACTTCCCTTGGACTAGAACCTCACTAGCTTGGTTTTCAAAACCTCCTGCAAAGGCAATGTATGCTAAAGGATGACATCTATCTGGAAATGCAAACGGTTCGCATCAATTCAAGGCTTCACAAACTACCACAGCTCCCCACTGGCTTCAGAGAAGTTCAAACACCTTAGCAAAATTATGTGGATATTTGTAATGCCGCTGCTTCCCACCCCTGCACCCTCGCCCCAAGCTCCACCTCATTACTCAGTGCTAAAAGCAAAGTAAGTTAATATTATAACATACCCCTTCATTTCACTTCCTCAGCTCCTCACGACTGTTCCCCTAGTCCTCCTTATCCCATTCCCTGTCTCCTTCATTTCCCCAACTAGTTAACTTCAGTGCCCTTTCTAAGATAAAGGGGGTATGACCTCAAATTCAGGCTTAAAGCCCTTTCCACCATTGAAAGGTTATTAAATTCTGCTCCTCTCCCCTCCTGCAGCACCTAGTAATTAGCGCAGCCTGTCTCACAGAAGGTGCTCAGTAAATGAATGAAAAAAACGAACACACGCCCTGGAAACTTCAGTGTGCACGTACAACTCAATCCACGCATGCGCGGAGGCAGAGCCCCAGGACCGCGAGACTATCCGCACAGCTTCTCCTCAGGCCCCACAGCTAGAACCCCAAATCGCCTAGTCCCAACCCATGCACTCTCTAATCGGCGCCACACGACGGGCCTTCCCCACAACCTCATCTGCTTGGGGACGTAAAGGGCTCTGTGGGGGAGCTGCAGCTTTCGTGCCCATCTGTTAAAGGCCAGAACTTCCCATCTCTGAAATGCGGGAGGGAACAGAGCTCAAGCTTGAATAACTGAGCGCGGCCCGGCAGTCCCCCAAGTGAAGGTGCTAGCGCTAGAGCAGCGGCAGGGCGGGGAGCGGGAGGCCGGGCCCCAGGGAACCGCGGGGCGCGCCCGGCGCCGCATTACCTCTCCAGGGCCTGTAGGGTGTAGCTGATGAGCGGCCTCTCCAGGATGGGGCAGAATTGCTTCGGGGTGGGGACCCCCATCCTCTCCCCGCACCCCCCGGCAGGCAACACAGCTGCCACGGCTTGCGGGTGGCGCCCGGGCTCGGTCCCGGCCACGCTCTGCAGGGAGGCGGAAGCCGTGTGGTCCGCGCCGCGCTGACCACTCAGGCAAGGACCCGGCTCCGCCGGCCTGGCGCTGCCCGGCGGCCCGGCCTCCATGGCTGCGGGCGGAACGGCGAGCCCCGCTAGCCTCGGGCCGATGCGACCCCGCGCTGCTCCCACCCTCGGCCGGGGTCGCGGGGCGAAGGGCAGACCACGGAGAGGGACGCAGAGCGCGCAAGCAGAAGGCGCCCCCCTCAGCCGTCGGAGCCCCGCTGTTGCTGCCCCGCAGGGGACGATCCCGACAGCTACGGCAGCAGCTGAGGCTGCCGATCTGCCCTCGCGGCTCGGCTGCGGCCTCCGCACCCGGTCCCAGCGCCTGCGGGAGGGCTGACTTGCCCGCTCTGCGCTTCCCCCGGGCAGGCCCAGCTGTCGCCGCAAGTGGAAATGTCAGAACGCCCTACATATCTAAAGATCGCAGATACTCAAGGGCCATGAGTATGCAGGAGAGGTCAGGCCTCTGTCCCATCCCTCCCTGCTTTAAAATTTCGGAAGAGATTGGGATTCAAGTCACAGGATGGGACGTAGGGTGCGTATGCACCTCGATTATCTGAATTCCATTAAGCTCTGGAGGCTTCCTGGTTCCACCTGGGGTAAAGACAGATGGATTAGCAAGTGTTATTGTGGCACATCAATAATCCAAACTGTGGTGGCTCTCAAACTTGTCTGCACTTTGGAACCACCTGGGGAGCGTGTCCTGACACGCTCAGAGATTGGGATTTAATTGGTCTGGTGAGCACCGGACTTTGGAATGTTTTTAAAGATCCTCGGGTGATTCTGATGAGCAGGCATGTTTTGGAACCATAGGGTCAAAGCAATACTAATTGCTGAACAATCGATACACCTTATGTCATTTAGTCCCCAGAAGAACTCAACTATTGCCATTTCCCTTTTTACAAAGGGGAAAAGACGTTAAAATGGTTAATTTATGTAAGATTGCACAACTAATGGCAGAGGAGCCTTAAGGCCCTCATACAGAAGTAGGCCAAAGTTGAAGAATTCCAGGCCTAAAGCATATCTTACCTTATTTAGTACTCTTGTTGCTGGTGAGGTTTACCATGAAAGTATAGTGAGAATTTGGAGGAGAGCACTATTGTATTAGGTCCCTGGAATGTAAACTCCATGCAAGCAGCAACATTTTTCTTTTGGCTTGGGTTGTGTGTGTGTGCCCAGCTCCTGGAATGTAACACAAGCTTAATATGTATTGAATGAATTGCTGATTAAATAGATTAATGATCATTAAAGTGTATAATCATCAGTAATTCAGTCTTAATCCAGTGGCTTATGATTAATAAAAAATAATCTTTTTAAACACTGGAAATGTTATCTAGTTGTAGTATTACAATTTTTATTTTTACCTGTTTTCTTGAGAGCATATAAAAATATGTTTTCTGCTTTTCCTTTTTGTTTAGTCTTATTGAAGGCATTCTTTCACTTTTGTTACTTTTATTATAATTAGCATTTAGGTCCTGTGCTAGTTGGTTTCTTAACTGAAAAGTGGGTGCCATAATATACTTCCTTGTAATTTTTATTGCTATCGTTCCTTTCTAATTTGATCTCGAGGTCTCTCTCTTACGAGTGGCCATAAGCCAGAACAGCCACTCTTCAGGAGAGCCCTGGCCCAGAGAGGAAAGCTAGGTTCTGGTGTGCAGGTGAGACGCCAGAGGAGGCAGCACACAAAACATGTGAAATAACAGGCGCATTTTATTACTTACAGATTCACCAGAGAATAAGCCTGATGGAAGTCTGGAGATAACAGGACTCCCAACCAGCAGGTGGGGTGCAAGAGAGAGGACCTGTGGGGCTGTGTTAAGGTCCAAAGGCTTTATCCCTTAGGCTTTCCAGAGGGGGTTGTGGATTGACTAGTTTAAAGAAAACACCAGCAAAGGGAGAACTTGACTCTGGTGTTGACCATTGGGTTTTATCATGGTTAGCAGCTGTTGGGTTTTTGGTCATGGAATGAGGAATAAGTGTTCTATATCACAGGGAGGGGAAGTTTTAAGTAGGCCACAGGTGACGTGATACAACTGGGTTTCAAACAGCTTATATCAGGCCTAAAAATGGATGCCCAGGCAGCAACTATATTAAACAAGTTTGGCACAATACTTGACTTCATAGCGCCACTACCACACCTGTATCAAGCATTTAAATATCTGTTGACTAACTGGGTGGATAAATAAATGAGTCTATCTATGAGAGCAGGAAGGCAAATCGAATTAGTATTTCTATTAATATTGATCTTTAAACCTCCCTTTTTAATCTAAAGGTGGAGTTGTTATAAAGGTATTCTTCCTTTACTTAATCTTGAGTGAAGAAAAGTAGAGTAATAAAGCTCTTGTTATACTAATTGCTATAGAATAATTTTATATAATTAAACATTGACAAATTTTAACTAGAATCTTAGTTTTGTTCTTAGAGCAGATATATCAATTTAGATCTTCCATGAATCCTTAGATCCTTAGATCTTATATACTGTATATTAACAATGTCTAGCAGACCAACTTGTAGAGAAAAAAGGGCACATTAAAGTATTCATTCATATACGTAGTATGAAGCAACATTTTTCTCTCTGTCCTTTTTATATAAATATAATTAGTTCCATGTTTTGCATACTTTGGGGTAACAGATGTAGCTTCCTTGTTACTTAATACCAAGTTATAGCAGCCACAATATGAGAATATCTTCTCTGCATCAGGCATGTGAAAGTACATACCCTGAAAAGTGAACTCCTCTGGGACCCATTGGTAATAACAATTCTAAGATATCACTTGAAGAGTTTAGAAAAAATAAACCCCAACTGAATCATGAGGCAGAGCATGCAGAGTTGGAAGTTCCTGGAGTGGTTTCCATTTTGAGCTTCCAAGTAGGCAAAATAATGACTCCCCAAAGATGCCCATGCTCTTATCTCCAGAAGCTATGAATATGTTACCTTACACTGCTAAAGAGACATTGCAGATGTGATTAAGTGAAGGATCTCAAGATGGAGGGGAGTAGCCTGGATTATCCAGGTGGGCCCTGTGTAATCTCTGGCATCCTTATAGGAGAGAGGTCAGAGTTAGAGAAGGAGGTATGAGGATGGAAGCAGCCATCAGAGTGCAGAGGGGTGGGAATGTAGGCAACCTCTAAAAGCTGGAAAAGGCAAGGAAACAGGTTTTTCTCTTAGAGCCTGCAGAATAATATAGCCCTGCCACCCCATTTTCAGATTTCTGATATCCAGAACTGTAAGATAACATACTTGAGTTGTTTTAAGCTGCTAAATCTGTGGTAATTTATTATAGCAGCAAGAGGAAACTAATACAGGCTTCACACTGAGGAAGATTCTCATTTGGACTATAATCTGCAAATGAAGTTATACGTAGTTAGAAATGCAGTAATATGATTGAAAAAATAAGGCACTGTTCATTCAACTTTATGTCTCGTTACTAGAACCCCAGTATTGACTTTTAAAATAAATCCTTTGTCTTGTGAATTTAAAAATGTATTATAAATGTTTAAAGCATAACTTTGTTAAATGTATACCACGATTTCATAACCTGGCTTTGGCATGCCTTTAATTTTTTAAAGTAGACTAAGTGTAGTTTTAGGTTCACAGCAAAATTGAGAGAAAGGTACAAAAATTTCCAATAGCTCCCTGCCCCACACATACATAGCCTCCCACATTATTAACATCTCCCACCAGAGTGGTACATTGGTTACAACTGATGAACCTACAGTGACACATCATTATAACCCACAGTCCCTAGTTTACGTTAGAGTTCACACTTGGTGTTGTACATTCATTCTATAGGATTGATAAATTTACAGTGATGTGTATCCACCATTACAGTATCATGCAGAGTAATTTCACTGCCCTAAAATCCTCTATCCTCTGTCTATTCATGCCTTCCTCTCCTCTAATCCCTGCCCAATCCCTGGCATCCAATTATCTTTTTACTGCCTCCATGCTTTTGCCTTTTCCAGAACATCATATAGTTGGAACCATACAGTATTCTTTTCAGATTGGCTTCTTTCACTTAGTAATATGCATTTAAGTTTTCTCCATATCTTTTCATGGCTTGACAGCTTCTTTCTCTTTAACACTGATTTTTTTTTTTTTTCTGGATGTACTGTGATGTATTTATTCACTCACCTACTGAAAGACATCTTGTTTGCTTCCAAGTTTTGGCAATTATGATTAAGCTGTAATAAACATCTCTGTGTAGGGTTTTTTTTAATTTTATTTTAAGTTCTGGGGTACATGTGCAGGATGTGCAGGTTTGTTACAAAGGTAAACGTATGCCATGGTGGTTTGCTGTACCTATCAACCCTTGACCTAGGTATTAAACCCAGCATGCATTAGCTATTTTTCCTAATGTTCTCCCTCCCCACTCCCCATCTCCCTACAGGTCCCGGTGTGGTTCCCCTCCCCGTGTTCTGATTATTCAGCTCTCACTTATAAGTGAGAACATGCGGTGTTTGGTTTTCTGTTCCTCTGTGCAGGTTTTTATGTGTACAAAAATTTTCAATTCCTTTGGGTAAATACCAAGGAGAAAGATTGCTGAATTGCACGGGCAAAAGTATGGTCAGTTTTGTAAGAAACGGCCAAACGGTCCTCCAAAATAGGTATACCATTTTGCATTCCCACCAGCAATGAATGAGAGTTTCTGTTGCTTCACATCCTCACCAGCATTTGGTGTGTCAGTGTTCTGGATGTTGGCCATTCTAATAGGTGTGTAGTGGTATCTCAGTGTTGATTTAATTTGTATTTATTTGATGACATATGATGTTGAGCATTGTTCATATGCGTATTTGTCATGTGTATCATATTTGGTGAGGTGTCAGAGTCTTTGGCCCACTTTTTAGTTGGGTCATTTGTGTTTTTATTGTTCAGTTTTGAGAGTTCTTTGTTTATTTTGAAGAACAATTTTTTATCTGATATTACTTTGGCAAATATTTTCTCTGTGGCTTGTCTTCTTATTCTCAACAGTGTCTTTTGCAGAGCAGAAATTTTTAGTGATAATGAAGTCCAGCTTATCAATTGTTTTTCATGGATCATGCCTTTGGTGGTGCTTTTAAAAAATGATCACCTAGGTTTTCTGCTATGCTATCTATTAGGAGTTTTATAGTTTTGTGGGTTTTTTTAGGTCGGTGATTCATTTAGGTCAGTGAGTTTTGAGTTAATTTTGTAAAGGGTATAAGGTTTGTCTAGATTATTTGTTGTTTTTGCATGTAGATATGCAGTTGTTGCAGCAACATTTGTTGAAAAGACTGTCTTCGCTTCATTTTGTTGCCTTTGCTCCTTTGTCAAAGATCAGTTGACTGTATTTATTTGAGTCTAATTCTGGTTTCTTTATAATGTTCCATTGATTCATTTGTACATCCTTTAGTCAATACCACACTGTCCTGATTACTGTAGCTTTTTATATGTCTTGAGATCCAGTAGTGTCTGTCTTCCAACTTTGTTCTTCTTCAATATCGTGTTGGCTATTCTGGGTCTCTTGCCTCTCCATATAAACTTAAAAATCAGTTTGTCAATGTCCACAAAATAACTTGCTGGTATTTTGATTGGGATTGCATTGAATTTATAGATTAATTTTGGAAGAACTGACATCTTGACAACATTGAGTCTTTCTACCCACAAACATGGAACATCTTTACTTAGTTCTTTTGTGATATCTTTCATCAGTTTTGTACTTTTTCTCATATGGATCTTGTACATGTTGTCTTAAATGTACACCTAAGGATTTCATGGGGGGGTTAATGTAAATAATACTGTGTTTTTAATTTCAAATTCCACTTGTTCATTACTGGTATATAGAAAATGACTGACTTTTTTGTATTAACCTTGGATCCTACAGCACTGCTATAATCACTTATTAGTTCCTGCCGTTGTCTTTACTTTTTAGTATGCACAGAAGTGCACAATAAATGGAAGTGGCTCTCATCTTTATATCTGAAATACCCAAAACTTACTTTTTTGTTTGTTTGTTTGTCTTTACATGTTAGTATACCTCTCTGGAATACTTGTCTTAGAGATTTCTTTTATTAGAAAATTTTAGTTTCCAGTGGGTTAATTTTTTTAGTATTAACTCAAATATAATTAGCACTACCAGTCATACCCCTCCTCCCCAGCTACACTTATTGTTTTAGTACCCTTTCTTGAGATTAGTTGGGGTGTTTCTCATCAGTACTAATGAACAGCTTAACGGTTCATCCTTTAACTCCACTGAAATCAGAGCCAGAAGAAATAAATTAACATTCTACCATGGGCCATCCCCATAATTTCTGGCAGCCTATGAATTCTAATTTCTGTTTTGCTATTGTGTATCTTATGTAAATGGTACAGTCTATTAACCTCTGACCTTTAACTCATTTTTATACATAAGAAAGGTGACACTCAGAATTGAGGTCTCTCTGCAGATAATGCAGACTAAACAATACCACGTGACAACATTATTATTATCTTTTATTTTCATAATATTTCTTGCAAAGTTATTGTCAGTTGTCTCTACCATCCACTCTGCTTTTCCTGTATAGCTGAAAAGGGAAGCAATGGTGAATATTTAGCCTTAGGACTGAATTAATGATACTAAAGTTTAACTTTTCATAAGAAGCACCTGGAACAATTGTTTCTATGTAGTATTTTTATATATTTTATACAATATAATTTATATAGTATATATTATATAATAATCTTAGAAAATATATTCCTGGCATCTACTGACAGAAATTTTGATTAAATGCCTCCAGAGTAGAACCAGGAATCTGAGTTTTGATACACCTCCATAGATTCCAGTGTAGTTATCAGCCAGACTGAAATAAACACTGAATTTAAAAGAACTATACCCCAACTCACTTTATGTTCAATACATTTAATTTCAGTACCCAAAGCAAAATGCATGTAATATATTAAAATACCATATAAAAATTGCATAAGAAATTTATTTTAAAATTGCATAAGAAATTCATTAAACTGTTTCATTTTCTTGTTAATTTGTAAGAAGGGAAACACAAGGGAAGAATATTTAAGTACCAGAACAGAATGATGGAAGAGAAACAGAAAACCAGATCATCCCCTGGTATTTCTACAGACCTGTCATTCTGTGTGTGTGTGTGCACTTAGAATTCATTTTGCCTTGTAAAAGCTGTCATTTAAACACAGTGTCACCTCTGAGAACCATCAAAGGCAGTATCCTTGACCACAGCTTAAATAGAATAGGAATTGTTGCCTGAAACTGCTCTGAGCACAGAACTAATGCATGCAGTTCAACTGAGGATGCCACATTACTCCAGAAACCAAAAGAGGGTAATGACCCCTTGCACAAGGGACAATGTAACAGAGATAATATCTTTGAAAGTTTTGTTTAGGAAACAAATCACTAATCTAGAGATGGTGGTGGCCAGCCTTAATAATCTGTGGAAGGGAGGAACATATGGAATCATTAAAGAAAAGCAACAGCTAGAAAAGGTAGATTTGTCATTTCTGCAAGAAACATATTGACAACAGCTGTTTATATGCATTTTAACCTTGACTCATTGCTAAAAGAAGATTTAAAGAAGAAAAAATTTGGCTTTAAGATGAAAATGGTCCAAAGGAATTCAAAGTCATATCTTTTATCTGAGGGATAAGAAAAAGAGAATGCGGACGTTGTTCCTTGTGACCACAGCCACCACCCCCATCAACTTGCCAAGCACAGAGTAAATACAGGAAGTGAGCTGTCCAATAGTCTGAATTTCAGACATCATTGCCTTATAGTGCCTTACCCATGAGGGCACCACATCTTTATCTTAAGCAAATTGAAAGGGACTATGGTAGGGTAGAAGCACAAGGGGTAACATGGAGAAGGGAGAGAGAAGACTGCAACAGTCTTTTCATATAATAATATAGTCTCTTCAGTGATGTCCAAAGGATGTAAGGATATAAACAAGCTTTTGATTTTTGCAAAAAGAATGTTTCATTGCTCTCCAGCATGGGACACTCACTGGGATAGACCCTCCCTCCTCCCCCACGAAAAAGAAGAAGAAAAAAAGAATATACAGAGTTTGGGAAGATGCTGTATCATCTACTTAGGAGAGCAATAAACTGTACTGTTTTGGACAATAAGTACTTAGTGGTGACAAAAGGACAATATTTTATGTAGAAGTAACTTGCAGCAGACAGTTAAGAGGAATAAATGAGGACACTGTGTTGTCTTTACTGTACGTGAATAGAAATAAGTTAAATAGAAATTAAGTACTTTCCTTTGTGACCATTGCTACCACTAATTGGCTTAAGACATAAATGAAAGAATAAATGAATAATTGAACGTTAAACTTACCATTGAATATAAACTTAAATCAATAAAGAACTATTTACATTTACTCTTCAGAAAAATTAGAGTGCTTGAAACTATTCACAAAATAAAAAGTTTGTTTTGTTTTTAAGTTTGTAAAGACTCTCTCACTCCAACTTCTTATGTCTTTTCACCTCTCCTACCACTTATCCTTGAAAGAATTCAAGATCTTGACAAGTGATTAAAAAGAAAATCAGAAACTTCCCCCTTTGTCAAATCTTCCTTAGTAATTATTCTCTCTTAACTTCATAAAAATATATGGTTATTAACTGCTATAGTACAATAACAAAACTATACATGAAACTAACCAACACTGGTCTTGGGCAAGTTATCAAATTTCATTATGCTTGTCTTGGTTCTCCTGGCCTCTTGCCTTTCTATAGTCTTTTTATTTTTCCTCACTACCTCCTGAATTGGGTATCTCACTATCAGCTCTGCTGAACCGGAATTCACTTGTGTCTTTCATCTACGAACTTAATCCTGCTAGTCCTGACCAGGACAGGCAGCTTCACTTTGTGAATGGGCCGAATCTTGCATTTGTCTCATTGCCTAGAAAACTGTCTTACTATTCATGGGGTGTACCCACCACTTGCAACCTTTTTCCCAAACTTAACCTCATTGACCCGGGTCTTATAACTGGCTCCTTCTTGGGATTTCACATCTCTTTAGCATGAAGTAAAACACAACCCCGGTTTGACTGACTAGGCTTGAGTCATCAGAGGGCTGACTTCTGATTAATTGGCCGAAGAACTGCTATGAAAGGATTAATCACATACAAACAGGTTGTCACCCCTTGACTGGCTTTAATTGTTATTCTTGTGACTTCTGATGCCTGGGTCTCCCTGGGATGCTCTACAGCCTGGCCTTGGCTTACTTCCCATCCCCACCAGCCAGTGCTGCTAAGATCTGAGCTTGCTCATGTTATGACCCTAAGGCCCTCCTGTCCCTACTTAATCTGGCTGTCAAGAAAAATCTAATCTTTTCATTTATCTTCAAGAATAAGTAGTTATAGTTGTTTGAGACGTCTCCACTTTAGTAAATATCAGAACCATAATTGCTATGATTTGAATATGTTCCTTAAAGTTGATGTGTTGAAAACTTAATTGCCATTGCAGCAGTATTAAAAGGTTAGGCCTTTAAAAGTTCATTAGGTAATGAAGGCTTTGCCCTCATGAATGAATTAATGCCATCATCATGAGAGTGGGCTCCTGATAAAATAATGAAAATTTGGCCCCCATTCCTTTTCTGTCTTACGTGCTTACTTCTGCCTTTTGCCCTGCTGCTATGCAGTAACAATCAACCAGATGCTGTTACTGTGTTCTTGGACTTCCTAGCCTCCAGAACTGTGAGCCATATAAACTTCTATTCTTTATAAATTACCAAACCTGTACTACTCTGTTATAACAGCAGAAATGCACTAAGACTATAATCTAAAGGCTTGATATTCTAACCCTGGAAATTTCCAAGGCCTGGGAATAATGGCAAGAAGTCAAGAAATATACCTTACACATGAGCCAGTGAAAGACTCATCTTGAAAATAACTCATACCTTATATTTGAGGGGATGATCAAGGGTAAATATGCTCTGTAACTGATAAATCAGTTAAGTTGTGGAGAATAAAAACTATAACATTTACAACTTTTTTCAATTGTCTATTGCTGTATAAAAAACCGTTTCAAAACTTAGCAGCTTAAAACAACACCATCTTATTGCTCACAGTTTTATGGATCCAGATTTTAAGCAGCACTAAAGGAAGCAGCTCATCTCTCTTTCACATGGGGTTGGCTAAGGTAGTTCAAATGAAGCTAAAGGAGGATCCAAAATGGACTCCTTTATAGGTTGGGGTCCTTGGTGTTGGATATTGCCTGGGGCACCTTAGTTCTCTTCCACATGGTATTTTTCTCCAGCAGGATAGCCTGATCTTCTTTATATAGTGAATGGTTTCTTTAAAAAACAAACAAACAGATTCTGCCAACGCCTCTTAAATTTCATGCCCCAAACTAGCACAGTGTCAAATCTGTGTCATTCTGTTGGTCAAAGGAAGTCACAAGTCCAGACAGAATTCAAGAAGAGGGAAAGTAGCTGCACATCATGATGAAAGGAATTTTTACAGAAAATGAAGGAATTATTAATGGCCATCTTTGCAGACAATCTTCAACAGGCATTGAGGTGGTTAATTTTATGTGTCAACTTCACTAAGCACAGGATGCTCAGATAGCTGGGTGAGCATTATTTCTGGGTGTGTCTGTGAGGGTGTTTCCAGAAGAGATTAGCATTTGAATTTGTAAGCTGAGTAAAGCAGATAGTCCTCTCCAATATCGTGGGCATCATCTAATGTGTGGAGGGCTTGAATAGAACAAAAAAGTGGAAGAAGGTTGAATTGCCTCTCTGTTTGACAGCTTAAGTTTTACATTAATCTTCTCCTAACATAGGTCCTCCTGATTCTCAGGCCTTCAGACACAGACTGGAATCTAAAGCATTGGCTCTCGGGCTATCCACCCTTCAGACTACAGGACCAGCTTTCCTGGGTCTCCAGTTTGCAATCAACCTACCCTGGGACTTTTCAGCCTCCATAATTGCCTGAGCCAATACTTTATAATAAATATATATCTTCTTATTGGTGCAGTTTCTCTAGAGAACCCTGACTAACATAGGCACCAAACATCCATTTTAATAATCCACTTGTCTTTAGATCACAGCAATATCTACTCAAGAGGTACAGACTCCATTGATTTCTGGCCACAGGAGGGCAGAAGAGTCAATAGGTTATTATTTGGCCTTCCAGGAGAGGGAGATGTCAAAGAAATTCAGAGTGATCTGTATGGCTGTATCTGCTCTTTGGGATCATTTATTTCTACAGGCTGTTCACTTTTAAGGTACCAATAGCTGTCAAAAACCCTCCTTTGCCATCATAAAATCCCAAAACTAGGGTTGAAATATTGGCAAAGAGAGTATATGTTTAAGAAATTGTTTCTGATACGGATGACCCTGCTTTTATATATCCCAAGTGATATACAAAGAACTGATTTTCAAGATGTGACAACATTTAGGTCTCACTTATAAGTGAAGCTCTCCTTAGGACCATACTGTATGGATTAACACTTTATTATTAGAAGGAGAAATGGTAGCAGTGAGAAATTCTTCATATTTGTAATTTTTTCCATTTTTAATTTCAACCACACATATTAAATGTAACTTTAATCAGAGTTAAAACCATGTCACATGATGATCTTAATTTACAAGTCAACAAAACTACAAATATGAAGAAATATTTGCAATAACAGATTAAAAGCAATTAATTTCTTTGAAAGTCAATGAAAAAAATTTTTTTTTCTTTTTTGGAGATGGAATCTCACTCTGTTGCCCAGGCTGGAGTGCAGTGGTGCGATCTCAGCTCACTGCAACCTCCACCTCCCGGGTTCAAGCGATTCTCCTGCCTCAGCCTCCTGAGTAGCTGGGATTACAGGCACACACCACAATGCCTGACTAATTTTTTGTATTTGTAGTAGAGACGGGGTTTCACCGTGTTAGCCAGGATGGTCTCCATCTCCTGACCTCGTGATCCACCCACCTCAGCCTCCTAAAGTGCTGGGATTACGGGCATGAGCTACCACACCCAGCCCCAATGAACAATAGAAGGTGATTTTTATTACCTCAAAGCTGAAAGTTATAAGCTCTGAGTATTATAATTTTTTGTGGCCATCTACTTTAAGAGAGAGAAATGTCTACAAAATGATATGAGCTTTTTTTCCTCTACCTACAGTTGTATACTGAGCAAAGCAGGAATTTCTGAACATTAAAACTACGCTATGTTGGAAAGGGAGCCAAAAAGCTCGATATCTACTAGAGATGTACAAACTTTCTTTAACAGAAGTCACCTGCTTATCAGTTTTTGATAAATAACCCACTGGCAGTAACAATAGGAGAAAAACAATGTATTTTGCCTAATGTTCTATCATGTGGACATGGTGTCCCACTTCAACGACTTGTTTATCTGAGTTAGACCTCTCATTTGAAATCATGGGTGCCATATTTGAACTGTTAATTGCTTCTTCATATCTTGGGACTGGAACTGGATTAAGAGTCCTATCTTATAGGAGACTTCTCCCTGCTTACAAATCCTCTGAAGAGCATAAGTAAATGTGTCGGCCAGAAATAATGGAAGAAACCATCAACAAATGGGGGGAAATCAGATAGAGTCATGGTGTCACTTTCACTTTTGCCATTGCCTGCTGTATTCCAGCTTCTGATTCCACTGCAAATGGAAGCAAAGAAAGCTCATATAGTAATAACAGCAACTAAGGCAACAGTAGTTTTACGTTGATAAGCTAGAGATTTTGAAAGTAAGAGGCTGGCACATAAACTAGATTAGTAGTTCTCAGCTAGGCTACACATCAGAATCATCTGTGGGGTTTTTACAGCTGCAGATGCTAAATCAGAATCCAAGACAGGAAAGTGAAAGTGCTTATTCCAATGAAGACCTTTGTTGATAGTCACCATACTAGATTATCTACAAAGCTGGAAAACCTGGTCTAATTTAACAATTTCTAATTGATGAAGGTGAACAGAGTGTGGTATAATGAACTGAGTACTGAATCAGGGAATAGGTCTAATTTTACTCTGTGAACAGACTTGTTGAATAATTTTAGCTTATTACATGTATCACATTTTAGGCACAGTATTATATGTGTACATCAATAATTCTTTCAGTTCACAATGCTTTGTGATACAAAGGTTATTCTTGCTCCTTTTTTACAGATGTGAAACCTGAAATTAGTGATTTGCCAAAGGAAATGATGAGCTGTGATCCCAGGTCTGTCTAACCTATACTTGTCTCCAAACGGTAGGACAGTGTTTCCGTTCTCTCCATAGTGAGATTCAGCCTCTTTAATGCCTCTTTTAGCAAAATATTACAATGAACTCTTCTCCAATGAACAGTGAGCAATGTCTCCTTGAGCAAACTTTCTTGGATGAATTGAGATGAGGCAACTGAAGAAGGCATTGAAAACTATAATATTCCTTAGAAATTAAGATTTCTTCTCATCTTGAATAATGGCTCTTACATCATCCTAAAGTATAAAATACTTTTTTTCTGAAAATACTTGTTTCTTCATTTTATTACCTTACTTCAACATTTTCCATTATTACAAAATGTTTATTTCAAAAATTGTCTCAAAAATTTTCCGACATAAGCCACCACAATTTTTCCTCAGTAGAAGTGTAATATAAATAAATTGAAATCAAGTTTTCTCTTCATTATAAAAATATTCCCCAAAATTGCATGGTAACTCAATTTTTAATCAAATTTGTTGTTGAATTTTGGAAAAGCTTTTTTAAAGTCTTAAAGTTCAATTAGTTTTTCAAAGAGCCCTAGTATAGCACAAAAACATCATTACTCTTATAAAAACTATATTTTTATTTCCCTAGTAATTTGCCCTGGCAGACTCGGGGGTCAAGGACCTGGTGTTGCAAAATTCCAGTAGTTACCATGTCCAGAAGATATACTGTAAATTGTGCTTCCAGAAGTTGGGTCATACAATGGTACAAATGGAAACTTTGATTTATTATTTTGTTGCTTCTTGTTAACTAATTTTAGAAGACTGAGAGTGGGGGTGTCCATGCTTTAGATCCTTCAAAGAAGGGATTAATGAAAATTTGTTGTTGCTTTTTGGTAAAAACTACTCATTGAGCTAACAGCTAAAAAACTGAATTTCAATATTACCATAAATTTGAAGACAAAATGTTTCCTTGTGGAGGAGGAGTTTGGGCAAAGTATAAATAAGTAATTAAAATTGTGCTCAACTAAAGAGTTTATTGTGGAGGGAAAAGTGATCTCGTGTTCATAAGTGGAAATTAAATGTTTTTATAGAGTGGTGCAGTTATTGCGACAGTGCAAATTATATTAATAGCTAATAGAGAATTCAAATAAAATGTTTCTAAATTATAAAGGCCTACCCCTTTTAATTGAGTTTTGTGTGATTGTCACATGAATGAAATAAAATCTAAGTGTTTCTCATTTTTTCTGCTGGAGCAGACATTCATTTGTTCAAAATGTTCTCACTTTTATCATTGGCATTCAAGCTTTTTGATGGTCAGGTTGTCCAAAAAGCTGAAAAGTGTAACCCAGAAACAGACTGGTAGGAGTGACTATGAAAACTTGCATCTCACTAGTGTTTAATAGAGACATTCATAATTGGAATCTGAAGATCAGATTTTTCTAGATTGCTGATTATCCACCCAAAGCTTAACAGACACCCAGAACTTGTTGCAAGTATACCTACTCACATTGACTGTCTTTCTTTTAATATTTGTTTAAAATTTATTGCCTATTATAACAGTGATCTCCAAAGAAAGATATGTATGCTTTCAAGTATATGCAAGATAATCCATTAGGCTACAGGAAGTAAGGAGTAAAGCTTCTATTTATATGTGCTTTGCATTTCATCCCTTTTAAACTTTTAAATTTTTTGAGTTTTGTTATGTATTTACCATTAGTGTTAAATACGTGTAGCACACACAGTAGCACATGCACACTACTTAAACTTTTTTAAAAATATACTGCTAGTACAGAGTCAAAATTTTCAGTAATGGAGATGCATGTCCAACAAAGTTTATAGCTAATATCCTATAGTTCTGTGCTCATTTTAGCTCTTAAGTAATGACTGAATCTTCCTGAACTCAGGCTATCTTTATGGTATTAGGTCAGTGAGGAGATCCCTCTGAGCTTTTGTTTCCTCATTACATACATTATATAAGATGTAGTGATGATTTATCATTCTTCTAAGAAGAGTTTTGTAAGAGATAAAGTGTGACTCAAATATGTATGGACACCTTGAGAGCAGAAAATAACTGAGTTTTGCATCACTTTCACAGTAGCCACCAAATAGATGTTTAATAAATATATGAATAGAGGAAAGAATGAGGGTCTATCTGTCATTAACATTCTTATGGGAAAGAGCAGGATGTGGTTATAAATGTAAATGATTATAAGTAGAACAAAGTAAGTCTTGTTTCATCCCTGGTGCTGTGATTTTTGAAAAACGTCATTCATTTTTGCCAAGCTCAGTTTCTTACTTAAATTGGGCATCATAATATTATTTTAATGTCCTACCTACACGACAGGGTTATTTTCAAAATAAAATGTATGTGAAAATCTGTCATGACCTCTAAAGAAAATGTAATGCTAACATTGGTTATTGTTTCTTATAGTTATATCATCTTCTCCTGCTGAATTGCACTTGATTGGAAGGGAGGGTCCCTCACTACCTTGAGCTTTTATTACATTCCCCTCAGTGTCTAATTGAGCTTTATATAGAATGAGATCTTTAAAAAAAAAAAAAAAAAGCTTATTAAGGAGTGGTGGGCACCTTCTGTTTTCAAAGCTGCCCTTCCTTTTCAGCAAAAGGTAGTAGTGTTTGAGGGGTTCCAACAAGTATCAACTTGTGTAGCCCTAAGCACTTTTTATCAATAAAAAGGCAAAGCATGAACTAGAGAGGATGCTTGATTTATACCTGTCTAGGCAATCAACCTGCCACCCACAGAAGTGTTGGAAATTTGGCAGTTAATCAGCAAGGCACTTTTTGTGCTTTATTCTTTACTGTTGATCCTTTGTTTGTTCCATAATGGTGTCCTTAGTCATTTTGTCCCATAATAAAAGCTCTGTGGAACTTTGTCCATACTCTACAGCATCTTCAGTGACAGAAGAGCGCCTACCAAATGCTTAGTGAATGCAGGAATTAACCCATTAAAAGTAAGGATATGTGTACTCATTCAAAAACTTGAGGGATTTACCCAACCCTTCTTTTAATTTAATTCAGTAAAAGTTTTCCCCAATTTCCTTCTTTTTCTGGAAAAAGAGTGAAAAAACTAGAGTTTGTGTTAAATTATTTTCCAAAGTTTTAAGCTTCTTCCTTATTCAGATTACATTGCAGTTTCTCTTCTGTGTCTGTATGTATGCACATTTGTTTTAAATGTATATAATAATAGACATCCTTTTGATTAAATCTCAGTCTTATTTATGTTCCTATTTTTCTGAGGACTGTAATTTTAGTTTGAGGAAAATAAAAAAAAATTACTGTGTGTTTGAGCATAAATACATCCATTCTCAAAGATGTGCCTTTCTTTGGACTAATTAGGCTTTTTTCCCAAATATATAACCCAAGAAAGTGTTTTACAAACAAACTAGAGAGGTTATAGAATGAATTTTAAAATTTAACCATTCAAGGTACCATTATATTTACTTTCAGAAATTGTGAATTTGAAGATTTGAAAATAATCACATTTCATGCACTATTTAAATTTGCTTTGCCTAAGACTCAAATTTTATGTGCATTTTTTTTCTCATTCTCCTAAATAGCACTTTTCTGAAGCAATTGATGATTATCTCCACAAGTCTTATAGGGTAAGAATACTGAGATGTCAGAGTTATATCCAGTTGCTCAATTGACCAAATAAGTTCCTTTTGCTTTTCTCACCCTGCCTGTCTCCTGGGGTTCACTTACAGAGGGGTCAATTGTCCAAAAGGCAAGGCGTAAGACATGGGGAGAGACAAAGTCCTAGCTAAAGAGAACTAGGAAATTAGATCCCCGATAGTCAAGAGTTGATATAAAAAAGCTCTTTTCACAAAGAACTTCCCATTATTGTCTCCTTGACAGACTGGAGAGTTCAATTTGTCAAGATCTGTTGAGTTGCATGCAGTTGATGTAACCTGACAGCTAGCAACATGTAGGGGTCTGGTGACCAAGCCAAGACATTCAGAAGCACAGACTAAGTAGAGATGACTCTTTTTCTAATCAACTGGAATTATATTTTTCAGAGGTTTCTCAGTCTGTTGCACATTAACAGCATGTGTTAAGCACATTTTGTGGTTTATAAAATTGTAATTATAGAAATGAATTCTTTTGGTCACAAATTAATTACAGGAAAAAGTAATGATGAAGGCTTAACTATTGATTCATTACATCTCTTAAGACTTCCGGGATATTTCACAGGCAGATTGATGTAGTTCAACCTCTTTTTGGATGGACAGCTAACTTGGGTTTAAGTAGAACTTAATTTAGATTCAATCTGTAAATATTCACTTATTACAACAATGCAGTGAGAATCTTTTTTTTAAAGCAGCACATTCTACTGTCATTATTAAATATATGCATAATATTCCCCAGAGGCTTAAGAGTATAGTCAGACACACAAACACACACACACACACACACACACACACACACACACACACACACACTTTCAACATTCTAAAAAAATAAAATAAAATAAGATTCATGCAATATTTGAATCTCAGCTACCAAAATTTAATTAATAAAATAAATTGAATGAAGCCAAAGTACCAGATTTCTAGATGTTCTTAATGTCACTTATCTCCATTATAAATCTTCAAATACTATTAGTACTTCCTTTGGGACAGAGTGGATGAAAAGGGAGAACAGATTGCTAGTAGAGTCAGGTGGTGCAACCATAAGCATGGTGGGCAGCATAATTACAGTTCTTAAAGAAAGTATATACAAGGAGCACTGCATAACTGTTACTGGAAAATCACATTGATCAACTGACCAGTCTACAACATCCTCCACTATAGATGGGGCACCTCCTTGGACAAATATCCTCAGTAAACAGAAGACAAATATCAGTTTTGAATCACCAAGGGTTCTACATATATTGACTTTGATTGCCAAACAAGGAATTATTTCCTTGTTTGTATTTTCCCCATTGTAAATACTTGAATAATATTTGCTACACTCTCTATTTCCTTCATTGCACTCATTACCATTTATTTATGTTCTTATTTGCTTATTTGTCTCCTACTCTAAGTGGTAAGATTGTCATTTTTCTTGGGGAGGGAGATACATTTTTATTGAATTATAATGTTCATACAGGAAAGTACACATATCACTAGTGTAGAACTCAGTGAATTTTTACAAATTGAACACATCTGTATAATTGGAGTCTACATTAAGAAATAGAAAACAAACAGCACCCCAGAAGTCTCCTGGTGCTATCTCATAAGTTGCTATATTCCAAAAATAAGCATTATCTGATTTTTAACAGCTAAAACTATTTTCACCTGTTCTTAGAATTAATATAAATGAAACCATACAGTACGTACTATTTTGTGTCTGGCTTCTTTTGTTCAACATAATGTTTAGGAGACTCATATTATTGGGGTAGTCATAGATCATTCATTCGTAATGCTCTGTGATATTACTGTGTATAAATATACCCCCAGTTACTTATCCATTCTATTGCTGATGTGCATTTGGGTAATTTCCAGTGAGAATTATTCCAAATAATTCTATAAATATATGTTCATTAAAAGGATTTGTTTTTGGTGAACATATGTATACATCTCTGTGGTGTGTATCAGCAGTGGAATTGTTGAGTCATAGAGTATGCGTATGTTCGCTTTCAGTAGATATGCCAAACCGTTTTCCAAAGTGGTAAAACCAATTTCCACTTTGCCGTCAGTGTATGTGTGAAGGATTATATCTATTTTCTTCACAATTGTATCTTCTGTACTTGTCATAGTGCTTAGTACATGGTAGGCACTCAAGAAGTCTTAGATGAATCAACTCAATTGATATGTCAACAGTGGCTAAATGACTATGGCCATTTCATTGATCTTTTCAAGCTTGTAAGGAGCCAAAACAACTTTATAGCCCAATTTACAATTTTGCCAGAATCTTCCCCTAGATAATTAGTACCTTGAAAAAAAGACTTCCTCACTGAAGCTTTTTTTGTACTCAAATGGCTTACTCAATGGAATAAGCAGTATTCATTTGATAACATAATAGAACATACATATGTTAGCACAGTAAGGCATTTTAACCTCAAATCTCCTTCCTCCTCATTATACAGCTGAGGATACAGAGGGCTGGGCACAGTGGCTCATGCCTGTAATCCTAGCACTTTGGGAGGCTGAGGTGGGTGGATCATTTGAGATCAGGAGTTTGAGACCAGCCTGGCCAACATGGTGAAACCCTGTCTCTACTAAAAATACAAAAACTAGCCGGGCATGGTGGTGAGCACCTGTAGTCTCAGCTACTCAGGAGACTGAGGCAGGAGAATTGCTTGACCCCATGCTGTTGTTGTGATAGTGAGTGAGTTCTCACAAGATCTGATGGTTTAAAAGTGTGTACCACTTCCCCCCGGCTCTCTCTCTCTCTCTCTCCTACTGCCATGTAAAGAAGGTGCTTCCCTTTGGCCTTCTGCCATGATAGTAAGTTTCCTGAGGCCTCCCAGTCATGCTTCCTGTTAAGCCTAAGTCTCAGGTAGTTCTTTATAGCAGTGTGAGAACAGCAGATTTAACACCAGGCAGATTTAACCCAGAGAAGACTACCTCAAGGCCTCTAATGATCAAACTCCTAAAGGTCAAAAATAAAGAAAGGATCCTACAAGCAACAAGAGAGAAGAAACAATATGCAATAGAGGTCCAATATGTCTGACAGCAGACTTTTCAGTGCTGTCTTGTAGCCCATTATTTTTAATTGGTGACAACTTAACACTGATTCCATAAACAAACAAACATGGATAAATAAAACTAATAAAAACTCTACACTTTAACTTCTTCCCTTTGCTTTTTAACTTTTTGTTGTTTCTCTTTATGTCTTATTATACTGTCTATGTCTTGGAAAACTATTTTAGTTTATTATTTTTGATTAGTTCATCATTTAGTCTTTCTACTGAAGTTTAGTAATTTACACACCACAGCTACAGTGTTATAATATTCTGTATTTTTCTGTGTGCTGACTATTACCAGTGAGTTTTGCACCTTCAGGAGACAGTGGCATGACATATTTAAAGTGCTGAAGGAAAAAAAATTGGAAACTAGAGTAGTATATCCAGTGAAAATATCCTTTAAGCATTAAGGAGAAATAAAGACCTTCTCAGACAAACAAAACCTGAGGGATTTCATCAATACCTGAACTATCCTACAAGGAATGCTGAAGAGACTTCTTCAGTGTGAAAGAAAAAGAAGTTAATGAGTAAGAAGATACAGAGAGAGAAATACATGAGGCAAAACTGATAAACTGCAACGAGATATAAATGAGATAAACTATTATCATTGGATATTTTAACACGCTTTTATCAGAAAAAAATCCAGCAGGTAGAAAATCAGTGAGGACATAGATGAACTTAATCCATTTATTGGACTGCTTCATCCAACAGCAGCAGCTTATACATTTTTCTCAAGCTTACATGAAAGATTCACCAATATAGACCAGATGGGGGGCCATAAAAAACACATTAACACATTTTTAAAAAATAGAAACCATAAAATTCTGCTCTCAGACCACAATGCAATTAAATTAGAAATGAATAACAGAAAGATAGCTGAAAAATCCCAAAATGTTGAAGATTAAACAAAATACTTCCAACACAAGTCATAGAAGAAATCTCAAGAGAACTTTAAAAATATTTCAAATTAAATGAAAATAAAAATATAACTTATCAAAATATGTGGGATGCAGTGAAAGGAGTGCTTAGAGGGAAATTTACAGCACTGAATGCATATTTTAGGGAAGACAAATTATCTAAAATGAATAATCTAACTTTCTGTCTTAGAAAACTAGAAAAGGAAGAGGAAATTAAATCCAAAGTAAGCAGAAGAAAAGAAATATTAGAAGTGAGGGCAGAAATCAATGAAATTGAAAACGGAAAATCAATAGAGAAAATCTACACAACCAAAAGCTTATATTTAAAGAAGATATTTTAACAGTTCTGTACAATCTCTTCTAGAATATAGAAGCAGAGAAAATACTTCCCAACTCATTCTATGATGCTAGCATTACCATAATATCAAAACCAGACAAACATATTATAAGAAAACTACAGACCAAATAGCTGTCATGAACATATATGCAAAAAATCTCAAAAAAATAGAAAATTGAATTCAACAATGTATAAGAAAATTTATATACCACAACCAAGTGGGATTTATCACACATATCCATGGCTTATTAAACATTTGAAAATCAATTAATATGATTCATCACATCAACAAGCGAAAAAAAACACGTGATCATATCAATAGATGCAGAAAAAGCATTTGACAAAATCCAACATTTATTTATGATAAAAACTCTCAGTAAACTAGGAGGAGAGGTGAGCTTCCCCAACTTGATTAAGAATATCTACAGAACACCTCCAGCTAACATAATATTTAATGGTGAGAAACTCAGCCTTCCCACCAAAACCAGGAACAAAACAAGGATGCCCCTTCTCACCACTTCTTTCAACATTATACTGAAAATACTAGCTAATGCAATGAGACAATAAAAAGAAATAAAAAGTATACAGATTGGGATGGAAGAAATAAAATTGTCTTTATTCATAGATAACATTGTCATCTATGTAGGAAATCTGAAAAAATGGAAAAAACACTTGCCTGAGGCCAGGTGCAGTGGCTCATGCCTGTAATCCCAACACTTTGGGAGGCCGAGGTGCATGGATCACCTGAGGTCAGGAGTTCGAGACCAGTCTGGCCAACATGGTGAAAACTTGTCTCTACTAAAAATACACAAAATTAGCCAGGTGTGGTGGCAGGCACCTGTAATCCCAGCTACAATCCCAGGTGTAATCCTCAGCAGGAGGCTTAAGCAGGAGAATCACTTGAACCCAGGAGGTGGAGGTTGCAGTGAGCCAAGATAGCACCACTGCACTTCAGCCTGGGCAACAAGAGCAAAACCTGAAACGCCCTCTCATAAAAAAAAAAAAAATCCCAACGAGTTATTTTGTGAATATTGACAGACTCATTCTAAGGCTTATATGGAAAGGCAAAAGATCTACAATAACCAACAAGATATTGAAGGAAAAGAACAAAATTGGAGGACTGACACTACCTTACTTCAGACTTACTATAAAGCTACAGTAATCAAGACGACATAGTATTGGTGAAAAAAATGGACAAATAGGTCAATGGAACAAAGTAGAGATCCCAGAAATAGAACTACGTAAATATAGTTGACTAATCCTTGACAAAAGAATAAAAGCAATAAAATGAAGCAAAGATAGTATTTTCAAAAAATTATGCTGGAACAACTGGACATCCACATGGACAAAAATGAATCTAGACACAAACCTTACACCCTTCATACAAATTAATTAAAAAATGTACCATAGACCTAAATACAAAATGAAAAAGTATAAAACTGCTAGACAATAATAACATAGGAGAAAACCTAGGAGAATTAGGGTATGGTAATGAATTTTCAGATGCAACATTAAAGGTATTATCCATAAAGAAATAACTGATAAACTAGAATTTGTTAAAATTAAATACTTCCTCTGATCTGTGAAAGAGAATTTCAAGAGAATGAGAAGACAAGTTACAGATGAGGAGATAGTTTTTTAAAACGATAAAGGGCTGTTATCCAAAATGTACAAAGAATTCTTAAAATTCAACAGTAAAAAACATAACAATTCCCCCTCCCCCCACAGAGTCTTTTTTTTTTTTTTTTTTGAGATGATATCTGGCTCTATTGCCCAGGCTGGAATGCAGTGGCACGATATCAGCTCACTGCAACCTCTACCTCATGGTCTCAGGCCATCCTCCCACCTCAGCCTCCCAGATAGCTGGGACTACAGGCACACACCATCATGCCTGGCTAATTTTTGTATTTTTTTGTAGAGACAAGGTTTTGCCATGTTGCCCAGGCTGGTCTCAAACTAATGAGCTCAAGCAATCCACCTGCATTCATCGCACAAAGTGCTGGGATTAGAGTCACAAGCCACCATGCCCAGTCAATGACTATTTTTAAAATGCCAAAATTAGATATCTGAATAGATAACTCACTAAAAAAGATATACAAATGCCAAATTGGCATATGAAAAAATATTTTGCAACATATATCATTTGGGAACTGCAAATTAAAAAAACACTGAGATACCACTACACATTATTAGAATGGGCAAAATCCAGAACACTGACAACACCAAATGCTGACAAGGATGTAGAACCACAGAAACTCCCATTCATTGCTGGTGGGATTGCAAAAATAGTACAACCACATTGGAAAACAGTTTGGCAGTTTCTTACAAAAGTAAACATACTTTTACCATAAAATCCATTAATCGCACTCCTTAGTATTTACACAAATGAACTGAAAACTTTGTTAACGCAAAGAGCTGCACATGGATATTTATAGTAGCTTTAATCATAATAACCAAAACTTGGAAGCAACCAAGGGGTCCTCAGTAGGCAAGTGAATAAATAAGCTGGCACAATAAAAGTACTTCAGTACTTAGTGCTGAAAAGAAATGAGGTACGAAGCTATGAAAATATGTGGGGGAGACAAATGCATATTACTCAGTGAAAGAAGCCAATTAAAAAATGCTACATACTTTATGTTTCCAATTATATGCTAAAAAGGCAAAAGCATGAATACAGTAAAAATATCAGTAGTTGCTAGGAGTTAGGTGGGACAGAGGGCTGAACAGGTAGCAAACAGAGGATTTTTAGGTAAGTGAAACTATTCCGTATGATACTAAAATTTTGGACACGTCATTATACATTTGCTAAAACCGATAGAATGTACAATACCAAGAGTGAATCCTCGTGTAAAGTGTGTCAATATAGTTTCAGCAGTTTCATTTATTGTAACAAATGTACCACTTTGGTGCAGGATGTTGATAGTAGGGGAGTTTTTTTGTTTTTTTGGTTTTTGTTTTGTTTTGTTTTGTGTGTGTGTGTAGGAGAAAGAGAATATAAGGGAACTATCTGTACTTTCCTCGTGATTTTGCTGTGAACCTAAAATTTCTCTTTAAAAAAATAAAGTTCATTAATTTTTTAAAATGCAAACAAACAAAAACCCAGGGCTGAGCAGGTTGTCTACATTCCTTAATGATAGAGCAATGCCATACTGGACCTCCAGTGAATGGCTTATTTGGTGCCTCCTCATGGTATCTAGCCAGCCTTACACTAAGCCAGTGGGCCTCACTTTGAAGTGTCATCAGAATCACTTGAAGGTGTTGTTAAAGCATATTTTTTTCAGAATCATTTTCTGATTCAGTGTGTCTGGAGAGGGACCACAGAATTTGAGTATTTAACAAGTTCTTACTTGAGACTGAGGCTTCTGATTTGGAAAGCACAGTTTGAGGACCACTGCTCTAAGTAATAGGGGATGCATTCTTTTCAATCCTAGTCCCCTTGTCTATGGGCAATGTCCTTCCTCAGAAAAGATTTTAAGAACTCAGACTTCATATAAGCACATTGTACGCTACCTCTACATCGTTTTCCTGTGGTTTTAACTAAGTTTTTCTTCTTGTGGATTATGCCTCCCCCTTCAGTATTAGGTTCAGGATTCTTAGTCTTTATAAATAAAACCAAAGTCAAAATATAATGCAATTGAAATAGAATATGTTTCTCTTCTATTTCATTCTATTTCTATTTTCAATTGAAATAGAAAAATTTAGAATATATTTCTATTTCAATTGATATATTTTGCCTTTGGATTTATTTATTTCAGTTGATACTACAGAGAATCAATTTAACCACAGCCAATATGACAGTCCCTGTCACATAATAACTATATCATATAACCTATGGTAATAAATAATATGCATGATTCTTCTCCACAAATAACACAGTTTAACCAAAATGAAGAAATGGAGGTAAAACAATGACTTTTATCAAGTCTTTGTGGCTCAGAGATGGGGTTAAGAATAGAATTTGAGAATACTTTCTGCTTCTCTGATCTTATTGCTGACACATTTTATGGGCCATGTTCTGTGTCTCTAGAATTAAGCTAGATTTTGTGTAAGAGTAAACTGTTTACTCACCATAGGTCATTGCCAGGGGCCATTAAATCTCAGGTCCCATTTGGAGTGGAAAAAGACAATTTATTCAAGAAAAAACAAATTAAATTATTATATCATGGCTAAAGTAAAGAGCTTGTTTACGCTCTGTCAAGGTTCATCAAGTTAAAAGAATATGTCAATATTGTTGCCTTTTTTGGCTGTGGCTTGGAAAATAATTTACGAGCATTATTGAAAGAAGTTTAGGACCAAGAAAAAAGGAGTAAAACAATCATAATATAACTGCCTGACTCAACTAGCCCTAAAACCCTATTTGACATATGAGAACCATATCAAAGAGAAGATGAATCAATGAGACTTTCACAAAAACCTACTTTGTTTTATCCACATTGTTGAGATTTTTCTGTTTTATTAGACAATGATTCTTTGTGTGAAGGACAGTGTGTATGCACTGTAACTTGTCATCTGTCTGAGTTTCAAAACCCTGCCTGGGATGCTGATTTTACCTCCTTAAAAGGACTGAATTACAGAATTAAGAAATACAATGGAGAAGTGGGAATGCCACACTGAGTTGAGATAATGATCCTGATAAAAAATTGGGAAAGCATGTTAAGAAAATAAGGGAAAATATCATCCACATGAAAAAGGCTTTTCAGATATCCCCGACACATGCTGTATTCCCTCTTCTAGCAAACCTTACCAACACCTAACCTTTCTATTGATTAATTCACAACTGCCTATTTAGCAGTCACCTATTACAAAGGGATCCCAGCCAACCAGGTCTCAGGAGTTGACTGCATGGCCCAGCATCGACAGGAAGGTGCAGCTGCGCCAGGGCCTTCTTGCCATGGCTTGTGGGACATTTCCCATGGTGGGAAGAATAAGACATCACACTTCTGGCCATCTTGCTATCTGAGGGTCTCAAAAGTAACAGCCCCAACTTCCTCACCTACTTGAGGATTCTATGCTTTGGAAAAACAAGAATAACATTCTTCCTTGTTAAGAAGGTATCAACCTATTATTAAAGAGCTGCACAGATGATACACAACATGGTCTACCCCTCCAAGAAATTCCAATCTAATTAAAGGAAAAAATGTTGCACCTAAAGCCTAGTGCAATTAAGAGCTCAATTATGTGGCTGAGGTAATATAGGCAATAGATGATATGGTCATCCAGTAATAATAATAACATTTCTATTTCCATTCCCACAGAGTTTGGTTGTTATTCTAAGGTTTACATGTACTGTTGTAATAGCAACTGCTTACTAATCAAGCCTGGTTTAATCTTTATATAATGATGGGTTTTCCTATGGAAACAAACACAAAACAGGAAAGAAAAAAGCTAGATACTATTTCAAAATTATGAAATTATACTTTATTTCTCATATAGAAAAGAAAAAAGAAGCAAAGTTTTTTCATCTATAGACACAAACTTTTAATGTTCCCAGTGTGCCTTCTTCCTTTTCCAATATAAAAAAGACACGAGTGAAGAATTAATATTCATATCAAATGAAGCCATTAATTGAGGATATAAAGTTTCTGAAGGCTATCAGGCAAATTTGCCAAGCATATAAAGAGTATACTGGTATAAAAATGGTTTATTACCTTTATACCAGGAAACTATGCTGAAAGAATCTTTAGCAACAAAGCCTCTATTTATACTTCTTCCAAATAGCCTCTTGTGATACCAAGAATAAAATATATTTCCACATATAGCAGGAAACATTTTCCTGGAATTTTGCCATTGCCTTTTGGAATGATATTAAATATTTTATTTTCATTCAGATTCTCTTCCGGATTTTACTCCATAAAACCATCTTGGCATGTAGAAGAAAAATATATGTCAAAGAAACTAGTAAATAAGGGAAGGATTAATCAGGTCATGATGATAGGAAACTATAATTTGTACTGTTCAAGTGCTGATGGCACAGATCACTCAAGGGGAGTAGTAACAGTGACTTGAGAAATGTGCCAGAAATGCTTCGAAATATAGTTCAGATAGACACTATAAAATCTTATGCATTTTCCAAAATTATATGTGGTTTATCATTTTCAAATAATGTAGCCAAGTTTACTTGTTTCATATTCTTCTTCCTTTATGTTTGCCTTAATCTATTCAGGCTGCTATAACAAAATACCATAAACTGGGTGGCTTATAAACAATAAACATTTATTTCTCACAGTTCTGGAGACTGGGAAGTCTAAGATAAAATCTGCACTAGCAGATTTGATGTCTGGTGAAGGCCTGTTCCCCACGGATGGAAACTCTAGTTGTCCTCACATGACTGAAGGGAATAGCTAGCTCTCTGGAGTCTGTTTTATAAGTTCAGTAATCCCATTCATGAGGTTAGAGCCCTCATAACCTAATCACCTTCCATAGGCCCTATTTCCTAATATTATCACATTGGGGATTCGATTTTAATGTATGAATTTTGGGGAGACACAGACATTTAGACCACACCAGTATCATTATTATTTTTTAAGCTTTAATAAACTATTGAAGTGTAGGGAGAAAATTTGTATTCAATTTTGTCTCATTCAATATCTGTTTTTAAATGTGTATTTCATAATGTACATAAATTAATATGGTTATATAATTATAAATAAATGAATAAAAGATACACGGGGAGAGGTGCCCAAAATTCCTTTATTCTTGAGAAGAACTTGTTTAAAATAATTAGACACGACCTTAGGGAGCAACAACCCATCAGTTAACATCAATAATAAAAGGAAAAAAACAGAATAAAGCAATAATATGAACATTTAGGATTGGATTAATATATTTTGTTGGCATTATAAAAAAACAGGAATGAAGCTGCATTTGTTTCTTTCGTAGAAGAAACAGACAAGCGGGTGAGCCCTGAAGTGATATACTGGTGATATACTGGTAAAGTAAGCAAGAACAGTAAAAGAATAAATGTGTAAAAATGTTTCTTATATCAATTTTTGTGTTACACAAATACATGAAATAAATGGGAAATGACAACATAGCCAAGAAAAGAAAGCTTAAGATGATTCAAAAAGAAAATAAATAAAGGCATGGTTACAGTAAAAGAAAAACTCCCTCTTGGAAAACTAACACAAGGCCAAAGCTTTTTATCTTTATTTAAAATTAAAAAGATCAGTCCAGAATATCCTCCAAAAGATACTTCGATATTTCACCTCAAATCTTCCTTTCTTTTGAACTCTTCCTTCTTTCCTCTGCTTCTCACTATCCTTCTCTGAGCCTACTTTCTGCAGCCAGGACTTGGAGAAGATAAACTCCCTATTCAAGTGGACATTTTCCCTCACTCAAATAGCTAATCTCAACTTAAGACACATAATAATAACAGCAGTAAAAACTAATGATATGAGCTCTTACAAATGTTAACTCTTCTAAGGTAGACATAATTATCCCTTTTATAGATGAGGAAATTCAGGCATATATTGCTCAAAGTAATCAACTATTAAGTGGCAAGGCCAGGATTCAAATCCAGGTATCTGGCTTCAGTACCTATACTCTTCACTACTATGCACTACTATCTAGTAATATGCCAAATAAAATACAAGTAAGGTTTCCATGAATTTCTCATTTAAACTTTTCTTTTTTTTTTTTTTTTTTTTTTTTGAGACAGTCTGGCTCTCTCTTCCAGGCTGGAGTGCAGTGGCGCGATCTCAGCTCACTGCAAGCTCCGCTTCCTGGGTTCACGCCATTCTCCGGAGTAGCTGGGACTACAGGCGCCCGCCACCACGCCCGGCTAATGTTTTGTATTTTTTAGTAGAGACGGGGTTTCACCGTGTTAGCCAGGATGGTCTTGATCTCCTGACCTTGTGATCTGCCCGCCTCGGCCTCCCAAAGTGCTGGGATTACAGGCGCGAGCCACCGCGCCCGGCCTCATTTAAACTTTGTGTGTGTGTTCTGATTCCTAAGATTCCAGCATTCTAGAGCCTTTATTTTGATCAAGTAATATTACCATAAATGGATTAAGCTTAACATATGGCCTCTGAAGTTAAGGGAGTGAAATAAGAGGAAAAGGGAACTATTCCAGTTACAAAGTTGTTATTTCTATGCAATCAGATGTAGGTGAAGAAGAAATTGCAAAGTTGGCAGTGCTTTTTCTCCTTTGCACATCTAAAGACTGCTCGGCAGTGTAACCACGAAGCAAAGCCTGGCACAGCTGTTCATTCTGTCTCATCATCTTTTATCTATGCAGTACTTTCCCCTTAGAGTGAGTATCTGAAATTCTGAAAGCCGCGTGCTTCATTTCCCATCATTCTACACCTATGCCAAGTTTCAAGATTGGCTTTGATGTGTATCTAAAGTGGCTTGGCACACTGCTGTCATCATTCCCTGCATCTGTCCCACTCTGTGAAACTGTGATGTGATCATCACTGTCCCACGGGAGGAGACCAGCTGCATGTGGAACCCTAGCGATGTCCTTCTACAACTCTGTGTGGTGCATGGGTCATGATGATGATTGCTGGAGGGTACAAAGTGAATGGGTTACAGTTACATGTTTTGAAATCATGTAGGAGTTAAGCAGCTACCCTACCTCTAAGCTATAAACCTTCCACCCTAACGTTTTAGTTCTGGCTTTTTACTCTCACCAAGGATTGCAATGGCAGCCAAACTTAAAATCTCCAAGATTCAAACGCTTTCTTTTTCTAGGATAAGGAAAAAGCCTAGCATAGTATTTATTTGTGTTCTAGATAATGCCTTTTGGTGAGTACTAACATAGTTGATGAGTCATTGTTCTCAGTTAATTTTTCATGGATTTATAAAGTATATTGTTTCTATTCAATTAATGTCTTGTTCCAAAGCTTGAGTGACCATTTTGAAATAAACCCTCAAATAGAAACTGTGCATTTAATCATTCACCAATCACTGCACATTCTAATGACATGGTTGTTATTAAAACCTCTAATAACATTAATAACAAAAACAAGCAGCTGCCAGGTGTGGTGGCTCACACCTGTAGTCTCAGCTACTGGAGAGGCTAAAGCAGGAAGATCACTTGAGCCTAGGAGTTTGAGGCCAGCTTGGACAACATAGCAAGACACCTATCTCTAAAACAAAAATAAAAACACCCTCCCCAAACAGCCAAACCCTATCCCGACTCTAGAATGTAAACAAGTGAAAAATCCTCAGAGTATACAGGGATCTATGCTTAACATTCTCCTGTTTTTCATAGGCTACATGATGATACTGTGAAAAAAAAAATCCTCGGTTTTTATGTCTTTTTTGGCTTTAATTTAGGTTTATTTGTTTCTTGAAGGACTTGATATCTGACCTCAGTGTAAGACATTCAAAGCTCTCAGAACTTCTCCCAAATTTTCTCTTTCAGATTTCATCTCAAGTATAAAGTAATGAAGTGAGAAGATTGATGTTGAAAGGGACCTTGGAGGGCATTTTAATATCTACCTTTTGAAATGAAAAACAAAATAAAACAAGAGATTCTATAATAATTCAATGCCAACTGAATGCAATACACTCTTTCAGATGTTGCAAAGAAAGGTAAGCCCAAGGCTGATCTGTAGGGTTACATTCACCAGCTCCCAGCCAAGGGGGAGCTCTGGCAGGAGGTCAATTGGGAGAAGGAAGGAAAGTGACAAAGTTATTACTCCCCTGGCCCCCTCGCTTTGCAGGTTCCTCTGACTGACCACAGCTCACTGCTTCTCTCCCTGTGTGCTCTCACCTTCCAGGCATCACCTCAACTCATCCCTCATTTTTGTTGGGCTTGGGGGTGGTGACAGCTTTGCTGTTGCTGGCCCTGGGCTTCTGTGCTCTGCCCTGTGCTTTCCCCATCCAGACTTTTATGATTAGTTTCCTTGTAAATAAGTCCTCCCTAACTTATTCTGAGCGTGCCTTCTGTTTCATTTTGGAATACTAACTAAAATAGAGATGTCAACTCAGATTTCAGGAAGCTTACATTTTAGCTTAATCTTCCAAGGCCATTCAGGAGAGCAGACTTGAGATTAGCATGCCACTCTCTTAACTTCTGAGAGATGATTTAAGAAGCCCCATACAGCCCATAGGACAGCTTCAACTATCCCAGCAAATCGGCAGGTATATACAGTTTGGCAGGTACAGGATATTTCTAAAATTTGCGACTAGCATTTAAAAATTGGTAAAATTTATAAAAAACATTTGGATTTATGAGGGTATTTGGCTGTGTCTGGGAGTAGATTTGGAGCTGTTAATACAGCTTTTCTACAGTCTCCACCATTTTGCCTTGCCTTACTCCCAACCTATTGCTCTGAGTAGGTATTGAGTTTGCAAACCTTGTCTTAATATATTTTCTCTTCTAGAGATGTTTGTATGTGAGAGGAATCAAAAATTTTAAATAATAAAAATAATATTTTAATGGTAGAAATTAGGTATCTGTAGTTATGGAAGAGCTGCAAAGGGGTGTTTTGTTTTGTTTTGTTAGCCAGGAAAAGAGAGCAGCAGGTCTTCGGATAGCCTTGAAATTATAGGGTTTGAAGGCTCCTAGTCTGGGCAGCAGTCCTCATGGACTGTGGCTTTTCAGAACTCATTCCAGGGCTATTCTATCATGTTGATTGTACATCCTTACAAGCCTTTTTTCCCTGTTATCAGCATTTCCCAGCTCTTCACTTCAGCTTAACATACAGCTACTTGGTATCATGGTCATCTTCCCATTGAACATGCCTTTCATTACTACTGATAATGAAAGAGAGAATAAAACACAACAGAAAAAGTCTTAACCTGGAATGTTCAGTAACCACACCTGTTTTGGTTTAATAATATTAACTGAATCATAAATGTCTTAACTCTAAAAGAACACAATGATCAAAAAAGAGCCTTGTTCCAGCTCCAACATCTGCTGGAGGCATTTTCTTGGATTTTTCCCCCATTATATGGATTGAGGAATGGGGAAATAATATATATTTACCCAAATGCAATTCAAGTCTTTAAAAAATTATTGCCCTCAAACATATGTTAATAGCTGAGAACCAGCTTAACTTATAAAATAACAGCATGGCTTACATGATAGCATTGGAATCATCCAATGTAATCCATAAAATTTTCCATATTATTGGAGATTGCTTTCCTGAGACCTTACCATATGCAGCCAGGCAGATCATTCTATCATCACAGGCCCCCCTGCAGAGCAAATTGATTACAATACCATTATTCGAAATGTGTATAATTATTTTAAAATATCTTTCTAAATAATGGATAGAAGCAATATTTAGTGGCCCAGATGGACCAGTCTCTACATATTTTGATTGTTTAATTTTTCTACAACTATTGCCTTTAAACTCATGCCATCATTAGCAATGAAATGGCTTCACGTAATACATGGAAACTAACATGAAACAGGAATTTTTATCTTTAATATGAATACTTAGAAGAAGACGGGCTGCAAAAAGCAACTTATGAGTACATGAATAGTTAATAATCAAAGGGAAAAATCTCTATAAAATTTCTAACAATTTGAAACAAGAAGATAGGTCCTTTTCAAGAAGTTATGCTAAGATTTTGTCTGCTTACAAATAAAGGTTCAGCTCTATTTGACAAGTTTTACAATCATAAAGAAAGGTGTCTACCTACTGAGTACAGTGTTCACTATCTGGATAATGGCTACCCTGGAAGCCCAGTCCCCAGCAATATGCAATATACACATACATGTAACAAACATGTACATGTACCCCATGAATCTAAAATTGAATTAAAGTAAATTAAATTAATTTTAAAAAGAAAGTTTTTTTCCACTATGCTTATTATTATTTGCTGTGGTTTATCTCAAATGTTTGTGGGGATATTAGCAATACCTTCTGACATATACTGTTCTTGTTTTAAGTCCAGATAGTACAATTTAGGTGATGGATCACAGCAATGACACATATAAATTTTGCTCAATAATGGGATTATATGTATTTGCCTTTACATTTTGCCACAGGACATTTGTTCTTTTCCTAATTGGATTGCCTTTTGCACACCAATGTGTTCTTAGAACCTAAAGGATACAGACTAGGTTTTCAACAATTACTAAATAAAGGAGTAGATTAATGAATTTCAAATACTATAAAATATATTGACTAGAAGTATCACTATCTCACCTATAATATGTAATATAATTTTTAAAATAAAAACTTTCAACAAAATATAACATCATTATTTTAAAATAAAACCCAATTCTCATTATATGTTCCAGCCACTTTATAGTATTTTCTCTAGAAGGGAAGAGGTAATAGAGTAGTAATAGAGTTTTTTAACAGAGAAAAATCCTAATCTGTTTTGTACAGAGTTTCCTCACCTTCTCCCAGATCCTTAACATTTTCCTGGTGTTGGATCAAGTTTGGACTAAGAGTAAGAAATGCCTGATAACAAGCTACAGTCTTAGCCCTCCTGAAGCTGGGTCTCCACTTTCATTCTATATTGCCTGCCTTATTGGTTATGATAGACCATGTCAACCTCCATAACAAGTTTGACCAAAATGTTATTGCAAAAGTTCACATTTGAGTGCGCTGGGGACAGAATCAAAAGTAGAGAGTAGCATGAATCAAATCTGCCTTTGTGTATGTCACTGTGACTGTAAATATGACCATATTGTTTAAGACAATAGAATGTGAATATTTCAGAGAGGGAAGATACTTTAGACATTATCTAGTTCAACTCTCTTAATTTACAGATGAAGTAAGTGAAGCTTTACGAAGCTGAATAAACAAGTGCAAATTCACCCAACAAATTAGTAGCCACAGAGTCTAATCCAGATCCCAGATCTGTTTCCAAGTTCACATGTCTTGAAAGTCACTTGTATAAAGTTACTACATTACAAAATTGCAGATGAGTCCAGTTGAAAACTTTGTTTATTATTTTTTAAATGTCAAACTCAGTCAAAGAATAAATGTAAACTGTTATTAGTATAAAAAGTAGACAAAGGCTGGGCACAGTGGCTCAGGCCTGTAATCCCAGCACTTTGGGAGGCCTAGGAGGGCGGATCACCTGAGGTCGGGAGTTCGAGACCAGCTTGACCAACATGGAGAAACTCCGTCTCTACTAAAAATACAAAATTAGCCAGGCATGGTGGCGCATGCCTATAATCCCAGCTACTCTGGAGGCTGAGGCAGGAGAATCACTTGAACCTGGGAGGTGGAGGTTGTGATCGTGCCATTGCACTCCAGCCTGAGCAACAAGAGTGAAACTCCATCTGAAAAAAAAAAAAGTAGACAAAATTAATCAACTTAGGAAAGAAAGTGTCAATGAACAGGCAAAGTTGCAATCCTTCACTAGATTATTAAATGCATTTTGCAGTTTTTTTGTCTTAGGTTTACAATAAATAAATTTGAGGCAAGAAAGTTTTGTAAAGCCCTTTGAGCTTAAGAAAGTAAACCAAAAAAAGCAAAGAAATTATTTTGTAATTTATAAACCACATTTGAAAAGTGAGGGAGGAAGTAAAGCAAACAATTATACAGGAAGTTGAGGTCAGTAAAAGTGGTAAACTATTTAACATAAAATATAGCTTTGATTAAAGATTGTAAAGGATTGTTTAAAAGTGCTGGTTAGTGGATGGCTGGGTTCAGTGTTTTGGCTGTCATTGAATGCCAAATTTGGGTTAACATCTCAATGAATAAAAGGAATTGAATGATCGTTTTGTGACAAATTTGCCAATGTTGTAAGGTTAAAAAAAATTTTAATTTATATGAATTTAATGACAAATATTTAAAAAGAAATTTATTTCTTCTGAAAATCATGATGCCTATGTTTTTATAGTAACTTATGTTTAAGCCATATCAAACTCTTTTTTTGTCCATTTGTTTTTTCTTTTGGGGGAGGGGGTTTGACATTTATTTTAGGTTTGGAAGTACATGTGAAGATTTGTTACATAGATAAACATATGTCATAGGGGTTTGTTGTACAGATTATTTCATCACCCAGGTATTAAGCCAAGTACCCAATAGTTATCTTTTCTGCTCCTCTCCCTTCTCCCACCCTCCCTGCCCAAGCAGACCGCAGTGTCCGTTGTTTCTTTCTTTGTGTTCATAAGTTCTTATCATTTAACTCCCACATATAGGTGAGAACATGCAGTATTTGGGTTTCTGTTCCTGCATTAGTTTGCTAAGGATAATATCCTACAGCTCCATCCATGTTCCTGCAAAAGACATGATTTTGTTCTTTTTTATGGCTGCATAGTATTCCATGGTGTATATGTACCACATTTTCTTTATCCAGTCTGTCATTGATGGGCATTTAGATTGATTCCATGTTTTTGCTATTGTGCATAGTGCTGCAGTGAATGTTTGCAAGCATGTGTCTTTATGGTAGAATGATTTATAGTCCTCTGGGTATATACCCAGTAATGGCATTGCTGGGTCTAATGGTAGTTCAGCTTTTAGCTCTTTGCAGAATCATCATAGTGCTTTCCACAATGATTGAACTAATTTACACTCCCACCAACAGTGTATAAGTGTTCCCTTTTCTCCACAACCTCAGAAATAACAATCTGTTATTTTTTAACTTTTTAAGAATAGCCATTCTGATTGGTGTGAGATGTTATCCCACTGTGGTTTTCATTTGCATTTCTCTAATGATCAGTGATATTGAGCTTTTTTTCATATGCTTGTTGGCTGCATGTACATCTTCCTATGAGAAATGTCTGTTCATTTATTTTAATGGGGCTGTTTGTTTTTCTCTTGTAAATTTGTTTAAGTTCCTTATAGATGCTGGATATTAGATCTTTGTCAGATGAGTAGTTTGCAAATATTTTTACCATTCTCTATTTTGTCTGGTTACTCTGTTGACATTTTCTTTTGCTGTGCAGATGCTGTTAAGTTTAATTAGATCTCACTTGTCAATTTTTGCTTTTTTGTGATTGCTTTTAGTGTGTTTGTCATGAAATCTTTGCCCGTTGCTATGTCCAGGATGGTATTGTCTAGGTTGTCTTCCAGGGTTTTTATAGTTTTGGGTTTTACATTTAAGTCTTTAATCCATCTCAAGTTGATTTTTGTGTATGGTGTAAGGAAGGGGCCCATTCTTCACTCTTCTGCATATGGCTAGCCAGTTATCCCACCACCATTTACTGAATAGGGAATCTTTTCCCCATTGCTTGTTTTTGTCAGCTTTATCAAAGATCAGATGGTCGTAGATGTGTGACCTTATTTCTGGGCTCTCTATTCTGTTCCATTGGTCTATGTGCCTGTTTTTGTACCAGTAACATACTGTTTTGTTACTGTAGCCTTGCAGTATAGTTTGAAGTCAGGTGACATGCATATCAAACTCTTGATCAGTTTTAATAACAATAAACTTTGGTTTAATATGTCTGTGCCACTGATAATGCCATTCAATTTAGACATCTGTCTCAGATTTAAGTACCTAATCCCATTCCTAAAAATGAAATCAGTAATACAACACTATCGGTCTCCGAAAGTGCTGGGATTACAGGCGTGAGCCACCATGCCCAGCCTGCAAACAGATATTTTTAAAGGTTTTATGTCCATGTTTGGCTTAGTTCTAGCATACTATATATTAGTCATTTGCAGTTACTTAAATTAGAGGAAAATATTTTAAGTTTTTTCATAGGAAATCTCCCAAACTGTTTTGCTAGTTAACAAAAAATAAATCCTTCAGCAAGTGAGCCAAATGCAGATGATAAACTCAGTTTAATTTGCTCTGGAAATAATTATGCATTCAGTTTGGTATTAATTCATTTAAATCAATTCTTGAACCTGGAAACCAAAACATTTTCCCTTTGAGACTTCAAGATTCCTGCAGTTGTTGTCACCCTATAGCTCTTCAAGACAATTTGCAAAATATGCAGGAAAATGCACGAAATGTGAAATTAGCTATTACATTAAGAATGATGCACCAGTGGAACTGAAAATGACATTGACAAACACAATGTCTTTTGGGATATCTATTTCAGTAGGTCTCTTTGCAGATGCAACAGAGTTTTCTGGTGACCAAATGTCTACCTAGTTCACAAATCTAGACTCATTTCCATTCAACATAGAGCTATATTTTAATAGGTTCCAATGAAACCAAGATGAGAGTCATCTCTATCGGCCTTTGAGGGAAGGAAACATTCTAACAAGAGAATGCTGCTTTCTCACACCGAGCATCCTAAGTCACCTCCCCACTGAACTCCTTCTCAGTTTCTTCAAGGATTCCATCAAAACCTTGCCATGCATTTCATTTTTTATCAGTATGATATGATCATATAAAGCATATAAATGCTGAATTTAGGGCATGGAGTTAATTGCCATTTTAAGATTAAAAAGTACTTTTTAGAGTTAAATATAATCTAAATCATGTTTTAATTCCAAATATAATGAATTATATTTTGATATCTAAAATTTCATGGTGATGGCAAATGGAGAAAGTTGCAACATACTAAATTTAAGCTTTCAAAAGCTTTAATTTTATTCAGAAATTTGGAGGTTTTCTGATTTGGCTGCTGCTAAATATTATTATCTCTACCCACAACTTCTTAGTATAACCGTTCCACTGAGCATCTATTAAAAGCATCATGCTCAGTAAACAGATCATGTTACATAGTAAAAACAAAATTCTAGCAATATAGTAGATATTCAGTAGTGATTTATAGGATGGATGATACTGCAAGATCTCCTGGTAAAACCTTACTCATTTGATAATAGAGCAGAGATGAATTAAGGCTCAATGTCTTTTATTTAACACACACATTCTAATTTTGGTTGCTTTTCAAAAAATATATAGTAAAATAAACATGGCCAACAGCATGTTGCCAGTTATTGGTTGGTTGTAACTAACACAAATTAATAAATATAAATGATCTGTAGTTAAAATATTAACTTTTTTGCAAATAGATTTTTTTTTTTGAGATGAGTCTCACTCTGTTGCCCAGGCTGGAATGCAGTGACGATCCTGGCTTACTGCAACTTCCGCCTCCCAGGTTCAAGCGACTCTTGTGCCTCAGCCTCCCAAGTAGCTGGGATTACAGGCATGTGCCACTATGCCTAGCTAACTTTTGTATTTTTAGTAGACATGGGGTTTCACCATGTTGGTCAGGCTGGTCTCAAAATCCTGGCCTCAAGTGATCCGCCCGCCTCAGTCTCTGAAAGTGCTGGGATTACAGGCGTGAGCCACCATGCCCAGCCTGCAAACAGATATTTTTAAAGGTTTTATGTCCATGTTTGGCTTAGGTCTAGCATACTATATATTAGTCATTTGTGTATATGCTGTTAATTTTTCTTTCATTCTTGTTATTGATATATATGTCAATGTATACTTATCTATAAATATCAATATATTTGTCTATTCATTTGTCTATGTATCTGTGAAACCATTTGAAGAAGTCCTTGATGTATAGTGGCCAAAGTAAATTTAATAAATTAGTAATTCATTAAATTTAATATGCTTATTAAGTTTAATTAAGAACACCTCTAAATTTCTATCATTTCATGGATAGATATTATGAATGTAAACTAGAGGTAAGAATGTGCTAAGATTATCATAATCTACCATTTTGAGATGATAGTTACTAAGGTGATAGTAAAATTATGCAGTTTATTAGATTGGAACGCATGAGTTAACTGGAAATAAACCACAAAATATAATTAGCAGTTGAGACACATATGATTTTTAGTATTTTAAAATAATAACTAGAAAGCTATTCTTTCTTTTGGCTTTTAATTTTTACTTCACTGAGACACTGATTTTATTCTAGGCCTTTCTTATCGACTGCTGACCTTTTCCTGTCATTTGATGTTAAAGATGATACAATGAATGCATCATCAATGTAACATGGCCTGAAACGGATCAGTAAATTGCATGTGATCGTTAGAAATAGATCTAATTTTTGACTTAGCAGAGACTACAGAAGTCTTATTTATAAGCTTCTTTTATTACATTTCTTTTTTCTTGTATATTTATGGTCCATTTGCTAATACACTATTAGGAATCAAATCACTGAAGATTTCAGCATTTTATTATCACCAAAACCTTTGTTTTAGTAAAGCACAACAACATAGTCTTCTTGATTGTGAAAAGCTGTTGTCAGATCAAGTCCTTTTTACGCCTCAGATCTTAGGGCACACTAATTCTTGAGGCCATCTCTAAGGTCTTCTGTAGAAGGTGCTGTCTTGTTGAGAAGGAAGAAATGGCCAAAGTGTCTGTATCTGAAATTTTCTGCGTTATCTTAAATATCCCACATTGAGGATGGACAGGTAAATTAGACATATGAAACAAGACATATTTAGTATATTCAACCTATATTTATTATGAATTTTTCATGTAGTAATATGATGATATAATATGAAGTAATTTAAGATCCTTATTAAGACTGAAAGAGAAATCAGTAGTAGGCTATGATTTGTTTCTTTATTTGGTGGTATAACAGTTAGCATTATTATAAAATCTAGAGTTTTTTTTAGATGCTTCTGCTTCTCACAGGGAAGCAACAATATTAATATTCTTGTTTAGCTTAGTATACTATATGTAATTTACATGTGATTTTCAGACTAGCAATTACAAAAAGAACAATCTACTACAAAATAATTACTAAGGAGTCTTTCGTGCTCAGCATCCCAAAAGGGAAAACCCAGAAAATATTACCAATACATCATGAGCCTCTTTGGTTTTCTTCATTTGGAGTGATGAAATCAATCATTTGATTGAATTGACACAACAGTCCTTCAACTGTATAATCTGCTTCAAGACACTATGTTGCTCAATATAACAACATGCCAAAATTGAAAACACTCAAAAATTAGCTTTTGTTTCCTTTGTTTTTCATGTTTTTGGTTTTCATGTTTTTGGTTTGTGGGCCATACAATAGTATTCAATGTTCTCCAAGATAAGATACTGATTTCTTCACAATTCTTTCCTTTCTCAAATTTAGCTGTACATTGAGATCATCTGGAAAACTTTAAAACCTGCTGATATTTGAGCTCTACCCCAAGAAATTCTGATGTAATGTGGATGAAAACCTGGGCATTGGGTCTCATAATATCTCCTCCGGGTGATTATAATGAGCAGCAGACTTGGCATCCACTGGTGTATGTAAATTTGATATTCTCATGACTACTCATTGCTGGATTGACACCCAACTTTTGCAACCTCCCATTTACTGAAGAGATGGACTCCCTGTCTCCCTCTGTCTCCTCTCTTAGAATGATACTTCTGTCAAAGCTTGAATGTGACTTAGAAAAAAAAATAGCAATTACCCTTATACATTTATTCTACAATTTTTGCACCCTTTATACATGTTAGAGGCAACAACAATAACTTTTAGCAGTGTTTATTTTTGTTAAAAGAAACCAATTGAATTGAAGGTCAAGACACCTTCTGATTGCACAGATTAAACAAGAAAGTATTACTTATTTCAACTTTACAAAGCATCTTATTGATTTAAAAAGATCCATACTATTGATAAAGTTCACCATGAACATATATGTAATAAGGAGACTAAAATATTCATTTTACATATCTACAACATGTATTTCATATTTCTAATCAACCACAAATCATATAGGAAAATATTTAGGTCCATGAAAAAGTTTCAAAACATTAAAAAATTAAAGTTTTGAAACAAATCACATGTGAAAGCTCATTAAATAATAACATTGACAAATAAATAGTTAATCAGCTTTACTTATTAGCTGCTGCCATGCATTTCTGGCATTCCATTCCAAGCGAGGGTCAGCATGCAGGGTATAATTTCATACTATGCGACCGTAAAGAGCTACAGGGCTTATTTTTGAAGTGAAATGTCACAGGGTCTTTCATTCTCTTTCAAAGGAAGATCACTCATGGCTGCTAAACTGTTCCCATGAAGAGTACCAAAAAAGCACCTTTCTGAAATGTTACTGTGAAGATTCATGACAACATATTTTTTTTAACCTGTTTTGAAGGAGTTTTGTTTAGGAGAGGGGATGGGCCAGTAGATGGAGGGTATCTGAGAAGCCCTTTTCTGTTTTAAAATATAATGATTCACTGATGTTTATAGTATCAACAGTCTTTTAAGAACAATGAGGAATTAAAACTACAGGATACGTGGAATTTAAATGCAAATTGCATTCATGGATATACCTACATCTTGAAAAACTTGAAAAGGAAAAACTATTCCCAAAGAAGGTCCTGATACTTAAGACAGCTTGCTGGGTTTGATCAAAGCAGAAAGCATATACTTTCAAGTGAGAAAACAGCAGTGGCAGGCTTGAGTCTTCCAAGCAATCAAATCTGTAAAGCAGATGGTTACTAGTAAGTCTAGTTATGGGAGTCTGAGTTCTAACTCATGCTGTGCTTGCTGGATTTGCTGGCTCTTTTCCGCTCTCTGTGATGCTGGACTGGCTTGGCAGGTGACATGCTCTCAAAGTTGTGACTGGACTCGTTGTGCTGCCGGGTGTACCTCTTGCACTTGCAGGCAGTGACTACTGTGATTTTGTAGGTGCGTGTGCTGCCATCTTGGCACTGCAGCTGGATTCTCTGGGTACGGGTTTTGTCATTGACACACCGCCACTCCTGGGAGCTCCTCCTGCTCCAGTACTTTGTTCCATAGCCTCCTCCAATCCAGTTAGGGAGCACTGGCAGGGGCAAGCACTCGCCAGCACACACCAGCTCCTTCAGAGGGCTGATGCTGGTGCACTGGCCATCAGAGATGTATTTGGTGGAACGCAGTTCCCGGCAACCCACTTGAACCCGAGCTGCAGGAAACAAAAAAGAATGTGCATCAGAGAAAAAATGCAAATGAAGACCTTTTAAAAAGTGATCTGCAATGACAAAAATAATAGGCAAATGATAGCAAATTGCCAAATAGAAAGTGAGCACCTACTTTATTTTCACAGTGAAAAAAATCTGTCTGGATAGTATAGGGACACTTTCATGAAAATCATCAGTTTACATGGCTATAACTTTTTTGGGAAAAAAAATGTAGGCCTGATTGTTTTTATATATAACATTAGCTAATTGCTTATTAGAGTGTTTGAAAATCCAATTTCCTTAGTCTGACTCTCCAATAAGGGGTTAGCAGCTCTTCCATTTATGTGTAAATATTCATTATTCAATGAGTTAAGAGTATACTTTAATATTCTCTTTCTCAAGGGTCATATTGGCTAATGTCTGCAAGTGTTTTTAATTAGGCTTTTTAAAAATCTGTTGAGAAAAAATGTGATAGCCATTTAAATATTGTGTATAATGCATATGCTCTCGGTAATATTTTATTTCAATTATAGACTTTAGCTGCAGAGACTCAGACATACATGTGTACAACATCTGACATTTTGCATATCAAACTTAATAACTATGTTTTAAACATAAATTCCCAAACTATCTTTTAAAAAATACAAACAGTAACATGTTTGAAATGTAAAATGCCACTACAACTCAAGACTCAAAGAATATAAAAGCCCCTAAATCAGGAACGTATGGTTGCCATAACAACTTGGCTACATTTCCATGAATTTTATGGCAGAAAAATGCCTAACATGTCTGATTTACAACTGCAAAAGGAACCACGGTGTTCATTTCCTGAATATTGGTCATGGCAAACTTTTTGTTTTAGTTATTTGGATTTGATAGGTATGTTCTCTAATTGGCTGTTTCTTGTTACATGCCTTATGTAATTAAAGCAAAAATTAATCTTTAAATATTTTAAGTTTTCCTTACCCTTGCTTTGTTATCTAAACTTGAGGAGAATTGCCTATAACAAGCTTGAAAAGAAATCAAGGCTTGCCAACCAGGAAAAAAAAAAAGGATGTTTAAAAGTACAGGCTGCTGACATTTTACAAATAAAAATGATAAGGGACACTGAAGTGGTTCCACAAAAAGTACTGAAAGATACGTCGAAGTAGAACTGAATCAGGAGTTTCACTTCATCTCTGTATGCTAGTACTTCTGAGGTAAGAGATATAGCTTAAGGGGAACGTGATAGTTGTGGAAAAACTTATGTATATAGACATGCATGCATAGAAATCTAGAATTGTGGGATTAAAATGTAAAGCGTAAATTGTTTGGTTGGACAGTGTGCTCAGCGTGCCTGATTCTGCCTCCAGCTCACCTTCCTGCAGCTGCCTCAGGAATGCACCTGGAAATAGCCAGAAATAATTTTGTCTCGTCAAGCTTTCTGTTCCTGTGTATATACAGATTTGGCATTTTTGCAGTGACAGTTCATTGACAACGAATACCCACCACATTGCTCAGTAATCTAATAATAATCAGATATGTCCTGTGTACTTAAAAGCAACCAGCTTCGTGAAAGTTAAAACATCCTAGCTTTCTTAGACATTAACAGTCAAATTTGCTTTGACTTTTCAAAAGTCAAAACTACTTTTCGTAGTTGAATGGAGTGAAGAAGGAGAGGCAAAAGATTTGTGTAAGATTTCCTGCGCAGTGTTTCTCTCTCTCTCTCTCTCTCTCTTAAAACCTGATTATTAGCATATGGCCTCTTCTAAAGGAAAAGATAGAAACAAAAGTTAGGGGTAATTTGAATCCCCCTAACCAGTGGTCAATTAGTGTGTCAACTAAGCTGTTGTTTTACATCTCTTAAGTTACAAAAATGTCCCCAGTCTGTCACAGAAATACACAATTATCTAAATTTTGAATGGGACAACAAGGAATTATTTTAGAAAAATGTGATTCTCCAACATTTTTAGTTTATCCCTCTTTTACATTGAGCATCATCAAAACTTTTGACTATCTCACTAGACATATTTTAGAAATCCAATGTAAACAAATTTTTTCTCCTGGAAGCTTCCTTTTTTCCCTTGTGATTCCCTATATTTATTTGTGGATGGTAACTAATAATATATATTAGTTACGTTTATACACTTTACCAAAATTGCATATGCCCTGAAATAAATTGACAAAACAACCGGAACTTGAGCTATCTAAAACAATACTTTTTAAAATGGTCATTTTGCATGATTTTGACAAAACAATAGTTTAATTCCTGGAAATGTTTTCTTTGTGGATGTTTGATAAAACTTCAGTCTGTGCTTGCACTATTAAACCACTGTTTTAGTTAGGTTAACTTTAAAATCACTACCTAGGGAAGAATGCCAACCTGCACATGCAGCAGATTACTCCCAAATTGTTTCACAACATATATACGGTTCAGGTTAGTTACCAATAAAACAATTCTACAGGAATGTGAGCTAATGCTACCAGAAAAGAAAAAAAAAAACTGTACAAGTAAAACACACTTACTGTTCCGATCCAGTCCAGTGTTACTGAAATGCCTGCCTCCATTTCTGGCTTGATTCAACGTGCTGTTGCTGCTGGGGTGTGCTGGAACAGGTTTAACCACATGTGAATAAAGGATTTCTGTGGCATCATTTTTAAAAGCCAAACAGCTTTTCATTAGGATGCATGCAAGGGGAAGGAGATAGAAATGAATGGCAGGAGGAAGCATGGTGAGTAGAGGATTTGCTTGACTGAAGAGCTGGTTAATTCTTTTGCTTCTGCTTCTGCACTGTAACTGTGAAATTCCTCCTCAAGCTTCCCTTTATATATCCATAGAGGTTTGGCGTTCATTCAGGTGTAAAGTTGTGTAGAGCTTCAGAGTGAAAACACAGAGAAGGGGTGGGATCCCTACATGACCCTGCAAAAGAATTTTACCAATGGAAAAGAAGACTGCAGAAAAGGAGGAGCTTGGTATACAAATTGCCTGAAATTTCAGAGTTGGACTTCATCACTTGTCTGTGAGCCGACGCAGGCAGGCGTATTCTATATCAACGACAGACTCTCCTCTGCCATTTCCTTTCCTGAATCTAGTTAACATTCGGGTTTAATTTAAACGAAAATACATCGCTGTTCATTTGAAGAGACTGGCTTTCCCACAGTTGTTCTGTACTTTCCTCAGATTTTAGAGTATTTGGGTCAGAAAGGGAGTTCTTCCCAGATAACAGGAGGAATTCATGTGAGTTTAAATATTGCAGGACTTGCATGAAGCACCTAGTTAGCTAAACATTGCTTTCTCTCAAGAAGCAAACCAATATTTTTTTTTCCTTAAAGTAAAAGGCACAGAGCTAAAACCTGCCCCCTGGACATGCTTAAATAATGCAGCTTTGATCTACAAGAACTACTGTGCTGCTAGGTAAATTATTGCCAGGGGTTTTGTGTGGAGAATAATGAGCATAGTTCTGTCTACATTAAAGTAAGTAATACTCATTTTTGTCTTAAAAATGTGTCACAAGCATTAATATCCATAGCATTGTTTTACATAAAGCCATTTGTGACAGACTTTTTAGCGGATTCAAAATAATTTTTTCTAGATTTTTTCAGAACACAGATTCTACTCGTATTTACTAAATATTTTGCTCATTACTTCCTTTGACTCTGCTGCCCAAGTAAGAAACCTATTTTTCTGAATTACTTTACCGGCACCCAGAACACGTGTTCCATTAATTAATTATAGGCCACTGATGATCCCTTTAAAACAATCATAAAATTCTATTTCATCATGGGACATCTCAATTGGAATAACTATTCTGAATCATCTTTTCAATTATAAATCCATTTTTGTCCTTTGTGTGGTTACCTAAATCACCTAATTTTGTATCTCTTTTCTGTATAAGCTTTTGTCCCTTGTAACTGCCATTTGCCTATATGTCTGCCTACCTGAATTTCTCCATAGCAGCGCTACTGGCATTTTGGAAGAGACAGTTCTTTATTATTGGGGGACCATCCTGTGTGTTTATCAGCATCCCTGGCTTCTAACGACTAGACGCCAGTAGCACCCCCCTAGTTGGTAACAAAAATAACTCCAAACATTGCCAAATGACCCCTACAGGGTAAAATCACCCCCAATTTAACCACTAATTATCTATTCATCTATCTCACTATAAAAGAAAGTAAAAATAAGTATAAAGGAAAAATATTATAATACCAAGAAATTATTGTTCTTTTTTAGGACAGAAATGGTACCGTAGTTTTGTTTTAAAACAATGACTGCTTCTCTATTAGAAGTATATACTGGAATATCCTTAGATGAAATGATTTTATATCATCTTTTACATTATATGGAATAAGCTAGAATAAGCTTCAAAAATAATATGAGGAGGTTAGAGGTGTGAGTGGCAAAAGATTAATTATAAGTTGATGGTTGTTACAGTAGGATGGTAAAGTATTATATTCTGTTTATTCTTGTGTATGTTCCAAATTCTACATAATAAAAAGTTTAAAAACCAGAGTCAGACAATCAGTTTAATGGACGTATACTTCCTACTAACAATATATCTCTATCCTACGATTGGATAGTCATTTATTCTAACATCCTTCCTGGAAAATCATATGTCAGTTTATTTTGTGCAAATGGAGATTACAGGCATCCTTCTAAAATACTAACTATGAAGAATTTCCTGCCCTACTTATCAGGGGACTTGATGTTAATTACACAAAGCATGTTAATATTAATCATTGACCTACAGACCCAATGCCTAAAGGAAATTAAAAGGTCAAAATAATCTAATCTGTTCCTCACTACTTTTTCTTTTTCTGTGTCAGAAGCAGGAGATATTTTAATTGGAATTTAATTATCGGGTTGGGCTAATGAGGTTGACCAAATTCACGCACAGTTATTAAATCTGCTGCACCTAGTATTCTGAAGGCTCAGCCTTAGGATATCACCTCAGGCAGAAGCAAAATTAGAAGAGAAGGCAATGTCGTTGTGCATGTGGACAGGACAAACTCAGAGTTCTTAGGCCCAATTTACCCGACAGACCCCTAGAGAACTATTTTGAGGCTGGGTGCAGTGGCTTCTGCCTGTAATCGTGCACTCTAAGAGGCCAAGACAGGAGGATCACTTGAGCGCAGGAATTCGAGATCAGCCTGGACAACATAGTAAGACCTTGTCTCTGCAAAAGTAAAATAAAAACTAGCTGAGCATGGTGATTCATGCCTGTAGTCCCAGCTACTCGGGAGGCTGAGGCAGGAAGAACGCTTGAGCCTGGGGTGTTGAGGCTGCAGTGAGCCATGATACCACCGCAACACTCTAGCCTGGGCAAGAGTGCGACCCTGTCTCAAAATAAATGAATAAATAAAAAGAAAGAAAACTACTTTGCTAAAATAGAAATAATCATAAATTTAATACTTAACAGTTATTCTGATCAGTTTAAAACAGCTCCATTAAAAATAACCACAAACTATTGCTTCTCGGCCTTTTGGCTCAGATCAAGTGAAGGATAACCACAAACTGTAATAACCCAAGAAGAATGGATATAGATGTTTAATATTGAAATTGATTCTTTCTCATCTTCAGGCATTAGTATGTACCTGTTATTCCCTTTGCTTATAACACTCTTCCCTCATCCTCTTCCTTGGCTAATCACCTACTTTTCCTTCCAGTCTCAGTTTAGATGGCAATAGCACTGAGAAAACTTGCCTTGTCCTCTCTTCCCTCTATCTGCTCGTCTCAATCCAGCATACATGTGCCAGAGCAGCAACTTGCCTGATGACTTGGCAAGACTTATGAAAGAAGAACCATTTCTATCTTATGGGTATTGTGGAATAAGTGGTTAAATTAAGTATTTAGGAAATGTAGAAAAAATATTCTTTCATTAAAAAGAGATTGGCTAATATTTGTGGTAGGCAGTCGCTAAGATGGCTCCTAATGATCCCCTTCTCATGATATTCACATCCTTGTAGCAATCCCCTTTTCTTCAGTGTGGGAAGAACTTAGTGATTAACTTCTAATTAGTATAACATACTAACATGATGAGATGTGACTTCTATGATTAGGTTTTCAAAAAACTATGACTTCTGTCTTTCTGGCTGCTCTCACTCTCTTGTTTGCTTTGGTGGAAGCCAGCTACCATAATGTGTACTTCTCCATAGGAAGGTCCATGTAACAAGGAACTGATGCTCATAACCAACAAGCAACTGAATGAGGGCCTCAGCCAAACAGATGAGAATTCCATCAACAATGACATGGGTGAGCTTAGAAGCAAATCCTCTCACAGGCAGATGAGGCTGCAGCCCTGTCCTACAACCTGAATGCAAACTTTAGGAGAGACATCAAACCAGAGGCACCCACAAGAACTATGAGATAATAAATGTTTGTTGTTTTAACTAAGTTTTGGGATAATTTGTTATATAACAGATAATCAGTACAATGTTATTTGTAATTAAGTCATTTTGTGAATAATGCTAGGGCCTTGAGAGCATCAGATGTGGAATCATTAGACATGGTGACTGTGCATCTTGCCATCTTTGGGAGAGTGTTAAGACTTATTTTCTGTTCTCAGCTGTGCATCATTGCAAGAAAAATAAAATACAAATAGGAAATTTTGTTAAAGACTTATTTTCTAGTCCTCAGCTGAGCCATCAATGTGGTGGCATTATTAATAATCATATAATGGTATTAGAATTACTACTAGCAGCTTGATTTGTAAAAGCTGGAAACTAATTTTGATTTTCTAAATAGTGTCATCATATGACTTGGAAACTGAATTTGAAAATCTGAATTTGGATCTGAAATTGCATCTTAGTTCTACCATTTACGATATGTATGAACTTGGATATACAGTTGACCCTTGAACAACACAGGTTTGAACTGTGAGGGTGCACTTATACTTGGATTTTCTTCCACATCTGCCACCCCTGAGACAGCAAGACCAACCCTTCCTCTTATTCCTCCTTCTCAGCCTACTCACTATGAAGACAATGGAGATGAAGACATGTCTTATGATGATCCATTTCCACTCAATGAAGAATAAATATATTTTCTCTTCCTTACAATTTTCTTAATAACATCTTCTTTTCTCTAGCTTACTTAAGAATAGAGTATATTATATATATATATATATATATATATATATATATATATATATATATATAAAACCTACAAAATATGTGTTAATCAACTGTTTATGTTATTGATAAGGCTTCCAGTTGACAGTAGGCTATTAGTAGTTAAGTTTTAGGGGAGTGAGAAGTTATATGTGAATTTTCAACTGTACAGGGGTCAGCTCCCTAACTTCTGTGTTGTTCAAGTCAGTTATACTTTCTGAAACTCTCCTAGTCAGTTTCTTCATCTACAAAACATGACCACGCTTACCTACCTCACAGAGGAACAAAAATATATGAAAATGTCTAACACAAAACCTGGCACAGAAGAAATGTGGAAAAAATAGCCATTTAATATGAATCTAGGAGCATGGTTTTATATTATAGCCTTCAAATAATAAACATGAGTTTGGAAAGACTAGAGAAGTCTGAACGAAAATATGATTACCCTATTTAAGGTAAAGAACAAAAAGTTAAGAGAAGGGAGATTTGTTTAGCCCAACAAAGTAAGAGATAATGGATAAATGTCATTAGGCTTAAAAAAATTAGTCTAATCAATTGTTTTTAATTTTTAACAGGGGATGCGTCTGAATACAACAGTACCATTTATCTCCAGGGCATACGTTCCAACATCTCCAGTGAAAGCCTGAAACCAGTTCCAAACCTGACTGGCATCATTTGGAACACGTTTCTGTTCGTCTCTCCCATACAGAAATTTAATGCCTTTTCCATCCTAATTAAGCGCTTATCATGTACTGCGGCTGTAACTTGTGCAGTTTGAAGGGCCACAGCAAAACTAGCAGGAATTTTTTTCTTCTTTCATGGATCGAACGTTCTTTCTTACCATAGATCTTAGCAAACTCGGCATATGATTTTTTTTCTTTCTCTATTAAGTTGAAAACTTTCACCTTTTCACTTAAAGGAAACACTTTACGGCTTCTCTTTGGAAAACCCGAATTGCCAGCATCACTACTCTTGTGCTTTGGGGCCGTTATGAAGTAAAATAAGAGTTCCTTGAGCACACAGCACTTTGATGCCCAACAGGTGATCTGATAACCTAGACGGTCACTAAGTGACTAATAGTAGGTGGTGTAGACAACGTGGAGATGCTGGACAGTGGGAAGATTCACTCCCTTGGTGAGATGGAGCAAAGATGGCATGAGATTTCATCGCGCTACTCAGAACTGTGTGGAATTTCAAACTTATCAATTGTTTATTTCTGGAATTTTCCCTTCAGTGAAACCAAGGAAAGCAATATCACAGATAAAGGGGATTTCCGAATATATAAACAAAAAGCATTTACTGAATACAAGAATAAACTATTTCTGCTCCTCTCTGGCTTAAAACTATTCTGAGAGTTCCCCTTAAGAGGATAGCACCTGTTAAATGGAAAAGTGATTAGCTATTATAAGTTTAGAAAAAACACAACAAACTACCATAGAATCTTTATTCATAAAAATCCTTAAAACGAGAATGAAATAATCACTTTCATTCATTTCATACTAGCGTGTATTGTGCCCAGTCTTTTTAAATACGGTGTCATCCAGGCAAAGCTGAATGAGACATGAAGCCTACCCTCTCTTCCTGTTCCAGAAAGCTCCTGGTTAGAATTTTACTAAAGGAACTCCCCTTAACGTACTCTTCCTGTAAAATTTTCTTTCTTTCTCCCTCATCACCTTCATTAGTTGTCTCTTTATTTGTATTTTGTTTGAATGCTTGCTGGTCTTAATTGTTGAATATAATGTTTCATTTATTATAAACTGCCTCACCATGAATAACATTAATTTAGAGAACCCAGCTTACAATACCCTGTGTAACCTGATAGAAAACCCAAGTGAAAAATCTCAAATCCAATAGACAGAGATCTAGATAGGGTTCCTCCAGTCTCCACACTATTGACCTCCGGGCTGGAAAGTTCTGTTGTGGGGGATGTTTAGCAGTGTCCCTGGGCTGTACCCTCTAGATGCCAACAGCACCTCCCCCACCCAGAAATTTCACAAGCAAGCACTAGGGAGTAGGTGAGGACAGCAGGGACAGGGCTTCCATCCGATTGCACAAACTAGCGCCAGTAGGAAGTTGTCCTTTTTACTTCCATTTATTACACTGCACAGTAGGAATCAATGCCCTCATTGTGTGCGTTCAGTCCAACAGTCCCTAAACTAAATCTGACAAAGGCTGGCAGCATATTAAACATTCTGCCCCCAGTGGTGAATGCAGATTGGAATTAGTTTTGTCCCACCAGCCTAATAATTGGTCTAAAACAATGTTTCTACTGGGAGCCTGTTAGATATGCAAATTCTGGGCCTCACCTCAGACTTGAGTCAGAATCCCTTGGGCTGGAGCCTAGGAATCTGCGTTTTAACAAGCTTTCCAAGTGATTCTTAAGTATGCTAAAGTTTGAAGTAAACTGTTATAGGATACACGCATGCCCTCATAACTGTGGCCTAGACTCATGATCCCCATGAGGGTTGCCTAGTCTATTTAACTGGGCCTGTGCTCCAAATACTTCCAGTTTGCAGAATCAAATGGAAGCCCTGCCCTGAAGCTCTGCCCTCAAGGCCCAAACCCTAACCCATTTCCTTCTGCTATATTTATTTCTCCCTAGGGACTGGATACTCTCAGTGTCCCTCGGTCCTGATTAATGCTTTGTTTCACAGAAATGGACACCGAGAACCATGAAAATTACTACCTACAGTAGTACTATCACTCACTAGAAATTCTGGAAGCCACTTCTGATTTGCTCAGAGGTGAGCGTTGATCCAGATTTAGGTAAAATACTTGGATCGTTGTGATTTTGATTATTGTCCACCAGACTTAATGACATCCCACAGTCAAATTGGGCTCCTAGCCCTGGCCACATGCAGTGTTGCATCACTCTTCCCTGAGGAGTCCCTTATTCAAGTACCAGCAGGCTTCATGGCAAGGCCTAAGTCAGTTATGATCTTACATCACTGGTAGATACTTGGGCTTAGAGACTTTACGTATGAAGTTCCCTGGTATGTCAGGATGCTGGAAAACCCAAGAATTTAGTAGGATTTGGCCCAACGATGCCACAGTCTTTCCTGGAAAAAAAAAGTCCTTGCAGAAATTTTCAATTTCAATTTTCATTTTTTTAAGTAAAATAATTTGCTTCCAAGTTATATACAGGTGGAATCTGTGGTGTAGGGCAGGGGTCACCAACCCTTGGGCTACGGACCAGTATTGATCCATGGCCTGTTAGGAACTGCACCACACAGCAGGAGGTGAGCGGCCAGGGAGTGAGCATGACCACCTGAGCGCCTCCTCGTGTCACATCAGAGGCGCATTAGATTCTAATAGGAGCACGAACGCTACTGTGAACTGCACGTGTGGGGGATCTAGGTTGCATGTTCCTTATAAGACTCTAACTAATGCTTGATGATCTGAGGTGGAAGAGTTTCATCTTGAAACTATCCTCATCTCCAGCTCCATCCATGGAAAAATCATCTTCCAAAATGGGGTCACGGTGCCAAAAAGATTGGGGACTGCTGTCATAGGGGGTTTCACAGCAACAGCATAGCTGGACTGAAGGGGTCAGCATTGGGAAGGAAGGAAGTTTGACTCCATTGATTGGAAAGTTAGGTTGGAGCAGATTATTGACTACAATTTGCTTTGCATTTGAGAAGTTTGGACATTATTTGTTAGATAATGGAGAGCTATTGAAGGATGTATACGTGTATATGTGTGCTTTTATTTTTCTTCTCCCAAAGGGAAAGCAGAGTATAGCCTCCACCCAGGTCAAGTGATAGAAAATTTCCAATATCAGCTGAGCACAGTGGCTCACGCCTGTAATCCCAGCACTTTGGAAGGCTGAGGCGGGCGGGTCACCTGAGGTTAGGAGTTTGAGACCAGCCTGGCCAATGTGATAAAACCCTGTCTCTAATAAAAATACAAAATTAGCCGGGTGTGGTGGTGCATGCCTGTAATCCCAGCTACTCAGGAGGCTGAGGCAGGGGAACTGCTTGAACCCAGGAGGTGGAAGTTGTGGTGAGCCGAGATCACACTACTGCACTCCAGCCTGGGAGACAGAGCGACACTCCATCTCGAAAAAAAAAAAAATATAGAAAATTTCCAATATCCAGAAGTTCCCCTCCTGTCCCATTCTAGTAACTACTTCCTTTCTTCTCCCTAAAATAAACCACTCTCCTGATTTCTGACACCAGTTATTACTTTTGACTGTTTTAGAAATTGATGTAAAAAAGCTAACTTTTTTTCACTGTTGTGTAGTATTGTATTGCATGAACACCCCACACTTTATTCATCCAGTCTACTAGACTGCGTTGATGCCAATTGAGGCTATTATGGATAATGCTTCTATAAATGCTCCTGTACCTTTCTTTTATGTATGTGGTCATACATTTTTGTTTGATATATATCTAGTTGTGAAATGGATGCAATATAGGGTGTGTGTGTGTTCAACTTTAGGAGATAACACCAAAGAGTTTTCCAAAGTAATTTTAATAATTGAAATTTCCACTAGCCTTGACAGATTTGAAACAGGGACAGCATCAACACTATTTTTGGGACGCTTAATCCACCTGCAACGTGTAAGATGGTTTAGGTGTGGTTATATTAGAACACAAGCAGGGGAAACATTATTGTGAGAGCCCAGGTGAAAAAGAATACAATCTTGAACTTGAAGGAGAGAGGAAAGGCTAGGACAGAGATTAGAGATACTGTGTAGTTTAGAATGGTAGGTAATTGGAGAGGGAATCATATGTGAAAATGATGTTTTAAACCTGAGTGAATGGGAGACTATAGTGTCAGGAGAAAGATGACAATAATGAGTGTAGGCTGAGTTAAGACGAGGTTAGGTTGCTGATGGGAATCTAAGAGAAGGTGTCTAAGAGACAACTAGAAACTGTAGTAGTCTGTTTTCATGCTGCTGATAAAGATATACCCGAGACTGGGCAATTTACAAAAGAAAGAGGTTTAATTGGATTTGCACGTGGCTGGGGAAGCCTCACAATCATGGTGGAAAGCAAGGAAGAGCAAGCCACCTCTTACTTGGATGGCAGCAGGCAAAGACAGAGAGCTTGTGCTGGGGCATTCCTCTTTTTAAAAACATCAGATCTCGTGAGACTTATTCACTATCACAAGAACAGCATAGGAAAGACTTGTCCCATAATTCAGTTACCTCCCACTGGGTCCCTCCCACAACATGTGGGAATTCAAGATGAGATTTGGGTGGGGCACAGCCAAACCATATCAAAACAGAGCTCAAGAATTTGTCCGGGGTGGGGAGAGCATTAGGGAAAAGACCTAACGCATGCTGGGCTTAATACCTAGGTGATGGGTTGGTAGGTGCAGCAGACCACCATGGCACACGTTTACCTATGTAACAAACCTGCACATCTTGTACATGTACCCCGGAATGTAAAAAAATAAAAGAAAAGAATCTGTCCAGCTACTGAAGCAATTTCATGAGGATGCTTTTCTACAACATTATTATGATAGACCTTGGTTTAGAAAACTATTATACTGGTTTAAGACTTTCCTTTATATATCTACAGTCACCTAATCACGCTCCTAGATATTAAAATTTCACACCCTACGTTCAGTAATTCTCAAGTAGGATGAACTATTGTATAGATATATTTGTACAGGCTTATAAAATGTATGCCCTGTGTTTTAATGAAACCATAGGTAATACACATTTCTCCAATTTCCTTTTATGTTGCCCATTTACCTATTGGCTTAGTCCAAGTTTTCATCATTTGTCTGAACTGCTGTCCTAACTTCTTAGCTCATCTCTTGCCTTCCCAGTCTCATCATCCTAAAATGTACTCTCTGCAATGAGAACCAGAATGATCTTTGAAAAATGCATATCTGAACATCTCATTCAAAAATTGTTTGTTCCCTTTACTTGCATAATAAACAAACACCTTCATGAGCCAGCTACTCTGATTTCTTGCCACTCTCTTACTTATAGTTTGTGCTTCAGTAGTAGTTTCTCATACTCATGACTCTATGTAATGCTTTCATGCCTCTGCATATATTGTTCCTCCTGCCTAGAACACCATTCCTTCCTGTAAATGTTGTCACCATAATTCAAAATTCTGCTCCTTGAAGTGTTTTTAAATGTATAGACTTAATTAATCAAGCAATGAGAAAGAGAGACAAGGGCAACTGGAGCAAAAGGAAGCTTTTCTGAACATGTGGAGTATGGATCTATGAGAATTAGGTACTGTAATTTAAAATAATGTGACGACATTTCTTTTAGTCTCAATACAATTGTGTGATTTACTTTTCCAACCCTAACATACTGCAAAACATATTTATGGTTAGTAAAATAATTTAAAATATAATAAAATGAAACATTAAGATAATGGGGAAAATGCAGATTTTTTAACATAGAATATTTAATTTGTGAGGCTTGAAAGAGAATACTGCTTTAAATTTTCAAATTTTCTGAACAAATATTCTTCTTCATGCTCCCACAGCAATAACAAGAAAATTAAAAAGATTACTGAACAATAAACTTATTTAAAAATGTATTGAACACATGCAAAAGTGATTATGTTATAAAAAAGACTGGTACAGATTTCTACCTTTTTTAAAACTGAGATTATATAAATTTTGGAAAATAACATGTACATGTTGTAAAAAATGTAAATAGTTTACTCAGTAGAAGGATAAAATCCACCTCTTCTCATCCTTCTTCCAATGCCATTCTTCAGAGATAATCACATTTAAGAATTTCTTGTGATGTTTTCCAATATTGTCTGCATTTATAAGCATGTTTAGGTACATATACATTTATACCTAAACATGCTTATAAATGTGTACATACTTATACATGCTTATAAATGTATGCATGCTTATAAATGTACACATACATATATATTTTACATTTTTATATGGACTGGATCATGCTATACATATAACTTCTCCAACTACGTTTTACACTTAATAATCTATATTGGGTATTTTCCCATATCAGAACATACAGATTTACCCCATTCTTCTTAACCCCTTCATTGAATGAGTTGTATGGATGTACCATAGCCTATTTATCCAGTTCTCTGTTGATGAATATTTAGAGTGTTTTCAGGTTTTCTTCTTTATAAATGTGGTGGGATATTTTCAAAACCTAATAGTTTTGAACTATTAGGTTGTTATCCCCCTGTTTTCTCCATTCCTTTATCCAAGTAGGTGGGGAGAGATAAAGAGTGGGAGTGGAAGAGTGGGGTGAGCATGCACACTTCATGAAAGACCAGAAGCCAAGCCTGTTTACTGACAGTGTCCAGACAGAAGACTAGGCTTCAGAAAGGCATGGTAAGCACATTCCTTGATGATTCCAAGGACCCAGAAGGATATGTAATTCCAGCACCTCTGGACCTGAAAGGACTGTGCAGACTGGGTGTGGACACCTTGGCTGTAACCAATGGGGAATGATTGCTCATGATCACTGTCTGTAGGGACCTCCCCAGTGCCTTGGTCCTACTGGACAAAACTTTGTAAAGTTCTTGGAGAGTGGCTAGGAAAGGAGGAAGGGGAAAATAAGGGTCAGGGTTCTAAATGAAATTGATTTTAAAATATAAAGAAATGCAATTCAAGTTTTCGGTTTTTTGTTAATTTATTTTGCACATCTAAGCTTCTTGACTGGAATTCATACCATCTTCATAAACATTTGCAATTTTCAAGATACCAAGATTATTTAATATATCTTTATACTTAAAGTCAAACTTTAATTTTGGAGACATTTTATCCATAAGAGCCTAAATCTTTTACATTTATTAAAGAGAAAATGTGGGCCGGGCACGGTGGCTCACATCTGTAATCCCAGCACTTTGGGAGGCCAAGTGGGGTGGATCACTTGAGGTCAGGAGTTTGAGACCAGCCTGGCCAACATAGTGAAACCCCATCTCTACTAAAAATACAAAAATTAGCAAGGCATGGTGGCGTGTGCCTGTGAACCCAGCTATTCAGTAGGCTAAGGCACGAGAATCACTTGAACCTAAGAGGCTGAGACTGCAGTGAGCCAAGATCACACCACTGCACTCCAGCCTGGGCGACAGAGTGAGACTCCATCAAAAAGACAGAAAGAAAGAGAGAAAGAGAAAATGCCCATTTGAAATGGTGTTCTTTTATGCTGACACAGTTACCTGTGGAATTTTTGGTTATCCATTCTTTTATTTAAAAAAGAATTTCAACAAAAATAAACCATAACTTTACTAGAGTCTCAAGTTGTTAGATTTTTTTTTTTTTTTTGAGACAGTCTCATTCTGTTACCCAGACTGGAATGCAGTGGCGCAGTCTTGGTTCACTGCAACCTCTGCCTCCTGGGTTCAGGTGATTCTCATGCCTCAGCCTCCTAGTAGCTGGGATTCCAGGCTTGCACTACCACGCCCAGCTAATTTTTGTTTTTTTATTAGAGACGGGATTTCCCATGTTGGCCAGGCTGGTTTCGAACCCCTGACATCAAGTGATCCTCCCACCTTGGCCTCCTAAAGTTAGGGGGGATTACAGGAGTGAGCCACCGTGCCAGGCTTGTCAGATTTATTATACCACTTTGATCACTTTGTTTTCACACTGACATCAAGCAATGTCTGAAACACATATGAAGAGACAAGATTTAATAATTTCTTATGAAGAGAAAAAAATGCTTTATGAAGAAGTAATGCCTGCATTAAGACTCTTACTTTTTTGTTTGTCCTTGCTTTTACTTTTTTTTTTTTTTTTTTCCTTTGAGACGGAGTCGCGCTCTGTCGCCCAGGCTGGAGTGCAGTGGCGCCATCTCTGCTCACTGCAAGCTCCGCCTCCCGGGTTCACGCCATTCTCCTGCCTCAGCCTCCCGAGTAGCTGGAACTACAGGCGTCCGCCACCACTCCTGGCTAATTTTTTTGCATTTTTAGTAGAGACGGGGTTTCACCATGTTAGCCAGAATGGTCTTGATCTCCTGATCTCATGATCCGCCCGCCTTGGCCTACCAAAGCGCTGGGATTACAGGCTTGAGCCACCGCGCCCGGCCACTTTTACTTTTAATTGATACTTTTACAATCTTTATTGAAGGATTTAATCTTGTTTAAAGTTGGCAAAAGATTAACTCAATTAAAAATCTCATGGAAACAATTTAACCATTATTCTCTAATTTAGAGGCATTGATTAAAATTGTTTTCAACAAGGAAAGACAAAAAAGGATACTTAAAATGTCTTATAGCTTAGAACTTTATGATGTCAACTCACACTTTATATGGTCTTTCAAACCTAATTCTCCAGCATGTTTATATAGCACTTGGGGGCTGTCGGCCCACCAGTGCTGGGGAGGCCAGGCTTCTCTGACAAACAGCCAAAGAACTTGAAACAGGCTGTAGAAAGTCCACTCCTGCCAGGATAATGCAAGCTGTTTAGTGACCATCTAACTGTTCTGCTAGTTTTTTTGCCGTACTTGGTAGTCCCAGGAATCCGGCTAGCTTCAGAAGTTAAGCAAAACAAAATACAACTGTGCACAGCCACATCCGAGGGTGACTCTGTCTCCAAATATCATACAAGTCCATGGCTGAAACACTTGAAAGGCTTGTATCCCTGCAGATGAAATCTTTATAAGATTGAGTCTTTAAAGACAACCCTTAAGCACATAAATATTGTCATTTACAGCACCGTTTCAGTGCTATTTTGCCTTTCCCATTATAAAGGTGGCTAATGCACATGATAATTACAGTTCCTTAAAATTTATTCACTCCTGAGCAGATCAGCTCAGAAATGTTGGCACAGTTTCAGGATTCCCGCTTGCCAAACACCCTTTGATCCAGTGAAATCATCGTATGATTCAAAACAAGGCCTACAGCCTTTCGAGAATTTATATCTTAAATCCTCATCTTCGTCGCTAACCCCTCCATGTTCGATCTAAAAAAAAAGAGTTTTCCTTATCAGTGACAAAGAAATAAGATTTTTCCCTGTGGGATTCATAATATGCTTTTTTTCTCTTCATTTACTCATCATTTGAACTAACTTACATTGAGTGCTTCTTACGTACTAGAGACTGTGACCTGCCCTGCAGTTATGGAACTAAACTACCTCCCCTAAACTGCATAAGGCAGAGACGGTCAGTTAAGCAGATAATGCTTTGTAGTGCTTTAACAACAGGGTCAAGGGAAAACAGAAGTAGGACCCAAAGCCTTTTGGTGAGGGCCAAACAGATTCCAAGTAGAGGTGAATGCTGAGCACAGCATTGGGAATAATAGCAGCGGGCAGATGGCAAAAAGAAGTAAGTTGGGTGTTCAAGAGACAGAAGAAATAGTATGTGCACACAGATCTGGCAGTGAGAGAAAACGTGACCAATTTTAGAGAAAATTAAAAATGCTTTGCTTGTCTTGAAAGACCTCCATGGAGTAGCTAGAAAAGAGGAGGGATGGATAAGCACACCAAGATTTTAAATCACCATTTTTTGCCCTCCAAAGAAGTTTGAATTTTATTCTAAAGTCAATGTGGTCCCTTAGAAGAATTTTGAGCAAAGATGTGACATGACCAGTTTGGGGTCTTAAATAGATAATTCTGAGGAACTGTAGAAGAAAGTTAAAGACAAAATATTTAGCATAGAATGACCATGTTTCAGTTCACATTATGGAGCACTGAGAAGCTATCTGGCACTGAAAACAGTGCTGGACAAAAAGCTCAGAGGTTGTGCCATTACTTCTGTCGATCAGGACTATTATAAAGAAAGAAAAACTAAGGAGAAGGATAAAGGGAAAGAAAGAAAGAAAAATACGGGGAATGGAGAGCCAGAGGGAGAAGAGAAAAAGAGGGAAAAAACTGTGGAGGTCATTAGAAGTAAAGCTTACTGTACATCATAGGTCTCCAGTCAGAGATGAAAGAGGGCCAGGGAGGACATAAGATATTTACATGGCATTCTATTTCTCCAAAAAAGAAACAAATTATTCTTTTATTCACCTTAATATGCCAACAATGTTGCATCAGTTACTCTTTCTCATCTAGCCTGTTCTCAAAATAATAGAAAGGTATTTGAGAAATTTCTTCATACCTTCCATGATTATGATTGAATACATATCAAATTGATTTCATCAAAAAACCCCTGATGGCTCTCTTTCTGTCACACATGTCTTAAATCTACCAAGAACTATTATCAGCTCTCCCCTCAAATTATATCCAGGGTCCAAACACTTCTCACCATCTTCATTACTACCTTGGTCCAAGACACCATTATCTTTTAACTGGTCAATTTGAAAACTTCCTCTTACCTGCTTCCACCCTGTAGGCATCACTCCTTTATTCATCATCCTCCAGTGGCTTTCCATCATCTTATCATAATCTACAGACTGTGAGTGATCTTGTCCCTTGCTACCTATTTGTCCCCATCTCCTCCTACTGTCCCCTCTTCTCACTCTTATCCAGCTACGCTGGGCTTCCTTTTGTCTCAGATGTACAGTTATCCCAGGGGCTGGGCGCAGTGGCTCACGCCTGTAATTCCAGCACTTTGGGAGGCCGAGCTGGGCAGATCACTTGAAGCCAGGAGTTCGAGACCAGCCTGACCAAAATGGTGAAACCCCGTCTCTACTAAAAATACAACAATTAGCCAGGTGTCATTGCAGGCACCTGTAATCCCAGCTGCTTGGGAAGCTGAGGCATGAAAATCACTTGAAACTGGAAGGTGGAAGTTGCAGTGAGCCTAGATTGCACCACTGCACTCCAGCCTGGGCAACAGAGCAAGACCCTGTCTCAAAAAACAAACAAACAAACAAACAAATACAGTTATTCCAGGGCTTCTGCGCTAGCAGCATCACTCTGCTCAAAACATCCCTCCCTTGGATATCTGTTGTCCGAATGTCACTATATCTGAATGGTTTTCATGAAGCCATCTTAAATTAAAATAGCACACCTCACCATTCACATTTTTCTTTGTTCCCTTTGTTTTGTCTCTTCTCACCTCACACCTTCTACCAGATGTAAACTCCTGAAGGAGGGACTTTAGTTTGTTTAGTGTTGGTTCCCACATGAAGAAGAAATTACCTGGGACAAAATCGGTGCTCAATATTTCTTGACTAAATTAATAAGCAAATGGATGAATAGAATTGTCCCCTGAATAGCACTTCTTTTTTGCTTGATGTTTCTAAGTAACCATTATTATTTACAAACGTTATGGCAGAGAGCTCAATCCCTTCACTTTGCAAACAGAAATTCAAACATTGCCTAAATCCTAGAGGGTAAACATCTTTAGTATGGAAACGAAAATGGCAGTTATTCAGCAGTGGTTTTAGACTAAAGTTTAGTAAACTGAACCAGAACTTAAAATATTTTTAAGATTTCCAAATAATCTGGAATGAGCCAAAGTTCTGTTCCCATGAAAATGGTAACTTTTCTAAGGAAATAACATCTTTGAGATGGGACAATTCAGAAATACTTAAGGACAAAGTAAATTTAAACATCATCTTTATATGCTGAGAGATAACCACTGTTACATAGGTGTATCATTGAAAATTTTGTTGACATGATATTGAATTGAAAGATTAATTAGGAAGAGTGTTTAAATAAAACCTTGGCAATATTTACTCTTTTTATCCATTATTTTTATTCATGTATTCCATTTATTTATTTATGTGTATTTTTCTTTTTTTGAGACAGAGTCTTACTCTGTTGCCCAGGCTGGAGTGCAGTGGTGTGATCTCAGCTCACTGCAATCTCCACCTCCCAGGTTCAAGTGATTCCCCTGCCTCAGCCTCCCAAGTAGCTGGGATTACAGGTACCCGCCATGACACCCAGCTAATTTTTGTATTTTTGTAGAGACAGAGTTTCACCATGTTGGTCAGGCTGGTCTCGAACTCGTGACCTCAGGTGATCTGCCTGCCTCGACCTCCCAAAGTGCTGAGATTATAGGCTTGAGCCACCATATCCAGACTATTCCATTTACTGAATCAAATTTCATAGCTTTCTGTATATCGTATGTACATCTTTTTATCGTATATACATCGTAAGTTTAATCACAGCTATTTTGTGTTTTAGCTTGCTGCTGAATTCAGATTTTCTTACATTACATATTCCAAATGTTTGTTGAACTGCTTTTGAACTCAATAATTGACTTTCTACTGACCACAGTAATAATATTTTTAATACTTTTTCAGTTATCTCAATGTTTAGTGGTAATCACATCATCTGTCAATAATAATAACTTTGTTCTTTCCTTTTCAATATTTATATTTTTGTTTCTCTCATATATTGTTATTTATCCCTTTGGTTAAAGTTTTCCATCAATGTTAAAATCTATCAGCAATGATGGGTTATCTTATGTTGTTCCTGACTTAACTTGGAATGATTCTAGTATTTCATTTAAACTTTGATGTCATAGTTGTGTTTCAAATAGACTTTTTAATTACCTCTCTTCCCTTGATAATTTAAATTACACCTAAGCAAAGATCTTTGTGTATAAATATTTGTATTTATTTTCCTTAAAATGGATGTAATGATGCTTGATACATGGTGCCAAACTGTTTTCAGTGCTTGCTGTACACATATACCTGCAGTGTGTAAGTCCCACTCTTATCAGCATTTAGCATTGCCAGTGTGAAAACATCCCAGAATTTTAGTTGATAAAAATTTGGGGGCTTGGTGAGATGGCTCAGGCCTGTAATCTCAGCACTTTTGGAGGATGAGGACAGAGGATTGCTTGAGCCCAGGAATTCAAAACCAGCCTGGGCAACATAGTGACACCATATTTCTACAAAAACATACAGAAATTAGCTGGGCATAGTGGCGCATGCCTGTAGCCCCAGCTAAACAAGAGGCTGACGTGGGAGCATCGATTGAGCCTGGGAGGTTGAGGCTGCAGTGAGCCGTGATCACTCCACTGAACTCTTGCCTGGTTAACAGAGTGAGACACTATCTCAAAAAAAATAAAAATAAAAAAATAAATAAATAATAGATAAGAAATGTTGTATGTTTAGATTTTCATTTATTTGCTCATTATTGTATTTGGCTAGTTTTTCACTTACTGATTAGCTATTTGTATTTCCTCTGCAAATTCACTATTATTTTAATTTCACATTTTGATTTCTCTGTGAGTTCTAAAAACTTGATAGAGAATTACTTCTTGATTATTGTATGTGCTCATTTTAACACATTTGTGAATAATGCCAAGCTGTTCTTCAGAAATACCAAAATAGACAGTCTTCAGCCACATGTGAAAGTGCTCATTTGTTTCAACCACCCCAAAACTGAGAATATTTTTTAACTGAGTTGCCAGTTGAGTAGGTGAAGAGTACATATGTTAAATATTTAATTTTCATCTCTGAGATTGTTAATGAATGGGATCATTTTTCATGTTTATCATGAGTTTTTTTTCTTTCTTATTTGCCTCTTCATCTTTAAATCATATTTATTCTTTCTCTGGATGTGTAAAAGGTCTTTGCCTATGAGTTATTAATGCTTTATCATAAATAGAAAATAATTTTTCAGTTTGATTTGCTGCTTAATTATGCTTATAAAATTTTTTGTTGGTTTGTTATATTGAGTATGCTGGTGCCCACCCCTAGTCCTCCAGTCCAGTCTCACCTCTTATTCCAGCCACTGCTGTAATGTTCAGCTTCCTCCTGGCTTTGCCTGGTTTCGGTTGGGTGCAATCTGAGTGCATCTGCTTAAGCCCCCTGTCCCAAGCCTCCTGCTTTCTGCTCTGGGGTTTATCTCACCCCACAGTAGGATATCTCCCAAAATTCACTTGTACTCATTGGTGCAACCTGAAAATATGGAGGAATCAACATCCTTTGGTCACTGCCACTATTGACTATTAAGGCCTGGGAACAATGGAGCTTCTTCTTTATTTCTTCAAGTGGATCTTCTGAGTCTTCGCAGAACATCTTAGGGCTAGAGTAACCTGACGCACAGAGGGTGGCCAACTGAACAATGCATCCTTTTGTTAACTTTTTCTGCTAACCTATCTCCCTCCTTCGGTGACTCACTCCTGCTGTCTGGGATCATATTTCTAAATAAACTACTCACACATAAACCTTTGTCTTAGACTTTGCTTTGAGGCTTAGTTGTGTATCCTTTTTACATATAAGGTTTGTCTATGTCTCTGTGTGGGCATGGGTATGTATGATCACATATCTCAATCATGCATTTTATGGTTTCTGACTATAGTTTCACAGGTATAAGGCTTTCTCTGTCACCAGGGTCAGATAAATATGTATGTACATTTTAATTCTTTTGGTATAGAGTACAAGGTCATGATCTGTTTTGTTATATTTCCCAAACGATTAAGCAAGATTAAAATAAAGCCTATTGAACATCTGGCCTTTTCTCACTGATTTTTGTCAGTTAACATTTCAGTTTCAGGAGAATTACAGATTTATAAGAGACTAATCTCCATTTTCCTACTCTTCTTCACACATGTTATGATTATGACTTAATTAGCCAAATATACGTAAATGTAAAGATCCACAGTAAAGGAGCAGACGCTTTTTCTTGGTTTACTAACTGGACTTAACAGCGACTGGTGACACTCCCTATAGAGGCCTGTCACAGCAGAGTAAATTGCCATTCCCATAAATGGGACTTGCCTTCCCATAAATCTTAAATAATTGGGGTTATATCCTAATTCCAGGAGAAGTAGCATCAGCAATGTAATTGCTTCAAATTATGGGTATTTTTAGGGGACACAAAATTATCTAGTTTTTTTATTTAGAAAAAATTAAGCAAACCTACTTATCAGCAAGGTGACAGCCACATGAGGATGGGGTATAGGAAACAGACAGTACACTAGTGTTCATGATTGGTGTCACTGCCTTAATCTTCCCAATATCTCATTAAATAAATAAATAAACCTGTTGCCCCACAATCCTGCACTAAATGTTTACGTGTACAGAAAGCTGTTTCTGGCCTTCACATCTGTGTCACTGAACTTTCAATCCACTCCTGTGATGGTACTACCAGAGATTTACTGAGGCTTTTAAAACATGTTTTAACACTGAACAGAACACATTAGAGAAATGCGAATCAAAACCACAATGAGATACCACCTCACACCAGTTAGAATGGCAATCATTGAAAAGTCAGGAAACAACGGATGTGGAGAAATAGGAATGCTTTTATACTGTTGGTGGGACTGTAAATTAGTTAAATCATTTGGAAGACAGTGTAGTGGTTCCTCAAGGATCTGGAACCAGAAATACCTTTTGAGCCAGCAATCCCATTATTGGGTATATACCCAAAGGATTATAAATCATTCTACAATAAAGACATATGCAGATGTATGTTTATTGCTGCACTATTTACAATAGCAGAGACTTGGAACCAACCCAAATGCCCATTAATGATAGACTGGATAAAGAAAATGTGGCACATATACACCATGGAATACTATGCAGCCATAAAAAACAATGAGTTCATGTCCTTTGCAGGGACATGGATGAAGCTGGAAACCATAATTCTCAGCAAACTAACACAGGAACAGAAAACCAAACAGCGCATGTTCTCACTTATAAGTGGGAGTTGAACAATGAGAACACATGGACACATGGAGGGGAAAATCACACACTGGGGCCTGTCAGGCAGTGGGGGGCAAGGGGAGGGAAAGCATTAGGACAAATACCTAATGCATGCAGGGCTTAAAACCTACATGACGGGCCTGGGTGCGGTGGCTCACGCCTGTAATACCAGGACTTTGGGAGGCAGAAGAGGGTGGATCACCTGAGGTCAGGAGTTCGAGACCAGCCGGGACAACATGGTGAAACCCTGTTTCTACGAAAAATACAAAAATTAGCTGGGGGTGGTGGTATGTGCCTGTAATCCCAGCTACTTGGGAGGCTGAGGCAGGAGAATTGCTTCAACCCAGGAGGTGGAGACTGCAGTGAGCCGAGATTGTGCCACTGCACTGGTCGACAGAGCAAGAGAGCAAGACTCCATCTCACAAAAAAAAAAAAAAAAAAACCAGGAACAACAAAAAACCTAGATGACAGGTTGATGGGTGCAGCAAACCACCATGGCACATGTACACCTATGTAACAAACCTGTACGTTCTGCACATGTATCCCAGAACTTAAAGTAAAATTAAAAAAAAAAAAAAAAGGAGAAAAGAAAAAAGAAACCAATGGACAGAACAAATCCCTTCTCAATATTTTCCTTTTTCAAAAATGTGTTGGCTCTTCTTGTTTACTGATCCCTCTTGTTGAACTTTAAAATCACGTTGTCAAGTTCACCCCAAAACGTGGTAGACACAGAGATGCACCCCCAGATGCCACGTCAAGGAAGGGCTTGTTGCCCAGCTGCTGGGAGCACATGGACAACTTCCAGCTGTTGACTCCTTCAGGGTCACGCACTTCCAATGCCACTTCCCTTGAGTAAATGTGCAAAGTGGTAGTGAAGAGAATCAGTCATTTCAGTAGACCTGGGATGACTCTGGTGGGCAACACCTGTTCCCAAGCTCCTTGCTGGTTTGGCCGAGGCTTTGCTGGGTCTGCATCTCAACTTCACTTTTCCTTCCGCTCAATCCTGTGACTTCCCCCTTCTTTACTCAGATGTCGATCTCTAATCAATGTCTTATATCCTAAATTCCACCTCCACCTCTTTCTTTGAAGAATTCAAACTGTGACAAATTTAAACAGTGCCAAACCTATCTATCTAAAAAGATACTTTCTTTTAATACTTAGTTTTTCCATTTAGAAATACAGTGTCTCTAAACGTATTCATCTTCTTTTACATTTCTTAGCAAACCTTGCTTTATATAAGTTTTACAGATTTGTTTGTTTATTTGTTTTTGAGACAGTCTTGCTCTGTCGCCCAGGCTGGAGTGCAGTGGCACAATCTTGGCTCACTGCATCCTCTGCCTCCCGGGTTCAAGGAATTCTGGTGCCTTAGCCTCCCGAGTAGCTGAGATTACAGGTGCCTGCCACTAGGCCCGGCTAATTTTTTTTTTTTTTTAAGTAGAGATGGAGTTTCGCCATGTTGACCAGGCTGGTCTCGAACTCCTGGCCTCAAGTGATCTGCCCACCTCAGCCTCCCAAAGTGGTGGGATTACAGGCATGAGCCATCGTGCCTGGCTGGTTTACAGATTTTTTAAAGAGTTTTCCTGGTTTTTTTATATTGGTTTTTATTGGTTTCTGCATTATAAATAGAACTCTTTCGTCATGTCATCCATGTGATCCATAATGTTATGTAATAAAACTTTTTTTTTTTTTTTTGAGACAGAGTCTCGCTCTGTCACCCAGGCTGGAGTGCAGTGGTGTGATCTCAGCTCACTGCAACCTCCGCCTCCCGGATTCAAGCAATTTTCCTGCCTCAGCCTCCCGAGTAGCTGGGACTACAGGCACGTGCCACCATGCCCGGCCCTTTTTTTTTTTTTCTTTAAGTAGAGACAGGGTTTCACTGTGTTAGCCAGGATGGTCTCGATCTCCTGACCTCATGATCCACCCGCCTCAGCCTCCTAAAGTGCTGAGATTACAGGCATGACCCACCGCACCTGTCCATAAAACATATTTTAACAGTAACTTCAGGGAATTCACTTACAAAATACGCTTATTTAAAATATTGTTTATATTTTTTTCTATCAAACTTTGTTTTTCTCTATTATAACTTTTGCCTGACATAATGAAATTATAAACCTCATATATCAAAGCGATTTCATTCCAGCTTTCTACATTCTGAGAGCAATTTCAATAACAATAGCAGCAATCTATTGAGTACCTCTAATGTACCGGGCAACAGCACATCAATGCTCTGGTGATATTATCTATAATCCTAGCAGCCACCCTGCAAGGCTGCATTATAAACGACACTTTTCAAAGAATGTGTGCACCTTACCCATTATCAACAGCTAGCAAGTTATTGAACCAGGAGTCAAACCTAGGGGAAAAAAATCTAAAGACACTTTTCACAGGCAACATAACCAAACTGTGCTTTCCCAAGTTCTCTTACACTTTTGTCACATATATCACACACACACACACACAAATGCCACGCGGAATTTCTGACTGCATATTCTTTGTATACCATTCAAACAAAAAGAAGCTTATATACTCAAAAGTTAAATTCCACCTTCACCTTACTCCCTTCCAAATACTCTTCCTTCTCCAGGGGTAGCAACTATGAATAATTTTTATAGAACATGTAAAGAAAGTCAACTTCATTCTCCTTAAGTTCTATATTGTATCTCATAATGTATCTGTGCTGTATTTATTTAATTAGCACCCTAATGGATATTTGGATTGTATGTAGTTTTTAACAATATTGAAACTTTGTAACTTTTCTTAACTAAAAAACCTACTTCGAGTATTTTAATTATAAAAATAATATATTGCTCACTGAGTTGGCGAAAATAAATATTGAACCAAATAAAAGAGGCTGTGAGTTTGCTTTTGCCAAATTTGTTTCTGTCTCTTTAAACAGACTTTGTATTTAGTAGGAAATTCTCAGAGTTTCTAGGCATGAGGAATTACAGAGAATTCCCAATTATGTATCCTATTGGTTATATCATTAGGAATGGAGAATATTGAGGTCCAATATACATGATCACACTGACATTTTGCTTGGTAGTCTTTTTATAGCCCAAATTATTTAAATCCCAAAACAAAATATATTTATTGTAGAAAAATAGAAAAGGCAAATAAGTAAAATACTTTAAATCACTAAGTAACTACTGTTAAAACTTTGGCTAGAGATCTTTTAATAAATCTTATACATTATGTATAGATACATGAATTGTTTACATATCCTATGTAAGATCATGTAATTTGTATTAACCATTTTTTAACTTTATGCAATAATATGTCTTGAGATCTTTGTGCAAATCATGATTAATTTAAGTGGAAAATGAAACCTTGTGTTCTCTTTTTCAAGAAAACTGGGATGCCACTTCCATAGCTGATAAAGTACAAGCAGAGTGGAATGTTTAAGCTAATGTTTCTCGTTCTTTTATTTTTTTCCTATCTCTATGTAAACACTTCAGCCTAGCCTCAAGCCTCCATGTCCTTACTTGTATTAAAATTGGACTCTACCATAATTGTACTTCATTTTAATGGACATCCAACTTTTATTTGCCACAAATTCCATCGAATCATGTTTCTTCTTATGTATGTTCTCTAGCATATATTTGCATACTCTTGAGCAATTTGTTGATTTGTCAAACACTTCAGTATCTTGTGACTGCTTTCTAAAAGCCTGTAAGGTTTCTTTAGTAGTAGTGATGGCTTGAAACTTCTATGTCAGAAGTTGTTCCAAACTTAATCACTCCTCTATAATTGTCTAATTTTAGTGCAAATTAAAGAGACGCATAAATCACTTTTCTTAACTCACAATTTCCACCTGTGGTTACACACAGCTTGCCTTGTACAGTTGTGCATGCAGTACACTGAACAAGTCTAGGGGTTACCGTTTATACTGCAGAGATAGATAGATACATACCTACATATACATGCATACATACATACATCTTTCCAGTAGATAGCAAAGAAATGCCTCATTGTAATAAAAGCAGGTTCCTATGACAATTTTCAAACCGATGATAAGGGGCACATTTTTCTAATCTGCATGGTAACAGATTGAAGAGATCAGTTGTAGTGAGCAGATCTCATACTATCCGGGAAAGGACAGTTTGGCTTTATGATCACAAGTCTGAGAAAGAAGTATATTTGCTATGTATCACACTCTTTTATTTTGATTATGCTCTGCCTCATTTTGTTGCAGTTGTTTGCAGTCTCCACCACATATGGGACTGCAGCAACCGCAATACTAAACATGTAATATTCCCCTTCAGGGGGCTTGAGTGCCAGCCAGGTGGTCCTGAAGGCCAGAACTGAACTAGGCAAGGTCTTGATACCTCAGGCAATTGGGGTGCCAAAACCAAGGAGAGTTGAAGCAAATTACTTTGTAAGAAAGGTCTTTAACTATTATAACTCATACAAATACACATACAGACACCCACACACATATATATACATGCATGTATGTATATATGTAAACAAAATATTCTCATCTTACACTAATTTATTTCACTACAAAATTAACTAATCTTTACCATATTTTTGTCCCTAAAGACATTCTATCGTGGGAATTTAATGGTTTAGAATGAAGGTTTAGCTGTATGCAACGCAAAACCAGAATCACAGTGACTTGTTTAAGGTTAATTTTTATTCTCTTGACTTGAGTAACACAATCTGAATTGCAGACATCACTTGTGCTAACATATCGTTGGACTTAAAATTTAGTCACATTAAAAAAAAATAATCTAGCCCCACAGCCACAGCTAGCTGTAAGAATGTCTGGAAAATGTAGTCTTTGTTCTGGGCCACCATGAACCCAGCTGAATATTTTACTGCTAAGGACAAAGGGAAGAATGAGTGAACTCTGCCCCAGGCTGTGCTCAATAACCTCATGATTCAGTCCAGAAAAGAATCCTAACAACCACTTCTCTAGTGGAAGCTTCTTGCTTTTTTCCTTAAAATAGTTGATCTAATCCTTTTATAATGCTTCTCAAAATTGAATTGAAAACGCAAGTAACTCAAAATGGGAAATCAAGTTTTGTGAAGTTTCTTTACTTGAATCTATTAGCTATCATGACTTGGTCCAACATATTCATTAGAATGGTCCAAAAGTCATCATTCAAATAAATATTTATTGAGCAATAAGTTGCTTACATGAATTCTGAAAAACATATCCAAAAAAAGTAACAAGACTCTCAATATTCATTTATCTATACATATAATTTCATCCAAATCATCTGAATCAATAAATATTAAGGAAGAAATAGAAGCCAATTTACCAATGTTATTTCTATCATGAAAATAATTATGTATTTCTGACTTGTGTAATTTAAATTTTCTTATAAGATTCAGAATGTAAGGCCTTTACTTTTACAAACAAAAATAAAACAAAAAAGATAGATGAATATACGAACAATCTTATAGCCAGGAAATTTTTCACGTAAGTCATTTGGATAACGTCTGATAAAGTGAAACATGTTTTTCGTGAGAATAAACCTGTCTTTAAAGATAGAGAACAATAAGAATAATACAAAGTTAAAATAGAATAAAAAAAGAGTTTGAAATGAACTTCAGAAATTCATAACACACTGTCTATCATAGGGAATTTATACATTCGCCCCCAGTTATTTGAGGAAAGGCCTTTCTTGATATTGTTGGATCCATCAGTGTGCGTTGAAGGTGAATATTGATGATAGGTCACAAGAAAAGGTTCTCAGGAACTGAGTGACAAAGTATAGCTCTCTACCAAATTCACTTTATGGGATAACGTAGACGGCTTAAGCTTTTGTGAATTTTGCCGATAGGCATTTTAAAATTCTGGATCATGATAATACAACACGCTGTATCAGATGACTTTCATCCTGAGGCTCTTTATGCCTAACAGGACAACGACAAATTAATATACAGTATATATTTCTTCCACGTAGTCTCACGAAGCCTGTACATATTTCTTTAAGCAGAATAAATATGTGCATTTTCGGACACTAGCATTTACTTTTTGGGCAAGACATATTCAGACAGTAAATATATGCCTTTCTTGGTTAAAAATGAAATCTTCCAAGGCATACCCCAACCAGATTGTGCTGAATGTGATAATTTGCACACTGAGTGTATCCGCCCCCATTCCTTACTGCCCATTTGCATATAACATTTACTGACCCATGAGCACAGCATTCCAGTAAACCCACAATGTATGGGAGTTCAGTGAGGCTCAAAGTACAAAGTAAACGTGTAATGTCTGTTACTCAGTAAGTAGGATGGCAGTGGGGGGAAGCTGACACTTTGCTTTTTAAACCCGAAGTTACTTCCAACAGAGAAAACAATACCATGTCTTTCTAAGAAACACTAACAATCATATCATATCTTTTCTTCCTGTGTTACCAACCACTTACACTGAAAATGATGACACAGAAGGAAATGGAAAGACTGGGCAAGTCTAGCTACTTTTCTTTGTAGTTCTTCCTTTCTCACCAGTATGCCAAAGGCAGAGAGTGTTGGCAGAATGAGCATATATATCAAGAAGTGAAATGAAAGCAGTTAGGTTAGTTTTGTACAGTGTTTACACTCTCCTTGTAAGAACAAAATGCATACGCACATACAAGCTATAATCTATGAATTGTGGTAATTTCTGTAATTCTGTATGTAATTAAATGTTTTTATATTTCCATTTAAAACTGACATATCATCTTTAAAACTGATATAAAGAAAAATGATAAAATTCATACTCGAATTTTTTAATTTAAAAATTCATAAATTTAAAATTTTTCTTTACTTAGAACAACATGAAATGGCAAGAAAAAACACTCGTGAAAAGTTGAGAAAGGCTGCAGAAGAAAGGAAAGAGCTTTATATTTTAGTACCTTCAATGGAAGTATTCTACTTGAACAAGTGGACTCATATTTTCATTTTGCACTGGGCCCCACAGTGTATGTAGTTCTTGTGTGGGCTCCACTGTCTCTGTCACTGCAGCCTCTACAATATGACTTAGGCATTGTCCTTTTTATGTCATTGCTAAGTCTGACTCTCTGTCCCTCCTACCCCTAGGATTTATAAGTCACCTGGTTCCTTTGACAAATTCTTTTTCTGCTTAATCTAGCTGGGGTGGGTTCTATTTTTTGCAGTTAAGCACACCGATTGATAATAAAAATAACTAAAATTTATAGATTATTACTGTATGATAGTACATATTCCCATAATGGTGAAGTATACACTATTATCTATAATTTACAGACAAGAAAACCTAGGGTTAAAATCAAATAAATTGTCTGAGTTGAATAGCTAATGCATTCAGGGCCAGGATTCAAACCCAAGAAATCTAACTCCAACTCCGTGTGGAGCCGTGTTTATGTTAATGTTTGTCCTCCTAAACATTGTTGATCCCTATGGCAAGAATTTTACTAAGTTCTAAATAGGCACAGTGCCACCTAAACAAATAGCCATTGTTACAATCCGAGACAGTAAATGTTTAAGTATTGTTGCTGAAAACATAATTCTTAGGGAAGATCCAATAAACTGCCTTTTCTGAGAACCACTTTGGTGGTGATAGAGAATGTTCAATGGCTTTTACATTTCGGGGAGTTGCTGTCCCTGGGTTTCATTTCCCTGGATTTTACCTTTCTGAATTTTACAAGATTTTGCCAGCACATGATAACATTGATTAGAAAAGGCAGACAAAGTGAGAAAGTTAGATAGCTTGAAACAGGAATAATCACCTTTTTTTTTTCTGTTTATCAGAGGTGCTAAAATAGCTTTCCCAACAAGTCTTTTTCATGCTGCTTATGCTATGGTTGCCCTATGGAAGTTCACATAGATATCCTGGCAGGATAAAAATTTTGCAATTACAACTGATTCTTGAGAGTTCTTCCCAAATAAATGAGGGACCATAAAGGTTGAGATTGATGGAATGTGGGAGCTTGAACAATACTTACCTGTACATCATTTTGCCATGAGTCCCTCAGTCTGTGAAAATTAAATCATTCTGACTTAGGGACGCATGTCATTTTAGTTTTTAATGTTTTCAAATTTTGCTGATAAAAGGTAACAGAGACACGGTACTTTTTTAAAAGCATGCAATTTACTATTTTTTTAAAAAAAAAGTTATGTAGGCTAAACTGTGTGCAAGTTAAAACATTACAACCATAAAGGTGAGGATCACAGGACAAATATTTCTCTACCAGCTATGAGTGGGATGCTGCCTTTGTGATTTATTCTAAAATAACAAAACAGTCTGAAACAATGAAGTGTTTCTCTACGCTTCATGAATATATATTAATTCAGTTCATGACAGAACAAGTCATTGGCTGCCTCTGCCAAACAGCCAAGAGGGAATGATTGATTATTTTATGCAGAACCTCACAGGGTCTAAAGGTACTTGAAATCTGTGGTAGACGAAATGCAAAATACTGCCAAAAAATGAATGTAACTCTTGAATATTATCACAATATTTATATTGATGACCAGAAGTACTTGAGAATTAATAATCACAAACTCCCCAAATCTACTACAGATATCCATATAAAAACTATGTTTTCATTACTTCCTTAAACAAAACTATTATTGCCTTTAAAGTATATACACACTAGAAAATAGATTTGATTAGCTTCAGTTGCTCACTTCATACACGCTAGTGGTTTACTGTTTTCATGAGAAAATGTTTTTACCATAAGCTAATATGAGCAAACAGCTTATTTTGTTTACAGTCAAATATGGAAAATGGCCCTTCCCAAAAAGTAAATTGACTTAACGTTTTTATTTACTTAGAATCTGAAATCATATCTTTGTGTAATTAGGTAACCATTTATTACTAAACTCATTTTTCAAATTTCTGGCTACTTAAAATTATTTTAGGGGAATGAGATTGCTGACACTTGCCTCTATCCACAAATATATTGTCTTATTTTGGCCCCTAAACATAGATCTCATGATACGAAATGAGATTTATTTAAAGGGCATTCACAGGAAGCAGGAGTGGAGGACCGGGGAGGTTAAGAAGGCAACAGGCCAGCACAGGCATGCACTATGGCAGTGGCTGCTGTAGGCAGCAGGGGTGAGGCTGCTAGAACCTCTGAGAAACAGCATGCCCACACTCTCTACTTGAGGAACAGCTACTGTCCTCCCTCAGTGCATGCAGGGTTCCCTGGGCACAATTACTCCCTCACACTGCAGGGCTGATGAGGCCCCTATGCCTTCAGAAAAAGCTCTGGCTAGTAGTGCCAGTAAAATACAAAACCAGATTCAATTCGGATTTTATGTTTATTTTATTTTTTTGGAGACGGAGTCTCACTCTGTCACCCAGGCTGGAGTGCAGTGGTGCGATCTCAGCTCACCGCAACCTCTGTCTCCCGGGTTCAAGCAATTCTCCTGCCTCAGCCTCCCAAGTAGCTGGGACTACAGGCGTGCACCACCACCTGGCTAATTTTTGAATTTTTAATAGAGATGGGGTTTTGCCATGTTGGCCAGGCTGGTCTAGAACTCCCGCCTCGGCCTCCCAAAGTGCTGGGATTACCGGCATGAGCCACCATGCCTGGCCTGAATTAGGATTTTAGATAGCACTCCTGGCACGTGCTTGAGGCGGGGTGCTGTCAGCATGAGTTCGAGCTTGCCCAGACCTTGCTGCCCCTGTTGTAGCTAAAATCAGAGGTGGCCTGAAGGGAGGTGAAGCAGGGAACCAAAAGCATCTGCTGCCCATGGGTATTCTTTATTTTAAATAAAGAATAAATCTACCACCTACACCAGTCAGAACACCACACATATTCATCCTTATGCATCTTCATTTTTCTAGTCAGCACTTCTATTGTTAGTAATAGTTCTCCACACAATCTCCTCATAATAATCTTTTCATTTGATTCTGTATAGTGCCAGCTTTGCTTAAGCAAATTATATCACAGGTTACTTACCTTTTGAATTCTCTCAAGTCCTCATAGGTTTGTTTGTGCTATTTTCTTGTCACGCTGTGATCACAGATGCTTCATGCACTACCAGAGTATGTTAGTCCAGGCCCTCTAAGAAGCAGGTTCCAAGACAGGACTAGCTGTGCAAGAGATTTATTAAGGCAATGTATTAGTCCATTTTCATACTGCTATGAAGAAATACCCAAGACTGGGTAATTTATAAGGAAAAAGAAGTTTAATGCACTCACAGTTCCACATGGCTGGGGAAGCCTCACAATCATGGCAGAAGGTGAAGTAGGAGCAAAGGCACATTTTACAGGGTGGCAGGCAAGAAACCATGTGCAGGGGAACTGCCCTTTATAAAACCATCAGATCTCATGAGACTTACTCACTAGCACAAGAACACCATGGGAAAAACCCACCCCCATGATTCAGTTGCCTTCCACTGGGTCCTTCCCATGACCTGTGGGGCTCATGGAACTACAATTCAAGATGAGCTTTGGATGGAGACACAGCCAAACTATATCAGACAACATCTCCTCCTTTGTGGAGGGGATGGGAAGGGGCAGGGGAGTGGGGACTGGTCAAACCAGGATGCAGCCTGATCACAGGTAAATGAGAGAGGAAAGGAAAAGGGAGGGTAGAAGTGTCATTTTTATTGTTGTTTTAGTTTAAAATATTTAATTGACAAATAAAAATTATATATATTCAAGGTGTGCAACATGATGATTTGATATGTATACACATTATATAATGATTGCTACAGTCAAATTAATTAACATTTCTGTTACCACCTATAGTTACCATTTGTGTGTGTGTGTGTGTGTGTAGAGAACACTTAAAATCTACTCTTATCACATTTCAAGTACACAATACAGTATTATTAGATATAGTCACTGTGCTGTACGCTAGATCTCCAGAACTTGTTCATCTGAGAGATGAGCAGAGCCATGGGGGAATCCACCTTCGCAGGAGTCCAGCAGCCTGCAGGAACTGTGCTGGGTAAGTGACCCTACCACTCCATCACTGGCTAGGAACCACTTATGGGAAGCATGGCCTCCATGCAGACAGGTATGGAGTTCGTAGTACCACAGCTGGGCTCCTCGCAGTCCCAGATCTGTGAGGCTCACTTTCATGGCTGGCCACTAGACAAGAACTTTCACCAGGAGAGACAGAAAAACACGCCTGCTAAACATACACTCATTAATGGACCGAGTACCCTGTTTAGAGATAATTTTGAAAATGCTTAAGGCACATATTCATGAAATTTAAGCAACTATGATATCTGATTTGTAAAGATATTTTGGAGCAGGGAAATTTTATAACATTTTTTCAAATCACAGCTGCTTAGACATCAGCTTATTTCAACAGCTCCTTAGTTTTCTTGCAGTGAACTGATGAGATATAGTAACAGCTACTTCGTAGGGCCACTATAAGAATCATATGAAGATAATGCAGGTAAAGCTCTTAGCATAATGCTGCCAAATAGTAAAAGTTCAATTAATAATACCTATTATTGAACTACCATTAAAAACTAATATTAATATTAAGCTATTGTTGAACTACCATTAAGTTTAATCAATATTAGCTACTGTTGAACTACCATTAAAAACTAATGTTACATGTATCCATATAAAAATCACCTATTTTCTGTATGAATCCTGGCTCTGCATTCCTGAGGAAACACACATCTCCTTTCCCATTGCTAAAAAAAAAAAAAAAAAAAATACTGAAAGGAACAGGTCACCAAGTTTGATCTTTTTAGTTAAAATGACAGATCTCTGCAGTCATGAATGTGCAACTCTCAATCTATCAATTCTGTTTTGTCATCTGCTGCTGCCAAATAATTCACCCCTAAAACTTAGTGGCTTAAAACAACAAGCACTCATTATGTCTCAAGTTTCTGCTGGTCAAGAACTCTGAAAGGGCTCTTGTGTCAAGTTCTCACTTGGAGTCGCTCATGTAGGTGCAGTCAGACGTTAACTGGTCTTGCAGTCATCTGAAGGCTTGATTGGTTCAAGAAGCTCCATTTCAAGGGTGGCTCACTCATTAGGCTGGCAAGTTTATTGGAGGCCTCAGATGCTCTGCACAGAGCTGTTTGAGTGTCTTTTCAGCATGATTGCCAGCTTTCTCCAGAGCAAGTGATTTAAGAAACAAAGGTGAAAGTTGCAATGACTTATATGACCTAATGTCAGAAGAAACACACCATCACTTCCATTGTATTCTGCTAGTCACACAGAGTTAGCACACAAGGCTATGAATACTGGGAGGCAAAGATCATTGGGGCCATCTTGCATTTAATGTATATATTAATATATTCTACAGAATATAGATACATATAGTATCCAGAAGAAACTATGTTGTGATTATAAGAGTGCTGATTGCACTGGAGAATACAGACAAGAACCATCTTTCAACAGAGCTCAACTAAGCCTTAGTTTTTCACTTGTATACACAGGCAACTGCCACCTTGTGATCTGCCTTACTCTTTTAGGAAAGGTATAAAGCAAAGGCTAGAAATAGGCAGCTTTCAAGCAGAATTCAGCCTAAAGTCAGATTCAACTTGGCCTAATCAGTGCATTTAATGAGTAATGAATATGTAATCAAATGCCTTTAGAATAGTATTGGGTTCTTTACTTTGCCACCACCCTCTGCAGTCTTAAATTCTACAACTTGTATATTATCTGCCTAAGCCCTAAAGGCACTTGCAATCTCTGCCTTAAAGAAACTGAGGGCCAGGTGCAGTGGCTCACACCTGTAATCCCAGCACTTTGGGAGGCTGAGGTGGGTGGATCATTTGAGGTCAGGAGTTTGAGACCAGCCTGGCCAACATGGTGAAACCCCATCTCTACTAAAAATACAAAAATTAGCCAGGCATGGTGGCAGGTGCCTGTAATCCCAGCTACTCAGGAGGCTGAGGCAGGAGAATCATTTGAACCCGGGAGGCAGAGATTGCAGTGAACTGAGATTGTGCCACTGCACTCCAGCCTGGGCAATAGAGCGAGACTCAGTCTCAAAAAGAAAAAAAAAAGAAAGAAACAAGGAAACTGAGATAAGAAATATAAAGAAAAGAGCATGTGGGTGGGGTAGGGTTGGGAAGCTACGAGGGACTGACAGAGAGCTCTTGAAGCAGCTCCCTCAGCCATCCTCCTTCCCCATGAGAGTATTATGAGAACAAATAAAGGTCTTGGCAGTATCACTGAGGATTTAATGTAGCCAACGACAGTATTCCTGAGAATGAAGTTTGTTAAATACTAAAGCAAGGCCATGGAAACTCCTTCTCAGGAGGTCTTTAGAAATAGGAAAGATTGTAATCTTTCTGGAAGAATTTAGGTGTGGTTTTTCTTGGGGGTAAATGGGTTGGTTTATATAACTTTACAAAGTTTCCTATATTAATTTTTGACCCCCGTCTATGACTTTTTAAAAAGTTACCCCCCTTTCTTCCTTTCCCTCCATGCCCCAAAGGCCCCTTGGGTGCAGAGTACATCATGACTTTATCACGAAGCTCATTATTTCCCTCTTCTGGGAAATGGGAGACCACCCATGCTGGCAGTGATAGGCTGCCACCTCAAATCTGCATATTTGGCTTGCTGTAAATTGTCTGTCATTTCATTTTGCCATTTGTAGAATTATTTTCAAAGTCTGGTCATTAGTATTATTTTTTTAAAGTCTTTATTATTTTGTATCTTTTTCCAAAAAGAATTCCCCATGCAGAAGTATTCTAACTAACTTTTAGTATATCCAATAATATATGTATATTTTTAAAGCTCAACACTTTCAAGGAAAGAAAAAAAGTAGTCTTAATTTATGCTTTATCCAAGCCTCATCATTTTCAATGTGTGTGTTCTCATGTGAAGAAATCCAATGCTTCCAACATATTCTTTCAATGTTATGTTTTCTTTTCTAAACAAACAACGTGATGATCAATTTCAATCTTATGCCCAGGCTTCTATACAAGTGTGTTTTCCATTAAAGTTCATCATAACTTTTCCCAATGTGTTTCTCAAACAAATCAAGATTCTTTTATCCCTACATAGCTAAATAGTCTTGATTTAATTTGAGAAAAATGTTACATATCAGAGGTCAACAGAAATTGTAGATGTCTGAGTGCCACTGTTAAAAATTTTATTGCACTAATAAAAAGATACTATATATATCACCTTTTATATACAAAATCTAGAAATTCCTTAACTCCCTTTTTCCCTGTGTGGTGCTATAACTTTCCATGTGTTCACACAAGGGAGTCTCACCTTTTAAAACCACATTGTTTCTTTTTTTAGTTTTTCCAATTATGTACTGCAAAATTTCAAACTTATAGCAAAGCTGAAAGAATTTTACAATGAGCACCCATATGTATATTGTCTTTTACTATAACCTTACCAATACCTCTTTACCACATCTAGGCCCATTTTGGTTAGTATAAAACCATCACCGCTTACTCCCCATAGGCTAACACACAGGTTACCTTGAGAATCTTTGCTATGTTGCTTTATATCCCCACCAGACAAGAAAATTTAGACAGGCTTTATATGCTGTGGTTCGAATTACAATGATAGCAGATTAAAAATAATGACTGCAATGGATTAAAACACATCAAACATGAAGGGATTTATGAATTTATAATAAAACTTTAACAAAAATTCACTGGTCTTCTTGGAGGTTGGTTAAGTCCCAACTTATAATTCTGAAAATAAATCCATAAAGGGAAAAAATAAAGCATTTGTTCTTTTTTCCTATACAAACTGTATTTCTGGGTAGTTAAATCACAGACAAGAGAAAGTTATTCTTAGAAAATGATAGCTAATAAATGCAGGCAGAATGAAAGAAGAGTCACAATTGTACAACCCCTAATAAAATAAAGGAACTAGACAAACGTCAAAGGCTGCTAAAACCTTTAAGGGAAAGAAAGGTTAATAGGAAAAGTTATAATGAGATCATCAGGCTGAAATCTCTTGAACGCACTGATCTTTTGTGTGTGTGTGTGTGTGTGTGTGTGTGTGTGTGTGTGTGTGTATGACAGTCTCGCTTTGTCACCCAGGCTGGAGTGCAGTGGCAAGATCTCAGCTTACTGCAACCTCCACCTCCCCGGTTCAAGAGATTCTTGTGCCTCAGCCTCCCAAGTAGCTGAGATTACAAGCATGAGCCACCACCCCGGCTAATTTTTGTTTGTATTTTTAGCAGAGATGGGGTTTCACCATGTTAGCCAGGCTGGTCTCGAACTCCTTACCTCAGGTGGTCCTCCTGTCTCGGTCTCCCAAAGTGCTGGGATTACAGGTGTGAGCCACCACAACCAGCCCACAGATCAATCTTAATATTGATAGGGACAGGAGGCAGGGAAATTCTGGGCAGAAGAGGGCCCCCGCCAGGGCCCTACCTGCAAGCCAAAAAAACTGAAACCGTGGCCCAAAGTGAGAAGTTACATCCCTGTTTTCCTGCTCGAATGTTGCCTTTTCCAAAACCACCCATGGCCCGCCCCACCCCCCATTCTGTGCTTATAAAAACCCCAGAACTTAGCGGCAGAGAGAGAAGCAGCAGCTGGATGTCAGAGACTATAGCTGGACGTCGGAGAGAAGCAGCTTGACTTTAAAGGGACAGCTTGACAGCATAACCTCAGAGAATAATCTGGCCAGAGATAGCTGGATCTCAGGGGAAGATTACCATCCCTCCCTGTCCCCTTTTCAGCTCCCCTTCTCGCTGAGAACCACCTCTATTGGCAATAAAATCCTCCGCAGTTACCATCCTTCGTGTGACCTCATTTCTCCTGGACATTGGACAAGAACTCGGAAACCACGAGTGTGGATGCAAAAGGCTGTCACACTTGCCCTTTGCCCTCGCTGGTGGAAGGCAGCCACCTCACGCAAAAAGGCAGAGGGCCCACTGAGCTGTTAACACTTAAGCCGTCCGTGGATGGCTGAAGTAAAAGAGTGGTGTACCACTCCCTCTGGGGCTTCTGGGGTCACGAGCACCCCCCAGATGCTGCCGCGTGGCCAGCACAAAGTTTGCTCTTGCCGGGGCTCAAAAGCACTCACCCCAGCTCCCGCAGCTGTTCACCTGCGTTCTCCCTCCAGCGAGGGGTGGAGAGCAGCGGGTCTGAGTGAGTGGAGTTCGCCCCTGCCAGCGCGGAAGTGGCCGGCCAGTTCCAGCGCCTGCGCACTACAGTTCCCACCTCATTTGCTCGCACGTTCCCTCCCACGAGGACTTGAGAGCTGCGGGATTAGTAAATGAGGTACCCCCTTCACTAGTCCTACGAAGGGGTCAGGGAAATATCTTGCTTCAATATCACTAAAGAAGAACAGAAGACATTGTGGGTCTTCTGAATGATGTAGTACGCAAGGCTATCTGTAAAGTATTCCTCCCTGAAACAATTGTGCTAGAATCCAAATCAAGCCTCTGAAGAGGTCTAACTCCCAATATACCAAAAATACAGGCAAAAAGGACATAATAAGTAGTAATGAGGAATCAAGCAACCAAATGCAGAAGATAGGACATTATACAGGACCAATGAGCTGATTTATTCAAAAACTAAAGGACATTAAAATGGGATAGGGTGGTAAGTGGAAGTAGTTGAAAAGAGACTTAAGAAACACATTAACCAAATCCTAATTATGGACCTTGTTTGCATCTTGACCGAAACAAACCAATTGTAAAAAGACATTATTGAAGCAATTGAAAAAATTTGAGCATGAAATAAATATTAAATGATATTGGGTGATTAATACAAGTATTTAGTATTTAGTTATCTTTATCTTTTAGAGTTATAAGCAAAACGATATGGCATTTGGGATTTGTCTTAAAATACTCCAGGAAAAAAATATGGATAGATAGCTAAAACAAGATTAGCCATGTATTATTCTCTCTGCCCTTACATGTTAGAATTTTTGCATTAAAATAAGAAAGAATAGAAAAAATGTTATCAAGATTGGTGATAATAAAGAAGGCATGTGAGGAGAAAGAATAGAATAAGCAAAGTTTCCTTAAGCTTTAAAATATCTGCTGTACTTACTTAAAAAAATAAGTTGGCACATAGGAAAATGTTGAAAAATTATGTAGGAGTCCTACCGTGTATATGCGTGTGTGTATGTGTGTGTCAAGGGGTTCCTTCAATTGCATATTAAGGATTCAGTAATTTATTTTGTAATAAATGTGAATCCAGTAAGGAATTTTTCACTGAACAGTAGTGCAATTAACCCTGTTTTGAGAAAAATAAGTTATCTTAAAAGTTTTGCAGTTAACCAATATTAAGTCACTGGAGCATAACTTAACAAAAAGAAAATAGTAAGATTTGCTTGTTTATTTTTGTACAATATAATAATATTATAATCATGGAAAAGTTTCCAAACTATTATTCACCTCCAGAGATTCTGAGATGTTCTGTACTTTGTCCATCCTTCTCAAACCCTAACATTAAGGTGAGAATCTTCATTTAAGGGGGAATAGATAAAATGGCAGACTGAACACAGAGAAGCAAGAGGTCCCATATCAACAAAGGGTGAGAAGCAGAAGGAAATAAATGCAGGAGCTACCATCAACCTCCAATACCCAAAGCCTTGCTATTTTCCCCACTGACAAGACATAGAAAATGAAGCATCAAGGTCATCAGGCCCAGACAGATTCTTGACATCAGCTAGAGCACACAGAATAAGCAGCTGGTCTATTAGATCTAAAGCTAGAAAATCAAGGAGAAGAAATAATGAAGCTCTCCATTAGGATTTGTAGACATCAAGTTCAGATAGCATTCAGCTACTCTGTCGGCCTCCTTAGACAAACAGGAGTTTTTCCCAAACATGGAAGGCTTCAATGACTCATTTCTTGTGAATGGTTAAACAAAGCTTCACTGGGTAGGTCACTGCAAGGAGTCCCAGAGAAATCTGGCCACAGCTTCAAGCTTCGCGGGTGGTCTTATGGAGACAGCAGGGAAATGAGGTCACACAGTTTAGGGAAAGCCTCCTAACAGAGACGAAGATTGGAAATTGAAGAACAGATACAAGTCGCAAGAAGAGGTGGTATTGATGAAGTGGAATCAGAGAGGGCCTAGCGTGAGAGCTGCCAGGTGGGCTGATCTGGTGGTGGGAGAGGCCAGGGAAGGCAGGGAACCTAGGAAATGCAGAAGGCAAGGAAAAAATGAGGGGGAAAAAGAGAAGGTGGGAGCAAAAACAAGGGAAGTTATGGGGAGAAGAGCAAAGAAAGAAAGTACAAAAGTGGGTGTTGAACCAGCCTACAGAGCCCCTTTGTATTTGTACATCTTTAATATATAACACATTTACACCTAACAACCAATGTAGCTTGGGAAGAATAATATCAAGGTATAACATCAAGGTGAACTCAAGTTGCCTTCTCCCTGAGATATACCTTTTTAATGAGATATTAAACTGGATTCTTTTCTCAGAAGTGAACAATATTCTTTGCCTAAGTATATAGTAATATATCATTATCTATTATTCAAAAAAACAAATGTAGAAGCACTTTGTTAGATGTTTGTTTTCATTACTTGCTTAGGTATTGGTTTCTATATCAAAATATGTCATATGCCATCTCCCATCTCTCCCCTGCTTGGACCATCCAGCAGTGTGAAGATGGCTCTGCCCCAGTAAAGGAGCTGGGTCCTTCTAGCCTACTTGCTTCATTGTGTGTGTGCTTCCAAAAAATGGAAGAGGGAAAAACCCTCTTGTCTCTGCTGTAGTTCCCAACCCCAGACACTCCATTCCAGTGTCTTCACAATCTTTATTTCTTTCTTACTGGACTTTACAATATGAGTCCATTTACCTGGCTTTGACTTTAAATATTTGCTAGCCTAGGAGTAGCTTTAATGCTGTGCCTAGAGCAGAAGAGAAAAGGAGAAGCTGACACAAATTACAGAGGCCTGGTGGTCTTCAAGGGGGTCTAAGCCCAAGTATGATGCATATCAACAATGGGATTTGTAGCAGATTAGTCCTTGCTGGGAAGACCTGGGAAATTTTGTCTCCTAGGTTTCATTCTCCTTCCTGTCTGACTGCTGCTAGTTACTTTGGTTACCCGCCTTCATCTGACCCAGAACTCACATCTAAGAGTCATTCTCAATCTCAGCTGCCTCTCCTAAGAGTCCACTATGAGACTTTAACAAATACTGTTGCCAAGGTCCTGTCCTTAGCAATATCATTGCAACTGGCTGTGGTGATGCCTGGGCTTTGGGATCTTTTGAAGCTCCTCACTAACTTTATTGTGTAGCAGAGATTACAAAATGCTACCATAACATCTCTCAGACCTCTGGTTGCTTAAGTGGTACTTCAATCCAACAATCTCCACTCATGTAAATCAGGAAGAGGGAGTGGGCTATATTGTATCTAAAGTGCCATTTACTAATAAAATAATAAAGCTAAAAATGATAGAGCCAGTCTATTAGTATGCATTGAAAAAAAGTAGCATTACCTTAGACTTTTCAAATAAATTAACAAGCCATCTGGACTGAATGACCTATTTTGGATGCAAGGAAGATGTTTATGTTGCACTTGGTTTAATGTGGAAAAGGAGCATAGGAAGACTGAAATCAGAAATGTGTGGTGTTCATAACAGAAAGTCAATGCCAGATCCAATTCTAGAGTATTACAAAGTACATGAAGAAAAGATGTCAAGCATTGGATAGAGAAGGAACAAGAACTATAGCAGTGAAATGGGGACCAATGATCAGGAATAGAAAGTAGAAAAGGCAAGAAGAGACAAGTACTAGATAGCTCCGATTAATTCTAGTGCAAAGAATATTGCACAAAGCTACATCTGCCCACTTGTGCTGTGCAAGTATAATTTAGTAGCTGGCTGTTCACAAGTCCTAAAGAAAGGTAGTTTATTTTGTTTTCTTTCAAGCACGTTGTATCAGTCAGCATAGGCTTACTCCAATACTCCAGCCATGCCATTTTTCCCACTGACAATAGAAAATGAAGCAGCTGGGCAGCGTGGTTCACGCCTGTAACCCTTGAGGGGCTGAGGTGGGAGGATCACCTGAGGTTGGGAGTTCGAGACCAGCCTGACCAACATGGTGAAACCCCATCTCTACTAAAAGTAAAAAATTAGCCGGGTGTGGTGGCGGGCACCTGTAATCCCAGCTACTCAGGAGGCTGAGGCAGGAGAAGCTTGAACCTGGGAGGTGGAGGTTGCAGTGAGCTGAGATCACGCCACTGCACTCCAGCCTGGGCAATAAGAGCGAGACTCCGTCTCAAAAAAAAAAAAGAAAGAAAATGAAGCATGTTGCAGTAACAAATAATGCCTCCCCCACAAAATTTCAGAGGAGCAAAACCACAAAATGTCACAGTCACAGACCACGCCCATTGGGAGTAGGTAAGGTGGAAAGGGCCTCTTTTTCCAGTAGTCACTCAGGAGCCCAGCCTGATGAAGCAGCCACCATCTCCAAGGCAGTCCAGCTTCATGTCACAGCAATAAAAATGTCCTGGAGGGTCTTGCACTGGCATTTAAATGCTCCAGCTCAAAAGTGCCCCAACTTACTTCTATTTACAACTCACTGGTGACAACTAGTCACCTGGTCCCGCTCAACCAGAAGGAGTCAAAGAAGTACAACTTAACTATGTGCCAGAAAGTGAGAAGGACCAGAAATATGGCAAGCAGCTCGAATGGTACCATGCTTCATTGAGAAAAAGTTAGCTTTTTGTTTTTCTTGCTTTTTATGGAAACATCTATGGATAAAGATATACCATGTTGTATAACATTTTTTTACCCACTAAAATGTAATCTTCATGAGGGCAATAATTTTTTCTGACATGTATGTCTATGGCTTAACCTAGGAAAGTTCAAACAAATATTTTAGGGTAAATAAACTTGTGAAAAGTAAGCACAGACAAAAAGAAAAGAGCTAGGCACAATGTTATCATTTATCAGAATGATTACTATTAATATTAATATTAAAAAGTATTCATAGATTACTTACTATTCATGATGTTAAAAATCACCATGTAACAATGGAACAGAATAGAGAGCCCATAAACAAATCCACACACCTACAGTGAACGCATTTTCAACAAAGGTGCCAAGAACATACGCTGGGAAAGAAACAGTCTCTTCAATGAATGGTGCTTGCAAAACTTGAGATCCATATGCAGAAGAATGAAACTAGACCCCTATCTGTTCCCATATACAAAAATCAAGTCAAAATGATTAAAAAATTAAATCTAAGATCTCAAATTGTGAAACTACTACAGGAAAACGTTGGGGAAACTCTCCAGGACACCAGCCTGGCAAAGATTTCTTGAGCAATACTCCACAAGCATAGGCAACCAAACCAAAAGTGGACAAATGGGATCACATCAAGTTAAAATGCTTCCGCACAGCAAAGGAAACAATCAACAAAGTGAAAATACAACCCACAGAATGGGAGAAAATATTTGCAAACTACCTGTCAGACATGGTATTAATAACCAGAATATACAAGGAGCTCAAACAACTCCATAGGAAAAAAATCTAATAATCCGATTTTAAAATGGGCAAAAGATTTGAATAGACATTTTCCAAAAGAAGACGTACAAATGGCAAACAGGCATATGAAAAGGTACTCAACATCATTGATTGTGACAGAAATGCAAATTAAAACTACAATGAGATATTATCACATCCCAGTCAAAATGACTTTTATCCAAAAGTCAGGCAATAACAAATGCTGGCGAGGATGTGGAGAAAAGGGAACACTTGTACACTTTTGATGGGAATGTAAATTAGTACAATCACTATGGAGAACAGATTCCAGGTTCCTCAAAAAAACAAAAATAGAGCTATCACATGACCCAGCAATCCCACTGCTAGATATATACCCAAAAGAAAGCAAACCAATATACTGAAGAAATATATGCACCCCCATGTTTGTTGCAGCACTTGTTCAAATAGCCAAGATTTGGAAGCAACATAAGTGTCCATCAGCAGATGAATAGATAAAGGAAATGTGGTACTTATATGTAATGGAGTACTATTCAGCCATAAAAAAGAATGAGATTCAGGCATTTGCAACAACATGGATGGAACTAGAAGCCATTATGTTAAGTGAAAGAAGCTAAACACAGAAAGACAAATGTCACATTTTCTCACTTATTTGTAGGATCTAAAAATCAAAACAATTCAACCCATGGAGATAGAGAGTAAGAAGATGGTACTAGAGGCTGGGAAGCATAGTTGTGGGGGGAGGGAGGGAGAGGCGGGGAAGGTTAATGGGTACCAAAAAATAGAATGAATGAATAAAACCTAATATTTGATAGCACAACCGGGTGACTACAGTCAATAATAATTTAATTATACATTTAAAAATAACTAAAAGGCCAGGTACAATGGCTCACACCTGTAATCCCAGCACTTTGGGAGGCCAAGGCAGTAGATTACCTGAAGTCAGGAGTTCAAGACCAGCCTGGCCAAAATGGTAAAACCCCATCTCTACTAAAAATATAAAAAATTAGCTGGGTGTGGTGGCAGGTGCCTGTAATCCCAGCTACTTGGGAGGCTGAGGCAGGAGAATCACTTGAACCAGGAGGGAGAGGTTTCAGTGAGCCAAAATTGCACCATATGTAGCCCGGATAGAGCAAGACTCTGTCTAAAATAAATAAAATAAAAATAATAGAATAAAATAAATAAAAATAACTAAAAGAGTATAATTGGATTGTTTGTAACACAAAGGATAAATGCTTGAGGGGATGGATACCCCATCTTCCATGATGTGATTATTACGCATTGCATGCCTGTATCAAAACATCTCTTGTACCCTATAAATATATACACCTATTATGTACACATAAAAATTCAAATTTTAAAAAAACACCAAGCAAGAAATTTTTATAGCTAAATGATTTACCAACTACATTCAAATGATGCTGTCACCACTTCCTCAAATCACTCCAGGAGTCTTATCCTAATTCAGATTAAGTATAAATTCTTTCATTTTAACCACAAGTAGCCAAGTCAGCCTTGAAATTTAAAAAGAAATTTGGGGGAGGTACAAAGAAGATGGACTTGCCTTATTAGATAGACTTGCAATAAATAGAGCAACATTTTGTGCTCCTGTACCCGGATGGGAAGTCTTAATCATTTACGTTGACATGAATTTTCCTTAAATCTATACATTGAATGCATTTCTGGTCAAAATTCCAGTAGGACTATTTTCCTTATGAAAGTTTTTTATTTTAACTTCATCAAAGTCCTAACTTCCATAGGTCACCAAATCTTACCCAAAAAGTCTTTGACATTTGCTAAATAGCCAGATTCCGCTACACAAATGCTCAAGACCATTGAAACCTGGTGGTGATTTTGTGAAGAAATAAAACCAGGTGGGGATAATCACCATGCCACCATGGGAGAGGATACAAAGCCCAGTATTCTCTCCTACCCTGGAGCCACCCTCAGAGTGTAGCGATGGGGACTCTAGGCATGAGGTCCTTCCCCCTTCACCAGGCCCCAGGACCCTCCCAACTACCTGCTGGACCTTGTGATCAGTTAGAGAGATGTGCCCTTGGAGTTCAAACTGAGTCTTCCCCCAAGAGTCTTGAGCCCAGAGTCTGAGCTGCACAAGGGCAGAATCTGGCCATTGTGTGGTTTGAATCCAGCAAGGAAGCCCAGTATTACAGACAGGATGACAAGTGACATCATATGGTGACTGGTATAAAAAAAAAGAAGCAGCCATCACCACAGGAATAGTTCTAGTTTTGTGGCCTTGCCTAGGGGGCTCTGCATTCTGGATGTTGGTTGCCTCTTGTGGTCATAAAGAAAACATAGCTTCTTAAATAAAGTTGCATGTGCAAGACTCAAAGGCAGAAGGCTGGCAGATTAGCCCTGGCCACTCATCCCCCAAAACCAAGAGCTGAGCCTCATTCCTGCTGTCTCATTTCTACATCCCAGAAACAGCCACCTTCCAAGCTCATGATGGAGTTTCCTTAAACTTCTCCTGAAGAGAATTAAACAGAAACCAGGTCAGGATGTTCTGAGTAGACCATTCATGCCTGAGGGGTCTCTTGGACCCCTTAGAGCTTTTCCTTCTAGTGAGGATCCTCCATGGACTTGGGCTGTGCCCAGGATTTACCTGGGGTGGACAGGTAGGCACAGGGTGACTGTTAAATTCCACAGGATGAATTATTAATGTCTTTCTCATCTATGGTTAGTTTCTCCTGGTTTTCTCCTGTTACAGATAATCCTGTAATAAGGTTTTTTGTTTCTGTTTTTTTACCTAGGGTCAGCACACAGTATGGAGGATAAAAGCATGGAAGCCAGGTCAAATGGGGCGGAGGGGGGCGGTAACTGCCTGTCTCTCTTACTAGTTGTGTGACCCTCGACCAGTTTCTTAACTCTCTGTCCTTCAGTTTCCTCATCTGTAAAATAAGTCTAGGTTGGAAATCTTGCAGATAATATACCGATATAAAAGGGCTATTGCCACTCTAAATGGCCTTCTGGTGGCAAGAACAATGCAATTATTACAGGGACTTCTCAGACGGATCATGACATTAACTCTAAAAAAGGTAACTATTCTGTTTCAAGTTCATCTCTGGCAGAACAGAGCCAGATTCTTATTTTTTATGTTTTCCAATTGGTAAGTATCACTACAGTTATAAAGGTTAAAATGACAATTGTAACTTCGGATACTTCTGATGGAAGATGGAAGGGGGCAATAGCTACACACGTTTATTTATGAAAACCACACAATTTATTAGCTGTATTAGGTACTATAGCAACAGTCTGCATGCAGCATCACAGCTTTCTATTCTGACAACCCCATTATATTCGCTGTGAGTGGAAAAATCTCATAGGTTTTTATTGTTGTTGTTGTTTTTACTTTGTACATAGCTATTTGCCGTATCAACTTGCTTCTTTAAATAGACTCCTATAAAAATCGCATCTGAGCAAGGTTTTAACTCTTGATGAAACAGACTTGTTGGGTGAATGGTCTGTCTCAGTGGCATGAAAAAGGGAACAGATGTTAGAGCCTAAGCTGAGTGAAGACAATGTCTGTGCAGTGGGTCCACATTGGGGATTCAGGGCCTCAGCACGGTGCAGGGAGCAACCCTGTGAGTGGAAGTGAGTAGGAGCACAGGCGCAGTGTCAGAGTTCAAGCCAGGTGAGGAGAACATTCACGTGGAAGCAGGGCATCCCGGTGGGTATAGCAGGGTGAGGAGGGAGGTCCAGGCACACGAGTGTGGACTGTCAGACTCCACCTGAATGAGGGCAGCATCAGCTTAGCAGAGGAAACTGGCATGGTGTATAGACCAAGAAGGGAATGTCTTGGCAATGCAAGCTAAGCAGGCACAGGGAGAGATGGGTGTGGGTATTCATGCAGGGGCAGGATTGTTGTAAAAAGTTTGAGCCCAAGAAAGGTAAGGAGGGTATCCATGGAAAGGGGATACCCTCAGCCCTACAAAGTGCTACGATCACAAGGGTGAGACACCATGCCTTAATTAATTAAAAAAATAATAATAAAGTGTAGTGCTGTCATCTGATTTCAAACATCGCTTTAGAGTGGGGTGAACACACCTCAACGGCACTGTGATGACAACTAAGCAGGGTCCGTGCTGGGTGTGGGAAAAGGGATAGCTAACCATCGTGGGCACACATTACTCCATGTTCTATGTAGTTGTGATGAGCTGGATATTTGTGTGCCCCCAAAATGCATATGTTGAAATCCTAACTCCCAACACAATGGCATTAGGAAGTGGGGCCTGTGGAAGATAATTAGGTCATGAGGGTGGAGCCTTTGTGCGTGTGATTAGTGCTCTTACAAGAAGTGCCAAAGGAAAATATCTTGGGCCCCCAAAATCACTAAGGAAAACTCAAGCTGGGAACTGCTTAGGGCAAACCTGCCTCCCATTCTATTCAAAGTCACACCTCTGCTCACTGAGATAGATGCTTATCTGATTTGCCTCCTTTGGAAAGGCTCATCAGAAACTGAAAAGAATGTAGGCATTTGTGTATCACCTGTCTGCGACCTGGAAGCTCCCTCTGGGCTTCGAGACTTCCTGCCTTTGCTTCAGGTTGTCCCGCCTTTCCAGACCAAACCAATGTACTTCTTACGCATATCGATTGATGTCTCCCTAAATGTATGAAACCAAGCTGTGCCCTGACTACCATGGGCACATGCCGTCAGGACTTCCTGAGGCTGTGTCACCGGCTCATCCTCAATGTTGGCAAAATAAACTTTCTAAATTAACTGAGACCTGTCTCAACTTTTCAGGGTTCTCAGAAGCAACATGAGAGCACTCTCTCTGTTCTCCACCATGTGAGGATCCAACAAGAAGGTGGCCATCTGCAACCCACAAGAGGACCCTCACAAGAACCCAATCACGTTGGCACCCTCATCTCGGACTTCCAGCTTCCAAAACGGTGGGAAATAAAATTCTATTTTTTATAATCCACGAGGTTTATGGTATTTGGTTATAACAGCCCAGACTCTCCTAAGAAGGTGACCATGGAATGTAGGCCCTCTACTTTCTCTCAAGGGTGACATGTCAGTATGTGAATCCTGGAACTGTGATGGCTATGTCGTGATGCGGAAAGGTAACCTGAAAAGAGAGCCAACTTAGAAGAGTGTAGGATTTAAAACTATTAACAGCAGAGATTTAGAGCTCTGGCCATGATTGTACGGAACCTAAAACTGCTCTCTCTTTAAACTACTTGCTAATGGAGGCAAGACACTCCTTTATTATTTAAACAAGTAGATCTTGGTGTTCTGATATTGTAATAAAAACATTTGAATTGGTAACATACCTTTACTCCAAAGTTAGCGCATATCATTGCCAGTGAGTCTGCTAGCAGCTCTGCACATGGTAAATAGGAGAGACTTATATTCTGGGTTATTGGAAACAACAGGTAGGATTATTTACAGATAAACAGTGTAGAAATCGGAGCTTGGAAGCTTCCTCTTAACCGGGAGAAAGCCATAGCCCAGCTTTACGATTTCCCATTGGGTCTCATGTGGGACTACAGACAAGAGCCTCAGGGTCATTCCACCAGTTAAATAAAGTTTCTTTCTTTTTCTTTTTTTTTTTTTTTTTTGAAAAGGAGCCTTGCTCTGTCACTCAGGCTGGAGTGCAGTGGCACAATCTTGGCTCACTGCAACCTCCGCCTCCCGGGTTCAAGCAATTGTCTTGTCTCAGCCTCTCTAGTAACTGGGACTACAGGCACCTCCCACCACGCCTGGCTAATTTTTTATTTTTATTTTTATTTTTTATTTTTAGTAGAGATGGGGTTTCACCATATTGGTCAGGCTGGTCTCAAACTCCTGACCTCAGGTGATCCACCCACCTCAACCTCCCAAAGTGCTGAGATTATACGTGTGAGCCCCAAACCTGGCTTAAAGGAAGTTTCTTTATTTTTATTTATTTATTTTTTTTGAGACAGAGTCTTGCACTGTTGCCTGGGCTGGTGTGCAGTGGCGCAATCTTGGCTCACTGCAACCTCCGCCTCCTGGGTTCAAGCAATTCTCCTGCCTCAGCCTCCCGAGTAGCTTGGATTACAGGCGCAGGCCACCACACTGAGCTAATTTTTTTTTTTTTTCGTATTTTTAGTAGAGACGGGGTTTCACTATGTTGGCCAGGCTGGTCTCAACTTCCTGACCTCGTGATCTGCCCACCTCAGCCTCCCAAAGTACTGGGATTACAGGCGTGAGCCCAGCCAGTGAAGTTTCTTAAATGTTCATAATTAATACAAAGCATAAACTTATTACTACCATAGCTATATAGTTTAGGTGTGATCCTTATATAAGTAACAAAATGAAGTTAATAAAAAGAATTTTGTTCAAATAAGAATAATATATGAAAAAATGAGGCAAGATTAAAAAAAACAGCTGTAGGGTAAGAAGAATTGAAGCTGGGGAAGCTAGAATTTCTTAGCAAAGCAACTGTCAAGTTTACCAGTCTAATAATGTTCTTGGTAAATTTTCTTGTCAAACGACTTCCGACAGACAATTCTTGAACTTTTAGAGAAAACATAAAAATACCAAGAGATTATGTCAGAGAACAGCATAAAGTTGATAGTGGAAATAATTTTCACTGTGGGCCACACCAAGACAAACAATTAGGGAAGTGCACATGTAATTCTTTGAGCCATTAATTTGTAAATGACAAAGATCGGAAATAAGGGATTTTCTTCCCCCAAGAGACATCCTAGTTACTAAAGCTGTGATACAAAATATAACAAAAGTCAACAAAAGGAAATTGAAAAGGAATGTATGTAATTACAGCAAAGACAGGATGCATGATATTTTTCACCACCTAATATTACAATAGGTAAATGGATTAGCTAACTATACAATCTGACTTAGAAAACACAGAAAGGATTATTTAAAATAATGCCATATAAATTCTTAGTTGACTTCCTTTTGTCTAATGGTATTCACACTTTAGTGACAGTATGTTAAAAGTTTATGAGTAAAAGTAGGAATGCAGTAAAATATTTTTAGACCACCTACAGCTAGCATACATTAAATTATACAACACATTCTTTTCAATAAATGGCCTTTTTATATCATTCCAGTTACTGATAGAAACTGAAAACAGGGTTATGACATTTAATTAATTCACAAAATGCAGCTGTTCTTCAAGTTTTTGGCAGCTGTCCAATAATTTTAATGAAAAATTTTTAAAAAAGAGAATGAGGAAAAAAAATTCCACCAGAAATAACTTCAATTTTTCTATTAGTCCTTAATATGATGGAAAAGGTCAAAAGATGCCAGCTCTGGGCAAGTATTACCACAAAAATTAGAATCAATATGGGCAGAATATAGACCCAAAAAATGACATGTAAATTTGAAAATGCAATGATATTGCAAGCTACTTCCACAAGATAATGTTACCACATCACTGACTTGGTCAGACTCTCGATTTAAAGTAGAAAAATCTAATGCAAACCAGCTTCAACCCAAAGGGTAGTATATTGACTTGCATAACTAAACTACAGTAAACAAAGGTGTGGAGCTAACTAGAACGAAGGACTCAAATACTATGAGAACTGATCGTCTCTTGCTCTCTGCATTAGTTTAGTTTTCTTCTACTGTCCATCCACTTTCTATGCTGGAAGATGCATGGCTGATGGCAGCTTCTAGGCTCATGCACTACTGAACCTGGAAGACCCATGCTTAATGATAAGACAATGGAAACATTCTAGGGAAGGATTTTAAATGGCCTAGCTTGTGTGGTTGACCAAGAGTTGTGACTCAAGTTTTATGGTCCACTTCAGTCCCCACCTTTAGACAAGAAACTGTGACTGGGAGGTGGGCCATGTAGTTCCTATTCTTATTGGCTCAGTTAACAAATCCTCTCATTATATGGATAAGATAGAAAAATGAATACTGAATAACAATACATATAGAAGAAATTTGAATTAGCATTAATTAGAGAAAGAGTAGAAACATCTGTACAAAATCATCAGGTTGTAAAGCAACCCGTAGAATGGAAGAAAGTATTTGCAAGTCACATATCTGACAAGGGTCTACCATTAAGCATCTATAAAGCACATTTCCAACTCAACAACTAAAAGACAACTCAACTAAAAAATGGGTAAAGGTCTTGAATAGACATTTCTCCAAGGGAGATATGTAAATGGCCAACAAATGAAAAGATGCTCAACATCATCAGTCCCTAGAGAAATGCAAATTGAAACTGCAATGAGTGTTGGTGAGGAACTGAGAAGTTAGAACCTTCACACATTGCTGGTGAGAGTGTAAAACATTGCCATCACTGTAGAAAAGAGTTTGGGGGCTCCTCAAAAAGCTAAACATAAAATTAGCATACAACTCAACAGTTTCTTAGATATATGCCTAAAAGAATAGAAATAGGTATTTAAATGAAGACTTGTAAACAAATGTACTTAGCAGCACTATTCATAATAGGCGAAAGGTAGAAACAACCCAAATGTTCACCAACTGATGAGCAGATTAACAAAATCTGATATACTCATACAATGGAATATTATTCAGTCATGAAAAGGAATGAAGTACCAATACATGTGACAATGTATGTGAACCTCAAAAATACTTTGTCAAATGAAAGAAGATAGGCATACAAGGTCATATATTGTATAATCACACTAATATAAAATGCCCAGAATAGGTAAATTCATACAGACAGAAAGCAGAACCTGCTACTCAGGGATAGGCAACAGAATAAAAGAGCAGCACAGGAAGGGGAACTTGCAATTAGGCCATTTGAGGTCCTCTCTGTTTCACATGTCAAAACAACACATGATATTAATTTTAGGCCTTATGCCACAGAGCTCCACTGCAAATAATAGACTGCTCCTTTCTCCTTAGTTCCAATTTGAAAAACCTGGGGGGGATTATTCTGCTTAGACCGGCAAAGGTTGCATGCCTACCCTTAATGCCAGGAGTATAGCAAATTATGTTTGTCAGCCTAAGTGGGACACAGAATTGAGGATGAAACAGTGCCCCCAAAGAGGACATTCTCTTTTCAAAAGACAAGGGGGATCAAAAGGCAGCATAATTCCTAACCACCCTTCTTTTTATTTCTCTCCCTCCTTTCCCTCACAACTGCTTCTCTATATTAAACTTCCTTTCTCTTCCCTTGCCTTCTCTTCTCATCCTCTTATCTTCTCATTTCCTCTCTTCACTCTGTCTCTTCTTTACAACCCTCTTTTCTGTTCCTTTTTTCTTCTTCTCTCTTTCTCCTCCTTCTCTTCATTTTTGTTCTATTCTCTGTCTCTCACTCTCTTTCCTTATCCCTCTGCCCACTTTTAATAGTGCATTCCAACAAAAGCCACCCACAGTCATCACCTACACAAGTTTTAGGTGATCTGGTGGCCTTCAACTTCATTTCTACTTCTTCCTGAATTATTCAGAACACTAGATAAATGGTAAATAATTGGATAGAGCCTGCATTCGCTGCTAATCTGTCTCACCTATCCAAATTTATGAAAAATTGTCAAGTTCTTGGCAAGTGTGAAAACAGATTTTCTTTCTTTGTTATAACTACAGATGAATTTATGAAACAAAAATTATTTTCTAAAACTTTAGAAGCCTTGAACTTGCTCTGCTAAAGTCTCTCAATACCTTTGCATTTTTTATGAAAAAGATTTCTTTTGAACTACTTTCCAACATGTACTGCCTCTAATTAAAATGATTATTGAACTTTACTCTGCTATTTGCTTTGTGTGTGAAGGTGGTAATGAAAACATCATTAATTAGAACGTAGCAGAGGAATAAAGGCCACAAGGAGCACAAGGAAGATAGTTTGGAATTATGTATGAAGGCAACTGAAACACTTCAGGCTCTGAGGAAATAATAATAATCCATTTGATTGCCAGTCTATATCAAACAGACCAAATACAATTAAGGTAGGTTTAAAGCTATGGGTACTCAGGCTATTTGCTTCCTAATGGTCATTCCTTAGAGACTGGTCTTATTCACATCCCCCAGTGCCTGGCAGAGTGTGTGGTTTATGGTAGGAACTCAGTCCATTTTACTGCCTGCCTGTCTAAATCAATAATAAATGAAGGGTGCCAGGTTATCTAAAATAGTTTCTTCATACAGTTAGAACACTTTAAATCACTTGATGGCCCATGTCTGGCCACACATGGTGACCCAGGCTTCCTGGAACTGGTTTGGTAGTCTCTTCCTGCCACTGTAGCTTGTAGATGAGAGCAACAAAGACTCTGCTACCAAGAATCCTGAATGCCACTGCTAACAGAGATCAGCTGCAAAACGATTCCAGGACATCAAGGAAAATGACTTCCAAGCTGATTCTTCTTTCTGAAATTTACCTTAAAAATTATGGGAGTATGGAGAAGAAAATCCCAGTATCCTCAAATGCTGAAGTTAAAAAGAATCAGAGAAACCCACCTGTTAATAGATAGTGAAACCCATGTGTTCACAGATAACATCCCAATATTTTTTTTTAGGAAAAACCGCATTACCTTTACTTGGTTAAATGACAAAATAACCAAGTAAATGAGTCAAATAATTCATTTATCAGAATAATCAAAATGAGTCAAAATAACTCGGAACAAATTAATAACACTCAGACAGGAGATGATAGACTGAACCCTAAGTAAAGAAAACTTCCCTGTGGACTCACATTAGTGATGGGGCAAACATTCATGACAAAGCTAGTAGTTCTTTCCAAGTCTCTTTTATTCTTTTTGGGATCCTCAGTTCTAAACAACCCAGCCAATCCAGTCTATGTATTCAAAACAGGGTCTCTCACAGAAGGGTGGGTGGGCGCACTTCAAGCCTAAAGGAGAACAATCCGAGTCATCCTAATGTGAAACCTCGTGCTCCTGTTTCTACCTCAGTCTGAGTACTAACATAAAACTCTGGCAGATGAAAATCTTTCTTTTATCTTTTTAAGAAAATTAACCTTTAGTAGTATAATCCCAAGACCATTTCTACTTATTTATTTGGAAAAATAGAAGGTAGGGACCACTGTTTATCCCAAGACAATCTATTCCATGAGACAAAACAGGAAGAATCATTGTTGTGACTTTGAAAAATATAACCTTTAAAAATACTTATATTTGGAAGCTTTAAATATTACATTGGTTAAAAACATTGTTAATGGAACTTTCTTTTTCTATCTGTAGTGGTTCAACTTCTGGTGAGAGTATATGCTGATAGAAAATCTAGAAGCCATGGCTTTTAGGGAATTAAAGTAGCAAAATATGATTGATTTGCAAAGATTTTGAAAAAGGGAACTGGAACAGGAATAAAAAGGCAATGAGCTCCAGAAAATAAGCTACCCCCAAGTCAAGATAATCTACTACTAAAAGTAGATCTACCATTCAATCCAGCAAATCCCACTGCTGGGTATCTATGCAAAGGAAAAGGAGTCATATCAAAAAGACATCTGCACGTGTATGTTTATTGCAGCACAGTTCATAATTGCAAAGATATGAAACCAACCTAAGTGCCCATTGACCAATGAGTGGATAAAGAAAATGTGGTATATATACACCATGGAATACTACTCAGCCATAAAAAAAAGAATGAAATGATGTCTTTCACAGCAACTTAGATGAAGCTGAAGGTCATTATTCTAAGTGAACTAACTCAGGAATGGAAAACCAAACAGCGTATGTTCTCATTTATAAGTGGGAGCTAAGCTATGGGTACGCAAAGGCATACAGAGTGATATCATGAACTTTGGAGATTCAGAAGGGAGAGGATGGGAGTGGGGTATGGGATAAAAAAAAACTACATACTGAGTACGATGTATACTACTTGGGTGACAGATGCACTAAAATCTCAGACTTCACCGCTATACGATTCACCCATGGAACAAAAACCACTTGTACCCAAAAGACTATTGAAATTTAAAAACAATTAACGATAATCCAGAAAGAAAGTAATAAAGTCCTGTGAATAATCATTAAGGAAGGAATATCTGGAGATAGTCTGACTAGCTGTTTGACCTCAAGAAAAATTGATATATTTCACGTAATGATTGTGCTTTACACTGTCCCCATGTCTTTTAAGTATGTAGCACATTTGCAAAGCTTTTCATAAACAGGTAAGAAAAATATTTTATTGTTTTAACTTTTAGTGCAGCTTTGTTATATAGGTAAACTCGTGTCATGGGGGTTTGTTGTACAGATTATTTCGTCACCCGGGTACAAAGCCTAGTACCCAATAGTTATTTTTTTTTCTGCTCCTCTCCCTCCTACTCTCCATCCCTGAAGTAGGCCCCAGTGTCTGCTTTTCCCATCTTTGTGTTCATGAGTTCTCACCATTTAGCTCCCATTTATAAGTGAGAACATGCGGTATTCTGTTTTCTGTTCCTATGTTAGTTTGCTAAGAATAATGGCTTCCAGCTCCATTCATGTTCTGACAAAAGACATGATCTCTTTCTTTTTTATGGCTGCATAGTATTCCATGGTATATATGTACCACATTTTCTTTATCTAATCTATCATTGAATGGCATTTATGTTGATTCCATGTCTTTGCTATTGTGAATTGTGCTGCAATGAACATTTGCATGTGTGTGTCTTTATGGTAGAATGGTTTCTATTTCTCTGGGTATACACGCAGTAATAGCATTGCTGGGTCAAATGGTAGTTCTGTTTTTAGCTGTTTGAGGAATCACCACACTGTCTTCCACAATGGTTGAACTAATTTACACTCCCATCAACCGTGTGTAAGTGTTCCTTTTTCTCCACAACCTTTCCAGCATCTATTATTTTGAGAAAAATATTTATTGACTTGGTAATAGTATACATTCTGGCAAATGATTTTTTAAGTCAACATTCAACTTAGATTATTTAACATTAAAAATATTTGCTAAATTATCTCTTATGGCAAAAAAAATTATTTATTTTTACGTTTGAACAGGAGGCTGCATGCAGATGGCATTCCAAGAGTAAATCTGTCTTTCTAGATTTAAATAGTAACCCAGAAAGTGGTGGGTAAGAAATTTTGTCAAATTTTTACTACATAGACTAGCAAGGATAAGGATTATTTTAAGAAAAGCTGAGTTTGACCAGAGAGATGTCTTTTTTGGGTCTTATGTATATTTGTAATTTCAATTTACGTAGCATATATATATAATAACTAATAATATATAATATAGATATCTACATAGCCAATTATCTCAAAACATAGCTGCTGAAAACAACCAATATTTATTATCCTCCTTTCTGAATGTCAGGACTTTGGGGGTTGCTTGGCTGGGTGCCTCCGGTCAGTCCCCCACCAGGCTACAATCCAGGGCAATACTGTGGTTATCTCAAGGTTCCCCTTGGGGAGATCCACTTCCAAGCTGCCTCATCTGGCTATTGACAAGCCACAAGCCCTCTCTGGCTGTTGGCCAGAGACTTCAATACCTTGCCATGTGGGTCTCCCTGTAGGTCAGCTTAAAACATGGCCACTGGTTTTCCTCAGAATGGGCTAGAGAGCAAAGAGAAGGGGCTCAAGATAGAAACCACAGTCTTTTTATCACCTAATCTCAGAAGCTATATCCTATCCTTTGTATTCTGTCCATTACATGTGAACAGAATCCAGCCCACATGCAAGAAAAAAGGATCACACAGGAGTGTGAAAATCAGGAGGCAGAGATTACTGAGGGCGTTGTTGAGGTTGTGCACACGTGCACATGCATACATGTATGCATATACATGTATATGATCATGTATACCTACTCATACATACACTCACATTTAAATACACACACATGCATGTGTGTGCACATACACATATATATTTATGCATGCATGTATCTATATATTTCTAGAGTATTTATGCTTCAAATGCCTGACTCTTGTATCATATGTGTGATAATATGTGACATTCCTGCTAACATTCACAAGACTTCTCTGTCAGTTTAGGCAGAGAATAATTGTCAATAATTATCACCAAGTCTAAATTAAGTGAAGTGAGGAAAGGCTTTGTAATTTCAGTGGCTTCTGGCATAACGGAAGTTAACTTCTGTAAGTTATCTGACTTTTCCATTCTGTTCCATCTCTAATTTCAGGCTAGAGGTTTCTGTCCTTGGCTCCATGATTTAGAAGGGCTGCTCTGGCCCTCCTCACTGGAGGAGAAGGAGTGCCCACTGGAGATCTTACCCTACGCTGAAATGATGGGCATGTGTTCCCCTAGACCCAAGGGATAAGCAAATGGTGGCTGTTTATGAGGATAGACAGAGCTTAGACATGGGGACCCATTATTCTTGGGAGGAAATGTGAAATCACACTGAAGCTGTACTGGTTTGGAATTGAAAATTATTATTATTGTTATCATTTTAGGTAAGCTGAAGTTGTGTCTAACAGCATCTAGCTTTTCCAGACAGTGTAGGAATGTTTACAAATCTGAACCACTTTCTGTTCCTATACAGGTAGGTATTTGGAAGATTGTGTGCAAATTTTGAAAGAGTTGAGGTGCATATGGAAGAAGTGGAAGTGGCTGCTTTCCTGAAAGAGCTTAAGAAAAACTGCATGTGAACAGTGTTTCTTCAGAACCTTGATGGCAAAATGTCACATGGGTTGGAGTAAAGCAGTGTTTCTCCTATCAGCTCAAAACCCACCACCACTCTAATAATCAAAAACAAAAAAGTTGATACTTAGAAAATCAGGTGATAGCATCCTGGGCATGGATCCTAGAGACTAGCAGAGGACACTTGGGCTTAGAGAAATGAAGTTTATTTCAATAGTCTGAAGGGCAGCAGACATTAGCAAGGAAGAGGAGGGAAAGAGAAGACAGCTTTGCAGGATGCTGCAAGATGACTTGAGGCTACCCATTGGTGACTTCAAGAAATAAATGGCAAACACTTTATAGATCCAGCTTGCAGTGCTTTTCATTGGCATTTGGATATTAAAAGTTAAGCAATGAATATAAAAGACAAGTCACAGAAAAAAATACAAATGACCAATAAGATTTGGAAAGATCATAAACTTCCCTAAATAAATATAAACCAAAACATTGACATTAAAAATTTCTCCAATTAGATTGGAAAGTTCAACAAAATTGATGTCAAATAGAGAAAGATACCCTATCCAGAAAGGGGCATTATCATATATGATCCAATAATCTCATGAAGGAATTTCAGCTACTGGAATAGTAATCCAGGTATGCTAAGACATTTGTTACAACATTGTTTGTCAGAGTAAAAACCTGGACAACACAAGTGTTCATCAATGGAGTAGTAAGTAAGTAAAATGTAAGATACATGACAATGGAACGTAATGCCACAATTCAATTTTGTAATTCTATGTACACTCACTTGAAAAGATGGAGGTTGATGAGATGGTAAAGAGAAAAATGAAGGATGAGGAACAAATTACATGGTTTAATCTCATTTAAAATCCACCTATATACAGAGAAGCAAAAGTTAGCCTACCACAGTTTCACAGATGCTGGCAAAAGATGATATTTCTGGCTTAGAGACAAAGGATAGCTTATTACTCATGGTAATAGCATAGATAGAATATTAGTATTTCTACCAGTTCTCCTACCCACAATTTCCAGAGGGCGATGTGAAATGGGCCAGGTGATATGAGCACATAGAGTGGGTTGTGTTACAGAAGAGGAAATTTGAACTTAAGGAAGCCAGACCTTTTATACTGGGCAGTAAGTTGCCTCAGCTTATCTTTATAATAAATGAGGGAGACATTATCTTTATTATACTGCTCAGTTGAAAAAAAAAAAAAAAAAACACCTACTTTTTGCTCTGAAGGTAGACGCTATATCTACCAAGGCTGTAGGTAGACACTGTATCTTCAAAGGCTGTTTGCTATACAAATATCCTTGAAAATGTAGTCCTTACCAAAGGCAGTTAGTGCCTTTGCTTATGTGCAGTAACAGGAGAGACTCCTGGAGAATTTTCCCCCAATATTCCATTGTTATTTGCATTTTATGTAAACAAAAAAAAGAATTGTAGCTATCAATTAAAATGGGATGTTCTTTTACCTAAAATTATAATAATGAAAATTTTGATAGCTTGGTCATCGAATATCATAAAAACATGTATTTTTATAAATTTTGAATATTTGTTTTTTTAGAGATGGGGGTCTCACTCTGTTGCCCAAGCTGGAGTAAAGTGTGTGATCATAGCTCACCACAGCCTTGAACTCCTGGCCTCAAGTGATTCTCCCGCCTTGGCTTCCCAAAATGCTGGGATTATAGGCATGAGCCACTGTGCCTGGCCAGATATATCTTTTTATACATGTGATATAAGAATATGTATGTTGATTGCGGCCGATACATTGTTTATTCTATGCTCATTTCACACAGTAGAAAATGAGTGATAATGATCATTGTATCTAATAAATATTTTTCACTCACTTAGAAAAACAATATCTAGATTGATAACTGGAATTATTAAAGACAAAATTAGAAAGAATTATTTAAATTATGTAGTTTTAACGATAGCCATCACATGCATAATTTTTTTCTCACACATTTTTCACTGAAAACTTGTTCTTAAAAACTTATTCTATATCAATACAAGAATCTTTTACTCTGTAAACAATACACACAACCTGTCTAGGAGAGTTAATCAAATAATAAATTTTTTGAACTGAACTTCCAGCTTTTACTGTTGAAGAAACTGAGGCCCAGAGACATTAAGTGATTTGAAGGTGGCCAACAACTAGTTGATGTCAGAGCTGAGACTAAATCCCACATGCCCTGACTTGGAGCAGAGGGTTCTTTCTTCTTATCCAAATCCATGTACATGATATGATAGAGCTTTCAAACTGGGATATGCATACCCCTGCGGGCAATGGCAGCAAGCCAGGGAGGTAAAGCCACAGGATAAACACAGGGTGTCTTGCTTCAATGTAAATATTACACAAAGATTTGAGGAGAGTTTGGGGAACTGCTTTATTTTTATATTAAAACAAGATTGATTGTAAAGAAGAATGCATATTTTACATGAATTTTAAAAATTTCAGGCTGGATTCCTCAGGCTATAATCTTACCCCATGGAGGTAAAAGTTCTCTCTGCTCACTCTACTGGGAGTAATTCTTTTGTAAAAATTTCATGTCACCAATGTGAGAATGTCTGGGAAGGAGCTTTTGTCCAAAAAGTGCCTTCATTAACCTCCATCCTTGAGATTCCATAATTAAATTTGCTTTATTTTAGCCTTCGTGATCAGTTAATTTTTTCTTGAAGAAGGAACACATTAAGACCTTATAATAAGTGAGTTTTGAGTTCCTTTCCTAAGAATAAGGTTTTTTTCAAAATTACCTTTTTAATATGGGGTAAAATGCTAAAAAAATAAGAATAAAAATTTTTAATGTGATTTTAGTAGAAATTAACTGGTGACTAGTTTACATCTGCAAGATGCTCTTTAAAACTATTTTGCATATGGTTATAAAGTCACATTTGTGTAATGTAGAAAACTGAACAAGTATTGTGCATTTCCATTTTTTCATGTAGCATATTCGTGAATAATATCTGCAATGCTATAACACATATCAACAGCAAAAATGAGCCAATGAATTATTATATATGCCTTCTCAGTGGACCATTTCTCTCATTTGAGTTTTATTTCCAGGATAGAAACTACTTAAACAATAGTTCTTAGATGATTAATCCCTCCACAATAACTTGGAGAGCTTTTACCCCCACCTCAGCCCCAAATACATATTAGAACTACTGAAACAATGTGTACTTGATTTCCCCACTGAGACATTTTTTAATGCTTCATTTCAACACCAGCATTTTTTTTTAAATGCAAGTAGCTTGACCCATTTCAGAAAGCTACATTTGATTCCTAGATTTCAGGTTCAAATTTGGAGCCAAGAAACCAACTCGTTTAATCCAGTCAACATTAATTAAGCGCAGTCCGTTAAGCTCTGGCAGAAGAGAGAGATGTCTTAAACAGGATCCTGCCTCCAAAGTTACCCAAGCTAGAGGGAACAAGCCTCATATAAATAAAGTCACAAGATAATCTATACTAGAGGTTCCAATACAGTTACAGGAGACAGAAATTTCAAAAAACAAAAACAAAAAACAAGGTTGGAAAGATTGGCCAAATAGTGGCTCAATTTGTCCATTTTCTGCCAGAGAAAGGATTTCTCAGCTACTGAAACAATATGTACTTGTTCTTAGCCAATGAAGTCAGTAGAGAGTTCCTTCCATTTTTCTGTGCACCTGGACTCTTGAGGAGCCTTAATTCTACCACCCCCACCTTCATCCCAGGTGTGGGTCTATGATGAGGCAAGTAAGGCAGTGGCCTTGGACCCAGATGTAAGAAGCACCAAAAACTCAGCATTCAAAATAAATATTTTTTTTTGTTTGTTTTTGAGACAGCGTGTCCTTCTGTCACCCAGGCTGGAGTGCAATGGCTGGATCTTGTCTCACTGCAACCTCTGCCTCCCAGGTTCAAACTATTCTCCTGCTTCAGCCTCCCAAATAGCTGGGATTACAGGCGCATGCCACCATGCCCGGCTAATTTTTGTGTTTTTTTAAAATAGAGACAGGGTTTCTCTATGTGGGCCAGGCTGGTCTAGAACTCCTGACCTTGGGTGATCCACCTGCTTCAGCCTCCCAAAACACTGGGATTACAGGCTTGAGCCACCGCACCCGACCTCAAAATAAATATCTTAATGCAATATTAAAAAAAAAAAAACAAAATGTATGCAAATAACATGCATAATGAACAAAATTTCAAACTTTTAGAGACACGATCAGTAGTACTGTCTTTTTTCCTCTTGCGTCAAGATCCACAGCGACTCTGCAGCGCACCTCTTCACCCCCAGCCCGTACATGAGGCCAGGGGTCCACACACACACACGTCTAATTTCCAGAAACCTAAATTTCCTGATATTCATATCTCGAATCAAAGTGATGATTACTGGGTGACTGCCGTTGAGGCGCTCTGACCTCCTCCTGGTCCCGGACATAGCTGACCCCCGCTCTCCGGCATCCACCGGACGCATCACCATGAGCAGGGGTAACACGCGTGTGTCCGAGGCACAAGGGTGGGTGTTGCAGGGCCACACGCTCAAACGTCACAAAAGTCAGCGTTTGGCTTCAAATATTTCCCAGTGTGGACTGGCTTTTAGTCAACGGGAATGCGGTAACTGTTGGTAACAGAACAACGAGCTGTGCACCAAGCCAAGTCTCTCTTCGGTGCCACCGGCGGGCGAGGCCGGATTAATCACCGCTGCTTCGGCCGCCCATGTGTCCTGATGTCCTGGGACCCGAACCCCGTGCCCCGTACCTTGCGATGCTGGCGCCTACGGAGGGCATCCGAAACTGCCCTACAGAGCAGTCGCCGGGTAAGCGGCACCTGCCTTCCCAAGCCATCAGCCCCTTTGGCCCCCTGCCCCAGGGCCCCACCTCCTGCCTGAGGACTCCAGGCAGGTACTGAATTTGGAGGGGAATTTCAGTAGCCTGAAGACGGAGATAGGTCAGATTTCAAATTAATTGGTTAACATAAAAGGAGAACAAAGAATCCAGCACAAAATTGGGATGTGAACAGCTACGAGCGGTGGCGAACCCCCCTCAGCATCTCTGCCTGGGCTAGAGGTCCTAATCCCCTGGGTGGGGTTTGAGGACTTCCCAGTCCACACCAGTAGACTTACACTGACCTTTTACCACTCAGCATCTGCTGCGTATATAATTATAGTGGTTTGCAGATTAAGTGAAACGGAGATTAAGTAAATTTCGCAGTCTTGATTCTCCAACAGGGGTGTGTGTGTGTGTGTGGATGTGGGTGTGGGTGTGTATCCCTAATATATTGTTCCCAGCAAGGGCAAATCAACACCTTGAAGAGAAAACGTTATTTGATGAGCCCTACAAGCAGAGTCGAGAGCAGTTAAGATAATGATTAAAAGAATATTTGGATATTTGGGTGGGGAAAAAAAAATCTCAGAATTGTGCCAGGTAAGACCTAGCAAGGCTTTCTGGAGTTCTCTGACTCATCTGCAAAGATGGGGGGCTGCTGTGATTAAACGAGGCCGAGAGTTCTGTAATGAATTGAAAGCTCTTCACACTAAGTCCTAACTTGTGCCTGCGTGTTGCATGGAGGTATAAGAATTTATCATCAGAGAGGGCATTTTCTTCTATAGGTTTTAATACTGACCTTATTCTTCTAGGATTTAATAATCCTGCCATTTTCAAACATTTTTTTCCCTTTGATTCTAGATCCTCAGGCATCGGGTGGTGGAAGAAGCAGCTGCTGTTCTCCCCATGCTAGAACTGTTCACATCCCAATTTTGTGATGGACTCTTTTTATTCTCCTTTTAGGTTAACCAACTAATTTAAAATCCGACTTTTCACCCTCTTCAAGCTACTGAAATTCAGGCCTCTAAATTCAGTACCTTTTCTGAGTGACATCCTCCACCAGCCAAAACAATGTTGTAGATTGAAATTCTACCTTCTTCAAATGCTCCTCTGCCTCCTGCTGTCCTTTTCTTCTTCTACCTCACTTGACAATCATCCTCCTCTGTCTCCTTTCCATCATGTTTCCCTCTCCCTTCTCTCCATGTAGACACTTCATCGTGATCTTCCTTGGATCCCACTCTCCTCTGGTTAACTGACTTATCAGATCTGCACAGCTGCCCTGATGAGATCTCTGATGAGTTCCACATTTACCCTTGCAGCTTTCTGGTGGGCGCCTTGACCAGTCTGTTCCACCAGGGCCTCAATTTCAGCATTTCTCAGCTGCATCTGTCTTCCCTCCCATCATCTTTCTCATCAAGTCATCACATCATCATCATCATCACCTGTGACTTCCCTCGTGCTAATTCTCTGCCTCCATTTACTTGCCAGTTCCCATTCATTCTCCCTAAACACACCCCATGTCATATCTGTTCACTGCTCACTCACACCTGCCCCCACCCTGAGGGGGCAGGCTCATTAGCTGGCAGACTTTGTTTCCCAGAGGCAGTCTTGCTTCCTGTCTGCAGTTCTCACTGCACACCAGGCCCCCATACACATCACTGCTAGAGTCATCTTCCTGAAGCCTGGCTTTGTCACATGTTTTTTCTAGTTCAAAAATCCAGTAATATCTTCCTATTGCCCCAGAAGTGAGCATAATGCTGAATCACCCAATAGTTAGTTCTGTGCTTTCAGGGTACCAACAAAGCAAGAGCACTAACAGAGAAGGAGGAAAAGTGTTTCTGAAACAATTTGATATTGGATATTGTGTAAAAGCATTGACATTGTTATCCTGGGAAAAATCAGAATTAGACTTTCTCACATGAATTTTACCATACAGTTACTTAGAATATATATTTCATATATATGTACATATACATGTGTTTATATATCATATAAAATTAAATGATGTTAAGTTAGAGTTCTCAAGGCCTGAAGAAGTTTTCTCCAGGCACTGATTAAGTACACACTTCTGAGCCTAAATTTCAAAGTTGACATAAATAATATGACCCCAACCCACCTTTCTTAATTTATTTCTCACAACTGCCTTCCACATGCCTTTTACTTCAGCCAAAGGCTGTACAGCCCCACATACCTTATACATTCTTCTGCTTCTTCTGTTTTGTGCGCTTACTCTCCTCTTCCACCAACATCCCATTTCTAATTTCACCTCACCTCTTAAGGCCCAGCCTGACTGTCGGTTGTGCCCTGAAATCTTCCAGCGTGTCCAGGCTAACAGTACAGGTGTACTTCATTTCTACTGTGCTTCACTGTATTGTACTTGCAGATACTGTTTTTTGGGGTTTTTTTAATGTTACTATCGTAATTGCTTAAGGGACCACGAACTGTGCCCCTATAACATGGCAAACTTAATTGAATTCCTTTAGATGAGGGCATATAGTACTAGTGAAGCTGTGTGTTCACTGGGAACTGGAATTGTTCCACCATGGATTCACTGAAATGTGAATTGGAACATTTTCATGTTTCTGGGCACTTTGATATTAATATTTTGTACTGGATTCATGCAAAATTATTGATTGGAAAGAAACATGCTGTGATAAAAACTTGTGTAAATAAATAATTATGATAGTGATTTACATATTATGCTGATACATTCAATTTCCCTTTCACCTCACATTTTTTGAAATTTGATTTAAATTTTTAAATATTCATTCTATGGCTAAAATTTTTAAAACATGCATTACTTTCTGATTATCAAATTAATATGTGGTTATTGTGAAATACTAAAACATCACTAAAAATATATATTGCCTAGAAAGTGAAAGTCCCTCATGATCTCAAGTGTTGACTTTTGCTAGTAATTTGAAGTGTGTGCATTTTGTATTCATATAAATATGACTTTTAACAGAAATATTGTTACACATATTATACTGCCAATTACTTTTTATTTATAAATATGTTTTCGATATCTTTAGATGTCTAGATATCTGTCTGTATTATTAGAGTTCTCGGGAGAAACAAAACAATAGGATATATAGAGATATATAGAAAAAGACTATTATTATGAGGAATTGACTCACTTGATTACGGAGGCTGAGAAGTCCCACAATCTGCTGTCTGCAATCTGGAGCCCAGGAGAGAGCCAGTAATGTAGTTTAGTCCAAGCCCAGAGACCTGAGAACTAGGAATGCTGATGTCTGAAGGCAGAAGATGGATGTCCTAACTCCAGAAGCAAGCATGAATTCACATTCCTCTGTTTTTCTGTTCTATTGGGGCCCTCAGTGGATTGGATAATATCCACCCCTGTTGGCGAGGGTGATCTTGTTTACTCAGTCCACTAATACTAATGCTAATCTCTTCCAAAAACATCCTCAGAAACACACCCATAAATAATGTTTTACCAGCTTCTGGGCATCCCCTAGTCCAGTCAAATTTATATATAAAATTAACCATCAGACCACTTCTCTATATTTTGAAACTACTTCACAGTATTCCATTGTGATGTCACATGTCAATTTAACCTGCATTCCAATTAGTGGGGACTATTTCACAACCACAGAAAATGTATGCTGAAATAAGCAGTGATAATCACATTTGTCTGGGTGTATGCACCTGTGTGTTTCTGAGTCCTGGAGGTAGAATGGCTGGATCAATTTAAAAGCACATTTATAATTTTAACAGATGGCTGCCAAGTTTTAATTCTTCTTTGGCTGGGCTATAACCACCCCAAACACTATGCAAAGATGTGACTGACTGTACGTAGTAGAGGCTGATAGTTGACATCTTTAAGTTAAAATACCCAGATGAGGGCTGGGCACAATGGCTCACTCCTGTAATCCTAGCACTTTGGGAGGCCAGGGCAGGCAGATTGCCTGAACTCAGGAGTTTGAGACCAGCCTGGCCAACATGGTGAAACCCCATCTCTACAAAAAATTATTCAGGTGTGGCAGCGTGCACCTGTAGTCCCAGCTACTTGGGAGGCAGGAGAATTGCTTGAACCTGGGAGGCAGAGGTTGCAGTGAGCTGAAATCACACCACTGTACTCCAGCCTGGGCAACAGAGCAAAACTCTCTCAAAAAAAAAAAAAAGAAAAACAAAAACAAACAAAAAAAACAAAACCCAGATGACAATGTCTAAGCCTGATCCAATGGGTTTTTCCAAGCCCCAGGTCGGCTTGTGTAACTGGATAACAAAGCACCCTGATGGCAATGCCTAAACCTGAGCCTATGAATGCTCCAAGCCCCTAGATTCAGCTTGCTTATTAACAAGGCATCAAGGGAAGTTCAGGACTATACATTTGCAGCTGCTCTCCATCACTAGCGTACCTATCTTCCTCATTTCTTTAAATATGTTCATTGCACTAAATATAACTCCTGTTAAAGTCCTCTACCAAATAGCAAAACCACTGTCAAAATTTCATATATCACCCAGAAAGATTTATAAGTCATTATAACCTCACCATTCATAACAAATCCCAGCTAAAATTCGGTGATTGTTTTGACTCTGATAATTACAATGTTTGTCAGATTCCAGGATTGCAAAGATTATACTTTTCACTTTTGTCATGTCTTGTGAGCTCTACTTTCTCATGGAAAATTACAGACAGACTTTACTTTTTTCATATTATTTTAGGTCATGTGGCCTATTAACATTATTTTATAATTTAGCAAAGGACTTTAAGAAAAAAAAGTAAAGCATTTAAATAGCTGTTGCTAAAGTTTTATTTTTAAAACAGAGCTATGGGAATAAAAGCTGCTTCTCCACCAAAAATTCTCACAGCATGAGTATGTTAGCAACTCATGAGAAACGAAGTCACTGCTGCTTGCCAAGCAAGGGAAAATGTATTTATTCATTTGTTCAGAGAAAAATGACATGTATTCATTCATTTCACATTTTCTGAGAATTTACTGGGTGCCAAGCATAATGTGATAGGCACAAAAAAGAATGTCCTATAATAACATACATTTTATCCTACTCTCTCCACCTCCAACCCTGATACTGCATGAATTCTCTATAGGAAACCTATGAAATACTAATTCTTCATGTTCAAAGAATCATTTAAAAATAGTTCTTTAAAGACCAAATTACCTTGCCTCATACAGAATAAAAAAAACTTGCTTTTGGTGTATACGTACACATACATATTTTTTTCTCTCTGATTAAAAATTATTTAAACATCTGTGCCCAGGATTAAGGATAATGAAATTCAACCACAAAAATGAGTAAATAATATATAATTGTAGCCTTGGAATTTATCAGTTTAGAATGGTTACCTCCATATTCACCTTTCTTTTGATCTTCTTGTAGACGTTATTGTTACTGACTGCAAGTGCCTCAGCACTTTTGTTCATTGGAATGTAGTTTGACAGATTAATTATATGTTATCAGGCAGTTGAAGATCAGCTAAAGATATGTGGCCACAGGAGGGATGCTGATGTCTTTGAGCTGTTCCTTTCTAAAAAGTAAGTGTACTTAACATAAAAAATGAAAGAGTATCATGTTATCATGATCATGTTAAAATGTTTCACAGATTCAAATGTTATTTTCCATTTTTCCCCCTCAAGGACTGGGTAGGACTCCAATTATTTTACCACTTCCTGGAATCCACAGTTTTCTATTGGAGAGACAAGATACTGAAATTGATTAAAAAAAAAAAAATTATGGAGACAGGCTGTTTGAATCCCAGCTCTGTCTCTTCCAGCTGGGTGATCTTGGGTATGTCATATAACCTCACTATTAGGATTGTCAGATTTAACAAATAAGTATATAGGACATCCAGTTGAATTTGAATTTCATAGAAACAACGAATATAATTTTAGTTAGTATAAATATGTCCCACATAGTAGTTGGAAAATTCACTGTTTCCGTGAAATTCAAATGTAGCCCGATATCCTGTATTTTATCTGGCAACGCTATTCCCTGGGCATAATTATACTACCTCATTCTCAGGGTTGTTGTGAAGCTTAGGTGAGTTAGTAAAAGTTAGTCAAAGTTACTGGTACACAGCAAGCACTCAATGAGTATTAGTATGGTTAACATTATTACTATTATTAGGAATCATTATACCACATACTATGATAATGAACTCCATTATACTACAACCTCTACCAATCCCCATACCAGTTTTACTGGTAAGTAGAAAAATCCCTCTCTTATATCAACAGACCACTTTGATTCCACTCGAACTCCCCAAGGTGGCAGACAACAAATTGGGTTTTTCTATAGAGTAGAATGAGATAGAACCCAGGTATGAGAGGAAAAGGGAGTTATAAATAAGATTAGACTCTGATACCACAGTTCTCACTGGCCGATAAATGACACTGAAGTTTGCATTTTAAGCACAATGACCCTATTCCTACATTTTGTCCCCCTTACTTTGTGCTTTTTAATGCCTCTGAATTCTGTGTATTATTTTTAAATAGGCTTGACGTATTTTTGCTCATATGTAATCTTTGGAACTCAGCTTCTTGTAAAGAAAATGCCTTAGTTTATCAACAAATTTAATCACTTATTTCTAGTGATTTGGGGAAATCCTTTATTATTAAACATATTTATTTTATTATAAATAAATATGTTTATCAGTACAGAGAAAAGTGTTTACCTTTGTAATGGCTCTGAATCTCTTGGTAGTAAAGGAATAAATTGATAACCAGTTTGAAATGTTTAAAAATATATTTTTTAGTATGGAACAGGTATGGTAGAGCATTCTGACACATTTAAGGTCATGCTTTGAGCCTCTCGATATAGGTCAGTTAGTTTTAAAATAACAGTAAATATTTCATGTGGTCAAAAGATTGCATCTTTCATGATTTTGACAATTGTATACTATTGATCACTACAGTAAGTAGATAATAAGAGTAGCTTTAAAATACTAGAAATCTGAGATATTGATCACCTGACAGTAGATAATTAATCGACTCCTTGTGAGAAGGATAACACCTTTTACATTTTAAGGACACTAAGTTACCATTTCATCCAGCTGTGGACAAAAACTATTTCCCAGTCCAGATGCCAATACACTGGTATACTGAGTTATTTACCAAGTTTCTCTTGACTCTGGGAAATGGAAAGCATCTTATCGATGTGTTCTTGAGTGATCATGGAGAACATACATTGTAACAAGATGTTGATAATTATTGTCAGCATGAGTCATAGCCATCATTAGTAGAATTACCTCTCATTATCCTTTGACTGGCCTCACCTTATAATGTAACAGCCCATTATTGATTTAGGACAGGTTTATGTGCAGAATAAACCCTTCTGACGTGAAAGAGTTAAAGTACCCTTGAAAAGTGAATTTATATGATATCAGATGTGGGCTCGTAAAAGTTTTTTAAAAATTAAATTTTAAAAAAGAAAAATGAAAATGAATTTATTACATTACCTAATCAATGAAAATTCAACATTGATATTACTGCTACAAGAAAAAATTAATGACAGTAACTTGACACAGTTAATACTTTAAAGTTTTAGTGTATTAAAACAACTTTCGCGCCACTGCACTCCAGCCTGGGTGACAGAGCGAGACTCAGTCTCAAAAAATAAAATAAAATAATAAAATAAAATGAAATAACTTTTATGGGAAATCCTCTGAGTGGGGCATGAGATACTCTGATGTAGCCATGTAATGATTTCTTTATTATTTATCATAGGAACAGATGAAGTTAATGTACTCTCACTATCGCCCCATGTAATAGTTAGGGTGCCCCAAGGTCCAAGTACTCTTTCCCTGAAATAAGCTACATATATACAGTGAGAGAGGAGAATGAATTATTATTTGTGCAAATTTCCTACTAAAAATTGCTTTGAGGCCAGACGTGGTGGCTTACGCCTATAATCCCAACACGTTGAGAGGCTGAGACAGGTGGATCACCTGAGCCCAGGAGTTTGAGACCAGCCTGGGCAACATATGAAACCCTGTCTCTACAAAAAATTAGCTAGGTGTGGTGGCATGCACCTGTGGTCCCAGCTACTTAGGAGGCTGAGGTGGGAGGATCGCATGAACCTAGGAGGTGGAGGTTGCAGTGAGCCGAGATGGAGCCACTGTACTCCAGCCTGGGCAACAGAGCCAAACCCTTTCTAAAAAAGAAAAAAAAAGTTGTTTTGGAAGAGTCTGAAATACTTAGTTGTGCCAGGGAAGTGCTCAAAAACTAATGGTACATATCAAAGAGACACACAATTCTGCTTGAAATGTCTTTTATAAGGGAGAATTTGATAATTGTTTTAAGTGATAAAGGATTAAGTAAAAAACTCTTGAAAATTCAGGGAAGGTGGGGAGGAGAATGAATGAGATAGAAGAGGAGGGAACAGATGTTCATTACAGAAGAATAGCAGCTAATAAATGTTAAAAGAATAAGAACATTAGGAAAATCATTTTTTATAATCCCAAATCTATTGGCTCAGGTAAGGATCATCAATTGAAGCTAAAGCTATTGAGTAAAGAGTTGTCAGGGAGCAAGATACACACATGATCTCAGATATTTGCCTCATGTATGACTTTCCAATTATAAAATTTGTACTTTTACAGTGGCAAGAACTGGCAGATACCCTCTTAACCAAATGACTGAATTTAGCTTCATCAAGAGTGGGGCAGACTGACGTCATTTGGATCCTTATGTGATTCAGTAATTACCACCCATGTAATTGAGAAGTAGACGTGATCTTCCTTGCATTTGATCAATAGGAAACAATCCAAAAAATCAATAATGTGAGACATTCTACCAGACAATTATCCTGGACTCTCCAAAAAGCTAATGTTTTCTGGTTTTTTTGTTTGTTTGTTTGAGATGGAGTTTTGCTCTTGTCACCCAGGCTGGAGTGCCATGGCACGATCTCGGCTCACTGCAACCTCTGTCTCCTGGGTTCAAGTGATTCTCCTGCCTCAGTCTCCTAAGTAGCTGGGATTACAGGCATGTGCCACCACACCCAGCTAATTTTTGTATTTTTAGTAGAGACGGGGTTTCACCATGTTGGCTAGGCTGGTCTCAAACTCCTGACCTTAGGTGATCCATCCACCTCAGCCTCCCAAAGTGCTGGGATTACAGGCATGAGCCACCATGCCCAGCCCAAAAAAACTAATGTTAAGGGAGAAAAAGGAAAGAAGATGATTACCTTTAAAAAGACTCAAAGGTTATACCACCCCAAAATGCAATGCATGAATGTTAATGGGATACAGGATTTAAACAAACCAAAAAAAATGTAGGAACAACAGGGAAAAATTTGAACATGAATGGCATATTAGATTACATTACTGAATTCAATTTCATCTTCTTAGGTGTGAGGATGGTATGGTGGTTGCACAGGACAATGCCCTGATATAGGAGATACACATGCTGAACTCCTTAAGCTAAGACACCTGCAATAAGCCTGCAACTTTATTTTCAAATGATTCACCGAGAAAATTATCAACCAATAAATATATAAATTAGATAGATAGTATGAGCATGTGACAATATGTTAAAAATTACGATGGTTATACAAGTGGTCATTGTACTATTCCTTCTTTTCTCAGGTTTGACATTTTTCAATATAAAAAGTTGGCAAAAAAAAGGTTTATTTTGTTTAGAAATGGTTGCATGCTTTCAAAAAATGTATGTTTTTATAAAAATTAGAAAAATATTAGTCCTTCAGTGTCCCAAGGTTAAAAATAATTGTGATAAAATTTTGCCATAAATGAATTAATATCTGTAATAATAATAAATATTGATATTTTTATGCTTTGAAAAGTACCTGGCACACAATACGTGATCTATAAGCATTTGATAAATAAACAGATACGTACATGTATACTTACTTGGGTTCCACAATTTCTGCCCTGAGAAATAAGAGATCCAACTACTCCAGGCCACATCAATCAAATGGACCAACTATCCTCAGACAGTGCCCTCTCCCAAACCCACATCTGCCCCTTTGATGAGTGAGCTGCCTTAGCAACAAGAACCAAGACCACTTGGATAGGTGGAATCTCACACAGTTCAAGAGAAGTGGGTAATATTTTAATCCTATAATTAATAAATAAAGGGAGAATAAAGCACTTCACACAGTGTCTGTCTCTTGGTGTCCTGCAATTTCCATCTGAGTCCAGTCTGGCCAAATACTTCAAGGTTATTGCCCCACACTAATAACCCCACAGACAATATTGAAGCAGGACCCAGCTACATTTCCCACATTTACTTGAAAGTACAGTATCAGCTTCACTTTTTTCCTTTGTCCTCTCCCCAGTAAAACTTGTTTTGAATTAAGGTTCCAATAAATTCAGCCATAATGAGGTGTAAATTTTTGCTAATGTGATAAAGTGCTCCCTTTCAAGTATCAGCTTCAACTAGCTGACAAAATCTTAATCCAAGTGAATGAAGTTATAATGATGGAATTTCTGAAATAAGCAGGTGAGTGTGCCAATAATTTTGAAAGGACAAAGAGAGGCCTTTCTAGTTACTACGAAGCCATACTAACTACATGCCCAGACTTACCTATGTGTGAACTAATTGTTGCTAATGTTCACATTTTTTTTTTCTTTCCAGGGAACTGACAGAGGTCATTGATCTTTCTAGGTTTAAAAAATTAAAATACTTATGGCTTCATCATAACAAGGTAGTGTTTTATTTTATCTTTCAATTACTAAAATTAAACTACTATCTTAATTTTGTATTCCTAATAGAGCTAATCTTTAAAAGTATTAAAATTTTTGCTTAAAATTTAAATTGAGCTAAGAAACCCATATAAAACATATATATCTGGTACATATATATATATTTGGTATACATACACATATACACACATGAGATACATTGAATAAGGGCAATCTGTGAGGTGCTATCAAATTGCAATTTTACTTTTGTCTCCCACGTCCTATCAAATCCACTTAGTGGAAGCTATTCCTACTTGGGCTCCTGAAAGAAAACCTGGGCAGCCCCATAACCTTTTTCATCTCTCTTAGGTAATACAAAATCTTACAGCCCATTGAGTCATAGTCATAGTCCCAGTTCATAAATGAGAATATAATAGCCAACTGTCAATCTTCAATCACAAATAAGATATGCCCCCATCTATATCCAGCTATGGCTGACTGCAGAGGGCCACCTGCCTTCTTTATTAACTAGAAAGCCATGGTTGGCTGTTTTCCTTCCTTCTTATCTCCACTTCAGCCTTCTCCAGGTTTGGTATGGAATGGGGTGGTGTTGTAGTAGCAAAAAGGCAAGGGAGAAGCAAAGTTCTTTGCTTTGTACCCTATAGTACTAACAGATGTTCAAAGTTGATCCTTCCCGTTATAGCTTATTCAGAAGTTCCTCTGCTAGGCCTCTCCAACACTGACTCCTCTTCACTGGCCACTCCTGGCTCACCTCACCTTTATCCCAGGGTTACTTAAAACTGAGGGTCTTTTGGCCTTGGCAAATCACCCTCACGTGCAGAATCCCTTATACAGTGCCCCAGGTCAACGTACCTAGTCCTCAGACTCACATATCTTTGTCCTGCAATCAGAGGCCAAGAGGGTTGGTACATCCCAGTTGCTACCAGATATGGTTTGGCTCTGTGTCTCCACCCGAATCTCATCTCAAATTGTAATTTCCACATGTTGAAGGACGGACATGATGGGAGATGACTGGATCATGGGGATGGTTCCCTCCATGTTGTTCTCATGATAGTGAGTGAGTTCCCACAATATCTGATGGTTTTTAAAGTGGCACTTCCTCCATTGCTCCCTTTCTTACCTGCCACCATGTAAGATGTGCCTTGCTTCCCCTTCACCTTCTGTCATGACTGTAAGTTTCCTGAGGCCTCCCCAGCCATGTGGAATGGTGAGTCAATTAAACCTGTCTTCTTTATAAATTACCCAGTCTTGGGGAGTTCTTTATAGCAGTGTGAAAATGGACGAATACAGAGAATTGGCACTGGCAGAGTGGGATACTGCTACAAAGATAACCTGAATATGTGGAAGTAACTTTGGAACTGAGTAACAGGCAGAGGTTGGTGGAACAGTTTGGAGGGCTCAGAAGAAGACAGGAAGACATGGGAAAGTTTGGAACTTCCTAGAGACTTGTTGAATGGTTTTGACCACAATACTGATAGTGATATGGACAATGAGGTCCAGGCTGAGGTGATCTCAGATGGAGATGAGGAACTTATTGGAAACTGGAGTAAAGGTCACTCATGCTATGCTTTAGCAAAGAAACTGGTGGCATTGTGCCCCTGCCCTAGAGACCTGTGGAACTTTGAACTTAAGAAAATTATTTAGGGTATCTGGTGGAAGACATTTCTAAGCAGCAAAGTGTTCAAGACATAACCTGGCTGATTCCGAAAGCATTCAGTCATATGCATTCACAAAGAGATTATCTGAAACTGAAACTTTTATTTAAAAGGAAGCAGAACATAAAAGCTTAGAAAATTTTGCAGCCTGACCATTAGGTAAAAAAGAAAAACTCATTTTCTGGGGAGAAATTCAAGCCAGCCGCAGAAATTTGTGTAAGTAAGGAGGAGCCAAATGTTAATAGCCAAGACAATGGGGAGAATGTCTCCAGGGCATGTAAGAGATCTTCAGGGCATCAAAGGCCCAGGGCCCCGCTGCTCTGTGCAGCCTCAGGACTTGATGCCCTGCTTCCCAGCCACTCCAGCTCCAGCTGCTAAAAGGGGCCAAGGTACAGATTGAGCTGTTGCTTCAGAGGGTGCAAACCCCAAGCCTTGGCAGCTTCCACATGGTGTTGGGCCTGCAGGTGCACAGAAGAGACAATTGTTGAGCTTTGGAAACCTCCACCTAGATTTCAGAGGATATATGGAAATGCCTGAATGTCTAGGCAGAAGTCTGCTGCAAGGGTGGAGCTCTTATGGAGAACCTCCACTAGGGCAATGCAGAGGGGAAATGTGAGGTTGGAGCCCCCACACAGAGTCCCCACTGGGGCACTGCCTAGTGGAGTTGTGAGAAGAGGGCCATCATCCTCCAGACCCCAGAATGGTAGCTTCACCGACAACTTGCACCATGTGCCTAGAAAAGCCACAGGGACTCAATGCCAGCTCATGAAAGCATCTGTGGGGGTTGTACCCTGAAAAACCACAGGGGCAGAGCTGCCCAAGGCCATAGGAGCCCACCCTTTGCATCAGCATGCCCTGGATGTGAGACATGAAGTCAAAAGAGATATTGGAGTTTTAAGATTTACTGACTGACTGCCCCACCTGGTTTCTGAATTGCATGAGGCCTGTGACCCTTTGTTTTGGCCAATTTCTCTCATTTAGAATGAGAACATTTACCCAATGCCTGTACCTCCATTGTATCTTGGAAATAACTAAATTGCTCTTCATTTTACAGGTTCATAGGTGGAAGGGACTAGCCTTGTCTCAAATGAGACTTTGGACTTGGACTTTTGGGTTAATGCTGGAATGAGTGAAGACTTTGGGGAACTGTTGGGAAGGCATGACTATGTTTTGAAATGTGAGAAAGACATGAGATTTGGGAGGGGACAGAGGCAAAATGATATGGTTTGGCTCTGTGTCTCCACCTGAGTCTCATCTGAAATCGTAATCCCCACGTGTCAGGGGAGGAACCTGGTGGGAGGTGATTGGATCATGGGGGCAGTTTCCCTCATGCTGTTCTCATGATAGTGAATGAGTTCTCATGAGATCTGATGGTTTTAAAAGTGGCACTTCCTCTTTCATGCTCTTTCTCACCTGCCACCATGTAAGAGGTGACTTGCTTCCCCTTTGCCTTACACCATGACTGTAAGCTTCCTGAGGCCTTCCCAGCCATGTGGAACTGTGAGTTAATTAAACCTCTTTTCTTTATAAATGACCCAGTCTTGGGTAGTTCTTTATAGCAGTGTGAAAATGGACTAATACACTATCCAAGCTGATTTAACTTCCTCAGGAAGTGTCAGGCACCAGGCCACCATGCCCCCAAATGAGGGAACATGTCTCAAGATCACCAAGTGTGGCTGTTGAAGTTTCTCTTAAAGGCTAGGGTTAAGGAGGCAGTGTTCTCCCACCCCTCCCTCACAGTAAGGGCCTGAGTGTTGGAATCAAAGCTTTATCCAAGCAAAAGAGCAAGACCGAACTAAAATTCAAACCCAGACAATCACTACAGTAAGCTAGTGACTAGGTTGTTTGCAACTTTCAAAAATTCATCTTCCGACAGCTTGTATTTGTTCATTATACAGTATATTGATAACCCAATCTTAGCATTTTGAATGTAGACTTTCAAACACTAGCTGACAAAAGAAATAATTTGAGTTTTCAGTAGTCATCTGCCTGTCAAGTAGTAAGTCCAGATCTCAGCACTGAATCTGTAAACAGCCATGTTTATAACAATATTTCAATATTTTATTTCATTCTTAGTCTTTTTAAACACCAACTAAGTGGAAAATGGAAAATGAAAGTGCTTTGGTATTAACTATAAGCATAAATCTCATAAGCTTGAAATAATTTCTAGGAGAACAAACACAAATACCTTCAAGGCCCAGGCAGCTAACAGCTGGAATGGAAAGTGCACACTCCACTTTAGGGCATACAAATTCAAAACACTTTTAAAAAAACATACTGCTGGCTGGGCACGGTGGCTCATGCCTGTAATCCCAGCCCTTTGGGAGGCCGAGGCGAATGGATCACAATGTCAGCAGTTCAAGACCAGCCTGGCCAACATGGTGAAACTCCGTCTCTACTAAAAATACAAAAATTAGCTGGTTGTGGTGGCGGGTACCTGTAATCCCAGCTACTCGCGAAGCAGAGGAAGAAAATTGCTTGAACTCGGGAGGTGGAGGTTGCAGTGAGCCGAGATTGTGCCACTGCATTCCAGCCTGGGTGACAGAGCGAGACTCCATCTCAAAAACACACATACACGCACACACAGACAGACAGACACACACACACACACACACACAGCCAAAACTTGTCCTCGGTCACAGTGCGCGACTTCTGTTAGAAAAAGATGAAAATCATCAGGCATGGCAAAAGTGACTAATCTGTTTTTACTGTGTGTTCCCATGGTGTTCAGTGGTGTCCAGTTTGGAGGGAAAGAGCATGTACCAATGTCTAGAAGGGAGAGGTATAATTAGGGATTTTATAATTTTTTTGGAATATTTCTGGGAATGGATATCATCTGACTTCCAACTACTCATTGAATATTCACAAAATGGACTTGCAGATGCACCTGCGCTTAGAAAGGGATCGCATGCACCATCAACTGTTTTACTTTCTTTTGTTTTTGAAGGGGTGGGGCAGGAAAGGAATACAACAAAAGGCTGAATTTTTTCTCGTGCTTGATTATTTACATGCAACAAACTATATTATTTCTGTGAACCCCAAATATCTGAGACAGGTCTCAATCAATTTAGAAAGTTTATTTTGCCAAGGTTAAGGACATGTGCCCGTGACAAAGCCTCAGGAGGTCCTGACAACATGGGCCCAAGGTGGTCCAGGCACAGCTTGGTTTTATGCATTTTAGGGAGAGGAGACATCGATCAATTTTCCACCTGTGACCTGAAGGAGGCTTCCAGGTCATGGGTAGATAAAAGACAAATGGCTGCATTCTTTTGAGCTCCTGATAAGCCTTTCCAAAGAAAGCAATCAGATATGCATCTATCTCAGTGAGCAGAGGAAGGACTTTGAGTCCTGTGTGTCCTTTGTCCCCAAAGAATTTCCTTCTGGACAAATTGTGAGAGAGGTGTGTAGCTTTTTTATCTTAGTAGCTATCTTTTTTAGGAATAGAATGTGAGGGAGGTTTGCCCTAAGTAGTTCCTAGTTTGATTTTTCCCTTTGGCTTAGTGCTATTGGGATCCTGAGATTTATTTTCCTTTCACATTTCTAAAATCACTATCACTTAATTTGTTCTTTATGAAAGAGACTGGTTTAGTCCGTGTAGTACTGAAAGGATTTCATACCCAAAACAGCTTCTGAGTGGTTATGGGATAAGTAAAAAAGCTAATGTGAGTTTTCTTATTGATCAGTAATTGACTGGGTGCTAAGCTGCCTAAGTGTTCATACTCCATCAAAAATTAAAGTCTTATTCAGATCGCAAACTCTAACAGGCATATTAACTATTATAATATTTCATCAAAGTTCACATATAAAATTTTAATTATGAGTTTTCTTTAAAATCTAGATTATACTAGCTTGACCACTAAGAGGAAACTATGCCACTGTAGAAATGATATAGAGATTTGTGAAAAACATTGCCCTGAGATATGAATATATTTAGAGTCATAACACATCAACACATTGTTAAGAATGATCTGAAATCCTGACCAGCATTATTCTGACATTAGTGAATATTTTAGCTACCCTCTATTTAGGAATAAATAAGGCAAAAGGAGAAAAATAAAGGGAATGCATTTTTTTTGTTTATTCACTTATTCAATCCACAATATTTATTGAAGTATATGAGGTCATTATTTGTTGTCCATTCGTGTCTATTCTTTCCTTCTTCCTGTCCAACAGAATTCGGATTTGAGTTTTGGTACATACTCCTCCTCCATTCTAAATAGGTGGCCCCACTTAGGTCCATGGGTGGATCCTGAACTGTCTAAGCCAACCAGAATAATCCCACTCTTCTGGCAGGTGATTAGTCACTGAACAGGCATCTAACCTAATTGTAACAGACACATAAGGGCACATTTGCTGGGAGGTTCCTGGGAGAGGCTCTCTTATTCCTAAAAGGGAGTACTAGAAGAGTACTTTTGCTTCTGGATGTTTTCTTACCTGGATGTGAAGGCAGGAACTAACTATCCTATGAACTTGATGAAGCCAGCACTTAGAGAAAGGCAGAGCCCAGAGATTCATGGAGATGCCAAGACTAAGGCTATCACAACTTCTGCACGTGGTGATATGAGAGAAAATTAATGATGTTTCTTTATTTGCCAATTTGAGTTGGGCTTAAAAGTTACTTGGAGCCAAAAGCATCCTATTTGGATATAGCTTATCCTGTACTTGCATTAGGCTGCTACACAATACAACAATAAATGTGATTACCCCTGCTCTAGTGATAAAATTAGGAAGGGTAAAGGGAGTGGCTCTGCTCCTAGCAAGTACATTGTATTTGATAGCTGCCTGGAATGAGACAACACAGTTGTCTTTGAAGGCAATGAATGTAATTTGGTAAATTTGAAGCCTAGTATGCTGGAAGGGTGCATATTTCTTCAAATCATTATCTAGTGGGTGATAAAACTTGAGCTTCTGGTCCAAACGTGAACTAGCTGATGAAAAAGCACAAGTTTATTTCTAAGGACCTCCAACATCCTAGCTTTCCTAGATTTGCTTTGGCAACTCTAGTTCTTTCATTATGCTCTGTGAGGGCTTGTTTAGCTTCATATTGCATAGATATTCATTAGTGCTGCATCTCCTCCTTTTTGAGATCATGTTTTCCTAACACCCGCTGACATAATTAGTGGGAGGCAGCTGCTCTTAGGTCTAAAGTCTCCCTTCCTCGTTTCATTCTCTAACAAGTCTGACCCAGAGAATTTCAGGTCCATGAAATTCATTCTTTCCAGCCTCTCATGAAAGGTTGAGTTAGGCTCAGATAAATTACCTAAGTGACCTATATTTTACACAACAATTTATATGGCACATACATATAATCTTCTGACTTTGCTCGTTACTTCAAAAATTTTCTTTTATGGATGTCCAATAATGACTATGCATTCATAATATTGGTGCCACAATGTTAATATCCTTCTATTTCTGGAAGTACGACAGTAGCTTGGTATATTACATTTTGTCTCAGATGAAGAACCTGTCTAATGCCTCACCAAGCAAGTATTCAAAATGGAATCTGGGTTTCTGCTGTGCAGCAAAAACCAATGGTTAATGCATTTTATAAATTCAGTTTACATAAAAGGACGCTTCTGGCGAAGTCATTGTTTATAAACATCATTATCTAAAGAATAATTGAGATATTTATAATAACATCACTCACACTGACTAGAGAATGGTCAGATTTGGAATAAATGCTTTAACATTAGGACAAATACCTAATGCATGCAGGACTTAAAACCTAGATGACGGGTTGACAGGTGCAGCAAACCACCATGGCACATGTATACCTATGTAACAAACCTGCACGTTCTGCACACGTATCCCAGAACTTAAGGTAAAATAAAATAAAAATAAAGAGTAAATGTTTTAAGAAATATCTTAGGCTCAATCTTCGATACTGTTATGATTTCCTAGCTCCTAGACATGAAGCGCATATTGAGAATTCAGCAAATAGCACAAATTTATGTATTTTAGGAAGGAATATTGGTTTATAAAATTAGCAAATCATACTTTGGAAATTGAAATAATTATTTTTAATGTGCGGTTATAAATATTTGATAAAGAATTCTTTGAATGGCTGTACTTTTTCAGGTAGCTTTACAACGTGCTTTGTATCATGGAATTTCTGTTGGCCTCTTTAATCAGATTTATTTCTATATTAAGTTTGGGTATATGTATTTGTTTATTCATTTATACATACAATACCTTGTTCCAAAAAACTATTTAGAGCAGTACAAACTCCACTGTAGAATGTAAGAGCTATTAAAAAAACAAAATGAATTAGCATACATTCCATATATTTTGGGCTCTTATGTGTTTCTGTTACCTTAGGGCAACATGAATTATATCCTTTGTGTCAACTTTGTTGAAAAAATTATATTTTGCTCCATATTTTAAAACTTCTTTAAAAAGCAAATCAATATAAATAAACTAAATAACACTTCACTGCATGGTTGTGAAATTTGAAGATATGTACAATACATATCTAGTTATGTTTTTAATGATTTAACCAAAAAATATAACCTATTTTTCGAAACAGCAGGTACAAATATTTTAGTATGTTGGAAAAGAGAGGGAAAAACATGAGAATGAAAGTCTGGATTGGTTAAAAATAGTTACTTTTGAATATTTTTAAGGTATGGACTGTGTAAGTACCGTATATTATATTTTAAACTAAGATAGAAATGAATGCATTGTTTTAATTTATTGGATAAGAACACCATAAAAATAAACTTAGAAATTCTTAAAATATATTGAAATGTTTCTTTTTTACTCCTATATAATTTAGGGTATATTATTAAAATGCTTCCCAACTAATGTTTCATGTTCTATGTAAATTTAGTAAATATTGGGATTTCAGTACTAAACATACAATAACATACTGTTTTAGTTAACACATAAGTACAGAATTTTTCAGAATTTCATCATGTCGTTTAATCACTGGTCTATGTAAGGGACTTTGCCCCTACGGTTTTTCAACCTTGCTACTATTGCGTTTTGACCTGGATAATTCTTGGTGGTAGAGTCTGTCCTGTGTATTTCAGGATGCTCAGCAGCATCCTCGGCCTCTACCCATTAATGCCAGGAGATGCCCCCCAGGAGTGGCAAACAAAAATATTTCCAGATATTGTCAAATGCTCCCTGGGGGGCAAAATTCCCCCCACCTCCACTGAGAATCATTCAATACAGCAGACAGAGTGATCTGTGGAAACCTAAGTGAAAACATGTCACTCCTCTGCTCAAAACCTCTGGTGGTTTTCTGCTACATTCAGCCAAGTTCTTACAGTAGCCAACAAGGTCCTGTACACACTGGGCCTCTGGTTCTCTGTCTGACCTTATTACCTGCCATCTCTTGCTGGCTTATTCTGGTTTAGCCACCCCAGGCACTGGGGTGTGCACTGGACCTGTGCACTGGCTTGTCCCCAGTGCTGTTCCTACAAATATTGCAGTGGCCCTCTCCCTTCCTGTGATCAACAGTCTATTCAAACATTGCATCCTCCACAAGGCCTACTCTGTCCAACCCCACTAAAATGTAACACTACTTCACTCTACCACTTCCAACTGATGGTGGTGGCAGACCGTCTGGAGCAGTTGCTGCCATTATACCAGCTGCAGCAGGGAGGTATGGACAGTGGCAGCAGGAGCAGCTCTGGGAGCAGCAGTGGTGGCAGTGGGACCCCTGTGCCCTGCATCCCCAAGGCAGCCAACTGCACCACCTCCACCCTCGCACAGCCAGGCAGGACCCGCTCCCAGGCCCAGAGCCTCCACTGTGGCCTTAACCTCACTCCTTGCTGTGTCTTGGGAACCTGTGATTACCCAGCTGAAGACACAGCCAGGAAAACGTGGAGGGGAGGTGGAAAGGCCCTGGAGCCCACCCGAGAGACCCCACCAGAGCCTGCCACCCTGGGAGCTGCTGCAATGGGGCCAGGCCGAGTCACCCACTGGTGGAGGAGCAGTGTGGTTGGGCACGGAGTGGGGGGCAGAGAGGAGTCCCAAGGCAGAGCTGGGACTGAGGTGGTGCCATGCTCCACGGAGATAGCAGGAGCTCCCCAGGCACAACTACAGCTGCCCAAGCCATGGCTGCAACCTGGGCACCCCTGTGCTCTTGGGATCTGGGAGCAGGCAGGAGCCCCATCCTCCTAGGCACAGCTGCAGCTGCCCAAACTGCTGCTGTGGGCCCAGGCATCTCCCTGCACTCTCGGGGACCCAGGAAGGCCCCTCTTATGCCTGCAGGCTCAGAAGTGCCTCCTCCTACTGTCTGGCTTCTCCCTGCTGTCAGCACCCACTCCAATAACAGAGTAAAGTTGATCCCAAGCCTGGGCGCTGTCACAACCTGGCTGGGGGTACACACACTTGAGGCAATGCTGGTATGCCAGCCCCCTGCCACCTTGGCCCCCTCCAGACTTTGGGCGCCAAGAAGCATGGGAGAGAGGCTAAAGGGGAGCTGAAGGCAGCTCGGCACTGGCCTGCAGGTGCCCCTTGGCATGAACAACCTCAGCTCCATGAACAGCGGCAGGAGGCACACAGGTTCCTGGGCAGAGGGGGGCAGGTCCCCAATGAAGCCCCACCTTCAAGCTGGAAAGGGCCTAAAGGCTGAGGGCTGGGGTGCCAGTCCCATGGACCAGAGTGAAAACTTGTGGTACCTTTTCTGGGCCTGCCCGTGGCTGCCCATGAACCAATCAGCAAGCACTTCCTCCCCTCTAAGGCCCATGAAATCCCTAAACTCAGCCAGACTTGAAGAGACAACAGGACGACCAGCTGCAGAGAGGAGCTATCTTCTCTGCTGAGAGCTGGACACTTGTTGGGGCACCCTTGCTATGGACAGGAGCTGCCCACTGCAGGTCTTCTCTAAGGTGTTCTATTGCTCAGTAAATCTCCCCTTTGTCTTGCATACCCTCCAGTTGTCTGTGTACCTCATTCTTCCTGGATGTAGGACAAGAACTCGAGACCTGCTGAATGGCGGGGCTAAAAGAGCCATAACACAAACAGGGCTGAAAACACACCCCTTGCCTGCCACGTTGTGGGTGACAAGAAGGAGAGAAGAGAGAAGGGGAGAAGAGAGGAGAGAAGAGCTGAGGCCCTTTGGGGAACCCAGACCTAGGAGCTCCCCAAGCCAGGGCTGTGACACCCTCCTTAGGGTTCTGTGGTTCCTGGCATCTTCAAGCTTCTAGGCACCACACTGCATTCCCCAGTGTCAGTCGTGGAAGCTGCTTTTGATACACCTGGCCCAGCCACAGCCTCACAGGAAGCTGGTGCCCATGCCAATCCCTGGAACTGCCTGTCCTGCCACAGCCGGCTGGACCCCACACTTGCTCACACACCCCTCAGTGCTCTGTGCCTGGCTCACTCTTGACAGGCATGGGATCCAAGCTGGTAGCAGGAGCTGAGCACAGCCTTCCAGGCTGAGTGGGCAGAACCAGCCCAGCAGGCCAGAGCAAAACTCAGGCAAAGGTGCCACTGGCCACAGAGGTTTCCAGCTGGTGAAGCAATACCCCAAAGATCCCGCAACACGATCTCCAAGCTTCATTTTTTTCACAAAGCACTTATCAACTTAGGTCATAATATATAGTTTACTCATTGTATGTATTATTTATTTAATCTTTCCCTACTACAATAAGAGCAGAGAATTTTGTCTATTTTCTTCATGGCTGTTCCCCTCGAACTTAGCACGGAGTCTGGCACATAGTAGATGCTCAGCAAATGTTTGCTGAGTGGAAGAATGAGTAAATAAAAACTCTAATATTTTCTCATAAATACAATATTTTCATTTTGTCAGTGAATCCAAATGGCATGTAATTGGTCACCAGTTATAAATTTGAGGAAGGCAAGTTGATAATATTTTGTTTCGTATTTTACTTTTTGTTCATTTGAAAATGTCAGTTTCTGTTTATTGGACATCATGGCTAAGAATATTTCTTTGCATGAGTACTAGTTAAGGTAACAGAATTTCCATGACAGAAGCATGCTTTGGCCGATTTAAGCAGAAAAATAATTTATCGAAAAGATATTGGATAGATATTATGGAGCTTGAGAATCAAGTTCAGAAAGTTCTCAAAATCAAAGGGAGCCATGGTCAAAACCATGTCACAGAACTACTTTCCACAAACACTGTTTGTGGAAAAACAATCAACAATAGAAGCAGTGGCTTGTACTGCTGGTGTCACCAGCACCAGCCACTGGACACATCCGCTGTCACCACTACCACCATTTCCACTGCTATGGAAAGCAATATTTTTTCTCTACATCTCTACCATCACCAGAATTAACTTTCAACTGTCTCCGCTTCTTTGCATGAATAGCTCTTGATTAGAAGTTCAGAGTGGGTGCATCAAGGTCATGAATCCATGCCCTCCCTGCCAGAAGTCTGGAAAAGCAAATATCTTGTTTAATGGGGTGTAGTTTCTGATTGCCACCAAGACTCATTAGATAAGAAATTCCTTGAATTGTGGGGAGGAGTTTTAGATGCTACACAGCCAAAAAGTTATAACTGTGTCCCATATTTTATTAATGTTTAGAAAGATAAAAATAAAAGGAAATATATCTGCATTAATGATTCCTGTTAGAGTACCAGAAAAGGATAGTTATTAAATTAACAGATGTTTTCAGGTGAGGTGGCTCATGCCTGTAATCCCAGCACTTTGGGAGGCCATGATTAGAGGGTTGCTTGAGTCCAGGAGTTTAAGACCAGTCTGAGAAACATAGTCAGACCACATCTCTATGAAAATTTTTTAAATTAGTCATGTATGGTGGTGTGTGCCTGTAGTCCCAGCTACTTGGGATGCTGAGGTGGGAGGATGCTTGAGCCTGGGAGGGTGAGGCTGCAGTGACTGTGATCGCACCACTGCACTCCAACCTGGGCAACAGAGTGAGACCCTATCTCAAAAAAATAAAATAAAAAAAGGTGTAGAACTGAGAACTGAAGTATAGCAATGGTTCTATCACTAACCAGCTAATAACATACGGCAAATCACATAATATCTCTAAATCGATGTTCTTCTTAGACAATATGGGGTATTTATTCTTTCTGACTGCTTCCAGGGTTGTCATGAAAAATAAATGAGATGACAAGTGTAAAGTACTAATCAAAGAAACTTGCACACAGTAGTCACAGAATAAACAATAAGACCCAACCTCCTTACTCCTTTTCTTTATGTTGTTCTTAACATAGCTATATAAACATATAATATGAATTGAAAGAATTGGCTAATTCTCTAAGTTAGCAAGGGTTGGGCACATCTGCTCTCACTTGTCATTTCCCAGTTGCAACAACTTTCAATTCTTTTAAGTGATCTTTTGTTACTTATCAGCTTTTCTCTAAGTCACTTGCTGGTATTGCTGCTACTTTTTGATTTTTCTCTTCTAGAAAATAGCTATTGAATTTTCACTAAGGAAATGAGCATTTAATTCTTTCTCTTTCCTGCCCTCACTTCTACCACACACATGCATACTTTCTTTTGCCCATTCTCCTGATGTGGTTGTATTGTAATTTTGGTTAAATCAATATTCACTGGTATATTGTTATGACAAAGTATGCTATTCAGAGCTAAGCCATGTATTCAGCTTTATGTTTTCCTTGATTATACTTCCTTCAATTCCCCGGAGTTTATATTTGTTTGACTTTTTTGTTAGCTTTTTGTTAGGAACTGAATTGTGTCTCCCTCAAATTCATATGCTCAAGCCCTAATTCCCAGTCCCTCAGAATGTGGCTGTATGTGGAAACAGGGCATTTAAAGACGTGATTAAGCTAAAATGGGTCATTAGGGTGGGACCTAATGCAATATGACTAAAATCCTTATAACAAAAAGGAGACTAGGACAGAGAGAGCCAGAGACTAGACATATGCACATAGACAGAGATCACATGAAGACACCAGAACCAAATGGCCACCTACGAGCCAATAATAATAAACTTTTTGAAGCCATTCTTTATATTGATGACACTATTTGGGTTTAACGGACATAGTCCCTGTGATGTTATGAAATATATGTTTAGTCCCAGTCCTCATTTCCTGGCATACAACTCCCCAAATCCTTGGAATCTTCAAAGTGATAAGCATCTTTTAGTATGCTAAAGAATTGAGTGATGGTTGGCAGCTCCCAGGCAGCTTCAGGATGGGGGCTGGCCATCAAAAACACTAAGGCAAAATTAGAAGGTTGGGACTTCTGCTTCCTGGAAGCCCTACTTCTGGGAGGGGAGAGGGCCTGAAGGTTAAATTGATCACCAATGGCCAATGATTTAATCAATTATGCCTATGTAATAAAGCTTTCATACAAATCCTAAAAGACTGGGTTCAGAGAGTTTCCAGATAGCTGAACACATGGAAGTTCCTGGAGGGTGGTACCCGGGGGGAGGGCATGGAAGCTCTGCATCCCTTCCCCCATACCTTGCCCTATGCAGCTCTTCATCTGTATCCTTTGTAATATCCTTTATTAAAAAAAAAAAAAAGTAGATGAAAGTGTTTCACTGAGGTCTGTGAGCCACTCCAGCAAATTTCAAGTCCAAGGAGGGGGTAATGGGGACCCCAATTAACAGCCAGTTGGTCAGAAGCACAGGTAAAACAACCTGGGGCTTGCAATTGGCATCAGAAGTGGGGTGGGGGAGCAGTCTTGTGGGACTGAGCCCCGAACCTGTGAGATCTGATGCGATTTCCAGGGAGATGGTGCAGAAATTCAACTGGAGGACACACAGTTGGTGTCTGCTGCATAATTAATTGCTTGCATGGTATGTGGGGAAAAGCCCCACACATTTGGTCAAAAAAAGTCTTCTGTGTTGTGTGTGAGAGCAGAGGAGAAAATCTGTTTTTTCAACTCAGTCCCCAAAGCTGATTTCATAAGCTAATAATAATGAGTTGTTATGAAGCATAATTTCAGGAACATTCAAAAGTTTTCTCAGATCACACATATCTATTCAGGGATGTTAAAATCAACAATTACAGCAACATTGATTATAATCTTCTAATTTAAAAGAAATACCCTGAGATGGCTAATATATTAATCTTTAGGGAGAATATAATAGTTTACCTCTGGAACACGCAGAAATGGGACTCCAGAGCACGTGAAAGGAAATGAAGTGTGTGCAGAAAAAGAGGACATTGGGATGGCCAAGGTTAAGAAGATGCCAGGAGGAGAAAACGGAATGCTGAAAGGAAGAGTGGAAGAAGTCAAGAACAAGTGCAGTTACTTGTGTGTGATGTTGCTTAGTGCCGGTGTTGGATCTTCTTTTTAGTTTGGATTGATTGGTAACCATATGAATCTATCTAGCTTCTGCTGAAAAGTTCTTTAAAAAACATAAGAACACCACCTAAGAGGTGGGGAAAACATAGGACAGTTCCTGGAACTCAAAACTAGCTTGAGAGATGGCAGCTCAGTTAGAGCAACTGTCGAGAAGAACCCAGAAAACTTGAGAGGTCAAGTTAGATCAGGTAGGTAGAACAAGGCAGGCCAGGGCTCAAACCAAGTCTGAGAATGAGCTGCGCTGGACAGTTCAGCTTCGTGTCCTGAACGTTAGTAAAGTGCAGTGGTTTCCAGCAGGTACTCAAGCCTGGGTCAAAGCCTACCCAGTTCTACCATGTAGTAGCTGTATAATCGTGGGTAAATTACTTAACCTTTCTGTGCCTCAGTTTCATCATCTTAAAATAAGATAATAATATGCTCCTTCCTAATGAGTTTATAGTAAAGATTAGTAAGGCTACATTCTGTTTATTTTTACAATTTGAAAGTTTTCAGAGATTATTACATTTCTTCTTCTTTCCATTTCTGGTCAAAATTTTTGGATGCATTTTAGACACCTTTTGGGGCTATTGTTGAAATACTAGGAATAAATTGATGCATCGAATATTTTCCAGTGCTCAATCTAATAAACTAATATACTGCAAAATATTTTCAAATTAGTAACTTCTGGATGGTTTAGACAGAAGTCTCCCCAAATTAAAGAGCTCAGTTATGATGTAATATCTGCCAATCTTTGGTTTGGGAGTCAGATAGACTTGGGTTTGAATGTTCACTCTGCTACTACTTATGATCTCTGGATCTCGAGAAAGTTGTTTAACTTCTCTGAGCCTTGGTTTTCTCCTAGGTAAACTGGGGATATGGGGGTCAAATAAATAACATTGGGCTTTTGTTGGGATTATATTGTATAGTGTCTGTGAAAACATCTAGCTTAATGCCCAGCTCATAATAAGCACTTAATCAATATATTTTCTTCTCTTGCATCTAAATCAGCATTTCTCAACTGAGAGTGTTTTTGCCTCCCAGGGGGCATTTCACAATGTCTAGAGACATTTCTGATTGGGACGTGTATGCTACTAGCATCTACTGAGTAAGAAGCCAAGGATGCTAATGTACAACCCCCAGGGTAGCCCCTGCCCCATCAACTCCAACGAATAATTATTTGGTCCCATATATGTGGTTGTTGTAGAGATTAAGAAACCCTGAATTCTTCCTTAATTTTAAATTCATGGTGGTATACATTTGTACCTAGTAGTACCCTAGTGATTACCTGTATGTATTTTACATTAAATATAAAAGCTCCCAGCTCCATAAAATTAATAATAATGGTTAAATAATAGTCATCTATTGAGCACTTGTTATGCTCCAAGCCTAAGCTAAGACATATGATTTGTGAAATGCCACACTTAATATAAATCCTACAGCAATCCTGGGAATCAGTAATATAGATTTCTCTAAATGGATAATAATAATAACATTTTACGGCCAGGTGCGGTGGCTCACACCTGTAATCCCAGCACTTCGGGAGGCCGAAGCGGGCAGATTATCTGAGGTCAGGGGTTCGAGACCAGCCTGGCCAACATGGGGAAACCCCCATCTCTACTAAAAATACAAAAAGTAGCTGGGTGCGGTGGCACACGCCTGTAATCCCAGCTACTCGGGAGGCTGAGGCAGGAGAATCGCTTGAACCCGGGAGGTGGAGGTTGCAGTGAGCAGAGATTGCACCATTGCACTCCAGCCTGGGTGACAGAGTGAGACTCCATCTCAAAATAAATAAATAAATAAATAGCATTTTATTTTAATAATAGCTGAGTATCAGGACAATAGCATATCTTATAATGTTCCTGACCTTAACAACTTGCTATCTTGCAATGTCTATTGAATTCTACCTTGAAATACTACCTCAATTTCCTCCACTTCTTTCTTCTCCTGCAACCTTTACTCTACTTTGGGCCACCACAAATTCTTCTGATTTAGGGAAACGCCCTCCTTATTCATCTTCTGCCATTGTATTTAATATCCCCTGTAAATCGGCCATTTTCTTTCTAAAATCTAATTGGGCAATAACATTCTTCTAAACAAGATCTTTTAATAGCTCCCCAAGGTCCTCATGATTTGGCTTTGACTCCACTCCATCTCCCTTCACTCCCCCTTACCTTCACAAACACCGCAATCCTATAATCCCTATGATCATGGTCCAAGGATGTTAATGCTCGTGGGAAAACCATGATTCTATAATCAAGGTCAAACTGTCAGGTTTGTTAGTGTTCTTCTTGTTTTAATGAGCAACGCAAGAGAAATTAAAGTCTCAGCTAATGAGTTCTATTAATGTGTGGTTGGCAGGTAACTGGAAGAAGAGAGAGGAAAAAGTTCTGATTTCCACTGGCATTGTTTTCCTACGCTGATGTCAAGTGTGGCTATTATTAAAGCAGGGAGTGGTGAGAGGAAGAACAGAAGGCAGCGAATTGCTGCCAGGAGGCCAGTGGGAAAAGTTCGAAAGTGATAAGGAGCCAACAGGGACACTCACCTTCTGGCTTTGAATGGTTTCTCCTATCTTGGGGAAACACGGCTTCTCTCATGACATAACAAAACATTTGGTGAAATTACTAATGGTCTTCCAGGAGGAGTGCTGGCATAATTTGGTGGAGATGAGTCTGTGAACGATCAGATGAACAGCACATGATATGCCTTTTATAGCTTCATAATTTGTGAATGTTGCCAATATAAAAACAAAGTAAAGAAATTTCATCAAAGAAGTTAATTTTCAAACTTCGAATACAAATCTAAAAAGGCTTTTCTGAGATTTGAGAGGGGCATGAATAAAATGTCCAATAAATCCTCACTAAGTCAGATGGGTTGGGATCCTTTTTCTGAATCTGTTCATCAATGAGCAAAATATTTTTATTTAACTAATAATAATAGTTCCTGGCCGGACATGGTGGCTCACGCCTATAATCCCAGCAATTCGGGAGGCCAAGGCGGGTGGATCAGCTGAGGTCAGGAGTTCAAGACCAGCGTGGCCAACATAGTGAAACCCCATCTCTACTAAAAATAAAAAATTAGCTGGCTATGGCGGCATGTGCCTGTAGTCCCAGCTACTTGGGAGGCTGAGGTGGGAGAATCACTTGAACCTAGAACCCAGGAGGCAGAGGTTGCAGTGAGCTGAGATCGTGCCACTGCACTCCAGCCTGGGTGACAGAGACTCCATCTCAAAAAAAAAAAATTAATAGTTCCTATGATAAGCTTTAGAAAACACACAAACAAAGAATTTACAGTCAGGAACATATATTCTTGTATACATAAAGTACTAAATACTTGATCAATAACTCGTTCATGAGAATCTTTTCCCTGCTAGATCCTGTGTTAAATAGTAAAGGTATTATTCTTACATTTAACTTATTTGCAGTTATTAGAACATAACTGCTCCTCCTCTATGGCTCTACCATGTCTCAACTTCACAATGCAAATACATCTTTTAAATTTGATGGATGTTATAGAGTCAATACTAAAAAAAAAAAATAGGCGTTCTCCTTACAGGGTACCAGAATGATTTCTGACATACAGTTTAGCATTGAATACCCCATATTATGTATACAGTACCTAATGGTTCATTTGAGGAAATTCGAGAAAGTACTTTTTATTATTTCCATTCATATGGAATTTTGATTCTAACCTTAAAAGTAAGATGCGACTTCTTCACTATATTGTTAGGAGAGTAGGGAGGTAGAAAGGATAAGGTGCTGAAGAAACATGGTTCCTTTCCTTAAGGAACACCCAAAACTCTAGTGTTCAAGTGATTAACTGTACAAGTCAAAGTAAGCATTTGGGATGGTCAAGAAAATGGAGGTTCACGAGCATAGGAGTTGTCAGGAAAGGCTTTGTGAAAAAGGATGAACTCTGAATGATGAACAGGATTATACTGTGCCTTGCCCTCTAATTGCAGATGGTGACTGGTTGAGCTGTTAGCACTGCGCCTGATCTGGCAGAGCTGCCTCCTGTGTGTATTCAGATTACAGAGCCCATGGCTAAACTGAGATCTGTTTACTAGAAGGGCAGAGGACTAGAGAAGAGGAGATGGTTATACATGAGGCCATAAAGAAAGAGTCCAGGAAATCTGACTCAAAGTGCTGAAGCAGGTAGAAGTTTAGAGAAACAAAAAGTGGGTCAATAGGGCAAAAAGACAGTAAGTAGTAAGATACAAGGAGTTCAACCCTTGGTTTCAACAGATTTCTGCAAGTGAAAACGTACTGCGGCAGGCCACTCATGCACGGTTTAGTATGCCTTGCTGGCCGACAGCTAATCCTTAAAAATAATTTCGAGTGTACCAAGAAGAAAAGACATACAGGCAAAGGGAAATCATGACTCCTACAGATGCAGAAATGGCCTCGGCATAATCTAAGGGGAGAGCCCTTGGCACATGATAATATTAGGTGGTGGATATGTGGTGCTGGATCTAGTGAGAGTGTATGGAGCAGAAGTAGAAGAAATATTGTCAGCGCAAAAGGGCTAGGCCAGGTTACAGAGGTTTGGAAAGCCTAGCAAGCAAGTTTGGTTGAGATGTGGTAAGAGAGGTTTAAGTTAGATAAAAATATTCTTTTCATCACATTCTCCTCAAAGACAATCCAAATGTAACTTACAGCCAGACCAAAAGGTCACAAATAAGAATAGCAGAGGTCAAACTTTTATTATCTTATTATAATTAAATATATATTATTTATGTATATCAGGTTATTTATATTGATGTAATATATACAGTTATTATAGAAAGTATATTGTTCTCTAACTCTCATTTTTAGCTCCATGGAATAACATTTCTAACTAGAAACTATTGTCTGACAGAACTATATCTAAACAACAATGCAATATTTGAGATAGAAGGTACGTCTTAAATTCTCTGTTGATTTAATAAATTTTCAATTAAGTAATAACTTTCAACTATGGTAATTGCTAATGACAGACAAAAATCTGTTTTAACATTTCTGTTGAAAATATATTAAGAAATGTATTTTTTAAATGTTTTAATGTACATTTGATATTAAGAAATGTGCTATTAGATTACTTTTCTAATTTAATATTGCCATATATCTTATTCAAAATGTAAAATAATTTTAACAGGTATTTTAGACATAAACTAGGCATGTGGAAGCAAATTTTAACAATAGTTGGGAGCATTGATAAATACAAAAACTTTATAAATAGTCTTAAAATTTTTTATTGGCTATATGTTCTACCAGCCAAATTCCTGCTTTGACCCTGAATTAATTTTATATGCAAAACACTCTCAAAACTGATCATTTCAAGCCAGTTATAAAAGCATGTGGCATACCATGATCATGAAATACAAAGAAGCACAGTACAAAACACTTTTCTTTAATATCATATATCATAGAATCAAAATGTCTTAAATTTTAAGGCCCATCATGATGTCATGCACCGCTAAGAAAGAACATCTTGCCAACGAGGCTACGACATGGCTATCAAAAGGCACATCCCACTTTCATTTATGTTAAAAATGTGGGAAAATATACAATTTACAATCTATGAAAATGATTTGAATATTTGGCTTCCAGTTATGTACAGAAAATACTTAGCTATGCAATTTGGAGGAGATGAGTAATTTTTCCCTTGACTAGCATTATAAATCTAAGTAGCATTGACAAGGAAAAAAAACCCCAAAACTAAAACCAAACAAAAAGAAGAAAATAACCCCTCCAAAATCAATCAAACAAACAAAATCATTGCTACATTTTAAAAAGTAAAACAGGCCGGGCGCGGTGGCTCATGCCTGTAATCCCAGCAGTTTGGGAGGCCTAGGCGGGCAGATCACCTGAGGTCGGGAGTTCGAGACCAGCCTGGCCAACATGGTGAAACCCCCGTCTCTACTAAAAATACAAAAATGAGCTGGGCATGGTGGTGGACGCCTGTAATCTCAGCTACGTGGGAGGCTGAGGCAGGAGAATCCCTTGAACCCAGGAGGCGGAGGTTACAGTGACCCGAGATTGTGCCATTGCACTCCAGCCTGGGCAACAAGAGTGAAACTCCATCTCAAAAAATAAAAATAAAAAAAAGGAAAACAATGACAGTGGAAAGAAATTTACTCTTTATTCCCACATCACAATTAATTATATGAATTATGCCTTATTGTATTCTTAATAATAATTTATAATATATTATTAATAGTTATTCCTTCTTTAACCAGCTATCATATGTTTTCCTTTTTAGTTAGCATGTTAATTAGCATTAAAAATGTTTATTTTTATTTGCAATAAAAAAATAAACTGAAAAAAATGTTTAAAATCTTGTAAAAATATTCTGTTTTTTTTAGGTCTGCATTATTTGCCTTCATTGCATATACTCCTGCTACACCACAATGAGCTAACCAACATTGATGCAACAGTGAAGGAATTAAAGGGAATGCTAAATCTGAAGATCCTAAGTAACAATTTGCAATTTTATATGGCCATAAGTTAAAATAGTATTAACATAAGACATTTTTCCATTTATCAAGTTTAAAATTAGAGAGGCAATGTTTATAATTAAGATATTTAGGCTGGGCACTGTGACTCACGCCTGTAATCTCAGTGCTTAGGCAGGCTGAGGTGGGCGGATCACTTGAGCCCAGGAGTTCAACACCAGCCTGAGCAACATGGCAAAACCCTGCCTCTACCAAAAATACAAAAATTAGCCAGGCCTGGTGGCGTATGCCTGTAATCCCAGCTACTTGAGAGGCTGAGGCGGGAGGATCACTTGAACCCAGGAGGCAGAGGTTGCAGTGAGCCAAGATCGCGCCACTGGACTCTATCCTGGGTAACAGAGCAAGACCCTGTCTCAGAAAAAAAAAAAATTAGATATTCCTGAAAATAAGGCTAGATCTTATTGTCTTTTAAGATACGCTTTTGAAAAAACAACAGATAGAAAAATTTTTGTTTGTGAAATGCTATCTATCACATGGCTAATGAAAATGACAAAAGTAGCAAGAGGATTTACATGTTTAAATTTGTTTTTGGTTTTATCTCAAAAGTAAGTTTTAACACATATGATTCCATTTATGTAAGTGTCCAAGTAGGCACATCTATAGGGACAGCAACACCGAGAGGTAACTGTTTTTAAATAGATGAGTGTTGCCAACGGCCAAGGAACTGGGAGTTGTGACAGCTAGAGAGTAAAGGGTGTGGGGTTATTTTGGGGGTGATAAAACATACTAAAATTGACTGTGGTGATAAGTTGCATAACTTTGTGAATAAACCACAAACACACAAATCATATGTTTAAGCTGGGTGAACAGTGTGATACATAAAGTATATTAATAAAGCTGATACCAAAAAAAAAAAACTAAAAGACTTTTTAAGCTTTCAACTGGAGGCCCAGCAAACTTTATTCATATATATTGAATCACACCCAGTAAGGAACTAACCTATTGGAAAGAAGTGTGAGATGAGTCAAAAATAAATAAATAATACACCACTCCTACTCTCAATAAACTTATGGTCTTGAAGGGTAAATAAACATGTATACAACCACAATACAAGATAAAGGATTCTGGGTGTACTGAGGTAAAAGACCTACAGATCAACGAGTAGGTTTTCAGACTTTAGAGTTTAGAGACCTCTTTATAATAATGTAACGCAATAGATATATTTTTTAATTCCTTTTCTATTCATTTCTCAGAATTGCCTGAGACAGTGTTTTGAACAGTTGTAAGCTAGTATTGATGGTGAAAGTTCTAATCAGATAAATGTACAGAGAGTTACTAAGGTTTCCATATATTGTTAGTGTTATCAGTTATATCTACTGTACTGAGGGAAAATGATTCATTTGTTATAGTTAGATTCTTTAAACCCAAGTATTAAAATCACAAAATTACACCAAGTTCATGGCAATTTTATGCTTATTTTGGAGACGTGAGAAGGCTGCCTGCTGTCAGGAGTTTTTTTCACAGCTTTTGGATCTTCTGTGAAAGAATTGGCCTGCATATTTGAGTCACCTGGCCCCTGTCTGCTGGAAAAATGCTGCTATAATTAAAAGACTAGTTATGCTAGACCTAGAACACTTACCTTTGTTTTTCTATAAAATGGGCTGATAGCTACCTCTCAGGGTTGCTTCAAACATTAAGATAACTCTGTTTTTTTTTTTTAAGAAAACGTTTCTCACCATTAATGTTATTTTGAAGCAACAACAAAAATTGAAATTCTAAAAAAAGAAAAAAATTGTTTTATTGTGGATTATGTAAATCAGATAATGAAATAAATTGCATCCAGTCTCGAAATTCTGCTAATAGACTCAATAAAACGATATTTTAAATAATAATCATATAGTAATATGTTTGAATGTCTTTCCTGTTAAAAAAATGATTTATTATAGTCGCATTTAAATCTTTACAGCATCCTATGATGTGATTAGAATTACTCCCTTTAATCATGGAAATGAAAAGCTCAGAGATTTAACCAAACTCCTAAGGAGTGTTGAAACATAAACTCATGCCTTGTTTTACTTATCATTTATTTATTCATTCATTCAATAAATATTTATAATCTATTCATTCATTCATTTAATAAATGTTTATCACACATTCACTACATGACACTATTCTAGATAATAGGACTCAAATTTGAACAAGAAAGACCCAGTCTATACCTATATAGGGCTTACAAATTAGTAACACTCAGCCTAAATATTTCTTAGAGTCGAAGGGGTCTAATGCAAAATGATTTAATTTGCTACTTTAAAAACTCTATAATTTAAGGAAACTTGTTATAAAACAACATTTGGAGAGTGGTAAACAAGCTTACTCCCACAGTAATAAACAGAGTTATGCCCATAGTAATAAATAAGGTTATACCCTAAACAAAGGTGCCCAGCCCAGGACTGAATGGATCCTGAAATCCAGCCCATGCCCTGCTTGTCAAGGGTGTATGTGAGTGTAGAATTGTGCCAGGCATGAGGAGTGGGAATTTTCTAGTTTTTAAATACCAGCCTGGTAGTACAATGTCCATATCATTACCAGTCACAATAGTTTACGACCACTACTTAAAATCACAGTGACGTATTTCAAGTTACATAACTATAACTTTCCAGTTGAGAATCTTGTTGTGGGGTCATTTGTTTGAAATGGAGAAAATGCTATGTCCAATTACAAAAAACAAAAAGCATTTTCTAAAAATTCACATTTTGAACTCATGTTCCATTTTGGTTAAAGATATTGTATGAAAAATAGTTTGTATTTATTAGACAACTAACGTTATTTGTGCAGTCATGTCCTCAGATTAAGTTTCTATGAGCCTCATTTGCAATCACAGATTAGCTTTAGCTGATAAACTAAAATGAGAACTCTATGTATTTTCAAATGTAGTCATTTTTGTCTTTTTAAGTTGTAAATCCATATAAAATTATAAAGTGTTATTATTCCACTTAAATTACAAGTTCTTCAGAGGGTGAGAAAATAGCCTGAAGGGCAAAACGCTAATCCATTCTCAGCATCGCACCTTCCATTGGCATTTATGAGGAGAATTGCCAAGGACTGCCTAGGAGACGCATGGCTGAGAGCTTCAGGGAGGCCTAAACCAGCTGCAGAGTGTGAGGTCCTGGGAACTGGAATTCCTGTCTTCAGGCAGAGTCAGGGGGCCCCACCTCTTCTCTCTAGGCAGTCTACCTTTCCACACCCTCTCTTTCTAGCTCAGTTTTCCTCTTCCCTTCCCTCCTCCAAACTCTTTCTAAATCAGAATCCACATGTGTCAAAGACCCACTTTGTGGCTGATGGCTTTTATTAACTCCTGCCCCCTTTCCAGTACTAAGGGAAAAAAACCACCGCCACCAAAAGCCGCAGCAACAAAATGCTTAATCCACTCTCCTGTTCTAAACCTTCAGTTTTCTCGTTTCTTTCTAATTTTCTGTTTTATTAAACTCCACTGTTGGAAAGTATGCTTAAGACTCCTGCATGCCATAATTGTTAAGACCTGCTTCCTACCGGAGCTTCCAGGAATCAGCCTTGGGAACAGGGAGTTCCTCCTTTCGAGAGAGGGTCTCCATGTTTCCACAGGTATTGCCTTTAAACACTTCCTGCCGTTGTCTTCAGCAGTGGCCCCAATCCACTGCCCATGGCAAAAAGCCAGGGGAGCAGAGGGATTCTGGGATACGGGGAGGGACTAGGATCTCCAGGGTCCCTTCCTTTGAGCCTCTTTTCCTATAATGCCCTTCCAGGTGGGACCACCCCTCCCAAAAGACAAAACAATTCACCAAAGGAAAAGAACCAACAGTGTTTTTCACCACTGTTTGTCCTGAAAAAGAGGATATTCTGATCCCTCCTCTCTCGATCCTCTGCTTTATCGTAGTTTGCCTTTTACAATCAGGGGTGATTTCCATATTCAGTAAAAAGCACATGGTGTGTGGTGGCCACCAGATTTTTAGTTAAAACAAGATGGTGATTAACAATGGAGATGCTGACCTTACTAAGTAACCTTGACCCGGAGCCTCACAATCCTCCTATCTGATTATTGACAGCTGAACTTCCTTCCACAGGCCGTTCTCTATAGGCTTTTAACTTCTCCATGTCATTTTCTTTTTCCCATATATTAAAATTGGGATGTTGGTCTCTTATTAATTACATCAACTTTCTTCGAAGGCAGCCTTAAAAACATTGGGGTTCATTTAAATAATGATTTTAAATTCTGCTTTAAAAGTTTACAAAAAAATAACTGGAGCCAATTATTTAGATGGCTTTTTTTTTTCCTCTTCTGTCTCGATAATAAGTAGCTTCATACACGTGACTCCTGTAAGCCAAGCTTGTGCGGTAAGGTAGTAGAGACATTTTGATATATCATTGGGTAAATGTAAATTGCTTAGACTCAGAATCCCAAATTAAGATAAGCAAGACAGTGCTGGCGCCACTGAGGTATACTCTGTAAGTAGCCTAGAGGGAAGGTGGATTAAATAGTATTAACCTATTGAAAGTGAAAGTGTAAGCAATTTCTCTTCATGGTTTCTAAAAGAATGTGCCCATACATCATAGAAGGCTTTCAGAACATTCAGAAACAGGAAACTGATTTCACATCTTAGACATTTAATTTATGTTGATTTTAGCAGCATCAATCCAAAACTCATAAATCCAAAATGTTAAATGTTTAATAGTATAGAAGGAAAAAATAGAGTTAAAAATATGATTGCTTCTTCTAAAATTTAAGAGATAGGAAACAGTGAATAATAATGATGAAATGCCTGTCAAGTTATTTAACTCAATTTTTAAAGTTAATTTAAGCAGAGGATGGGCTAACAGTTCAGTTTTCTGATTTCGTGTCATTCAGTTTTTACTTTAGGATGAGATGAATGGTCAACCACAAGTCCATAGAGTTTTTAGTATCAATATGTTGCTAATAAGTAATGTAACAGTAGTAAATCCAAGTTTGGTGTTTTATTCAGCTGAAGCTAGTTTTTAAATTTCCATATAGAAGTTACTTAACCAAGGATTAGCAGAAAAACCCAAGAAATGAAATGAAATGGATAGTAATGTCCTCAGAGGGGAAAGAGAAGACGAAGGGTACACCTAGAGAAAACGTCATTGAAAGATGTTGGTATATTTTCCATTAACGTCATATGTAAAGGCAGACTCTACTTCCAGATGCTATAATGTATAACAGGGTTATGAGGTGTCAGATGTGATTCCCCAAGACAGTAACCACAAAGCAGACTTCTGTACTAAAGCATCTGTGACTTTTTCTTCCTTCTGAGTTCTCATTAGAAACAATTGTGTTTTGCTTTTATATCCTTGAAGAGGGTCCTTTTCTTTACTTTCTCTGGCTCGAACTACAATTCATGATCCCAATGGCTCTTTTATTAGTGGTTTAATATACATCTGTTCTATTCCCTGTCCTGCAGTTATAATTATTTGTTACCACTTTAAAATCCTTCTCTTTCAAGAATAAAATTCAGACCATTTTCTGTCATTTAAGAAATCTTGAAAAAAAAAAAGTTTTATTTTTCTTCTCATTTTCTCCATTACTTACATATTTCCTTTCTTTTAAATTTCTTTGTGGCTCCTGGCTCTACATTTTCCTGTATGCCTTTCCTCACTCCTGTAACTTTTGTTTATTATGTACCAGGTGTCTTCCATTGCCTGCTTTATGTCCCTCTAAAGCTCGCGTTTTCCACAGGGAATAGCTATATATAACGCTTTTATTAGCCAGAAAAAGTTGTGTTTATACAACAAATATCAGAATGCTTTATTACTACAGAGAAAACATCCAGATGATTGATTTTTTTTTTTTAGTTTTTATCTAGCTTGTTATCTTTTAAGCATGCACCTACCCCAATCTTCTTTATGTTACAAACTGCTCTTTAGAAATATTAATCAGTTTTTTCCGAGTTTCTAATGCTTACTATTTTCATGCCTTTATCAAACCTGTATTTTATGAATAGTCTACAACAGTACTCTTAAATTTCACATGTACATTAAGTGAGCTTCATTTTATTGAGTGAAGGAGTTGTGCGGTAGCTGGAGCTCTTTCTACTACTGCCATCTAGTGGTTCTCCTTATTAGGTGTATTTTCAGAAGAATTTCCTAGAAATTGCATGTAGGTAGGTGGAATCCGAATAACTAAAGATTACTGGCCAGGTGCGGTGGCTGATGCCTGTATTTTGGGAGGCCAAGGTGGGCGGATCACGAGGTCAGCAGTTCGAGACCAGCCTTGCCAACATGGCGAAACTCCGTCTCTACTAAAAATACAAAAATTAGCCAAGCGTGGTGGCAGGCGCCTGTAATCCCAGCTACTCAGGAGGCTGAATCAGGACAATTGCTTGAACCCGGGAGGCAGAGGTTGCAGTGAGCAAGATCATGCCATTGCGCTCCAGCCTGGCAACAAGAACAAGACTCTGTCAAAAAAAAAAAAAAATGCCCAACTGAAAATCATTAAAGTTTTATTTCACATTGTATTGAAAAAATATGTTTATTATCATCTAGGATGAATAGGGAAAATATCTTTTTTTAAAAATAAAGCCCTCACAACTTCTAGTTGAGGATGTTTAAAAACATAACTATGTGCTGATTCCCAAGGGATATGATGTCAAAAGTGCCAGGGCTGCTTCTGCATCCACATGCCCCCTTCTTCCAACCACTGCATTAGGAAGTGCGGTTTATCACACATCCTAGCACCTGCACACCAGGATCTCAGAACTGCACGTGCCTGGCCAGAGGTAGACAAGATGCAAGAGCCACTTCTGCTCAGCTCTGGTCCTGCTGAGATCTGAAGCTACTATTGACACATTCTGAACTATGAGCAATGGTGTGGAGGAAGTAAGTTCTATTAGAGCCGGGTGTTGTGTCTCTGCCTATCTTCACACATGCACCCTTGTGAACTTGGAGACTGAAAGAAGAGTACCAAGTGATATTTTAATAAAAAGTAGCCTCAAGACTCCAATAGAGCTGATATCTAGTTCTTCATTTACTAACTTATTTATGGACATGTTAAAAATTTCCCTCATTTGTTGCAGACTTGGGTCAATGATTTGATCATAGCCCTTAGCACAGTTCCTAGTGGATAGTAAGCACTTGGTAAATATTTGTTGAATGAATGAATTTAACAGATAGAAAAATTAACTGGTGCTCTAAGTAAAGGTTTAATGGGTCTATTGCTTGATATGGAGAAGAGCTTTACAAGTTCTTATGTTTTATACGAATCTCTTAATTTTTTGTATTTTATAAGTGATAAGTGAAACTGATTTTGAAATCTGACATTTTTATTTTGGATTCTTCATTTGCAGGTCTATACCAAAATCCTTTGTGCCAATATAACCTGTATCGTTTATATATCATCTACCACCTTCCAGGAGTGGAGCTGCTTGACCGAAATCGTAAGGACCCTTCCTTCTTGCAAAGAAATATTTGAGAAGTAGTCTTATAGCTCAGCGGTTTAAAAACGAAGACTACCTTTGAAAATATGTCTTTGTAAAAAATATATCTTTGAATAATTGTCTTTTTAATGGAAGTTTTTCAATTATTTATTTTTGAAAGACTTGCTCTCTAAAATTTGCCCTAATTTAGAAATTCATGTCTCTTTACTACTTTATTAGAAAGGCCCTCTAACTGAGCTGAGGAAAGTATTCCTTCTGGTCCTGGTTTTGACATTAACAGGTTGGATGCCAAATCGTTTACTTCCTGGCACCTTAGTTTCTTATCTCAAAAGTGAGGGAATTGGAATAAATCTCATAAGGCCAGTTTAAGTTCTAAAAGTCGTGATTTAAAAATTCTGTAAATATATATATATTGAAACATACAATGAATGATGACTTCTTTATGAATACATCTTCAAGATAGCATGTCAGATTTCTATAAGCCACATGCACACACACACACAATCAACCTCAGCATATTACACTTAACATTTTTTGAGGCCTATTTTGCCCCCAAATGCTATATTATCTATCTACTTACCTTTCTGTCTCTGCAGGTTTGAACATTCTTAATAGTTTATTACTGAGTAACCACTTTCTATAGGATACATCGGAAACTTATGGTTATACCTCTCCTTTCTAATAGCCTTGAGGAAATGAAAGGATGTTTCATGCTAAAATTTTAATCATCCTTGGTGATGTGTTAAAGGGTGTTTGGGATGCATTAGATTGAAGGATTAAGCTCTGTCTTGTGACATGTGGGGTGTATATTGAGTGCTTGTAAGATTATGGAAATAAGCGTGATAGCCCCTTTACAAAACAGTTTTGACAGGATGTTCTCATATATCATAGTTTAGATAAATACATTCTTGAAAGTGTTCAGTTCTATTTTGAATCACTCCGCCTATTTATAATGTTATGCAATAACATTACTTTTTGCATTTATCAGAAGTTACAGAAAAAGAAAGAAGATCAATGATTACCATTTTTAACCATAAAAAGGCTCATATCGTTCAATCAATAGCATTCGGAGGAAAAGTGGATGCTTCATGGGATCCTAAATCACCATTTAAGCAAAAACCAGCCCAGAGAGTACCTTCAGGTATTTCGTAAAAAAAAAAAAAAAAACAAATTTAATGAAATTAAAACTCCTCAAACTTTTGGGTAATTTGATTGTAATAATAACAACTACAATTTACAATAAACTTAAGTATCTATGTAATGGAATAATTTCTAATATATTTGCTAACCTTATAATACTTTTAGTCCAGTTAAAGTAGGTATGCAATTTTCATCCTCACTCATGCATGTGAAATTAAATGGGGTGCTGTGATAATAACGAGATAATACATTGAAGCCTCTATCCCAGTACCTAACACAGTATAAAGGGCTCAATAAATAAGCCATTGTTATTTTTATTACCACTAACATGGATGATTTTACCAATTAAGTCTATATAATTTTTGATAATATAGAAAAAACATGAAGAAGAAATAAAGATCATCTGCAATTCTACCATGCAGAAATAAGCACTGGTAATATTTTGATTATACTCACATACAGGGTCATTATATGCAAGTATAACTTGAATATTTTCAGGATGTTTCATTTGTAGGAATTTAATTTCATATTTGTAACAGAAATGCAAAAAAAAATAGGGGTTTAGTTTTCTCAGACAGCAAAGAATAGAAAGATAGGGTATCTAGGGTTAGCATAAAGTTCTACAATGTTGTCACTGTTCAAGGATATATCTGTCTTTTGTTCTGCTACTCTTAGTGTGCTTTATGATTACAAGGTGGCTGGTGTACCCCCAAGCCTCACATCTCCATTCCACGAAGGAAGAGAGGGTGGATAAGAAAAGGTGCAAAGGTAAAATCCTTTTCTTTATGACACTTCGCCAAAGAGACAACATACATTTTTAAAAAACCAAACCAATTATCTAGAAATAAAGGGGAAATTGAATTAAAAAATAGTTTGGAAGAAATTACCCAGAATGCTAAATGGAGAAAGAAAGCAATAGAAGATATGAATTAGATATTGAGAAAAGGAGAGACATTAGAAAGAGAAGGTCCAATATAACTTCAGTAATAGTTCCTGAAAAACAAATTATAGATAGAAATTGAGCAGAAGGTAATGTTTAAAGTGATAATGGCTGGAAATTTTCCCAAACTGATAAATAAATTCTTAGACTGACCAGACAATTACCAGAATTGGCAAAGAATTCTTAGATGCACCAGACAAAATGAATCCAAACACAAAAAAGACACATAACAACAACAACAACAACAAGAGTCTTCACCAAAGGCAAAACCATCTTAAAGCAGTCGGAGAGAAAACCCAGATGACCTACAAAAGAATAACACAGAGATTCACAACAGACTCTCCAACTACAATCGTGGAAGTCAAAAAACAGTGATCGAAAGTTTTTAAAATGCTGAGGACAAGTAATGGCCAACCAAGAATTTTATAACCAACTCAATTATTATTCAAGAATGAGCGAAAGGTAAAGGAAAAGAAAAAGAAGAATGAGGACAAAATTAAGACTTCCCTGAACTTTTTATTGTGAAAATTTTCTAACAGGAAAAGTTAAAGAATATTAAAATAAATATTGGTATATGCCCACATATATTCAACAAGTGTTCATATTCTGCTATATTTACCGCCCTCCATATCTGACGCTTTGCCTCTTTATTTAAGGACAGGTGGCCAGGTGCGGTGGTTCACACCTGTAATCCCAGCACTTTGGGAGGCCGAGGCGGGCAGATCACCTGAGGTCGGGAGTTTAAGACCAGCCTGACCAACATGAAGAAACCCCATCTCTACTAAAAACAAAAATTAGCCAGGCATGGTGGCACATGCCTGTAATCCCAGCTACTCAGGAAGCTGAGGCAGGAGAATCACTTGAACCTGGGAGGCGGAGGTTGCAGTGAGCCATTGCACTCTAGCCTGGGCAACAAGAGCGAAACTCCATCTTAAAAAACAAAAAAACAAGGACAGGTCTCCTCAGAAGACCTTAGAAGTCATTCCTAAATGAATGACTTACACTGCATTTGGCATTTCCAACTACAGTGTAAATTGGAAAATCAATGTATTGCCAAAGGATTAAAATGTTTCAGCAGCAGACATCATTACATTTCACTCCTGTCAACCTAAAAAAAGACATCAGAGAAAAATATCTCTTAAGATAATGAATTTATTTGGGAGTAAGCAAAAAGAATTATAACCCAGGATGCACAGCTATGGCAAGCCACAGGTGCAAGAGAGGAAGGGAAGGGAAGGGAAGGAAGCTTTTTATTTGGGAAAAAGTGGCCAGGCGTGGTGGCTCAAGCCTGTAATCCCAGCACTTTGGGAGGCCGAGGCAGGCAGATCATTTGAGGTCAGGAGTTTGAGACCAGCCTGGACAACATGGCAAAACCCAGTCTCTATTAAAAATGCAAAAATTATCTGGGTGCAGTGATGGCACCTGTAATTCCAGCTACTTAGGAGGCTGAGGCAGGAGAATCGCTTGCACCTGGGAGGTGGAGGTTGCAGCGAGCCGAGATCACGCCATTGCACTCCAGCCTGGGCAACAGAGGGAGATTCCTTCTCAAAAAAGAAAAGAAAAAAAAAAAAGAATTCACATAAGCCTCTTGGAAGCACAGTTCATTGATTCCAGAGGCCCAAAGCTACGAGTTCATTGGTGGAGATTCTGTTACTAGGCAAATGTTCTTTTGAGAGGATCTTATCTGAATTGTTGAGTCCTAAAGAATGTATAGTGATAAACTTGGTCATAGAAATGTGTGCATACATGAGAAATGTAGGTTATGACAAACATGAGTTGTGTGCAGGACACAAAATAATGTATTGTGGGGGTTATTTTGGAATGCCCTTGAGACAGGTCTTATCAGACATGCAAGCATGAGCTCTCCTTACTGCCTTCTGGCTCCAATTTGTTTGATTCTGACAAGAGTGATTTCATCCTGGTATCTGCAACTTTCACACTTTTAAATAATTTAGACTGAAAGTTTAAAAATAAGGACATTTTCCTGTTAACCATAATGTCACTCTCACACCTTAGAAAAAAACTGGTTTGTTTATATTACTTAAAATATAACTCGCCAGGCGTGGTGGCTCATACCTGTAATCCCAGCACTTTGGGAGGGCTAGGTGGGCGGATCACCTGAGGTCAGGAGTTTGAGACCAGCCTGGCCAACATGACAAAACCCCATCTCTACCAAAAAATACAAAAATTAGCTGGGTTTGGTGGCGAGCACCTGTAATCCCAGCTACTCAGGAGGCTGAGGTATGAGAATCGCTTGAACCCAGGAGGTGGAGGTTGCAGTGAGCCAAGATCACACCACTGCACTCCAACAGAACGAGACCCTCTCTCAAAACAAACAAACAAACAAAAAACCCATATTCACATTTTCTCAATTGTTCCAAAAAGGTTTCTACAGTGCTTTTTCAAACCAGAATCTAGTCAAGATTCACAATTAGATTTTTTATGCTCTTCAGTGTCTTTTAATTTAGAAGAGATTCCCTGGTTTTTGTTTCTGTTTTTTTTTTTTTCTTCCATGACTTTTTGAAGAGAACAGGCCAGTTATACTGTAGAATGCCTCAATTTTAAATTACTTCCTTAAGGTGTCATTCGATTTGTTCCTTTATTCCTAGTATTTCCCATAGAATGAAAGTAACATCCATAGGACATGTTGTAGGTGCAGAGGAGCATAGTGTAAGGCAGTGGCTTTCAGAGTGTAAAACAAAAATGGAATTCTAAGGCCCGTCAATCATCTGAATGACCCTTCCTCTTGGCCAAGAGCATTCCAAGTTAACCTGAAAAATTTGTTCAGGCCGTGAGGGAAGGGGGCTCCGGACATGCCTCCTTATACCCCCCTCCCTTTTGGAATTCAGGAAAAGCCAACCAGCATTAACATCAACACAGATATTAAGTCTGATAAATATTTACGGTTGTGGTGGCCGGCAAGATGGCCGAATAGGAACAGCTCCAGTCTGCAACTCTGAGCGAGATCCACACAGAAGGCGAGTGATTTCTGCATTTCCAACCGAGGTACCTGGCTTACCTCACTGAGATGGGTTAGACAATGGGTGCAGCCCACGGAGGGACAGCCAAAGCAGAATGGGGTGTCGCCTCACCCGGGAAGTGCAAAGGGTTGGAGAACTTCCTCCCCTATCCAAGGGAAGCCATGAGGGACTGTGCCTTGGGGAACGGAGCTATCCGGCCCAGATACTACACTTTTCCCATGGTCTTCACAACCCTCAGACTAGGACATTCCCTTGGGTGCCTACACCACCAGGGCCCTGGGTTTCAAGCACAAAACTGGGCGGCCATTTGGGCAGACACCGAGTTAGATGCAGGAGGTCTTTTTTCATACCCCAGTGGCACCTGGAATGCCAGAGAGACAGAACTGTTCAGTCCCCTAAAAAGGAGTCTGAAGCCAAGGAGCCAAGTGGTCTAGCTCAGCGGATCCCACCCCGACAGAGCCCAGCAAGCTAAGATCCACTGGCTTGAAATTCTCCTTGCCAGCACAACAGTCTGAAGTCGACCTGGGTCGCCCGAGCTTGGTGGGGGGAGGGGCATCTGCCAAAACAGAAGCTTGAGTAGGTGGTTTTCCCCTCACAGTGTTAACAAAGCCGCCAGGAAGTTCAGACTTCAGGACTAAACCAGGAAGAACTCAAATCCCTGAACAGACCAATAACAAGTTCTGAAATTGAGGCAGTAATTAATAGCCTGCCAACCACAAAAGCCCAGGACCAGATGTATTCACAGCTGAGTTCTACCAGAGGTACAAAGAGGAGCTAGTACCATTCCTTCTGGAACTATTTTAAACCATAGAAAAAGAGGAACTCCACCCTAACTCATTTTATGAGGCCAGCATCATCCTGATACCAAAACCTGGCAGAGACACAACAACAAAAAATTCCAGGCCAATATCCCTGACGAACATCAGTGCAAAAATCCTCAATAAAATACTGGCAAACTGAATCCAGCAGCACATCAAAAAGCTTATCCACCATGATCAAGCCAGCTTCATCCTTGGGATGCAAGGCTGGTTCAACATATGCAAATCAATAAATGTAATCCATCGCATAAACAGAACCAATGACAAAAACCACATGATTATCTCAATAGATGCAAAAAGGCCTTCAATAAAATTCAACACCCCTTCATGCTAAAAATCCTCAATAAACTAGGTATTGAAGGAACATATATCAAAATAATAAGAGCTATTTATGACAGACCCACAGCCAATATCATACTGAATGGGCAAAAACTGGAAGCATTCCCTTTGAAAACTGGCACAAGACAAGGATGCCCTCTCTCACCACTCCTATTCAACATAGTATTGAAAGTTCTGGCCAGGGTAATCAGGCAAGAGAAAGAAATAAAATGTATTCAAATAGGAAGAGAGGAAGTCAAACTGTCTCTGCTTGCAGATGACATGATTACATATTTAGAAAACCCCATTGTCTCAGCCCAAAATCTCCTTAAGCTGATAAACAACTTCAGCAAAGTCTCAGGACACAAAACCAATGTGCAAAAATCACAAGCATTCCTATACACCAATAATAGACAAACAGAGAGCCAAATCATGAGTGACTCCCATTCACAATTGCTACAAAGAGAATAAAATACCTAGGAATACAAATTATAAGGGATGTGAAGGACCTCTTCAAGGAGAACTATAAACCACTGCTCAAGGAAATAAGAGAAGACACAAACAAATGGAAAAACATTCCATGTTCATGGATAGGAAGAATCACTATCGTGAAAATGGCCATACTGCCCAAAGTAATTTACAGATTCAATGCTATCCTCATCAAGCTACCATTGACTTTCTTCACAGAATTGGAAAAAAACTACTTTAAATTTCATATGGAACCAAAAAAGAGCCTGTATAGCCAAGACAATTCTAAGCAAAAAGAACAAAGCTGGAGGCAACACACTGCCTGATTTCAAACTATACAACATGCCTACAGTAACCAAAACAGCATGGTACTTGTACCAAAACAGATATATAGACCAATGTAACAGAACAGAGGCCTCAGAAATAATGCCACACATCTACAACCATCTGATCTTTGACAAACCTGACAAACACAAGCAATGGGGAAAGGATTCCCTATTTAATAAGTGGTGTTGGGAAAACTGGCTAGCCATATGCAGAAAACTGAAACTGGACCTCTTCCTTACACTTTATACAAAAATTAACTCAAGATGGATTAGAGACTTAAATGTGAGACCTAAAACCATAAAACCCTAAAAGAAAACTTAGGCAATACCATTCAGGACATAGGCATGGGCAAAGACTTCATGACTAAAACACCAAAAGCAATGGAAACCAAAGCCAATATTGACAAATGGGATCTAATTAAACTAAAGAGCTTCTGCACAGCAAAAGAAACTGTCATCAGAGTGAATAGGCAACCTACAGAATAGGAGAAAATTTTTTCAATCCATCCATCTGATGAAGGGCTAATATCCGGAATCTACAAGGAACTGAAACAAATTTGCAAGAAAAACACAACCTCATCAAAAAGTGAGTGAAGCATATGAACAGGCACTTCTCAAAAGAAAACATTTATGCAGCCAACAAACATACGAAAAAAAGCTCATCATCACTGGTTATTAGAGAAATGCAAATAAAAACAACAATGAGATACCAACTCATGCCAGTTAGAATGGCAATCATTAAAAAGTCAGGAAACAACAGATACTGGAGAGGATGTGGAGAAATAGTAATGCTTTTACACTCTTGGGGCAGTGTAAATTAGTTCAACCATTGTGGAAGACAATGTGGCGATTCCTCAAGGATCTAGAACCAGAAATACAATTTGACCCAGCAATCCCATTACTGGGTATATACCCAAAGGATTATAAATCATTCTACTATAAAGACACATGCACACATATGTTTATTGCAGCACTATTTACAATAGCAGAGACTTGGAACCAACCCAAATGCCCATCAATGATAGACTGGATAAAGAAAATGTGGCACATATACACCATGGAATACTATGCAGCCATAAAAAGGATGAGTTCATGTCCTTTGCAGGGATGTGGATGAAGCTGGAAACCATCATTCTGAGTAAACTAACACAGGAACAGAAAACCAAACACTGCATGTTCTCACTCATAAGTGGGAGTTGAACAATGAGAACACATGGACGCAGGGAGAGGAACATCACACACTGGGGCCTGTCGGGGGCTGGAGGGCTGGGGGAGGGATAGCATTAGGAGAAATACCTAAAGTAACTGATGGGTTGACGGGTGCAGCAAACCATCATGGCACATGTGTACCTATGTAACAAGCCTGCACGTCCTGCACATATATCCTAAAACTTAAAGTATAATAAAATATATATATATATATTTTATACTTGTCTAACTCACCAGGCATGGTGGCTCACGCTTGTAATCCCAGCACTTTGGGAGTCCAAGGCAGGCGGATAATTTGAGGTCAGGAGTTTCAGACCAGCCTGGCCAATATGGTTAAACCCCGTCTCTACTAAAAACACAAACTTAGCCAGGCATGATGGCGGGCACCTGTAATTCCAGCTACTTGGGAGGCTGAGGCAGGACAATCGGTTGGACCCGGGAGTTGGAGGTTGCAGTGAGGTGAGATCGCATCACTGCACTTTAGCCTGCGTGACAGAGTAAGACTCTGTCTCAGAAAAAGAAAGAAAAGGAGGGAGGGAGGGAGGGAGGGAGCAGGCTGTGACCCAACCACCTTGGGCACATGTTCTCAGGATCTCCTGAGGGCTGTGTGATAGGCCATCGGTCACTCATATTTGGCTCAGAATAAATCCCTTCAAATATTTTACAGAGTTTGACCCTTTTCATCAACAAGGGTATGGTCCCCAATCCAGCAGCATCAATATCACTTAGAAACTTGTTACCAATTCTTGCCCCAAACCAGATTTACTAAACTAGAAACAAGTGTGGGACCTGAGAAGCTGTGTTTTATAAAGCCCTTCAGATGATTCTGATGTACACTCAAGTCAGAGATCAACCAATAGAGAGGTGGTAGTACCAGTGTGGGATTAGACTCCCTTGGGTTTGAATACCAGATCTGCTAATAATTATAAGTTTTATTTTGGACATTTGCTTTAGATTTCTGATTTTTAAAATGAGTATAATATCTTGCTTTGACTGTTATGCTTGATATGTAAAACATTGAGATACTTGATCTGACACATACCAAGTGTACAATAAGTTGAACTATTGTGTTAATCAGCCACTTCCTTGGTTTATGTAAAAGTCCTTCCTTTTACTTCATGTGAGAGGTGATGGCCCAAATGGAATGTTATTGGAGTAGACCATGCTGTGGTAGGAAAGGAGTCTTTAGATAGAAAATCTCCCCTCTTAAAAACAGCGAATGCACACAATAACAAACAATGCAAGGTCAGCCCCCACAATCTATTTTTCAGTGCTATAATTATTATTGGTGTGATCCCTACCTTTAGGGATCTACATTTCTTTTGTTTAACCAGATTGCTGGAAGAACTATAATCCTTTTTAAATTCTCTTTACTCCTTTTCATATTGAACCTCCAAAAACAAAATCAGGAGCAGAAAAGATAGGGAGAGTATTTTATTGCATTTGAAACTTTTTCTTCTTAATTAAAAGATATGTTGACTAAAGCCTCTAATAATCGATAGGACAATTATTATAAATCTACTCATTTTCCACAAAAGGCCGCTATATCATAGCAACTAAAAAGTATTTTTAGCCCAGAGTATGGCTTATTTTAGCATATCTTAATTAAGCAAACATTTGTAATAAAACTAATAAAACGCGCTATGTAAATTTTTAAAATTTATCCATATAGTTTTGCAGCTTCTATATTTGTTTTTTTATAAATCTTACCTTATGGTGACATTCTAAAAAATTATAAGAGTAATTCTAAGAGAAATATGAATTATTTTATTGGAAAGAAACTACACTTAAAAATGTTTATGAGGCAATTGTAAAGCCACATTTTGATTTTATTATCCTTCATCTGAAGTTAAGAAACCAATTATATTTCTAATATCTTGAGAAGCAAGATCAATTTTAAGTTTTCTTCAAGTCCCATCTATCAGTCCTTATCAAATAAGTATGGTTAAAAGGGTTGTACCAATTTTCATTACTGTCTCTGGGTTTTATTGCATGATAGCCAATATTCTCAGAACCAAAACACTTTGGGCTTCTACCTGGCTTTAAGAACCTGATTTGCAGATTTTTCACCAATTACCTATATGTAAATGTAGAAAGACATTAAGGGGTATTTAAAATAAAATACCAACAAGCTTTTAAAATGTCCATTAGTGGTCCAAAAGTGAAGCTGCCAGATTTCCACCATGTTTGCTCAAGACAGAGCTCCAGGTGCTGAGCCCAAGCTGGGGTATAGTGTCACAGAGCCTGGGCCTGGCAGGTGAGGCATGTACTACTAGGGAAGACAGAAGGGTAAGGCCAAAAAGGAAGACCAGGCAGACTATTTAACAAACAGCAATTCACCAAAGAGTGCACCAGTACAGACAAGGCAGGACACAATCCAGAGAAAACAGATAATTGAAAGGTATGAGCTGGGAGATCAACGGCTCAGGAAATCAAGTCTTGAAGACATTTCTGACTTTGGGTAGCTATGACATATCAGGCACACCCAGAAGAGTAAATGCCAACTGCTACCTATGCATGAAGGTTCAGGTAGGTATTAGAGGTCAATGTGAGATCTAGAGATTGTTTGGCATAGGGCTGAGCAACTGAGGGAGTTGTGTACAAGAATTTGTGAAGGGAAAAATCAGCAGTCAACAGAGCTTCCATGTTGCATAACTCCAGTGGACACTCTTTGCACAGAAAACATTTACTGAGGCCCCCCAAGAATTGTGCCATAAAGTAGCCCTGGGCCAAAGAGATAAACTAGAATTACTTTCTAAGGGAGATACCATATACAAAAATAGATTCCAGAGAGATTGAATATCTAAATGTAAATGAAATCAGGAAGTTCTGGAAGAAAATACTTTCATAATCCCAAAGTGAAGGCCAATCAAAGCCTCACACAAAACTCAGAGGGCATCAAAGAGAAATGTTGACAGATTTAACTACATGAAAATGAAAAACAATTATATGTATCCCATAAATATGTACAACTAGTATGTATCATAATAATTAAAAATAAAAAGCATCATATAGGAAGAAAATTAAAATGCAAAATTGGAGGAAGTCTTTATAACATATATAATAGGCAGAAGTTAACACTCATAATTTCTAAAGGACATCTCCAAGTCAATTTAAAAATCCCAGTAGAAAACAAAATAAACGACATGGACAAGACATATATACAAAGAAAGAAATGTAAATAATGATCAGCTTCACTAACGATCAAATAAATGGAAATAAAAACAATGAGATACCATTTTCATCCAACAAGTAGGCAGAAGTTTTAAAGGGTTGTTAAAGATGAGGGGGGAACGAGCACAATTCATGTTATTGATGGGAATGTAAACTCGTTCAACTCTCTTGGATGACCATATGGCAGTATCCACCAACATATAAAATGTGCAAACCATTTGACACAGCAACTAAATTTGATCTCTCCCCTACAGAAGTGCTTGCACATATGGACAAAGAAAAAATATATAGGTATAAGGCTGCATGTTGCAACATTTTTTATAATAGCAAAAGTAGTAGAAACAATTTAAATGGTCATTCATAGGAGAATGTTAAATAGACTATGGCACATTTGTATAATACAAACTATTCCATTATAGAATTAATCCATAATATATTTGGAGGTATTAAAAACACCTTGGCAAGGCGGGCAGATCACCTGATGTCAGAAGTTTGAGACCAGCCTGGCTAACATGGTGAAACCCCGTCTCTATTAAAAATACAAAAATTAGCCAGGCGTGGTAGCAGGCGCCTGTAATCCCAGCTACTCAGGAGGCTAAGGCAGGAGAATCGCTTGAACCCAGGAGGCAGAGGTTGCAGTGAGGCAGAGGTTGCAGTGAGCCGAGATCGTGCCACTGCACTCCAGCCTGGGCAACAGAGTGAGACTCCATCTCAAACAAAAACAAAACGAAAACAAAAAACAAAACCACACACATTGAAAAAATAGTATACTATGAGTAATAACAAAATTAGAATTTTGTCAACAAACAAATCTCTATGTATATATACATGTATGTGTGTGAGTACACGTGTGACATATAGGCTGGAAACATACATACAAAACTTTTAATAGTGATACTTAATAGTAATAAGAGGAAGTGGAAATTTCCCTTTTTACTCACTATTTTCTTTATTGTTTATATTCATTGTAAGTAAAGTATGCGCTTTTTGTAATTAAAAATGAAGACGAGAACAGGGAAATCCTGTCATTTTTTGACAATATGGATGACACTGGAGAGCGTTATACTAAATGAAATAAGACAGACACAGAAGAACAAATACTGCATGATCCCACTTATATATGGAATCTAAAATAGTCAAACTCATAGAAGCAGAGAGTAGAATGGTGATTGCCAGGTGCTGTGGGGAAGGGGAAATGGGGAGATGTTAGTCAAAAGGTACAAAGTTTAAATTATATTACACAAATGAATAAATTCTAAAGATCTTATATGATGTGACTATAGTTAGCCGTATTGTATACTTGAAGTTTACTAAGAGAGTAGATCTTAAGTGTTCTCACCACGTATACACAAAAAATGGCAACTGTCTGGCTGATGAATATGTTAATTAGATTGAGTGTGATGATTATTTCACAATGAATACGTATATTAAAACATCAAGTCGTACACCTTAAATATATACAGTTTTTATTTGTCAATTATACCACTAAAGCTGGGAGAAAAATGTAGAAAAAGAAAGAGCCTAGGATGATCAGAAACGCATGAGAGACTTTCGTTAGCCACTTGTGAAGGGAATAATGCTATGAATTCAAAGGCAGAGAGGCTTTGTGGTCGCTGCTGCTTGTGGAATGGCAAGAGGTGATACTGTGGGCTTCTCTGGCACAACAGGTGCTAGTAAAATCCATCTCTGTACGGGCCCTAGGCTTTCCGGAGGGAAATCAACAAAGCAGTGACAGTCTCTGGAAGACACCGTAAGAAATCCAGGTTTTGAGGACTAGTCTTGGAGCTTCAAAGCTAGGAAGATCTAGATTCTTGTGATCTAGTATTTGTTTATTCCGTTTCTTTAAAGTTAATGCTAAGAATCCAAATGGTTGAAATGTTCCTAAATATTTCCCCTCATTTGGACTGTTAGTCCATTTATAGATGCATGTGCCTTTCGGAAGAAAAGGGATAGGTTTCTGCATATCAGCCTCAATATCTTAATTATAAAAATTCCCACTTGGATTCCATTGGTACATTATAAATTGACTAAGCTTTCTGTTCTCAGGGTTTTGAGATTTGTATTGTATTAAAAAAATTTGCCCCAAAACCTAAGGCAAAACCCACTATATCTAAGAGAAAGTTTTGCTTTGGAGTTAGATAAAAAGGCATTTTTGACAGATTGAACTATTTGCGTAAAGAATAACTTGAAAACAGAAAGCCCTGCTTTATACTTTTCCTTTATAGCATTGTTCCACTGTTTTTAAATGCTGGATAAATATTTTAAAATACTAACTTTAAAATGTATTTTTTTTTTAGATTTTGCATTTGCAAATAATGTAGACAAGTAAGTAATTTTATCTATACATTTATTATCAGATTATTTCATAATTGTGTTGTCCCTTTACTTCATCTCCATTTCCTAAAATAGATTTTAATGAATTAAAAAATGACTCACTCTTCAATAGATGAGAAAAATTGCTAGGTCTTTCTGTGATAAATGAGTTCAAGCTCTGTATTAATATTTGACATATTTGGGCTTTTAATATTACTATCAAAGTCCTAAATAAGCAAAAAGATAATTTGATGCTTAAAAAAATAAACCTCGCCAGGCGCAGTGGCTCATGCCTGTAATCCCTGTACTTTGGGAGGCCATGGTGGGTGGATCACCTCAGGTCAGGAGTTCGAGACCAGCCTGGCAAACATGGTGAAAACCTGCCTCTACTAAAAATACAAAATATTGGCCTGGCATGGTGGCAGGCGCCTATAATCCCAGCTACTCAGGAGACTGAGGCAGGAAAATCACTTGAACCCAGGAGGCAGAAGTTGCAGTGAGCCTAAATCATGCCACTGAACTCCAGCCTGGGTGACAGAGTGAGACTCTGTTTCAAAAAATAAAAAAATAAAAAATAAACCTTAACTATTAGCTATTCTGAAAGTGGGGTTTTATATTCCTTGTTTAGCTATTCTCTAAATATGTTCAGTCATAGCAGTTATCATGTAGATTAACATTTTATATTCATTGGAATTTACATTTCCAAAAGCAAGCACCTCACTAATACTATGGAAGACTTTTCAAATTCATGAATACTGATGAATTTAGAGTCATCATTCTTTTTTTATTTTTTCACTTAAGATGTTTTTCTTTGGATACAGTATTGAATATTATCTCCATGTACATTTATAAAATATGGCATAATGTAGAAAAAAACTTAGCAATACAATGAACTTACAATAATAATATGCATAGATCTATAAATATTTTAACCATCTCATTTAACTGGTTTTAAAACATGACTGCATGAGTATGTGAGATCTAAACTGTAATAGTTGATCCCCAAATATGTTCAGATACTTTATTTATAAAATAAACAATATATACAATAAAAATAGTGTCACTTAGCCTGAAAGTCATTTGTCAGTGGAGCCCGCAAATTATTTGTTAGTGGTACTATACTACAAATAACACAGAAAAACATGGCATTGATTCATTTGAATAAAAATTTCATTTTGGTCAAATTTTCATTTTTGATTGCTTTTTTTCTGACATAATTGCTTTTTTTTTGCAGAACTGTGCTTGATGACCCAGAAGATGCTGTTTTTGTGAGGTCCATGAAGAGATCAGTGATGACTTTGACCTCTATGAACTGGGACACAGTTCCAACACGAGAGGAAAGGTACCTTGAAGAGGAAGGCACAGAAACAGCTCAAATGCTCACAGTTACACTGAGATAAGCCCTGGTATTTCTAGATATCTTAGTGGTTTTCAGTTGTATATTAAACTTCCCTGTGACTTAGCATATTACATACTTACAATGATATTATTTGAGACATCTAAATGTAAACAGAAACACCAATAATGAAAAATAATTCCTACATTTTAGGTTTTTAAATGTAAAGTTGTTTAAGTAAAATTGTGTACAGAAATGTATAAAATTCATAAGTGTTCAGCTCAATGAATTTTCAAAAATTGAACATGTTTATGTAACTGGCATGCTAGATCAAGAAATAGAACATTATCAGGACTCTGAAACTCCCTCCTTCCTGTACCAGTCACTACTCACCCTTCCAAAGTAATCATTGTCCTGATTTCTAGACAATAAATTACCATGTCTGATTTCAAAAGGCATATAAATGGAATCATAGAACATGAATATTTTGTGTCTGGCTTTTTTCACTTGACGTTGTAAGATACATCCATGTTGTTGCTAGAAGCAATGATTCTATCATTCTTACTGCTATATAATATTTCATTGTAAGACTATAACACAATTAACTTATCTGGTGTACTATTTTTGACTCTCATCTCTGGAGATATTTGCCAGTTCTGGCTAACAGTCTGGGTTTGGTGTAGCCAGAAACTTGCTCCTCAGGGAAAAAAAAAAATCCAAATGCTTTTAGCAGTTGCCTAGTACTGAGTGACAAAAGTGGACATTGGAGGTAACTCAAATTCATTACTGATTTTCCCTAAGGAGCTAGATAAAAGGCTTACAAAGGGCAGAGTGACATCTCCCTCTAGCTGATGGTGCTTGGGAAACACAGACACACTGTAGAAGTGGACTGGAATCAAACTAGGCAGGAGACGAAGGCCTAGAAGGAATAGTGAATTGACATTGAGAATCTACAGCCTCCATTCACCTGTGGGCACTTATCATTCTGTGCACGGCCAGAGTCTAAAAATTCAGATATGTTCCCTGGAAAAAGGTTGCAGCTAGAATAAAGAAAAAGCAAACATTTGACCATTCATGTAGGTGAGTGGCTGGTATCATGACAAAAGTAGTTGTGTGTGGCTTCCAAGATTAGGTGATAGAAAGAATTGAGGCATTCCCTTGCTCGGGCTTGGGCGATAATCCAAAAGACAAAAGACATAGTCCCAAAAATGTAATTCTGGAAAAAATAATTTAAAAAAAAATTAAAAGACATTTGTTTACATTTTTTAAAACGGATTTGTTTGAGAAACATTATATCTACAGAACATTTTGTAGGCCACTTTATACAATAAAATAGGCAATAATGACATACACATTTTTGCAAGCATAAGCACTCAGGTATACTAACGACAGTTGCACAGGTGTAAATAACAGTTATGAGCAAACAAACCATATTCATAAAGAAATAGGTCAAAAAGCAAAATGTATATCACAAATGCAGACATCCAAAAAGGACATCTCTTCATTTATTGAGGAAGTTTCAATGTTTTCATGCACACACACACAAAGCTTACACACAAAATCAGTGTTGCAAAAATATACTTTTGTGAAGTCAGATTTTTGAAAAATGTATAAAACAAATTATAACTCTAAGTCTTGACATAATTCCTGTATTGGAAATGGAGGTATAAGTTAGCAAATTACAAAAAGTAATGCTCACAATTTAAAATCGTGGACAAAAAACTAAAAAGATAACTGTACATATGAAAAAGTATATTATGGGAATAGGTTATAAGCTATTGGGATGAACTAGGCCATAAGAGTTGGCTGACTTTCACAATTATTTAAAATTTTATATATTTATTTACTTTTAATATTTTTATGTAATAAAAAGTAAAAGTTCTTGTCCAGCCATCCTCATGGGGCATCTGTCTGTCTCTCACACAGGTCACTCAAGTTAATGGGAAATAAAGAACAGGGGGCCTAAGTCTCAGGTTATAAATAATAGAAAATAAAAGATCTTCTGTGTCCAGCAGGGAAATAGATGAGAGGATGGGAGGGCAGTACTGGGTGGGGACAGGCAGGGGCAGAGCAGGAACCCCTCAACCCCGCTGGACCCTGGCGCTGCCCTCTGTAGGCCCCTCCTATTCAAGGTGCTTGGCAGGAATTCCCCAGCTCCCCTGGGGAAAGGGGGGATGGGGAGCTGGGAGTAGTCTGAGCTGCTGGGGGAAGAGACATAGACCATTCTTCTCTCCACTCATGGAGGTCTCAGATCGCGGCCAGGAAAATCTTCAGTTCCCCGGTGGAGTGGAAGGGGAGCTGCTGGGAGGGATAAGATTGAACTCCACCAGTAAGTCAGGAGACAGTCGGGGTCACTGAGAGCTTGGGGGTGTCCAATGTAGGGGTAGGGTAAGGGTGTGGAAGCTGAGAATGCAGGCACCCCACTCTGGGGCACTGCACTTTGCGGGGGGGTGCCCATGACTCTGGGGTGGGTGCAGCAGCATCACCTGGGGCGAGTGGGGCTGCTGTGATTCCAGTTTGGACATGGGCCTGGGGAACATGGGCCATGTTGGTGAAGCCGTGGGGCAGCTGCTTGTGGTGGATGGCATACACAGTGGCTGGCTGGGGGAAACCGCTCTGAGGGGACTGGGCAGAAGGTCCCGGTGGCAGAGAGGGCAGCATGCCTGTCAGGGCCCCTGGGTGGTACAGATTCTGCTGTGGCTGTCCACTGCCCAGGTGTGGAGCCACCCCCGCCTGATGCTGGACAGGACTGGGGGCTGCAGGCTGGTTCCCAGTAGGTGTGATAGCCGGCTGCAGCTGGTGGGCATGAAGCTGTGTGGCATAGTTTGGGTAAGCCTGGTGAGCAGTGACATAAAGGGCTTGGGGGGTGGGCTGCTCCACAGAAGGGTACTGAGGGGTGGAGGATGACACGATGACCTGGGGATGGCTGCCCAACATCAGCATGCGTGGGTTGCTTTGAAGCATGGGAGCAAACACCGGCTATGAGGGATAGTGGGCCATGGGCTGCATCATGGCAGGTGGGCCTGGGAGCTGCTGAGGGTTGTAGGGGATGTAGGAAGAATAGGGCGTGGCAGCCACCAGAGGTGAGCCAGCAGCCACCGTGGCGGGGCTGAGGCTGGCTGGTGTTGGTCCCAGAGCTGTGGTAGCAGGGAGCCTTTTGCTCCCCAGTACTTGCCCTGCTGCCCAGACACTGAATTGGATACAGGGTATGGATACATCTGAGGTGCCTGCACAGCTGGTCCCATCTGGATCTGAGGTGTGTAGGAGATGTACTGGGTGCTGTATAGCCCACTCTGGCCTGCCGTCAGCACTGGGATAGAGGGAGTTGAATGAGTCTGAGGCCCTGGAGAAGTTGGGATACTGGTGGATTTATTCACAGACAGCAGAGGCTTTGTGGGATTGAACTCCTTGGTATTGGGGTTCAACGTTGATTTCTTGTTCAGCAATAGGGCCCTCATCCTTGTCCTCTCCTTTGATGAGGCCAAAGGGGAGGCTGCCGGTTTGGCTTGGGCAAGGTGGTGGGGGCGGCTCTGGCCCCTCAGTGCCTCCTGCTGGTGCCAGGGGTGGTTTGTCCTCCTTATCCGATACAGACTCTGTCTTGGAGGAGACGGGGGACCCCATGGGCTCTGAAGTCAACAGACCATCATCCTCCTTCTCCTTTCCTTTGGCCTCCTCCTTTAAGGTCCAGGGAGGAAAAGGATCCAGGCTGTTCTCAGGGGAACTACTGGGCTGAAGATTAAACTGGGCCCCACACTTTCTCAGTTCTTCCAGATGGAATAGTTTCTGTTCATTCTGAAGACCAGGGACTTTCTCAGCTATCTGAGCCAGCTACTGGGGATCCAGGGTTCTCCCAGGTTCCGTGGTAGAGAGTTCTTTTACATCTGTGGGGGCCAGGGAGATCTTTGGAGAAGCTGAGGAAATGTAGCCCATTCCAGGATCTGAGACTGATGAGGTCACAGGGATGGAGGCTGAAGAGGTTGGCACTGCTAAGCCGATGGGAAGCTCAGGACAGGAAGGTGAGATTGGGGCAGGGGCAGCAGACCTGGGAGAACTCGGGGGATACATCCGGCCCACTGCAGGAGGAGGAACAGAAGTTTCTCCGGAAGGCCTATTAGTGGGCGAAGACAGAGTCTTGGCACCTCTCAGAGGCCTCTGTGCCTTTGGGGACATGTGGGAAGGGCCTCCATTGATACCACGGGCCTCAGAACCTGGGCCAGGATTGCTATTGTCCAGATGGCGAGGGCCACGAGGTGACAAATTGCTAAGGCCAGGCTGACTGCCCAGAGGGCTGCTGCGTCAAACTCCTCCCCGGGGACCTTCCTGGACTCGTTGAGGCAGAGGGATGATATACTTCCCCTTCCTGGATGCCAAGCTGGGGCTCTCCCGCCCCGAGCCCTGCCGCTGGACCGCCCTGTGCTTCTCCTCTTCAGTGCGCCCATCGTCGCTCTCCATGGCGATCCGCAGGTGGTACTGGGGGCTTGATTCAATCTCTGGAGCCAACTGGGCTGCACGCAGCTCTCACAGCTGAAACTCTTTCGAGTTGTCCTTTTCTAAGGGCACCGTATAAGGAGAAAGACTGCTGTCATAGGTGGTCTTCACACCGTAGTTCTCTTCATTGAACTTGAACATTTCATTGGGGTCCCATCCATTGGACATGTTGGACTCGAGGTCGTAGTTGTCGCTGTTGCTGTCACCCCGCTCCCAGCGCTGAAGCACCTTCTCTTTGTGTTCCCCATTCCCTTCGAGTTCATGGCGATGGCTGAATCGGTGAACTTGTCTTTAGTAGCGTAGTTGAAGTCAGCATTTCGGAAGTGAACAAGCATGACATCACTTGGCTTAAACACCATGGTGTCTACAGTGTCCTCCCGACGAGGGCCAGCTGCTGGCTCAGATGCTTTCTGGTGTACAATATCCTCTGCTAGTTCAAAATGTGAGCTCAGCGTCTTGAAGATACCTTCATAGGTGGTGCCATTTTTCACCTTTACATCACAAGTGGAGCCCACAACAGCTGTAAGGAAGTGCAGCATTCTGGAATTGTTGTAGACGCCTTCAAACACAGGTGACTGCGGAGGTCCCTTTCCTGTGCTCTGTCCCCTGGCGCTGCCGATGGCAGCGGCCCCCGGCCTCTCGTGGTGCTGCTGCTGCGGTGGCGGCTGCGTGGTCAAGATGCTTTCGGCTCCCCAGCGGAGCCCGCTCCCCGCAGCCGAAGGCCCCAGGCAGGCGGAGGAGGCTGCGGGAGGTCGCGGTGGAGCTGCGTAGGAGGCATGGCCTGTTGCGTAGGGGGCGGCTACTGGGGCTTGGACAGCTGTTGTGGCGGCTGAGGCTTCAACATGATAGCAGCGTCCGGAAGAGGAATTAAAAGGAAGGGAGGGAGAGAAAGGGCCGGGGCTGGGGCCCCGCGGGAGAGCATGGGAAGTGAGGGGGATCGGGAAGCCAGGCCTGCCATTGGCAGGCGGGGGGAGCCCCGAGGTGTCGGGGGCGGGTGGAGAGAACCCCAATTCTTAATTATATTTTGAAATGTTGATGCAGGATGTTTTTGCTCCTTAGTTCAGCTAAATCCAGGTTCTCGTCTCACAACCAGGAAAAATTAGGCATGCAGACATGTTGAAAGGTGAGGAGGCCAGAATTTATTAAGTGAAAGGAAAGCTTTGAACAAAAAGAGGGGTCATGCACGCAGGTTTCCACCTCACAAATTGAATGCCAGGCCACAACACATGAGTTGAAGAGGTCAGCCTCCTCCCACCTGTAAGGCGCGAATTCCTGGTGGCTCCACTCTATTCCACAGTGCTTTTGGGCCTCCAGTTCCTTGTGGGCATGCCCAGGTAAGACCCTGTGCAGGTTCCCTTATCTGCACAAAAACATCTGGCATAAACACTTGTGGAGCAGAGATTCTCCAGGGACCCTTCTTTATCTGCATAGGCATTTGTCTGCATCCGACCTCTATCAGTATTGCATCTTGATGAAGAGCTGCTTTTTTTTTTCTTTTAGGCATGGCTCTCCTTGTACAATATGTTTCCATTCATTCTTCTTTTTTTTATATTTTTATATTTGTCTTTTTTAATCTTTTCCCTTTTACATGAGATGATCATTTGACAAGCAAATGCTAGATTTGAAAGGGAAATTTCCAAGGATTATCCTTGTTAGGGCAGATTTCTCCTACATAGAACAGCTATGTAGCAGTAGCAAAAAAAAAAAAAAAAAAAAAAAAAAGCCGGGAGACCAGCCTGACCAACAGCATGTGGAGGGTTAGCCCAATTCTTAAAAAAGAAATAAAATCCGGGCAGGGTGGGTGGCCCAGGCTTCACACCCAGCCCAGCTCAGTGAAGCCATGTCGTTGTCTGGGATAAATACCTGGGGTTCGTTGTCTCACCAAGGAAATCCGGTAGGCAGACACAAGAAGTGGATTTAGGAGCAGACGTTTAATAGGCAGAAGAAAGAGAAAGGAGAACAGCTCTCTGTCTTGCGAGAGAGGGGCTTCCGAATGGGATTTCCAGCCCATGGCAGAGTGCACCGGATTTTACAGACAGGCTTGAGGAGGAGGTGTCTGATTTACATAGGGCCCACAGATTGGTTGGACCAGGTGTGACATTTATATAGTGCTTTGGGAAGCTGGCTAACCCACCCTAATCTTATTATGCAAATAGACTTTCCACTTGGCCGTGCCATGTTGTCTGCTCCCTACTGCACAAGTGGTTGGAAAGGAAAAGGGGAGATGGAGCCAGCATTTTGAACATTCCTAGTCCCAGGTGGCCTTTTCCTATTGGCACAGCTAACGGCATTCACCCTTGCAAGCTTCTGGCTTGCTTGTCTGTGTCTGCAGCTCGATTTTACAGGCTGCTCTTTATTAGAAAATAAAATAATTTGGGGATGCTTTTCATTAAAAGGAAAACCTTACTGAGGACTTCCTTACTCTCACTATCTGCCTAAGTTATTTCTTCTTAACACCTATATCATCAGGAGGCTGGGGAGGCTGGGGCAGGAGGTCTGAGGATGTAGTGAGCTAGGATCATTCCCACTGCACTGCAGTTTGGGTGACAGAGTGAGACCCTGTCTCAAAAAACAAACATTGGTTTGTGTCCTCTGAGATGCAAAAAGAAAGAAAAAGAGAGAGTAAGAGAGAGAGAGAGAAAGGAAAACCAACCAATAAAAAAGTTAAAATTCTCCAATGATGCAGCTATAAGAATGATTTTATGCCTTTTACAGTAGTAACATGGATGGAGCTGGAGGCCATTATACTCAATGAACTAACTCCAAAGCAGAAAAGCAAATATTGCACGTTCTCACTTATAAGTGGGAGCAAAACAGTGGGTACACATGGTCATAAAGATGGAAATCATAGATACTCGGGGACTCCAGAAGTGAGGAGACTGGGAGGGGGACAAGGGATGGAAAATTACCTGTGGGATACAGTGTTTGCTATGTAGGTATTAGGTACACTAAAAGCCCACTCCCCACCAGAATGCAGTATGCTCATTTAACAAACAAGCACATGTACCCCCTGAATACTAAAAAAAAAAAAAAAAAAAAAAAAAAAAAATCAGACAAATTGCTGTCTATAGGGAGCAAATGAAAATCAAGGCCCTTTCAAAAAAGGGAAGTAGAATGAGGAAAAAAGCTTATTGATCCTCTTGTGATTGATCGAGACCATACATCTAGATTGATCTCTATTCTAGGACTAGAAAAAATCTTCAGTGCACAGAGTTAAATACCGCAATGCTTTCTACAGTATTTTAAATCATCAGAGATTAGGAGCACTTCACTCAGCGGGGCTTGTACCACTAGAAAAGAGAGGCAGGTTCGTGAGATGCATCTGTCTCAAAATTTTTGTTTTCAATTCTTGTATTATCACTATGCATCCGGACTGGAACATGGACTGGAAATAATCAACACCTCAAAAATATGACCAGGCCGGGCATGATGGCTCACATAATCCCAGCAGTTTGGGAGACCAAGGTGGGAGGATTGTTTAAGCCCAGGACTTGGAGCCTGGGCAACAGAGTGAGATCTTGTCTCAAAAAAATAAATAAATGAATAACAGCAAACAATAACAATGATAATAACAAACAATAACAAAAATAATAATAACAATAATAACAATAAACAACTAAGTGGGAGTGAGCAAAGGTAAAAGGTAATTAAGATCACAATTAATTGTACTTAAAGAAAGTTTCTTTTTAGCCTGTCTCTGTCTGTCTGTCTGTCTCTCTCTCTCTCTGAGACAGGGTCTCCCTCTGTCACCCATGCTGGAGGGCAATGGCAGGATCACAGCTCATTGCAGTCTCTACCTCCCCGGCTCAATCCATACCTCTAGTCCCAGCTACTTGGGAGACTGAGATAGGAGGATCACCTGAGCCCAGGGAGGTCGAGGTTGCAGTGAACTATGATAATGCACCTGCCCCCATTCATTTTCTACGTGGTGCTGCTCTTTTTAAAATTCTTCTATGATTCAATATACATTCACAGGAGCATTCCCTTTTAAATTTTCCCATATTCTGTACCATGCTTCTATGTTGTTTGGAGTGCTCAGAATCTGTTCTGTATGCACTTATAGACAGACCACTAATTTGGCAGAAATGATATTGGTGATGGAACAGGAAAACTGTTGTGTAAGTGTTTTCCTGTCCTACTGTGCATAGAATTATTTTTGAACAAGTCAGTAATTTTACTGGCTTCTCCAGGCAAACACAGAGAAAGCTATTAAAAGCTCCTAGAATTTCACAGTTGGAAAGAATGCCAACGCAGACAAATTTCTAAACTCAAGTTTTTGTCATTGCTGTATTATGCGACCAATCCACTTATCTGATTTTTTTTTTTTTTGCCAAAGCATTGGGCTGATTGGAAAAAACAAACTTTATTGATAACACCTTGAAATTCACTTTTAGAAGGCTTGATCATACCTAATTCCAAATCTGTCATTATGGTTTGAGGATTTAGTTGGAATCCTCTTTTTTTTTTTCTGCAAACTCCACCAAATCTTCAAATAAGCATTTGTAAAGTGCTTCACTTTTTGAAGTCATTAATACATAAATGAATGGATAAGCTCTGTAATTTTCAGATCCAATAGGGGCATGAATAGTACCTATCTGATTAAAAAACAGTGAGGACAGTTTTGAATATGCCATTTGATAACTTACAGGTCACATTTGGCAGCCTTCCAAATTAACTGCCTGAGGAAAGTCTTGTGATTCACGTGAGTCCCTCAAATCTTATCATGAGTTCCTCAAACTGTTGATATACTGATTAATGCATAACTTACTGACATTGACAAGGACACTGATTTGTTTCTGAATCATAAGGTTTTGCTGATTTGTTTCTGAATTATGAAGTTGTATTGTCTTGCACCTAGAACATTTAAGCCTGTATGTTGACATCTGTAGCCAATGATGTTAACCTCTGTATTGTACCCTCCAAAGAAAAAGGACAAGTCCAATATGAGGAGTCCCTCTCCCTTCTCATAAAATTCCTTCTAAAAGCATTCCAACTTGTAACAGACTTTGGAACATGCCTAACTTTGTTGGTGTCTTCCCATGTCCATCCTCACATTCAGTTTCCAATAAATTTTTATCAAATTATTTCTGCCTCAACAGCCTTAATTTCGGTCAACACATCCATGAGCCAAAGTGAAGCATCTGCTAGTTTTTCTATGTTATATTTTCAATAGAAAAAGTCTATCGTCTTCAATAGTCAAATCGCTAACTAAGAATAGCTCACCCCTTAATTTTTTGTAATGCTGGAGGCATCTCAAAATCAGCAAACATCTTTGGTTCAGAAGATCTCTGAACTTGAATTTTTTTCGTTCTCTGATGAAGGGCGTATTTTTAAAAAGGCAAGCATGGTGTTATGTGTGAAGGGGCAGGAGTAGTACACAACTGAATAATCTGGCAGGAAAGATTTCTTTTTTTTTTTTTTTGAGATGGAGTCTTGCTCTATTGTCCAGGCTGTAGTGTAGTGGCCCAATGTCAGCTCACTGCAACCTCTGCCTCCCAGGTTCAAGTGATTCTCCTGCCTCAGGCTTCCAAGAAGCTGGGATTACAGGCACACATTCCCACACCCGGCTACTTTTTGTATTTTTAGTAGAGATGGAGTTTTACCATGTTGGCCAGGCTGGCCTCAAACCCCTAACCTCAAGTGATCTGTCCGCCTCAGCCTCCCAAAATGCTGGGATTACAGGAGTGAGCCACCGCACCCGGCCTCATATTTTTTGCTTGCATTTTCATTTCTTTGATGACCTTTGAAAAACTAGAAACATTGAAGGCAGATCTTCCCCACCCAATCCATTAAGACTCAGACACTAATCTCCTCTGGAAATTCCCAGGTACACTGAAAATAATGCTTTACCAGGTCGCTAGGCATTCCTTAATCCAGTTAAATTGACACCTAAGATTAAGTCCACAAGTGTACCCCTTGTTAGCTTGGCATCCATATGCATCTCCTTAAACCACACTTTATTTCCAAATAAGGACAATAACAAGGTAATAGTTCTGCCTAATACGCTGCACTATCCTGTGTACAACTGTAAATGCACTAATTGTGATTTGGGGGGTTTTAGATGTTAGGGATTTTTAACTTTAGGGATTTTGATCTTTAGAAGTAATAACATTTGGGATTATGGCATTCGGGATTGCATCTTTGGGAATTATGGTTGGCACTGCTCTTTCTCTCCTGGATCGCTTATATTGCGGGAATCCAACTGCCATGTCATTATAACATTCAAGCAGTCCTCTGGAGTGGTCCATATTCTGAGGAACTGATGTCTCTTTCCAAAAGCCAGTACAGTGCAAGGCCTTCTGCCAACGTATACTGCAGACACAGTTAAACTCGCAGATGACTACAGCGCTGGCTGTAAGCTTCACTGTACCTTCAAGCCAAAGACATCTGAAACCAGAACCACCCAGTTGAGCTGCTTCTGGATTTCTGGCCTGCAGAAATCATCTGAGATAATGCTTACTGTTGTTTCAAGCTGATGCATTTAGGGATAATTTGTTCCACAGCAACAGATAACTAATACAATATCCCACCGTAATCCAGGGTCCTTCGGTGGAGTCTCCAGCTAGCACTGAGAGGAGAGTCACAGTGGTTTCAAGGGTTCTTGAACAAGGCCACACCATCTGCAGCACAGAACTAGTCACTGTTTAAATAGCACATCTGGGCATGCTGCTGCATAGATTTTACTACTAACCGAAAGTCTGACCCTTGACCAAGCAGCTGTTTGACCAAAGCTACTCATCATGAACTGAGTACTATCAGATCCACCAAGCAATAACATTGGGTGGCAACAAGCCATTTCATGATGGAAATAGTATATTTGGCATCAGGTTTAAGGTGGCCCATAGTTGCATAAGAAGTATTAATTTTCAATCTGATTGAAGTAAGTTAAGGATGGGCTAATGTAATCTCTTGATTAACCACTAAAAGAATCATTTTCAAATGTGTAGTCTTTGATATTATATTCTTAATCCCACAATTACTGAAAATAAAACATTTACTCCAATTTAAAAATGTCTAAGAAATTTTACTTCATCTGGTAAGAGGTAGAAATTATTTTTCTTTTTACAAAACTGTGTCACCTGCATGAAAAAAAAGATGTGCTTTAGAACGCACTCCTCAATACTGGATATGTTATTCAACAATAAAGGGCTAATGAGTGGCCCTTCATTATTGTGAATGGGAAACATTGTATGAAATACCATTTCAGGAGAAACACAAAATAGAAGACATGATCGTTAAGTTACCTAAACCTCTGCCAAAATGGAATACATCATTATTGAGAGGGTATTTTAAATTAAGTTCTTTGCTTTAAACAAGAGATCCGGATGGGTGGCTCACACCTGTAATTTCAGCACTTTGGGAGGCTAAGGCAGGCGGATTGTTTGAGCCCAGGAGTCTGAGACCAGCCTGGGCAACATGGCGAAACCCTGTCTCTACCAAAAAAAAAAAAAAAAAAAAAAAAAAATTTAAATCCGGGAATGGTGGCATGCACCTGTAGTTCCAACTACTTGGGAGGCTGAGGTGGGAGGATTGCTTGAGCCTGGGAAGCAGAAGTTGCAGTGAGCTGAGATCGCGCCATTACACTCCATCCTGGGTGACAAAGCTAAACCTTTTCTCAAAAAAAAAAAAAAAAAAAAAAAAGAGAGAGAGAGAGAAAGAGAGAAAAGAAAAAACAATAACAACAACACAACAAGATGACCATTCAAACTGTCTCAAGTGGAAGCATATTTATTTACAATGGAATTTCTCATGACTGGGAAACAAAAAATAATGATATGTAGATCTACAGAGGGTTTGGCTAAAAGCTGGGGCTTTGGAATCCAGCAAATCTAGCTTAGCTGTTCCATTTACTAGATGCTACTTGGAAAAGTTAGTTGACCTGTCAAGGTTTTGATACCCTTTTACTTAAAACAATAATAGTAGTTACCTCATAGAGTCTCAGAGATTAAGTTAGATAATGTATGTCAAGTGCTAGGTAGACTGTCTTTCTTTAAGTACTCCATATATGTTAGCTATTACTATTATTCTTATCCCAAGGGCAGTTGTGCTCCTTGTGGACTGTACTTGGTGTTATGGACTGAATGTTTGTGTCCTCCCAAAACTCCTATGTTGAATTCTAATCCCCATTGTGATGGTATTTGGAGATGGAGCCTTTGGGAGGTAAATAGGTCATGAGGGTGGAGCCCTCATGAATTAGTCCCCTAAAAGAAGAGGCCAGAGAACCAGCTCACCCTACTTTTTCCACTTAAGTAACACAGTACTCTGTAGACCAGGAAGAGGATGTTCACCAAGAACTCAATCCTGCTGGAAACCTGATCTCAGACTTCCAGACTCCAAAACTGTGAGTAATAAGTATTTGTAGTTTTAACCACCCAGTCTATGGTAATCTGTAACAGTAGCTTGAATTGACTAAGACAAATGATCTATTAGTAGGCTTCTCCAGAGAAACAGAACCAGTAGAATACACACATTATCTAGAACTAGACATTCATTTTAAGGAATTGGCTTATGCCATTGTGGGGACTGGCAAGTTCAAAGTTTGTAGGGAAGCCAGAACTTCAGGTGTGAGTTGATGCTGCAATCTTGAGTTGGAAATCCACAGAACAGGCTGGCAGACTGACAGGCCTTTGTTGGGACTTTTTTTGGTCTGTAGCTGTTGGTGTTTCCATGTTTCCAGCTTCTTCAGCTCCAAGTCTGGGCTACATGAGGCAGGAAGAAAACCCAGAGAACTCAGCAGGTGTTGCTACGTGGAACCCTGGGTCCAGGATCCCTAGCCAGTCTACCTCCTCTCCAACTTTCACAGTCTTCTTATATTTGTTTTATATACATTTTTTCTGGGGTTTTAGCTTTCCTTAGTGAGAAGAATAGTGAAAAGTGTGTCTACTCCACCTTCCCAGGAGCAGAAGTATTCAGATTATGTTTTAAATGTAGCTGAATGTTTCCTTTTGTGGTTTCTGGGTTTAGTATAGTTATGAAGGCCTCCTTCATGCTAAAGTCATAAAGAATTCTCTCATGGTTTCTCCTGGGATTATTTTTTTCACATTAAAATCTTAACCATTTGGAATCATCAGATAAAGTGGTTTCGTGTGAGTACTTGAATTAGCTAGCTACATTGCTCTGAAATGGTCAATTATGTAGCTACCTGATTTATTCTATGCAAAGTATGATCACCATTTGCCTTTGGCTATTTATAAAACAAGGACTTTAAAGGATATATACAACCAGCACTTCGAACCAGGCTAGAGCTACCTTTGGGGGAAAAATCTGCTCATCTACTGAAATAATTATGAGAGAAGAAAATTTCTTTTTACTAAATTAAGATATTGTCTTTGTCCATAGAAATGATGCTTCGATATTATCAAAGTTTACATAAACATGCCCTATTCCAATTTTAAATAAAGTTTTTTTTCAAAATAAACATCTGTAAATAGGTGGAAAAACACTTTGTGTTCATTTTCTTTCCAACAAAAACAACTGCAATCTGTCAACCCAAAGAGTCAAACTCTGTAAAATATTTAAAGAGATTTATTCTAAGCCAAATATGAGTGAACATGGCCCGTGACACAGCCCTCAGGAGGTCCTGAGACCACGTGCCCAAGGTGGTTGGGGCACAGCTTGGTTTTATTTATTTTAGAGAGGCATGAGACCTCAATCAAACACATTTAAGAAATACATTGGTTTGGTTCAGAAAGGCAGGACAACTCAAAGCCGGGAACTTCCAGGCTATAGGTAAACTTAAACATTTTCTGGTTGACAATTGGTTGAGTTTGTCTAAAGACCTGGGATCCATAGAAGGGAATGTTCAGGTTACAGATAAAGGATTGTGGAGACCAAGTTTTATTGTGCTGTGAGGAGGAATCTCTCAGATAGCAGACTTCAGAGAGAGAGAGAGCAGGTTGTAAAACGTTTCTTATCAGACCTAAAGGGGTGCCTGGCTCTTAGTTGATTATCTCCTGGATCTGGAAAGAAAGGAAGGAAAACAAAGGGGGAAGGGGATTCTCTATAGAATGTGGATCCTTTCCACAAAACACTTCGCAGGGCAATTTCAAGGCATAGCAAGGAAAATATATTTTGCGGTTAAATATTTTTTCCTTGTCTCATAATGTTATGCCACAGTCAGATTGAAAAGCGAGTCACAATATACAGGGTCAAATAAAACCCATCTGATGAGAATCCATGATTTGTAGGGCATGACTCCCCAGACCCCTTGGGTAGGAATTTGGACAAGATAAATAATCAGAGGTTAGTCCTTAAATCTAATTTGAAATTTGAACTGCCATTGTTAATTTTCTAAGAGAATATAATCATAAAATTCAAGTTATATGCCTTCATTTTTCTTTTACCTGTATTTGTATGTATTTAACTTTTGAAATTTGCTTTTGTTTTCTAGTTGCCATGTTATTAATAAGGATTCTTTGGTTCTAAGTGACAGAAATCCAAATGGGAAATGTATTTGCTCATGTAAGCAGACCTTGTAAACCCCAAGTGTGGACTCTGTCAGAGCCCACTGGATTCGACAGCTCAAATAAGCGTTTCCTCTCTGTATCCCTGTCTCGCTGGTGTCCATTTAATAACTGCATTTTCAGGTGCCTTCACATGTCAGGGGTCATGGCCTCAGTTCTGAAGCCAAATCCTTGTACTTTACAATCTCTCCAAAGGAGAAACAAATAAAAAAAATAATAAAAGCCCCCGTTCTTCAACTTCAGGAATGAAAAAAAATCTCTGGGAATTGCTCTGATTGTCTTCATTGTGACCAAGGAGGCCAATCACTGCTGGCAACAACCATAAAACCACCTAAAAGGGAAGAGCCAGTTTCCACTCAAGAAGGGCACTAATTTGCTTCAGAAGTGGGGGAGACAGGATCCCCAGAAGATGAAAACACTGCAAGAATATCCACTATAAGAATTTCTGGCCAGGTGTGGTGGCTCATGCCTGTAATCCCCGCACTTTCGGAGGCCAAGGTGGGCGGATCACCTAAAGTCAGGAGTTTGAGACCAGCCTGGCCAACATAGTGAAACCCCTTCTCTACTAAAAAAAATACATAAATTATCCCATCATGGTGGCAGGCGCCCATAGTCCCAGCTACTCAGGAGGCTGAGGCACGAGAATCTCTTGAACCCAGGAGGCGGAGGTTGCAGTGAGTTGAGATTGTGCCACTGCACTCCAGCCTGGGGGATAGAGTGAGGTTCTGTCTAAAAAAAAAAAAAAAAAAAAAAAAAAAAAAGAGAGAGAGAGAGAGAGAATTTCTATGATGTTTTATACTCAATAACATTAACACTCAAGTAAACTCATATATATGAAAGTTGAGCAAAAACAGTGATTTTTTTTTTTAAGGGCCTTGGGAATATCCATTACACCCTGTAAAATAACAGCTTGTCTTCAACCCTGTATGATCTTCTGGCTGCAGGGATACTACAGTGAGGTTAACATGTTAAGAATGTACAATGTACTAGTTAAAACTGCAGACCTCGCCAAGCACCAGCTCTACAATTTTGGATAAATTAGGCAACCTGTTTAAAGTTCCTCATCTGTGCTACTGGATAAAGTCTAATTCACAGGGTCATTGTGAATATTATACAAAATTATTTCAGGGATAGAGTAACTTTCACTGTTAGCTATTATTATTATCTACTGAATTAAAAAGCAGAATCTGATTTCTTAAACTAACTGGCCAATTCAATATTGCATTACAATCAGCTCTAGGTACCAGAAGTATTGGAATAGTAAGAGTATTCAAAATCCTTTAGGTCCTATTTTTGTTTGAGAAGAGTTTTTTGATAGTATATTGAAAGCAATTCAACATGGGAAAAAAATAAGTTGACCATGTGTTCTGTTGGTATCATAATGGAAAATGCTGTTTTAGATAATTTATGATAATCAGAACCAACCCCATTTTCTGACCACCCCTTTCTTAACATACATCTAAGGAAATTTTTGATATTGATATGGCTTATGCTTGAATTTCTCTTTGTCCAATGTTAAAGTTCCTATTCATGCCAGCTCTGTTAGTTCTGATTCATTTAGTAATTCATGACAATAAAGGAGAAAAGTACCTCTACTTTGCCACTGCTATTTATTTTCCTAATTCTGTTACCAGGGCGGTCCAGGAGATACAGCTGAGGAAGCTCATTATTTTCTTAAACAGCTTTCTTTTTTTCTATTCTCTTTTACTTAAAGTCCTTTTAAGCCTGCTTAAAAGGACTCCTTGTGGTCCAGGAGTTTCAGGACCCTTCGCCAATTACTACAGGAAGATAAGGCCTGAGTGAAACTCAGCAAACCAGAAGCAGAGACTCCTTGCTACCTTTAGATCATTAGCATATCATTATAATGCTAAGCTTCTCACCCAGAGGAGAATCGCTGCCTTTTCTGAACGTGGGGTGTATGGAGACACGTTTATGATGTATGCCAGTACATCTGGAGTTCCTCTCTGAATATGCTTACCTATCTTCCACCCAACATCTAACTCCTTAAAGTTCCCCAGCTTCCCACAGCTTGGGAGGAAGGTGTCTTTAGAGCAAGAGCTCTCTCCTTTTCCATTCCTGGCCAGGAATAAAACCTGCCTGCCTTTTTTCCCCCAAATGTATGTTCTTTTTTGCAGCTAATGCAGAGCAGGGAAATAACTCAGTTTACTGGCTGACAATTTCTTCTGCTTTTCCACAACCCTCCATGGTATGCAAAGACAGGGGCCGTGCCCTCTTGCCAGAGTCCTCCACAGCATGTGACAGAGTGGGGTGAAGAAAAGGAGAATTGATGGTAACACAAACATTATAAAAAATCACTAAAATCCGGGAACTCAGGTAAAAAGCATGTCAGTGGGAGAGCGAGGGCTGGGAGGGCTCCTTTACTACCTAAAGATAAATGTTCATCAGTGTGTGTATAGATGAAGTACTTGGATGAATGATTTTATTTTTTTCGGAGGGAGGCTTGTCATGATTAACAAATTCAGTCTAAATTCGCTTGCTGAATTCCTAACCAGTTAACCCTCAACATTGAATTTACTCAAAGTCATCCTAGAGCCAGCATGGTATAGGGTGTGTGTGGTATAGGGTATATGTTTGGGCTAGGAAAAAAATAATGGAGTGTCAGGAAGATAAAAATCCACAAGATAGGCCGGGCACAGTGGCTCACGCCTGTAATCCCAGTGTTTTGGGAAGCCGAGGCAGGTGGATCACCTAAGGTCAGGAGTGTGAGACTAGCCTGGCCAATATGGTGAAACCCCATCTCTACTAAAAACACGAAAATGGCCGGGCGCAGTGGCTTATGCCTGTAATCCCAGCACTTTGGGAGGCCGAAGTGGGTGGATCACGACGTCAGGAGATTGAGACCATCCTGGCTCACATGATGAAACCCCGTCTCTACTAAAAATGCAAAAAATTAGCTGGCGTGAACTGGGGAGGCAGAGCTTGCAGTGAGCCGAGATTGCACCACCGCACTCCAGTCTGGACAACAGAGTGAGACTCTGTCTCAAAACAAACAAAAAAAAGTACAAAAATTAACTGGGCGTGTTGGCGGGCACCTGTAATCCCAGCTACTCAGGAGGCTGAGGCAGGAGAGTCACTTGAACCTGAGAGGCGGAGGTCACAGTGAGCTTGAGATAGTGCCATTTCACTCCCGTGTGGGCGACAAGAGCCAAACTCCATTTCAAAACAAAAACAAACCAACAAACAAACAAAATCCACAAGATAGAATTTGATCAGCAAAGTGAGGTGAGAATTCTAGTCATTTTGTTCTGCAATTGTACATATTAAAATAATTATTACTTTGCTGTTCTCCAATATTTGTCAAGTTCCCTATTATTTTTTAAGTTCTCTAATACTTCTCTAATATTTGCCACTCCCCAGCAAATTATAAAACAAGATGAGTTGTTTATATTTGTAGGCACAATTTATTTTAAAATCCACACAAGAAACCCAGAAATGCAGCATTATCTTCAGACATCACATTCTAGCTCTGTTTAAATACCACATATGCTAAAAACCGACGCCAGGACATTCTCTAAATGAGTTACAAATCAGTTTCTGGAAAGGAAGTGCTCCATGAAAAGCTTATAGCAAGATAACTCAGGCTTTCAGGTGGAGTATGGCACGTGAATTAGCCTTACAGTAATTGTGTACATAGTATGTTTAGTCATTATTGAATCAAAAGTTTCAGGAAGTACCTTTTTTAATGCATACGCTGAGAGAACCGTCAATATGCCTTTGTTCCTGCTGAGGGATCTGCCATTCTGGAGGTACAAATACTGCAGATAGAATATCACCGCAGGACTACGTCAAGTTCAGAGTGTTCAGGATCATTTCTATATAAAACTACAATTAGCTGAACTATGGCAAAGGTCCTTGAACATAAAGCCTTTCTTCATTTCATTGCATCTTAATAAGTAGAATGCCACTACCGTAAATGCTGCTTATATGTATTTTATTCACATATAAGTTATGATTTTTCTAACTACCCTCTGTAGCTATAAATTTTTCCCTTCCTGAAAATCTCTCTTCCACACCTGTTCTGCTTGTCCCTTTGTTCCCTAAAGCCTGTATTTTTTCTTTAAGGGGATCTATTTTCCTTTGAAACAATTGCTGGAAAGCCAGCCTCAGAAAGGTAATAGGAATGTTTTTCCTGTATTTTGAAACAAAAAATTTTCCATAGGAATATCCATTCAATTATAGAACAGAAATCAATAGGAAATTAGGGCATGGTCAACAGGGGTTTGCTTGAAAACCTGTATTCTATGAAATGTGGAATCCTGCCATGGTGCCACGCAGGTATAACAAGGTGAGGACAATGCATTCCTAGGAGTTTTCCAGCTTCTTGCAGGGTGAGGATCATCCACACTGGCACTTGCTCTGGCTTTTACTCCTCAGACACCTGTGGCCCTGCAGGAGCATCCTGTAAGCCTTCCAACTCAGCTTCGCTTTCAAGAGATTCTTTCTTTCCTTCCCCGGAATCTTCAGGATTGGAATCCTTTTGAGAGATACCTACTTCAGCCTCTGGTTGCTCTTCATTAACACAGTTAGAATTGACATCAAGTTTGCCGTCTGATTAAAAAAAGAAGAAGTTATTTTGTTCCTACCATGTGTCAGACACTCTTCTCAATGCTTTACATGTATTATTTAATCTTCCTATCAACTACATGAGGTATATTAGTATCTCTACTGTCATCGCTAACGTTATTTTACAAATGAGAAAACTGAGAAGAGAGAGGTTTGGTAGCTTGCTGCAAGTTTCCTGGCTAGTGAAACAGCAGAACCAGCATTTGAACTCAGGCCGCTGGCTCCAAAGCCATCTCTAAATCAAGATTGTTGCTTGGGATTTGACAAAGCCTGTATTTGAATACAGCTTTTCTGTGAATTTATTTGATGTCCTTGGAGAGGTAATTGCCTGCATGAAGTTGTTTCCCTTGTCTATAATATGCAGGTAATAAAGGCTATCCTACATTGGTGAAGAATAAAGTTGTCTGTAACATTTAGAGCAGTGTTTGGTGCATGAATGATGCTTAACAACTGGGAGTGCCCATTCTACTGACAATCTTATTCTCCCTCAATAGTGTGTTAGTAATGAACATTTGTTACTTTCTGTCCTTAGCACATAGAATAAAAAAGTTTGGTCAAGAAAACAAGAGAAGGCATGGCAGTCAGAAAGCCTGACTATTCTCTTAAGGATAAATGGTTTAATTGTGTACAAACCATTTAATTCCACTGAGAGTATATCTCAACCCAGTAGTAAAGCGGATATGGTTCCTTGAGAGATGGAGGCAGAAATGCCTGGTATCAGAATAACCGAGGCATCTTTTTCAAATTACATGCACTCCCCCAGAACATATGATACATTCTCTGGAATGAGGCATGAGGGTGGGGGCAGTTCTCCTCTCCAATCTGATAATCACTGCTGAAGCAACTCACTATTTCTGATGAAAATGGGTCACAAAACCTCAAGAGGGATGGAGAAAAAAAAATACAAAATTCACTGCTATGACACTTGTAGAAATTTGATCTGTATATTAGATCTGCAATTTAATGAATGATTTATAAATATACTCTGTAATTTCACCTGTAGTTCTGAAATTTAATTAAGGAATTTAAAGGCTTCCACCCTTAAAATCTTCTGGTAGCCATTAGTGGAAATTTAATTAATTCCCTTATTCAAAGACTTTAAAATCCTTCATGAGCAGAATATAAGTTAATACCCATTAAGGGTCCCATTGTTCCAGGGCAGTAACCTAAGCTAGAATGTAAAATATGAAATAAGCTACATCCCTCAGAATTTGATGTCTCTGTTTTCCAGTGATGTCCAGGCTGACTATATCCTAAGAACTTAAAAACGGGACACATTAAAATTTAAATGTGATTCTTACATCGGTCACTCCTGAGCTCCTATGGCTTCCAGAGAAGACGCAGTTTCAGTGTGTTAAGATCACCTATCATCTCTCTCTCCACTAAAAAGCAGAGTGAACTCGGTTTTTATATACATACGGTTTTCCTCTTGTCTCTTTTCTTTGGCAGCCTCCAACTGTTGCTTTTCGTAAATGTCCTTCAGATTCTTACAGATTTTCTTATGAGTAAACCAGTGTGTTTTCTGGCAGGTTTGATCACAATATATTACCTGAAAGCAATTGTTGGTTTATTTTCATTTCCAGAGCTTGGGTTGTATGATTTCCTAACTATGACTAAACCAAGAACTAAGCTATAAAAATGTCATTTTCCATACTTTATTTTAAAACCATAATATGTGGTTGATATAGTTTGGATGTTGTCCCCTCTAAATCTCATACTGAATTGTGATCCCAAATGTTGGAGGTGGGGCCTAGTGGGAGGTGATAGGATCATGGGGGCGGTTTTCTCATGAACAGTTTAGCACCCTTCCCTTGGTGCTGTCCTCACAATACTGAGTGAGTTCTTACAAGATCTGGTTGTTCAAAAGTATGTGGCAACTCCCCCACCTCCTCTTGCTCCAGCTCCTGCCATGTGACATGCCTGCTCCCCCTTCACCTTCCACCATAATTGAAGGCTTCCTGAGACCTCACCAGAAGCTGAGCAGATGCCCATGCCATGCTTCCTGTATACCTTCAGAACCGTGAGCCCATTAAACCTCTTTTCTTTATAAATGACCCAGTCTCAAGTATTTCTTTATAGCAACGTAAGAACGGCCTAACACAGTATCTTTGTATTGATTTAGATTTATAGTTTGTAGCTTTACTTTAAAACAATAATGAATATATAACAAACAGTCTACCAAAGACTTTAGCAAATAGCTTATTATGAACCCGCTATGTGCCAGAATTGGTACAGTACAATGACAAGGAAGATAGAGTTGTCCCAAAGGTAGCTAGCATCAAGAAAAAGAAAGATATGGAAGAAGGGAGAGAGGCAGGCACCTAAATACATAATTTCTTAACACAGTACAGGATGTAAGAGTGATGGAGGCATAGAGGAAGCAGCAACTCACTCTAGCTGTGGTGAGTCGAGGTAGACAGAAAAATGGGAAAGAAGAATTCTAACTGGAGAAAATATCTAGTACAAAAATGCAGGAACAGGGAAGTGAATGATATGTTCAAGAACAGCAAGAAGTTTTTGTAAATGGCCTTATATTTTTGCAAGTAGGGGTGGAAAGGAGATGGGAATGAATGTTATTAAACACTTACTGTATGCCAAGCACTGTGGTAGGCCCTTATACATATATTGTATTATTGGCCCCAATTCTTCATTCATCCTTGCATTCATACACTTTCTCACATGATTTCAAAGTTCTCTGCACTGAAGGGGAGGAGACTTGACTTCAGATTGGGCCATGTAATTTGTTTCAACCAACAGCATGAAACAACATGGCAATTTCAAGGCTAGTCCTTGAGAGGTCTTCTGTGTTTCTACCTGCCCATGTGTACCTTTGCTATTGCCATGACAACATGCTCAGCCTAGCCTGCTAGTACAAGAAGGATGAGAGTCACATGGAGCACAACTGCCCCAGCTGAGAACAGCCAACCACAACTGTGAGAGAAAGACTAAATGATTATCATTTTAAGCACTGAGTTTGAGTGTGTTTTTATAAGCAGTAATAATTAACCAATATAAATAGTTTGATTTAATTCTGGAATTTCATTTAATTCAGGAAACAGGTTCAGAGAAGTAAGTCATTAAACAAGATGAAGCTGAAGAAGTAGGTCACAGCAGATTATAATGGGTTTCATACAACATGCTGGAGAATTTCAACCTTAAAGTCAACAGGCAGTTGATGCTACCTATGGGATTAAGTGAATGTACGGACACATGCATGTGTCCAGTATCTGGATATGAGAACAACACAATCAGATATGCCTTTTACAAAGATAATTCTGGCAGAAGGGGGCAGTACAGTCCATAGGGATTAAAGACTGGTAACAGTCAGAAACTATAGTTTTACAAGGATATGTTGATGAAGACACTGTCATTAAAGTCAACATCAGAAGAGTAAAGAATGTATATTTATGAACTGTCCTATTCTAGGTTTCACATCTGCACCAGCCTTGGTCTCGTGCCCCACGGAAAACCTTTCTCTTATTTTCTCATATTCATTCATTCATATCCTTTCTTTCCATGAGGTGATCAGCAAAGAGGCAAAGGAAGACTGGCAGTTTAGCAGAAGACAGACACAGTAAAGAACTATATTGATCCTATTAATTCTTTTCCAAAACTACTTTTTAAGTATTAAATAGAATATTTTCGTTACTAGAATTTATTAGAAAACTAATGTCCACTCTTACAGAATATTAAAACTCAATCATCAGCTTGGCTGCATCTAAACCAGAGGTCAATGAAATAAAAAGAACTCCATTCTTACCATTTTGCAAACTGAACATCTTTTACTTGCTCCCTTTTCTCCACAGGTAGTGCAAAATTCCACATCCACAAAACCCACCTGGCCAGTGATGGCTTGGGTAAGGACGGAGAATGCAGTGGGATCAGAACCCTAGAGTGGGCATGAAGAGGAGAAAAAACAAATTCTGAAATCACCATGGAAACACTACAGAGGTATCAGCCCACGGACACTGCCGTCCTACAATGTGACACAAAAAGGAAGAAATCATTAAGGCTATAGATTACACAGGCTTTAAGACAAAATGACAAAAATCTTTTAGAATATACCATTTTCTGTACAAAACATATGAAAAGTCAGTCATATGTCCAGATAATTAAAGAGAAAAAAACACCCTTAATCTAGAAAAAAAGTATTTTTCCAATAAGGATAATTCAGTAAGCCCATAGCGTTTCAGATTTAGGACAATAACTCCAGAGCAGAATTTTTTTCTGAGAACTGACATCCAGAAAATATTCATATTCCATGAGACAATTATAGGGCACATCAAAAATGTTTAACTGTCTTAATTCTGAAAAGTTTAGTACAATCTAAGTATTTTAAAGACAATATATTTAAACTCATTTACTTGATGTTGGCTTGTAATTCAAATAAATTATCACCATTATAATTGGTATGTTCCAAATTTGTTAAGAAACACACATGCAGCAATTGAATCAAAGTATTAAGAAAAACCAAATGTGTGAAACTTACTACTAGTGGGCAATGGAAAATTAAAATAGGTTAAAAAATATTTATAATTTTTATCTATTTTTATTTTTTTGAGATGGAGTCTCTGTCACCCGGCTGGAGGTGCAGTGGCTCGATCTTGGCTCACTGCAACCTCCGCCTCCCAGGTTCAAGCAATTCTCCTGCCTCAGCCTCCTCAGTAGCTGGGATTGCAGGCGCCCGCCACTACGCCCAGCTAATTTTTTGTACTTTTTTTTTTTTTTTTTTTTTTTTTTGAGACGGAGCCTCGCTCTGTCGCCCAGGCTAGAGTGCAGTGGTGTGATCTCTGCTCACTGCAAGCTTTGCTTCCTGGCTTCATGCCATTCTCCTGCCTCAGCCTCCCAACTAGCTGGGACTACAGGCACCCGCCACCACGCCCGGCTAATTTTTTTGTATTTTTAGTAGAGATGGGGTTTCACCGTGTCAGCCAGGATGGTCTTGATCTCCTGACCTTGTGATCTGCCTGCCTTGGCCTCCCAAAGTGCTGGGATTACAGGTGTGAGCCACCACACCTGGCCAATATTTTGTAATTTTAGTAGAGACAGGATTTCACCATGTTGGCCAGGCTGGTCTCAAACTCCTGACCTCGTGGTTCGCCCGCCTTGGCTTCCCAAAGTGCTGGGACTACAGGCATGAGCCACCGCGCCTGGCCTATAAACTTTTTTTACAAAGAAAATTATAAGGGGCTGGGTGTGGTGGCTAGCGCCTGTAATCCCAGTACTGTGCGAGGCCAAGGCAGGCAGATCATTTGAGGTTAGGAGTTTGAGAGCAGCCTGACCAACTTGGTGAAGCCCCGACTCTACTGAAAATACAAAAATTAGCCAGGCATGGTGGCACGCCTGTAGTCCCAGCTACTTGGGAGGCTGAGGCAGAAGGATCACCTGAGTCCGGGAGGCAGAGGTTGCAGTAAGCCGAGATCGTGTCACTACACTCCAGCCTTGGTGACAGTGCAAGACCTTGTATTTAAAAAAAAAAAAATTATAAGGGTAAGCATTTATCTGTCTGAGACGATGCTACTAAAACCTATTTAGCAAAAAATAATCACAGCGTTTCTATTTTTCTTACCTACTCCTAATAGTTCTTTGTTCTGAGTTTTTCAAATTTGTTCATTTGTTCCAAACCAGCATTTTGACACTCTTTATAATTTTCATTTTCATTTGAGTATTTGCTTTTTCTTCCTAAGAATATTTGTTTTTATATTATCTTACCAACTGTACATAATAGAGGTTTAAAAATATCACCTGGTAACAATGTCCTACACTGTTCTGTATACTCAAGATAGTCAAAGAAAATATTCAAAGATTCAAGAAGTATTTTAAAAGTAGCACTCATTTTGAAACTACCATGTTCTTCTTGAATACAAATAATAATGACTGGGTCTGCTTTCACATGAAAGTGCTACGAATTCTCTTTTGTGCTGAGCCTTGAGACAGGCAGAAGCCAGAGTTCCACAGCAGCAGAGGGAACCAAAAGCTGAGCAGGAGGGCCCAGGCATTAGCACTGTCAGAAAACAACACAGTGAAGCTCACAGCAGCCAGCCCTGAGAACCATCGTATGCGGGGAAAAGGTTGGGCATCACTTCAGAGGGTTAGAACTTGCAGAATATGAAAACCAATTAGGCAGTAAACAATGGCTGTGATACGCACAATCACAGGCATTTGGGATGAAGTCTTCCAGACAGAAGAACATAAAACTCTCAAAGAACAAAAATGTTTAAAGAAAAGTCTTTCTAAAATGCATTAAATACTATCTTAACTTTATTATAAACCTTTTCTTGATGACTCAGATCACTGGGATAAACATTAATCATTATACTCTAGGCCGGGTACGGTGGCTCACGCCTGTAATCTCAGCACTTTGGGAGGCCAAGGCGGGCAGATCACTTGAGGTCAGGAGTTCAAGATCAGCCTGGCCAACATGGTGAAAACCCGTCTTTACTAAAAATGCAGAAACATTAGTCGGGCATGGTGGTGTGTGCCTGTAGTCCCAGCTACTCGGGAGGCTGAGACATGAGAATCGCTTGAACCCGGAAGACTGAGGTTGTAATGAGCTGAGATTGCGCCACTGCACTCCAGCCTGGGTAACAAAACAAGACCCCCCTCAATAAATAAATAAAAATAATAATAATTATACTCTATAAACTCTAATTACATTATTCTATTATATGGAGCTAGGATAACTTGTTGACCACAATATTGACCTGCTTTTTTTTTTTTTTTTTTTTTTTAAAGAACTCTGGGTTGCTGTTTTAGTTTTTCTGTTTTTTCCCAGGAAGGTAAAAGGTCAGCAACCATTTGTGAGTGCTGGAAATCCCACATAACAGGTACTGCTAGTTGCTTCTCTGATATCAATTCTCCCAGCTTCCTCAGTAACAGAAGTGTAATTTTGTTCAGAGGAGGAGTGTTTAGAAAAGCCAAAAAAAAAAATTTTCCTGGACTCCTGTGTAGCTAAGGAAAGTCATGTGACACAGGCAGAGGGCTTCTGGGAGAGCTTATGTTTTCCAGATATAGACCCCTTTGCTCTTCCTGCCTGCCTGGGATAGGAATGTGAGCTGGAGGAGGAACATCAAATGCCTCGTAACCATGAGATCATAAGTATGCATATGAGAACCTACACAGCTAAGGAATATTGGAAGGGAAAGATGAGAAAGTGTTTGGGTCCCCAAACTATTTTTAAGTCACTATGCCAGACCTAGTCTGCCTACCTTTGGGCATCTATGTATATGTGAATACATAAACCCTCATCTATTTAATTCATGGTTGGTTGGGCTTTGATATGTGCTGCCAAGACACATTTGTAATTGACAAATCATAATTTGCTAACTTTATTCTTCCAAAAGCATAAACACTAAATAGCCAACTATATTAAAAAGTATGAGTAAAGAAACTCTTGAAAATAGGGGGAGCACACATGAACAAATTAATGCATGAGCTTTATGAGATGGTCTTTTCTGCTCAGGTCTTTCTTGTTTATTTTATGGCTCAGACTAGGTGAATTCTTAATGTACAAAGGAGCATCTGGAGCCCACTTGAAGCCCTGATGTTCCACACTGAGAATGACATAACAACCCAGAGAGAAGGCACAGAGAAGGGAACCAGATTTGCCAGAGGGAGGGAGGAAGCCATGGATGGGACTGGTCTTAGGATCAATTTCTTGCCTGATAGACAAAAGCTGATCAAGTTTTTGATTGAAACGTATAAAAGCATGAATGGGTATAGATAGGGTAAACAAAAACCTATTCAAAATAGAAAAGGTGGCTGGGCGCAGTGGGTCATGCCTGTAATCCCAGCACTTTGGGAAGCCGAGGTGGGTAGATCACCTGAGTCAGGAGTTCGAGACCAACCTGGTCAACATGGTGAAATCCCATCTCTACTAAAAATACAAAAATTAGCTGGGCGTGGTGGCGCGCACCTATAGTCCCAGCCACTCAGGAGGCTGAAGCAGGAGAATCGCTTGAACCTGGGAAATGGAGGTTGCAGTGAGCTGAGATTGTGCCACTGCACTCCAGCCTAGGCGACAGAAACAGACTCTGTCGCAAAATAGAAAAGGCCAAATAAATTAAAATATATGACAAATGAATAGTAAGTCATTTAAATAACAGATAAAGTTAACAAAATACACTTATATAGTGGGTAAGTATAAATAGGTTGTAAGTATGGACATTTTCTAATCAGAGGCATTAAGGTGGATTATAGGAAGCTGAGGCATACTTTGAGATTGTTACCAGGAACCACAATGAGCCTTCCCATGGCTTATCCCACTACATCCCCACTGCCTGGACACTATCCCCCTAGGTGATCAATTCATACTTGCATCTAGTGTATGACTTTGTGCTGATAATTCATATAGCTACAAGTGTACATGTGTGTACCTATATTACATAGTGGATGTACTTAAAATGTAAGTTTCTACCCTAACCATCTACATTTCAACATAGCGACGTCCTGTTTATGAAACTATGAACCATAATAAGGTAAGAAGAGGATCGTGAGATGGGAAATAAATAAACAGGAACAGGTTTGGCAGGCAAACCTATCTCCACCTTTGTTCCTAAAAATATTCTGAAATAATAAAAATAAATATTAAAGAGAACTTGCCTTTAACAATACAATAGGTGGGAATTAGGTTTTACTGATAGAGTCAACTTAGGTAAGAGGAGCCTTACAATTTCAACAGGAGCAATGCTTCGAACCAGCTGCTGGAGGAGTGTAGCTTCACAGTAAGGAAATTTTCTGATACTTTCTCTAATGATCTTTTCTTGATACACTGGAAAGCCATCAGAAGCTCGGCCTTTTAACAAGCTGAAAGATATTTTTTAAAGCGTAATTGGAGTTGAATCACTAAGCATTCTCTCCTAGTTGAACCCAACAGTTTTTAGTAGTTTCTTCTGTTACTTATGATTTTCTTTGTCTCTTCAAATCATGATGACGGGCTCAGTTCAAATTGCTGTTCAACCTATATGTTAGGCTAGGCCTTATAAGGTTTTCCAGCCCATTAAATGAATATGCAAAGGTGACTACCACCATAAAACACACTAAACACTGTTATCAGATTAGCTAGTTACTTATTACCATGTCAGTTATTTGTACTAAGAATGAAAACTCTCATAGAGCCACACCCTTCAGACTTAGTTCCCTTTTCTAGGTAAGGATGCAAGAGAATTTGATCTCTGGTGGTCAGAGAAGCAGCATAACACACAGCTCTCCAAGATACAGTAACAGAGACACCCTGGATGCCATTACAAACCTAGGGCTGCGACCTAGGGCATAAAATATTCTCAAATTTGGACTTGGGCCACTTTCTCGCGGTGTGATCTTACACATGTTATTTAACCTCTCCAAACCTCAGATTCCTCATCTGTAAATTGCTGGTAACAACAAAAACATCACAGTAAAGGATACAGAACTGAATAATCACTCAATATAAGTATAATATTATTCTCTGTTTGTCAAAGACTAAATGTGAGTCCAACAACAGCAATTGCTGCCAAAATGTTTAATTTTGAAACACATAATAATGAGGCTTCATATTAAAAAAAATATTCACTTGAGTGTATTTTATAAACGACATAGTAAAAAGAGTACCTTTTGATCAAGGTGTCCAGTTTATTCTCTCCATCTTTTAAGAAGTTAATGCATTTCTGAAAGATACAGCTTATGTAATGCATCTTCATAGCCAATACTTCATTCATGTCTCTTTGCTTCATACATTTCTCACAAATCAAATCCATCACTCTGTAGCATTTATTCAGGGCTGCTTCTTCTGTCAGCAGAGGATTCTCATTTACAAGCATCACGATCTAGAGGAAATCCCAGTGTACTCAGGTATTAAAGGAGACACTTGTTCATGTACAAATTAGGTAGTCCATTTAGTTGATTTCAAAAGATTACCAAAGAAAGCCTTCCTTAGGATCATGAAGTTATTATGTTATTTGTTAGAATGCAAATTACCCAGAACTTATAGAACTAATATAGAAAGACCCTGAAATAGTGGAATCTCTTGAACTCTGTATATCAAAGTTATAATGTGATCTTCCATCTACCTACACCACAGTGCCAGTATGCCATTCAAGAGCACATGATTTTACAGTCTCTGTTAAATTCACTTTTACTAAAGATAAACATGACAAATTTGTACATTTTACATAAAGAATCAAATCATTGAGCAATAACCACTTTTAGTTAACATTACTCAGCTCTAGAATTTCATGGCTAGGAGAACTACAATTCTCATTAATTCTTATTAAGCACAAGAAAATGAGATTTTTTCAGAATGAAGTCTAAAAATGAAATATGCTTTACTTTCCAATTAACTATATTTCTCTATGGAAATTTTCCTGAAGATGCTTCCAATCATCTACAGTAATGAGAACAGGTCAAAGAGGAAGCCATAAATAACTTTAAAGGGGAAATATTAGAATGATCAAATCTTACACGTTATGAGTCCCACATTTCCTATGTATGCACAGATTATGCTCAAATTTAGTGTAATATGGAGTATTTTTGTATTAGCTTTGTTGTAGGGTAGATTATTTGAAGTAGGTCTGCAAAGGACTGCTGTAAATATCCATGGTGGCATAACAGTAATGTAAACATGAATGTGAGAGTGGCAGGAGGCAGCCAAATGCCTAGAGAGAATAGGGGTGGGTCCTTGGTGAAGCCCCACTTCCAAGCCAAAGACAGTTTAAAGCCTGAAAGCCAAGCTACAAATTAAATCCTTGAACCGGATTGAGAACTTGTCTTCCTGTTTGACTCAATTTCTTCTGATTGATCCCCACCCTTCACCTATTTTACATACACCTACCCTTTCCTAACTGGTTTTCTACACTGTTGTGCCCACCATTGAGTGGTGTCTTCACTTTAACCTTTTTTACATACTCACAAACCAATCAGCATGCACTCCCCTTTCTGAGTCCATAAAAGGACCTGGACCCAGGCACATGGGGCACTTTCCCGCCTTTGGGTAGGGGAACCACCCTGCACTGCGTCTCCTATTTGCTGAGAGCTTTCCTTTCACTTAATAAATTTTACTCCACTCACTCTCCAGTGTCCACCTGTCTAATTCTTCCTGGTTGTAAGACAAGAACTTGGATCTAGCTGAACTAAGGAGCACAAAGACCACAACAAATGTAACAGGGACACAACTGTATGCACAGAGCAGACAGCCAGTCAGTACTTGCTAACCTACCTGTTACAGCTAAATCAATATCCCAGGGACTATACATGTCAGGGAACAACAGGTAGATTTCCTGAATTAGATTCTTTTCTTTAGGCATGAAAAAAGATCATCTATTAGTAAAGCCCATAGCTAGCCCTCTAATTAGAAATTTAACACAGATTAAATGTCCTTGTAAAATTAAACGAATTTCACTTTTTGACATTTATTAGATTTATACACAATCTAGTGTTTTACAAAAATCCAGCACTTAATAATAAGTTATTAGACTTAATGAAGTAAGTATAATCAGAATCCTTATTGATAACTCTCTCTACCAAAACATACTTTGACAATTTATGGTGGAGAAGAAAAGACTCATTAATTATCTGTTTATACTTCTGCTAATTGTAATCATTTAAAGTTGTTTGATCAGTATTTTTATATATGGCATTTATAATCAACTATAGAATCTTAAACTTACAAGTGAGAATTCTTTCAAAAAATTTCAAACAGAGCCCAGATTAATAATTTTTTGTTTGGAGACATCAGACCTTATCTATGTTTTAATACACAGCACAAATATACACCAAGAAAAATGACAAATAACCACATCATTAACATGCGCTTATTGAAACAACTACATAGCTGCACACAAAAGAATAATATTTGTACTTGTTTCCTTCCTTAATCTCTGCAGCATTATGAAGTAATATATTATAAAGGAAATCCTTTTTATTAATTAATGAGGAGGAGCAAATAAATATATTTCTATTGGCATTAAAAACTAGATAAATTTTTACCATTCAAAGGATTGCTACCTGAGAATATGTTTATGTAGTGGCATTTTGAATTCTTTTTATTTTTTAAATCCTATTTTTAAAAACTGCTAAATCTACAATACTGGGCTTGAAAATCACAATAATCAAAGACATGATTGTTCTGTGCACATCTGCCTCCTGTACACTTAGAGACCCTGCTCTGCTGACATTTTTTTCTGTGATTTTGTTTTTCTCCTAGATAACCTTCATATTCTGGGCATCAGCACAATCCTCCAAATCCCTTTTGAAAACAAATGCATCCTTATTGCTACGGCAGCCACTTAATCTAGACACAAATACAGCTATATTAGGTGCACTGTAATGAAAAGTGAGGTGTGTATTGGGGAGAATTTCCGAGGTTGTTTTAAAAGCTGTTTAACATTACACAGTGGTTATTAGTTTTTAAATAATACTCCATAGGAAATGCCATGCTAGCTTAAAAAGGGGGTAGAGCAATAAAAATGGGCCACAGTAACAAAAGCAACTGGGTGGCTTTTAGATCCCAAGGGTGGATAAAAGAAAAGGTTTCGAGCGAATAGATTGTTTATACCTACAAAAAGCAAGGTCTGGTCTGGAGGAAGGTATATAATAGGATAGCCCCCTTCATACTCCAAAAAATATTATGTAGTCTATTTCAGACTATATACCTTTACAAATTATTGTCTGCATAATTATGCCCTCAATCTAATTTACTTAAAATATATACCTTCAAAGATAACTGAAGGTAGAGTATTAATAATTATTAGGACATTTAACCCTGAAAGACTGGGTTCCAAGTAAACATAAAAAATTATTCCATAAGCCTGGCCAACATGGAGAAACCCCATCTCTACCCAAAATACAAAAATTAGCCAGGCGTGGTGGTGGGCACCTGTAATCCCAGCTACTCAGGAGGCTGAGGCAGGAGAATCGCTTTAACCTGGAAGGCCGAGATCTGTACCACTGCACTCCAGGCTGGGCGACAGAGCAAGACCCTATCTCAAAAAAAAAAAAAAAAAAAATTCCACAAACCCTTACTGCAATCTGAAGAGGCAGAAACATAGATATGAAAGACAGTGAATCAGAAAAGTACAGGGAACTTCTTCAAGTCAGTCTAAGCCAGAATATCCTGTATTGCTCAGGCAGTGGAGGAACAAGAGTCTTACAGAACCACACACATTCTCTACATTGAGAAATACTGTACCCTGACAGAAACCTGTCTCCCCATCCCAGCCAGCCCATGCCTGAGAGAGTGCCATGGACAGAGGTCAATGCTTCTCTTGGGAGTTCTCTTTTCCCTAGGTATGCTGGGAGGGAGAGAAACAGTAACACAGAAGAAAATACATATTTTTTAAAGGTTAAATTCTAAGCCCTCTGTAATCTCCACTAGAAACATGAGTATGCAGTTCACAACTGAATTTGCCCACTTAGTATCACAAGTGTTGCCTCTGGCAGTTCTTCCAGAATATTAAGAAAAACTCTGAGTTTTCTAAAATAAAAATAGCAGATTCCACTCTTCTGTCTGATGGGAAAGGTATCTACTAGTTTGTCATCTCTCTTAAGGGCCTAGAAAATTAATTTGGGTGGAGGAACACACAATGAGTAAATTTGGTTTGTTTCTCAACCTTCAAGTACTCAAGAAAGATGCACAGGGATGCATCAACAAAGTAATAAGATTATACACATTTTGGATCTTATATCTTTGAGTGAGTGTCAGTCTTCAGAAGAGTCACCTTATAAGAACTGTCCACTCATTTTCATGATGCTCAGCAGACTCCACAGATTCTTCTTTCGTAATAAACTTCTGGGGAAATCTATTTTACTACATGATAGTAACGCCTTATGTTAAGGAAGAACCTTAACTTTTGACACAACTTAGTATCTTGCTCACTTAAACAGCTCTGAACTACTATCAAATCTTTATGAGTAAAAGCATGTGATAGATACTGAAATTGAAATAGGACCTCATCACTGTAGCACACATGTAGCTGTGTAGTTTTCTGTGATGATTATTGAGGAAATTATACTTGTTTAGCTGGATTTTTTTGAAAAAATTATGTGTAAACAACAACAGCAAAAGCCTGTATTTTTAAAATCTGGAAGACAATAGCAGTGAAATATTTCAGAATAGCTCTTGAAGTTTCCCAGTTAAGCCATTTGAACTTATGTGTTGGCCTATGAAATTTGAAAATCTGATTTGATGAATTACTGGAAGAACTATGTTATTTAAAGGCATCAAATAGCCACTTAGTTTAAAAATGTGCTCATGATTACATTTCAGAATCTTTCTTAGAAAGACAATTATTGTAATAGATGCTGTTAGTGCCCCCACATACATCCTTTTTACCAGGCCTGTATACCAGGCCCCCGGGGCTCTCAGGGTCAGCTACTATGGTCTTTTCTCCAGAGGACTACCCTCATTGAAAGGGAGCCACCTCACTTGGTACTATGTGGGAGGCTGTCCTTTCCCTCTGGAGACAGGCCCCACCCAACAACAGACTGATGAATACAAAAGAATTCCTTTGCCTCTCTGGAGCCACTCACACTCCAGAGCTCCCGGTGGGATGAGGTGGAAGCTAGGCTTCAGCAAACCCATCTCTTTGCGTGGCTTTTCCTGATGGTTTAGTCTGTTTCTCTCTCGCTCACTCACTTCCAGGTTTCAACGGAGAGTGTTCCTTCAATAAATTAACAGGCCAAAAGAGCCCACTGCAAGCTCTACAACTACAAAACCCACCCCAAGACAATTATGATCCTGTATAATAAAAGCAGTTTAAACTCTGAAGCAATATTTACATAAAAAGCAAATACGGTAGACACCACACTACCTTGACAGGATGAAGATTCGTTGTGGTGATAATTTTGTGCAGCGGGCCTGCCAACTTTGGGGGCAGTTTTGGCTCTTTATCCAGTCCCTGGGGCTTAGTGTAATAATCCAGTCTCTCTCGAGGAAAGAAATTGTTGATTATGGTCACACAATCATGTTGACCTTTTCATAGAAAAATAGAAAAGTTGTAGTTTTAGTATTAAAAATAACACATCTGGTTTTTAAAATTAATTATGTTGCTATTTTTGTGATGTAAACATGCACCAATATCTTTATTTTTCAGGAAAGGAGAGTAGAGGAGGAGGAGGAGAGATAAAATATTTTAGAGAACATTTATAAACATTCCTTGTAAAGTTGATAAACAATCTTTGAAAGACACAGAATCCAAAATACATACGAAGATTATGTGGATTACAAAAGAAAGCACTGCTCAACTTGTAAGAGACCTTAAGTATTTTCTAACAGTTGCTTGTAAGTTAAATGTCTCTTCTTCCCAGCCTACGCAAATGATGCTCATGTTTCCCTAATCACATCCAGTTGTATTTACACAAAATTTAAATTTACTCCATATAAAGTATTGTTCTTACTATAATGATAATATTAAACTAAACCCCCTCCCCCTTATCCCCTACCCCCTAAATTTGAGAAAAGCTTGCCCTCTTTGTGAAATGTAGAGAAAAGGCTTTCGCTCCCATAAGCTTGGAATCCACATCGTGGCTTTGCATAGAATTCCAAGCCACTTCTCTAAGCCATCTCTAGTTAAAAATGGTTCTATGAAAGCAAATTCTTCCCTAGCGAAGCTGCTGGTTTGCAAGTGTGCTCCTGCGGCGCCCCCCCCTCCCTAGCTCCCTCTCCACTACCTCTCTGGAGCAAAGCAGTGGCCACTCTGGGCAAGCAGGCAGAAGCCACAGGGCACACAGGAGGGCGGGCGCAGGCTCTTCCTGGATCTCCGGAGGAGACTTCTTCCTCCGCTCTGCCTGATGAGGGCTGGGGGACCAGCGGAGGCGCGCCTGGGGAGAGCGTGCAGACGCCATGGCCCCCGCTCCCGGAGAGTGGTTCCCCCTGGGTAGCCTGCATGGCCCCTGCCTGCTTGTGCTTGGTCCTGGGAGCGCCTGCTTGATCCTGCCGACAACAGGTGACCTGCGTGGGGATGGCACTGTGGGCCAGCTGGACGCTGGCGCTTGAGGCTGGCAGAGGGCTCTGCTTGTCCCTGAAAGTTCCTGGGAGAACCCAGGAGTGGCAGGCTTCATCCTTGTGCCTCAGCTGGTTTGCTGACCAAACCAGCTTAATGTCTCAATTAAATGGTTGAATACTTTTGATGAGACATTTTAGAACTTTTTTTTTTTATGGGAACACCTATCTTTTTATTGAAGCTCGATGTAGATTTTGTTTTAAGGAAGCATATGCAGTTTGTCTTCATCTTCCCTGGTTTCTTCATACACATTTCTAAATTTCCCCACAGTTACCTGTGTTGATTTTGATGCTGTATTCATAACCCACTTGCATTAGATTTGCTTGGTTGAATGTCATTTTTCTCTCTTCTTGAAGATTCTATAAGGAGAGTGATAATTTTCTAAAGTAATTAATTAATGTCTTAATTGAGACATTAAATTTTCTTCTTCCACTGATCCAGGACCCTATCAGCTTTACCTGACTTCCTGGGAGGTACAGAACAAGGTACGTATGGGGATCCAGCAATTCTGAAGACTACGCCATGCCTCCAACAGAGGGCTTCTTGGGTTGAAAGTGTGTGGGTAACATTTACCATAACAATAACTACCACAACTACAGCTAATAAATGCACTTAAGCAGATTCAATTATAATATATAAATAGACTTTCAAGAGCCGCAGAGAGATTCAAATTTTAAAAATTAACAGGCAAACTGAAAGAGGTGATCCTGGTTACTATTGAGAACTAAACTAGTAACACAGAGGATGAAGGGCAGGCATGGTGGCTCATGCCTATAATCCCAGCACTTTGGGAGGCTGAGGCAGGAGGATTGCTTAAGCCCAGGAGGTGCAGACCAGCCTGGGTAACACAGCACAAACCCGTTTCTACAAATAATTTAAAAAATTAGCTGGATACAGTGGTATGTGCCTGTAGTCCCAGCTACTTGGGATACTAAGGCAGGAGGATTGCTTGGGGCCAGGAGTTGGAGGCTACAGTGAGCGTGTTTTTTTTTTTTTTTTTTTTTTTTGGGTGAGACAGAGTCTGGCTCTGTTGCCCAGGCTGTAGTGCAGTCACGTGATCTTGGCTCACTGCAACCTCTGCCTCCTGGATTCAAGCAATTCTCCTGACTCAGCTTCCCAAGTAGCTGAGACTACAGGTGTGTGCCACCACACCTGGCTAATCTATTTTGTATTTTCAGATGGGGTTTCACTATGTTTGCCAGGCTGGTCTCAAACTCCTGACCTCAGGTGATCTGCCTGCCTTAGCCTCCCAAAGTGCTGGGATTACAGGCGTGAGCCACCATGCCCAGCCAAAGCTGCAGTGAGTTTTGATCACACCACTGCATTCAAGCCTGGGTAACAGACACCCTGTTTCAACAAAACAAACAAAAAAGATCGAGTGGATGAAATATCTCAAAACAGAAAAATTCAGATATAGAAATCATTATACAACAGATGAAAGAGCTAAAGAACAAATCCAGGAAATCTAATAGTGAAAATTAACAGACATCTCAAAGGAAAAAAAGGAATAGATGGAGAATTAAACAAATGATAAAAGAAAACTTCCCTGATTTGAAAAGAGAATTTAATAGTGATCACAATACCATTTTTGGTACTCTATGCTTTTATTAAGTACCAGAACACCCAATTTCTTTCTTTTTGGGGGGATTCGGGGAGGTGGGTATTTCTTTTATTTCTTTCCCCAGTACATACGTCTTGAAAAGTCAAACAGTAGCAGTCTATATTAAAAATGTGAAATGAGCCAAGGTGCTCTGTTTAGAAAATGATCACCTCTCCTTCCAGAATCTTCAAGAGAGAAAAATGACATTCAACCAAGCAAATCTAATGCAAGTGGGTTATGAACACAGTTATCAAAATCAACCCAAGTAATTGTGAGGAAATTTACAACTGTATGTGAAGAAACCAGAGAAGATGAAGACAAACCGCACATGCTTCCTTAAAACAAAATCTACATCCAGCTTCAATAAAAAGATAGGTGTTTCCACACACACACACAAAAGTTCCAAAATAGCTCATCAAAAGTACTGAACCAGACATATGAAGACTTGAAGATAAAGGAGTCAGAGAAAAATAAGGAATTAGCTTATAACTGTATCTTCTCATCAGTCCTCCAACTAGTACAATTAGGAAAAGCAGGCAGCAGGTAGAAATATCTGTACATAAAAATAATTGCTACATAACAAAGATACTGTCACAAGACTAAGGATTTCTTTATTATACCTTTTTTTTTTTTTTTGAGATGGAGTTTTGCTCTTTTTGCCCAGGCTAGAGTGCAATGGCGCGATCTTGGCTCACCGCAACCTCCGCCTCCTAGGCTCAAGGGATTCTCCTGCCTCAGCCTCCCGAGTAGCTGGGATTACAGGTGCCTGCCACCACGCCCAACTAATTTTGTATTTTTTAGTAGAGGCGGGGTTTCTCCATGTTCATCAGGCTGGTCTCGAACTCCCAACCTCAGGTGATCCGCCCGCCTTGGCCTCCCAAAGTGCTGGGATTACAGGCGTGAGCTACTGTGCCCGGCCTAATTATACCTTTTTAAAAAGAAAAAATAGTATTACTTTACCTTTTTTTCCAGATTAAGGTTTTTCATTTTAGGTAATGCTTATTTTGATATTTTATTTTAATTAATCTGCTAATAACATATTTGAATAATATGTTTAAAGTTTATCTTTGTAAATACTTAATCATTTAGGTTTAAATGTTTGTAATTGAAATTCTTAAATATTTTACTAGTTTTAAATTTATAAATTCTGAATATACATAAATAAAATAATACTACTAATATAGAAAATAAATGCTGCAGGTGGAGAAGCCAGTACATCATTTTGCTCCCATATTACAATCACTAGATTTGAGTCCTCTAGACTTACAGGGCTCACTGAGTGTGATTAATAGGAACACACACATACAACAAGACGTATCCTTTTCAAATTTTTTACTTTCAAGGATAAACTGAAAATCAAATGCTCTTCCAGAATGAGAAATGTAAAGTTTACAATGGAAAGTAAGTTGAATTCTCATTTGCAAAACCAGAACTTAGAAAACTGTAGAATAACTTCTATATGTCGGAGAGAAAAGAACTCTGATATGAGTCAGAAAGCTAGGCAAAATATGACTCACATTTCAGAAAGAAAGGTATTAATAGTTTTGTCATGATGGGTGTCAAAGAATATACAACCTACGTAACCCATTTGAAAAGGTCCTATAACCAAAATCTAAATGAGAACAGAGATCTAAAGACAAAAATGCAAAAATGGAGACAAAGGGGAGGAGAGAGAGGACAGTAAGAGAGTGAGTTCATATGAGTGGGTGAAGATAGATGACAGGCAAATCACACAGCTGGTGGTATGGATTACTGAAAGAGAAGCAACACCCTGTCAATGACACTCTCATTACAGCTTGTGCTAAAAATACTAGACTCTCTCAGCAAAGTCCACAGCTACAGGTATGATTGGCACAGGTTTTGAGGAAGTATCAGAGAAGGCAGAAAGGAAAGACCTGTGGCCTGACAAGGCAAAAACAGAGAATGTGGAGAAATAAATGAAGTATAAGGATTTCATCTTATAAAGTTGCTAAATGGGTAAATATGGGGCCTTGGGGATGGGGTATGTGGTACTGTACAGTTTTGACCAGCCAATCACTTTAGGGAAATACATGTGTACACACACACACACACACACACACACACACACAGATGCATGCACAAACAATAGTCAAGTAAAATAAAGAGTAAAAATGAGGTAAAAGAGGAGGAATGCAACCACATATATCAGTAATTACATTAAATATACATAAGCTAAATACCTGTTAAGAGAGGGAAACTAACATTTTAGATTACAAAACAGAACCCACCTATATGTTTATAAGTTATACTACTTAAATGAAATGATAAAGATTGAAAATAACAGATGAGCAAACAGATCATTGACAAAAAAAGGAATTATGAATAGCTGTAATATCAGTAAAAGTAGAACTAAAAGAATTCAACAAGAAAAAGAGTGACATTATACAATGATAAAACCAATAGCAATATATTAAAAGTGAAAAGCTAAAAATATTTTCATTAAAAACAGGAAAAAGACATGCCAATTATCACTATTATTTCTTCTTACTTGGCCCGAAGCAAATTCAAATAGAAATCAAGATAAAGTTTAATAGCTAGAAAACGCAGTAAACTGTAATAAAAATAAGAAAAAAATACAGAAATCAATAGCTTTTCTCTTTATTATCCATAACCAGCTGGAAGTGACTGAGTGTGGAGGTGGTAGTGCAAATTCTTACCATGTGGACAGTAACCACAAATTACTAAGAAATAAATTTTGAAAGAAAGGATTGATATGAAGGAACCAATTAAATATTACTGAAAGACCAAAAGTCAGTCCCCTCCCCTAAAAGAAATGTAAAAGTGTACTGTGTAATTGGATGGAAAGTCCTAACCTCATACAAATGTTAATTCTCTGCAAATAATTATATAATCATTTAGTAAAAGAGAATTTAACTTACCACAAAGGTGGTATTTCAATTTAGTAGGAAAATGTTAGCTGGTGTAATAAATGGTGCCATCACAATTAGCTATATATCTGGGGGGAAATGAACTCTAAACAAATAAATTCTAGATGTACCAAAAAAATCATAAAAAATAACTGAAGGATATTTAGGAGAATACTTATGTAACTCCTGGTCAAGAGGCCCACTTTTAGCAAAACAAGAAACACGGAAGCTATAAAAGAAAAAATATGACTACTTAAAAATAAATTTCCTGCCGGGCACAGTGGTTCATGCCTGTAATCCTAAGGACTTTGGGAGGTGGGACGATCACCTAAGGTCAAGAGTTCGAGACCAGCCTGGCCAACATGGCTAAGCCCCATCTCTACTAAAAATACAACAATTAGCTGGGTGTGGTGGCACATACCTGTAGTCCCAGCTACATGGGAGGCTGAGGCAGGAGAATCGTTTGAACCCAGGAGGTGGAGGTTGCAGTGAGCCGAGATTATGCCACTGCACTCCAGCCTGGGTGACAGAGTGAGACTCCATCTCAAAAAAATAAATAAATAAATAAATAAATAAATTTCCTATGGTAAAGGTCTCCATAAAGTTAAAAAAGAAGAAGAAGAAAGAAGGAAGAAGAAGAAGAGGAAGAGGAGGAGGAAGAAGAGGAATAAAAAGAAGAAGAAGAAGGAGGAGGAGGAGGAAGAGGAGGACTGGCATAAAATATTTGAAACACATTTGTTAGATAATGGATTTGTATGCATAAAGCTCCTCAAAGCAATAACAAAGGGCATCCCCCCACAAAAAAATGAATAAAGAGTATAAGTGGGTAATCCACAAAAGTGAAAATACAAATTACCAACAACAGAAGTGCTTAATTTCATAAATAATGAGGGGAAAGTAAGTTCACAATGTACCATCTTTTTAACTATCAGAGTGGCAAAAATCAAAGAATGGTAATACTCAGCTCTGATGAGGATATTACTGTGAATTACTATGCCCTTTTGGAAAGGAATCTAGACTTACATTAAAATTAAAACTCTAGGCTGGTCGTGGTGGCTGTAATCCCAGCACTTTGGGAGGCCGAGGCGGGCAGATCACAAGGTCAGGAGTTCAAGACCAGCCTGACCAACATGGTGAAACCCCATCTCTACTAAAAATACAAAAAAAATTAGCTAGGCGTGGTGGCGCACACCTATAATCCCAGCTAGTTGGGAGGCTGAGGCAGGAGAATCACTTGAACCCGGGAGGCGGAGGTTGCAATGAGCTGAGGTTGGGCCACTGCACTCCAGCCTGGGCGACAGGGCGAGACTCCATCTCAAAAATAAATGAATAAATAAATAAATAAATAAATAAATAAATAAATAAAAATAAAAACTCTATATCCTTTGTCTCAGCAATTTTACTTCTAAGAAATACTTTAGAGATATTAAAGTTCTAACATGTAAAAAATATTCAAGTACTAACTTGTAAAACATAGAAAATCAAGGATGATTATTACATTATTTGTAGAAAAGTGGTTAAAAAACTGTAAAATCTGTCAATAAGGGAGAGCTAACTGAACTGTGGAACATCTATATCATGGAGTATCATATAGCTGTTGAAGGAAATGAATTACACCTACTGAGATGGGAGGAACTTCCATGATGTATTAGTAAGTGAAGAAAACAAGCTACAAGGAATATCTGCTGTGTGATGGGTGGCATTTTTAAAAAATGACAAAAATCTTATGTATGTATGTACGCATGTATACATACTGATCCACTTGAAGGAAACAAAAAGGGGAGAATGAGCTTTTTTAAAGGCTAATTATTTGGAAAATACAGTAACAACTGGAAGGGTGCAATGTAATTTTCTGTCTGTGAAATCAGTTAAATATATTAAAATGGAATGAAAACATTACTCTTATTTTAGGATAGGATTGCAAACAATTTTTACTGTAGTAAAAATTTTGTTAGTATTGTAGTGTTAAGAAAAAGAAAGGAGCATTGTGTTAATGCCTGAAAGAAGAGACTCCTCCATTTCCAGACCTGTGATCTTGGGAAATTTTTTTACCTGTATCTGAGCAATATTTTGTTACATTGTGGATATAATGAAAACTTGTACAGTTAAATAGAAGTTCAGAGATCACCTAATTCCCCTGCTTCTTTGCATACAGATCAGAAAACTGAGGCCTATGGAGGTAAAGGAATTTGCCCGTGATCCTATAACTAATTATCAGCACACATGAACTAAAGTTCAAGTCTCCAGATTCCTACTTTAGTGTTCTTTCCCCCTGCAGTGACACCCTCAAAATTAGCTCAGAACTGAGATGGGGCAACTTGGGGCCTGTACACACGGGAGTTAAAATATTTCTCCGAAGCTTACACAAGGCCATACCTTTCTCAAGTCCTTTTGAAATGAAAATAAGGATACTTCTTCTAACAGAAAAAGCTGTCATAAAGCAACTGAGTGTCTGGCTTAATCAATGGCAGCTTCTATTAGTAGTTTCAAGAAAATGTTCTAATAAAATTTAACATAATATTCAGTTACTATCCTCCACACCTAATTTACACTGTATCTGAACCTGACTTCTCTCAAAACCCCCTTGAATTGGACAGATCCTCCTCTTCTATGTATTTTTATGGAGCTCTGAAGTTCTACCTTGGAGTATGTGTTTTCGCACCATTTGTCATTGCTATTACCCTTTAAGTGCCAAGAAAGTATGAACAGCCTGTCTTGTCACTATAACCAAGACACCTACAGTGATGCTTGCTTTATAGGTTGTGAACATTATTTGTTTAATGAATTATTAGTCCCTATACGGCCACTTACTGCACTCCCAATAAATCAGACGTTGCTCTTTGCTTTTCTCTCAGTGGACTCTCTTCACCACCAATTCAATGGTGTCAAAATACCAAAGAACAAGAATTCACTCCCACTCTTTCCTTACATTATGTCAAGCAATAGGATTAACATGCCAAGAATTATTGGGCACACAAAATAAACGTCTGTGGTTGATGAGAATGATAACGAAGTAGTTGTATATTATTATCAAGTACTCTTTCCTAAGAGTTATGTCATTGTTGTAATAATTATTAACAACAGTAACTAATACCATTTATTTAGTGTTACATGGAAAGTTCAAGTCTATCACCTCTTTTAATCCTCACAATAACCCTGTAACATTTTACCATGAGGAAACTGAAGGTCAGAATTATTAAGTACTTTGCTATCACGTGGCACAGCCAAAATTTAACTTGGGATTACTGACTTCTCGGTTAGCATTCTTAAACATTAGGGTTAGCTACTTCCATCAGAGACATAAAATATACATGTTATAAGCATTTGTGAGCAATTACAATGGCCCCACTACTCTTTGTATTTGAAAAAGTGGAAATTCGAAATAGCCATTTGTTTTCTCCAGAGTCACTAGGTGTTTCATTAAGTTACAGTGGACTGTAAATACTTAAGTTTTTTTAAAGCAACATGATAATATTTTCACCATGAGAAGCAAAGTGGGTTTTTTTTCCACAAGGGAAATTTTGGGTATAATCTAATGCAAAACTGCAGCAAAATCTCACCCACAAAGGCTGCCATCTGAGCTGCTGTTCTTCCCACAGAGTTGACAACATCTGTCTCAGCACCAGCTTCTAACATTACCCATGTGATGTCTTTATTACCTAGAGTTTTAAAGGGAACACATTTGTTAATGTTAAGGAGGACACAATTTAAACATCCCTTTCTAAACTCTCTATACCCTTTATTCCCCCAGTTAGTTTTAGGTTTCTGTCATGTGGATATTTTCATTCTTTTAAAACATGAATCCTAACTACAGTAAAGAATAAAATGCTATAGAACCTTAGAAATTAACCTTATTTTCTGGAAAACAAATCAAGCAATGCAAAGGCAGTATGGAATTGAATACTGCCTTTTTAAACAAAATGAAATATATTTTCCTAGAGGTAACACTTACTATAAAATCAAAATACGCATACAAAACAATTTTTTAAAAAGAGATAAAATGAATAGGATTCCCCTTTAATATCGACTAATCCATCCCATTCCTCACACTTACAGGCTCTGGAAGAACTATTAACCACTGGGCATCTATCTTTCTACACCTTTTTTCTATCTAAACATACACATTATTCTATTCACATTCTTCTACTAAAGTAGTCATTATGGGTATTTTGCTATTATGAACTATACTCAGTGAAAAGTATTTTCCATTCATTTTCGCAAGTTTGAATTATGATTTCCTTAGGAACAGTTCCTGGGAAATATTGCCAGATCAAAGATTATGCATATTTTAAATGCATTTTGCCAGGCTGCCATCCAGCAAGGTTGGACTGACATGCACTCCCCCAAATAGTGTAAAGAAGTTCCTGAGCATTATAGCTCTTTCTTAACATTTGCCAGTATAATAAGCTAAAAAATAAAATTTATTGTTCTAATTTGCATTTTTTTGATTACTGCGCAAAATGTTTTATATTTTGATCAGCCAGTGGTATTTCTTTTGTTTTCCATCCAATTTTCTACTGTAGTATTTTTCTTTTTATACTTGATTTATAAGAAGTCTTTTTTTTTTTTTTTTTTTTGAGACAGAGTCTCACTGTGTCACCCAGGCTCAAGTTCAGGGGCACGATCTCAGCTCACTGCAACCTCTGCCTCCCAGGCTCAAAAATCCTCCTGCCACAGCCTCCTGAGTAGCTGGCACCACAGACGTGCGCCACTGTCCCTGGCTAATATTTGTTATTTTGGTAGAGACGGGGTCTCATGGTGTTGCCTAGGATGGTCCGAACTCCTGGGCTCAAGCAATCAGCCCGCCTTGGCCTCCCAAAGTGCTGGGATTACAGGTGTGAGCCACTGTGCCCAGCTAAAAGAACTTTTAATATTTCACAATATAATCTTTTAAGACATATAATACAGATTTTTAGTTTTTCATTTGTATTTTAACTCTATTTATGGTATATCCTACAAATGAAAATGTTAAATTTTTATCAATATTGTCCTTTTTGGATTCTGTGGTTTATATAATGCTTAGAAGTGCTTCTGGGTTCCAGGATTATGAAAATATAGATTATTATCTTCAAAGTACAAGGATATTACTTCTGTATTTTTCAAAGAGCTGCACCAATTACAGATAATCCCACTTAATTGTAGACAGTATTTCTAAATTGTCCTTATTCAGCAAATAATAAACAATACAAATCCGAGTAAGTTTCTAAAGGGATCATCATATTTAGTACATAAGTGCCAGTGAGGCAAACAGACGGCTCTGTCATGGCAACTGTTTGATCAAGAGAAGAAAGAAGTTTTCATGTCACTTGAAAATATAAAGATATAGAACATCAAAGGAGGTAACTTGAAAGAAAAACAGATCCAGTTCCTCAATTCCATCAAAATGTTGTCCACATAAAGAATCAATTGATCTAAATAACAAAAGAAACAAATCACCAAATTCACTATATAATTTATTTCCTGCATTATAGCTTTTCAAAAACCAATTGCCATCATTCCTTTCCATAAAACTTGACCATAAAATTACTAAAATCAAAATGAATTTAATCTTTTAGTATATATGTACTTATAACAAGTTTGTATAGGTAACTTATATTTATAAATACTAAAACTTCACCAGAAAGTGCAGCAAACATGAGGGCTGTGTATCCATGTTCATGCTGATGACAATTTACATCGGCTCCATGTCGCAGTAGTAATTTGCACATATCGAGTTTTCCTTTATATGCTGCATGCATTAGAGGAGTCATTCCATTCTTTAATAGAAAGAGGAAAAAAGTATTAATTTTACTGTTTTATCTTTTCTGTACCTATGAACAATTTCTGCAATTAGAAACATAAAACGAATATGAACTAATTAAAATGGTCATTATAATATGTATTTTTATATTTGCTTCCACACTTTGATCTTCCATAAACTTCTGAGGAAGAGATGGTTTTATTACTGGAGATTTTTTTACGGATTAGCAAACAGATTCAGAGAGGACTTGCTCAACCTCACATGACTAATAAATGGTGGGGGCAGGGATTGAAACCCACATTTTCCAAACATACTTACTTTCTCAGAAAGCAAATGAACAAACAGATACAAACATATTTTTTTAAAAGAAGAAAAATCTCAAATAATGCCTCTCAAGGGGAAAGTTGAATAAAGTATGGTATATGCATAACATGGGATATTATGAAGCTATTAAATGAATGATTCATCTGTATCTACTGAACTGGAACATTTTTCACAAATTATTGTCAATGAGAAAAGGTGAAGGAAATGCATATTACAGTGGTATCATTTTTTAAAACCATGATTCCCCAAATCACACATATATTTTGATCATACATATGATTTGATTATATGTGATTGTATAAATATAGAGAAATGGTTGGTAGTATTTAGGCTATATTGTTTGGTCAAATCACACATATATTTTGATCATACATATGATTTGATTATATGTGATTGTATAAATATAGAGAAATGGTTGGTAGTATTTAGGCTATATTGTTTGGTCAAATCACACATATATTTTGATCATACATATGATTTGATTATATGTGATTGTATATATATGGAAAAATGGTTGGTAGTATTTACGCTAGGCTACACTGTTTGGTCTCCATATGCTTTGTGCATATTCAACAAAACATCCAGCCTTTTATGTACTAGGCACTACTATTATTTGGTAGGTAAATGGATGAGCTGTTAGTGTGAGTGAATTTTCTCAGTAGTGTAGGCGAAACGCTGTAAGTACCAAAACATCAAAGTTGTTTTGGATGAAACGCTCTGTAAAACATATAATCCGTTACCTTAGTGAAGCTTAGAATGCTAACATAATGTAAATTATTCTTGATGCTTCCAGATTATTATTATGAACGTAAGCCATCATCTTGTTAATGCAGTACACACTATGTTCAGAGGGTTGTGGAGACGAGAATGATAGAGAGGCTGGGACCTTTCAGTTGCACAAGAGGCAACTCCGTGGAAGCAACGGACATTTCTTGAGAGTAAGAATGGAAAAATGATAAGCAGATGATAACTTTGAAGACTCCCTTAGCTGGGAGTCTCTACAGAGATGGAATATTAGTATGCTGGGAGTGGGTGGGTGGGTGTGGGTAAATCTCATTGCCGTGCTTCAAGGGAGTAGGAATGGACTGCATGGCCTTTAGCTTTTAAATAAGGCAATACCATATCGCGAGCATGACTAAGGTGATATCTCCTAAAGGATGATAGAATCTGTCCATAAGAAGCTAGTGTGTAGCCTGAGGGGTGGTAGGGGAAGGACACAGGCCCATCAGAAAGGCCACCACAAAGAAGCAAACAGCTGTTTCTTTTGCAGATTTTAGGACCCCGACTTCATCATGGAGTTTGTTTTTTTCTGTTTATCCAGAACAGGTGGGCAGTCAATTGCCCAGCAATCCAACCTACAACAAGAGGTTATCTAGCTCTGAGAATGAATAATCCCCAGACTACAGAACTGGCCTCTAGTTTAAACAAAACAAAACAAAACAAAACAAAACAAAACAAAACAAAACACAAAGCTTTCAACAGAATGTAATAATCTGCTTAAGAGCAAAAGAGATATGCAAAACTTTTGAATCTCACATCTCCAACTGTCCTTATTTTCCTGTGTTTGTGTTTTCACTGTCATCTGTGTTAATCACTTCTGCCCATTTACGTGTCTCCTATTACTCCCTTTCGTCTCATTTAAAAAAAATTTTCCTGGCTCTTTTCTCTTTCTCACTTGTTCTTTTCTGTTTACCAGCTGTCACCTTAGCAGAAATTGGTTTTTAGAGCAAACCAATGAGAGAGTTTCTTTCCAGAAAGGTAAGTATCGGCCAGGCACAGTGGCTCACGCCTGTAATCCCAACACTTTGGGAGGCTGAGGTGGGCAGATCACTTGAGGTCAGGAGTTCAAGACCAGCCTGGCCAACATGGCAAAACCCTGTCTCCACTAAAAATACAAAAATTAGCTGGGCTTGGTGGTGGGTGCCTACAGTCCCAGCTACTCGGGAAGCTGAAGCAGGAGAAGCACTTGAACCTGGGAGGTGGAGGTTGCAGTGAGCCGAGATGGCGCCACTGCACTCCAGCCTGGGCGACAGAGTGAGACTCTGTCTCAAAAAAAAAAAGGTAAATGTCTATCCCAATCATGTCATCTGCTGTGCAATCTCTGAAACTGCTCTTTTTGTCATGTGTATAATACAGTATATGATTTTCAGATACCAAATTTAAGTGCTGTGGTAGATGGTCCTGGGTATTAGAAAAAAAACTAGTGATAAGTAACAAATTTACACTTATTTTTCAAAGAAGTGGATATCACATGTACTTTCCTATCTTAGTACAATTTTGTGTTATAAGAATTTAGAACAGTATGAAGGAAATTATAAATTTTGACTGCAATGATTACTATGCATTATCTTGGTTCTAGTACCATGTGATTTATAAAAACTTTCCCATGGGCAAAGTAAAAAGAAGTAATATTAATAAATTTTGATGCTCCATAGAGATATAAACCCACCATGCTATAAATTTTCTATTTATTCTAGTGTTTTTATAGTATTTCAGTGTAAATATCCAGAAAAGGAAATAATTTGAAACAATACTGCTAATCTACTAGAAGTAGAAGAGAATATTCCCATGTTCAAAATACATGATGCAAGTTAATTTAAAATATTATATTACAGTTGTAAAGATGAAATAACTTAGTATCAGACAGAATACTAAATGTCCATCTCTACTCAAACTAGAAAGGTAGTGATAAATTTCATAAAATGTTATCATATTGTAATTCATCAATTCTAAGATGCATCTCACTTTTATATTTAAAATCTCCAGAATTTTCACTTTACTAAAGTCTCACAAATTACCATCAGTTTACACTCCCCTCATTTAAAAAATATCTAGATGAATTTTTAAATTTATGACATCTTAGACTCAATGATATGCAAGAGTAAAAATCCTCACGTCCTTGTCATTTCCCAAAGATAACCTTGTAGGTAGTCTGCTTAACTGAATAGCATGAGAAACAAGCTTCTACAATTCTTTAGATACAATCCCCTTAAAAATAAAGTTCCTCTCCCATAATTCTTAAGTCAAAGAATCAATCAACATTAGGTTATTACATTGGAATTCTATGTCATTAAATGCAGCATCCATTCATTCAGCAAATATTTAATGAGTGCTTAATACATGTCAGACACTGATCTATACATTGGAGGTAGCAATAAGCAAACTTCATGCCTCCCATAGTCTAAGTCCCTGGGACTTACAGTACAGGTGACTAGATGGATGGTGATACAAGTGCTGGAAGAAAATAACATTAAGCAAAGGAGAGTAGTGCCAGAGGGAAAGAGAAGACTATTATTTTAAAGAGGACATTCAAGGAATGTCCCGCTGAAAAGGTGGCACTTGAACAAAGCCCTGAAAGGAGTTAGGGAGGCAAGGAATGCAGATAACTACAGGAAGGATGCTCCAGGGAAAGGGAATGAAAGTGCAAAAAACTTTGTGCTGTGTTCAAGGATCATCACAGAGGCCAAGTCTGTCTGCAGCCCACTCAATCTTCAGGAACACATAGGAAGCTTCTTGTCTTGATTCTGGTACTTCTATTTGAACATTAAATATGATGCTAAAGTTTGTGGAAGGTTTCTGCAAACCTATCAGGTTACAGAAGAGTCATTCTATCCTAATTTGTTAGTTTATACCATCAAAGGTTATTACATTTTATAATATACATTTTAGCATCTGTTGTGGTGATCCTATTTGTTTCTCTTTTATTCTGTAATATAGTGAATTACACTGAAAGGTTTTCTAAAACTGAACTATCCTAACATTCTTGGAAAAACCTTACTTGGCTATGATATCTTATAATCCTTTTAACAGATGGCTGCATCAACCTGCTAACATTTTTAGAATTTTTGCCTCTGTATTTATAAAGTGAATTGGGTCCATAGTTTTGTGAAACTTCTTACTATTTGGCATCAGCATTATGCTAGCCTTATCAAATAAATGAGTTGAGTATCTTCCCATCTTTTTCTAAACTAATGGTATAATTAGTGTAAAATGAGAATTAACTGGTCCTTAAAGTTTGATAAAGCTTACTCTGGTTTGCAGCTTTTGAAGGTGGTAGGAGATTTAAAAATATTTATACAAATTTTCCTTAATTATTGATTATTCCAATTATTGATTATTCCAGTTTTTCTACTTTTTTTTTTTTTTGAGACAGAGTCTCACTCTGTCACTCAGGCTAGAGTGCAATGGTGCAATCTCAGCTCACTGCAACTTCCGCCTCCAGGGTTCAAGCGATTCTCCTGCCTCAGCCTCCCAAGTAGCTAGAACTACAGGCGCCCGCCACCACGCCTGGCTAATTTTTGTATTTTTAGTAGAGAAGGGGTTTCACCATGTTGGCCAGGCTGGTCTCGAACTCCTGACCTCAGGTGATCCAACCGCCTCGGCCTCCCAAAGTACTGAGATTACAGGCGTGAGGCACTGTGCCCGGCCCAGTTTTTCTACTTCTATATGAGATGAATATATTCATTTTAATTTTCTACAAAGATCATATGGGTTTCCAAATGTGTTATCTTAATAAAAAAGTTATGACAATCTTCTTTATAATTGCAGTTATGTTTTTCTTTCTCCCTCCCTCCCTCCTTCTCTTTCTCCTTTCTTTCCCCCCGTCTTTCCTTCCTTCCTCTCTCCCTCCCTTTCTCCTTTCCTTCCTTCCTCCTTACTGTTTATACATGTTGTTTTCTTGCTTGTACTTCCCAAGCTGTATCTATATTTTGGTTTTAAGTTGATAATTTTTACTGTTTTTTCTTTCCTGTTTTATTGAGATACAATTCATATAGCATACAATTTACTCAATTAATTTGTACAAATAAATCGGTTTATTATACTCACAGAGTTGTGCAGCCATCACCACAATCAATTTTTGAATATTTTCATAATCCCTGAAAGAAACTCCATACCCATTAGCAGTCATTTCCCACTTCACCCCCACTCCCTTACTCAGCCCCAGTCATCCACTAATTTACTTTCTGTTCCTATGAATTTGCCTATTTTTGGTATTTTGTATAAATGGAATCCTAAAATATGCAATATTTTGTGACTGACTTCTTTCACTTAGCATTAATGTTTTCAAGGTTGATGCATGTTGTAGCAAGTATCAGCATTTCTTTCATCTTTGTAACTGAATAATACCCATCATAGGATTATACTATATTTTGTTGATGTATTCATCAGTTGAACATTTGGGTTGTATCTACCTTTGACTATTATGAATAATGCTGTTATAAACATGCATTTGCATATGCAAAATTTTGTGTGGATATATGTTTTCATTTCTCTTAAGTATATATATAGGATTTCTGGGTCATATGGTAACTCCATGTTTAATCATGTGAGGAACTGCGAGACTATTTTCCAAAGTGGCTACACGATTTAACATTCCCACCAGCAATGTATGAGGGCTCCAATTTCTTTACATCCTTGCTAATACCTGCTATACCACCTTTCTGATTATAGCTATCCTGGTGGATATGAAGTGGTATTTCATTGTGCTTTTTATTTGCATTTCCCTGATGGTTAATGATGTTGAGCCTTTTTTCATTATGTATTGATCACTTGTATATCTTCTTTGGAGCAATATCTATCCAGATCCTTGGCTCATTTTTTAATTGAGTTATATATTGTTTTATTATTGAGTTGTAGAAGTTCTTATTATTTTCTAGTTACAAGTTCCTTATCAGATATAATTTATAAAATTTTTCTCCCATTTTGTAGACTGTCTTTTCACTTTCTCGGTGGTACGCTTTGAAACACAAAAGTTTTTAATTTTGATTATTTCCAGCTTATCTATTTTTATATTGTTGCTTATGTTTATCTGCTTTTAAAATTTTTTATTTCTGTTTTTTCTAAATCATTTCTTTTTTTAGTATACTTACTCTTTTAATAATTTCATGAACTGAAAGCTCAGAACACCATAAAGATTAAAAGTGCAATGATAAACACTACAAAATTTCTTTTGAGTATCACTTTGGCCAGCAAACAAAGCTTTTGATAAATGTTGTATTTTCAGTTGTAAACAGTCAGCAATTTTTATTCCTATATCTTCATTAACCTGAGAATTATTTAGAGACAAAAAAACAAATTCCAAGATATGTGCTTCATTATTTGGATTATATTTTTGTTTCTTTTCGAATGTATTATACTACATTTAGCAAAGCTGTCTGAAATAAGCTACAATTTCCGTTATAAAATAGTATAATACATGGATTAATTTTTATCAATGTTACATGTAAAGAAGATATACTATTTTTTTCTGCTAATATACAGTCCATGTACTGTTAATTGGGTTGTCCAAATTTTCTACATCCTATGTTACTTTTTTTCTATTTAATCTGTTAGTTTCTAAAAGGTGCTATTGCGATCTTACAGATTTCTCCTTTGAGCACCATCATTTTTTTCTTTATGAACCTCAATGCCTATAGCTGATAAGTTTATAAGAAAAGGCTTAAGGCTATTATGTTCTTGGTGTATTATTAATTTAATATATAAGACAGAATATCCATATAATTATTTTTTGCTTTAAACTTTATTTTGTCTGATATTAATTTTGCTACCCATGTGTGGGTAAAGAGTTAACAGAACCCCTTTCCCTTCTGCATGAGAAATTGAAGTTCAATGAACTTTTTAGCACTAGACTGTGCTATATAATATAGTAGCCACTAGCCACATATGGCTATTTAAATTTAACTTCTAATTAATTAAAATTAAACAAAATTAGAAACCGGTACTTCTAGCCAAGATATAGTAACAGAAACCAGAGTTATCTTCTTCCTAGAGTAACAGAAAAACAGACAAAATAACAATTTGCAAGACACTGTCGGTTAGGCAATAAAACACATGATCCCTGAGAAAGGGAAAGCAACTGAATTGGCTCCTGCAATTGCCTAGCTTATAACCTTAAGAGGGTTTATAGGTTACAGTATATGGAGAGGTCAGCCAGACTGAGCCTGGCAGACTGCATTGAGGCGATGGAGTTGAGCATCCAGGGTCACCAAGTTGGCTTAAGTTCCCAGGAAGAGTAAAAGAGAGAAGAGAGCTGCACAGAAAGGGAATTCTAAAGATCTGCAGAGGGTTTCTTCAGAGTGTTTGGCTGGAGTACTGATCAACACACGCGTATGTGGAAACTACCCAAGCCTGGGCAAATAACTAGCTGACAGCATTACAAGGAATAGCATCCAGTGCTCACACAGGGCCAGGAAGAGTGCCTGTTCCCACCAGCCAGGCTTGAAAACCTCAAGCATCTGAGAACATTGCATAGAGGACAAGGAAGTGCCTTAGTTCAACACCAGGAAAAAAATCCTTTACTGAGCATTTTGCTAGTTCCACCTAACAAACATTAAAAACTAGAACTGAAATAATCAAACTGCTTCCAAGTAACTTAACTGTGTTCATGAAAAAAAGCTCAGGAGTATTTATCAAAATACAGAATCATACAGCACCCAGTAAGGTAAAATTGACAATGTCTAGCACCCAATAAAAAACAATCAAACATGGAAAGAATAAAAACATACAACCCATAAAGAGAAGATAAATCATTCAAAAGAAATAAAAACAGATGTCCATACCAACATTTGTACATAAATGTTCATAGAAGCTTTATGGTAATCATCCCCAAACTGGAAACAACCCAAAACTCTAACAGCTGATGAATGGATAAAAAGATTATGGTATACACATACAACAAAAAAAACTACTCAGCAAGAAAAAGGAATAATATATGCTACAGCATGGGTGAATCTCTATGCTAAATAAAAGATGCTAGATTAAAAAAAGAGTACTTATTGTGTGATCTCATTTATATGAAATTCTTGGAAATGCAAACTAATATATTGTGACTAAAAGCAAATTAATGCTTTTTGCAGGAGTGGGTGGGGAAGGGCAGGAAGGAGAGATTACAAAGGGGTATGAGGAAATCTTTGAGGTAATGGATATCTACGTTATCTTGATTATAGTGATGGTTTTACAGGTATATACATATGTCAAGCTTAACAAATTTTACACCTTAAATATGTATAGCTTATTATATATTAATTATACCTCAATAAAGCTGCTAATAACCGAAAGAAATGAAGGAATCTAAATATCCATTTCCTCAGTCAAACTTCCCTTATTTGAAGTGTTTAATGGTCACACATGGCCAATGGCTACTGTAATGCTCAGATGTTACCACCATTTCCAAAACTTATTTTAGAAGCAACTATTCTAGGAAATTGAGTTTAGGTTCACTTAACTTTCCCTAGAACTGAAGTTGCTGGATCAAATAATATACTCAGTTAAAATTGATACATATTCCAAAATTTTCTACAGAATAGTACATCAATTTACACTTAACCATTAGCATTTAAAAGTCCATTTTTCCCCATGCTTGACAAGAAATAATATGATTTTGACTTTATTTGCACTTATTTGATTACTAATAAGACTAAACTATTTTTACATGCTTATTTTTCTTTTATGACCTATTTGCTTACATTTAGTTTAGGAATTATTAGTGTAATATGAGCAAAAATGCTAGAAAAAAAACTTGTATTAAGAGATTTGAAGGCTGAGCGTGGTGGCTCATGCCTATAATCCCAGCACTTTGGGAGGCCAAGGCAGGAGGATCATGAGGTCAGGGTTCGAGCTCAGCCAGGTGAATATAGTGAAACCCTGTCTCTACTAAAAATAGAAAAATTACTCAGGAGTGGTGGTGGGTGACTGTAATCCCAGCTACTTGGGCGGCTGAGGCAGGAGAATCACTTGAAACAAGAAGGCGGAGGTTGCAGTGAGCCAAAATTGTGCCACTGCATTCCAGCCTGGGCGAAAGAGCAACACTCCATCTCAAAAAAAAAAAAAAAAAAAAAAAAAAAAAGGATATATTATCTCTTCTTATAGGAAGTAAAATCCTTTATTAAACTTCTAAAATCTTACCTCGTCCAAACAGTTGACACGAACATTCTTGCTGGATAATAATGTTCCAGCTTCTTGGACAGTACCTAAAAAAAAAAAAAAGATGAAAAGTAAGGTTATTCGTCACTAGAATAAGAGAAAAATCTAACATCAAGGAAATAAACCTTAAGGAGTTATCTGTAAGAGTACATCTAGTCAGTGTAGGTTGCTAAGAAATGAAACATCCAATCACATACTATTTATTTTACAAAGTAATTGTCCAGTAGAATAGATTTACAGAAACTAAAAATAGCTCCATCTTGTTTTTATTTTCACTGACCTTAAAGTATATTACATTGGCCACATTTTCCTTTTGGCGGTAATACAATAACCACAAAGCATAAGACTTAATACTGAAAAAAAATCTTAAAGGGTATCTAATCCAAATCACCATCTGAAGCTTAAATTCCAGTCAATGTAATACTTGGAATTCAAAATGCAGTCAGTATTTATATAATTTGTCAGCACCACATCTTGTGAATTGATGACATATTTATAATAGAGTGCTTGGTTTGGAAATACTTAGGTGAAACACATCTTCAATGCCTAGTACTACATTACAGTGCTCTATGATCAGTACTCACCACCCTGAAAGTCAACTAATGTAAACCTTAAGGTCACTCCTCTGTAAATTTGGAAAGAAGCTATAATTGGGCCAAAGTTGTCAGGTTTTTCCAGTCTTCTATAAGGCATAATGACAGAAGCATACTTGCAGGAGAGAATGTTGCTATTATCATTAGTACAAGCCAGCCACACATTTTGCCAAGAAATTTCTGGTTTTACTGGGAAGAGAAGAATGAAATTGAATGTGCTGAGGGAGAAAGGCTAAGATAAGCCTCTCCTATAAAAGAACATAAAAGAATAGGTAAGTCTCCCAATCAGGTTATTTCCTCTCTTTAAATTTAGACTTGTAGTGCAAGACTGTGCTAAACTCTGCTAGCCTTCTAGAGTTAAAGGTGAAATGCAAAATAAAGATTAGCATGCTTTTTTCTCTCTGACCCACTTCTTAAGCAAGTCACCTGAGTTCCCCTCACCAACAGAGAAAAAACAGAAACATCTCCTAGATAGAGAAGTAGCTCTGTTGGGAAAATGTCAAGTGAATGATCTACACGTCCCTGGAGTATGATAGCAGCTATTTTTTTTATAAATAATGCATTTTTCTGACCCTGTATTCCATCTGAAAGCAGTTAGTATCACTGGCTGAATCGCTATGCAAGGGCAAAGCTCTTGTGTGTGTGAGCATGCGAGCCAGTTCTACATGAAACCTTATTCGTATCTGTGTCTTCTCATCAGAGACTTTCTCAAAAATCTTTATAGAAGAATAAAACCAGAACAAAAACCCCGCACCCCAGTTTCTCTTGAGGAAGATGCTTCATCCAAATCCCATTCTCTACTGAGAACCAAAGTTATTTTCTTTTTCTATCTGCCCAAGAGATGTTTTTGCAAGAAAGGGAGAATACTATAGTGATTGTAAGCATGTCAAAACCTGCTACATGGGAAGAGTAGAATGGGGATTAAGATCATAAACATTTGGCTCTCATTAGAGAACAGGCTGATAATTCTCTAAGGTGTTTGCCAAATAGCCAACAATCTAAGTTAACATATTCTGTAAGGGAACAATATATTTTAAAGATGATGCATGTATAATGGAAAACAAACTGTTCTCTCCTGCTTAACTCTCACTCAATAGTCTCAATCCTTCACTTCTGACACCAGATATATGGGGTTTCCCCCATAAACACCAAGCAATTCTCCATTGGACACCAATGGGGTATCCTATAATTTAACTCATTTCTAACATTGTTTATCTAAAGTTAGTCAGATCTTACAGGTCAAGGGCTCAGTCCACAAGACCGTCCCCACTTCAGATGCCAATCATAAGCCCCTGTACTTCTGACTGGCTATAAATCAGGGTTCCCATGATCCCCTCCTCAGGTTCCATAATTTGCTAGGACAGCTCACAGAACTCAGGGAAACACTACTTACATTTACCCATCAATTACAAATAATATTACAAAGGACAAAGATGAACAGCCAGATGGAAGAGGGGCAAAGAGCAAGGTATGTGGCACTTGGCACAGAGATTCCATGCTCTTTCCAGGCACTCATTCTTCCAAGAACTTCCACGAGTTCAGCAATCTGGAAGCTCTCTGCAACCTGTAGTTCAGTAATATTTATGCAAGCTTGATTACATAGGTGTGACCTATTATTAAGTCAGTCTTCAGCTCCTCTCCCTTTCCTGAAGATGCGGGGAGGGGTGGAGTTGAAAAATTCAACCTTCTAATCATGGCTTGGACTTTCTCATGACCAGCCCCCATCCTGAAGCTATCCAACAGTCGCCTCATTAGAACAAAAGACATTTCTAACGCCCAGGAAATTCCAAGGGATTAGAAACTCTGTGTCAGGTACCAGGGTCAAAGACCAAATATTAGAACAATAGATGCACCTAGCACCCCATTGTTCAGGAGATTATAAGGGTTTTAGGAGCTCTGTGTTAGGAGCCAGTGGCAGAGACCAAATAGATATTTCTTATTATATCCTACATGTACACGTACCCACAATCACACTAAGGTTAGCCTTTTGAAATGCAGGGGCTGGAATGAGAAAAATAATCTGAAACAGATTGGGCTTCTAGAGGGTAAAAATAGATTTGGAACATGGATGAGCAAAACACTCCAAGAGGAAAAACTGTGATGATTTCCAATTCGGTGTTCACAATGTAATGACATTAGTCGGAAATTATAGAAGGTCCAGAATAGCATGGAAATGTGAAACACATGGCTCACACAGAAGGATTTTTACTTTATGTCATTCCTACTGTCCATAGTAGACTTAAATAATATTTTACAAGTAAGTGTAAAAGATTAATTGCTTTATTCTGGGAAATAAATATGTTAAATCTGATTTAACAAACTGCTGGGGGTGGAAGATAGAGTACTATAAGAAGGGATGTGCAAGGAGCCAACATTTACCTTCATTGGAGATAAGAAACAACAGACCTAAACTAATTAAAGTAATAATTAGTGATTTATTTCCCTTTAGAGAATTCCTCCAACTGCTCAAACCAAAGAAGAAAATACAGCATAACCTGCCTCATTAGGGTGGAATTGATCACTTTATCTGGATGAACAAGCATTTTAGGAGAGAAAAGATTATGTACATAATATTTTCCCAGCATGGACAACATAGTGAGACCCCATCTCTACAAAAAATTTTCTAAAAAATTAGCAAGGTGTGGTGGCATGGACCTGTAGTCCCAGCTACTCAGGAGGCTGAGGTGGGAGGATTGCTTGAGCCCAGGAAGTTGAGGCTGCAGTGAGCTATGATCATGCCACTGTAATCCAGCCTAGGCAATAAAGTGAGACCCTGTCTCAAAAGAGAATGATATTCTTAGTGTTACTGCTCTCTCTTCTACTACATTATAGCTTTTTCAGGAATACTATAAAGTGGAACAAGACCTGCAAAACTTGGCCAGGCATGGTGGCTCACACCTGTAATCACAGCACTTTGGGAGGCCAAGGCGGATGGATCACCTGAGGTCAGGAGTTTGAGACCAGCCTGGCCAACATGGTGAAACCCCATCTCTACTAAAAAAAAAAATACAAAAATTAGCCAGGTGTAGTGGTGCGTGCTCGTAGTCCTAGCTACTCAGGAGGTTGAGACAGGAGAATTGCTTGAACCCAGGAGGAGGAGGTTGCAGTGAGTCAAGATCGCGCCACTGCACTCCAGCTTGGGCGACAAGAGCGAGACTCTGTCTCAAAAAAATAAGTAAATAAATAAATAAAAGTAAATAAAAAGACCTGTAAAACTCTCAGTTTCCTTATCTATGAAATAAGGATAACAATATCCATCCCACAGTTATCTGAGGAGTGTCCTAATGTGGAGCACATATAAGCCTTTATTAGATCTTCTTTTTATTTTGTATTCAGAGCAGCACAATATAATTCATTGTAACATTTCTAATATCTAGATCGGGAACACGGGTCTCTACCAAAGACAAGAAGATGCAGCCAAAACAAACAGAACAGGAGAAACAAACATTCTGTTTTCAGCAATTCATCACACAACCATGAGATTCAAACACGTATAGATTTCAATCGTTATTCATTATTATTGTTTTAATTTTTTATAGATACAGGGCCTTCCTCCATCGCCCAAGCTGGAGTGCAGTGGCATGATCATGGCTCACTGCAGCCTTGAATTCCTGGGTTCAAGCAATCCTCCTGCCTCAGACTCTTGAGGTGCTAGGACTACAGGTGCACGCCACCGCACCCAGCTAATTTTTACATTTTTTGTAACAACGGGGTCTCACTATATTGAGACCCAGGCTGGTGGCAAACTCCTGGGTCCAAGTGATCCTCTTGGATCCTCCCAAAGTGCAGAGGGGTCACTCTACAGGCATGAGCCACTATGTCCAGCTGGATTGCAATCATTATTTATTGGAAGCCACGAAAACGGATATTTTAAGGAATATATAATCAAGTTAAGGATTTAGAAATCTATTTGGCTTTGTTAGTTGTTATAGTGTTTACGTATAAGTAAAATCATGTAAAAATGTTTAAAGTGCCTTAATTTTAAAACAAGAACATATGGATATAGATTTTGATATAATCATAGATATAAAGCTATAAATATATTTTAAAAGTGAAACCCCATCTCTACTAAAAAGACAAAAATTAGCCGGGCGCGGTGGTGCACGCCTGTAATCCCAGCTACTCAGTAGGCTGAGGCAGGAGAATTGCTTGAACTTGGGAGGCAGAGGTTGCAGTGAGCCGAGAGCGCACCATTGCATTCCAGCCTGGGTGACAGGGTGAGACCCTGTCTCACACACAGACACACACACACACACACATAGTGGAGACTTCTAATTATAACATGCATTTTGAAATCGTGAATTTGTGCGATGTTTCTAAAAGGTCTCCTACTCATATCTATTTTTAGACTTTGTAAAAAAATGATCTTAAATTAGTATTACAGAGCACTGTATAAAATTGGGAGTATCTAAAAGAGCTGTTGCTGTGAAAATGAAGACAATGAAGCCCATATAGGTTGCATAACCTGTCCAGCCATCCAACTAATGGTAACCATATATTTTAATTTTTTCTTTGAACTCTGTACTATAATTGGTTATAAGCAGACTTGAATGTTTCTCAACCATAAAGACACCAGAAGTATTATTAACGACACAGGACCTTAGAACAGGATCTTATTTCAATAGTCCCAAATTGGAAACAACAATTGGGCATCAATGGGAATGGATGCACAAATAGTAGTATATCCTTCCACTGGAAATAAAAGAAGAAAATAAGCTACATACTATTGGTACACATAATAAATATGAACCCCAAAATCATAATGTTGAATGAAAGAAGCCAGCCCCCCCTCAAAAAAAGGATACTTATTGTATGATTCTACTAATATAAAATTCTAGAATAGAGAAATCTAATCAACAGAGGCAGAGATCTGTTAGTGGTTGCCTGCAGATGGGGGTGAAGTTAGTGACAGATCACAAAGAGGCATAAGGACTTTTTAGGGGGTGATGAAGATGTTCATTATGTTGATCTTACTGATGGTTTCACAGATGTATGTTTAAATCAAAACTGATTAAAAAGTGTGTACTACCTGTAATATGTGCAATTTATTGTATCTCAATAGTTGGTAAGAAAAAGCCTTATTATCCAAACTTGTTTCATAGCTCCTTTACACAGATATGAAAAAAAAAAAGGAAGTATAATACTTTCTTGTTAGCAACAGTAAGCCCAGGAATTTCAGGTACTAAATAAGAGAAGTAATGTGAAAATTATCTAGCTCATAGCCTTAAAAAAGGTTTAATTTATTTCATAATAGTGCTTGCTCTGAGATTAATGAAAAAGGTATCAAAGCTTAGAAGAATGGGTAACTCTACAAGTCATATAAGCCAGTTAAACACAGTTCAGTGATTTCAATTTCCTCTTACATACTGTTAAATGAATGCTGTCATTAACTATGATTTAAATGGGTATGTTGGAAACAGATTTTCATTTTCATCTGGAACTTCTTGGCATTCTAATAAATAAAAAGCCCCACTTAGAGTCTGTCTTTCTGGAGAGCAGTGGCTGGCAGATGGGAATCACTTAAATATTTGCCGAGTTTATTTCAGATTGACCAAGATGCCAGGCTAGACTTTGCTGAAAAGTTGTTAGTTCAAAGTACTAGAACTTATTGTCTCATCTAGAGTTTTTCAAAGTTGAAAAACGTATGAAAGAAAAAAAAAAAAACTCACTTCACCCACTTTAAAAAAAATGCCTCTTTTTGGCACAAATATAAACTTTGCTTATGGCCTTTCTTCAACTATAAAATAAAAATTTACTTTAAATTTAATGCACACAGAACTACAAAATCAGTAACATTTAAAACTGAGTTAACTTGACAGATGTTGTTTTGCTAGAACTAAATGACCTCTCAAAGTGAATATTGTATGGACTGCTATGGTACTGTTTCATGTTTTGTTTAGTTTGTTTTTAGGTACAGCCTGTTTATTACCTATGGGCCCTGTGATACCTCTGCTCTGCCACTTTCTGCCACTTACCTGTTTGACACTAAGTTTCCTAACTTCCCAGTTCCTCAGTTGCCTTGCCTATAAAGTGAAGATTACTATATTTATCACAAACACAAGCAGTATTTCGAATGCTTTAACTATACTAACTACTTTCATCCCCATAACAACGTTGTGAGGTGGGTATTATTATTATTCCTATTTTTCACACAGAGGACTTGAGGCTCAGGAAAAGTCACTTGCCCAAAGGCCACATCACCAGTAAATGAGTTAGAATTTCAAACCAGACCTGCATGGTTAACCACTATCCCATGCTGTCTCTCATACTGTCATAGCTTAAAATTAATTCCTAGCTCATCCAAATTAAATGCATTAATATATGTAAAGTACTTAAAATTATGTGTGGCTTGCAATAACAGTCAATAAACGTTGGCTATGGTTGTTTTTCTCATATCTCCCATTACTTTTCTTTATGAGTGCAAGTGATGTCCCACAGACCTTCATTTGACAAGAATGCATCACATACTAGGTCCACATCAGTTCTTTTCTCATTGGCATGGTCCAATGAAAGCGATGAAAGCATCAGTGCACTCATGCAACTTGATGCACCGTGTGAGCCCAGAAATATCACAGCACTAACCAGAATAAATGCACATTAATTCAGGTTTATATAATCTTCAAAATAAATACTGATGGACACCTGAGAATGTATCCAAGGAATCCCTTCTCCCCTCTCAAAGACTCAATTTATAAAACTGCTCACTATTTTTCACTTTTAAGAGATCACATGATGGGCCAGGCCCAGTGGCTCATGCCTGTAATCCCAGCACTTAGGGAGGCCGAGGCAGGAGGATCACTTGAGCCCAGGAGTTCGAGAGCAGCCTGGGCAACATAGGGAGACCCCCACCACCCCATCTCTACAAAAAAAAAAAAAAAATCTTTCTAAAGTAGCCGGGCATGGTGGCTCGCACCTGTAGTCCCAGCCACTAGGGAGGTGGAGGCTGCAGAGAGCTGCAACTCCAGCCTGGGTGAAGAGTGAGATCCTGTCTCAAACAAACGAGAGAGAGAGAGAAAGAGACAGCGAGAGCGAGAGAGAGAGAGGACATGTACTAGCTCTGTCCTGCCTAAAAGAATTTTTGTCCCTGGTGGATTGTGAATTGATCCTTTGTCTCCTTTTTGCCCAGCACAGTACCTGGCACACAGCTAGAACTTGCATGTTTGCTTAATTGAATCCCAGAGCCATCAAAGGCAGGGAGAAATTACCTAGAGACAGGAAGAACTGAAAGACTGAAATGCCAAATAGGTCAGCAAGAACCATGCAGTACAACAATCTAAACTCTAACCCAAATCCCCAAATTCCAGGCAAAGAACACATCATTGATAGATATAGCTGTGACTGACTTAGAATAGTTGAGATCAGATCGGGTGGGCTCAGCTCATCAGCACCTGTTGAGTTCAAACCGGAATTTTTTCTCCTTCGCATGTGGAGTTTCCTTGTCGCTATGAAGAATAAATCTGCCTTATTCTCTAGGATTCCACATTTCAGCCTGGCTACTAAGTAAATAAAACTGGAAACTGGGAAGCCTTATGCTGCAATGACTGGCATCTCTGCCATTCGAGGACAAACATGGCTATATTATTATTGAGTTTAAAATCACCACATTAATTGCCCGGAGTCGCACGCATCACCATCCCTGCACCGTGAGGGTGCAGAAGAAGCATGCAGTCACGCTGATGTCACCTGCCAGGTAACGGGACTCGGCAGGGAACTCCTCTGGGACGTCCACTCGGGGACTCCGGGGAAATATGGCTTCTGGCTCGTCCTCGGGGCTCCCCGCTGGGACTCAGCACTGCGGAAGTGGGGCACGCCTTGGGGGAGTGGACAAGAAAGCGCGAAGGAGCGCGATTAGAAGGTCTCATCTGTGCAACGTGGGCCGAGGGGTGGGTGTGGAGGCCTCGCCAATTTCCTTGTCTCTCTAGGGTTCCTGAGGCTGTCGGGGCTTCTGGAAGCCAGGGAGGCCCTGGATACGGAAGTCTCAATGCAGCAAATTACAGACCTAGTTCTGTACCCTTATGAAGAACCCCTCTCCCTAAGGGCGCCCTCCACTCCCAAGCGGGGGCGGGGATCGGCAAAGGATCCAGATCATTCGGCCTGCGGAAGTCTAAAGGGTCATTTAGACACCCGCCTAAGAACCTGAAACTACCAGGACTGACCGCGGTCAAAATCCCTCGGGAGCAGTGAAGAATTCACACACTGGGGTCCACACCCCGGGAAGCTCGCATTAACCTAAGGCGGGGCGTGGAAATCCGTACGTTTCCAAAAGCGGATTTAGAGGCCGAGCCTCTGTAACTACCCCTCTTGTCCCAGCACTGCTTCTGCCTCCCCACCTCTCCGCCCCTGCAACCTTTCCCAGACCAAAGGGAGAAACGCTCTTTCCCGGTTCCAGGCTGCAAACCTTGCAGAACCGCAGCCAAAGGTCACCCAGGCCAGGAGCGCCCCCCGGGCTCCGCCACGCCCCCCGGCCAGGCTGGCCGCGGCCGCGTCGCAGCCCAGCACCCGTACCTTTCCCGATGACTTCCAGTAGCTCCTTCTCCTCCTGGGTCAGCTCGCCTTTCTTTATGTGAACCATTGCTCCCGCCAGCTTGAAGGTTATTCCCTTTCTTAGGGAGTATTAAAAAAGAAACGATGCGTCTGTATTGGGAACGCCAGCCGCAATGAGGCAACTTGAGACCAAGACACTGAGTAGCCAACCGCGGAAACGCTTCGCTTCTCTCCTCCCTCCCGCGGGCTGGCGGACAGCGGGCGAGCTCGGGCGAGCCAGGCGGACGGTCTCCGCAGGCCCTGCGGCGGTCACCGCCTGCCGCCTGTCATTGGCCCTGCCGAGGAGGAGGAGCCGCAGGAGGCGGTAGCGAGAGATCGCCATTGGAGCAACCTGGGAGGACAAAACCAAATGCAGAAAGCTGGAGGGGGGAATTAAATTCCTCCTACACGTTCCGCTCCCCTATCCTGTCCGGTTCAAATATTTCGCCACATGTAATATTGAAAATTCTACAGCTGGCAGTTATGTGCTCAGCGACGGCTTTCTGGGGCATGCAGAGGCCCCAGGTTGTCGCCGTACCCCCACCATTCCCCCGGGAGTGGCGCAGTCTGGGCGGGGGCGGTCTAGGAGACGGGGGCGGTACGGGAGGCGGGGCTGCGCCGGGTTCCGTGTGTCTATGTCAATGTGTCTGTCCTTCACTCCTCCATTGTCTGCCGCCACTGCTGCTGCTGCTGCTGCTGCCGCTGCTGCTGCACGAATCGCCGCAGCCCCCAGCCTTGCGCGTCGTCGCTACCTCCTCGGACAGGTGAGAAGCAGCCCAGGTGAGGCAAGGGGCGCCGTGAGGGTTGCGAGAGTAGCGACTGCCGCCCCGCCGGGGTTTCCATCGGGCAGGAGCTGGCGGGGAGGAAGCATGTGCCTCCTGGGGCGGCTTCCTGCCTCGCGGTGGAGAAGCCCCCGCTCCACCTCATCATCACGGCGCGTACGGGGTATCAGTGCCCTGGGATGAAGACCTCCGACTCGCAACGTTTGGCCGCCTCGGGAGACCCTGGGACCGCGGGCGGGCGGGCGGGGGCCAGCCACGCGGTGGGAAGTGGCGGGTGCACATGGTCTCGTGCGTGGCACCGCCAGATGCGGCTCCCGGGGAGGCTGGGGCCGGGGCTCTGGGCTAGGTAGGGGTCGCAAGGACAGCGCCCCATTACTAGCGAGTCAGTGAGAACAGACTCGGGAGAAGGTAGTTTTTACGCTGGTGATCCTCGCCCTCCCCACTACTTGTCATCTCTTTGGCCTCTGTGGAAGCTGTAGAAGAAAACCTGATCGCCCAATGTTGCTTGTTAAAGATGTTTGGAAACAATTTACACTTGCACTAATACTTCGTTTATGAGAGACAGCCTGTGGGAGGGGGAAGGAAGGGCTTCTTTGCTCTGCTAGAGTTCTCGGTTCTCTTTGTAACTCAGATCTTGAGATTTATGGAAATAGGGAGTGGAGGGTGGGGAGGTTGGAGAGGGCGGAGATTAAATTGGTGTTGCTGCCTATATATAGCCTTAGATTAGCCTCTTAATCCAACCTTCATTCAACTGTAATATGTAGCCTGGAGCTTCGACCATAGGTAGATGGGGGTAAATACAAGTGTGTATTTCAGAATAAGATTTGCTTGCTAAAATGCGGGAATCAGTCATTTCTCCAGGGTGCAGATTTATATTTACATCATCAATGAAAGTTTCTTTGGAAATTAGTGTTTATGTTTTACTGTTGTTTCCCTACAGAGTAGTATTGATGTTTCTCTCAATATGTGTGTCAAAGAGACGTGTATGTGTCAAAGAGAAATATTTGAGTAATTATGTAGGTGGTTTTTGTTAAGCATCCCCAGGACCACTGTTTCTTCTCATAGCGCCATACGAAAAGCGAAATGCATTTTCCTCTGGCCTTAGGCATTTATTTTGCGTGAAGCTTTCACTAACATCTGAAATCTCCTGGAATATGTTTATCATTATTTCCTGCCTTTAGCAAAAATCTTTCCTAAACTCCAGCTGTTTTTCCCCCCTAAAGCTTCAGCATTAAAGACTGGGACAGATCTGAGCCAGAACATCTTACATGAAAATGGTTTGAAATTATTCATCTCAGTGTATAACAAAGATACTTTTGTTGGATGATGCTTTAATAATGATGTGGCTGTTCAAGCAAGTAGTAAGGCTCCTGAGAGTGACCAATCTTTTGTAATGCTGTTAGTTCAGAGTTACAATTGATTTATAACATAGTATCATGCGGAAGAAACCCACAAACCTAAAAAAACAGTTGAGTGGTAACCTCCTGGAACATGTGATTTAGCATCTTACCAGCAGATGCATACACATAATTGGGTACTTCATTGCTAGTATTTCCATCTCTTGTGCCAAATCTGGGCCATGGTTACTTGAAGGTCACACCTGTTTGTCTCACTGGGGTTGTCAGTTCCTCGAGGATAGCAGCTTACTATCTATTTTCTTGATGCCTTATGACACTTGGTTGGTATTTAGTGCTCTCTGAATACATGACCAGTGAATTTAGAGACAATAACGTTGAAAGAGAATCTAACATCTACCTAGAAATGCAAATAAATCATGTTCAGTTTACATTTCTAGAAACAGATTCATAATGGGTACTGTTCATTAGATGGATTGATTACATTAGTAGTTTTGTATGGTGTAAATATTTAATGTAGGGATAAGATTAGATAATGAGCATATTAAAACAGATTCACATCAAAGAAGTTTTATTGATAATAAGATAGCTACTTCATATTGAGTATTTAGTCTGTGCTAGATATTCTACCAGATGCTTTGCATAGAATTATTCTAGTGTTATGACAACCCAGGAATGAGCCAATATTATACCCACTTTGCAAATAAGAGGACAGAAAGTAAGGGAAATAATTTGCCCACAATCCCATATTAGGAAGTGTCAAGTCAGAATTGGAATAATGATTTCTGAAATGTTTGAAATGTTGTATGTGTCCTCTCATATCTACCACTCTAGAGCTATTGCAATGCATCTTAAGTAGCCTGCTTCTCTCTCACCTGTCTCCATCTAGCTAATTCAGGGAACTACCAGTTCAATAAACATTGAGCACCCATCATTCTTTGAATGGCTCTCTGCTGGCCACAGAATAGAGGGCTGGGTCTGGCCTGGAAGGTTCCAATCCATCCATGGTCTCAGCAGGCATTTCCAGTCATCTGGGCCCTCCCACACACTGGGCTCTAAGGTCACCACTCTGCTTGTTCCCCAACCTGCCGGTAATTTCCACCCCTTTGTTCCTGCTTTTCTCCTCCTCTGAATGATTTCCCTTCCCTTTTCACTGAATCTCCTCTCCAGATCTGATGAACTATTCAACTTTCCAGACACAATTTAAACAAAACCTCTTTTCTTCAGCTTTTGTGTTCATCTCTCCCTCTCTATCCAGTAAGGGAAATATACATGCTAGTAAATACATTTATTCATGTCTCTTGGCAAGGGTTATAAGTAAAATCTTTGTACATGGAGGATATTGATATGCAACATGGCTACTGGTATCATTGCTGGCAGCCTTTAATTCTCTCTTCTTATGGATTCTAGCGACCCCTCTTTTACCGCCCCCCTAAATTGACATCATTGCTTCTTCATCTGAATCTCCATGAAAATACCTAAAACAAGCACTTTCTCATCGCATTCTATTATAGTTATTATTAATCTGTTTGGTCCCTTCTCATTCTACAGTATACATTAACTAGGTCAAATTTATCTTTGTTTCTCAGGTTTAACCCAGTGTCTTGCACCTAGTGTATGCTCAGTACAAGCTGAGTTGAATTCAGTTTGATTTCTAAGTTATTTTAGGTGGATTTGTTTTCCTACTTGACTAATCCTTCCTGGCAATGTGAGGTGAGGTGGCACTAAGCACGCACAATCATAACCAGAGGCAGAAAGTCTTTAAATGTTTTGGATCTCAAGCTTCTTGACATTCTGATGAATGCTATCAACCAAGAAAAATTGTTCTTGTGCACATGTTACAAATTTGGCATGCCATTCTTAGATTTCCCCATTAAAGACCCTGATTTCCAGCTCTCTACATTAGGAGAATGCTGCCTTTTTGTTGCATTTTTGAGTATTACATCTTTCAGGGTACTGTTTGTCTTGACATTTGACTTTTTTTCCTTAGACTTAGGTATCTTTATTGACTGGATATTTGATAATAAGAAATTTTGATTTTTTTAAGTTGGAAGTAGATTACGGTTATATTTTTAAAAGATTACTTATCTTTTAGAGATAGGAACAGAATTATTTCAGAACTGGATGAGAAGACAGCTGAGATTTGCTTTAATATAATTCTGTGACAGAAAGGAAGAGAGACTGAATGAGAATATAAATGAGATAAAATTGACTATGTTAACAGTTGAAGATGGGTGATGAGTATATTCACTTGATTATACTGTTCTCTCTACTTTTGGATATATTTGAGATTTTCCATAATGAAGTTTTTAAAAAGAAAATTTGGAAGTATTACAGCCTCTAAGAAATCTTTTTTTTTTAAACACAACATAAGAAAGTAATATAAATACAAATGTTCTTTTTTCTATACTTGGAGTTTCGCTTATGTGATTATTCATTTAAGTGTTAAAACAGTTACACCTAAATCTGCAAAGAACTGTCTTGTGAACAATGCGTTTCCATAAACATTTGACATCACATTTTAACTTCTCCAAAAAGTAAAAGGTTGGTGGCATTACTCAGTGCTTGTAGAACAAATTGATGAATATCTTACTGGTAGTTAATCTTCATCTTTTTTGAAAAGAAAATTCTGAAGAAGGGGTACAGATACATTTAGTTTAACTGAGAAAATCAAGAGGTGAATGAAGTGGAGATACTGATGTTCTTCTGTGCGTCATAATCCAACTCAGAAGGCATTCCAAAAAAAAAGAGTACCAAAACTGTTTCGAGCAATGTCAGCACTGATAGGATAAGTATTAGTCTAGGAAAATCAGGAGCAGGCCCAGGACAGGGTGTGACTGGTAGGTTCTTACTCAGTGTTTGCTTAGCTGAATACTTAATCTGACACCTACTTTCTAATTTGTGCAATTTTTTAAACTGATTTTTTGATCTTTACAATTTTTTATTGTGTTTTAGATATATTAAATGTCCTTTATAACATGTCATCCTAGACTTTGGGATTTTACAAGAATATTTAATTAATATGAAATCCACCAATCTTAGCAGGTCATAAACAAGAATACTTTTCATTCTTAACTCACTCATTTCTGTGTATTGAGGCCATGGCGCTCTTTAGCAAGTATCTTTTGGGCAGTTAGGTGCCGAGTGGAATGATTTGCCCCGTTCTAAATTTGGCGTGTATTAAGTGAAGAGTGCCAAAATTGTTCAGGTAGTCATATTTGTAAACTATCTATTTTGAAAATAAAGATTTGAATAACTCATTGAATGAACCATTCTTTAAGGTTAAATGCCAAAAAGATAATGTTCTCATTATTCTTTCTTGATTTTTAGCAATAGGTGTTTCCATTGATGTTTTTTAAGTTTATTCAAAAATTAAAGGAAAAAAGTATAATGACAAAAAGAAAGAATAATGCCCTGTATTAATATTTAAGATAGTATAATCCTTTGGCTATCTTTAATTCCATTCTGAAAATATTAATATTTTAGTAGGAAAACAATAACTTAAGATGTAGAATTATTTTTTGTGTCAGATGTAGCATTATATTTTCTTTTTACATCTCAACTTATTTTTATGCTAGATGAGAACTTTAAAAAATATAACAGGTGTACTGTTATTTTTGAGGACTTCTAAATAAATCTCAAGAAAAGCCCTGGGGCAGAGATGAATAATAAGGGATAATAACGTTTAGCACTGTAGAGAATATATCATAAGCTACTATTGGATGATATTCTACTGTCATCCTTTTTATATATCCACACAGAAGACTTTAATGGTTTTCAAACTAACCTGGATTTATGGTCATTTCTAAGAAGAAAAAAGAAATGTTATATGTTTTTCTCAGTGAACAAGGTAATTGAATGGGACTATTATAAACAGGAAAGAGAACCCCTAGTTGTCGGTGCAGAGGAAACTGCTGGCTGGAGGAAAAGGATGCGGTGTTAGTATTTGGGAGTGTGAAGATTGTGTTTGTGTTAGAGTTGAGCTTCTGCAGGAAACAATTTAAAAACTGTATCCTATAGTGCTAGAAATTATGGTGCCATAAATTTTCTAATATTCGTATGTCCCTAAGAGGCAATATTGTTAAATTCTCTCTCTAAAGATAAATGCCTTTTCCCCCCCACCGCTTAATAGAACTCTATGGAGAACTCTTTGGTATTTTGGAAGTAACATATGCTAATTCAATTTATCCAAGTGCTGAACTCAACTTTAAATTAATATTTATGCGCTACTCCATCTTATTCCAAACTATAAAATTTATGAGGCAAATAATGAAAAAGCTGTCTTCGAGAATCATATAAATAATTCTCTAAGACATTGCAACAGCTTTAGTTGGCTCCTTGGAAAATGCACTGAGTGGAGACAGTGGATCAGGTTCTGGCCCCAACTCTTCCATGTACATAAGCTCCAGATGGGCAGGGATCGTTCTGCTTTGATCTCCACTGTCTTACCAATGCTAGAATGGAATTCCTGACCTCAGCCAAGTGGTTTGACATCTCAGTGCCTTATCTGAAGGTTAGCTTAGGGACTGGGCTTACATCCATGGTTTTCAAAGTATTCCATTCCGCGTGGATGCCACTTGTAAGTTACAAAGTAAAAAAACACGCACTTAATTATTAAAACGTTAATAAACACAACTGCATCTCGAATGCATCATATGTTGTCTTTAAACATACTGGAGACAATCAGTGCTTGCTAACTTGTTCTGCCCGATTGTGCAATACTTGGAACAAAGCTCCACCTGCTAGAAAGTGACCTCCATGAAATTTGCCTGATTTAGTGCTTGCTGCATCCCTATTGACTAGTACCAGACCTGGTATATTTGGCAAACAAATAAATGAATGATTCTCTGTAGGTTTAAACCTTTTTCTTTTGAGACGGAGTTTCGCTGTTGTTGCCCAGTCTGGAGTGCGATGGTGTGATCTCGGCTGACTGGCTGACTGTAACCTCTGTCTCCTGGGTTCAAGTGATTCTCCTGCCTCAGCCTACCGAGTAGCTGGGATTACAGGCGCCTGCCACCATGCCTGGCTAATTTTTGTATTTTTAGTACAGACGGGGTTTCACCATGTTGGCCAGGCTGGTTTCGAACACCTGACCTCAGGTGATTCGCCCGCCTTGGCTTCCCAAAGTGCTGGGATTACAGGCATGAGCCACCATACCTGGCTTAAACCTTTTTAAAATGTATGATTCAGAGAGCTTGTAGCTCTGTACTAGTTCTTTTTTATTTCCTTTAATTCAATTTTGTATGGTCCACTTCTGTAAAGTTGTGTTGGGGAATCCAGTCCCATGTCATCAGCGTGCCCTAGACTAGGCTTGGCATTTCTATCCAGTTCATGCTCTCATTATGTAATAAGCATGCATATGGAAAGTAACTTTGTGTGTGTGTGTGTGTGTGTGTAGCCCTTCAAATAAAGCTTCACCTGCTAGACAGGCTTGGGCAGGTCCCCTTCTGGGAGGATGGGAGTTTCTTGGTTGAGAGAACTAGTAAGTGAGCCAATATTTGGACTCATGCCCACCACCACCTTTGAGCTTCCTGAAGGTCCACTATTACGATTTTTAAGCAATTGCTCCAAAACAGAATTCTCTCACTGTCTACCAGTCTAGGCCTTACTTTTCTTTTTATTTCTTTTTTTTCTGAAGATTTTATTTTCCTCTTTTCCATGATTAAAAATCCTCTGAAGAGAGGCAAACACTTCAACACTCTTTTACTTTAATAACTTGTCTTCTGACTTCCCACTGGAGTAATAGTCACCAACACTCCCATCAGTTTTGTGTCTGTCTTAAACTAACTTGCTCTCTGGCATTGCCACTCCACTTCTTGCTGATTTTCATCTCCTGGTTCTCCTCACCTCAGTTAGCAAGGCCAGTGTTGTGTGTGCTGTCCATAGCTCCTTTCCTCTAGGTGGAAAGTAAATCTCATATAAAATCATCTTTCTCCTCTACTATGTAAAGCTCAACATGTATTTAGGTATCTTCCAGTGAAAAAGCACTTTTCTGGAGGAAGGAACATTGGAGATGAGAATACTCATTAATAATAAATATTACTTTTGTCTTCAGTGGAGGTGAAAATCTCGAATGCATAGGCATTTTCTAAAAGGTTACATAGGATGATGTTAAAGGGTTTAAATTATTATCATCTCCATGGAGTGGGGCTAGGATATAAGGTCAAGAGTGAAAGATTGGGAAGAGCACTACCCTTCTGTACTGTGTTGGGGTTTTTTGTTTGTTTGATTTTGTTTTGTTTTTGCCATCAGTGTGTTATTACTTTAAAGTTTTAAATCACTAGTTAAAATAATATAGAGACTGGCTGGGCATGGTGACTCATGCCTGTAATCCCATCGCTTTGGGTGGCCAAGGTGGGCAGATCACTTGAGGCCAGGAGTTCGAGACCAGCCTGGCCAACATGGCAAAACCCCATCTCTACAAAAAAAAAAAAAAAAAAAAAAAAAAAATACAAAAATTAATTACTTGGGAGACTGAGGCACGAGAATCCAAGGGAGGCAGAGTTTGCAGTGAGCTGAGATTGTGCCACTACACTCCAGCCTGGGTGACAGAGTAAGACTCTGTCTCAAAAAGTAATAATAATAATATAGAGACCATCTTGCTTTTTTCTAAGCTTAAAATTATAATATTATTAACAAATTTCAAGGACATTTCCTTCTCTATAAGAGTTTCTGCTTTTCCTAAAGTGATGCAATGGAACAGATGACTTTTAAAATAAAGATTCAGAGAATATCACTGAATCAAGTTATATAACTCCAAGTCCAAATGCAAATCATTTTTAAATTGTATTTTAGCATAATATGAGAAAAGATGGTAGAATTTAATTTTAATTTTTTTCTGTATATAACCCCCCCCCCCCAAAAAAAAACGGATGATATTTATTTATTTATGAGACGGAGTCTTGCTCTGTCAGCCAGGCTGTGATACAGTGGCATGATCTTGGCTCACTGCAACCTCTGCCTCCAGGGTTCAAGTGATTCTCATGCCTCAGCCTCCCAAGTAGCTGGGGTTACAGGCGTGCAACACCATGCCTGGCTAATTGTTTTTTTTTTTTTTAGTGGATACACGGTTTCACCATGTTGCCCAGGCTTGTCTCAAACTCCTGACCTCAGGTGATCCGCCTGCCTCAGCCTCCCAAAGTGCTGGGATTACAGGCATAAGCCACCGTGCCCAGCCTGTATACTATACTGTGTTTAAGTGTGAACAGTGGTCATTACTGAAAGTTAGACTGATAGATTTTTTCTAATTTTTCCTTAAATATTCTATAATATACATGATGAGCTGACCTTATAATCAGTGATTTTTAAAGGTTACCTCTCACTTTCAAATAAAGATGCTGTTGTTTCTCAGCTTAATCACCTACTTTTTTGCTTCTGTTCAGTATTTTGTCATAAAAACCTGGTTGGACACACCAGATAGCTTCAAAGTGGCCACCTACTTTTTTCAATGGATTAGACTCTGAATGATCTCTGGCGACTTTCTAAAATTAAATCCTCTATCAAACAAGGAAATTTCTCATCATTGAGTATAGTCAAAAGAATGATCTGTAGACTCCAGAGGAAATTCTAAAAAAAGTTTCATAAATCTATTAATTAAAAGGGGTTTTGTTTAATGGAAGCATTATTAGTTCATAGTTTTTCTTTATTGAAGGAAGAAATTACTTTGATGGGTAAATGCTGGAAAATGTTTTTTTAAATTACTTAAGTTACTATGTAACATTTTTGTTTTTAACTGACATATAGTAATTTTTCATATGTGGGGTACAGTGTGGTGTTTCCATATACATATACATTGTGTAATAATTAAATCAGGGTGATTAGCATATTCATTACATTGAACACTCATCATTTCTTTCTGGTAAGAACAATCAAAATCCTTTCTTCTAGCTCTTTTGTAGTATATGATACATTATTGTTAACTATAATAACTCTATTGTGCAATAGAACACTAGAGCTTATTCTTCCTAACTGTAACTCTGTACCTGTTCACCAATCTTTCCCCATCCCCACCTCACTCCTATTCTCCTGTCTCCAGGAAACTACTATTCTACTCTCTACTTCTGTGATACCAACTTTTTTAGATTCTACATGAGTGAGATCATATGATATTTGCCTCCCAAAGTGCTGGGATTACAGATCGGAGCCACCATGCCATGCCCTAAAATACATATGGCTTCCTGTGTTTGCCATTGCTCCAGGGTTCTATGTGTACATAATCAGTTTTATTTCTTAATCATTTGAGAGTAGGTTGCATACACTTTCTGCCTTTATCTCTTATTTCTTCAGTATTTATTCTGTAAAAATAAGATACTTTTCTTACAGAACCACAGTGCAAAAAAAAATTCAGTAAATTTTAACATAGATACCATAATTTTATCTTTATACTCCAACTTCTTAGGTTGTCTCAATAGTCATATATATGTGTGTGTGTGTGTATGTATATATACATATATATGTGTGTATATATATAAATGACTATATATATATATACATAAATATTTTTTCCCAGTACAGCATTCAGTCCAGGAATGTGTATTGCATTTAGCAATGCACCTTTAATTCTCCTGGAACAGTTCTTCAACCTTTGTTTTGGAAAGACGTTATCATTGATGAAGAATACAGACCAGTTACTTTGGAGAATGTCCCTAGATATACATCTGTTTCCTCATGATTAGCTATTCAGGTCATGTGTTTTTGTCTGGGGTACCACATGAGCAATATGTCCTTCTAAGTGTAAAACATCTGGAGTTGTAGTGATTGTATGTTGTCCTTTGGTTAAGGTATGGTCTTGTTTTTCCAATATGTAGTTATATTTTTAAAAAAATTTATGTGAAGATGCTTGGAGGCTATGTAAGTATCCTGTTGATCATCAAGCACTCCCCAGCGCGCGCGCGCACACACACACACACACACACACACACACACACACACACACAAGTAGGTTTAGCATACATTGATTACTCTTGCATGAATCAGTTTTTTATTTAATTGTTGCAAAATGGTGATTTTCTAATTCAATGTTTCATTCTCTGTTTATTAGTTGACATTCTACTGAAGGAAAATCTTTCACTTACTTCCCTTTCCTTGTGTACTGAAAAATTTGTTTTCTTTAAAATGAAGCTAAAAGTTATGAGCATGGACCTATGGGTTTGTATTTTTTTGAATGGGTTATTAGCTATTATCCTTAGTTATTTGGGTCCTCAAATTGCCCTGGGCTAGGCCAGTGGAATTGTCCTCAAGATGGCTCTTATGTTGTTTTGATCTAGCTTGATTTTTTTTTAGACACTTTTGAATTTGCCAACACAAGACATCCCAGGATCATAGTGAATCTCCCCTGCTCCAGCCTTGGAGTCAGCCATTTATCCAAGAAACTTTGGTTTCTCTCAGTAGGGAATGATAGTTAGATCCTGTGGCACATATCTTTTTATGCAAAAATGTTATTATTGCTCGTGACTCTTTGAGAATTGGTTTGAACTTCAAAAGAGGTTAAAACGTTTTCACTTAAGTATATACAATTTTCTAATTATAGAAAGGATATGCATTTATTTTACAGAAAATATAGACAAGTATAGGTAAGAAGAATAAGAGGTGCCTTGAACCCACTACTCATGTTGACCACCATTGGACGTAAATGTATTTTACATAGCCAAGATCACATCATGTATATAGAATATTGCATTTTGCTGTATCTACATAGCATGTCATTGTTTTCTCAAAGTCATAGAAATTAACATTTTTAAGTCACACATTGTATATTAAAATTTCTCTTTTCTTTCTTGTTTTTGTTTCCATTGATGCAATATCCTAAAGTAGAAAAAGTTTGTCTGCTGGTGTTGAGCTTCTTTTTCTGCTCTCTTTAAAACCCATATTCTTGCCTATCCTCTGCCCTTCCACTAAATTGCATAAGATGTAAAATTACCAATTTCAGAAATAAATTGTTAGTATCAGAGACTGGGAAACATGTATTTTGTACATTCTAACTGTACTTTTGGTTTGAGATATGACTATCTAGTGATAAACTTTTTTTTTTCTAAAATTTGACACCAGTATTTGGCAAATACGAGTAAGTAGTTCAATAAAATATGTGCTTAGTTGCCACTGGTATGTTCAGATCTGGGTGCAAAATTTTCAGCCCTTGAGAGCAGGGACCACCTCTGGCTTTGCTCACCATTGTTTCCTCTCTACAGTAGGGTTTCTCAACCTCAGCACTTCACTGACATTTCAGACCTAAGGGTCTTAACGTATCGAGAGCAGAAGTTTTAGGGCATTTTGTTAAAGTACCCTGAAACATTATATTTGAGGGACGGGTTTTCTAAAAGCCAAAGTATGCTACAATGTGGGTAGTGTATATGTGTTTGTGTCTTCAGAGTGTTGAAAGACCTAAGAATGACATCAGTAAAATTAGACCATCTGGAAGATTGAATGAGCTGGCTAGCCCTTGGGGGAAGGGCAGGGCCTGGGAGATAACCCATCTGGGGAAAGTGCAAGGGCCCAGAGGAAGGAATGCACATGCCTTAAGGGACCTCTTAGAAAAGTAGAATTGCAGTAACTAGAGACCAGGAAGTGATTCCTAGAATGAAAGGATTTTAGGAATTAATTTATACTTCTTAAAAGTTTTTGAAAATAGCTTCACTGAGATAAAGTAAGTGACATTGTGTAGTTGCCTTAATTTGTTTCTACATGGATATTTAAAATGTAATTTTTGTAATATTTTTATTTTTATTTAAAAGGAAATTTTAAAAACAAGCATTCAAGCATTTACAACTTAGGTCTTCTAATTAGTTTAAGGTGTAAAGTAGTTTTGGAAGTATTATAATAAAATGAAAACTTTCTCATGGTGCCTTTATGTTTTCTGAAAGGAGATTTGCATTAACAGCTCTAAGGGAAAAATAAGGTCAAATGCTCTTTTTTCTAATATAAAAATATTGCTGTCGGCCAGGCGCAGTGGCTTATGCCTGTAATCCCAGCACTTTGGGAGGCCGGGGTGGGCAGATCATGAGGTCAGGAGATTGAGATCAGCCTGTCCAACATAGTGAAACCCCGTCTGTACTAAAAATACAAAAATTAGCCGGGCATGGTGGCGTGCAACTGTAATCCCAGCTACTTGGGAGGCTGAGGCAGGAGAATCACTTGAACCCAGGAGGTGGAGGTTGTAGTGAGCCAAGATCGCACCACTGCACTCCAGCCTGGGCAACAGAGCAAGAATCCGTCTCAGAAAAATGTATATATATATATATATTTATATGTTGCTGTCATTTCCCTATTCCTTTCATTCTTATCCTGAATAATATAAAAGAATAAAAATAACTTAAAAAAAAAAAGCATTAAACAGGATCAGGTGAGGAATCCCAGCAATTTGGGAGGCTGAGGCAGGAGGACTGCTTGAGCTCAAGAGTTCGAGACCAGCCTGGGCAACATGGCGAAACTCTTAAAAACTAAAAAAAAACAATAAAAAAAGTATATTCTCCTCAAAAATGTATATATTTTCCAGTGAAGAACTTTAATGGTGGACTCTTTACTTGTGCCAACTATCTACCTTATAAAGAGTTATTAAAGCCCAAATAACTCGTGTCATGTTTTGAATTTTAATTTTTTTTCAATTATTATAAATACTACAACTTTCATAGTATTTGTTAGTAATTAAGCTTTTTGTACTGGCTGAGTGATTTTGAGTAGGCAGAGGCTGTTACAAAATCATGATAAGGATATTAAACAAGCTAATGTTATTTCAGGCAACAAATTGTATAGTGTTATTATAGGCATATAGTTAGTTTGTTGCTTAGAGTGTCAATAATTTAAACTTTTAGAACCAACTTAATTATTTTTTGTTTCTTTGGAGAGAATGATAATACAATGTTATCAACCCAAAAGATTCCTAGATTCCTTTATTTTCTGTAAAGGATTTTATGTTACTTGTTCTTTTAATTTTAGCATTAATGGAAAGGAAAATGTTGTATAGTTATGGGTAATTTTTAAAGTTTATTTTAATAGTAGATAATTTTACTCATTTAAAATATAGAATAAAAGGTAATTCTTGAAACTTGTTATTAAATACAAAGTACTTCATGAGAACACTGCAGTGAAGTGTCTCAATTTTATTGAGTTTTGTGTGTTGTTATTATATCTTTATGAAACGTTTTATACTTTGGGAATGATATTGTTGCCCTATAATTTTTGTTTTTATTTTTTTATTTTTTTTTTTATTATACTTTAAGTTCTAGGGTACATGTGCACAACGTGCAGGTTTGTTACATATGTATACAGGTGCCATGTTGGTGTGCTGCACCCATTAACTCGTCATTAACATTAGGTATATCTCCCAATGCTATCCCTTCCCCCTCCCCCACCCCACAACAGGCCCCTTCCTGTGTCCACGTGTTCTCATTGTTCAGTTCCCACCTATGAGTGAGAACATGCGGTGTTTGGTTTTTTGTCCTTCAGATAGTTTGCTGAGAATGATGGTTTCCAGCTTCATCCATGTCCCTACAAAGGACATGAACTCATCCTTTTTTATGTTGTTGCCCTATAATTTTTAGACTCCAAAGTCTTTTTTCCACCTTGGGCAACATGGGGAAACCCTGTCTCTATCAAAATATATAAAAAATTAGCCGGGCCTGGTAGTGTGCCTGTAGTCCTAGCTACTTGGGAGGATCTTTTGAGCCCACGTGGTCGGGGCTGCAGTGAGCAGATATCACACCCCTGCATTTTAGCCTGGGTGACAGAGCGAGACTCCATATTTAAAAAAAAAAAAAAAAAGGTCTTTTTTTCCTAAAGTCTTAAACAGTATTGACTGCACACAGAGTGTTACTTTGGAATGTGGTAATTTTTCTTTTTTCCTCACTCTAGCCACCTGGCTTTGAAATTTGTGCAGACTACTCTTCGAGCTACTTTATTTGAAAAATATTAATTAAAAATTTCTATTCTTTAGATGTATTTTTATCTTTGTATCAAATTTAAGTGTTTTGGGACATAAGAATTGCACAGCCTAACATAAGTAACCATTAGCCACACTGTTTAAATTTAGTTAATGGAAATAAAATAAAATTAAACATTTATTTGTCTAGTCACTAGCCGCATTTCAAGGGATCAGTAGTGGCTACTATATTAGATAGTGCTGATAGAGAACGTTTCCATCATCACAGACACTTCTATTGGATACAATGCGCTAGAATAGGAGTTCACAAAGGACCTCCTGGGGGTCCAATCTGGTCCACCACTTGTTGTGTTAATATGAAGTTTTACTGGAATACAGCCATGACCATTTGTCTGCATATTGTCCATGGCTGCTTTCACACTGTAACAGCAGAATTGAGTGGTTGGAACAGAAACCTTATATCCCTCAGAGAGAGTAAAATATTTTTCTTTTATTTCTTTACAAAAAATGTTGTGTTCCCTGCTTTAGAGTATATATGCTCATAAAGTTGTTTGAATAACATATGCATAGCACATGTTAGTAATATAGCATGTTACGTAAGGCAGGTTATCATAGTTCAAAGATGAGTCATACCAGAGCAGTCAAAAATAGAATCTAAGACCAAAGTGCTGGATAATTAGACAGGAGCAGTCATTCCCTTGTAGGGACAACTAGAAGGTAAGTCCTCTGGTAGATCAGTTTCTTTCCAAAATGGAGAGAACTAAAGAAGAGTCCCAGGTAAGACTGATCAGTCTACATCGAAGGTGCTAATCCACTTAAGGTGGGCTGGGTAACTGGAAGGATTAGTGCACAGTTGCTATGAGATGCATCTGTGCCAGTGTGGCTCATTGTCACACCTGGGCCCAGAGTCTCATTGCAAGTTAAGGGACCGAATTTGAAAAAGATGCTAGGACAGTTAGAAGATTAACAGACTGAGGTAGGTAACAGAAATAAATGTAATAGGTTAGACCTAAAAACCTTTCAATTTACACTTAAAATAGGAATTTATGCAAAAGTGTTCGATTCATTAATATAGTATCAAGTTTCTAAATATTTGATTGATTGGATCATTTTAGTATTCTTATCGCCTTCTTTTACCTTGTGGAGTATCCAAGAAATGTAGTCTCTTAGGTGACATGTGAAATACTTAAGTCCATTTTGTTTACCATTTCACATACAATTTTAATATTATTTTAAACCATGGAACTGTTCCATTTTGGTAGAATATGTGTGTATTTTGTGTGTGGCTTATAGTTTTTAAAACAGAAGCCAAATTGTCATGATGCATAGGTTGTACCACCATGGGGATTTGTCTCTGAGGATACTGTTAAACTTTTATTTTTTTAAACTTAAGTATTTTTAGTTATTAGATTTGAAAATACATTGTAGGGCAGTGTACTAACAGCCTTTGACATTGGCCTAATAGAACTGTCTTTGTTATCTTCCTAGGTTGAAGCGAGCAGTTTCTTATTCAAAGTGTCCTTGCTTCTCTTAGGCCAGGGCTTTTATAAGGGCTTAGTGAGTACCTTATAAAGGCTGACCCTTACTGGAGCAGATTATAGTGTAGCATGAAGAGCTAAATTTAGAGGGAAGTGGGGCCTCTGCTCCAAATAGTAACAGCTAAAGGATAGACACTCTTGGAGAGCAGAATATCTTTATTTAGTCTGTCACCACCAGTGGGTGAGTTTTTGTTTGTTTGTGTTAATTTTGGGTGTTATACCAAAGTCTTTGCATACATTTTTATGTTTACATGTTATCATGTGTTTCTCCACATGGAATGTATCGAGGGTATGAAAAGTAAGCCCACATACCTGGGTTATAAAGAAACAAACTTTTATGCTTAGAAAGGAAGTAAGTATAAAAGCTAAACATTTGAAAATAGAGTAATTCTTTCATATGCTGTGTTTGGTGGTACTTCTCCATTAACAGAAAAAAGAAAAACAAGGTGCAAAGAGTTAATTAGGGAATTCCATGAGTTTGTGTTCTAAACCCCAAAACAAAACTTTTAGGAAGGACTCACACTTTAGAATTTTTGAAATTACAAATTAAAAACCATTTTTAGCCTGGCACAGTGGTGTGCGCCTGTAATCCTAGTTACTCAAGAGGCTGAGATGAGAGAATTGCTTGAGTCCAGGAGTTTGAAGTCACCCTGGTCAACATAGTAACACCCTCATCTCTAAGGAGGTAGAGAGAGAGAAAAAAGGAAGGAAGGAAGGAGAGAGAAAGAAAAAGAAAGGACGGAAAGAAAGAAGAAAAACATCTTTGGCAGAGAAGTCTGCTGGAGAGATTTCTGTCCAGTTGAGCTACATTCTTTTTGCATCTTGGTACAAGACCCAACACCCAAATTCTTGACACATATTTTTCTTTGCTAACACAAATATATTTTGTATAATATTTGTGTTTGGGAGATATGGAGACAATAATATGTATATCATCATCACTTTTGCAACAATAAAGTATTGGCTGATTCAGAGTGAATCTGTTTATAATGCCAGCAGGAAAGTTTCTGAATGAAACTTTTGCAGTGAATATAAATGATGCATTAGAAGCTCTATTTTCAACATCCATCAAATGAAATGGGAATTCATTGATTAAGTTTATAGCATTTGTAATGATTTCGATATGTTGCTGTTGCCCCCATACACATAAGCAATCAATTACTTTATTCTTACACTGGTCTGTGTTTCTACTGTTTGAACTATTACATTGTGTTGCAAATGTTTGAATTTTATCCTTCCTAGTGAGTTTCTCGAGGGCATGGATTCTGGCTTAATAACCTTTGTATCCCCAAGCGTGATGTATTAAGTTCATTTTACTTTATAGGGTTGGCAAAAATTATTTCTCAAGCCATGTAATTACTTTTTTTGTTTTATGTGACTTTTGATTAGTTTCTCTTCTAAAATAATGATTAACTTGACGTTTTCAATAATAAACAGATTTTTTATTATGTGAAGCTACAAGTTTCTCTTTTATGTGTAAGAAGGAAAATTTGGTACATAAATAATTTTTTCATGTTCTTAAGGATTTTTTAAAAAAAACTTTTGGGAGTAATTAAATTACTTGAATAATGTAAATTTTTTATTGTTTGATGGTATAAGTAATTAAGGAAATCTAGACATTTCCAAGTGAATATCTAAAAGCTTTGGAAGGTAATTAAATAATTTGCTTGAATAATGCATGTTATATTGAATGTTTGGACTTCATAATTGAAGCAATCTAGACATATTTTCAGTTTATAATATTTAAGTCAGCAAGCATATTCTCAGTTTTTAAGAAGTCTTGTGGAGCAGGCCTTACATTTTTTCAAAGATAATATATTGCAATTTTTAAATTGTGTATTAAATCCAGTAAAATAGTATAAAGTACTCAAATCCCTGTCCATTAAGGTAAACCAAAAAGATAAAAAATCTATTAACAGTTTCTTGTAGCCTTCTTAAATTGTTATTGCATAGAAAACCATATATTCTATACACCCTCCTTTTAACCAAGTACTTTACATTCTTTTATTCAGCTTGCTTTTTTCCACTATCAATATCCCTTGAGCATCTTTCCATAACAGTCCAGCAACTTATTTGAAAAGTATTTATTATATGTTTATACTTTGCTCAATATAAAAGATACAGAATGGAGGAGCTAAAGGAGCTCTATGGAATAAAAACCTACAAGGTTCCTGTCCTAGTGGAGGTTACACTCATGGAGGGTATAGACCCCAGACAAAGAGATAATAATAAAATGGCAGGCACTGCTAAAGAAAAACAAAGCCAAGTAAGGAGAGCTAGTGACAACAGGCCACTTTGGTGGAGATGGTCAGAGAAGACCTCCATTTTCAGGGAGGCATTTGAATGATTGCAAGGAGATAGCCATGTGGACAGCTGGGGACGATCTTTCCTGAAAGAGAGGCAGGAACAGAGCCTCAGAAGCCAGACCTTATCTGGCCTATTGGAAGAACAACAAAGAGATCAATGTGACTGGAACTCAATGAGCGATGAGACGAGATGTGTATTGAACATACATATACCGTCAGAAAGGTAGCCAGGATCAGAAATGTGGTACAGTTAGATCTAATTCTTGCTTTCATAAAGCTTCGTGGTGTTCCACTTGGTGCCTAAATTATAACTTATTTGAGGACATTTCATGTTCCATTTTTTATGTATACAACAATGCTGCAACTAAATCCTTTTACATATACAAGTATATTTGCATTCTTGTGTGAATATAGCTACAGGATAAATTCCTGGTAGAGTACTGCTGGACCAAGGTTATGCCCATGTAAATGTTTATAGTAAATACTCACCAAAATTTTCCTCAAAGTATTTCATGGAGTTTAACCTTTACATCAAAGTTGGTGTCTGTGGTTGTTTTTCCTATGTCCTTTGCCAACACTGAGTATTAGTAAACTTTAAAATTTTTGCTAGTCCAAGTTAAAATTAGATCTCATTTTTAAAAGTGTATTTATGCCGGGCGCCGTGGCTCACGCCTGTAATCCCAACAGTTTGTGAGGCCAAGGTGGGTGGATCACAAGGTCTGGAGTTCAAGACCTGGCCACCATGGTGAAACCCCGTCTCTACTAAAAATACAAAAATTAGCTGGGCGTGGTGGCTCACGCTTGTAGTCCCAGCTACTCAGGAGGCTGAGGCAGGATAATCACTTGAACCCGGGATGCAGAGGTTGCAGTGAGCTGAGATCACACCACTGCACTCCCACCTGGGCGACAGCGAGACTCTGTCTCAATTGAAAAAAAAAAAGAGGCATATTCAGTAATGAGTGAGGTTGAACATATGTTCAACCAAACTTATTGGCCATATGTTTTCCATATAAACTGCTTATCTGAAATACATAATCTTTATTTTCTTTGTTTTCAGAAATTTTATGAATAAGCATCAGAAGCCAGTGCTAACAGGCCAGCGGTTCAAAACTCGGAAAAGGGGTAGGTTGTGTGTGTGTGTGTGTGTGTGTTTAAAGTTGTAACCAAAATATAAGATTGGAGAAGAATCTGAATGATCCCTGTTTCCCCCAGCCTCACTGATTCTACTCATTTGAGCTCTGAGTGTAGAATCTGAAGTGCTTTAGTGAAACCATAGAACTGCCAGTTACTTGTTGGACAAGTTATTTAATTTGCCTGTGCTACTTGTTTTCATCTACAGAATGGGATAGATATCTCTGTTCAGGTTGTCTTAGGAGGTTATGAAGGCAATTGATAAATTTTACTGGTTTTGACATTAGCATTGTATTTGGTTTTTGCTTTCTTTGTCGTTTTATGAAAACGTTGATGGCAAAGATGATAAAATGAAAAGTAAATTAGGAAGTGAGATATTGAAGAGTTTTTTAATTTTTCAGAAATGAAGAAGTCAAAATAAATCTACTGCCCTAAATTCCCCTTAAAAACCATATTTTCAAGTGTCTTCAATTGTGGTAAGAGTAGTTATAGACCCATTTTGATGATGACTGGTAAAATTTCTATTTGTGTGAGTGACTGTTTTTTTATAATGTTCATCTTAGCATTCTTTTTGTGTAAATAATATTTTATATATTTTTTTAGAGACAGGGTCTTGCACTGTCACCCAGGTTGGAGTGCAGTGGTGTGATGATAGCTCACTGCATCCTCAAACACCTGGGCTCAAGTGGTCCTTTCACCTCAGCCTCCCAAGTAGCTGGGACTATAGGTGCACACCACCACACCTGGCTACGTTTTAAAAAAATTTTTTTGTAGAGACAGGGTCTCAAACTCCTGGCCTCAAGCAGTCCTCCTCCCTTGGCCTCCCAAAGTGCTGAGATTGTGGATGTGAGCCACTGCACCTGGCCTGTATAAAAGACTTTTATTTATTTATTTATTTATTTATTTATTTAGAGACGGAGTCTTGCTCCGTCGTCAGGCTGGAGTGCAGTGGCGCCATCTCGGCTCACTGCAACCTCCTCCTCCCAGGTTCAAGCGATTCTCCTGCCTCAGCCTCCCAAGTAGCTGGGATTACAGGCAACCGCCATCATACCCAGCTAATTTTTGTATTTTAAGTACAGACGGGGTTTCACCATATTGGCCAGGCTGGTCTCGATCTCCTGACCTTGTGATCCGCCTATTTATTTATTATTAATTAATTAGTGGCTTATTTATTTTTGAAATAGGGTCTTGCTCTGACACCTAGGCTGGAATACAGTGGTGCCATGACAGCTACTGCAGACTCAACCTCCTGGGCTCCAGTGCTCCTCCCACCTCAGCCACCCAAGGAGCCACTTTTGTGTGGAGACAAGGTCTTGCTATGTTGTTGAAGCTGGGTTCAAGCGATGTTCATGTCTTAGCCTCCCAGAGTGATGGGATTACAGGCATGAGCCACTACACCAAGCCAAGAATATTTTAAACATGATTTTATATTTAGTCAGTTTTGCATAATTATATAGAGGTCCTCTTGGATGTAAGAATAGCTGAACTGGGGCCAGGCGTGGTGGCTCATGCCTGTAATCCCAACACTTTGGGAGGCCGAGGCGAGTGGATCACCTAAGGTTGGTAGTTTGAGACCAGCCTGACCAACATGGAGAAACCCAGTCTCTACTAAAAGTACAAAATTAGCCAGGCGTGGTGGCGCATGCCTGTAATCCCAGCTATTCTGGAGGCTGAGGCAAGGAGAATCGCTTGAACCCAGGATTGGGAGGTCAGTGAGCCGACATTGCACCACTGCACTGCAGCCTGGGCAACGAGTGAAGCTCCATCTCAAAAAAAAAAAAACAAAAAAAAAAACGCTGAACTGGAACTCAATAGGGAAACTTTTTCAAAGAGGAAACATGATGTGAGTGATTAAATTAAATAAAGTTGAAGGGAATTACTGAAAAATATTTAAGGAAGTATGTATAAAGGTAAAAGATGTTGGAGCAGAATCACATGTAATGATCTTGCAGGACTAAATTATCTCTTTAATAACTGACTTTATATGCCTTTGGCAGTCAGTGCTAAGCAGCCTGTGTTCTCTTGCAGTGCTGTCTCCATTTAAGTAACAAGTCTAGTCACGTAGACGGAAAAGAAATTGCAATATAATAGATCATTTGGATCAGAAGAGTTTGTAAGAGTCACTAGGAAGCAGTAAGACTGAATTTAACTGTGTGCTATCTGCTGGGAAGCTTCATGTTCAAAGTAAAATATAAAAATTAAAAAAAATTCAAGTGACCGGAAAATAGTTACTTTGTACAGTTTTTCTGTTTTGCACTCTCCCTTTTCTATTTTTTTCATTTCTGGCCTATCCGCATGAGAAGAATAAGTACAAGTATAGCCTGAGCCACTTCTCTATTTAGTCCTCATCTTACTCTTACAAATTGTGCCCCACTACATTGCCCCTTGCCATCTGGAAGCAGATATCAAACACAAAGTGCTAACCAGAATTCATTGTCTTATTGTTTAAAGCAGTCTTGGAAAAAAGGACATGGATGATTTTAAAAGGATTTATCAGTAATGACCAATATAGTTCAGAAACCTAATTACAGTGAAGGTATTGTGGAGCCTAGTAATGTGATAATAGCTAATATATGCCCAGCTATGAGGCACAGAAACGTTGGCTATTGCCTGCCGCTGGGGGATCGTGTTAATCTCAGAGCTGGATCTCCACCTCAAGCATCTTTATTAGTGTGACGCTAATTCACTGGAACTGAGCTCAAGAGAGGGCCTCAGAATGTGTTGCACAACAGCAGACGTGAGTCAGCGAGTAAACTGGCCCTTACGTTTGTCTTCAGTTAAGAACCAGAAAGTTTTCTCTCCTTCAGAACCGGTTTGCCTCTGAATCACTTGGTGGTCAAGATTGTGCTGTTGGAGTGCTCAGGGAGAGCCACTGAGAAATATATATTATTTGCCAGTTGATCTAGATTCATATAACTCATATCTCTTGGGGATTGAAGCAACACTTGAGCCATTTTGTGCCAAACTCCTGATGGGGGAATAAAAATTGAGTCAACTTCATTTTCTGCTCTTCTTAGTAGTGAAACGCCTCCTGATGATTTCTCATCCTTAACTTTTCTTTGCTATTATGAAGGGGCTGACATCAAATAAGTGATTAGCAATTTTGTAGAGCTGGGGAAAATTACTACTGAGGATATTTCAAGGTCCTTGTGATAGGCTGTTTTCTGAAGATAGGTCTTCACTTTGAAACATTTCCTAGCAAAGCCAGTGCTCCTGCATGCCAAGTTAGTATGACAATGTATTTCTTATTGCATTGTCGTTACTGCTTAGCATTAAAATACAAACGTCATGGCAGGACACATTATATAATAGAACTCTAATCAGATTCTCTTTTCCTTTATGAAACACATCTCACTTATGATATATTCTCCAAAGTAATTATGTTTTTTCCTGTGACTTGTGAAAATCTGAAAAGATGAAAATTTCTCCCATGAGCAATTGGATTATGCTTTGCTAAATGAAACATTTAATAATCAAACTGTTCTTTCTGTACATTTTTAGAAAAATTGGATTACAATTAGTGAAAACAAGAGAGAGAAAAAAAGGCCAAACTGCAGGCATTCAGCATGACCATGTGCTCAGGTTTCTCCCTGAGACTTTAGCTCTGTAAATAATGTTTTTTGTTTTTGTTGTTGGAGACAGTCTCACTCTGTCATCTAGGCTGGAGTTCAGTGGCGCAATCTCAGCTCACTGCAGCCTCTCCCTCCCAGATTCAAGTGATTCTTGTGCCTCAACCTCCCGAGTAGCTGGGATTACAGGCGTGCACCACCACACCCAGCTAAGTTTTGTATTTTTTAGTAAACCTGAAGTTTCATCATGTTGCTCAGGTTCGTCTCAGAACGCCTGGGCTCAAGTGATCCATCTACCTTGGCCTCCCAAAGTGCTGGGATTACAGGCGTGAGCCACCATGCCCAGCCATGTAATATTGGTTTTAAATCACTTTTAGCTTTATAGTAAGTGGTGTTAATAACTAAATGAGCAAACCTTTAAATCTTGAAATATATGTGCAAATATGAGTATGTGTATATATATAATTAGAAAATACATTTGATTTTACAGGAAAAAAGAAAATATGTGATTTTTAAAATTCATTGCTACATCTCAGTGACATCCAGAAAGGGATGTAGGTTCTGCTATTATATCACTTCACTAATGTGTTTTTAACCAGTTACTGTAGTTCCCACAGTAAGCAAGTTAGGTAATGTATACGCATATTTGAGTGTCAGAATTAGGCCCATTTCTTCTCTATGTCAGTACAAGGGCTATGATGACTAACTCTTGAGTATCACAATTATGATTCACCAGCACAGTTTAAATTGGAGACCCTAATTATATCCTTCTCACTTCAAGGCAGACTTGAACTGCCAAATGGAAATCCAAGGAGGCAATGGCATATTTTCATTCGAATTTTGTTAGTATTTCTGCTAGACTGTCCTCTAATAAAATGCAAACTACATTTACTGTACTTTCAGATGAAAAAGACTCTTTAGTTCCAAAGTTGTCTTGTTTCTCAAGTTTTCATTAGTGTTCTTGCCATTTTCTTATATGGGAATTTTCTAGTCCTTTTGATGGTCACTTTGTTTTAGCAGCTGGGAGCTTTTTTCAGCCTGCAAAACAATTATTAGTCCTTTCGGTCCATCATAAGTTTTTAAGATTTCCAAGCTGTAAGTAATCATTTTGACCTACCACCCTTATTGCTCACTGTTGAAATATCCTTGGCTGTAGTATGCTATCTTCCTTTTTCTGTTTGCTGGTAATTCTTTTGGAATGGGAGGATGAAGATCTTTTTACAAACAAGTTTTTAAGTTGTGTCTTACATTGAAAACAAAGTCCTCTGCATTGATTCTTGGCATAATCTGGGTTTTTCCTCATTTATCCATTTACATTTCCCAATGCCTCCATTTGTAATTTTCAAATCATCAAAATCTGTTCTACCACCTGAATCAACATCCAACCATGTGGTAGGGCCTTTGTGGGAATGACTTTATTTGATTTTGGAAACTGGTCACAAGACTTAATATAACAGCATGTAGTTGTTTTATTTCCACCTTTCTCATATTATAGGAAAGAAAATATCTTTTTTCAACAAGGAAGGAGAATTGCCTGTTGGCTAGACCCTGAGTGGGAGGTGAAGTTTTCTGTGCTTTTCAGTGGGTTCCTTTTGTGTAGAAACCCAGTTATCCCCTCCTCCCACTCCACCTAATGTATTCCTCTAGAATTCCTATGCGTTTTCCTCCCCCTCTACACAACAAGACCCTAATTATATTTTTTCTGCAGTCACCATTTGCATGTTCTTGACTGCATAATGTTTTGCTTACAGCATCAAAAGGACTTTTTATCTCTTGTTCATGATGAATATTGTCCCAGTTAATTTATGTGTGTCTTTATGGTATCTCACGCTGCGTGACTCTGACTGGTACTGGGAATGCCATTCTTCTCTGGTTCTCATGCTTATGTGACTAGTGTTAACCACTTACAACCCAGCCCTTCTGTTAGACCACTTACAAGCAGTACAAACTAGGCAGTTGCTATATGGTTTTAAAATGTAGTTTTTAATTTTATCAAAGTTATGCATGCACATAGTATGGCTAGTTCTTGATTTTTTCTGTTGGAGATAGTAGATATGCCTTTTCTACTATGGAAAATGATGATTCAGCTCTCTTTCATTGCTTGCTTCCCCCCATCCCCATACTTCCTGTCCTTCTCTATTCTTTCATTGTATCATATAGTTTCAGCTACACCAATGTTTAGGGTTTATATTTTTGTGACATTGTACATGCTATTCACAGCTGAACTATGATATGACTGCATTTTTAAAAAATAACGTTATTTTGTTATCTCTTGATTTAATAAATGTAATTATCTCTTGAGTTGGGGGGCCTTAGTTTTCTGTGCCTTAAAACTAGCCCACCCTAACCTTTCCCTTTGTTGTACGAATCTCTTAATACAAAACACTTAAGGAAAAGCTTGAAATGTCCTTTCACCATTATCCACAAGAGTACTATTGCCTGTCTTGTTTTTTCCCTCTTGCCTGGGATCTCATGACTTACTCTTCAGTTATTATCCATTTTTGAGGCCTTGGGTGTTTCAGTATATGTATGTTCGTATTGCTCTTACCCTTGATTAGTAGTTTGGCTGGGCCAGGCACAGTGGCTCATGCCTGTAATCCGAGTACTTTGGGAGGCCAAGGCAGGTGGATCTTTTGAGGCCAAGAGTTTGAGACCAGCCTATGCAACATGGCAAGATCCTGTCTGTACTGAAAATACAAAAGCTAGCTGGGTGTGGTGGCATGTACCTGTAGTCCCAGCTACTTGGGAAGCTGAAGCAGGAAAATCACATGAACCCAGGAGGCAGAGGTTATGGTGAGCCAAGATTGCGCCACTGCCCTCCAGCCTGGGTGACAGAGTGAGACCCTGTTTCAAAAAAAAAAAAAAAAATCGGAACACTAACAAGAATTCTAGGCTGGAAATACTTTTCCATAAGAATTTTGAAGAAATGTCTTCTGTGTCTGGTATTTCTGTTGAGCAATTTAGTTGCTTGATAAGTTTTACATACCACTTGTTTTTTTATCACCCCGGAAACTTCAGATAATTGCTTTGTTCCCAGTATTCTGAAATCTCACAGTAATCAATGTACTTTGTGTGAATCCACTTTCAGTCTTTGTGCTGGGTTCCCAGACAGCCATGTACTTGGAAACAATCTTTCATTTCTGGGAGATTTATTGAGATTTTTCAAAAAATTTCCTTTCCTTTGTTTTCTCATTCTGTCTATTCGATGTATTTTTTTGGATATTTGACAGGTCTGCCCTTTTTCTCTTCTTTTTGCTACTATTTTCTAGGTCTTTGACCTTTTTTCTATTTTCTGAAAGATAATCTTAGGTTTCTCTTAATGCTTCCATTGAGTTTTTTACTTTTCCTATCATATTTTTTATTTCCAAGAACTCTTTATTTATGAAATATTTTTATAGTATTCTCTTCCCTCCATCCCTCCCACTTCTGTTGCAGTATCTTTCACCTTTCTCTCTAGAGAGATCTGTGATACAATTTTTTCTTTTGAAGTTTTGGGTTCATCCTTTGCTCCTCTCTCCTCACATCCAGACTTATTCTCCATGGGTTTGGAAAAAAAGGGTGATGTCCTTTGAGTTGAACTACAGACCCTTTACCTTTAATCCACTCATTCTTTTCCACCAAATCTGACATGTGGTTTGTCATCTTCACTTCTTATCAACAGTATATGATCCCTGCTTTGTTCAAGACCTGGCTCCAAGTCGACCTTCCACAAGGTTTTGCTAGAGTCTAAACCAAAACTCTTTCCAAACCCAAACTTCCAGTCACCACACCAAACTACTTCTGCAGACTCATGTGTCCATTTCACTGTGACAGCTCATTTATGCTTTTCATGTGTGCCTTTGTGATTGCTCTGTGTTTGTCTTATCCACTTTCTTTTTTTTTTTGAAACGGAGTCTCGCTCTGTCACCCAGGCTGGAGTGCAATGGCGCGATCTTGGCTCACTGCAAGCTCCGCCTCCCGGGTTCAAGTGATTCTCCTGCTTCAGCCTCCCGAGTAGCTGGGACTAACAGGGGCCCGCCACCACCCCTGGCTAATTTTTTGTATTTTTAGTAGAGACGGGGTTTCACCACGTTAGCCAGGATGGTCTCAATCTTCTGACCTCGTGATCCGCCCGCCTCGGCCTCCCAAAGTGCTGGGATTACAGGCGTGAGCCACCACGCCCGGCCTTGTCTTATCCACTTTCTAAGGAAAAAAAGCTACATAATATCTATATCCCTGTCAGTCCTCTGAAGCCCCACAAAATCAAAACCATTTTTATAATGATACCAAGATATTCACGTCTTTCACACATTCTCTCATACTTTTACAGTGGAGTTTTCTAGAGTTTAAAGATGTGTGATATTGCAGTAAATTGAATGCAGTGGATATGAAAATTGATCTGTCTGCCATTAAGCCAGGCATTAAAGAGAATTTGCAAGAGTATAAAACAGTACTATCCTTCTCACTAATTTTTTTTTGTTAAATAAATACTATAAAATGTTTTGTTTTAATTTCTTAAAATAAATATCCATAGATTGAACCTCCATAAACAAAAACTCCCTTTGGAATGCTTTGGAGTTAGGATTCCAAAGAGTTTTTGGGTTAGGATCCAAAACTTTGGAATTAGGGTTCCAAAGTTTAGAATCCTAATCCTTTGTAATTAGGATTCCAGAGTCTTTTTCCAAAGGATACTTTGGAATCCTAATTCCAAATGTACATTTTAAGTGTCAAGAGGTCATGAGACCAAAAAGTTTAGCACATCTGTCCTGAAGCTGTAGATATACATATATGGCTCATTACATCTATTAAATATTTAAGTACTCTGCAATAAGTTATTATTATTATTTTTAATTTTTTTGAGACAGCGTTTCACTCTTGTCTCCCAGGCTGGGGTGCAATGGCACTGTCTCTGCTCACCGCAACCTCCACCTCCTGGGTTCAAGTGATTCTCCTGCCTCAGCCTCCCAGTAGCTGGGATTACAGGCACCCACCACCATGCCCAGCTAATTTTTTATATTTTTAATAGAGACGGAGTTTCATTGTTTTGGCGAGGCTGGTCTCGAATTCCTGACCTCTGGTGATCCACCTGCCTTGGCCTCCCAAAGTGCTGGGATTACAGGCGTGAGCCACCGCGCCCGGCCTACAGTAACTTATTTTAAAAGAGACATCCCTTCTTATTCCCCTATGCCATCTTTATTTGTTTGTTTATATTTGTATATTCTCGTACATTCTTTGGCGATGCTCTGTGGATTTTTTTTTCCTATCTTAGATAAAATAGAATTAAAGTTTTGATTGTTATACTCTCAGTATTTATTTATTTATTTGACTGTTATTTTGAATTGTTTTATTTTAGATGAAAAAGAGAAATTCGAACCCACAGTCTTCAGGGATACACTTGTCCAGGGGCTTAATGAGGCTGGTGATGACCTTGAAGCTGTAGCCAAATTTCTGGACTCTACAGGCTCAAGATTAGATTATCGTCGCTATGCAGACACACTCTTCGATATCCTGGTGGCTGGCAGTATGCTTGGTAAACCATGCATTATCGCTTCTTGTAGTATATTTATATATTTTTAATTCTGTTGAAGTATTTCCTTATAAGATAGAGTCTTTATAAGTTTATGTTTATTAGAGTTAATAAAAATACAAATGGAAGCCTATAATTTTACCTGGTTTAGGATTTGGAATGGTATTAATGCAGATGTGAAATGATTATTGGTTAATAGAAGCATAGAATGGAGGACTTTGGTTGACGTTACAACAAAGTTGGCCACTTTGCTTCTCCTAAAAGCCGCCTTTCTCATATGTCCCTAATCTTTCAGTGTTTTTGGTGGGGCCATAAAAGGGGTAATTTCTGCAAAATACTATAACTTAGTGTATAAATTTCCAAGGTTTAATTAATGCCATTTCATCCATAAATAAAGCATATAAGAAATATAGTTTAAACCTGGTTTTTGAAAAATCATTTAAATTTTAAGTAAGTAGAAAAATTAAAGATAGAAGATTAGAAATTGTTAAAGATAGGTGAAAACAAAATAAAAGCTATACCTTATAGAACAGAGGCATCAGGAAAGTAGGCTTCAAATGCTATTTAAGTTTATTAAGTAGATGATTCTAATATTTATTAAGTATAATAGCCACCCATTTTTCCTCTCATAGTCATTCTTAGATCTGAGTTCTTATCGTTAGTTCCTGTCGTAGCTGTAAATCACTAGAAACGGTCAAATTTCCTAGGCCAGGAATTTTCAGTTTGCAAATGTGTGCAAGTGTTTTAGTTGTTAAAAAGACTTAAGCGGGGAGGGCAGGTATTTGTCTACCTGCTATGCAAAGAACATGCAACATAATGAAAGATTGCCTTGCCCAAAGTGCCATCATTGCCTTTCCTTGAGAAAACACTGCTTAAGCCAGCCTACCTTGGCTTTGAAAAAGAATGTGCATACATTCCTCCATCTTGAGGTGGAACTGCCCGTAAATTCCTTTTTCTCTGAGCTCTTATTTCAAGCAATCTGTTTGGTACATGGCCCCATTGACTACTAGGCCTTCTGTCATTCTGCCTTGCTAGTTTTCACCACATACTGAATTAGTTTTGTTGTTCTTATTGTTTATGAAGAGCTTACATTATGACTGTAAATAATTCAAGTCTAAGTATAACAGCTATCTATATTGAGCTCAAATCCCATTACCCGGGAAAAATCATTGTTAACATTTTGGTTACTTCCCTTCTGGAAATCTCTTTAGCAGCCGGGCGTGGTGGCTCACGCCTGTAATCCCAACACTTTGGGAGGCTGAGGCGGGCGGATCACCTGAGGTCAGGAGTTCGAGACCAGCTTGGCCAACATGGTGAAACCCCGTGTCTATAAAAAAATACAAAATTTAACAGGATGTGGTGGCGGCTGCCTGTAATCCCAGCTACTAGAGATGCTGAGGCAGGAGAATCACTTGAACCTAGAAGGCAGAGGTTACAGTGAGCTGAGATCGAGCCTCTGCACCCCAACCTGGGTGACAGAGCGAGATTCTCTCTCGAAAAGAAAAAAGAAATCTCTTTACCTCATAAAATTTTGAGACTGGGTGACATTATGCAAATACGATATTCTGCATGCTGATTTGTATTTATTCAGCAATATGTTGCTGCCTTGCACACCCATCAGTGTTATACTGGATGATTCTAAAAAGAATTAAAGCCAAACGGATGTTAAAGAATATTTAGGGGCTGGGCACGGTGGCTCACACCTGTAATCCCAGCACTTTGGGAAGCCAAGGCAGGCAGATCACCTGAGATCGGGAGTTCGAGACCAGCCTGACCAACGTGGAGAAACCCTGTCTCTACTAAAAATACCAAATTAGCTGGGCATAGTGGTGGGTGCCTGTAATCCCAGCTACTCAGGGGGCTGAGGCAGGAGAATCTCTTGAATCCAGGAAGTGGAGGTTGCAGTGAGCCGAGATCACACCATTGCGATCTTCAAAAGGAACATTATATTTAATATTTTATCAAAAATTATGAGTTCCTATTTACATACACCTTTAACAATGTTAGCTACCTAATTTCATCAGTTCTCTAGATCTCTGTCAATTAGGTAAGGGATGAGTATTTTCATTTTAAAACTTTAATAGTGGAGTTGAATATTTCCTAATATATTATTGACTTCTAGTATTTCGTTAATTATGATATATTTTTATCAGAGTGATCTTCAGCGAGTTTTGGTTCTTGCCAAAGTCACATGACTGTAGTAGTCACTTATATGGACCCTTTTCAGACTGAGTGACCTCTAGGCAGCACTGTTGGCCCTTTTGTCATTCTTGAACTCTTTTATTTTCTTCCCTTACACGAGACCACTTAGACCTCCTTCTACCTCTCTGCATGCCACTTCTTACATTACTCCTGGCTTCCATCGTTAACCACCTCCCCATATAAAATTATCTGTATAATTTGTGTTGAGTTTCTTAAAGTTTCCTTTACCATGATCAGCAGATTTATCTCTGTAGCCCAGATTTCTTTTTTTTTTTTTTTTTGGCAGTTGCAAGATTTAATGGAGTGAAAACAGAGCTCCCATACAAAGGGAGGGGACCCAAAGAGGGTAGCCATTGCTGGCTTGAATGCCTGGGTTTATATCCCAGTCATTATCCTTCCCACTGTGCTCTCAGGCAATAGATGATTGGCTATTTCTTTGCCTCCTGTTTTTGCCTAATTAGCATTTTAGTGAGCTCTCTTTACTACCTGATTGGTCGGGTGTGAGCTAAGTTGCAAACCCCATGTTTAAAGGTGGATGTGGTCACCTTCCCAGCTAGGCTTAGGGATTCTTAGTCACCCTAGGAAATCCAGCTAGTCCTGTCTCTTAGTACCCCCTCTCAACAGGAAAACCTAAGTGCTGTTGGCGAGGTTGGCCAACGACCGCTCTAACTTCTTCCTGCTGAATTGAGGTGTAGTAGGGGTTGTGTAGTTGAGATTTCCTCGGGAGGGGTGCCTTCAATGTCATTAACATTGGAGCATGGGCTAGCAGGCCGGTCCAGGGGTCCACGGTAGATCTTATTCATGGACTGCATCTGGGGCTCCATTTGAAGAACATTTTTAGTTTTACAGCTTCGATTCTGGAAGAGACAAACTTAACAAGGAGGTTAAAGATACAGGGATTGAAATGTATGGCCTGCAGTGCAGGGGATTATTTCTTTGGCACACTTCACAGGCCCTGACTATCTGCTTGATAGTTTTGAAAAGGCCTGGTCCAGTAAATAATAATTTGGGCGTCTGGGTGCTATCAATGCCTAAGTGAAAGGTTTGGTGAAGGGTTTTAAGTAATTTCCATTGGTTAGTGCAGCCCAGATTTCACTTCTTCACTGCATGTCTATACATTCAAGAAGAACATAGGGCCAAACGTTTTGGTATAAGCTATGCAACACCAGATGTCTACTGAGTCCGGACATGTGACGTAAGGACTGAAGCCAGCTAGGTGCATTCTTCTTACATAAATGCTTTGTTTAATTATTATGTAGAAATTTTCCTGACACTCACAATTTACCTTCTTCCATTGTTCTTTTTTTTTTTTTTTTTTTTTTTTTAATGCTGTCGCCCAGGCTGGAGTGTTGGCTCACTGCAACTTCCGCCTCCTGGAATCAGGCAATTATCTCGAGTAGCCGGGATTACAGGCGTGTGCCGGCACACCCAGCTAATTTTGTAATTTTAGTAGGGATGGGGTTTCCACCATGTTGGCTAGGCTGGTCTCGAACTCCTGACCTCAGGTGATCTGTCCCAAAGTGCTGGGATTACAAGCATGGGCCACCACGCCCGGCCCCATTGTTCTTAAAATAGCAGCTATCTTGGTCTTTCAATATTACCCTTCGTATAGTAAATACAATAAATGTATTAAGTTCACTTCTACCTTGAGAAAAACAGCAGTCACTCCAAAAACGTTAGAAATGGCAAACAATACTTTGTCCTAATATCAGCAAAAATTTTAATGCAAGATGTAGCAATATTATTAATATGTAATAAGTGTTTTCTTTCATTAAACAATGTAACTTTAAAAAACATACCTCTCAAAAGTCTGTAGTTTCAATATCAAACTTTTCAGTTTTATAATTTCTATCAAAAGCAATAGCAATAATTAGCCCAGAGTTTTTAGAAGATCATTATCTAAGTTTGTTCCATATCAGGGGAACCAGCCCCCAATATTTCAACGTGGGTTCTTTTCTGTTTTCCCTAAGTGTTGGCCGGTGTGAGAAATAGAGAAAGAGTACAAAAGTAAGAAATTTTACAGCTGGGTCTCGGGGGGTGACATCACGTGTCGGCCTGAGCTGCAAAACCAGCAAGTTTTTATTAGCGATTTCCAAAGGGGAGACAGTGTACGAATAGAGTGTGGGTCACAGAGATCACATGCTTCAAAGGCAATAAAATATCACAAGGCAGATGGGGGCAGAGCAAGATCACAAGGCCAGGGCGAAATTAGAATTACTGATGAAGGTCCATGTCCCGCTGGGCACACACTGTCATTGATAAATATCTTAACAGGAAACAGGGTTTGAGAGCAGACACAACTGGTCTGACTAGAATTTTGCCAGGCTGGAATTTCCCAATCCTAACAAGCCTGGGGGTGCTGCAGGAGACCAGGGTGTATTTCATCCCTTATCTTCAACTGCGTAAGTATTGATTGGGGAAGTGATAAATGTCCATGAAATCTTCACAATTTATGTTCAGAGATTGCAGTAAAGACAGGCTTAAGAAATTATAAAAGTATTAATTTGGGGAACTAACAAATGTCCATGAAATCTTCACAATTTATGTTCTTCTGCCGTGGCTTCAGCCGGTCCCTCCGTTCAGGTTCCCTGACTTCCCGCAACAGTTCCAGGTGGTTATATTCATTTAAAAGGGCTAATTAAATCTCATGCATAAATTAATTGAGTGAAAATAGACTCTTGAAGGGGCTGACTTCTCCAAAAACTAATTTACTTACTAAACTGTATGCTGAAGTCTGAAGCCCATAGAGGGGATGATAAGCTAAGGAAAGTATAACTTGATTGAATTCTCATTTGCCTATGCCTGCTAAGAAAGGTGGCTATGGGTGGCCCTTTTAATCCAGAGATCTGAAATCACAAGTTAAATCAAGGTGATTATACACTAATACTCAAACAAATAAAGGGAGTGGCTAATGAGTAGAGAGTGTTTGTCTTTTCAGCTTTGACTATTATTGTATCCTTGGTGCCTAGCACAGTAGCTGGTATAAGTATATACACTAGAAACATTTGTTGTGTATATGAAAGATATTAATCTAACTACCCAAACCTTCTACCTTAATTACAACGAAGTAAAATTAGAAAATAAAAATTCCTAATGTTCTCATTCTGCTCTTCTAATCAACTAATGCTTCTAATGGCTACCATTGAAACTTACAGGAGGACCCTTTGAATATGGAAAGTTATTGAAGAAAAAGGCATCTAATCTATTGAGTCCATGGGGAAAAAAAGATGAGAGAGAATAAAATAATTTCTTCTAGCCAACATAGCAGCTGGGCGATCAAATTCAAATAGCAAGCATCGGAGTCCATGCTATTCAACCAGTCATGGGTAACTGGGTTAGCAAAGGAGGGAGCAATTGTAATAGCTACCCAAGTAGAAGGCAAAAAGATTCTATGAGTCAGATCTGGTCAGTTCTGTAGTTGGTGATCTAGGTAGAGTATCTGCAAAATACTTGCAAAATGTTAGCAAGCCTGAAGAAAGAACTATGTCCTGGAGTGGGAAGTGTTTGGAGTTGCATTGAGAATATTTACTGAATATTACTGAATATTTACTGAAAAATTTACTGAATAAATGTTGTTCTTTGCTTCCATGATTAAGAATATACTTTGGAAAGAACCAGACTTATAGTGACAGGATGTAGTGAAGGCAAGGATGTGGAACAAAAATGAAGTACACTATGGTGGGAGTATGAATGAAACAACTAATTTGTATTATATTAGAAACATGAAGTATACAAGGCCAACTACAGTGGCTTACGTCTGTAATCCAAGCACTTTGGGATGCTGAGGCAGGAGGACCACTTGAGCCCAGTAGTTAAAGACCAGCCTGGGCAACATGGGAAAACCCTGTATCTACAAAAATTACAAAAAAATAAGCTGGGCATGGTGGCACACACCTGTGGTCCTAGCTACTTGGGAGGCTGAGGCAGGAGGATCACTTGAGCACCCTGGAGGTTGAGACTGCAGTGAGCCATAATTGCACCACTGCACTCCAGCAATAGAGCGAAACCCTGTCTAAAAAATAAAAATAAAAAAATAGGCCAGGTGCAGTGGCTCACACCTGTAATCCCAGCACTTTGGGAGGCTGAGGTGGGCGGATCACAAGGTCAGGAGTTCGAGACCAGCCTGACCAACATGGTGAAACCCCGTCTCTACTAAAAATATAAAAATTAGCCAGGCATGGTGGTGCATGCCTGTAATCCCAGCTACTCAGGAGGCTAAGGCAGGAGAATCGCTTGAACCGGGGAGGTGGAGGTTGCAGTGAGCCGAGATTGTGCCATTGCACAATTGTCACAGCCTGGGTGACAGAGTGTGACTCCATCTCAAAAAAAAGGAAAAAATGTACAGCAACGTGTGTACATCTATACATACATGTCATTCTTTGAAATTTTATGTGACTCTTAGATTTTACATCTACTTTGATTATTTTCTTTCATTTGCCAGAATTGATGTGTTCTGCAAATGCTGTTCTCAATTTCAGTATTATCCTAATTACAATTACCTTTCTCTTTTTAGCCCCTGGAGGAACGCGCATAGATGATGGTGACAAGACCAAGATGACCAACCACTGTGTGTTTTCAGCAAATGAAGATCATGAAACCATCCGAAACTATGCTCAGGTAGAGCCTGTTTGAGAGACTGAAGCATTTGAAGAGGACTGAGGAAAACTCTATAGAAGCTCTACAGTCCACCCACTTTTTAAATAGGAATCTTAGAAAGCCTTTAAACTTATGAAAATAATGGGCATTAAAACTACAAAAATAGGCCTAGCAGTGTGGCTCGAGCCTATAATCCCAGCGCTTTGGGAGGCCATGGCAGGCGGATCACTTGAGGTCAGGAGTTTGTGACCAGCCTGGCCAACATGGTGAAACCCCATCTCTACTAAAAAATACAAAAATTAGCTGGGTGTGGTGGTGGGTGCCTGTAATCCCAGCTACTTGGGAGGCTGAGGCAGGAGGATCACTTGAACCCAGAAGGCGGAGGTTGCAGTGAGCTGAGATCGTGCCACTGCTCAACCTTGGTGACAGAGTGAGATTCCATCTCAAAACAAAACAAAAAGAACTACAAGAATATAATGCTTTTTTTTTAACCTCTCTTGTGGGAATTTAAATATTTATTCTTGGATCAGGAGAATTCGTTTTTCTTGTATACATGTTAAGGAATATGTAAGTATTAGTGTAAGTTGGAAATAAAATTTATGGGATTTTAATGCAATTTATTTCTTTTTCTTATTGTGTGTTAATTCCCTGCCTGAGTCATTCTTTCTCCATAAAGGGCAACCATATTTTTTACTCTTGGACTCCATCTTGATTACATTAGGAAACGAATACACCAAGAGTTGTAAGTAGGAATATAGCCTGTGTGTAGGAGAAAAAGGAACTAGATTAAGAAATCATTTCCACAGTTATTAAAATAACCAATATTTACAAAATCCTCATTTACATAAAAACATCATTCCACTTAGAAAACTGTCTAGAATCTTACTAATACAGTTGCAAACTTTGCTTCAGAGTTCTAACAGGACTGTAGGGGCCAGTCATCCTTTATTGCCAGTAAATTATAACACGTTTTGCTCATCTGCTAGAAACATGTTTGTTGTCCACCTAGAGTAGAATCTGTCCTGCACTTTGCTCTCCTCCCCATCACATCGTTGTCTAAGTGGTTATATCTTTAACACCTTCATTTCCGTGATTTTTAGTCTCTGCATCTCACAGTTTAAAAATCACATTTATTTTATTTTCGTCGAATTTTTTTTTCTACCTGCTATATTCTTGAATGAATTTGTTTTATCTTACGTGTACATTTTGATCATATTTGTTCCCCTAGGTCATGATAGCATCTTTGAAATGCTTATAGTTCTTATATTACAGTGTGAGCCTGTTTAACTATACACTTTTATTATTATAGATCTATGGTGTCATTATAGTGAGTTTCTATTACCTACTTCTGTGTCTTTTTGGTTGACCTAATATTTAATGGTTGTTTTTTTTTTAGGTCTTCAATAAACTCATCAGGAGATATAAGTATTTGGAGAAGGCATTTGAAGATGAAATGAAAAAGGTAAAAATTCAAATATAATGCCTATCTGTTTTATAGTAATGACATGGGGGTGGATAAAAATTTTATAAGTGGCCGGACACGGTGGCTCACGCCTGTAATCCCAGCACTTTGGGAGGCCGAGACGGGTGGGTCACAAGGTCAGGAGTTTAAGACCAGCCTGGCCAAGATGCTGAAACCCTGTCTCTACTAAAAACACAAAAATTACCCGGGCATGGTGGCATGCACCTGTAATCCCAGCTAACTGGGAGGCTGAGGCAGGAGAATTGCTTGAACCTGGGCAGCAGAGGCTTCAGTAAGCCGAGATCACTCCACTGCACTCCAGCCTGGGCAACAGAGCAAGACTCCATCTCAAAAAATAAAATAAAATAAAATTTTACATGTACAATGATATTGCAGAAGTGCCATATATGTAATAACATGTATGTGAAACACATAGTGAGTTTTTAATACATGTTTGGTAAATAAGTATGAAAGATCATTAGCTAATAGCTATAGGAAGAAATATGTGATTATTCTGGACTTTTTCCATTAATATTTAATGTAAGACAGTGTGCTTTGTTCAGTAAGAATAGTTTTACGGGCTATAACCTCTGACCTTGCAGAGATTAAAATGAAAACTAGATAAAGTGATTTAAGTAGTTAAAGCCTATGGAAGAATGTAGCACAGCAGCTAATGTTCAGCAAAATTCTTTAATTGTATGCAGTTTAGCAAAGGGAATAAAAGCACCTCTTTGGAGATAGAGTATATAGGTGTAATTCTCAATACTCTTTCTCATCAGTGAAATCCACAGTAGCATCTCCTTAAAGATGTCCTCTTTTGAGTAATTGCATGTTCCCTCTTCCAATTTGTAACTCCTGTATTTATATATGGCACCCACTACCTTTACTTGTTTCAGATTTGTTTGTTACTTTGTCATTGCTTCCAATTTTAGATAACTATCTAAAGTAAAAAACCAAGTGAAAAAAGTAACCATAACATATACTTACTTCTTCCCTACTTACTTACTCTCCCCGCTCCTCCCCACCTAACTGCACCCCACCCCACCCAGTTCAAAGTGGTTCTGTGTATAATATTGAAGAGCAATTTGGCAATAGTCATTAAAAGAAATGTTTCTTACATGACCCATGACCCAGCCGTCATGAATTTATAAGAATCCATTAGCATGGATATATAAAGCTATATGTATGAAGATGTCACCACAGTATTGAAAAATAGCCTAAATGTTCATTGGTGGGAGATGAAGACTGTTTAATTAAATTACAATCTATCTATACAGTGGAATACTATGCAGTCTTTTATACTTGTAGGCATAACTACATGTATTAATAAGGGAAAATGCCCATGACAAATTAAGTGGAAATGCGAGGTGCAAAGCAACCATTTGGTAGTAGTTTGACCTGGGGCAAATTACTTAATATCTTTGTACCTTAGTGTTCTTTTCTGTAATTGGAGATGGAGACTGTTGTAGGTATTAATACACATAAAGGGATCAGAAGAGTGTCTGGTCCACTCAACAAGTTTTAGCTATCATTAGCATATAATGCAGTAAAAAACAATATGTGTGTATACATGTAATTATGTTTTAATGTTGATTAATATAATTGAGCAATGTGGTTATTATTTTTATGATGATCTAATTTTTGTACCATTTCTATGTGATTAAGTATATTTTAAATGAATATGGTTATATGTGTGAGCTTAAAGAAGTGGTGTTAAAATTTTATTTTAGAGGCTAATTTTTATTATTCTCGTTTAAATGTTATTTATTTTTATAATGGAGGAAAAGGACAAATTGACATGAACTGTCTATATTTATGTTAGTTCTTTCATTCTTCCCCATTTCTGATGCTCCTTGGAACTTAAGCCTTTCAATCCCTCATTCCCTCACTCCCTGGCACTTACTTAGATGTTAACTTCTTTTTAATTTGTTGAGAATTTAATAGGTATAAATTGAGAGGCAAATGGACTGGTTTGTTTCCAGTTCTGCCACTTTCACATAATGTAAATAGTCTATAATATAATAATCCTTCAATTCTTGGGGAATAGTAAGTTAATATTTTCTTATCCCCTACACAGTTAGTGGAATAATCATGTCATCAGGGTGGAGACACTTAAGTCTCTATCAATGCCAGTGAATTTTGCATTGGCGCAAAATAATGGAAAATCAGCAAGGCCCCTGTGGTGATAGTGGCCCCTGAGGAATTTCCATGGCAAGCCTAATAACTGCTGAAATGGAGAAAGTAACAGTAGAATGTAGTCAAAGCACAAAGCAGAGGAGAGTCAGGAGAGAGAAGGGCATCCCACAGGGCTGACTACTCTTAGAATTTAATACAGGAAGTGGGTTTTTCGTTTTATTTGCTTTGAGCTTACATTCAAATTTTCTAGGGTTGCTACTTTTTTAGTTCCCTGCCTCTGGGGCAAGAGAATCTAAAAGTTTACCAAAAAAACATCAAGAACCTAGAAAACCCCTTTCTCCCTCAACAGTCTTGTTTTGAAGACTGTTGTATTCCGTGAGCTCAGAAAAGTATATATTAAATGTCAAAAGCTTAACTTCGACTCTTTCCTGTTTTTTTTTTTTGTTTGTGTGGGGCTTTTTTTTGTTTCTATGTTTTTGCCGTACAAATTCTATTCAGAGAAAATGGGTACATGTAGCAGGGGAAGAGGTAGTCGCCCAAGGAAGTGGAAAAACTTGAAAAACAATACATTTCAGAAAACATGTCCATCATGTATACTTAACTCTCTTGCATGCACATAGTCAAACATAAATCCATCTGTTTACATATCATCCAAATATCTCTTTTCCTTTCCATGAATGTTATCTACAGCTGTGAGTAAATTAACTGAGAAGAAAGGAACTCTGCCTGCTCAAGTCACTTTCCACAGCATCCAGTTTATCATGAAATGAATTACTATGCTTTGCATATGACCTTCTGTTTGTGTGCCACGTAGCCATGGATGTTCACAGTTTATCTTCCCACTTCAGTCCTTTGCTTCATAGACATGGTTCCTTTTTTTTTCTTTTTCTTTTTCTTTTTTTTTTTTTTTTTTTGACCCACAGCTTCTCCTCTTCCTTAAAGCCTTTTCCGAAACAGAGCAGACAAAGTTGGCGATGCTGTCGGGGATTCTGCTGGGCAATGGCACCCTGCCCGCCACCATCCTCACCAGTCTCTTCACCGACAGCTTAGTCAAAGAAGGTAACGAGGCTCCTGTTTTCTCGCCTGTCAGACAACAAAAGAAAAATAAAGTCACAGATAGTTAGAAAAATGCCAGTGGCTCTTTTTGGTGTCCTCTATTACTCATTCTTCATTTAAGAGAATATCTTTGTATGGGTGTATATTGCCTTTCAAATAATAAAAGGAGTGGACTTGTTAATTGTAGGAAGTTTGAAGGAAAAAATATGCACACCTGTACAAAGACATATTAAGAAAGACTAATAGCAAATTAAAATCTCATGGAAGACTTGATGCCTAGGTCAAATACCCCGAAATCGATCTGGTAATCTTTTTGCCCTTCGACACAAAATGGCAGCCTTTAACTTTCACCCCTATTATAAGAACAAAAACTGTTCCCCTCTCAAGGTCTAGAGAAACTGATGCTCAGATATTCATTTTGATTGCACTTTTTAAGATACTCATTGTCTCAGTTTTAGAAAACAATTTTAAGTCTGCTGCATTAGAAGGAGTCTTGTTTTAATTTTAAGGCATTAAGGGTTGGATAGGCATGCATACCATGGTTTGGTTATAGAATAAAATAAAAGTCGGCTGTTTACTTGTAGGAGGATAATGATAGTCAAATTACAATGCAACACAAAACAGTTATTTTTCCTTAAAAATAAATTAAAAGAGCTTTTGTGAGAACATCTGTTTCTTCTGAGAACTTAAAGTTTTCCTCCTACATATATGAAGTCCTAGCTTCATTCATGCCTATAGTGAAAGAAAGGAGTCATAGTTTTCTTGTAGCTAAGGAAAGAATAGTAAATTGAGAGTCAATTGGTCTTATTCAGAGACTCTTCCTAGTTTTTAGCTTAAAATCACTCAGATTTATGACAATTCAGACTCTGTAATTGTTAGATGTTATTAGTATTATGACATTTTAAAGTATTTCCCTGAAGAAAATTCACAATACAACACACATCTTATTTTTGCTATTAGCCATTTTGCACACAGAAAGTCAACATAGAATATAAATGTTAATCATTAATTATTTTAAATTATCCTAGCCAACATAACAGAAAATAATTGCCTTTCTAGTTTTTTTAAAAACCTAAGTGATGTCTGTAACTTCCTTTGTAATATATCCAAAAATTACGTTATTAGGTGGATAGATATCTGATAAAGCAAATACGGCAAAATATTAGTTATAGAAACTAGATGGTGGGCATGTGAATGTTCATTGTTCAATTTGTTCAACTTTTCTGTATGTCTGGAAATTATTGTAGTAAAATGTTTGGGGGGTGGTGAGGAGAAAAATAACTTTGCTATGGAAGTAACATAGTACCTCTGTTATATGGCTTTTCCTTAAACTCTGCCATCTTTTACAAACTAGAGGTTTAAACCCTTGCTTCCTAATTGGAAAAGGATTAAGAAAATGCTGGGTATGGTAACTCATGCCTGTAATCCTAACACTTTGGGAAGCTGAGGTAAAAAAATTGCTTGAGGCCAGGAGTTTGAGACCAGTCTGGGAAACAAAGCAAGACTCTCTTCTCTACAAAAAAAAATTTAAAAACTAGCCAGGTGTGTTGGCACACCTGTACAATCCCAGCTGCTCAGGAGACTAAGGCAAGAGGATTGCTTGAGCCCAGGAGTTTGGGGCTACAGTGAGCTATAATCACATCATCTTACTACAGCCTGGGCAACAGAGAAAGACTATCTAAAATAAAAAAAAAGAAATAAAGAAAATGGTTAAGAAATTAATCATTTTCCCCAGCTCATCCAATAAATGACCAAGGGAGATGGGATTATCCTACTCAGAGGAGTAACTATAAAGAAAGTTAAATCTCAGTTTTAGGCTCCTAGTTTCAAGCGTAGTTTTTCTTTACGATACAGATTACAGCCTAGTGTTAATTTATATTAAATTTTATATTGGTTTTATGAGCTAATGATAATGCTAAAAATTCATCTTAAGTTGTTTAACATGAACTTTCAGTTAAGGTGTAATGCATGTTTTGTTGTTATAGCCGTTTTTGTTTTTTTTTTAACTTAGTTTCTTTGCTTATTCAAGGGAAGAAAATCAGGTTTAGTTGGTGTCTATATGAATGATAGACCAATTAAATGCTTTTACTTTCCAGTTGCTGGAAGACCTGGGTCAAATTGGTATATAAGGACATGGATTTCTTATGTAACAATAAATAGAAAATTAGGACAGACCTCAGGCTGAACAGCAGTATCATTCAGGACTTAAGTATTTTTCTCCTGTTATCATTCATAGCATTAACTTCATCCCAAGGATGGTGCCCCCTCTAGTTGTTATAAGATGCCTGCTGACACAGTTATGGCATATTCTTCCTGGTTCAGGTTCAGTGGAAGAACACTTCTCCTGAACAGAGGATAATTTATCTTTCCTTCAGCTGATTGGCTGACACAGGCTGCATGACTAGTGCAGGTCCAGTAGCAATTGCCAGGGGCGTGCCTTGGGCAGATGAGCTTAAGCGAGGTCACTAAATTAATCATCAGAAAGGGGTGGTACCAGGACTTAGACTAATCAGTAGTCACCTGGACTGGATAAAAGGGGACCTCTTTTAGGAAGGAGGTAAAGAGAATAGAGGCTGCTTAGGCCACATTATCATTAGCTCATAACAATAGTAGAACCTTCAGTTTAGAAAAATCAGTTAAATGTTTCAGTTACATCTTAACTCTTCATTAAATAACCGCAACATAAATTTAGAAATTTGAAGTGTTCATAGAACTGTCTTCTTGTTATCTGATTATTTCTATTTGGAAATAAGTGGTAATGTAAATGTGGACATGTGATTAAATGGTTTCCTGATTTAACATAACTAGCTTAATAATGATTTTTTTTTAAATCCAGAAGAGTTTAACTTGAAACAGCCTTGGTATTTTTATAGCTTAACTCAAGAATATTTTAAAATGCTTTTTATGGCTGCGTGCAATGGCTCATGCCTGCAATCCCAGCAATTTGGGAGGCCAAGGCAGGTGGATCACCTGAGGTCAAGCGTTCAGGACTAGCCTGCCCAACATGGCGAAACCCTGTCTCTACTAAAAATACAAAAATTAGCTGGGTGTGGTGGTGCATGCCTGTAATCCCAGCTACTTGGGAGGCTGAGGCAGGAGAATCACTTGAACCCAGGAGGTGAAGATTGCAGTGAGCCGAGATCGTGCTACTTCACTCCAGCCTGGGCGACAGAGTGAGACTCCATCCCCCCAAAAATAAAAATAAAAATAAATAAATAAAATGCTTTTTATAAAAAGCAAAACTAAGGTAAATGATATGTGTTCATCTATTCGTAGCAATACTTATTGTATCTATCACTATCAGTGTTCTTGTACTGGCATCCTTTATTAGCAAATTACTTGATAAAGGTGACATTACAGTTTTGTGTCTCCTAATTTACTTTCTTGTGCCTCAAGATCACTGTTATAAAGATGAAATACATATGAACCAGAGGGTGAAATAAAGGCAATAACACCAAAGATACTGGGTGTGAAATATGTTTTTGACCAAGGTAAAATAAAATAAACTTGCAGTTAGACCAGGTTGGATTCAAGGAGTCCAAATTTGAAAAATATTTTAATTTATTTTCCTTTTCCTGAAAATGTTCTAGTTTGAGTAATGAGAAGAGGAGAATTTGCCTAGAGGTCTATTGACTTTTCATTTGTACCAAAATTAGTCTTTTAGTTATTTACACATTTCAGGAAACCTGGTTGCTTTGCACACCATCACAATTGGTTTTGCTCGTAAAAGGAATGAAATTCTCTTTTGTTTTTCAACAGGCATTGCGGCCTCATTTGCTGTCAAGCTTTTCAAAGCATGGATGGCAGAAAAAGATGCCAACTCTGTTACCTCGTCTTTGAGAAAAGCCAACTTAGACAAGAGGCTGCTTGTAAGTGTTTTCTGGTTAAAGAGTTGTATGTATGATGCCTTTCTTGGAGCTTAAGCAATGCCTGCAATGTAGTATATGAGTAAGATCCCTGGATCTGTGTTGACTTGGAGCACTGTTCCTTTTATTTCTGTGTAATTGGTAGTAGAAGCTAATTTCATTTTAATCTTTATTTTGTGAACAAATGGCACAATAAAATTAAAGAATTGTGAAGAATATAGACTTCCAAATTTGTAAGTTTGTTGACATAGTATTAACATTTCATCAGAATTAAGACTTTGTTTTATAGCCATAACTTTTTTACTTTTTTTTTTTTTGAGACAGAGTCTGGCTCTGTCACCCAGGCTGGAGTGCAATGGCACAATCTCGCTCACTGCAACCTCTGCCTCCGGAGTTCAAACAATTCTCCTGCCTCAGCCTCCCGAGTAGGTGGGATTACAGGTGCTCTCCACCACACCCAGCTAATTTTTGGATTTTTTTTAATAGAGACGGGGTTTCACCATGTTGGCCAGGTTAGTCTTGAACTCCTGACCTCAAGTAATCCGCCCACCTCAGCCTCCCAAAGTGCTGGGATTATAGGCGTGAGCCACCACACTCAGCCTATAATCATAACTTTCTAGACATTTTAAGGTTTTAATATGATAAAAATTTCATCAATCTCACTTAATCAAATACTTGTGATGTCTGTCTTGAGTAGCAGTCAGACTGTGCTAATCTCAAATGTGTGTTAAATAGTTTGCTAACAAAATAAAAGTTTAAACAAGATTTCCCTGGAAATACTTAAGCTGTTGCAGAAATTAAACAAGTTAATTGTGTCACAATTGCTTGATTATATTTTTATTTCTCCATCTTTGTGTTTTTCTAAGAAAATCCAGAAAAATATTTTGTTCTTGTAATTTCTATCTGCTCCCTACAATTTCTTTCTTCTTGATGCAGCAGCTGTGAAATGCCAAGATTTCTCCAGGTGGAATTGCTTTTACAGTTCTAGGATGAAGTGTAAAAATAAGACACAGCGCTGCCATCTCTTCACCTGGCCTGTTCTCTGTTGTTCTCTTCCAATGTGTTTCAGTGTGCAAGGGTCCAGTCCCATGAGATAATTCTAAGACTATCTCTTTTCCTCAAGAACACATGAAAGTAATTTTAAATGTAAATACTTGCAATTTAAATCACTTAAGAATACTTTGTTTCTTGAAGTTTACCTTAAATAGATTTGTGTGTTTAAAGTTTTTAGATTATGGTAAAAAAGGTACAGAAGTCTAGATTCTAGTTCATAATAATTTTCATTCCTCATGTTTCCTGAATGTCTACCCTGTGCTGGGCATGGTACCACAAGCTGCAGAGCCAGTAGAGAACAGGATAGAAAAGTTGCCTGCCCTCGTGAAACCTACTTTCTAGTGGACTTAGGGCAAATCCCTGTAAACAGAAGCAAAAGTCACAGAAGATAAGTGAATAGGTTGCTGAGGAAGGTGGAGGTTCATATGAAGGGAACATATTTCTTGTCCATGAGGCTGTGGGTTGTCTATAGATTAGCTCTATCTTGGCTAAGCCTGGCTTAGTTCCACATGCCTTTTCATTCGGGCACAGGCTGAGGGAGCAGCTCCCATCTGGGCCATTCTGTCTTCATGGCAAAGTACCAGAACACAGAGACTGAACTGAACGTCTCAAGTACCTTAAAAACTCACCTATGGACGCTGCCATGCCTGGCAATAGATTGGGAAAATCCAATCCACTAATAGGCTGCTTCTCCACCTCTGCAGATAGACATAGCAAGGAGGGGGTTCTCTTAATACTCTTTTGAAGAAGAGAAGGTGTATGATTGGGAACAAAGATACAATCTATCCGGTTATTTCTTAAAGCAGTAATTTTCTTAAAGATATTCACAACTATAGCCTGGTTAGCTTAATTAGATGGCTTCATTTATAAAATTCATTTTCTTTTTGGAAACACATGTCATTTAGCTGTTTTTACTAGGTTCTGTGTGTGTGTGTGTGTGTGTGTGTACATATGTGTGTGTTTGTGTATATATATGGAACATAGGTGGTGGTTTCTGCGAGAAACATATAAACTGGGTGAGAACAGCGTAGTTGCCTATGCACTATGCCTGCCTGATATTTGTTGAATCAACAAAAGAATGAGGAACTAGTGAGTCAGTTCCACTCTTTAGGAGGAAATTTTGTTTTATGAACATATACAACAAAATTCTCTTTAACTGTGAACTACTACATTTTAGGAAAAGTTGTGTATTACTAGACTTTAGCTATCACCCACTATTACAATACAGAAGAAAGAGCAATTTATAGCAACTCAGAGAGGTGAGGGGATGGGAGAAGCCAACCCTTATTACTGACAAAGAGAATAGTGATTAAGAAATCAAAGATATTGATCTCTTCCATTATTTATTCAATAAGTATGTATCGATTATATTATATGCCAGAAACTTCCAAGAGATGGGGAGATTGAAAGGAACCAAACCAACAGACCCTTTCCTTCATGAAGCTTATATTCTATTTCAGGAGAGTGGGCCATAAACTAAAAACCGTAAAATATGTATTATAATAAAGGTAAAAATTAAGTAGGGGCCAGGTGTGGTAGCTCACACCTGTAATCCCAGCACCTCAGGAGGCTGAGGCAGGTGGATATCTTGAGATCAGGAGTTCAAGACCAGCGTGACCAACATGGTGAAACCTTGTCTATACTAAAAATACAAAAAATTAGCCGGGCGTGATGGTGCACACCTGTAATCTCAGTTACTCGGGAGGCTGAGGCAGGAGAATTGCTTGAACCCGGGAGGTGGAGGCTGCAGTGAGCTAAGATCACGCCACTTCACTCCGGCCTGGGTGACAGAGCAAGACTCCGTCTCAAAACAAAACAAAACAAAATTAAGTAGGAAAGAGTTAAAGAGCTTCCAAATGTGGGCTGTAACTTTCAGTGGTGGAAAGCCCTCTGTGATAAGATGACATTGGTGTAAAGACTTGAGGGAGGTGTGGAGTGAACTGTTTAAATATCTCCACATAGAGCATTCCAGGCAAAGGGAATGGGAAATGGGAAGGCCTTGGGGCATGGGATATTGGGGACCGCAAGGGGAGAGCAGGTGAGAGCAAAAGTGTAGATAAGCTCAGAGAAGTAGCAAGGCCCATATCATCTAGGGCTTTGGCTTGTATTCCAAATAAGATAGAAAACTTTTGGAAATTCTCTGCAGAATGGTGTGTAATGTGATTTTGACTCTCAACAGGATCACTCTTGCTGTCACTTTGGGAATAGACTCAGGAGCAAGAGCAAAAGCAGAGAGACCTTAATCTAGGGATGAGATGATACAGATTTGTACCACGGTATGGTTTCTCTAAAAAAATACAAACCATGTTCCAAGTCAAAAAATGACATGGTATGATTTAGACGGGCTTCCCCTCAACTTAATCTGAATAATGATTTTCAATGTATTATATACTATTCATAAGAATTTGGAATGTAGTTCATAAGTGAACTACGAGTGATATGTTTAATGGCATATTGCTCTGAACATAACTTTAAATCAAACTTTGCAGTCACACTCTTCCTAAATAGAATATTGAATGCTAGCACAGAGTAATGGAATAAGTATTGACTTGGGGGCACACAGCTCTGTTCTTAAATATTTTTGGTGGCATAAATTGGGTCAAGCTGCTTAACCTTGTTGAAACTTGGTTTACCGTCTAGAAAAATGTCTGCTTTACACAGTTATTATGAGGAAAGTGCCAGTACATTTTGATTCATAGAAGAAACTCAATAAAAATACATTAGTTCCCTTCCCTGCAGATTTGGAAGATGTGGAGCAGTAGAGGAAATATCAGTGACGCAGTTTCAGTGTGGTATAAAATGTTTGCTTTATTATGAATGCGTGTTTGATAGCTGCTCCCACCAGCTCTCTTCTGACATTTTTGAAACATATGACTCAACAGGGGAAATTAATAGGATGATAGAACATTGAAATTTGAATCCTGACATAGGAGCCCTCCAGCTGTGTTCCTATAGGTGGTGGCAAACCCATTGCAGATCTACTGAGGCTCTTTCTGGAACCACATAGCCATTGGCCATATATATGCAAGTCTAACCAATACAAAAGCTTGGATATATTTTTTAGACCCTGCAGCAGTCTGAAAAATGTGAGAACTTTGAAAATCATCTTAATTTCATAGATGGGAGTTGAACTCACCCAGGATTAGATCATGACTAAGTGTTACTGAGATTCTGCCAAACTGTGTAGGGTAAAATGGAAATGAGGTGAAAATATGAGAGCAGCTATGGTATATTGCTCTTTTTGAAAATTTCCATCAGAATTATGTAATAAACTAGAGTTGGTAGGGTAGGTGTCTTAGACCTTTTCTATTACTTATAACAGAATACCTGAAACTGGGTTATTTATACAGAAAAGGAACTTATTTCTTAACAGTTATGGAGGCTAAGTCCCATGTCAAGGGGCTGCATCTGGTGAGGGCCTTCTTGCTGGTGGGGACTCTGCAGTGTCCCAGGAAGGCTCAGAGTATCACATGGCGAGGGGGCTGAGTGTGCTAGCTCAGGTCTCCCCTCCTCTTTTTTAAAGCCACCAGGTCCCCTCCCAACATAACCCACTAATCCATGAATGGATTAATCCATTCATGAGGGCAGAGCCCTTATAATCCAGTAACTCTTTAAAAGCCTCATCTCTCAGTATTGCCACAGTAGGGTCCAAGTTTATCTCAATTGCTTACCCTTTTTTTCTTTTTCTTTGTGAAACTGCCTGATTTCAGAAGATGTTTAGCTCAGTAAATATACCAGAGATTTGTTGTTTTGTAAAACAGTCTTTATTCTTTTCTTCCAAATGTGAGATATTCTAAGTGAAATGAAGACTTTTGTCCTTTATGCTTGCTGAAATTTGAATGGCTTGTTTTATAGCAGTCTTTTTTCCCTTTTTCAGGAACTCTTTCCAGTTAACAGACAGAGTGTGGATCATTTTGCTAAATACTTCACTGACGCAGGTCTTAAGGAGCTTTCCGACTTCCTCCGAGTCCAGCAGTCCCTGGGCACCAGGAAGGAACTGCAGAAGGAGCTCCAGGAGCGTCTTTCTCAGGAATGCCCGATCAAGGAGGTGGGAGACCACGGGCAGACATCACCTCAATACACATGAATGAGAGGAATTACATGGGCTGTGTAGCAAAGGCTTTCCTTAACAAGTCTGTCCTATGCTTATTGCTGTAAACTTTGTCCACTTATTCCTACCATTTAAATTAACTCAGCTTCAAAGTATTGATTTAGAATCCTCCATTTTTGTTAACACTCTAGGATGGTCCAGAAATTAATAGTGATTTCCACACAACTGACTTATTTTACCAGGCTGCTATGATTTTCAAAATATTTCATCTGTCAAAGAGATTTGACCATCCACTATCAGTATAGCCCATTATATGGTAGTTTTAAAATTTTGTTGCAGGTTATCTAACCTGATTAAGCATTTGTCTAGTGTTTGGAATTAACACTGGATTTTTTGTTCATCACTCTGTATGAATATGTAACAGGCTTTTTATTTGAAAAAAGTTTGAATTCCTGTCATGGGAAAAGACTAGTTGGATCAGTGACTTGTTTAATCCCACTCACACTTGGAAGAGCTGTGTTTCCCTATAATGTAAAAGCTATATTTTTTATAATACGCATATACATAGTTTATATATACATGCTATAGTTCACAAAGCAATGACTATATCTTTTTTTTATTTTTAGTGTATCTGGAGAGAGCTTTCTATTTGAAGTTTTAAAATCTTTCATGCAACAATTTAAAAATTAATATAAAGCGTCCTTTCTTTTTTTCCACGTGCTCTAAAATGCCTGACCCACACCTCCTTCCATGCTCCAAGCCCTGCTTGGCAGCTCACATGGTTGAAGCCTGGAGAATGTAGGACTGATACTATCCAGCAGGTGGAGGTGTTGGAATGACAAATATTCTTAAGTCTCATGGTATTAAGGATAGCAGTATATTTAATCATATTTCTCCAAGCAAGAATTTGTACATTATTTTCCATGGGGAAAAGAAGCAAACATAAAAAGCCTTGTGATGCTTGTAGATGCCAGGATGTCACACTTTTATGTGGCTTCCTCCAGCCAGCACAGGGACTGGGACTGCCCGGCTCCTTCTGCTTTTGAAGGCTGCTCAAGTCACTGCTGGCATTTCTACACTCCAGGCCAGAAGTCAAGAAAGCAATGTGTTTCCAGCAAAAAAGAAAAGGGAGGGAAAAAAAAGGTGTTACTACTACTCACAAAGTAGTATGCTGGAGATATACGATGACTTTCAATCACTTCTGAGGCCCAAACCTCTATTTATTATTTTATTTTAAAAGGAAAAAGCCTTTCAAATAAATTTTAGGCAAGCCTATATTCCATACTCTCAGGGTTGAGTATAAATTTGCATATTTATACATAATTCAAAGGAGAAAATAAGTTGCTGAATACTGCTGAATTGATGTATATGAAATTTAAAAATTGCCTTTGCACTTACAATTTATTTACAAATTAACTTTTCACTGAGATGGGGCATAAGGATCATCAAAAGTAATCATTGAAGAATAAATTGTGGAGAATGGACCTGTACAAACCCAAGATGGTATCCATCAAGAGGTTTTAAAGTTTAGGGATGGGATAAAAGTTCACAACGCTGTTGCCTTCTTTAAATCTCCAAAAAGTCAAACTGGCTCAAGTATCCCTACTCTACTAGACTCAAAGGGGTTTCTCTATGAGGAAACAAAAATCCTCTCTTACTCCACATTATCCAGCAGCTCCTGGCCAGAGCTAAGCCTATTAATTTTGGGACTAAAAATAAATTTGCTTTGAGAACAAATCATTATAGTTTTTCTCCCTCTTCCAGTCTGAGAATGCAGACAAGGAAAGGAGAAGCTAAGCAGATTGTTTCTTAGCTGCCCCAAAACCTTGATTGACTGGGCAGCTAGCGGGGAGATGGGAGCCCTCCATCTGCCTGTTACTTTCTGACCCCATTTCCATGTAATGTAGGTGGTGCTTTATGTCAAAGAAGAAATGAAGAGGAATGATCTTCCAGAAACAGCAGTGATTGGTCTTCTGTGGACATGTATAATGAACGCTGTTGAGTGGAACAAGAAGGAAGAACTTGTTGCAGAGCAGGCTCTGAAGCACCTGAAGGTAACAGCCCTTAGCAAGGAACTGACCCAGCCAAGGGCAAACTGCAGCTTTTTTTGTTTGTTTGTTTGTTTGTTTGAGAGTGCAGTGGCACGATCTGCGCTCACTGCAACTTTGAACTCCTGGGCTCAAGCCACCCTCCCTCCTCAGCCTCCCAGGTAGCTAGGACTACAGGCGCGTGCCACCACGTCTGGCTAATTTCTTCATTTTTTGGTAGAGATGTAGTCTCGCTGTGTTGCCCAGGCTGGTCTTGAACTCCTGCATTCAAGCTATCCTCCTGCCTTGGCCTCCCAAAGTGTTGGATTGCAGGCATGAGCCACCACGCCGGGCCCAAATTTGTCTTAATTGAGAGTATGACAAATGGGTTCCAACTACAATTACCCTAGACTCAGACTAAACATATACTTCCTAATTTTTTTCCAAGTTTGCACCCAGCGTTCATGAGAACATAGCAGTGAGTAAACTGTCCATGTTACTTTGATCAGGGAAGGCCCTTTGGAAGAGATAAGTATTGAATTGAGTAAGTCTCAGAAAAACAATGGCTATGCCTCAGTGTCAGAAAGTCAAGGATATTTCTAAATGAATGCTTTTTATCCCAGCAGCTCATCAAGATTCCTTCCCTGTACCCACTAAGAGACCAAATATGAGAATCTGCCTATATTAAAGATAATTGCTGGCCTGCTATGTCTAAGGGATATTTCGAAAATGAGGTCATATCCTCATAGAATATCCATTGTATTATTGGACTGTGGCTCTGCCATTGAAAAAATGTGAATCTTCTTCCCAGTTCCCTCACAGGTCGACTATACTGCTTTGTTCCTACTGTTCTGTTCCCCTCACCCCATTGGGCACAATATGATGATAAAAGGTGTCAATCCTGAAAGTCAGTCTTTTCTAAGCAACCCTCCAGGTTACTGTTATAGTTCCAGCAGTGTCGGCTCTGTACCTCCCACGCAAGTGACGGCTTTTACTCTCCACTTCTGTTCTAGCAATATGCTCCCCTGCTGGCCGTGTTCAGCTCCCAAGGCCAGTCAGAGCTGATCCTCCTCCAGAAGGTTCAGGAATACTGCTACGACAACATCCATTTCATGAAAGCCTTTCAGAAGATTGTGGTTCTCTTTTATAAAGGTATCCATCCACGTGCCACTGCTGTGCTTCTGTGTTTTGCTGAAGCTCTTTGAGAGGCAGAGCAGGCAATGAGGCAGAGGAGGTCATGGGGCTCTGTTTAGAGAGGGACAGCAAGATGCTAATTTGTGAAAGTTTTATTGAGGCAACCATACCATGTAGAGAGAGGAGGCATACACGCCATATATGCGTTGCCTTGGAAACCCTGCTTAGGCCCCTGGGCACTTCTCATTGGTAGATGAACTGGTAATTGTTTCTTGGGGTTGGTGGAAAAAAAATGTAATTATATAAAATTGAGCCTGTTTTTGAATTGTAAGGATTAGCTCTAATAACAATGATTATCAAAATAGTATATATATTATGTTCAGACTCTTTTAGGTACCATAAATCTGACTTTAAAATTACTGAAGTAATTAGCCTTTTTACTTTGTATTTTAGTTACTTGGCCCAGCCATTCTCCTGTTTTCCAAGGGAATGGCTATTTTTAGGTTTTCACATTTACTGTCTTTTCATTGTATTTATAAGGATTAGGTTGCTATGACAACTGGCACTAAAATATGAATGCTAAAGGTTTTAACCGATCCCAATCTGTATACCTACAGCATACAGAAATGTCCTAGGCTATTTTTTGGGCCTACATTTATGTAGTTTTGTGAGGGAGAAAAAGGAACACTTAAGAAGTGGTACATTTTGAACATTATAACATGTTTATTTTATGTTATTATGTTCATAAATATCATATCAGAAAAGTTAAAATAATACCAGCCAAATGTTTATTTTCCCTTTCATGTGTTCCTAAATTTGTCTCTTTTGAATTATATCTTGGGAATTTGGAAAATAAAGGTTTTAGATAAATAATAGCTCTTTTAAAAATGCTTAATAGCATTTCACAATGAATTTTTATTGGCCACGTAGATTCCTCAAATGAATGAATCTTGTCCACAAGTGTTTGGGTGATATTTTACTTTTTCAGGGCACAGAGGTATTCAGCAACAATTATAATAGTCAGGAGGAAAATATGATGGCCACCCATTGCCACTTGAAGTTCAGTAATTGGTATTTTCTCCAACCAGACCTGAGTTGGGTCTTCTTGGATTTAGTCATAAGATAGCAGTGTCCTAAAACTAGGCCCCACCCAATGATACCCAAAGTGATCCACCCATCAGAACCAAACCTGCAAGCCATGTTACCAATTCATAGATGGTACCCAGCAGCCAAGAACGAGAAGTGGGGCCCAACCTTCTGTGGCCACAGCTGGCTCCATTTGTAAAACTGGCAGAGAGACCTATGGGACAGGTTTCACATTTGTTTTGAGGGTGGTCAATTTTTTCCACTACGGAAAACCAAACTGTTCGTAAACTAGTTAGTTACCTGAACATAGTTTGCTTTCTTGTCATATAAAAGATAACCCAACCAGTGTTTCTCACCAATTTTTTTTTTTAACTGAGACATCGTTGTCGGAGTCTCATCTTCAGGAGCACCCTATCGTATTATTGTAATGAAATCACAAAGAATCAGCAAACCCATTGTTACGGGAAATGACATCTAGGTGGCACATGAACTATTAAAATCCTTCAGATTTCTCATTTTAACCACTAATGCCAACCTCCTTTTCCTTTAGACTTAGACTTCTTATAACAACTACTGACAGGTAGTAAAACTGGCTACTTTGAGTTTTTTCTTCTTCATCAGCCCCAGATGCTAAGGGTCAGTATGACCTGAAATTAGAAAATAACTCAAGAAGTAAGCACTAGGAAGTAAAAAGAAGAGGCATGAGCTCTTAGGCTCATTGATTAACTAGGTAATCAGCGTTTAAATAACCTAAAGTTAGTGAGGTCTGTGGCAAGTATGACCTGGCCCCAGGGAACACAGGAAGGGTGAGTGTCAACATCAATTTTATTTCTGCCTTAGTTATTTTTGGAAATGAAATTGGGAAACTTTTTTAAAAATGTAAACCTAAAACACATCACTGAACTAACATTTTCAATACCATTTTCTAGGTAATTTTGTAATTTTCCACAGAATGATATATATAGTCTGTTTTCTTAAGTGAAATGATTCCATGTTTTCTCTGGAGAACATGCAATCCCTGAGGAATGATTGTTCCATACCACCGTTAAGAGCGTTACTGTGTTAACTATGTTTACCATCTTGTCTCTTTTTTGCCAGATTTTTACTTTCACCTTATTTTGTCCACCAAACACTTGTGCACCAGGAGACATGTATTTGATTTGTTTCTGTAAAGATTTGGATGCTCTCATTCCGTGTTTTATATGCCTAGAGGGAGACTTAGTAAACAGTGAGTGTTAAAGCACTCCTTTCCTAATATGCCTAAGAATTACCCAGAGAGCTTGTTATAAAACACAGCTCCCCCAGAGATTCTGATTCAGTAGGGCCAGGGTTGGGCCTGAGAATTTTCATTTTAACAAGTTTCCAAGCTGATGCTCTGACTGTTGTACCAGGACCACTGGTGTAAAGTGTATAGCATTCAAGAAGCAACAGATGCTATGAACTCCAGTGACATGTTCAAGATTATACTTACCTTTGATTTCATGTACATACCCACATTTTACACATATGGAGTAGTGTCTTCTCTGCTTCTTTTACCAAGTTTCTGTGGATTCCTTTTGTTTGTCATAAGGAACGTAGTGCTCTAAAACAAGTTTTTAAAATGTAATGGAAACCGTTGCTCCATTTTAATTTTCATTTTTATCTCTCTCTGACACACAGAGCACACACAAACATATACATGGACACACACACACCTCCCCTTTCCCAACATGTCCAGAACTTGATGATAGCAGAAACTTGGGCATATGATTAGCCATGTCCCCCTTGGCAAATCTAATTACTTAATTGAATATCATTATTGAAAGATTTATAAATCTTTTACATAAATAACAGTGGAATAAAAGCAAATAAACTAAATAATGCTAGTCAGCAAAGAAAAAAGTGGTGATGGGTCATTTTGCAAAGACTCTCTGTATTAAAATCTAGATTTGCATATTTTTAAGGTAGTAAGAAACAGTAAATCCATTGCTAACTTTCAAGCATCACATTATTGACTTTTAAAAATAATTTTCTCTTCTTTTTTCCCTGAAGATAAGTCCCATAGACTCAGCATGGTCTAAAATGTGTAAAACTACCTTGTCAAGTACTGTTATTATCTCTATCATGGGTTTTCTTGTTTGCAGAAATTTTTTAGGTTAAATTCTATCCTGCATGCAAATTTTTCTAAAAGGAGTTTTTTATTCTAGTTCTAAAAAAGGGTGAGTGCCCTTCTCAGCATATATTCCCAGCATTCTTAGGGTAAATTATTTTTGACTTGTGTCCCTATGTGACATTCCTAATAAAAAAATTTCTGAATTTCAAGAGTTTCAAGTGACATAGTTTCAGACTAAGTTTCTAAATAACTAACATGATCTAAAATTTAGCAGTTCTCAAGCCACTTTTACAGTATTGTCTCTTCGATCCTCATGAATACATTAGAACTCTACAAATTGAGAAATATTTATTTTTTCTCATCAAGTTAACAAATTTATTCCTTAAACGTGTGTTGAATCGATACTATAGGGCAGGTCTTTCATTAAATGCTGGAAATGAGATGAACAAAATATAGTCCCTGACTTCCTGAATTTCAGGATGTAGAAGAAAACAAAGAATTACACTCACCATGTCAATTGCTGAAATAAGCCTCACACAGAGGGTGTCAGAAGGGATAGGACCACAGAGGGAGGGCACCTAACTTGTTAAAGGTAATTTGGAGGGGGAGAAGTGAAGGCTCTCAAGGTACATGTATCTCACCAGACATTATGAAGAAGTTGGCCAGATAGAAGGGGAAAACATATATTCCAGTCTCTATGTGCCATCATACAATGTCTTCCTTTCTTACTGTCTTTTACTGTTATTCTATATTCCTAATAGGCATTTATGAAATATCCCACCAAAAATGGTTTCTCAGTTTTAATTAACTCTTTTCCCTACTTTATCCTTAGTGAGGGAAAAAATTGTCTGAATTCTTTGTCCCTCAAGGAGTTCCTTCCTTTTCAGACCTTTCCTTTCACTAAATAGAAGTTTAATTTCTTCTTAAACTCTTCGATGTTCATACTTTGCCTCATATGGTGCTCTGTGTAGATACTTCAGTAGCTTTTAATTAATAATTCTCTGGTACTAGAAGTTTGATCTTTCAGCAAGTAGTTGTTACTACCCTGGGTTCTTCTAAGAACTCCACATTGCGCCGTTAATATGTAGACTTATTTTAAATTCTCCTTCCTATTCTTAACATTAAATATTCTCAATTAATGGTAACTTAAGAATATCAAGGCACAAGATTTGCAATAAACAATGCATTTGATAGGTTTTACCTATCATTTAGTGTGCTTTTCACAAGCACTGACATTGACAAGCATTTTAGTAGTTGCATGGTCTCCTTCAGCCTCTGTGAGGCAATAAAACACAGGAATGTGCTCTCAACCTTCAAAAGGAAAGCTCAGACAAATAGTATCACTAAACTGCAGTCTACATCAGCTTTCCAACCTGTACTTTGTATCATCCTCAATTCATTAAGGTGTGGAGAAAAAAAACAATTCTCCTTTCCATGTTTGTCACAGTTTAAAATTATATTGTTTGTGCAGAACATTAATAATGATAGTTTAATAGTGCATGAATATAATTTATAAACTCAAAAATATACATATGTTGGGTGTATATGCTCAAAATTATCCTACAGGCAGGAAGACATGATCCAAACAGTTTGATAATTACTGATCTAATCATAAGCATCTTAAAGATAATTTACAAGTTATATAAAAGGGTCTTTTAAAATCCCTGTTAATGTTCTTTAAAAGTCTCTGCAAGGCAGTCTTACACAATAACAGGTCACTTCCTCGGGACACAACTGCCTGCTCCTCAGCTCTATGACAATTAGGCTCTGATGGCTGGTAGAAATTTCTTTTATCTCAGTGGAGAGCTGGAAACAAAGAGCTAAAATAACTAGAAGCTAAGAATAAGTCTACAGGACCCCTGATTGTAGCTCTTACATCCAGGCTCTATAAGTAAATCCAGACTTCTTGCTTCCTTTGCAAAATGTAATGTTTTTAGTGATGATAATAAACATGTTTTTTTAAAAAACCTTTTATTTTCATAAACAAATCATGTTCATTTTAGTCAGCTCAGCCTCTTCAATTTAATTCAAGAACATTTTCCAAGAGCCAATAATTCTTTAAAAATAAAAAAAGCCAATGTTTTTGTTATGAAACTACCAGTGATGTTTTAAATGAAAACAATATTAAATTGTTTCTGTCATTTTCATAAGTTGAAATTATATTTTAACTGAAAAGATATCATTAAAGTAATTTATTAACATTATATGGCTTTATCAGTATTTGTAATGAATTGAGCACATCTCGGGGACAATAATAAATGCTTTGTACCTGTTTTCTGTCTCGTTTCCCACTACAGATTCCCAAACAACAACCCATTAGAACATTGGAACATTAGAAGAATGTTAGAACAACCCATTAGAACATTGGGAGACTATGTACACTTATTTTTATATTCTCCTTCCTATTCTTAACATTAAATACTCTCAATTAATGTTATGTTGAGAATATCAAGGCACATTTGTGGAATTTAGAGTTTTAGACAAAAGATAGTTAACATTTTTTGTTGTTTTTAGAAACCTGTAGGAAATTAGCTAATATGTCTATTTTGTCTTAATGTAGTAGAGGAAAAATATTACTCTTGTAATTTGGGATATACTGTGGGAAAATAAGTCGTGATTTAGTGATGGAGAAAGTGTAGAACTTCAGTTTAGGTGTGTATTACTCCCACAACATAGCCCAGAAGTTCCTCTTTATATCTAATTGCTAACATCATTATTGCATACTATCTACATTTTTTTCCTTTGTCATTTTTCTCCTAAAAAAAGAAAATCCCAATCTCCTTAAAAGACACTGGTCATTTGAGGTTACTCTTTAATCAAGATATGGTTGAACTTGGCAGGACCCAAAATGTTCTAAAATGCTGGAATTGCTGGTTCATTTGCAAAATTACAAAACAATTCTATTTCCTACCAGCAAATTAGCACTGTGAGAGATTTCCAAGTCCTAGTAGTGAGCTATAGGCTTGCATTATATCATGCCTAAGAAGATGTATATCATCATCATCAGTACTTAAGCCTTTAGTAAGCTATCAAAATATGGCACTATGCTACATGAAAATCAACTTGGTTCCTCTCTTCTGATAAGTAACAGAATGCTTTATATTTAAAATGATTGCTTTCTATTAAACTGTAATACATGAAGTTGTTTTGAAACATGACATTTGTATAGTAACTTTGAAATCTTTGATTTAAAATTGCAGCTGATGTTCTGAGCGAAGAAGCAATACTGAAATGGTATAAGGAAGCACATGTTGCTAAAGGCAAAAGTGTTTTTCTTGACCAGATGAAGAAATTTGTTGAGTGGTTACAAAATGCAGAAGAAGGTATGATTCTGTTTACAAACATTGATGACCTTTAAACACTGTCTCATTATATGTCAAAATATTTACCTCTTCCACAGATTTTACTTGATTTTCTAAAACTAAAATTCTAGAGTTATCTTTCGTATCAAACATTTTGCCAACATCTTAGCTTTCCTTTCTGAAATCACGGCAATAAAAATCTCTACATGTAAAAACAAAGAAAGAAATGAAATGCTTAAATTATCCACTCTGATGGAGGACAATAAGGAAGAAATGATTAGTAGATGTGAAAGGAGAAAAATACATTTAGCTTAATCACGCATTATGGAATTCTATAGATTTTTATGACACCTTTACCAATTAACTGGCAATTTTAAATAATGGAAATATAAAGTGGAAGGATAATAATGAGTAAGAGTGAATTCAGGCCAGGTGTGGTGGCTCACACCTGTAATCCCAGCACTTTGGGAAGCAGAGGTGGGTGGATCACCTGAGGTCAGGAGTTTGAGAGCAGGCTGGCCAACATAGTGAAACCCTGTCTCTATTAAAAACACAAAAAAATTAGCCAGGTATGGTGGCTCACGCCTGTAGTCCCAGGTACTCGGGAGGGTGAGGCAGGAGAACCACTTGAACCAGGAGGCAGAGGTTGCAGTGAGCCAAGATTGCGCCACTGCACGCCAGCCTGGATGACAGAGCAAGACTCCATCTCGATAAATAAATAAATAAAGTGAATTCAATTAAGAATAAAAAGTTCAGGCCAGGCACGGTGGCTCACGCCTGTAATCCCAGCACTTTGGGAGGCCAAGGCGGGCAGATCATGAGGTCGGGAGATCGAGACCATCTTGCCTAACACAGTGAAACCGTGTCTCTACTAAAAATATAAAAAATTAGCCGGGCATGGTGGTGGGCACCTGTAGTCACAGCTACTCGGGAGGCTGAGGCAGGAGAATGGCATGAACACAGGAGGCGGAGGTTGCAGTGAGCCAAGATCACAGCACTGCACTCCAGGCTGGGCAACAGAGTGAGACTCCATCTCAAAAAAAAAAAAAAAAAAGAATAAAAAGTTTATCTTAGGTGATCCAAAGAAGAAAAGTTATATTGTTTAATTTTATATATATTCAAATTTTTATATAATTTATATGTATAAATTTAATATATATAAAATGTATTCATTTATAGGTATTTGTATATGTATGCATGTTGCATTTTTAGACAGGCAAAATTTACGTGAAAGCAGAAAAGAGCAAGAGTTTGCTATCTGCCCTCATGTGACTATTTTACCTTATAATGGGTGCCTAGGGTAAAAGTATGCTGGTGCAATGGCAGGGTTCTGGGTTGGTGACTGTAGTAACTTTTGACCTTAATTAGAGGAATCTGGGAGGAAATATCTCACTTCTTTCTTCTCTCCTAGAATCCGAATCGGAAGGTGAGGAAAATTAAATGGCTCAACAAGCACAATACCTAGGTTACCACACACCACTTTTTGATTGGGAATGCTGAACCATTTGAGAAGAGAAACTTGGCTTCTGTTTTCGCAAAGGAAAAAAAAAATAGGATAGGCTTCCCTTGTGCAGAGGGAGAAATGGTTTTGTTTTTGTTTTGTTTTTAAATGGAGCCCTGAGGCATCAGCTATTATACTTGGGACTCTACCTCTCACTCACTATATGCTAACTTAAAGCCATTCAACAAGGAGTCAAGTAGATCTGAAATTAAATACTCAACAGACTCCTCCTTTTTTAGCTGTATTTTTCAGGTACTGTGTGGTGACCGCCCCACTGGTGTCTATTACAGGCCACTTTGGTAGTTGTGTATCTGCTCATGTATGTGATTTGACAAACCAGTTTTTTAAAATAAATGGCTTTTTAAAAATCTGGGCTTATATTGTCAGAGCTTTTATTTCTTTCCTGTACGTGACTTCTTACACAGATAGTATTTTGGTGTTTTTTCTCTTTCCATCCACAATACTGAATGGTTATATTTCTTGTCATCTATTAAAAACTATTCTGCTCACACCTGTAATCCCAGCACTTTGGGAGGCCAACGCGGGAAGATCATGAGGCCAGGAGATCGAGACCATCCTGGCTAACACAGTGAAACCCCATCTCTACTAAAAATACAAAAAATTAGCCGGGTGTGGTGGTGGGCACCTGTAGTCTCAGCTACTCGGGAGGCTGAGGCAGGAGAATGGCGTGAACCCGGGAGGCGGAGCTTGCAGTGAGCCAAGATTGTGCTACTGCACCCCAGCCTGGGCGACAGAGCGAGACTCCGTCTCAAATAAAAAAAAAACAGAAAACTGTTCTGTTTCTCTCATCTCATGAGTAATACATTTCAGTTATCCTCATGGCAAAGGAGAAGTTAACCCCCAAATACACGCACATTGGTCTTATTAATAATACCATGGTTATATTATTAATAATTAAGCATATAAATATATGATTCACATGGCTCGTTTTCCTCAGCACTATTTTCTCCCTAGTTAGAGGAGAGCTAAAGATTTATGTATATAGGTTTAGGTCTTTGTTTATATTTATTTATGGCTAAGTTATTTTATCCTTTAAGTTATTCTTCTCTCAGTAGTATTCATAACAGTACGAAACATCTGAACATTTAGGAAAACTTTATACAGAAGTCTTTTTTTTTTTTTTTTTTTTTTAACTTTTGGAAAGCTTAAGGTACTGCCCTGGTGCTAGGGTGATGGTAATCTCTAAGAAGGAAACATTTTATCTAAGACTTGAAACAAAAGGATGGTACATTAGTAACCCATGTACTCATTAAGATAAGTAAAAGGAAAATTGTCATTGTTGTATCATCATCCTGTATCTAAAGAGGGTTTTCTGATTTCCTGTTTGTCTTCAGAAAAGAAAAAATATTTTCCATATGACTCGACCACTATTTATGTTCATAAAATGATAGATCATTTTCTCTTTTTTTGAGAGGGGCTCGTGCCCTCTGTGGTCCAGGCTGAAGTGCAGTGGCATGATCACAGCTCATGGCAGCCTCAACCTCCCAGCCAGGCTCAAGCAATCCTTCTACTTCAGCCTGTCAAGTAGCTGGGACTACAGGCACATGCCACCACAGCCAGCTAATTTTTAAATTTTTTGTAGTAATGGGGTTTCACCATGTTGCCCAGGCTGGTCTTGAACTCCTGAGCTCAAGCACCCTGCCCACCTCAGCCTCCCAAAGTGCTAGGATTACAGGTGTGAGCCACTGTACTGGACCAGTCTTCCTATCTTTTAAATATTTGATAAATGTCTTTCTTTCTGCCTAGTTAGAGCACTGTCAAGTTCTCTGCCCCAGCGATGGACAGAGTAATATCTGTTTAAATAGATCTTTTTTTGTTGTTTTTTTGAGATGGAGTCTCGCTCTGTTGTCCAGGCTGGAGTGCAGTGGCATGATACTGGCTCACTGCAACCTCCGCCTCCCGGGTTCAAGCGATTCTCCTGCCTCAGCCTCCGGAGTAGCTGGGATACAGGCGTGAACCACTACACCCAGCTAATTTTTGTGTTTTTAGTAGAGACGGAGATTTCACCATGTTGGCCAGGCTGGTCTCGAACTCCTGACCTCAGGTGATCCACCCGCCTCAGCCTCCCAAAGTGCTGAGATTACAGACGCAAGTCACTGCTCCTGCCCCCTTCCATATATCTAAAAATTGTAATTTTGAAGATAAATAATAATTATACCATGAGTGTCTATTAATGTGTTTATTTGAATTGAAAAAATGCAAAATTTTAACTGAAAAATAAACTTGGCCAACTAAGTTGACACATCCTGACTGCCAGTTAGGATACATGGCCAGCATATTCTATAAACTGAATAAGTTAAATATGCATCTCTAATATACTGACAAAATTTAAAGATAAAATATTGAAAACATGCTACAAATGTTATGTCAACTTTTATGTGTTTTTATATGTCAATGTGTAAGAGAGTTATTGCTCCACTTCAGCAGAATATGAGTAAAAAATGTGAGCCAACAACTTTGTTGGCTCCAGCATTTCCAAGGTAACCAAAAAGCACAGTTATCCAAGGGCTTAGAATGGAACCAACATGGAACTAGAAGTCTATGGAATACTACTTAACGTTTTCCAGCGCAGAGTATTTTTCCCAAACAAAACTTGAAGTAGTGATTGTAAGGTCGGCACGCATGGGGAGGGGAGAGGAATGCTCAAACAGCAGGGACTCAGTAATGAATCTTCAAACCAAAAGCCCTGTCTTTCTCTGAAAGACAATTTCCTGTTTTTTGTTTGTTTCTTTGTTTGTTTTTAAATAAAACCAGTTTCTATTTTAAAAGTAGTTAAATTAGTTATCCATTGCCATAGAACAAATTACCCTAACATTTGGCCATTTGGCAGCTTTAAACAATAAACATATGTGATGCCACAGCTTCTGTGGGTCTGGAATCTGGAATCTGGGACTGGCTTGCTGGGTGGCTTCAGCTCAGCCTCATGAGGTTGCCGTCAGGCCATGGGCTGGAGTCGCTGTCTTCCCAGGGCTGTAGAATCTGCTTTCAGGGTGACTCACAAGGTTGTTGGTGGACCTCAGTTCTTGCTGACTTTTAGCCAGAACCTCAACTCAACTGCCTGAGTGACCTCATGACATAATAGCTGGCTTCCTCCAGACTGAGTAATCTGAGAGACAAGGAGCCCAAGAAGGAAGTCACCTTTAATAACCTAATATGGGAAGTGACATAACATCACTTCTACTATATTCTATTGGTCACGTAGACCAGCCCTGTATAATGTATATGAGAACTGAGTGAGAGCATGAATACCAGTACATCAGGATAATTTCAGGCCAACTTGGAGACTGGCTACCACAGTAGTACATACACAAAAATAATATCTGATAAATTAAAAATGTTCACCTTGCCAGGCATGGTGGCTCACACCTGTAATCCCAACACTTTGGGTGGCCCAGGAGGCTGGAGGAGCCCTTGATCCCTTGAGCCCAACACCAGCCTAGGCAACACAATGAGACCCCATATCTACAAAAGTTAAACAAACAAACTGGGCATGGTGGCACCACCTGTGGTTCCAGCTACTCTCGAGCCTGGGGCAGGAGGATTTGCTTGAGACCTGGAGGTTGAGGCTGCAATAAGGTGTGATCATGCTATGCACTCCAGCCTGGGTGACAGAGTGAGACCTTGTCTTAAAAAAATTAAAAATTAAAATTTTCACCTAATGGTAAAACAATGAAAGCCCTAAAAAAACAGAGAAATGTCTTTATAGCCTTCACATAGAGAAAACAAGACACAAAAGCAAAAAAAAAAAAAAAGCTCTGAATATAGAAAGTTTAAAATGTGTCTATACTGAAAGGCATATGAATGAGAAACACCAAATGCATACGGGATCAGTAGAGTTTCAACAGATGGATAAAAATAAAAGTTAATAAAATATAAACAGCTTCTATAAATAAGAAAAAATAAAGAATTTAACTGAAAATATACAGAGTATGATGAGTCAATTCAAATGGATAATTAAAATGAAAAGATGCTCAACCTTACTGTTAATTGGAGATGTACAACTTAAAATAATAAAGTCAGAAAAAATTACTAAAATCAATAACGTTAGTTGTATGAAAAGTGAGTTATTTTCACATATGGCCTTTACAGTTACAATCTGGCAATAAACATCAAGATTTTAAAAATGCATGTCCATTGATCCAGCACTCCATTTCTAGAAATCATTCCACAGTTGTACCCAAAGACCTATGTGCACTGATCACTGTATTAGTGACAGGCTGGTAGATGTAAAATGTGTATAAGAAAAAAGCCACTTGGCCGGGCATGGTGGCTCACACCTGTGATCCCAGCACTTTGGGAGGCCAAGGCAGGTCGATCACCTGAGGTCAGGAGTTTGAGACCAGCCTGGCGAGCCAAGATTGTGCCATTGCACTCCAGCCTGGGCAACAAGAGAGAAACTGCCTCAAGAAAGAACTGAAGGAAAGAAGGAAGGAAGGAAGGAAGGAAGGAAGGAAGGGGAGGGAGGGAGGGAAGAAGAGAAGAAGGAAGGAGGGAAGGAGGGAGGAAGGAAGGAAGGAGGGAAGGAAGGAAGGAGGGAAGGAAGGAAGGAAGGAAGGAAGGAGGGAAGGAAGGAAGGAAGGAAACGACTACCTTAAAAATTATCATAAATCTATATCATGAAACAAATTTTTTTTTTTTTTGCTGTGAAACAAATTGCCCTAACATTTAGCAGCTTTAGACAATAAACATTTTTTAAACATTTTTTCTGCCATAGTTTCTGTAGGTCAGGAATCTGGAAGCAGCTAAGCAGGGTGGTCCCATGATATGCATTTCTAATCTATGACTCGAACAGTTTTAGAATACTACTTGACATTTTCTAGCACGAAGTATTTTTCCCAAACAAAACTTGAGATAGCGATTTTAAGTTAAGGTAAACTAAAAAAGATGTTAATAATATATTGTTCAAGGAAAAATGCAAGTTTTAAAGAATGTTTTTTTCATCAAAAAAGTTATGTGTATGTATACCTTACCCTTATAAATACATAAAAGAGAAAATATTATCTAATAATTGTTATAAATGTTATTTCTGCATGTATCTTGGACAGTGATGGGACGAAGAAAGGGAAATAATAATTTTTCTTTTTACTCTTCACACCTATTTAGATTTCTTTAGAGTATCTGATACATTCATAATTTTAAAATTAATGTGCTTATTCTATATTATTTTTATATCCTGCTCCTTAATCATACTCTGTATTTTTACAATATCAATAACTATTCTTCAAAAACATGATTTTTGAACATGTCATTGTTCTTGGTCCAGAAGGGTCACAATTTATTTAATTATTCCAGAATTCTGTATAAGGTATCTTTAACTTTTTGCTTTTAAAAACTAGCATTTAAAATATACCTTTATATAAATTTTTCTTCATCTATGGTTATTTAGAAAAAACATGGAATTTGGCTTAAAGGGTTTGAACATTTTAACACAATGTGATGTCACTTTCTGGATTTGCATGTATACTTTTAAATACATTTTACTCCCATTTTGGGCATAGTTCAAGGCAGTATCATTTCAGTAAGAAATTTAAAATTATGTTAGTGTCTAAAAATAGAACGCTACACTTCGAAACTTCTGGAATTCAGCAGTTTCCAATTTGCAAAATTTTGTTGGGGTAGAGGGAAATAAAAATCTTTCATTTGCAAACCAAGAAACCAACAATCGTGAAACATATCATGTCTTGCATAGTCATAGAATTGTTTGGCTTGAGACAATGTGCGTCCCATTACTAATTTCTAAAACACCTCCCAGCTCATGCTGATTCAGTGTTTCTGACCACATCTTCTCTGAACTAATGGTAATTATTTCCTTTCTGCTCTCTGTACTTTTGAGAAATGATAGACTTCAAAGTCCCTCCTGGTATACCCTACACCCGGTATATACCTTGGTACACCTTTTCTTGTGGAATAAATGGGTGTAAAATGTTTCTTCCACATAAAACACCTTTTTAGAACTAATCTTTGCATGATTGAAACCTTTACATCTTGGTTTTATGTGCGTTTTAACTATTTTATTGACATACAACATATAGAAAAGTGCATCTAAGTCTTTGGCTTGAATGGAAATAGCACACCTGGGTAATCAGCGATCCAGTGAAGAAATTGAACGTTAGCCTCCTCCTACCTCTCCCAACCCCAGCCTCCACCCAAGAAATCATGATCCTGGATTATTTTTGCCTGTGTTTGAAATGGATGCATTTAATATTATTTTGTTAATGTCTTCTTTTACTCAACCTTGTTTTACCTTTTTTGTTGTTCTTTGTGTTTAGTTGTTTTCTGGTGTGTGATTAAGTAGCCACAGTTGACCTAGCAACAATAATGCCCAGCTCCTTCAGCAGGAACAGGTGAAATGAGAACATTATTTTTTAATGAGCCTGAATGTTGCACTATGTTCTTGGCAGAGAATAATTTCTAGGTACATATCTGTTTTTCAGAGATAATCTTTGGAGCACATGGTTTTCCTCATCATAAAAAAAAAAAATCATCCGTGTCTTCTCTGGAAAAGTAGTCACATCTTTATGGGCAAGATAGATTTTTTTTAATGAAATCATAAACGACTGTGGCTTCAGTCCTTTGGACTTCTTCCCACATTTGACTTTTGCTGCTGTTGTAAGTGAAGGGGTAGAGATAGGAACTTGGAATTGATTGGCTTGAGTGCGAAGACCCCATTCTGCCATTTAATTTGCTGTTAAACTAATTAGCTAGTCACTTAACTCTTGGTATTTACTTTGCTTAATTGTAAAAATAAGAGCTTGGACAGGATTCAGCCTTGAACCAATAGTGTGAGCCACCCAAAGTAATCTGCAAAACTCTGTTTTCATCAGATAGTCAGTGGTCTGTGACCTAAGGAAAGTAAAATATGACTGGGCTACCTTGCTGATCCTCAAACTTCAGCATGCATCAGGATCACCCAAGGGTTTGTTACAGTTGATTGCACCCCTGCCAGCCTGTGTCTGACTCAGTAGGGCTGGGGTCTAAGGATTTGCATTTCTAACAAGTTCCCGGATGACACTATTCTGTGTCAGAACCACACTTGGAGAACTGCGGGGCCGAATGGTTACTAAGCTCCATTTCTGTGCTGACTTTCTGAAGTCCGTTATGTCTTCAGTTAAGGAGACAGATTGTATTTTGTTCAACTCTGTATCTGCAATTGCCATATAGCGTAGCACATAGCTTGGCAGGAAGTTGGTGTCCCGTAAAGTTCGAATGTCTAAGTGAGTGAATGTGCGTTAAGAAGAATACCTTTTTAGGCCAAAGGTGGTGGCTCACGCCTGTAATCCCAGCACTTTGGGAGGCTGAGGCGGGCGGATCACAAGGTCAGGATATCGAGACCAGCCTGGCTAACATGATGAAACTCTGTCTCTCTTAAAAATACAAAAAATTAGCCGGGTGTGGTGGCGGTTGCCCGTGGTCCCAGCTACTCGACAGGCTGAGGCAGGAGAATAGTGTGAACCTGGGAGGCAGAGCTTGCAGTGAGCCGAGATTGCGCCACTGCACTCCAGCCTGGGTGACAGAGTAAGACTCCGCCTCAAAAAAAAAAAAAAAAAAAAAAAAAAAAGAAATCCTTTTTAAAGAGTTGATCAAAAATTCATCCTAAATTTTTCCTATACCTTCTTTAACAAGTTCAGCATTGGAGCCACAGCCTGACTGCTACTTCATGAGAATTTGGATTAATGCACTAAACAACGACACATCATTATTGATTGTGTCATTCCCTGGAACAGAGCCAATACACTGTGGGCCCATAATTTATTTATAAAATACTCCTGACACTTTCTCTTATTATTTGTTTTCAAAGGAAGCAAAAAGAACTTTACTGTGAGGATTGTCTAACCAGGCTCTGTAACAATGCCAATTATTCTTTTTTAAAAGTTGTTACAAATTTTTATATATTTAGGGAGTACAAGTGCAGATTTCTTAGGTGCATAGATTGTACAGTGGTGAAGTCTGGGCTTTTAGTGTACTCACTACCCAAATAGCATACATTGTACCCGACAGGCAATTTCTCACCCCTCAGTCCCACCCCTGCCTTTCGTAGTCTCCAGTGTCTATTCTTCTACTCTATGTCCCTGTGTGCCCATTGTTTAGCTCTCACTTGTGAAAGTGAAAACATGTGATATTTGACTTTCTGCTTCTGAGGGTTTTTTCCCATAAAATCCTAAAGTTTTTTTTTACTTTTTAAGTATTTTCAAGTATTTTTATTTTGTATTTTTAAAAATACTTTTCAGCTGGGCACAGTGGCTCACGCCTATAATCCCAGCACTTTGGGAAGCCGAGGTGGGTGGATCCCCTGAGATCAGGAGTTTGAGACCAGCCTGGCCAACATGGTGAAACCCCGTCTCTACTAAAAATACAAAAATTAGCCAGTGTGGTGGCTCACACCTGTGGTCCCAGCTACTTGGGAGGCTGAGGCAGGAGAATAGCCTGAACCCGGAAGGCAGAAGTTGCAGTGAGCCAAGATAGAGCCATTGTACTCCACTCTGGGTGATAGAGCCAGACTCTGTCTCAAAATAAAAAAATAAAATGAAATAAAATAAAACACTTTTAAAGTATTTTAAGAGGCACAGGAGAGTGGGAAATGTCTCAATTCAAATAGTCTTGATTTTTTTATTATTATTATTTTTTAGTCCCCAGGGAAGAAGCAGTCCTTGATGTTTTACAACCAACTAAATCCTTTGAGGAATCTTAGACCTTTTCGTAGCATTATCTTTTCTTTTTAGCAGGAAATCCTCATGGTTTTCTGAGTGTAGTCTCCAGACTGGCAGCATTGATATTCCCTGGGGGCTAGCTGGACATGAAGACTGTCAGGATCCCCCCAAGACATGCAAAATCAGAAACTCTGGGGGTGGACTGAGCAATCTATTTTGACAAGCCCTCCTGGTGATTTGGATGCAAGCTTGGGCTTAGGAACACTGACCTAACCCAAACTTCAGGTGTCAAAACATCTTGGAACACATTCCCAAGGGGACATAAGGGCAAGCAGACAAGAACTGAGGCAGGACCAGGCTTTGGCACAGGATAAGGGATTAGTGAGATGGTAGATTTCATTTTTCCTGAAAGCTGATTAAAACTGGCAAATATCTCTGGAGAAAGATGTCCTGGCATCCTTCAGTGGGTTTTACCTGATGTAAGAGGATAGAAGATGTTAGTGCCCTATAGCCGTATGACAGCTAATCTGAACTCATTCCCAAGTGTGTGGGAACACAGTGAAAAGTATAGTCCTAAAACTGGTCTTTCTTGATTTTTTTATCTTAGTGAGCAATAAAGTGAAAATGTATTTGTTTTTTTTTTCTTTTTTCCAGTGTGCTCACCAACAATTACAACCAAACAACAATTTTTGTTGTAGTACCAAAAAACAACTTTTCTAAATACAAGGAAATCTAAGAGATGACTATTTACAACATATCTAAAACTTTCAGAGAATAGAGAGTAACACAGGTGCTACAGAGTAGGGAAAGATGAATTTTCTGTGTATATGCTTCTAGCAGCCTAGATAGGAGAGTACCAGGCTAACTAGCTTGCAACAAAGGATTTTAAAATTCTGATGCTGAGGATAAAATAGCAGATGAGATATTTGATCATGTATCTTGCTTTGGACCAACCTTAAAGTTTTTTCATGGATTTTAGAAAAACTGTTCACTTTGGCCTCTAGCGTTTTGTTCAAATCACAACCTGTTTCACGTCATAACTTGTACCTGCTAAATGGCTTTGAAATATTTTGAGCAATGACAATGGCCAATGAATTATTTACGAGTGCATTGTATAATTTTCATATATTTGAGTTTTAAAATATGTGGTTTTAATTACTTTCTAGTTTAATTTCATTGTGGTAAGAGAACATAAATGGTAAGATTCCAAAGCTTTTAAATTTATTGAGACTTGTTTTATAGCCCAGCATATGGTCTATCTTGGTGAATATGCCATTTGCACTTGAAAACAATGTGTATTCTACAGTTGTTGGGTGGAGTGTTCTACAAATATGGATGAGGTCTTGGTGGTTGATAGTGTTGTTCAGAAGTTCTGCATCTTTAATGTTTTTGTTTTGTTTTTGTTTGCCTGGTAATTGTATCAGTTACTGAGAAAGGGGTATTAAAATCTCAGATTATGACTGTAAACTGTACATTTCTCTGTTTAATTTGGCCAATTTTGCTTTATATATCTGGAAGCTCTGTTATTAGATGCATACGGATTTATGATTGTTATGTCTTTCTCATGAGTTGTCCAACGAAATGTCCCGCTTTACCTGGTAATAATCTTTGTCTTGTCTACTTTTTAATCCACAGATATCTGATTTTTATAAACAACTTTAACAGTCTTCAGTTTAACTTTCTTTTTTTTTTGAAATGGAGTCTTGCTCTGTCGCCCAGGCTGGAGTGCAGTGACATAAACTCGGCTCACTGCAACCTCTGCTTCCCAGGTTCAAGCAATTCTCCTGCCTCAGCCTCCTGAGTAGCTGGGATTACAGGTGTGCACCACCACGCCAAGCTAATTTTCTATTTTTAGTAGAGAAGGGGTTTTGCCATGTTGGTCAGGCTGGTCTCGAACTCCTGACCTCAGGCGATCCTCCCGCCTCGTCCTCCCAAAGTGCTGGGATTACAGGCGTGAGCCACCGTGCCTGGCCTCTTGTCTACTTTATCTGACATTGGGATGGCCACTCCACCCTTTCAGGCATATTGTTTGCATGACATATCTTTTTCATTCATTTCCATTCAACCTATCTGTGTCATTACATTTAAAGTATGACTCTTCTGCACAGAGCACATTACTAAGTCTTGCATTCTTTTTTTTTTTTTTTTTTTTTTTTTTGAGGCAGAGTCTCACTCTGTTGCCCACGCTGGAGTGCAGTGATGTGATCATGACTAGCTACAGCCTGGACCTTCTGGGCTTAAGTGATCTTTCCACCTCAGTCCTCCAAGTAGCTGGGACTACAGGCGCATCTCACCATGCCTGGCTAATTTGTATATTTTTTGTAGAGACAGGGTCTCCCTAGTTACCCAGGTTGGTCTCAAACTCCTGGACTCAAGCAATCCTGCCTTAGCTTCCCAACGTGCTGAGATTACAGGCGTGATCCACTGCACTGGGCCAAGTCTTGCTTTAAAAAAAAATTATTATGATAATTTCAGCCTTCTAAATGGTATGTTTGGCTCATTATTAATATGGTTGCTTTAAGTCTATAATTTTAGTTTTCTCCTGCTTGTTCCTTCTGGTTGTACTCCTCTGTTCCTCTTTCCCTGCCTTCTTTTTGGATTAATTGAATATTTTTTAGAATTCCATTTTAATTTATCTATTGCCTTTTAGCTACACCTCTTTATGTTATCTTTGTAGTGGTTGCCCTAGGGATTTCACTGTACAATCTTCAATTTTCAGTCTAGTGAGAGTTACTATTGTAACCTGTTGCATAAAATATACCTTGTAATTGTACAGGTCTATTTACCCTCTCCTCAATCATTTATATAATAGTTGTCATATATATTACATCTGTAAACATTATGGACTCCAAAATACAATGTTATAAATTTTTGTTTTAAACAGTTCTATTCATTTTTAATTAAGAAAAATGTGTTTTTCACTGGGGCTTGTTGGGGTGGGGGGAGGGATTGGATCAGGAAAAATAGCTAATAAATGCTGGGCTTAAGACCTAGATGATGGGTTGATCTGTGCAGCAAACCACCATGGCACACACGTTTACCCGTGTTAGAACCTGCACATCCTGCAATGGACCCTGAAACTTAGAAAAACTAAAAATAAATTTAAAAACAAAATAGAAAAAGAAAAATATGTTTATATTTATCCATTTATTTACTGTATCTAGTGTTCCTCTTTCTAAAGATCTGAGTTTCCATCTGGTATCATTTCTTTTTTTACATATACATATAATGATTGTACAAATTAATTATAAAACAAAAACAAAACCCTACTTTTAGAATTTCTAGTAGTGTAAATCTGCTGAAAAATGATCTTGTTTACTTTTATATGAAAATATCTTTATTTTGCTTTAATTTTTAAAGAATATTTTTATTGGACACAGTGTTCTTCTGGGTTTGCAGTTTTTATCTTTCAGCACTTTAAAGATCTTGTTCCACTGTCTTATGGCTCCATTTTTTCCTGATGAGAAGTCAAGCAGCTTTCAAATCATTGTTCTAGAACTACCCCCAGGCTAAAAGCTATCTCTCTATACTATGTATGTATGTACGTATGTATGTATGTATGTATCTTTCTATCTATCTGTCTATCTATCTATCTATCTATCTATCTATCTATCTATCTATCTATCTATCTGTCTATCTATGTCTATGTACCTACGTACTGATTAGGTCCTATAGGATAAAAATCTTGATTAAAACTTAGGAACTGGGAATTTATGTTGATGTGGGAAAGGAATACTTTCTTTAGGTCATAGCTTATCACATCACAAAATTAATATCACACAGTGAATGAGCATCAGTATCACACCATCTGAGCAGGGGGTCAGAGGCACGGCAGCTGTCAGGGCTCTGATTGTTTTGTGGGCTTGTAGCACCTTCAAACCATACTATACCTTTTTATGCTCTAGTTGATTGGAAAAACACAAAATTACAAATCTTGCCATATTCCCTGACAGTTTTTGAATCACCTCCATTAGCAACTTGTTCAAAGCACTTAGAGATAATGGTAATAAACCATTTTAGAAACAGATTATGGGTTTCATTACTTTCCAGAGCTTACTCAATGTCTCAATTATTTACTGTAGTGTAATATCTATATATAAGGATACTAAAATCTATATTAGTATTCTACCAGAGAAACAGAACCAGTAGAATGCAGGATACACACACACACACACACACACACACACACACACACACACAGATTTGCAGATGCACGTACATGTATATAAGTGTCTGTGTCTGTGTATGAGAGAGAGAGAGATTTATTGCAAAGAATTGGTTTATGTGTTGTAGGGGTGACTAGGCAAGTTTAAAGTCCACAGAAAACGCAGGCTAGAAATCTTGGGCAAGAGCTAAGATTGCAGTTCACAGGTGGAATTTCTTCCTGTGAAGACTTGGGAAACCAGAAAAACCTAATTTTTGTTCTTAAAACCTTTCAACTGATTGGATAAGTCCTACCCAGATTATGAGGATAATCTCCTTTACTTAAAGTCACCTTATTGTAGATCTTAACCACATCTACGAAACACCTTAGCCAAGTTGACACACAAAGCAAACCATCACATATTTACATATTTAAGAACATTAAGTACTAAATAGGACTAATCATAGAATAACCAAAAAAAACTGAGTTACAAACCTACTGGAAATGGAGAATGTATAGCCTAGTAGGAAGTAAAATAAGATTTGTTTGTTATGGCAAAAGTCCCAATACTGCTGAAATCCTCCCCTGATAAATTACTCTGCTGCTCCTCCCCACTCTCACTCCCTATGAGGGTCCCAAGAGAACTATACACACAAGAATCAAGAGTAAATAGAAATAATATCACCATGTCCTATATATTGCAATATCTTTTTCGGGGTGTGGGTAAAATCAAGAGGATACTCTGAGCCTACTCCTTCCCTTTACCTCCCCACATCTGTCTATATCTTGGTTGTAGCATATTTAGAGGTATCTTTAGACAGAAAGAGATTAGCAGGCTCCCAGAGAGACCCTGATACTATTTACCTGACAAGCCACATGGAAAAAGAAGAAGAGAAATTGCTGGCCAGAGGGCAGGCCCTGCTATCTGTCCTTACAGCATGGAGGCAGGAAGAGGTTCAATACTGAGATATTCACTTTCTGACACATACAGTGTTTCTACCTCATGAGCAACTATTTCCTCATCCATGGCTTTAAATACAATGGTGAGATCAGCAGCTTCTCTTCCCTGGAAATAAGGATGAGGTATAAGTAAAATGTGGACAGACACACGGCTTAGTATAGACAGAGGGAGTTTTACGATCCCCTCCTCCTATTCGACTTTTAGTAAAAATTTAAACAAACAATATCCTTAGAAAGAAATCAGGGCAGATTACTAAAATGCTTTTTTGTTTTTTAAAAATTCTTATTAATTAATTAATTTATTTCTTATGAAAATTTCAAATTTCTAACGATCTCATAAAAATACTACTAAAATATTTCTTTTAGTGCATAATTAAATTTGGCAAAAGAAATGGATTTTTCACATTTCTCTACATTAGAATCAAATGTATACTCACAGATCGTTTTCATTTAAGGTTAAATTCTAGTGCTCAGTAAAAGGACAATGAGAAGAGGTAGGTAGGAAAAGCTCAGCAATGACAAGATTTCCATTTTTCTCTTTTTAAATTCCGTATATTTTTTTCCCTTTCTCACTACTGCACTTGACTAGTCTTTTAAAAAAAAAATTCTTTTTTCCTTTTTTTTTTTTTTGAGACAGAGCCACTAGCATCCAGGTAGTGAGGGCTTGCCGGCTTGCCAAAAGTAATTCATGGAAGTTAGTTATAGCCAACAGCCCGCTTCCCACGTGAAATGTATGTGCCATTTTGAATATCAGAGTCTGTCTCTTTTTTTTCTTTTTTTGAGACGTGGTCTCTCTCTGTTGCCCAGGCTGGAGTGCAGTGGCGTGATCTCGGCTCATTGCAACCTCCGCCTCCTGGGTTGAAGGGATTCTCCTGCCTCGGCCTCCTGAGGAGCTAGAATTACAGACGTGCACCACCATGCCTGGCTAATTTTTGTATTTTTAGAGATGTGGTTTTGCCATGTTGGCCGGGCTGGTGTTGAACTCCTGACCTCAAGGGATCCACGCACCTCAGCCTCCCAAAGTGTTGGCATTACAGGTGTGAGCCACCGTGCACCACCTCACTTGACTAGTTTTAAAAAAATAAAATAAGTTCCACATTTTGTTGCATACAGATCTTAATTATGGCCAATGAGACTTGGAGACTAGGAATAGTATATTTTAATGCATGAGAACACTGATCCTTATTATGTTGTGTGTGTCTATCTATGTGAGTATCTTTAGTGATTGTCCTTTCAAAAAATTGGTAACTATTGGTCTATTAATTCTGTAGTTTACTTTCAGTTCAGATTAGCTTCCTTTTTAATTCATTTCATCAGGGGTGAGAGTAGATGAACAGCAACAAAGAAAAGAAAACTTATTTTCTCTGACATATCTCTCTAAAGAGCTATTCTTACTTGATGGCAAAATTAATGTCTTTCTATATTTATTAACAACAATAAAATTAATAGTTTATATTTGAGTGACTTTATTTCTAGCAATGATGTTCAACATGGTGTATGCCTTATTTATTTGATCTTCACAAATAATTTTTTTGAGATCAATGTGATTGATTATATTTTCACATATTACAAAGATAAAAAAGTTAACGAACACACCCAAGTTGTACAGATAATAAAAATGGATCCAATGCAATCTTATTTCAGAAGCCATGTTCTTAACCATTATGTGGTTATTCCATTTGATATGGTTTGACTCTGTGTCCCCACTTAAATCTCTCCTTGAATTGTAATAATTTCCACATGTCAAGGGTGGGACCAGGTGGGAGGTGATTGGATCACGGGGGCGGTTTCCCCCTTGCTGTTCTCATGATAATGAGTGAGTCTCACAAGATCTGAGAGTTTTATAAGCATCTGGCATTTCCCCTGCTTGCACTCACTCCATCCTGCCTCCCTGTAAGGAAGGTGCCTGCTTCTCCTTTGCCTTCTGCCACGATTCTAAGTTTCCTGAGGCCTCCTCAGCAACGCTGAACTGTGAGTCAATTAAGCCTCTTCCCTTTGTAAATTACCCAGTTGTGGGTATTTCTTCATAGCATTGTGAGAACAGACTTATACACCATTACATGGGGATAACAAGATTATATTTAAGTGCTGAAAATATTATGAATTCAAGTTTTCTTCAGATCAAAATTATGTTTCCCTAAACCGTCCAGAAAAATCTCTAAAATAGATATTACAACCTCTTTATTCTTATAATAGTTTGCGGGGAACCATGTTTGTTGATGCTCAAAGTCTGAAGTAGCATAATTTTGAGACAAGTCCATCAGGTTGGGAGTCAAAAGATCACAGCTTCTCTGTTGTTCATTCTTATCTCCTCTTGTCTTGAGTTCCTTCTCTTGCAATGTAGAGGTTAGACACGATGACCTCTAGTATTTCTCTGAGTCTTTCTAAGAACTATTCCACAGTTCCATAAATAAGACCTGAGACTTAGAGATGATCCAGAACTGCCTTCTGACCTCTTTGAATCAACACTCTCAAGACACCCTAAAAAACGATTATAAGAGTAAGATTAGACCGGGCATGGTGGCTCATGCCTGTAATCCCAGCACTTTGGGAGGCCAAGGAGGGAGGATTGCTTGAATGCAGGAGTTTGAGACCAGCCTGGGCAACATAGTGAGACTTGTTTCTACAAAAATAAAAAAATTAGCTGGATGTGGGGGTGTGTGCCTGTAGTTCTAGCTACTTAGGAGGCTGAGGCAGGAGGATCACTTGAGTCCAGGAGTTTGAGGTTACAATGAGCTATGATTGTGCTACTGCACTCCAACCTGGGTGAAGAAAGAGACCCTATCTCAAAAAAAAAAAAAGAAAAAGAAAAGAAAAAAAACCAGAGAGATTGAAAGATTTTCTAATTCCACAAATCACAATTTTTTAACAATCAATGAAATTCAAAAAAGCCACTGATATTTCCCCCCTTGTATTAAAAAAAAGTTATTTTCTATATACAATGGCCAACAAAGTTGGAAGCAAACAAATTAACTCCCCAGAATCTGTTATGATTCGTGCATTATGTTAGATATAGGGAAAATATTCTAGTTCTTAAAATCATTCTGAAAGTAAAGAATGATTCTAACAGTGAAAGATTTGTAACTGAAGCAATACAGTAGATGCCTTTGAAAATTGGACTGCAAAATATGCTAAAAATGTGTGCACTCAGGAAAAAAACAAATAGCACCCAGCTAGTGTCGGCTTCCCAAAAGTAACTCATGAAAGTTAGTTATAGCCAACAGCCTGCCTCCCAGATGAAATGTATGTGCCATTTTGAATATCAGAGTCTCTTAATTGAATCTCATTTTTGTCCTGAGGGCTGTTCTTCCTTCTGACATGTTCTCACAATGGAAAAATGAAGAAGAAAGGGGAAAATGCGGTGTGAAGAGTAAGAGAGATACAAAAAGGAATTGTATGTCGATTGGTGCTGACATAATGAAGTGCCTGCTCCAATGGCCCCTTTCTCCTGTTCGCAACTCAGCAGTTAGCCTAAGAACACTGCATAATACTGTTTGAGGGGAAAAGATTTAAAAAAGCAAAGGCCCGTGTTCTAAGAAATATGAAGTAGATAACTCAAATTATATTTTTGTTTTTAAAAACTCAGGTAATAGGCGGGGCGCAGTGGTTCACCTGTAATTCCACACTTTGGGAGGCTGAGGCAAGTGGATCACTTGAGCCCAGGAATTCAAGACCAGCCTGGGCAACATAGTGAGACCCTGTCTGTATAAAAAATAAAAAAAATAACCAGGACCTGGTGTGGTGGCTCATGCCTGTAATCCCAGCACTTTGGGAGGCCCAGGCGGGCAGATCACTTGAGGTCGGGAGTTTGAGACCAGCCTGGCCAATATGGTGAAACCCCATCTCTACCAAAAATATAAAAAATTGGCTGGGTGTGGTGGCTTGTATTTGTAATCCCAGCTGCTCTGGAGGCTGAGGCAGGAGACTGCAGTGAGCCGAGATTGTGCCACTGCACTCCAGCCTGGGTGACAGAGTGAGACTCCGTCTCAAAAAAAAAAAAAAAAAAATAACCGGGCAGGGTGGTATATACCTGTAGTCACAGATACTTGGGAGGCTGGGGTGGAAGGATCGCTTGAGCCTGGGAGTTCAATGCTGCAGTAAGCTGTGATTGTACCATTGCACTCCAGCCTGGGCAACAAAGCAAGATGCTGTCTCAAAACAAAACAAAACAAAACAAAACAAAAAACTCAGGTAATAAATTTGAATTGTTCAATAATCAATTAAGGATTATGGTCTAGTAGTGTTTCTTTTGGATGCATTCTTCTTTTCTTCCCCTAAACACTGAAAACAAAATTAAAAAATGAAAAACAGTGTTGAAGATCTCAGTTTTGCAACATGACTGGCATGGTTAGAGGTGGTGCTAGTTCCTAGGATTGCAATACCCAAAATGAACTCAATTTAACTTTGTGCCTTGTCTTTTTTAAAATTTGAACTCCCACAGCCCATCTTTCAGCAGGATTGTAGCAGAAAGTGCTGGAGGACACACACAGCAGAACAGCCCTCCATTTACTGCCTCAGAACATAAATGAGGCTGGAACGAGAGAGCAAGCACTGAATTTGGCCTAGAGAATGAAGGGGGATGGAATAATATTTTTATTCTACATGGAGGCAGAAGTAAGCAGTAGGCAATCTGGGCTCTGAACCAAATAGGTGAGAGGATAGTCAGAGGAAATTTCCAAGATCAATATTTAATTAAGTAAAATAAAAATATTGCAGTGGAGAAACATTTTTTATATCAATTTGGTCTGATGGTTCTAGACTTATCTCAAATAATAAAGGTTCAGGGTGAGTTAATTCTACTCAAATTTATAGCAAACCCAAATTAGATTCAGCAGGGATGAGCAGTTAACATTTCCTGATAAGAGTCACTAACTGAGTTTAGGTACTGGTGTTTCCTTGAATCGTCCTCTAAATTGTCTATTTTAAGACTAATTTGTTAGTGATTTTGTTATAGTGAATACGCCTTCTAATCTGTATCTTAGCCACATGTAGGAGAATCCTAGCTTCTTTTTCTTTTGAGATGGAGTCTCACTCTGTCGTCCAGGTTGGAGTGCAGTGGCACAATCTAGGCTCACTGTAGCCCCTGCCTCCTGTGTTCAAGCGATTCTCCTGCCTCAGCCTCCCAAATAGCTGGGATTACAGGTGCCCACCACCACACCCGGCTACTTTTTGTATTTTCAGTAGAAACAGGGTTTCACCATGCTGACCAGACTGGTCTCAAACTCCTGACCTCAAGTGATCCGCCCGCCTGGGCCTCCCAAAGTGCTGGGATTACAGGCGTGAGCCACCCCACACCAGCTTCCGACTGTTTATTATAAGACAGCTTAGGCAACACAATTCACCTGAGACTTCGACTACCTTTCAGTTTGGTCAGTAAATGCAGGCAGTGACTCGAACAGCATTAGTCTCACAAACACCTAAAAGCAACGCCACAGGCTTAACGTGCAAATCCCACAAAAGAGATGACTGATAGCTGATTACAGATCACTGCATTTGTTTCCTATTGGCATTGAAACAAATTACCACAAATGTAGTGGCTTAAAACCACACAAATGTATTATTTTACAATAGGCAGAGCTGCTGCATTCCTTCTGGATGCTCTAGGGAGGAATCCAGGTCCTTTCCTTTTCTAGCTTCTACAGGCTGTCCACATTGCTTGGCCAGTGGACCCTTCCTCCAGCCTCAAAGCCAGCAGTATAGCTTCTACCTCTCTGGTCACAGGGCCTACTCCGCTTCTTAAAGGACTGTTGTGATTCTATGGGGCCCACCTGGATAATGCAGGCTACTCTCCCCATCTCAAAATCCTTTCTTGATCACATCTGTAAATTATACTTTGCCATGTAAAGTAACATATTCACAAGTTCCAGAGATTAGGAAAAGGACATCTTTGGGGGCTATTATTCAGCCTACAATGACTGTCAAAATGTGAATCAGAATATAAAGAAGTTTTGTTATAATGCTCATTCACAGTATTGAATAAGGTAAAAGAAATTATAATCCCCAGATACTTTAATTAAGCCTTGATTAAATTAAGCGGGAAAAAAAGGTACTAGACAAAGATTTCTAAAAGCAAACCTGTAAGGAAAAATGAAAAGGTGTTGAAATAATAGACTGAGAATGAAAGGTACTAGGTTAGTCATTACTATGTGCTTAGAGAGGTAAGGGAGAAAGAGAATGAATAAAGATATTTAGCCTTTATTTGCCATAAAAAATAAGTTAAATCTACATGTAGTCTGTCCCTTATCATCCTAAAACAGAATATCTTAGTCTGTTTACTAAAAGGGGAAGGGAAATTTCCCTTAATATGTCAATTTTGGGGTTTTTTTTACATTTATATTTAAAATTTATTTTTATTAGTTATGCTGTAAGGACTATTGACCTTAGAACCCTTTCGTCTTATGAAAACAATGTTTGTGAAAATATTTGTTTTAGAGAATTGTTTGTTCACTTAAAGTTGCGAACAATGTTTGTTTAGGAGGTTGAATTTACTCACCAGCCTGGTGATCATTACTGACTATGATTTCATTGATACTGTTGTAATCAATTCAGCCAGTTAAAAAAATCAAAGTTCAGTCATGTAAGTTAAGAAGGCTATGTACTCATAGCCTTTTTACTTGTAAAACTTTATTTGCAAATAAATACTTATTGATTTTTTAAATTGTTATTTTTAAAACACGACAAAAAAATCTTCCCATTCTCTGTAGCACAATATGTTTATGTGTCTTCTGATCCTTCTGACTCTTCTCAATAGAGTGCATTTGTACCTTGCATGTGGATGTCCAATTCTCCCAGCATTTCTTTTTTTTATAGGGTTGAAATTTTCATAATTATAATTGAAACAATTTAAACTGTTCTTATGACCCTTCAAAAATATACATTTGAAAAGAAACAAAAATATACATTTGAAATTATATTTTAAGAGTCTAATGGCACTTCACTTCCTTCATTGCCACATGTGATATTGAAATTTCTGTGATAATGCAAATGGTTTCAAATCCATACAAACTTTGTAAACGTTAAGTATTTCAGAGTAATATGGAAGCTTTTATTTGCAACATGGATTTTAGAGCAATGACACTTCTGCAAACCTAAAGCCCACTAATAGCGCACACCAACTGTCATAAATGGAGTTCTCTCCATAACGGAGAGAAGTCCCAAAGCATAGGATCTTTCAAAAGTCCTACTGCAGTTTTAAGTTTTAGTAATTTCAGAAGAATAAGTCCTTCAAAATTTTAAAAAGTGAAAATGTAATGATTTAAATGTATCACAATCAGGAAGTCTTGAGAAAGTTTCAATAATACTTTTTTATTGTAGTAAAAAATATGTAACATAAACTTTACCATCTTAACCATTTCTAAATGTATAGTTCAGTAGCGTTAAATACATTAACATTGCTGTGCAACCAGTCTCCAGAACTTTTTCATCTTACAAAACTGAAACTCTATATCCATTGCAGTGGACTGATGTTTGTGTCTCCCCAGAATTTATAGGTTGAAATCTCCCAATGTGAGGTATTAGGGGGCAGGGTCTTTGGAAGACAATTTGGGAGGTGGTAAGGGTGAAGCCCTCATGAATGAGATTAGGCCTTATAAAAGAGACCCCCAGAGAGCTCTCTAGCCCTCTTTCCCCTTGTGAGGTTACAAAAAAAAGTCAACAATCTGCAGCCTACAAGATAGCCCTCACTAGAACCTGAGCATGTTGGCATCCTGATCTTAGATTTCCAGCCTCTGCGTGAAATACATTTCTGTTGCTTATAAACCACCCAGTCTATGGTATTTTGTTATAGCAGTCCAAACTAAGACACCCATTAAATAGTAACTCCCCATTTACCTCTCCCCTCAGCCCCTGGAAACCACCATTCCACTTTCTAAATATTTGACTACCGTAGATATTTCATATACGTGGAATCATACAGTATTTGTCTTTGTGACTGGCTTATTTCACTTTGCATAATGTCCTCAATGTTCATTCACGTTGTTGCATGTGTCAGAATATTTTTCCTTCTGAAAGCTGAGTCATATGCCCTTGTATGTATATGCTACATTTGTTGATGCACTCATCTGTTGATGGACACTAGGGTTTCTTCCATCCCTTGGCTATTGTGAATAATCCTGCTATGAACACGGGTGTACAAATAGCTCTTTGAGACCTATTTTCAATTCTGTCAGATATATGTGTAGAAGTGGAATTGCTGGATCATATGGTAGTTCTATTATTAGTTTTTTGAGAACCACTATGTTTTCTATAGCAGTGGCACTATTTTACATTCCCACCAATGGTGCACAAGAGTTCCACTTTCTCCATATCAGTGCCAGCACTTGTTCTTTTCTTTTCTTTCCTTTTTTTGATAGTAGCCATCCAAATGGGTGTGCGGTGATATCTCATTGTGTCTTTTTTCTTTGCATTTCTCTAATGATTATTTCATACACTTAGCCAAATAACACATTTTTAACTTAATCTTTAGTTGTGTCAGTGTCTGCCATCTTTAGAGGGACTAAAATGTTTTAAAAATTAATTTTTCAAATATCTCAAAACTAAGTACAGATAAATTTAAATAGTCTTCTTCGTTTTGTAAGTTTGTAAGCTCATTTTGTACATTCACAGCGTCTGTACTACTGAAGATATTACAACCTAAAACTGAACTAAGACTTTTGGGACACCATGTATATAAAATCAGAGATTCAGGTTTGCTGGCTGGAGCCATACCTGGCCTGAGTCCCCACTGAGCCACTGGGTTTCAAGCACTGCCCCAAAACAGCCACACCTGGAACCACTAGACTTGCTTCTTGGACACATGGAATGCAACTCCTATAAATCATCCCTGAGCTCCCTGCCCTTGATGGGCAGCGTCAGCCTCTGAAGCTGTCCTGCAGTATATGTCCTGATGGCAGAACACCTCTTGGACACCATCAAGGTATCAAAGAGGAGGGATGGGTGCCCGTGTTGCTGATTTTGCTCATTGTTTTAGAGGTGCATGGATATGCTCTTAAACTCCTCTCCCTTCAGGCATCCTCAAGGCAGGCAGCTGCCCATGTCTGTAGTTCACCACAGTGGGGACGTCGACACCCTCAGAGCCTGCTTAGTCACCACCGAGCTGCAGAGGTCTAGTTGCATTAGATACCCGAGTCTTCTTTCTTTGGCTGTGGTTATTAATTAGCTCTTAAAAATCTGTTTGTACGGCTGAGCACGGTGGCTCATGCCTGTAATCCCAGCACTTTGGGATGCCAAGGCAGGCGGATCACGAGGTCAGGAGCTCGAGACCAGCCTGGCCAGCATGGTGAAACCCCATCTCTTCTAAAAATACAGAGAAATTAATTAGCCGGGTGTTGTGGCATGTGCCTGTAATCCCAGCTTCTTGGGAGGCTGAGGCAGGAGAATTGCTTGAACCCGGGAGGCGGAGGTTGCAGTGAGCCGAGATCACACCGTTGCACTCCAGCTCTGGGTGACAGAGCAAGACTCCGTCTTGAGGGGGGGCGGGGGGAGAAATCTGTTTGTATTATCAGCCTAATTGTTCTCCTTTGAGCTAGCAAAATTTTTACGGCTTCAAATTTCTCAGAACTTTTAATGAAATATTCAGAATACTTCCAGCATCTCCTTGGCTTTTGATCTCAGCAGAGACTGCAGTAGCTGGCAGTGTTCTCTAAAGGCTAATGAATACAAACCCAAAGAAGTAAAGTCATAACAAGACTTTGAATTTACCCTGAGTTCCTTTATGCCAAAGGGCCCAAATCTGTAAAATGTCACTTGCTAGTTCTTCTAAGTCATTTGAATACCCTGAGTGGTACATAAATAATTGAGTACTGGCTTTTAATTAAGGCTCTGTAGTGAAAGCCGCTTTATGCAAAATTAAATGCTTTTTAATAGCTAATTTAGAGACCACTTTTTAACACTGGAAGTACCATACCAGGAAACTCAGCACATTGCTAATTTGATCTGGCAGTGTTCCTGCATTACATGTAGGATTCAGTTCCTTTTTATAAATAAATGTTCCTTACACACAGCTCCGAATTTTATTTCAATATTACCAATGCTTCTCACAGAAGAAAGATATCAAGTGAAAAAAGTTAGATCACATCATATTTCATAATTGTATCAAAATGAATATAGCCTGTGAACACTTCAGAGCTTAAAAAAACTAGGTTTCATATCCTTACCCAAGTTGTATAGGTATTAAAGGTAACTAAGTGTTATGGGTTGAATTACATCAACTTCCAAATTTATATGTTGGTGTTGTAATCCCCAACACCTTAGAATGTGAACTTACTTGAAAATAGGAATATCGTAGATGTAATTAGTTAAGATGAGGGCATAATGGGCCAGGTGCAGTGGCTCACACCCTTAATCCTAGCACTTTGGGAGGCAGAGGCAGGCAGATGGCTTAAGCCTAGTGTTCGAGACCAGGCTGGGCAATATGGCGAACCCCATCTCTACAAAAAAAATTAAAAAATTGCCTGGCATGGTGACATGCACCTGTAGTCCCAGCTACTCAGGAGGCTGAGGTGGGAGGATCTCCTGAGCATCTGAGCCCGGGAGGTGGAGGTTACAGTGAGCCAAGATCACACCACTGCACTCCAGCCTCAGAGTGACAGAACAAGACCCTGTCAAAAAAAAAAAAAAAAAAAAAATGAGGTTATAATGGAGTAGGATGGTCTCCTAATCTGACTTGTGTCCTTATAAAGGGGACAATTTGGACACAGGCATGCACAGAGGGAGAACAACATATGCTGATGGGGGCAGAGATTCGGATGATTCAGCAGAAGCCAAGGAACACCAAAGGTTGCCAGCAAACCACCAGAAACCAAGAGAGCAGATTCTCCCATGCAGCCCTCAGTAGGAACCCACCCTGCTGCCACATTGATTCCAGACTCCCAGCCTCCATAACTGTGATACGATAAATTCTGTTGATCCCAGCAGCCCTAGCAAAATGTTACTCACTGAATGTCTGTGTCCCCCACAAAATGTAAATGTCGAAGTCTAACTCCCAATGTGATAATGTCTGGAGATGGGGCCTTTGGGAGGTGATTAGGTTTAGATAAGTTCATGAAGACGGGGCCCTGTAGTGAATGCTTATATTTATGCTGCTTCAGCACCTATGTTGAAACATGTTGGGCTTTCCCGTACCAAAAGCTTGGCTCAGTCACCCTTGACACAGTTTCCAGTTGTATACTTCCTCCCAGTGTCTCTGTGTGGCCGATCCAGACATCTGCCTTATACAACTGCTCCCTGCTGACCACTGCCCTATGGGACTGCTAGAAGCAACCTAGGTGACTGGCCTACTGCCCCTACACCCATGGACTGTGCAGACATGCCACAGTGATCACCTGACCACCTGTCAGTCACTGTGTGACCTCTCAAGAGTCCTACCTGCTTGCTCTAAACCCACCAATTAAAACTCCCCATGGGAAAGTTGTTGGGATAAATGCCCTGGACCCAATAAGGGCACTGGCTCATGGGTCCCTCTGTCTCTCCTTGCCTATACTCCCTGACCTCCACGTACGTGGCCTACAGGCATGTGGGGGAATCTGCCTTCCAGAGTCTGTAGGTAGTAAAAACTCTTAAACCTTCACACTGTAGTTATGTCACTGAAGCCGTGCCTGAAATCCAACCCCTGATGGCAAGGCCATTGTGAAGGGGCACATGCGGGTGGATCCGCTGCTGGTGATTTTTCCTCTAGACCTCTAGTGGCTGCTGGGGACAGTAGCTACTACCTAGTGTGGCAAAATGGAAGAGAAACTCCAAAAGTTTCATTCCCAACAGGCCCTCATTATGGGATTAGTGTCCTTATATACATAAAAAAAAGGTACCAGAGAGGTTGTTCTCTCTCTGCCATGTGAGGATATAGCGAGAAGCTGCCCTTGCAAACTGGGGACGGGGCCGTCACCGAGAATCCAACCATGCTGGGCCCCTGATCCTGGACTTCCCAGCCTCCAGAACTGTGAGAATGAACATTGGTTGCTTAAGCCACCCAGTCTATGATTTATTTTATTTTATTTTATTTTATTTTATTTATTTATTTATTTATTTATTTTTTGAGACAGAGTCTCGCTCTGTCGCCCAGGCTGGAGTGCAGTGGCGCGATCTCGGCTCACTGCAAGCTCCGCCTCCCGGGTTCACACCATTCTCCTGCCTCAGCCTCCCGAGTAGCTGGGACTACGGGCGCCTGCCACCAGGCCTGGCTAATTTTTTTGTATTTTTAGTAGAGACAGGGTTTCACCACGTTAGCCATGATGGTCTCGATCTTCTGACCTCGTGATCCACCTGCCTCAGCCTCCCAAAGTGCTGGGATTACAGGTGTGAGCCACCGCGCCCTGCTTATGATTTTTTTTTGTAGCAGCTGAAGCTAAGATACCAAGACGCCAATTAATACACTACGAATCCCACAGGGAAGTCCAGATTGAGCATGAAGCACAACAGCTCTGCTAGTATTCTTTCTTTCTTTCTTTCTTTCCCTTTCTTTCTTTCTTTCTTTCTTTCTTTCTTTCTTTCTTTCTTTCTTTCTTTCTTTCTTTCTTTCTTTCTTTCCTTCCTTCCTTCCTTCCTTCCTTCCTTCCTTCCTTCCTTCCTTCCTTCCTCCCTTCTTTCCTTCCTTTCTTTCCTTCTTTATTTCTATTTTCTCTTTCTTTCTTGAACTCCTGGGCTCAAGTGATACTTCTGCCTTGGCCTCTCAAAGTGCTGGGATCACAGACTTAAGGCCCAATGCTCAGCCCCTGCTGATTTTCTGAAGTCAAGTTTATGTTAATAATGTCTTTTATAGTACTTGAGATAATAATGATAAAATGTCAAATAAGTCAAAATGTCTTATTGTAGTACTTGAGATACTAGAATAAGACATAAGTCAAAATGTTTTTATAGTATTTGAGATAATTATGATAAAATATCTAGTAAGTGGGCAACATAAAATTGATCATGAACTACTTTTAGAGACAGATTAATATAACGGATACCATTAAATATGCAGTGCGCTATTGTGTTCTATAATGCTTCCATATTAGGAATCTTGTCACTCAGCCATAATTTAAACATTTGCCAAATTAAAATATATACTAATGAAATAAATACATAGGCTTCCGCAAATGTGAATGGGCAAATATAATTGTCATTTCAGCAATTATTCTAAATTCTCTATGGCCAAACAATCAATTTTCCTTTTATCTTCAAAACAACTGTGTAAGGTTGAGCTATGAATCTAACTTTGCAGCTGATAAACCATTTTAGCAAAGCTGAGTAACTCATCCAAATCTTTAGATAATAAGTCACGGAAACATGACTTCCAGGCATGGGTACTTAAGTATATGTTCTACTACCCTTAAAGAAAATGCAGAACTTTCTTTTTTCTTTTTTTAGACAGAATCTCACTCTGTAGCCCAGGCTAGAATGCAGTGGGGTGATCATGGCTCATTGGAGCCTTGACCTCCCCAGGCTCAGATGATGCTCCCAACTCAACCTCTGGAGTAGCTGGATGGACTACAGGCACATGCTACTACAGTGGCTACTTTTTGTGTTTTTTGTAGAGACGGAGTTTCACCATGTTGCCCATGCTGGTCTGAAACTACTGGGCTCAAGCGATCTGCCCACCTTGGCCTCCCAATGTGCCTGGATTACAGGTGTGAGCCACTGCAGCTGGCCCGTAACTTTCAAAGTACAAATTCTAATAAGTTTGTTTTGCAAGCCTATTATTGTATTAATAAGAAACTTAAAAATAGGCCAGTCGCGGTGGCTCACACTTGTAATCCCAGCACTTTGGGAGGCCCAGGTGGGAGGATCTCTAGAGCCCAACAATTCAAGACCAGCCCGGGCAACATGGTGAAACCTCTACAAAAAAAAAAAAAAATTTTTAATTAACTGCGTGTGGTGGCATACGCACCTTCAGTCCCAGATACTCAGGAGGCTGAGGTGGTAGGATCACTTGAGCCTGGGAGGTCAGGGTTCAGTAAGCCACAGTTGTGCCACTGCACTCCAGGGTAACAAAGTGATACCCTGTCTCAAAAACAAACAAACAAAAAACTTAAAAATGAAAATTATCTTTGAAATTTACCATATCTAATCTGTGACCTCATGGAGCTTATATTCTTGTGGGGGAAGATGAACACATAAATGCAGAGGCAACTCTTCCATTTGCAATTGTTGGGAATGCTTTGAAGAAAAAATGCAGAGTTAGAGAATTAACTTGAGAACTAAAGGGTAAAAGAAATGTAGTCAGGCCTCACTGACAAGAAAGCGGTGTAGGGACCTGGCATTTAGGGTGGGAGAGGAAGAAGAAGGATTGAGAGTGGACAATTCTGGTGGAATGGACAATGAGTCTGCATGAGGATGCTTTAAGAGACAAGAGATTTGAGGAGGCCTCAGAACAAGAAAAAGGAGAGGAGGTCAGTGGAGAGACGGAAGCAGGGGAAGTGAGGGCAGTGGACAAGTGGGCTGGGCCTAATCAGTCAAGTTACACAATTTGGATTTTATCCCAGAATTCAAAAAGCTTCTGAAAGCTCTTCAGCAAGATTGTATCATAAATTTTGTGCCAAGAGAGTAAGAGGGGAAGAAGAGAAGCTGGTCAGAGGCCATGCCAGGAACCCAGGTACAATATGAGGGGTGATTGGGCACCGTGAAAGCAGTGGAGATTTTGTGATACATTTCTTGAAAGTAAAGCAACAGGACTTGATGACTAAGTGTGAGCATGGAGTTAGGTACAGGGACACTCAGGAGGCTTCAGTGAGCCGAGATCGCACCACTGCACTCTAACCTTGGCGACAGAGCGAGACTCCGTCTCAAAAGAAAAAAAAAAGAAAAGAAAAAAAGCTAGGATTCTCCTACATGTGGCTAAGATATAGATCAGAAGTCTTATTCACTGTAACAAAATCACTAACAAATTAATCTTAAGATAGACAATTTAGAGGACGATTCAAGGAAACGCCAATACCTAAGCCCCGTTAGTGACTCTTACCGGGAAATTTGAACTGCTTATCTCTGTTGAATCTAATTTGGGTTTCCTGTAAATTTGAGTAGAATTAACTTACCCTGAACCTTTGTTATTTGAGATAAATTGCAGTGAGCTGAGTTCGTGCCGCTCCACTCCAGCCTGGGTGACAGTGCAAGACAAGACTCCATCTCAAAACAAAACAAAACAAAACAAAACAGAAAACAGCAGTACCCGTTCCCTAGCTCCTTGTTCTCCAAATTATTCATAAAAACCCTAAACTCTAAGCCTTTGGGCAGACTGATTTGAGTGATGACTCCAATTCTTCTGCGTTGGGTGGCCTTGTGTCTATTAAACTCTTTCTCTGCTGAAATGCCCCATTCTCAGTGAATTGATTTTGTCTGTGCAGTGAGCAGGAAGAACTCACCAGGCAAATACAACCCCATCATGTCATCTTTCCGTGTCAGTTCAACCAAAAGAATAATTTCACTTTTGGTGAACTGCTGTGGCCAGGCCTTTCAGAAGCCGCCTCTAAAAATTTAAGTATAAATAATTTGAGGAAAGTCTTTAATCAGTGAGTTAGAATTTCAAGGATCAAAGATAATAGGTCTCTTAAAGTCCCTCTCATCTCTATAGAGCTGTCACCAGGCTAATAGCTCAGACACTCTTAGTCTCTCTCTTTCCTGTCTTTTTCATTCTCTCTGTATGTAGCTTTGTGTTCTGTCTCTCTCTTTCTCTCTTTTCCCCCATCTCCAGTTTTAGGAATATGATATTTGTTTCTTTTCCTTTGGTGATTATCCTGTGACTGTTTCTATTTTCTGTGCCTATCCTGCTGTACTTCCTCCTGTCCCTCCCATTAAACAAATAAACAAATATTTGTTGAGCTTCTACTTTGTATTAGGCTCTGTGCTAAATTCTGGATATTTAACTAGAAATAAAACAAATAAGATTCTTGCCCTCATTTGTATACATGGTGCTTGCATTTCCCCTTTCCTTCAGTCTGTCTGCTTTTTCTTTCTCTTTTTCTTTCTACTCTTCCAACTTCATTAACTGGATATAATGTGAAATTAAATTATTTTATTTTATTCTATTTTTGAGATGGAGTCTCACTCTGTCACCCAGGCTGGAGTACTGTGACATGATCTCAGCTCACTGCTGACTCCACCTCCCAGGTTCAGGCAATTCTCCTGCCTCAATCTCCCGAGTAGCTGGGATTACAGGTGTCTGCCACCACACCCAGCTACTTTTTGTATTTTTAATAGAGATAGGGTTTCATCATGTTGGCCAGGCTGGTCTCAAACTCCTGACCTCAGGTGATTCACCCTCCTTGGCCTCCCAAAGTGTTGGGATTACAGGCGTAAGCCACAGTGCCTGGCCCCAAATTAAATTTTTTTAAATACCACTTATCTATATTGAATCTAATATTCTACCTCCTGCTCCATGTTTTAATGCATTTTTCCTTCAAAAATCAAAGTAAAATGATAACTGAAGCTAATAAAGCAGGATTTGGGGTCTTGCCCAGGATTCAAGAACATTGATAATTCTTAGCAAAATGTATTAAGATTATTTACCTCAAGTGAACTAAATAAAGATTATACTTAGTTTCATGTCATTTTAGGTCAAATTTTGCTACCAAAACAATCTCAGCACTAGATATAAAAATTTGTATAATTTTCAGAGCTTTTTAGTTTAGAATAAGCATAAAGGATTTTTCATTTGCCAAGTGCATGGCTAGTACATAACATAAACTAAAAATAAAATTCTAAGGCCTCCAACTGACTGAACAGACCATTTCTTGGCCCAAAGGACCCCAGAACTACCTTGAAAACTTGAGTTCTTGGCGATGATGGGATAAGGGTAAGACGCACATCTTATACCCCTTCTTTTGCAATCTATGATTAGATTTTCTTCCATAAGGGCTAAATAGAAACCAGCCCTTTCAAAAGATTCCACTATAGATATCAACCAACCACCTGATACTGTCGCTCACTTTTTGCCTGATAAGACAGCACGAACAATCGAGTTCCTTTGGCCAGTCTATAGAGAATATACAGTAAGGATTTTCAAGTCCTCTGCTTTACCTTTTGATGTCAGAGGGCAGAAAACTCTACCCTCAGATCATGCTAATGCCACCATTTTTTGTACATTGGACCCATGAAGGGGCATGAAGCTCAATCGCACACATGCATGTTTCTCCTTTCATAACTATTCAGGACTCCTCTTATGGCTTATTGAATATGTATATCTGGCCACCCTGCTCAGCATAAATTCCTGTTCCCCTTGTCCCTCCCTCGAAGTATTTGTTTTTGACTTCTGGTTGGAGGTTATGCTTCCCAGCTTGTCAGAATGGCCAACTTGCAGCCTGCAGCTCTTTATGAAAAATAAAGCTCTTCTTTCCAAATTTGTGTATGAACCTCATCATTCTTCAGTTGACAATAGTAAGCAATCTTAGAAATATTTGTTGGATGAAATTTCACCTATTTAATTGTCTTGTGTACCTATCAAAATATGTGCATAATGAAAGGGAACATACAAATGAAAAATAAGAGGCTTATTTCTCCCTGTTGAAAAGGGAAGAATTTTTTCTCTCCTCTTATTTTGAGCATTTACTTTAAAAAAAACTTGTAATTGTAGATACTCTCTTCTTTTGAAATGTATATAAATCCTTTTGAAGACTAGATTGAGGTTTCCAGCTTTATGACATATGAATGCCTTTTTCAAGGAACTAGGGGCCATCTCTTTGAAATGTAAACATCAGGGAGATAGCACCCTACATACTGGTTTCAGTGGAGATTATTTAGGTGGGCACCTTGCTTCAAATTGCACAACTATCTCTTCTCATAAAGATAGAAGAAGTTTGTTTTTCCTCCGCGATTTTTTTTTTTTTTTTTTTGAGATGGAATCTCACTCTGATACCCAGGCTGTGATCTCGGCTCACTGCAGCCTCCACGTCCTAGGTTCAAGTGATTCTCTTGCCTCAGCCTCTCTAGTAGATGGGATTACAGGTATGCACCACCACGCCTGGCTAATTTTTGTACTTTTAGGAGAGAAAGAGTTTCACCATGTTGGCCAAGCTGGTCTCAAACTCATGACCTAAAGTGATCTGCCTGCCTTGGCCTCCCAAAGCACTGGGATTACAGGCATGAGCCACCATGCCTGGCCTGCCCCTCTGTGATCTTTTTTTTTTAAAGAGGGATTCAAACATCTTGCGATCTGAGACACCAAAACAAATTCCCCTTTATCAACTAAGAGGAACCCTACAGTTGAGGAAACAAAATCACCTGCGGGAGTTGAGGCTCGGCTGGCAAGGCAGATTTCTGAATCCTTATGGCTCTAAACTTCCTAACAATAGGAACTGTCAGACCTCTCCCGTGATTTACAACCCAAACCACTACACTCTGACTGGACAAAGGATAGACATCTTTTCTGATAAGCTATTGCAGACTTTAAGCCATTTCAGCCAGTTTATGGAGACTTCACACACACAAACTGTCTTTGTGTTCTGTAGTTCATCTTTTGAGATAAAGAGCCAAATTTCACTTCATTTTAATGGTAAAACTTCACCACAAAGTGTACATGGAATGTATGTGACATATGTATTTACTCACTGTGCATGCACTCAGCTCCTCTCCTAAATGCGTGTAGCTTTTCCCCCCAACCTGTTGAATATCTATGACTCTATTGTGTGATACAGGCCCTGTGAGGCATAAAATCCAACCTGTCCTTCCCCTTTTCCAAGAGAGAACACCTTTGGCACATGCCAGAGAATGTCTCTTACAAGTTTGCAAACCAATATTGCCCAAAAAGCTCTCCTTTCTACTATTTAGCCATCCTGATAGCCTTTTGGATGACACTCTGGATAAAGTCAATTAACTAATATAGATAGTGTGATATGGTGAAATATGTATTTGGTTTTCTTCCTTGTTTTCTGACATACAACTCTTAAAATTCTTAGATATTCTGAAGTGATGTCTTTTTGTGTGCTAGTGAGTTGACTGATGGTCCCCTGGGTAGCTTCAGGATGGGGGTTGGTCACTGGAAATATTAAGACACAACTAGAGGACTGGGACTTTCAGCAACACCCCCCGCCTAAACTCTGGGGAGGAGAGAGGGGCTGAAGGTTAAGCTGATCACCAATGGCCAATGGTTTAATCAATCATGCCTATGTAATGAAACTTCCATGAACACCCAAAAGGACAGGGTTTGGAAAGCTTCCCACAGCTGAACATGTGGAGGCTTACAAGAGGGTGAACAAGAACTCAAGCATGTGCAGGAAGATGTGGCACCCCAATTCCACGGGGACAGAAGCTCCTGCACTCAGGACACTCCCAGACTTCACCCCATGAGTCTCTTCATCTGGCTGTTCACTTATATCCTTTAAAATATCTTTTGTAATAAACCAGTAAATGCAAGTAAGTTTCCCTGAGTTCTGTGAGCCACTCTAGCAAATTAATCGAACCCAAAGAGGGGGTCATGGGAAACCCAATTTGAAGCTGGTCAATCAGAAGTTCTGGAAGCCTGGACTTGCAACTAGTGGTAAGGAGGGGATAATCTTGGGGACTGAGCCCTCAACCTATGGGACGTGAGGCTATCTCCAGGTAGATAGCAACAGAATTGAATTAGAGGACATAGAGGACACCCTGCTGGTGTCTGCTGCTTGGTGTAGTGGGAAACCCCCTGCCCCATTTGTTCACAGATGTATTCTGTGTTGATTGTTGTATGAGGCTAGAAAAAAATGCAGACGGTCACCCCAATAGCTAGGTAAAGGTAGGATAAACTATGGTGTGACAAATGGTGTTGGCAGTCCTCTTATTTGAAAACTAATTGGCCAGTCATGGTGGCTCATCACTATAATCCCAGCACTTTGGGAGGCCGAGGTGGGAGGGTTGTTTGACTGCAGGAGTTTGAGACCAGCCTGGGCAACATAGCGAGACCTCATCTCTACAAAAGCTAAACACAATTAGCCGGACATAGTGGCACAGACCTATAGTCCCAGCTACCCTGGAGGCTGAGGTGGGAGGCTCCCTTGAGCCCTGGAGGTCGAGGTTACTGTGAGCCAAGATCACACCATGGCACTCGAGCTTGGGTGACAGAGTGAGACCCTGTCTCAAAACAGAAGTAGCTATTGCTTATCTTGAAAGCATGTATATAGTGGATTATATCTGGTTGATGATATAAGAGGGTGAGATTCCTTTTTGTTTTTGCAATCTCTTAGAAGATTGCCTATGATGTACATCACATTCTGGTTTAATGTTTATTGAGTAATAAAAGGGTTTGTTTTCTTTCTTTATTACCGTTGTGATTTCTGGTTTGGGAGAAGATTTTTTACTAACTTGATTTTTCCCAGTAATTTACACCATGATACAGTAGCCATAGTTTAAAGATAATGTTCAGCTAATTTTAATTCCTTCCTAGTATAATTAGTGGTGCTCACCAATTATTCCATCCATTTGATTCATTCTGGCCAAAGGACTGGGAGCCAAGTTGCATGAATCACTTTTGAGTGGAGTTTTTACGAGCATGTGTGTGTTCTCCAGGCTCTCTCCCTCTGGCATGATAAGATAGAAGCTGCTCAGACTGCTGGGTCACTGCATGAAGGACTGCTGCTCTGACTCAATTTTGCACGTGGGAGGAATAAACTTTCTGTTACAGCATAGTCTACCATATCTGACTAATACAGAGCCTAACCCAGACCTAGGAGTTAGACGACCAAGAGTGAAAAGAATATCAGAGAATTAAAAATAGTTCAGTGTGACTGGATCAAAGAGTGCTTGAAGGTCAGTAAGAAGAATTAGGTTGAAAGATAGATAAGGTCCAGGCTTTGAAAAACTTTGTAAACTATGTTAAGGAATCTTTAAAATGGCAAAGAGCCATTAAGGATTTTAAGCGAGAGTGACAATCAGGTCAAATTTATTTTTTAGAATGATTTCTTTTGTTGAAGGGTAGAGAATAGATGGAAGCAACTAAAGTCTGAGATAAGAAGACTACTTATAGACGCTATAGTAGCATGTCAGAAGAAAGCGATCCTGAAATAGGCAGGAACTGAGGGTGGAGAACAGGAAAGAATTAAAAGATTATAAATAGATCTCTTCCAAGGCCTTGGGAGGGATTCTGGGAATGTGTTCACATAGTCCTATCTTTTTGTAAAATTTGCAAACTTAAGATATTTAAATTTCAAACCATTAAGGCTGTTGACTCTATTACGACTTCACCTCTGCCAGGTGGCTTTATAGAGGCCATCAACATACTGAGATTTAGTTAGGGGTAAGTTGAGTTAGGGATATATTTAGATTGGACTTAGTACAATGTAGTTATATAGCCTGCAGTCACTTCCATATATAGTTAAGTCATTGCTGGTCCCATGTATGAAGGTACTTCCACTGTGTCAGTTCATGCAGTGAAACACAATGGTGCAGTGCCACAGATGGAAAAGAAATTTGTTAGGGTGTGGTAACCAGTCTCAAAGATAGCCCCCAATGCTTCCTGGTATTAATGTTATTGTGTAGTCTTCTCCTCTTGAACCTTCACTGGTAGTATTACTTTATTTTTACCCAAAAACTGTGGGAGAAGGATTGGCTGACTTCTGAGACTAAGCCCTAAAAGTCTTGGAGTTTCTGCCTGGATCTCTTGAAATATGTAGGGGAAGCAAGACATCATGTAAGAAGTTCAACTACCCTGAGATTGTCATGCTATGAGGAAGCTTAAGCCAATTATGTAGAGAAGGCCAGTATACCTCAGCTATTTCAGCCATCCCAGCTGAGGCTCCAGAGAAGTGGTGAGGAGGGCATCTTCTATGTCCAGTCCGCTAGAGCCTTCAGAGGACTCTAACCCCAGCCTCCAACTAACTGAGCAGAATGAGGAACCTCAAGTGAGAAACACTGAGCTGAGTCTAGGCAATGCACAAACTTGTGAAAGATGTTAATAAATTGTAGTTTTAAGATTCTGTGTTTTGAGGGTAGTTTGCTAGGTAGCAGCAGATAACTGCAACTGAATCACTGGCCACAAAATCTTTGCTACGACTCCTACCAAGAGGTTGAGTCTATTTCCTCTCTCCTTGGACCTGTGCTGGCCTGTGATTGCTTTGCCCAAAAGAGTACATCAGAAGTGACCCAATGCCAGTGCTGAGGCCTGTCTTTAAGAGTACTGGCAGCTTCCACTTTGTCTCAGCACAGTGAGCCACTGTGTAAGAAGTCCAACAACCTTGCTGGAGAAACCACATGGAGAGGTCCTGAGGCTGTAAGGAGGGGCAGAACATCCCGGTTGAACCCCAGCATGTGAGGCTGGACCCTCCAGACCAGACTGAGTGTCACCTGAATACCACAGAGTGACACCATAGGGGCAGAATTGGACCCCCAAGCCCTGCTTAAATTCCTTACCTACAAAATCGCGAGGTATAATAATATGGTTAGCATTTTAAGTTGCTAAATTTAGGGGTAATGTATTATATAAAAATAAATAATTGAGACAAGGAATTTCCCCAAATTTATATAGTATCACTAATAATGAATTGTGACTATAAGTTGTAAAGAAGAAAATAGTTAACATAAATTATTGATAATAAATAGCTTTAATTAACCATGCTGGAGGAAAGACTTAATTATTTTTCTATTCTCTCTGGAAAATATTACAAAACTATTGTCATATGAAGAAGATATGAAAAAGTAAGCAGCCAAAAAAGTAGGAAATGCTGGGTGTGGTGGCTCAGGCATGTAATCCCAGCACTTTGGGAGGCTGAGGAAGGTGGGTCGCTTAAGCCCAGGAGTTCGAGACCAACCTGGGCAATGTGGCGAGCAGCCTGGGAAAAATTTCTGCAAAAAAATAAAAAAATTACCTGGCATTGTGGAACATACCTGTAGTTCCACTACTCAAGAGGCTGAGCTGGGAGGGTCACCTAAGTCCAGGAGGTTGAGGTTGCAGTGAGCTGTGACCATTATCTTATCACTCCAGCCTGGGAGACAGAGTTAGACCCTGTCTCAGAAAGAAAAAAAAAAGAAAAAAAAAAGGTAGGAAAAAATGTATTATAGAGCTATTTGCATATTATAAGGCAGTTAATTAGTATAAACTATATAATATTTTTCAGGATTTTGTGAAGGAGGCTTGTGGTATATATCACCATATCATTTGTTTTGAAAATTTTTAATTTGCTGTTTTTTAAATGTAAATATTCACTTTTGTACCAAATTTTGTATTTTGTACTTTGTATTCTTTTCCTAAAAGAGCTTGAGCAAATTTTCAGAGCTCTGCAATCGAAGTCAAGATTCTACAAACTTCCAAAGGGAAAGAAAAAAAATAAAACCAAATCCGAATCACCCCATACAAAGAATCAAAATGGCTTTGGACCTTTCTACACCACTGGAAGATAAAATTTAATAGCAAACAGCCCTCAAACTTCTAGCAGGAAATAATTTCCAACGGTGTAGAATTTAATACACTGTGAAGCCCTTTATCAAAAGAGAGAGAATAAAAGTATTTTCTGACTGGTGTATAATAGGGCTTTAAACATTTCAACCATTCACCTTATTTCGGAAAAGTACTAAACAATGTGTTCCAGTGTATTTGCACTTGTGTAAACAGGATATGACTTAACTCTGACACACTTTTATTTCCAAAAACTCTGTGTCTTTGTCGTAGGTTGTATCTAGTAGACTTTGTCAGAAATATCACAAACACACAATTGGTAAATTTTGGCAGTAACAGCCAATATGCAAAGTCCTCTGAAGTGAAATGAGAAAGGTCACTTCACCATCTGCGTTCTCTAATAAACAGCTATGGTTCTAAAGAAAAATGTGTGTAAGAAATTAAGTTTGAAAAAATACACAGATGGTTTTACTATTTTTTTCTATGATAACATTGTTTATATAATCTAAAACTCAGATTACTGGCACATTAGGCTATAAGTATTTATCTTACCTTCACTGGTCTCTTTTATAGCTTAATCATAAAGTAATCATCTGGGTATGCTATCAACATGCAGGGGTTCAGACCCTGTGGTCCTTTCCAATCACTATTTTCCCGCCCCTGGACCCCCAAAATGCGTGACTCCCCTGACTTTTATGATTATCAAGCCCTCACTTTTATTCATAATTTCACTCTTTGACATTCATCCCTAAACACTGTAAGTTTATATGTTTTTGTTCTATAAAGAGAATCATACAATATATATTTTTGTATTTCTGGTTTCTTTTACTCAACTCTATCTTTGTAAGACACATTCATATTGTTGCCGTAGCTGTATTTTTTTGTTTGTTTGTTTCTAGTATTGGATAGGTTTCTGTTATGTGAATGTACCATGATTTAGTTATCCATTTCTATTATTAATGAATATTTGAGTTGTTTCCAGTTTGGAGGATTACCAGTACACCAGGAGCTGCATTAGACTGATCAATCTGACTTTTAGGACTCATAAATTCTTCATAGATAAGAGACAGAAAGATGTTTTTATAAAACTTAAGAACATTTAATCACCCTTATAAATGCCAGGGTTACTTTCATTTTCTTAAACACAATGACAGTTTATTTAAATAAACTCAGCTGGCCACTTTAATTGCACTTTCCCCTGTTCATTCTTACCTATTACTCTCCGATTTATGTGTATTAATTGAGGCAGTATTGATGCAGGATATTTCTTGGCCACTTTGCCAACCAGGGACCTCCACAACTTTTGATGCCCCTCTCCCCTCACCTGGGCCTTGCTCAGGCCCAGGCCTGCCACTGGAGGCACCCCACCCACTTGGCCCACCGTTCTATAGCTTGTACCCATGTTCAGTGGCTCCCGAGCACTTGTCACAAGTCCAAGAAAAATGAGGATACACTGACAATTGAAGGGTGAGGATGGGCAGAGAAGAATTTTATTGAGCAACGGAACAGCTCTCAGTGGAGAGGGGAAGTGGTGGGGGAAATGGTCCCCCACTCCCACAGTCGGGTAGTTTCTCTCCCAGTGTGGCTGAGGGCAGGACTTCTATGGCTTCAGAATAGGGGAGTGTGTACTGATTGGTTTGTGAGTGAGTATGTAGAGAAAGCCTAAAGCAAAGGCAATACTCAAAGGTGGGCACAGCAGGGGAGAAAACCAATTCAGAAAGGGTAGGTATATGTACAATAGGTGAAGGGTGGAGATCAATCAGAGGAAAGCATGCCAAATAGGAAGACAGGTTCTCAATCTGGTCTGTGGATTTACCCTGCACTTGTAGCTGGGCTTTAAACTGTCTTTGGCTTGAAGGTTCGGTTTCACCGGGGACCCTCCCCTATCTGCCTAGGCATCTGCCTGCCTCCTGTCACTATCAGCATTATTAGCTTTCAGAGCCAAACATGCATCTGTTGAAGTGGCCTTTGGACAAATAAATACAACACATTGGCCTACAATATTCAAAATGGAAACAGATTCAGGCCTCAGAATCCAAAAGGGAGTAAAAGACCAATGGAAAGGGAGGATGCAGAGAATAAAGAGGCAAAGAGTAGGTAGATTATTCAGTCATTAAAGCTGATTGTCCCCCTCACTGAAGGCAGGTTGTCAGTGGCCAGGCTGGATTTGTCTGGTTGTCGAGCTGGATTTGCTCTTTAGGCTCTGGAATTATATGTAATACCGTAGTAGCTAAATATACCACTAAAAATACTCACTTCTAGAAATTTAGAATTGGGATGTTAGTGCTGATATAATCTAACCAGATGGTCAAATAGATATGTATGTTTTATTCTTGCTGGCATTATATGAAGGAAAAAGAAAAAAAGAATTTACATCCAACATCTGGCTGGTAAAAGCCAGAAAAAAACTTCATGTTTAATTTGTGGTTGGAAGAAAAACATTTTCTGAAATTGAATTCTGGTTTGAAGTCCTCTGGTGTGAACAGTGACACATCCTGCATAGCAAAAGGGAAACTTACTATTATTGTAGGAGCAATGAATGTGTTGCATTTAATGGCTAATGTTTGGCAATACGTTCAAAAGAGTAGGATAACACAGAGAAAATAGAGCAAAGGGTAGACTTAGAAGGAGAGAGACTTCTGTTGTTGATCAGCTTCTTTGTCTCATTGTCAGCCAAGAAGCTCCCTGCCTATGCTTCATTCAATCCTAAAGATTGCAAATCATTACAAAGGAAAGTTTCCAGTTCTTTTCTTTGTTTGCTTAGGAAGCAGCAGAATCAGAGGAAAAATGGAAAAAGGTGTAATAAAAAATCTGTCATTAGAAAAAATTTAACCGAATCAATCCACTTAAAATCATTGACAGATATTTTTTAAATGGTCAATTTGTTTAATAATAATATTTGATTAGCTAAGAAAATATTACACTGAAGTTTATAGCAATGTGGACTATAGTTGAAGCAATTTAAAATTAACTATACCACTGATATTTTATGTGGCTATAACTTATCTATGATAAACAATTAGATAAGCAATTATAAGTTTATCTAATTTCATGTTTATATTTTGGAGGTCAAGAAAGTATTTTGGTAGGGTCGGTAACAGTGCTGTATAACAGTTTAGGAGTAATTTAGCTTAGGATTTATTGAGGACGATCAGATCCTAGTGTTCAATTATTATTATTTTTTTCCTCCTATGGTCTTGTCTGAAAAGGATTGAATAATATTTGGGATTTTTTTTTTGTTTGTGTGTGTTTGTTTTTTAGAGAAAGGATCTCCCTATGTTGCCCAGGCTGGACTCAAACTTCTGGGCTCAAGTGATCCTCCCACCTCAGCCCTCTGATTAACCAGGACTACAGGCATGTGGCACTTCACCTGACTGCCATGTTGAATTATTTAAAAATAAATGTTGACCTTAAGTTTGAATAATAAGAATTTCATAAATTTGAGTTAATGTCAACTAAACCTTAACCATGAAAAGAGTTTTACAATAAGAATTTTAAAAATCTGGCCAGGTGCGATGGCTCATGCCTATAATCCCAGCACTTTGGGAGGCTGAGGCGGGCCAATCACCTGAGGTCAGGAGTTCAAGACCAGCCCGGCCAAAGTGGTGAAATCCTGTCTCTACTAAAAATACAAAAATTAGCTGGGCATGGTGGCACGTGCCTGTAATCCCAACTAGGCAGGAGGATTGCTTGAACCTGGGAGACGGAAGTTGCAGTGAGCCGAGATCGCACCACTGCATTCTAGCCTGAGCGACAGGGCGAGACCCTGTCCCCCGCAACACAAAAAAAAAAGAATAAAGAAAAGAAAAGAATTATTAAAATCTGAAATTGATTACCCAGTGAAGTGAGAGAATTTTCTTCCCTGATAAAATGATGAAGACTGCAAAACTGAAAGATGGTTTGAAATGTGACTAGAGAAATCTTTGTAGAATACAGGGAAAAAATGTAATCAGAATTATTTTTCAAGAAAATGTACTTCTCAGATCTATTGTGGGGAGCATAAATGAAGCCAGTCCCATGTTATACTCTGAAATCCATCACAGCATTTGTGCTGATATTTCCAGCCTGTGACAGCGTGGCAGGAACACTAAGGCAGGGTCATTCCAGGAGAGCATGTGGGATTTCTCTGACATCTGGCTTGGACTCCCTGTTGGCCTTGCCAAATCTCCTTAAAACTGCACTGCAGTCATAGACCCTTCCTTCCCTCCTCTCTCTCCCCTTCCTTTCTTCTCTTGCCTTATTCTCTCTCTCCTTCACAGATGTCAAACCTGCACTGTGGTCTTTTAGCTCTCCCAGCCTCCAAGAGTTCCCTCCCTATTTCCCCTCATGGACATTTCTCCTAATTAATTGCTTGCACATCTAACCCAGTTTTGGCATCTGCTTCTCAGAAGATCTAGACTAATGCACAAGAATTCTGTTATTGCCCTGACTCAAAAACATGTATATATACGTATATACATTTTTAAAAAGTATATATATATATATATATATATATATATACTTTTTTTTTTTTGAGAAGAGTTTTGCTCTTGTCGCCCAGGCTGGGTTACAGTGGCACTATCTTGGCTCACTGCAACCTCCACCTCCCGGGTTCAAGTGATTCTCCTGCCTCAGCCTCCCAAGTAGCTGGGATTACAGGTGCCCACCACCACACCCTGTTAATTTTTTGTATTCTTAGTAGAGACGGGGTTTCACCATGTTGGCCAGGCTGGTCTGGAACTCCTGACCTCAGGTGATCCACCCACCTCGGCGTCCCAAAGTGCTGTGATTACAGGCGTGAATCACTGTGCCCGGCCTCAAAAACATATTAAACGAGCAGGAAGAAGAAGGAGAAGGAGGAGGAAGAAGAGGAGGAGGGGAGGAAGGGGAGGAGAAGGGGGAAAGGAGGAAGAGTGGGAAAAGAGGAGGAAGAGGAGGAGAAGGAGGAGGAAGGAAGCGTACCGATCTCCTAAATTGTTAGAAGGTCATCTCACATTAAAGATTTATTCAGAGACTAAGAAAGTATATGAAAAATTGATGTTTGTCTTTGTTATTCCTAATTGAAAACTGTTAAAAATAGTTTGCTTATGTAGTATATATACATATATATATATATATTTTGCTGTTTGTTTGTTTTTTTAGACAGAGTCTCACTCTGTCACCAGGTTGGAGTGCAGTGGCGCAATCTTGGCTCACTGCAACCTCCACCTCCCAGGTTCAAGTGATTCTCCTGCCCCAGCCTCCTGAGTAGGTGGGACTACAGGCGCCCACCACCACGCCCGGCTAATTTTTTGTATTTTTAGTAGAGACGGGGTTTCACCATGTTGGCCAGGATGGTCTTGATCTCTTGACCTCTTGATCCACCTGCCTTGGCCTCCCAAAGTGCTGGGATTACAGGCGTGAGCCACCGTGCCTGGCTGTAGTATATTCTTATAATTTTATGCTGCCACGGCATACATTTTGAAATTGGACTCATATCAGAAGCAGGGCTCAGTTTCCAGTTCTACACCTTCCCAGTTCCTCAATGTGGCCAATCCACACATCTACCTTATACAGCTTCCTCCTGGTGACCACCTCCCAGTGGGACGGCTATTAATCAGTGCAGCCTGCCTGACTGGCCCGCTGAGCCTCACTACCTGCATGGACTGTGCAGACATGCCACAATGACCACCTGTCAGTCACTGTGTGACCTCCTGGCAGTCATGCCTGCTTGTTATGAACTCACTAATTAAAACTCCCCACGGGAAACCCCCGGAACCAATAAGGGCACTTGCCCACAGACCCCCCTCTCTCCCCCTGCGCAGACTCCTGGATATCTCTGTGTGTGGCCTCCAGGCATGCAGGTACCCAGTAAGTAATAAAACCTTTATTTCCATCTTGTGTCTCTTCTAATCATTGGAGGAGTACTCTACATCTTAAAGATCTTAAATTAAAACAGTTTAGAAGGCCAGTTTTTAAGAAATACAATTCAATTATCCATTCTATTGATTTTGTGGATAAAGACAACTTTATTGTATAAAAATAAAACCTTGGCCAGGCCCGGCGTCTCACGCCTATAATCCCAGCACTTTGGGAGGCTGAGGTGGGTGGATCACCTGAGGTCAGGAGTTCCAGACCAGCCTGGCTAACATGGTGAAACCCCGTCTCTACTAAAAATACAAAAAATTAGCAGGGTTTGGTGGCACGCACCTGTAATCCCAGCTACTTGGGAGGCTGAGGCAGGAGAATTGCTTGAACCCGGGAGGTGGAGGTTGCTGTGAGCCAAGATAGTGCCGTTGCACTCCAGCTTGGGCAACAAGAGTGAAACTCCATCTAAAAATAAAATAAAATAAAATAAAAGCTCTCCTTCCACTCAGAAATATATGTAATCTCATAGCTTAGTCTCCAGTATAACTCTGTGAGAAGAACTGTAGTCCAGTGTCCCATTCTTTTTTTCACTTAAAAAAAGGCAGTTTTTCATCAAAGGAACAATATGGAGGCATAATATGAAAGAAGGACATTGCCTATGGCAGATTTTATTTTCTAAAGACACCACAGTACGTCTCATCACATATGCTCTTCCAAAATGTGGCCTTGCAAACTTGAAGAAAAATAGAGCCTGAAGTAAATAATATTTACTCCCAGAAAATGGCACATCCCTTATTCTGTCAGGCTGCTGGTGTGGTTGCCTAAGTCCATCTAAACTATAGTTAAGCTGAATTAGGGTTTGTTATAGGTTTAATAGATTCAGTTCATTATTGGCTTCAAATATTCTTGAAGGCATGATCAAGACTTTCCTCTTACAGAAAGGAGGTCTGCATAGAGATTTCTTCGTGCTTTGCAGCCTAGCCACCAGCAATCTGAGCCTTGGGAGATCTTTGTGCTTTACAGCCTGCTACCTTTTTGTTTGCTGGGGAATAGTCTTTGCTCTCCACTCACATCCTTGGCTTTCTGTATCTTGTGAGATCTCTTGCTATCCTGTGTGGAATCCTATTCCAGCCATTGGAGGGCTCTTTCAGTGTACCATAGAGAGAGTTTTCTTTTCTGCTGCTACGTTAGTCCTGGAGTTAAAGAACCAGATTGCTTTGCTGGAATTTTTCTTATTTTTCCTCACTTTACCCCAGCTTTTAGCCACTATCTTGCATTTGGGGAAGGCTTATACACCTTGAAATAGTTGGAGATGAAGAATATCTATTAGCACTTGACATGGTTTGGCTGTGTCCTCACCCAAATCTCAGCTTGAATTGTATCTTCCAGAATTGCCAGATGTTTTGGGAGGTACCCAGGGTAGGTAATTGAATCATGGGGGCCGGTCTTTCCCATGCTATTCTCGTGATAGTGAATAAGTCTCATGACATCTGATGAGTTTATCAAGGGTTTCTGCTTTTACTTCTTCCTCATTTTTCTCTTGCCACCACTATGTAAGAAGTGCCTTTCGCCTCCCACCATGATTCTGAGGCCTCCCCAGCCATGTGGAAATATAAGTCCAATTAAACCTCTTTTTCTGCCCAGTTTCAGGTACGTCTTTATCAGCAGCATGAAAACGAACTAATGCAGCAATCTTGCCTGACCACGGCCTTTGTAGCTTATATGTCTTGTTTTAAAAGAAAGCCCATGGGTTAGAGCTGGCAAATAGTTGCAGTCATTCTGTAGCTGGGGCTCTGGATTATAAACTGTCACATAGTCCAGGTAGGGGCAGTAGAAGATGGTTAAATAGTCATTTAGTTTCTCCTTATCCCTCTCAAAGGTAGTTTCTCCCTTCCACAGCCAGTCTATAAGAGATGAAAGTGACTATGAGTTTTTTTCCCCCTCTAATAATGTCTCATCACTTCTTGGATTTTAGTTCCTCTAGTGCCTTTAGCCCCTCAGTTCTTCGATAGTTTTTTGTTGTAAGTATGATTTGGTAGCTTATCTAGCTTGTTTTTACTTACTTTGAGACAGGGTCTTGGTCTGCACCCAGGCTGGAGTGCTGTGGCGCCATCATAGCTGACTGCAGCCTTGATCTCCTGGGCTCCAGCAATCCTTCCCCCTCAGGCTCCTGAGTAGCTGGGATAGCTGGGATTACAGGTATGCACCACCACACCCAGCTAATATTTTCAATTTTTAGTAGAGATGGGGTCTCACTATGTTGTCCAGACTGCTTGTTCTTATTAGGGTGGGAACAAATGGTCTTTTGAAAATTTCTATATCCAAATCAGGAGAAATTGCAACATGTCCATTTGTTTTCCTATTTTCAGACATTGTTTTGTTTCCTCTATCAAAAGCCGTATCTCCTATCAGACAACTCTCCTACAACTATAGCTCTTGCCTGGCTTCTGTAACTGTTCCCTTAAATCACCCCCTTAGTCTTAGGGGTAATTAGAACTTCCTGCTCTTACTATCTCTGAGCTGCCTCATCATGCTTTGTTGGTTTCCTTTTCTTTTTGAGACAGAATTTCACTCTGTCACCCAGGCTGGAGAGCAGTGGCGCGATCTTGGCTCACTGCAACCTCCACCTCCTGGGTTCAAGTGATTCTCCTGCCTCAGCCTCCCAAGTAGCTGGGATTACAGGTGCCCGCTACCACGCCTGGCTAATTTTTGTAGTTTTAGTAGAGACGGGGTTTCACCATGTTGGTCAGTCTGGTCTCAAACTCCTGACCTCAGGTGATCCACTACCCTCGGCCTCCCAAAGTGCTGGGATTACAGGTGTGAGCCACCGCACCCAGCCGGTTTCCTTTAACTTTGTCCACACTTTTGAAAATAGTCCCTTTTTGAAATTCTTCTCAGTTATGCTATTTGAACGAGTCATCTCCTTTTTGCTGGGACCCTGACTGATAGGTGGTACTTCTCTGGGAAAACAAAGTGATTCAGCCTATAGGGAGATAGTGAAGATATTATGCAGAAGCCAAAGAGAGAGTTGCAATAGTTGGTTGAGTGATAGTTGAAGTGGTACTAATGTTGGTGACACCCAGGAATGGGAAGAGAATGAATAGATTTCCCTGCCAATGCCTCATCTTTTGTAAACCTCTGGCTATTAAAAAGGAAAGTTGAGCATCATCAAAGCATTGTTTGTGTTTGAGGATCATTTTCCAGGTTAGTTTTTGAAATATTTCTAGCTGTATATAAAAGGTTAATGTGGAATAGAAAGCCTAACAAATTAATGAGGTCTTGTTGGTATGGTGGGGTCAGGGGAGGGAAGGAGAGGCTGGAAGAGGGAGCAGAGAATTCTAAGAAGACGAATTATTTTAATCAGCTGCAATGTTTAATTTAATTTAATACAATTTAGCATTTGCAATTACATAATTTACTCCGTATGAACCTTTAGGTTAGATATAGTATTGTAAACTTGCAAATCTCTTTATAAAACCTTTTTCTTTGGTAGAAACTACTATGAAGTAAATAAACCTTTATTGCCTTCGCTTAGTGCCTGGAACACAGTAGGCCTTTACAAAATGTCAGATCTATGAATACTAGCTGACATTTATTGAGGCCTTCCCCTGTGCCAGCCACTATGCAAAAAGTGCTTGACATACTTCTAAAATCTCAATTTATAGGTGAGGAATTAAGGATACAAGATGCATTTCTATAGTAGAGAAGCAGTAAACTGATAATGAATTAATTGAGGTGAAGTCTGAGTTATTTGAAGATTTTCAGTTATTTTTGTGAAAAAATAAGTTTATTGAAATTCACGACCAGAACACAAAAATAATCTCTCTTGATTTTCTTTTTAAAATTTTTTAAAAAACTTTTGTTGACACGTAGCAGATGTATATATTTACGGGGTACATGAGATGTTTTGATACAGGCATGCAATGTGAAATAAGCACATCACGGAGAATAGGGTATCCATCCTCTGAAACATTTATCCTTTGAGTTACAAACAATCCAATTACATTCTTTAAGTTATTTTAAAATACACAATTAAGTTCTTATTAACGATTGTCACTTTATTGTGCTATCAAATAGTAGGTCTTATTCATTCTTTCTATTTTTTTGGACCTATTAACCATCCCCACCTTCTCCCGCTCTTGATTTTCCTTTGCATGCATGTATTCATAAAGTTTATTAGTATTTTGCAAATCTTTGTAGGATAAGTCTGACCTGTCCAGGTCACAATTATAGGGCACATATCTTATTTTCTGAGAGAAGCAGGGATTTTATTTTATTTTTTATTGTTTCACTTATTTTCTCCCTTTCATTTGCCTCTACTTCGTTCTCTTTTAAATCTTTCACATGTTTTCATTCATTACTTGCTTCCTGCCTTCCTTCCCTCAAACAAGGCCAGGTGCTTAGTTTTGAAATCTCATTCAAAATGGTGCCACGTCATCTGCCAGGGCCAAGAATCCAGAGGTGCTGTCATATTTCTCCTTGCCAGCGTGGATCTCCTCCGAGCCCCGCCCTCCCTCCTCACCTGCTCCTGGGGAAACTACACCAAGGCCGCCGCTCTGGCCTGGGGCTCCCTCCCACACGGCCTTGGCCCTCTCCCCCTCGCCCCGGGACCGCTCCGCCCCTCCCGGATCCCGGTCGGCGGAGCGCATTTATTTGCATATTTCTACCTTTGTTCCCTGCCAGCGGCCAATCAGCGCGCGGGGCGAGACGAAGGGGCTGGGCGGGGCTCGGGCTCCTGCTCCGGCTCAGCTGCGGCGGCCGCAGGTTCCAAAGCGGGTCCGAGCCGCCGCCGCGCGCGCGCCGCGCACTGCAGCCCCAGGCCCCGGCCCCCCACCCACGTCTGCGTTGCTGCCCCGCCTGGGCCAGGCCCCAAAGGCAAGGACAAAGCAGCTGTCAGGGAACCTCCGCCGGAGTCGAATTTACGTGCAGCTGCCGGCAACCACAGGTTCCAAGATGGTTTGCGGGGGCTTCGCGTGTTCCAAGAACTGCCTGTGCGCCCTCAACCTGCTTTACACCGTGAGTATCCCCAGTCCGTTCCTGCTCGCTTGGGGGCTTTGCACCTGCTTGGGAGCTCTTTGGCTTCCCTGCCTGGTCAGCGACTCACTCGTTGCATCCCGCGCCCCCTTCCCGGCTTCCCACGTCTGCGCGCCCCCGGCCTCACCATCCGTCCCCGCCGGGGACCGGGCGCCGGCGCTTGTCGCAGTCTCTTCCTTTCGTTCATTGTGAAGCCGCGGTCTCTCAGGCTCGCTGGCCGCGTCTCTGCCACATTGCTCCACCCCGCCCCCTCACCCACCGCCTTGTTTTTCAAACATTCAACCGGACCTCTCCGCTTTCCCACCCCGTACCCTTCTGCCGCTCGCTCCTGACATCCAGACGCATCTGGGCCAGGCGTGGAGGCGCGAGAGCCGTCAGGGCTTGCGGACAGTTTTGCGGAATGGCGTGGCCTGAAACTGACGAGGCGGCATATGGCTGGTGTGCCTCTGGGTTAGCTCTTGGTACCCTCGGGATTTTAATTGAGGCCACTGAGTAGGTTCACAGGATGTCCGCTGCTTCCGAAGTTTGTTTCGTGCTCACAGTAAAGGGATGTCTTTTTGTTTTTGTTGTTGTCAGTTTTGCTAGTACTTGGTGCTTTTTCTGTGTGTCTTGTCCATGATCAATATCCTAACTCCATTTTAAACCAAGTCCTCCAGGAAATAAGCGAGCCCCCACCCAAGTCGTTTCTTTCCCTGCCAACCAGCTTGGGCCTCTTAGTTTTAACGCTGCAGGCTCTCTTTGTGATTTTTTGAGGCGCAATTCTGGGTGAACAGGAGGATGGGCAGGACAGATCGACATTTATTGAATGCCTATCACGTCCCAGGTTTTACATACACAATGCTCGTTCATCATTCTGACAACCTTCTGAGGGAATGGGGCATTATCTGCATTTTATACATAAGGTAACAGACCAAAAAGGTTTTAGTAAGTTTACATAGCTGGTAGTTGACGAGTCAGGAGTGGAACCTAGGCTGTGGAATCCAGATCTTTCCACAGGCTGTCTCTACCGGGCGGAAGAAACTTCCTCTTCTGTCATCATCCCTCCATAGTAGTCTTGCTCCCTTCTATAAATATACCTGGCGCTTTGCAGCACCCACCCTGAAAACAAACCCAGCACCCCTGCATTAGCAGAGAGCTAGGCCATCTGTGCAAGCTTAGATTACCTCCTTGGAATAGAGAGGCTGCCTTGTGGTCACCAACAGGAGAAGGAGGTTGGGTCATTTTACCTTTACTGTTCCTTTGTATGTGAACATGACTGCAAGCTTTGAAGGCAAGACAGAAACAGGCATTGAGTACGCTTTTATGGCTAGTTAGTAAGAATCTGGTCAACATGGTCATTAATAGTAGACTTGGGAAAAAAATTTTAGAACACCTGGTGATACAGTTCCTTGGAGATACATGTCAAGTTTCAGATCAAAATTCATCTGTATCACCCTGAGGTATGCTTATCACCCTGGCTGTTTATTAAGTAAATGCTGACCAGTTCTCTAGGGTTTTTTTTTTTTTTTTTAAATCAGTGTGAGTGGCCTGCTTGGAACTTTAAATTCCTTATTTTGTGACCTGAGTTCTGTTTTTTTTCTGCCAATGATTTAGTCATCTGTTTGCCAGACACTTAGTCTTACAGTGCCTGCTTACACAGAGTGGAATGTCTACTTTGCATACTTACTTCACTGAAGGGTCTATATCAATGTATAATCTTTTTTAAAAAGGCAAGTTATTTTAAAATGAAGTTCCTTGCTTTCTAGACATCATTTTTAGTTGTATTTAGAGTATATCAGGAAAGTGAGGCGAAAGAAAGGTGATTCTAAAGGGACATATTAAGACTATTTAATATCTATTCTAAATTATTGACCTTCAAAGTGTGTGTTCTATTGATTTTAATAGCTATGCAGTAAAACTTAATGAATTGGAAATTCACGGGACAATAAAAATGGCTAGCCCTTTTAAATCATAGACTTTTTAGACAAAGGGACATTTCTTAAAATGAATTAGTGGCTGCTTGCTTCTTTTACATTGTAAATAGGCTTAAATAACTGCAGCAGTTTAAAGTGGAGGCAAGTGACAGGTAAAAGTTGGATCAAGTCTTAGATAGATGCTGAAAATGTGCCATGGCCATTATTTAGCTTCTATTTCTCCCCTGATCTCTTTCTCAACATTTTAAGATGAAAAAAATGTGAGGCAGTTGGGGATGGGATTGAGCATGAAGACTTGGGAGACATTTCTCTATAAGTCATGAATAGAAACATTCTTTGTAGGTTCTAATCCCACCCTGGTCACTGCCTCTAAAATGTGCTCAACGCTACAGGATTACATTTGAGGTCATTTCTAAAAGTGTTGGTTAAACCAGGATTGCATATGGGAACGGCAGATGCCTGAAACATCATCATTGCTGTGTTGAAGCATTTTACTGAGGAACTTAGGACTGTATCAGCTGAACTGTCCACATGCTCTGGTGGCTTGCTGATGAGCCTGAGATTCGTGCCACATTCATGATCAGCTCAGAAAGCATGTCACTAAAAACAAGTTGGAAGTCCCAAACAAGGAAATTTGATCACTAGGCAAAATGTTAACAGTTGATTTTTCTTGTTGTTTATGGCTTGATTATTTTAGTTAATAGGATCGCCAGTACTGGACAAGCTTAAATTAGTGTAGTATGTGTTAACAGTTTGTAAATATAGAAGAAAAGGGGGAAGCTACATTCCTGAATTCACCTTCACAGTATTCTAAGAGAATGACTTGCCTCAGAGCTTCCTGCATTTAAAGAAACTTTCAGTTTCTTCATTCAACAATTATTGAGTGCCTACTGTGTGCCAGGCTCTGTTCTCAGTTTGGAAATACAGCAGCAAACCAAACAGGGCGTAAAAATCAATGTGCTTTTATGAAGGCTCTTTTTTATTTACTACCTTTTATACATATGTTTTCAGGAATTGTATTCAGTCAATAAACTTTTGTCTACTGTGTGCACTCTTTTGAGAACTGTGGGAAATAATAAATACCTATAAAGGCAAATGCATTGTGAAGACAGGATCTAGATGAGAGACATGGAATGGGAAAATTAAATGGCGTATAAGGAATATACTGACTTTAGGTACCATAAAATTTAGGACTGTGGCAGATATTTGTGGGTTAGAGAAGTTGGGGGAATAAAGGAGGTGTGATTGAATCAAGGAAATGTAGAAATAGTGTGTGGGTCTTTTTGATACCATTTAGGATATACATAAAAATGAAAATGATTTGGGAAAATGACTTATTTTTAATAGTTTATAGGAATATTTTAGGCTGAAAAGATTTTGACAAGTAGTGAAAAAAACTTTTGAAAATTATGCTTAGTGATTTGTGGGAAATTTTAGAAAATATGAAATAAAATTTGTATTAAAATACGTAATATTTTGAAGCTTTATAATGTGTCTCCTTGTGCTTCTTAACCAGAGAAGAAAGCTCTATTAAAAACAAACAACCAAAAAAAAGGTAGCTGACTTTGTTAAATAGAACCAAACTGAAAAATATGACCAAACATATATTTACTGGGACTTTTTAAGAGTTGCCCTGCCAGTTTTAAAATCAGGAGGGAAATTTCAGAAGTTGCAGTTTTGTTTCTCCTGTGTGTGTTCATTCTTATAACATCTTTCCATGTTTGTTTCTTTCTCTTTTTCGTGATTCTTTTTCCTTATACTTTTGGTTGTTTTGAGAAAAATTCTCATGCAGCATAAAAATTATACTGAATTACTTCATAAACACCTTAATTTATATTTTTATCACCTCTGAAGTTGGGATGCATTTTATTGTTTCTATTTGTATTTTTGAGATGGAGTTTCACTCTCGTTGCCCAGGCTGGAGTGCAATGGCGCGATCTTGGCTCACTGCAACCTCCGCCTCCTGGGTTCAAGCGATTCTCCTGCCTCAGCCTCCTGAGTAGTTGGGATTACAGGTGCCCGCCACCATGTCCAGCTTATTTTTTGTATTTTTAGTAGAGACGGGGTTTCGCCGTGTTGGCCAGGCTGGTCTTGAACTCCTGACCTCAGGCGATCCACCCGCCTCGGTCTCCCAAAGTGCTGGGATTACAAGCATGAGCACTTTATCTACTATAAAATGCTCCCGGCCTGGGATGCATTTTATAGTAGATAAAGTGTGCCATATCTGTTAGATAAAAAAATACGACCATACAATTTATGGGAAGAAAATTCTGTTTTTAATCTGTTAGATAAAAAACATATGTCCATACAAATTATGGGAAGAAAGATCACTGGATTTATGAAGAAAACTGAAACTTTTCCAACTCTGTTACTAGACAAACAGCTTACTTTGAGTTTCAGTTTCTTCATATATAAATTGGTGATGATATTTTTCAGTCGTCCCCTCATGAAGCTGTGTAAGGATAAAATCAGATAGTATATAAATGCTTTAGATGTATAATAGAAATAAAATTAAGTTGTTACAGCTTCAGGTGGAAAAAGTTGAATTTTGCTGAATTTATAGACTTGGCTTCTTCTTTCCAGCTATTCTTCACAGGTAAAACTTGCATAAAGAAAACTCGTATAAAACAATATTTTGTTACTTTTAGTCTGCAATGATCAAGGTTAAGTGCAGAAGCACAGCTAAATATTTTAAAGCATGAAAGTTGGCATTAGGTTAAAAAGTAGTAATATTAAGTAGGAATTACTTTTATTTATCCACTGTAGAATCGAATATTTCTTGTAATACCCTTTTTTTTTTTTACATAATTGGCCAACCTTTCAAACGTGTCTGTGGGTTTCCTCTACCGTTTCTCTTGAATGAATCTACTTCCTGTAAAATTGTATTATAATTGTAACTGTTTGGGGTTATTTGTGAGTCTAATGTAAGTTTGAGATGTGCCCAAGTTATTTTCTGTTTTTTATTCTAATAATGAATATTAATTGAGCATCAATAGCAGTGAACAAAATCCCAATGGCTTGCCTTCATGGAGTTTATATTTATGGGGGTGGACAGATGATAAATAAGTAAGTAAATTATATATCGTATTAGAAGGTAAACAAGTTTTATGGAGAAAAATAAAGCGGAGTAAAAGGAAAGATAGGTGGGGCAGTGGAGCGGATGTGGGAGGATGGGTACACAGCTTCACATATGGTGGTCATGCTTGGCCTGCATGGAAAGAAAACAGTGTACGAAAGGTGTTAGACTGTTCTTGCATTGCTATAAAGAAATACCTGAGACTGGATAAAGAAAAGAGGTTTAATTGGCTCATGGTTCTGCAGGAAGCATAGTGCTGGCATCTACTTCTGGTGAGGGCCCCAGGAAGCTTACAATCATGGCAGAAGGGGAAAGGAAGTCCCTGTGTCACATGGGGAGAGTGAGGGGGAGGTGCCAAACGCTTTTAAACAACCAGATCTCACGTGAACTCAGAGGGAGAACTCACTTATCACTGAGGGGATGGTGCCAAACCATTCATGGGGGATCCACCCCTACGAATCACCTCCCTCCAGGCCCCACCTCCAACATTGGGGATTACATTTCAACATGAGATTTGGAGGAGGCAAATATCCAAACTGTATCAAAAGGCCTAAAGGAGATGAAGAACAGTTATCTAAGAAAAGTGTTTCAGGTAGAGGGAATCGTCTTTGAAAAGACCCTGATGAAAGAGTATTTCTGCTTTTTTTTCTTTTCTTTCTTTCTTTTTTTTTTTTTTTTTGATATAGGGTATTGCTCTGTCACGCAGTGGCGTGATCTCAGCTCACTGCCAGAGAGCTGTCTCCTGGGCTCAAGTGATCCTCCCACATCAGCCTACCTAGTAGCTGGGACTACAGGCATGTACCACCATACCCAGCTAATTTTAAAAAATATTTTGTAGAGACGGGGTCTGTGTTGTCTGGGCTAGCCTTGAATACCTGGCCTCAAGCAGTCCTCCCACCTTGGCCTCCCAAATTGCTTGGATTACAGGTGTGAGCAACTGTGCCTGGCCAGGAGGAGTATTGCTGGTTTATGCAAGGGACAGATGAGTCAAATATGAGTGGGACAGAGCAAGCAAGCAGTACAATGCAGGAAATGAGGTCAGAGAAGTCAGGGGTGGACCCAGGAGAGCACTATAGGGCCATGAGCTTTTATACCAAGTGAAATGGGGAGCCAATGGTGTGTTTAGGTTTGAGGACTGATATAGTCTGATTTTTATGTAAAAGGCTATATGGCTTTTGAGTTAAGAATATATTATAGATGGCACAGGTGGGAGCATTGAGACTAGTTACAAGGCTATTGCTATAATTTGCACATGAGATGATGGAGGCTTGGATTAGTATGGTGGCAACAGAATTAAAAGAAATAGATTCTGAGAGTGTTTTGGAGGTAGGGCGACCTGATTTACTGAAAGGGACAAGTCACAGATTACTATGATTTGTGGCTCAGGCTCAAGGAATTGGCAGGATAGATTTGCCGTTAACTAGGATGGAGAAGATGGCAGGTGGAGCAGACTTTGGGATGAATGAGAGGATTCAGTATTGGACGTGATGCTAAAGAAACCCAAGTGGAAATGTCAGGTAGCACTTACAGTAACCACACTGTTATTCAGGGGAGAGGACTTGCCAACAAGTTAGTGAGGGTAGATGGAGAAGGGCAGTGGTCCATGGATTGAAGTAGTGCATTTCAAACATTAAGAGATTCAGGAGATGAGGAACATTCAGCAAGGGAGCCTGAAAAGGAATGGCCAGTCAGGTAGGAGGAAAATTGCAGAGAGGTTGGTGTCTCAGAAGTCAAGTGCAAACCATTTCAAGGAGATGGGGACCGAGAGTTGGTTCTCGAATTTGTCAGTGAAGAAGTCGTTGAAAAGAGCAGTTACCCTTTTATTTTTCTTATAATCCTCTGAACAATAAAGGCAATGTCGCAGTCATTCTGGCTTTCCTGTGTGCCCGGCACAGCCCTGGCATGTGGTTGGCATTTAGTTAATTGAATGCAGGAATCAGTACAGGGTTCTTCTGCCCATACTTCATTTCTTGTCTCCCAGAAATGCTCCAAAGAAGGAAGTGGTAGAGTGGGGTTGGAACTTTGTTGGCAGCTGTGGATGTCACCTCAAACTGGTTACCCTTGGAAAATGACAAGTGGAGGTCCCTTACTTTCAATCACCTTTATATAATTTCCATATACTTTGTATTTTTTTGCCTAGTAAGTATAAAAGCAGTGGCATCACGGAGAGCCATAATGAAGAAAAATATTCGCAAGAGCACTTCAGGCCTTCTGTGTCATTTGAAGAATGATCATAAAGCAATAAAAGAACTGAGGTTTTAGCTTCAACACTCAATGTCTGGCTATTTAGCAAAATGTAGATTATTTATAGAGTTTTCATATTTCCATCCAGCTGTTTGGCATCGTAGAAACATGTGCTTGATCTTTTCTGAATTGCTCTTCAGTTTTCCACATTAAGCAGAAGTTCAGAAGAGAGTTCAGTGTTCACGTGTAATTCCTCATTATGAATGTTGAGGCATATTGAGGAAGATAGTCTGGGGCTTTGTTTTCTTTTTTTTAGGGGCAGGGTCTCACTCTGTCACTAAGGCTGGAGTGCAGTGTGTGATGATAGCTTACTGCAGCCTTGAACCCCTGGGCCCAAGCGATCCTCTCACCTTCTCTCCTTCTGAGTAGCTAGAACTACAAGCATACTCCACCCTACCCAGCTAATTAATTTTTTTTTTTTTTTTTTTTTTTTGTAGAGACAGGGGTCTTGCTGTGTTGCCCAGGTTGGTCTTGAACTCTTGGCTTCAAGCATTCCTCTTGCATTGGCTTCCCAGAGTACTGAGATTACAGATGAGAGCCACTGAACCTGCCTACCTTTATTTTCTTTACATGTCTGTGGATGCTGTATTACATTTTGTTGGTATAGTCCTTCTGTATCTTACTACTGTTTTAAATTTGCTTGCCTTCCACTACCATCATAACTTCTCTGTTGCGTTAGTGCTAACAAAACATTTTTGAATAATTTACAACATCTAATCTGTCTTTTTGAAATGTTTTAAATTCTTTCATCCTCAAAGCAATTCACTTACCTTGGAAGAATTTTGGTACTAAAAAAAAAGGTAGTTGTTTTCACAATATTAAAATCTGTCTTTTCATCTTGTTCTTGAAATGTGGTGGATATTTGATGAAAGATTGAAGGTTATGTAGACAGAGAATAATATGGAACATCATTAGGCTGACTTTCTTCCCCTCCAAATATTGTATAGATTGGAGAATTAGCGTTTCCTTGTCCTGAAAGGGTAATGAGCAATATCATGTGCTCTTTGATTCAGCAGTGTGTTTTGAGCACCTCTTAATGCTTCACACTCTTAGCCAGGTGCTAGGAATGTAAGATAACATGGGCCTTGATTGTCTGGTGCTTAAAGTGTAGAAGGCCCATCAGAATTCCAAGTATGGCTGGGAGGAGGAATGGTGGCTAATGAATAACCTCGGGCGATAATCCAGGCCCTTCCCATCTTGGGATTTGTCAGCCTGGGAGTATGGACTTTTTCTCGAGATCAGAAACAAAGGACAGCCAGCATAGAAATGACCTGATCTGATTGGCTTTAAAACCAAGACCACAATGTTAGGAATAGAGTTTAGCCGGAAGTAATAGAAACCCAGCTATCACTGCTTAAAATGGTAAGTTTTATTATTTTCACGGAAAAAGAAGTCAAGACCCAGGTAACCCAGGGCATGTGCATAATTCAAGCATATTGTCATGGGCCCAGTCTCCATCTGCTTTCCTGCCCAACTATCCTTGGCATGCCACCAAATTACATATAAAACTCTAGGTACCATGAATTGTTCCAGGCCAGGCAGAAGATGGTCTAAAATGTCTTTCCTTGTAAAGCCTTGTCTTTTGGGGGGAAACAGATCTATTGAAATATTATCGACACAGTAAGGTGAATATACTTAAAGTATAACATTTTATAAGTTTGGGCATATGTGTACACCTGTGAACCCATGACCACATTCAAGACCCCTGAAAATCTCCTCATCCTTCTTTGAAATCCCTCTTTCCCACCCTTAAACCCCCCACCTAGTCTGCAGGCAACCATGGACCTGCTCAGCGGTAAAACTTACATTGGTGTTAAATTTAGTAACGCTAAGGAGGATGTTTGTAGAAAAAAGATGGGACATTCCTCTGGCTCATTGATTACCTTCTTTTGACGGCAGGGTAAGAAGCTTTAGGGACGTCTTTTCAGCTAAAAGGAGTGCTCATGTTTTTAAAAGTTTATTGACAAGGCGAGAATTTAGATTTGGTGTTGGTAGGGAAGGCGATCACCATGGTGAAGGTAAATAGGATCAGTGCAATTTTGCAGGTATTGAAAGTTTATGATCAACACAAGGTGAAGCTTGTGTGAATCAGGATACTTCATGGGTTATAGATGTTCTTGAAGCAATGTGTTGGCTCATATAAGTGGGACATCCAGTAGTTGGGTCATAAGGTTTTGCTGGATCAAGGGGCTCGAAGTCGCTCGCCCCTTTCATCCGCTTTTCAGCTTAGCTTGCCTCTGCTCAGTTTCTTTTACGGGCTAGATCTTTCCCTGTCCATGATGGCTACTGGCAGAATCAATGTTGTCCTTATACCTTGCTAGGTCAGATGAACCTGTTGTTTTCTGCTTTCAATATTCCTTTATCGATCTTGCAGGACACGCTTATTGACCCTGTTGGCTTATGGACCTATCCCTTGGATCAATCACTGTTGATAGAAGGATGGGCAGCCATGATTGGTGGGCCAGAATTTTGTGTGTCTGCTGCTGCTGATGGTCAGAGGGGCCAGTCATTAAGGGTCGTACTGGAAGTATATGTGTTAGGTTGCAAAAACAACATGTGTCTAAGACAGAGGTCATTCTTATTCTGGGCAGCAACTTCCCCAGTTCTTCTGTTCTTAATTCTAGCATATCCTAGCAATTTCTTCATCATCTGCAAGTCTTAGTGTAGTGGTTTAATATTTCAACACCCGCTTATGCTAGATTATAAAGAACATTATGCATATATCTTTCTTTGTTCTTTATTTTTATTTTTATTTGAGATGGAGTCTCGCTCTGTTGCCAGGCTGGAGTACAGTGGCGCAGTCTTGACTCACCGCAACCTCTGCCTGTCGGGTTCAAGCGATTCTCCTGCCTCAGTCTTCTGAGTAGCTGGGATTACAGGCACATGCCACCATGCCCAGCTAATTTTTTTTTTTTTTTTGTATTTTTAGTAGAGATGGGGTTTCACCATGCTGGCCAGGCTGGTCTCAAACTCCTGACCTCGTGATCTGCCCGCCTTGGCCTCCCAAAGTGCTGGGGTTAAAGGTGTGAGCCACCGCGCCTGGCTCTCTTTGTTCTTTAATACCATTATTGTATGTATCAATCTGAAAGACACATAAACACATGGTGCTTAATGTTAAAACAATTCTGTTTGCTAGAGTGATCTCAAATATATTAAGTTTCTAATTCCAAGTAGAATTTCTTGTTCCCCTACTCTAGGCAACACACAGTGTGCTCTTCTGCTTGTATGTGAATGTACGTGTATGTGACAAAATTTCTGAATTAGATAAAAGTAAACAAGCACAAAATGAATAAGCTTAACATTTGGTAGTTAACTAATGGAAAGGTCATATGAGTGGAGTCCTTATTAACACATCACTGTGTGACCAAGTCTCCTAGGAAGTAAATTAAAGAGATGCTATTCACATACCTGTTGATATGCCTATAAAGCAAGAACTACAATTTCTTATGCATTGTAATAGTGTCTTTAATATTACATCTCAGTGTTAAAAATTTCTTAATTATTTTCCTAGGCACTATGATGCAGTTCTATAGGGAGAAAAAAAAGTCACATTACTCCTCACCTATAAAATGAAAGGAACAGATTAGGATCCCTGGCCAGGTAGTTTAGTGCCATGGTGTTCTCTCTCTGTCTCTGTTTTGTTTTTGTTTTTGTTTTTTTTTTGAGACAAGGTCTTGCTATGTTGCTCAGGCTGGTCTCCAAACTCCTGGGCTCAAGTGATCCTGCCTCGGCCTCCCAAAGTGCTAGGATTATAGATGTGAACCACTATGCCCCACCTGTGCTGTAGCGTTCTGTGTTTGTGCTGTGAGCCCTGGCTAAGAATTTCTTTCTTTCTTTTTGAGACAGGGTCTTGCTCTGTTGCCCAGGCTGGAGTGCAGTGGCATGAACACAGCTCCCTGCAACCTTGACCTCCTGGGCTGAAGCTATCCTGAGTCAGTCTCCCAAGTAGCTGGGACCACAGCTGGTTGCCACTGCACCTGGCTAATTTTTTTTATTTTTTTGGTAGAGACAAGGTCTCCCCATGTTGCCCAGGCTGGTTTCGAGCTACCTGGGTTCAAGCAATCCTCCTTCCTCGGCATCCCAAAGTGCTAGGATTACAGGCATGAGCCACTGCGCCTGGCCTGGCTGAGAATTTCTATGTTCCTTGCAGTAGCACCTTCCTGTTTATTCCCCCTTCAGTAGACTCTACTCATGTGTACACTTGCAGTTTTGCCATTGCCACTTTCTCTTGGCGTTTACTCGGGGGAGAAATGCCAGTTTTAGACACTTTTTATGACCAGTTTTATGGTCTTGCTTTGGTGTACCTTTTCCATTACAGCTCCTTTAGTTCTCTTTTTAAAACTCTTTTTATATGATTCACCTTTCTTTGTCTTAAGGAGAAAACAGGAAAGGTTGGTGCTTACTGCTTATAAAAACATTACCAGCAATGAATTAACAGACACATAATTCCTTTTTATCAGCATTGTCTCCCAAAGGGAAGGAAACTGTCATAGGTGTACATTTACTTTCTATTCCAGTTGATTTCATAAGGAAACTGTTATTATAATAGAACAAAAGATTCTTTGGAGTTCCTTTGTCTAGCAAGTTCTAGTGACAAACCTAGGCTTTTTAATTATGCTGTTAGAGTTAACTGTTTGAATCAACAATTTTTAGATCACTGGTTTGGAAGACCTCATATAATCTTGTTCTCTTCACAATTACAAACCAGCCATAACACATAATTATCACTACTGAGAAATAAATTGTTTTACTATTATCTTTAAAAGTCTCCTTTTTAGTAAAGTTAAGGATACACTGATAATCAGATCTCATTAGAGGCATATTATAAGTCTTTAGGTGTTATAATTTTAAAAGTTAACTTGGGTATTTGGGGGATTTTTAAAATAATGTGTTAGAAACACCAGTCATACACAAGAAAACACATTGTTTTTAGCTTTTTAAATGAAAAAATCCAACATATTTTTGGGTGTTCATTAGAAAATTGATTAGCACAAACAAGTTTATGATGTACAGTTTCGCTGTTGCTGTAATAAGTGCAAAATTTGTTTTGGATTGGACAGTTGATTCTATGTTTTCTTTCACCTTTGGGAATGGCCCTTACAAATGAGAATGTGTATTTGCGTGTGCATGTGTGTGCATATGTGCATCTAGGAGTTGGGCATGAAAATGGGATAGGGCAGTGTCTTGGTTCACTTTTGAAACCATCTGAGTGTGATGGACCTAGAGCATTGCCTTTTGTTACAAACGTGTGGAGAATCAGCAACTTACTGCCTGTTGCCTTCAGTTGTATACCACCTTCATTCCCAAGCCTCCTCTTTCCTAAATTGGAACAAATTATAGGAGGGAATGTGGACTGCTCTTGAATATGCATAGATGGGGATTGAGGTGAAATATCTGAGAGACAAGTGAGAATGTCTAGATTTAAGTAGCTGGGTTTGGGAGATAGTGGGAGCTAAGGCTGAATGAGGAAAGTTAGACCAATTTACAGAGGAATGCAAAGCAGAAGAATTTAGAATTGGTGACTTAGTAAGAAGGGGGTGTTACATTTTTCAAGGCTAGTTTTAATTAGGAAATTTCATATGCTCAGGAAATAATATGGTAGACCCCTGTGAACTCACTGGCTTTATACATTTCACATATGCCAGTGTTTTTTTTCTCTCTCTCTTTCGAGATGAGGATTCTCTTTGTTGCCCAGGCTGGAGTGCAGTGGCTATTCCCAAGTGCAGTCACAACGCACTGCAGCCCAGGACTCCTGGGCTCAAGCAGTCTGTCTCGGCCTCCCAAGTCCCAGCTACTGTTGAGACTATAGGCACACCACTGAACCCAGCTAATCTCTCTTTTAAGAAGTTAAATGTTACTCTGTAGCTAAAGGCCAACTCTCCAGTCCCTTTCCCATTTTCCCCTCTCAAAGGTAGTCACTGTTCTGAAATCAAGATCTGTCACTTCCATGAATGTGTATGACAATGTCATATATTATATACATTAATTATCTACAAATAACATATAGTATTGTTTTTTGTGTTTGAAAATTTATATAAATGGTATGTTTTATCTGTATTTATGCAACTTGTCTGATTTCCTTTACATTTTTTTGAAATTTGTCAATTTAATAGAAATAGATAAAAATCATTTGTATTCTATTGTGTGATCACACCAGAGTCTGTGAATTCCCTAGTCGTGATGTTTGAAAATGTTTTTAATTTTTTACTGTAACAAACAAGGTTGTGGTAGAATCCTGGTATATATCTAGTTGGGTACATAGGTGTTCTCTTGGGGATTAACCTAGAAACAGAATTGCTGGGGTAGTAAGGGATACATATAATTTTCCTAGGTGGTGTTAATTTGTTATATAAAGTAGCTACAACAATTTATATTCCTACTTGTACACAAGTTTTAGGTTCTTTACATTCTTGGTGTCATCAGGCTTAGTTTTTGCCAGTCTAGTGCATGTGAGATGGTATTTCCTTGTTTTAATTTTTGTTTCCCTGATTTTTGATGTGATTTAACATTTTTCATGTGTTGATTGGCCTTTCAAATTCTTCTTCAGTGAATTGACTCTTACTACCTTTCACCACTTTTCAGTTTGCTTTTTGTCTTAAGTTCATTTGTATTCATTTTTATTTTTTATTTATTTTTATTTTTACTTTTGAGATGGAGTATCGCTCTTGTTGCCCAAGCTGAAGTGCAGTGGCACCATCTCGGCCCACTGCAACCTCCTCCTCCCAGGTTCAAGCGATTCTCCTGCCTCAGCCTCCCGAGTAGCTGGGATTACAGGCGGGTGCCACCACGCCCAGCTAATTTTTTGTATTTTTAGTAGAAATGGGGTTTTACCATGTTAGCCAGGCTGGTCTTGAACTCCTGACCTAAGGTGATCCGCCTGCCTTGGCCTTCCAAAGTGCTGGGATTACAGGCGTGAGCCACCGCACCTGGCCTGTAGGCATTTTTTAATATGTGTGCTGGAAATATATTCTCCTAGTCCTAGGTGTCTCTCACATTTGTCTCGTATTTTTCACTGTACAGTACAGAAGTTTAAATTTGTAACAGGTTGGATGGTACGGCAGGTAAAAACACAGATCTACAGCCAGGTAGCCTGGGTTCATATCCCAGCTCTATCCCTTCCTTACTGTCTAACCTTGGGCAAGTTACTTAACATCTCACTCTGTGCACAGCTTTTCCCATCTGGAAAATGGAAGCAACAGTACCTACCTCTTAGGGTTTTTGTGAAGATTAAATTAGTTAATAAATGTAAAACCCTTATAATACTTTCTTAAACAGAGTAAATGCCATGTCAGTGTTATATGCGCATTTTTGGAAACTTGTTTCAAAGAAATTTTTCCTTACCCACAAAGTCATTAAAATATTTTCTATACTTTTAAGTTGTGCTTAAAGTAGAGTTTATGGTTTGAGGTAGGGATTAATAATATCAGTTTTCAAAATGAGAAGGTGGTTGTCACAAGGCTACTTATTAAAGTCTACTCTTTCTCTGCTGACTTAGAATTTTGCCTCTCTCAAAGACTATGCTGCTGGCTTATTTAGATCTGTATCAGTTACCTGCTTTAACGACTGAACCATTAAAATGAGGTATTTGTCATATCTCTTATTTTATTTTTTTTGAGACAGAGTCTTGCTCTGTCACCCAGGGTGGAGTGCAGTGGCGTGATCTTGGCTCACTGCAAACTCTGCCTCCTGGGTTCAAGCTATTTCTGGCTGATTTTTGTATTTCTAGTAGAGACAGGGTTTCACTATGTTGGCCAGGCTGGTCTCGAACTCCTGACCTCAAGTGATCATCCCGCCTTGGCTTCCCAAAGTGCTAGGATTACACGCATGAGCCACTGTGCCTGGCCATTATAATAGGTTCTGATATTTGTTAGATGGTTTTTAACTTATTTAGTTTTTAAATTTTTAAAATCTATTTAATTTTACTTTAAAAAAAAGAAATATATCCAAAATATGTAGAGTCAGGCTCAAGTTTTGCAGACATGGGTGAAAACAACAACAAGGGTGGCATTCAGGACAGTTAGATTGAACCACTGACAGGACTGATTTGCCACCAGGAGCATTTCTTCTTCATGGTTCTGGTGACAGTGCAGCTGGGCTAAGAAAAAGTGCAGCAGATACAAGCTTTTCTCCTTAATCTTCTTTATCTCTTTGTTTATTTTAGGTCTTCTTTCATGTTCTTCAAATACATTTCACAATTTTCTTCATGAAGATCTTGGACTACTTTTGTTGGATTTCTTCATATATATCTTATATTTTGGGGGTATATTACAAATTATATCCTAAAAAGTATGTGAAAAAAATTTTTTTTGGTGCATCAGCATGTTGTTGATTTTTGTGTATTGATTCTGTTTCTAGCAACTTTGCTGGTTCTTACCAATTTTAATTTTTTTTTGATTTTTTGGATTTCCTTTGTAGATGCTCCTAATAATTTTTGAATAATGAAAGCTGTGTTTCTCTCCTCCCATTGTTATTTTGTATTTACACTTAGTTGTCTAAAACCCCACCACAATGCTGAATAGATGTGGTGAAAGTCCACACCCTGTCTTATTCCTGAATTTTGGAGAAAATGTTTATGATTTATTTTTATCTTACCATTAGCTAGAATAATCTTTCCTATCTTTTGTCACTGAGTGTGATTTTTGCTTTGGCTTTTTGATCGGTATTTATCAGTTTAAAAATTTGGAAGGATTTATTATTAACCTTTCTCTTAAATAATTTTGCCAAGGGCTGTTACTTTTCTCTCCTTTAATGAAGCTTTATGTATTCTTTCTATTGTAAGTTTCTCTTCTTTCTCCTACCATTGGGTTTGTTTTATGTGACTCTTTTTTAAGTTTGCATTTTTAAAAATATGGGTTTTTAAAATAGTTTTTATTCCCCTTTTATCTTTTTATTTTTCTGTTTAATATTTTTTATTTTATTATTTTATTATTATTATTATTTTTGAAATGGAGTCTCACTCTGTTGCCCAGGCTGGAGTGCAGTGGCACAATCTCGGCTCACTGCAGCCTCTGCCTCTCGGGTTCAAGTGATTCTCCTGCTTCAGCCTCCCAAGTAGCTGGGATTACAGGTGCCCACCATCACACCCGGCTATTTTTTAAAAAATATTTTGGTAGAGACAGAGTTTCACCATGTTGGCCAGACTGCTCTTGAACAACTGACCTCAAGTGATCCACCCGCTTCGGCCTCCCAAAGTGTTGGGATTACAGGCGTGAGCCACCGCGCCCAGCCCCCTTTTATCTTTTTAGTCAGTTTAAAATATTTTGTTTTAGTCTCCTTCAGTTAGTTCTGTCATCTCAAGTTCTTGGGAGCTTTTATCCTTCTTTTGTTATATTTGTCATATCTCTCTCATGGTAAATTTTTTTCTTAGTCATTTTGTGATTTTTTGATTGGCAGCAATGTTTTTATTTTTTTCTTTGGGAATCCTGTAAGGGCTGGGATTTGGAAGGGTCCCTCCTGAGCAAATTTTGGATATGCGTTTATGAGCTTTTCTCCCCCAAATGCCGTCACCTCTTGTAATCAGCTTTTATTTGAATTGTTTGTCTTGAGGATTCCTGCATGCCTGAGGCAGTGTACTCTTAGACTGCAAGCATGGGCATGATAGGCTCTTGTTTGATAGGCTCGTGTTTCTCTTTCTTGAAAACTTTTTGAAGAGACTGAAAAGTCTTTGCTCTCTTTCTGGATAGGTTGTTGTGGTTTTTCTCTAACCCCTGACACTGAAAATACAGCTTTTTGGAGATCCCAGTTATGCAAGGGTCTCAGTTCCACTTCCTAGCTCTGCTATGAAACCTAAATCCTTTCCCGTTAGGGACTGTTCTGATCCAGGAACTCCTTCCCCACCTGCTCATGGGACCCCACAGCACCAGCTGTATGCTTACAGTTCTAGCTTTCGATTCTCCTTTCATTTCTGACCTGTAGGAATTTCCCATAGTTTTTCTGTGCTCACTTACGTATTTAAATAAAATGTTACAGTCTTTTCAGTGTTTTAAAATATTTGTAGCTGAAAGGATTCTGTGGTAGCTCAGTTGCCCATGTTCCAAGAACCCTCTGTGGTGGGCTAAATAACCACACACTCCAAAAAGTCGTTCATATCCTAATCCTTGAAACCTACAAACACGTTACTTTACATAACTAAAAGGACTTTGAAGATGTGATTAAATGAAGAATCTTGAGATGGGGAGATTATTCTGGATTATCTGGGTGAGCTTTATGGAATCACACAGGTCCTTGGAAGAGGGAGGAAAGAGGGTCAGAGTCAAAAAATGATGTGCATATTTGAGGGGTTTGAACATGATATGCTCCTGGCTTTGAAGACAGAGGAAGGGGTTATATGCCAAGGAATGCAGAAAACCCTCAGAAACTAGACGAAGCAAGGAAACAGATTCTCCCTCTGGAGCTTTCAGGAGTACAACCTGACCAACACAGCCTCCAGAACTGTAAGGCAATACATTTGTGTTATTTTAAGCCACTACACTTGTGTTAATTTGCAAAAGCAGCGATAGGAAACCCTCTTTGATGGTTTTAGAGGACTGCCTGGTAGTGGTAATTAGGGTAGACTGAAAACTATATTGAAGACACAGCAGAATCAACTTGGTGAGGAATGCCCTTGACAGAGGGTTATGTAGAAGGAAGCAGCCTCTTTTTTGCCTCTATCTGCAGGAAAAGAAAAAAACCAGAACAGAGGTACTTGTGAATATTCTAGATAACATTCTCAATAATAGCATAAAGCCTAATCTGAGAACTAAATAGTGTTTTCTCCCCTCTTTTTGGTTGTAGAGATCTTTTCTTTACATTTACATTAATAGATTCTCATTATTAATGAGCCTATTAGTTGGCAACTGAGTGAGCATTGAAGAGTTTCCTCATTTTGCCGAAACGATGATGCAGATAATGTATTTGCTTTGCGGCGAGGATGCCCATGAGGGTACCAGAACACTTCACCCCAGCTACATGATAAGGATTCCACTGATGGTAAAATTCCAGGCAGGTTCTATAACAGTGAGAGGTTCCTGATTTGTCAAACTCCAAATAGGTGAATTGTTCTGTATTTCTTTTCTAGGACTGCTGTAGCAAATTACCACGAACATGGTGACTCAAAATAACAGAAATTTATCCCCTCACAGTCCTGGAGACCAGAAGTCCAAAATCAAGGTGTCCACAGAGTCAGGCTCTCTCAGGGACCTGGGGGAGAATCTGTTCTTGCGTCTTCCATTTTCTGGTGGCTGCTGGCATTCCTTGTGGCTGCATTAGTCTCTGCCTCTTTTTTTTATGTCACTTTCTACATTGTGTGTGTCTCTCTCTAATTTCCCTGTGCCTCTCTCTTAAGGATACCTGTTATGACATTTAGGGCCCACCTCATAATCTAGGATAAGCACCTCCTTTAAAGATCCTTAATTTAGTTCCATCTTTTACCACATAAGATAATGTTTATCCTTGGCCGGGCGCGGTGGCTCATGCCTGTAATCCCAGCAATTTGGGAGGCCGAGGCAGGTGGATCACCTGAGGTCAGGAGTTCGAGACCAGCCTGGCCAACATGGTGAAACCCCGTCTCTACTAAAAATACAAAAATTAGCTGGACGTGGTGGCATATGCCTGTAATCCCAGCTACTGGGAAGGCTGAGGTGGGAGAATCACTTGAACGCGGGAGGTGGAGGTCGCAGTGAGCCGAAATTGCGCCACTGCACTCCAGCCCGGGTGAGAGAGCAAAACTCTGTCTCCAAAAAATAAAATAAAATAAAAAATAAATAAATAATAAATACTTATTCTTTTACTACTGAAGATTATATTCACAGAGGGGTCAGCTGGGCTATTCTGTTTATCTGAATTTTTTTGTGTGTCAGGGGGAGATTATTGTTCTATACTCTTACTCGCCTTATAAAAAATCTTGGGGGGGGGCGGTTAGCAATTATTTGATTATTTGTCCTATTGTAATTTTTCATTCTCTTCTATACCGACTTCTAGAGCAGGGGTCCGAAAACTACAGCCCACAGCCAGATCCATCTCATTGACTATTTTTGTACAGCCTGCTAACTTAGAATGGTTTCACATTTTTGAATGTTAAAAAAAAAAAAAAAGGAGGAATGATATTTTGTGATGCATTAAAATTATATGAATTCAAATTTTGGTATGTATAAATAGTTATTGGAACACAGCCCTGCCTGCTCATTTGTTTACATATTGTCTGTCACTGCTTTTGTGTACAGGGGCAGAGTTGGGTAGTTGTGGCAGAGACCATGTGATCTGCAAAGCCTGATAATAAATATCTGGCCGTTTGCAGAGAAAGTTTGCCAAGCCCTGTTCTAATAGGGATGTCTTGTCTCTGGCTTTTAGCACATAGCATCAAGTACTTGTCGGTGAATAATTAACTTTTAATTTACTATTTAAGCAGGTGTAACTTTTAATATTCTCATATTTAAGGATTTCAGTAATATAGTAAGGATGTAGTATAATTCCCAAAAGGATTTAAAGAATCTTTTAAAGATCTTAAAGAACTATGGGGTTAGAAGAATTTTATTAGTAATACTCTTATTCATGCTTCTTATCTTTTTTGGCTCTAAGACTTAAAAGATACAATGTAATTCTTCTGGTGAATTTAACTGAATTAGGATATATGCATCACACCCAGGACTTGGGTGTTGGCAAATGTGATGGTTGATTTTATATGTGAACTTGGCTAGGCTGTGGTGCCCAGTTGTTTGGTCAAGCACTAGTCTAGATGTTGCCGCAAAAATATTTGTAGATGTGACTAACATTTACAATCAGTTGACTTTAAATCCTATTACCTTCCATCATGTGAGTGGGCCTTATCCCATCAGTTGAAGACCTTAAGAACAAAGATTAAGGTTTTCTGAGGAAGAAGGAATTCTGCTTGAGTTTCCAGCCTGCTGGCCAGCTCTACAAATTTCTGACTTGCCAGTCACGACAATCATGTGAGCCAATTCTTTAAAATCTCTCTGTCTCTGTTTCACTGTTGGATTTTCACTCAATAGATAGATAGATGTAGATATAGATGTATTTCCTATTGGTTCTGTTTCTCTGGAAACAGAAGTACAGCAAGCTGCTCTGATGTCTTGCACATGTGGCCCATCTTCAGCGTTTGGTACCATGATGCAGCAAGGATGCTAAGCATAGCCCTCCTGCCACGCATCATCCAGCACTCCTTCTTCCTTCGCACCTCCTTCAGGCTTCTGTCTTTTACAGCTCCTGAAGGGAAATGTGTTAAATTTGAATACCACAGAGTCAGAAATAAGCTCACTTGTGAAGGGGCAGAGGACTTTTTCTCAGTCCAAGACTGTTTGAAGTTGTGAGAAGACTGTCAGTGAGTATGATAAAATGAAACAGAGGCAAATGGGCCTACTGATAAGGAGCAGTTGGGAAAATGAGAAGGACTAGACGAATTTCTGAGTGGCAAAATTTGTGAAAATTTTTGCCTCTCCTTGTCCCTCTGAAAAGAAAAGCTTGCTGGGTGTACCAGCTGCAGTGGAGCCCACCAAGTTCATATAACTCTCTAATTTGATTATATTATGCTATAGATGGTTCCTTTTATTCTCAAGTTTTGTCTCTTTGGCAAAAAAATACAAAAAAATATTTTCTATGAGTACAAATAGACACTCATGTAGCAGTTTTGCTTGTATCTCTACATATGTAAGGTTTACTGTACCAGTAGATGTAAAATTTGCCTGACAAACTATTGTATTACATACGAAAATTTACACATTTGAGCAGAAAAAGATGCATTTGAGTAAGTGGTAATTTATTTTTATATTTCTAAGCAAAGTTTATCAGGCTTTTAAATGGTGCTAGAAAATATATTTTTTTATGTTTTGATTTTTCCTAATTGGGTATTATGCTGTCAGATTGCTCCAGGCAATGGTTGACTCATGATTGAAGATACTGTTTCCTTCCTGTTCAACAACCTGTCCCCCACTCCTCCCCTAATACCTATGTAAGCTTCATCTTCTATAAGTGAATTACCATCTTTATGTGGCATACTATTTTTAAGTGGGATTTTAAAGAAGTAATATCATTTTGACTTTTACAGGTCATAACCACTAGGCATGTGTTCTTCAACCAGTGTTGTTTTATAAATATATGAATAAAACAATTGGCATATCAAAGAATTTCTTTTTGCTCAGAATACTAGTTCACTTTAAATAGCTAAAGTCTCTTACATTCTTTTTATTCTGCTAAAAGTTTTAATGATCTCTCTATATATGATTTTTAATAAAATAGATGATGACATTTAAAGCAGTTAATTTCAGCAGCAATTCTATGAGCAGTTTTTGAGTATTCCCCAGGGACCCGGTCTTGTGATAGATTCTGGGGCTGTATAGCCAGGTGAAAAGATGTGGGTCCTTACTCTCAAGTTGCTGCCAGTCTTCTGGAGAGACAAGCTTGGAAACACAATGTGTGATGAAGGGAACAAGAGAACCGTGTTCCAGTAACAGAGATCGGCCCGACAACGGAGGGATTTCTTTAGTCAGCTGGGGACTAGGAGGGCTTCCCAGAGAAAATTACAGTGCATTTGGGCTTTGAAGGAAAGATAGGTGATGTCCATTTGAAGAGATCAATATGTTGGACCGAGCTTGGCATCTGGAAGTTTTTGTGTATGTGATTTCTTCAAAATCTTCAGTAGCATGCATTTAGGCTCTTAGTAAACAGATGACTTCTGAGGCTCTGTGAGAATTTTGCGTATTATCAGTCTTTTTTTTTCTTTTGCAAGAATAAAGCACGCCTGGGGATTAATGTAATTTGTTAAAACAATACTGCCTATTGAGATCTTGTGTGTATTCTTGTATTAAGTTTTAGTGCTTATTTGTAAGAGACTACGTAGGTGCCTGAAGGATATTGTTGATATTTAATTAACTGGCATTTTCCCCATTCTCTCTCCTCTCTCTCGTCCTCTACCCCTGCCCCCTGGGTGTTTTTGCAGTTGGTTAGTCTGCTGCTAATTGGAATTGCTGCGTGGGGCATTGGCTTCGGGCTGATTTCCAGTCTCCGAGTGGTCGGCGTGGTCATTGCAGTGGGCATCTTCTTGTTCCTGATTGCTTTAGTGGGTCTGATTGGAGCTGTAAAACATCATCAGGTGTTGCTATTTTTTGTATCCTTTTTAAAAATCAAGATTTTACTCTTGATGACTATTTTGATGGTTACAACTAATTTAATATTATCACTAGGAAATTTATTGCCAGAAAGCAACTCCAAGCAAGCCTTATGCATATTTGTTCAAGAACTATTAGAAACATTTCTTAGGGTAATGTTATTGTACGTTTTCATATTCTCACCCTGTCCTTGTGACACCCTGAAGAATATATTCTGCAAGTTCAGTGTAGTCCTATTTATGTATTGTAAATTCAGAGTTAAATTGAATTGATTTGGTGACTTCTAGGCCCTTTTTTACACATTAATGTTTGGTTGAGAATTTCAGTGTTTTTTTTAGACTTAATATTAAAAAAGCTTACATGTATTTATCTATACCTATGTCTGTTTTGTAAATGTAAGAATTTTTATTTTATTCTGAATGAAATTCTAATCTAGTTTTAGTTATGTAATTATGACTAATATTTTTCTTTATAAATTTGATGCAACTATGTATTACCAAAATAATAATATGTGTATCCTTTTTGAACTTTCTCTAAGTGCCATCTGTTCTGTATTCTGGGTTAATTACTTCTTGTGCATTCTAAAGTTGTCAGTACCTCTGTACCTCTGTTTTATGCCATTCTAAGAATATTTAGAAGTATCCTTAACTTCTAACTCTCAGTATATGATTATTCTGTTACTTGTATTTATTGTTCAGTTTTCTGTATCTTGCGCTTGTTTAGCCCTGAACCAGGAGCAACAGGTAAGCTAAGACTTTTTTCTTCTACTTTATTATACCACATAGCATGAGTATGAAAAAAAGGAGGGTAATGATTAGAATATAAAATAATTTCGTCTTGCACAGAATGCCACCTTCACTCTGGATAGCAAAACTCTCTTGTTCCCTTTGCATTAGTGCAGCAGGTTGGAGCCGGACACCATCAGGTGTTGCCATTTTCGGTATCTTTTAAATCGGATTTTGCTTTCACTGGGTTAAAAAGTGCTATGGCTAAAAGATGTTCCCCCAATCTTTTCCCACTATTATGCAATGAAACATTTGCTCCAGAATGCTTGTGGTTCCAGTCTAGCAATGACTGTTTTCAAGCTCTAATTCGTAGACAAATCCAGGTTTCTGTCATGGAGCAACAGAACTTTTGCCTTGTTAACACTCCGAGAATTATGCCTTTGAACCAAGTGCTTCTTTTAAATTGCATGTAAATTCTTTTAAATGCATGTAAAAAATTAGGAGTTTTTCAATCTTGGGATAGAAATAGTGCCTTAATTTTTGCTGCAAACTGAGGAATAAGCCTTTGAAAAGTTTTAAGGATTTTTAAAATAAAAATTATTTTAGGTACACTTAGTACTAAAAGTTACAGGCTCCAGCTTTATACATTTTCTGCAGGGATGACACATTTTATATATTAAACACATTTACTAGGGTCAGCTTCTGGAGGTTGGTTGGAACAATACGGCAAGTGCTCGAAATGACATCCAGAGAAATCTAAACTGCTGTGGGTTCCGAAGTGTTAACCCAAATGACACCTGTCTGGCTGTAAGTACATTGTATAATATATGTTTTTGGAAATGTATTACAGATAAATAATGATTAATGTGGAAGAAATGGACTTTCTGATGCTGAATTGTATTTTCAGGATTATTTTATGTATATATTTACATTATATTTCCATGTCCTCTGTTATATCATTTGCCTGTTCTCAAATACCCACTCCAGAGAGTGTTGAGAATTTCAAGGCCCTATTGGACACAGATGCTAATGGTTTATTGTCCCTAATTTCTTCCCATCCTTCTCTTCCTAGAACAAGTTGTGAAAGAAATAATAGTACGTCAGTTCATGTGTTCATATTTTGGGGAAACTCCTGTTATCACATCTCTGAGCCCTAAGCTGAATATTTCCTCAGTGAGGCTTCTTTTGTGAGATTATCTCCTTGTAGGGGGTCTGTGTTATGTTTCTGTTGCTGCGTAACACATTATTACACAGCAATAGAAACACACTGGCTTTAAATATCCATTTAGTGGCTTTAAATACCCATTTATTATCTCACAGTTTCCCTGGGTCAGGCTTGGCTGGGTCCTTTGCTCACCTGGCTGAAATCAAGGTGTCATCTGAGGCTGCAGCCTCATCTGAAGCTTGGGGTCCTCTCCCCACGCTCAGTGGTTGTTGGAAGAATTCAGTCTTTGTGGCTGTGGGACCACCCCTGTTTTTTTGCTGCCTGTTGGCTGGAGGTCTCTCTCTGCAACTAGAAGCTGCTCTCAGGTCCTATGTTACTCTTTCACAATGTGGCAGCATCAAAGTCACTGTGAGAATCTCTCCATTCTGTTAAGATGGAGTCTTTTGTAATGCGTAATGGAGTCTTATCTGATGTAAGGTAACATGGAAGTGACTGTCCTATCATATTCACAAGTTCCACGCATACTCAAGAGCAGTGATTGTATAGGGTGTGTACACCATTGAGAGGGGAGGGTGGGAGTCTTGGGGGCTGTGTTAGAGATTTGCACACTAAAAAACCAAGGCCTCAAATTGGATATAATACTCTTAGACACTAATTTTGTGTGTATGCAGTTTTTATGGGCTTTTTATAAATGTATTTTGAAATAAAGGTTTTTTTACTTTAATTGGTGCAGAGCTGTGTTAAAAGTGACCACTCGTGCTCGCCATGTGCTCCAATCATAGGAGAATATGCTGGAGAGGTTTTGAGATTTGTTGGTGGCATTGGCCTGTTCTTCAGTTTTACAGAGGTATGTGCAAATAACAATATTTTTCCTCCTTTGTCACAGAGATTCCTGTTTTGCATGACAAAGGGCCTTGATTCTTGTTATCAGTGAGCATTTTCATTGAGAACTAGCACTGTAAAAAGAGGAAACTTGGTTTAGAATCAGAAGATCTTACAAGTCTATTAATAGCACCAACTTTAGGACCGGGTGAAAGGCTTGATCTGTCTCTTCTTATGTAAAATTTAATGAACTAATGAGTGAGATTAGATTGAATTATCTCTAGGGTCTCTTCTATTTCTACAGTTGTGTGATGAATTATAATTTTAAATTTAATTTGGAAAAGGTAGGACATTCACATTGTTTAATATGTATGTTAATGTCTATAATACACAGACATACATATATAAAAAGATTATATATCTTTTTATATATATCTTGAAAAATTGCCTTCCTACACCATTTTTCATTCCCCTGTTCCTAGCCTTCTAAAACCTATGCATAATGTCTATATGTGTATAATGTATTGTGTATAATATGCAATTAATATATAGTACAATATTTATGTATGTGTATTTATCATATATTTTATTCAAGTTCAGTTTCTTTTTTTCTCATCAAGAATGAAATATGTACATTTGGCTGTCATTAACAGCATAGGAAAAAAAAAGACCAAGATTAATATTCTTTTTTTTTTTTTGAGATGGAGTCTTGCTCTGTCACCCAGGCTGGAGTGCAGTGGCACAATCTTGGCTCACTGCAAGCTCCGCCTCCCGGGTTCACGCTATTCTCCTGTCTCAGCCTCCTGAGTAGCTGGGACTACAGGCGCCCGCCACCACGCCCAGCTAATTTTTTGTATTTTTAGTAGAGACGGGGTTTCACCATGTTAGCCAGGACGGTCTGGATCTCCTGACCTCGTGATCTGCCCACCTCGGCCTCCCAAAGTGCTGGGATTACAGGCATGAGCCACCGTGCCTGGCCTAGTATTCATTTTTTATTTTTATTTATTTATTTTATTTATTTATTTTGAGACAGAGTCTTGCTCTGTTGCTTAGGCTGGAGTGTAGTGGTGCAATCTCGGCTTACTGCAAGCTCCACCTCTTGGGTTCAAGCGATTCTCCCACCTCAGCCTCCCGAGTAGCTGGGGTTACAGGCATGCACCACTACACCCAGCTAATTTTTGTATTTTTAGTAGAGACAGGGTTTCACCATGTTGGCCAGGCTGGTCTGGAACCCCTGGCCTCAAGTGATCTGCCAACCTCAACCTCACAAAGTGCTGGGGTTACAGGTGTGAGTCATTGCACCTGGCCCAATATTCATTTTTTTAAAGTTCCTTCTGACTTCCCTCTTTAGTCTGACCATTTTTTCATTTCACTGTTTCTCAGAAAAGAGCTATCTGACTTGTGAGTTGGTTGTGACATTAATTCTAGAAAAATGATATACAGCTTGACAAGAATTCTGTGCATTTCTCTCTTCTTTTGTTTAAAAACCATAGATTTTTGTTATGAAAACTTAAAAATACAGATAGAGAAAAACTGGAGTAATTTCTCTCTACACATCAGCTAGAGTCAGCAGTTATCAGAATTTTGCCACGTGGCTTCTTTTTTATATCTGGAATTTATTTTGAGAATTTAGTTCTTTTGAGCAGCCCAGTTTTCTTGTCATCAGATCACACTGCCTTCAGTTATGCTATTTTTTAAGTAGGAGTTCTTTAAAAATAGAACTCATGAGTCTTAGATTTCTAAAGTGTTCTTTCATGGAATCCTGCTTTATATCTTACATACTGTCTCCTTTGGAAATCTGGCTAGAGATTTTTATAACTTATGCAACCTGGTTTTTTAGATAGTGATAGTGGTAGGCTCTCACTTTTTAAGTTTATATTTTGCTCAATATTCACAGAATCACAGATTCTCAGAATTTGAAGGGATGCAGTTACTTAGCTGACAACTTCTTCTCATAGGTGAAATAGAAAGATTTGATTTGAACTATTTATTATACCTTTAAACAAACCTAAACCATGAGAGAAACATTGATTTAGAATCTGAAAAAAGCTATGATTAATATATGTTCTTTGTAGTAACTTGAGAAACTACAAAAAATTATGAAGATGAAAAATTAGACGTAGCTACTAAAATTACCTACTCAGAAACAATCATTTATATTGTGGCATATTTCCTTCTGCCCGTTCTATATTTAGTAAAATGAGTACCAGCTTATTGCATATTCTACATGTACTTTATTTTTCTACATACATTTTCATGTTATGAGCAATATATTTTGGTGACCTACTGCACACTGAGTGTAGGTTCTAGAGACCGCAGAGTTGATGACATCTAATCAAAGTTACCTTTGAAAAGTGCCCTCTTAATCATGAGCACTTTTGTAAGCTTGAAGTTCAATAATTATCCAGTTTTGATCTTTTTGCATTTTGGATGTAGCCTTCCTTTCTATCCCTCTCTGAACAGTCGGGCAAGGAAGGGGAGAGATTTTCCCCTTTTGGCGCTTATAGCCAAGTTGGAGGAATACAATTCTGGTAAAATGTGGCTCCGGATTATGAGTATTTAGTTTGTTTGATTGCTTTCTTCCCCCAAGGACTGTGATTTACCCTCTCAGCATATATCCAGGGGTGATAGTCAAAATGTTAACATCCTCAAAAATTCTGACCAGAAGCTCCCTGTGCTGAAAATTTCCAAGGTGGGGAGCTTTGGCAAGTGATATTTGGGCAGGTTGAGGTGGGGCGGGGGGACTCAAAGAAATAGTTGTTTAACTACAGATATGTAAGTATTTCCGTGTTGTAACAGCTAGTGTGGCTGAGAACAGCCAGTGACATGTCAGATTACCGAATAAAACCACAAAAGTGGGGTAGTTTATGGGCTCCAGGTTTGAACATGGGCTCTACCACTGAGGACCTGTGTGATTATTTTGTTTAACCTCTTGTTGCCTCAGTTTCCTCACTGGTAAAATGACGATATTGATAGTATCTATTTTGTGAAAGCTATTGGGGGGATTATATGAATTTGTAGTTTGTAGAATGGTACCTTTCATAAAGAACTCTTTGTTATGTTTGTTAAATACATTTCTTTTTCCCCATTAGATGGATTCCAAAACAGATGACTTTCCACATCTTCAAATCAGGCTTACCTTTCCTTGATTCAACCTGCAGACCTCAGTCCACCAGCTATAAACACTGCCAGTTATGAATCTTACAGTAATTTGTGGATTCTTATTGTGGTCAGTGGAGAGAATCTGGGACTTACCTAACTCTCTAGAAGTAGTTTAAAAGGGCTAATGGTGGCTACAAAGTCACATAAACAAAATTTAGGTTAAAAGTTGGCACACGTATAAAGTGGGAGATACAGTTTAAAACTCATTTTATTCTATTAAAATTTTGTATCTTTTTTAGCCTAAAGAGTTACAATTTTCATTTATTTAAAATAAACCAACTTTGAAACAGAAACAGAGCACACATTTCTTAATTTAAAAAACTATACTGGCTAACAATTTAGCGAACTTGGTGCGGGAAATGGCACAGTAACAGCTTCATCTCTTCCTACCAAGAGAGGTAGGAATTATAACATTTTAAATTTCTGTGTTGGAAAATTTATTCATTTTAAGATTTTTTGCTGTTACTTAAATTTTACTGAACTTAGTTTATTCCTGAATTATCAAAATATATGCTATTTTAGCTATTTAGACTACTTTGACTTTGTATTAGTTTTCCATATTTCTGCTGTAACAGGTTACCACACACATAGTTGCTTAACACAACACAAACTTATTGTCTTACAGTTTTGGAGATCAAAAGTTTAAAATAAAGGTACCTTCTGGAGGCCAGGCTCACCAGCCCTCCTTTTACATCTTCAAAGCTAGGAGAGTTGCAGCTTCTCTTTCTATTTCCCTTTACTTCTGCCATCACGGTGTCTTCTCTCCATGTTTCTGACTCTGTCCTTCCTGCCTCCGTCATATGTGTCCCCCTGTGATTATATCATTGAGCCCACCTGGGTAATAATCTCTTTATCTTGAGACCCTTAACCACACCCGCAAAGTCCCTGTTACTGTGTAAGGTAACATATTTGCAGGTCGTAGGGGTTAGGACATGGACATCCTTCAGGGCCAGTCATTCAGTTTACCACAGTGTTCGTTTTAATTTTTTCTCAGCGCCCGTCATTTGGTTTACTTCATTTCAAAAAGAAAAAAAATCTCTCCCCGTTGAACAAAAGATGCAAAGCGATTGAGAGGGTCCAAAGTTATTTTATTGATCAACTGAATAAATATACATAAATGTTACTTTCTTTTTCTTTACTTTATTTTTTTTTCCCCATTCCAGATCCTGGGTGTTTGGCTGACCTACAGATACAGGAACCAGAAAGACCCCCGCGCGAATCCTAGTGCATTCCTTTGATGAGAAAACAAGGAAGATTTCCTTTCGTATTATGATCTTGTTCACTTTCTGTAATTTTCTGTTAAGCTCCATTTGCCAGTTTAAGGAAGGAAACACTATCTGGAAAAGTACCTTATTGATAGTGGAATTATATATTTTTACTCTATGTTTCTCTACATGTTTTTTTCTTTCCGTTGCTGAAAAATATTTGAAACTTGTGGTCTCTGAAGCTCGGTGGCACCTGGAATTTACTGTATTCATTGTCGGGCACTGTCCACTGTGGCCTTTCTTAGCATTTTTACCTGCAGAAAAACTTTGTATGGTACCACTGTGTTGGTTATATGGTGAATCTGAACGTACATCTCACTGGTATAATTATATGTAGCACTGTGCTGTGTAGATAGTTCCTACTGGAAAAAGAGTGGAAATTTATTAAAATCAGAAAGTATGAGATCCTGTTATGTTAAGGGAAATCCAAATTCCCAATTTTTTTTGGTCTTTTTAGGAAAGATTGTTGTGGTAAAAAGTGTTAGTATAAAAATGATAATTTACTTGTAGTCTTTTATGATTACACCAATGTATTCTAGAAATAGTTATGTCTTAGGAAATTGTGGTTTAATTTTTGACTTTTACAGGTAAGTGCAAAGGAGAAGTGGTTTCATGAAATGTTCTAATGTATAATAACATTTACCTTCAGCCTCCATCAGAATGGAACGAGTTTTGAGTAATCAGGAAGTATATCTATATGATCTTGATATTGTTTTATAATAATTTGAAGTCTAAAAGACTGCATTTTTAAACAAGTTAGTATTAATGCGTTGGCCCACGTAGCAAAAAGATATTTGATTATCTTAAAAATTGTTAAATACCGTTTTCATGAAATTTCTCAGTATTGTAACAGCAACTTGTCAAACCTAAGCATATTTGAATATGATCTCCCATAATTTGAAATTGAAATCGTATTGTGTGGCTCTGTATATTCTGTTAAAAAATTAAAGGACAGAAACCTTTCTTTGTGTATGCATGTTTGAATTAAAAGAAAGTAATGGAAGAATTGATCGATGAATTAAGTGAGGTGGAATTCTTTTCTTTCTGCTTTAGCTTCTCTCTGTTGGACTTAGAGCTGGGTATTGCTATTTTAGTGTATAATCAAGCTGTGGAAATAAATTTCCAGCATTAATGTCTATTGGTAGTCATCCTCAAATCCTTTCTTGAAATGTTTCAGTGGCTAATATTATCTCCATGGTGAGAAAAAGTTTTTCTAAAAAGAGAAGCCATTAATATTTATTTGGGAAAAATATATACGTTCTTTCCCATTACGAAAAATTATTAATTTCTTGTTTTACATTCTAGGTAGCATGTGGTATTTTATTGTCTTACTAGGTTTTTAGACCGAGAGAGGGTAAATGGTTGATCTGTAGAGTTTTAGAGCATTTTGTAGGTTTGTCACTTCCGTGACTTTGCAACACTAGCTAATTTTCCAAGGAAACAGAATTGTGCCATTTTCACAATGTCCTATGAGCTCTGGGGTAGCCCTAACAGTGTCCCCACTTATACCATAAGATGGGATTATAAGTGACATATGAAGGGAGATTTTATTATTATTTTTTATTATTATACTTTAAGTTCTGTGATACAAATGCAGAATGTGCAGGTTGTTGTTACACAGGTACACATGTGCCATGGGGGTTTGCTGCACCTATTAACCTGCCATCGAGGTGGGAAGTTTTAAAATTCTGTCTTCCTTTAAGGCATTTGGCATTTTCCATGTTTGTTTTGTTACATTTTGAAATTATTATAAGGCCCTGGAATCTCCTAATGTAATACTTTCCTTGGTACAAATGATTATATGTGGAAAGGCTATTCCATAGAGAATCAGCCCTTACCTTGGTTTGTGCTCTAATTGCAGTGCCCTTATTTGGGTCAACACAGTATGCTTCATGCTGAAGTTAAATGATGCATCCTGGAAATTCTAACAAAGGAAGGTCTCTTCTTCTGTTCAAATATAGATTGACTGATGTCAGCCTTCCTCAAGTGTGTTACTTAAAAAGCAAAGTGCAAAGAGAACAGCTGTCAGGGTGAGAAGTCTAAACACATTTTTGAAAGTAGCCTGGTGCTGACAAAATGCATTTAATCGTGCTCAAGGCTTCATGAAATTGAGTTCATTAAATTAGGATTTTAAATCATTATGGCTAAGAAAAACATGTATATCTAAATATTAAATAAAACAAAATGTAAAGATATCTAAGATGTTAAGATTTTAGTAAAATAAGTTAATGAAAAAGAAAGCCAGGGTCTGGGAAGTATGAATATTTAGGACTACTAAACTATGGGATTATAAGAGTGGGTAATGACAGTTAGCCACTCAAGAAATACACATTTTCAAGCACCAAGGTTGTCCTTGTCAAATGAGTCTGGGCTTTCTGTTTTCTCTGGCAGATCTGAAGGTGATAGATTACCTAACACCTTCTGTGATGCTTCCTGGGATCTTTGTGTCGGGGTGCATATTTAGTGGAAAACCCTCTGAATAAGTCAGTCCTGAATCCCAGATGGCCCTGCTATGATCCTGCAAAGGTCATCCTGATCCCAGGATTAGAGAGGGCCACTGCCCAAGGGCACAGAAATGCTGCCATAAACACGTAGTGTCAGAGGAGGATGAGTTTCAGATCAGGGTAGACCCTAGATGTCCTTTCTTCCCAAACCTAGCATTTCTTTAAAAAGGAACTGTGCTGCTTAAAAAAATCTCTTCTCTATTTGCACATTCCATTTATAGGAATGTTTTTTGGCACATTTGCCCGGTCAGCCTTGATGTTAAGGGTTAAATTTTATATAGAGAATATAATACTAATACAAAGGAAGAAAGAGTTCAGCTATAATTTCTAAAATCTGAGCTTGTTGTAGCTTAAATTCATCTCAGATACTCTGTTATCTAAGCAACAATGTGTTTGGTATGAAAACCAGTTTCGCATGTTCAACCTAAGTTACATGCTGCTGAATGGAACCTTTCATAGAAGGAAAGGAAACCAGAAGTGTGGCTTTTAGTTCTTCGTTTCCTTGAGCCAAAACCTCCTCCTACAATTTTTCTAAATATTTGTTTAACTCTGTTAAAGTTTATTCATTATTTTGCAAATACACTAAATACGTCAAACTGTTTCAATTTTTAGCTGGTACTAAAAAAGTTAGAATCAAATTTTTCCATAGTATTTCATAGGAGAAAAACACTTTTAGTCACTGTGGTTGTACAGACATGATCATTCATGTGTGAATTGTTTTATTAGAGATGACAATAAAGTTAAAAACCAGCTTTTCCAGGGTTCTGGATAAGTGAAGGGATTGGTGTAAAGTTTTGTTCTGTATTTGGTACGTTTTGGACTAAAATAATTTTTAGACCAGGCTTTCTGTGCCAAATGAAATTACAATATGTGTTAGTGAATGTGTTCTAAATAAATTTAAGAGTGCAATCCACCCTTTCCCCAACACCTCCACTCCACGAGAAGAGGAGAGGGAGAGAAGGGAACGGGGCTTGTCATGTGGATGTTTTTCTTAAATGTCATAACTGAGCAATTGTAGTCATTGAAATACCTCTTGAAAATATGAGAAAGGGGAAAATCAAACTCTGCCATGTGGCAGGCCAATTCTCATCACTCTCCTTAGGAAAACCAGCTTTTGGAATTCATTTTCAAATGAGGATTTGAGGCCTGTGAGTTAAAATATATGTCAAAGAATGGACTTTGACATCACTTGGGGGGTGAAACCACTTTGCCTACTTTTAGGATCTTGCTTTTCATAGATCAGGGAGTCATAACTTGACAAGTAGCCTTTTAATAGGTTAAGCTGACTTGACTTGGACTTTGAAGTCAAGGTCCTTGAACTGAAGGAAGTTCTATTCTTGCCTTAGAGCTTTTAATGATTTTTCTCCTGACTGGTATTCTTATCAGTGATTGCTAGTTAGAGGGTTCTCAGTAGACTACTTAGAATTGCTGAATTCAAGAAAGAAAGAAAACAGATTTAGACAGTCATGGAAGATCACTTGAAGAAGACTGTTGTTCCGAAATTGGTAAAAATGGTTTAATTAGGCATGTTGACCGTCTGTGTAAATGACGTTTACAGATGATTTATGTTAGCTACATTTTTTTAACAGTTAATTCCTGTTTTTTTCTCCCTAAGCTATTGAATCTCAGATAAAACTGAAATTTTTGTTATTGTGGTAAATACATATAGCATAAAAGCTATCATTTTAACCATTCATAAGCTTGTAGTTCAGTGGCAGTAAGTACATTCATATTGTTATGCAACCATCACCACCATGCATTTCCATAACGTTTAATCTTCTGTACCCATTAAGCAATAACTCCTCATTCCCCTCTTCCCCTGGCAACCTGCACTCCACTTTCTATATGAAAACGATTCTGGGTACCCCATATGGGTGAAATTGTATAGTAGCTGTCCTTTCGTGACTGGCTTATTTACTGAGCATAATGTCCTCAAGGTTCATCCACGTTGTTACATATGCCAGAACTTTCTTCTTCTTTTTTTCCATTGACATGGGGTCTTGGTATGTTGGACAGGCTGGTCTTGAACTCCCGGGCTCAAGCAGTTCTCCCACCTCCACCTCCCAAAATGCTGGGATTACAGGCGTGAGCCACTGCGCCCAGCCATGAATTTTCTTCAAGATTGGATAATATTTCATTGTATGTATATGTCACATTTTGTTTGTTCATTCATCCATTGATGGACACTTGAGTTGCTTCCACCTTTTAGCTATTGTGGATAATGCTATGAGCGTGGGTGTATAAATATCTGTTCCCTGCTTTTAGTTCATAAGCATATACCCAAGAGTGGAATTACTGGGTTGGATGGTAGTTCTGTATTTAATTTTTTGAGAGACCACCATATTGTTTTCCACAAAACAAAAATGGCTGCACCATTTTATATTCCCACTATGTTATTAACATTTTTATTTGGCTGTTTGAAATAGCACTCTTCAGTCTTCTAGTACTCTTCTACTTCTCTGTAGTCAGAGAAGTAGTCAAGATATACTTTCACTTGAAATTTATTTAAATGCAAATGATAGATTGTGAGATGACAGAAGAGGGATTTGGTAGAAAGAACAGACATTGCTAATATTTCAATGAGTTTAGAACAACCATGTTTGTATCTTCTATTTTTTTTTTTTTTTGGAGACAGAGCCTCTCTTTGTCACCCAGGGTGGATTGCAGTGGTATGGTCTCAGCTCACTGCAACTTCCGCCTCCCTTGGTTTCTCATGCCCCAGCCTCCCGAGTAGCTGGGATTACAGGCATGGGCCACTGTGCCCGGCTAATTTTTTTGTATTTCAAGTAGAGTCGGGGTTTCTCCATGTTGGCCAGGCTGGTCTCGGACTTCTGGGCTCAAGCGATACGCCTCCCAAAGTGCTGGGATTACAGGCATGAGCCACCACGATTGACCTCAATTCTGTTTTTAACCTTGTATGTACACATTTCCTGTAGTTGCAATTATAGCATAGAAGGTCTTAAATTCTTTTTTACTTAGGCCTTTTCTGTTTTGCCATTATGTTTATTATTTTTATGGATGACAACATAGTGCATTTTGTCTTTTTTTTTTTTTAATTTATTTTTTTTTATTGATCATTCTTGGGTGTTTCTCGCAGAGGGGGATTTGGCAGGGTCATAGGACAATAGTGGAGGGAAGGTCAGCAGATAAACAAGTGAACAAAGGTCTCTGGTTTTCCTAGGCAGAGTGTGTGTGTCCCTGGGTACTTGAGATTAGGGAATGGTGATGACTCTTAACGAGCATGCTGCCTTCAAGCATCTGTTTAACAAAGCACATCTTGCACCGCCCTTAATCCATTTAACCCTGAGTGGACACAGCACATGTTTCAGAGAGCACAGGGTTGGGGGTAAGGTCATAGATCAACAGGATCCCAAGGCAGAAGAATTTTTCTTAGTACAGAACAAAATGAAAAGTCTCCCATGTCTACTTCTTTCTACACAGACACAGCAACCATCCGATTTCTCAATCTTTTCCCCACCTTTCCCCCTTTTCTATTCCACAAAACCGCCATTGTCATCATGGCCCGTTCTCAATGAGCTGTTGGGTACACCTCCCAGACGGGGTGGTGGCCGGGCAGAGGGGCTCCTCACTTCCCAGTAGGGGCGGCCGGGCAGAGGCGCCCCTCACCTCCCGGATGGGGCGGCTGGCCGGGCAGGGGGCTGAGCCCCCCACCTCCCTCCCGGCGGAGCAGCTAGCCGGGCAGGGGGCTGACCCCCCACCTCCCTCCCGGATGGGGCGTCTCGCCTGGCGGGGGGCTGACCCCCCCCACCTCCCTCCCGGACGGAGCCGCTGGCCGGGCGGGGGGCTGACCCCCCCACCTCCCTCCCGGACGGGGCGGCTGGCCGGGCAGAGGGGCTCCTCACTTCCCAGTAGGGGCTGCCGGGCCGAGGCGCCCCTCACCTCCCGGATGGGGCGGCTGGCCGGGCAGGGGGCTGACCCCCCCACCTCCCTCCAGGACGGGGCGGCTGGCCGGGCGGGGGGCTGACCCCCCCACCTCCCTCCCGGACGGGGCGGCTGGCCGGGCGGGGGGCTGACTCCCCCACCTCCCTTCCGGACGGGGCGGCTGGCCGGGCAGAGGGGCTCCTCACTTCCCAGTAGGGGCGGCCGGGCAGAGGCGCCCCTCACCTCCCGGACGGGGTGGCTGGCCGGGTGGGGGGCTGACCCCCCACCTCCCTCCCGGACGGGGCGGCTGCCGGGCGGAGACGCTCCTCACTTCCCAGACGGTGTGGCAGCCGGGCGGAGGGGCTCCTCACTTCTCAGATGGGGCGGTTGCCAGGCGGAGGGTCTCCTCACTTCTCAGACGGGGCGGCTGGGCAGAGACGCTCCTCACCTCCCAGACGGGGCGGCGGGGCAGAGGCGCTCCCCACATCTCAGACGATGGGCAGCCGGGCAGAGAAGCTCCTCACTTCCTAGATGGGATGGTGGCCGGGAAGAGGCGCTCCTCACTTCCTAGGTGGGATGGCGGCCAGGCAGAGACGCTCCTCACTTCCTAGATGGGATGGCGGCCGGGCAGAGACGCTCCTCACTTTCCAGACTGGGCAGCCAGGCAGAGGGGCTCCTCACATCCCAGACGATGGGCGGCCAGGCAGAGACGCACCTCACTTCACAGATGGGGTAGCGGCCGGGCAGAGGCTGCAATCTCGGCACTTTGGGGGGCCAAGGCAGGCGGCTGGGAGGTGGAGGTTGTAGCCGAGATCACACCACTGCACTCCAGCCTGGGCACCATTGAGCACTGAGTTAACGAGACTCCGTCTGCAATCCCGGCACCTCGGGAGGCCGAGGCTGGCGGATCACTCGCGGTTAGGAGCTGGAGACCAGCCCGGCCAACACAGCGAAACCCCATCTCCACCAAAAAAATACGAAAACCCGTCAGGCCTGGCGGCGCCCGCCTGCAATCGCAGGCACTGGGCAGGCTGAGGCAGGAGAATCAGGCAGGGAGGTTGCAGTGAGCCGAGATGGCAGCAGCACAGTCCAGCTTCGGCTCGGCATGAGAGGGAGACCGTGGAAATAGAGGGAGAGGGAGAGGGAGACCGTGGAAAGAGGGGGGGGGGGGGGAGGGGGAGGGGGAGGGGGAGGGAGAGAAGAATTTTTATGACTACTCACCTAGACAGGATTAAAAAACTGCATTTTGTCTTAATATACCATGTGGCCATTATATTTTTGGGAGGTTGCTTTTCTGTGGTACGTTTAAATAATGTTACCATTGGCATCTTGACAGAACTGTTTCTGTTGAATGATTTCCTTAGGATAAATTCTCAGTGGTGGAGGAGACTGATGGGACAAAGTCAATTAATGACTCATGCTTTGTGTTTCTTCAATGCTTTTAAAAGGGGGACTTATTTTCCTTACAGCTGTAACATTTGATTTCCTAAATATTTATTTATATTTAAAAAGTATTTGTATGTGTTAAGATATTTTGCCATTCAATACATTTTAAGAAGTTAACCTTATTTCACGTCCGCCCAATGAAAAAATATTTTGCTATACTATAGGAGAAACTTGAATCACTTAGAACTTGTCATTTAAAATATTTGTTTATGGAAGGGAAACCTCTTTTTCCTCTTGTTATCCCTCAGAGATCTTTTTAAATGGAATGTTTTACCTTTTTCAGCACATGTAAGTTATCTACTTGTGAGAAGGGAGCTGATTAACCTGTGATATTTTTGCTGAAGATTTGTATGTCATTAAATCAGCAGTATATGCTCAACACCTACTAATGATAGTAGTCACTAGGAGAGATAGAAAAGATTGAAAATATATCCCTGGAAAAATTAATAATGCCAAAAGATCTGTTCAAAAAAGGTTTTATCCAAAAAAGTTAATCAAGACAAGCAACAGATACTGCAAAGCATTATATACAGCACCATAGTCCAGGGGCCAAAGAAATCAGGAGGGGCTGGGCAGTAGAGGAATTCCATATATTAATGAATGTGAGATTAAGTATAGAGTGAAGACATTAACACACAATTCTAATTTCTGTTAGGCAGAATGCTCCCCTACCCTGATGCCACAGCCTTTCACGTTTCCTAAACCCTAGTAACCTCTGATCTCCATCTGCCTCATCAACACGTCACCACCCTTTGCTCTTCTTCCAATTAGTCACATGTTGGCTGAATTTATTTCACTCCAGTACTTTAGGACCTTGACAGACAAATCGATTACAAGGTCAATTCCCAGGATTTCTTCAGGGTGTGTTCAGGAGTGCAGATGTTCTTTGGATGACCTTTCTACTAAATTAGACCTCTGAAGGAGAAAGCTACTTGCCAGAGGCTTTCCCTGAGAGCATTAGGTTGGGCAAAATCTGACTAAAATTTAATTACTAAATGAAAGTGTGTACCTTAGAGTTCCTGGCCAGAGTTGACTCTAGGTAGTGATGTGATTTTCTTGGGATGTTTTTCTAAATATTCTTTTATGCTAAAGCACATGGCTTGATACTTCTGTTGATTAAGCTCGTGTCTACTTACAGTCATCTAGTGAGAACCTGTGGTGTGGTGAGATGATAACTTGGTCTTTGGTCTTCATCATTTGAACTAGTTTTGGTTTTGTCTTGTCCCTTCCTTGAGCATTTTGTGTGTGTTTAATCCTATTTGGTAAACGAACCACTGTGAAAGACCAAGTTGGAGAAAACAGAACACCCCCAAAACATTTATTTTTTTTTTTAGAAAATCATGGCTCACTATGGTAGTATACAATATTGTTTTCACACATGTACACTTGAAACCAAATTTCTAAAACTTGTTTTTCTTAAAAAATAGTTGTTGTAACATTAAACCATAACCTAATCAGTGTGTTCACTATGCTTCCACACTAGCCAGTCTTCTCACACTTCTTCTGGTTTCAAGTCTCAAGGCCTGACAGACAGAAGGGCTTGGAGATTTTTTTTCTTTACAATTCAGTCTTCAGCAACTTGAGAGCTTTCTTCATGTTGTCAAGCACTAATGGGGGATAAAAGCAGGAGAGTCAAGACACCATCGTGCGTTATATCGATATAATAAACCCCAAACTTGGATGCTCAATTCATTATTTAATGGGATGCTTTTTTTTTTGAGACAAGGTCTCACTCCCACTCAGGCTGGCATGCAGTGGTGCAATCTCCACTCAGTGCAACCTCTGCCTCCTGGGTTCAAGTGATTCTTCAGCCTTAGCCTCCTGAGTAGCTGGGATTAGAGGTGTGCTCCACCATGCCCAGCTAATTTTTGTATTTTTGGGAGAGATGGGGTTTTGGTATGCTGGCCAGGCTGGTCTCGAACTCCTGAGCTCAAGTGATCCACACACCTCGGCCTCCCAAAGTGCTGGGATTACAGGCGTGAGCCACTGTGCCCAGCCTGATAGGATGCTTTTTATCATGAGGTGAATAGTTGGTAATCTTATTGTAATTTAAAAAAATTATATGAAATGGCTTTTGTGACAATCTAGTTTTCTAGTGTAGTCATTCCTTCCCAGATCCTTCATCTCCAACCCTCACTTCCAAAAGAATCCTTTTATAAGCTCTAGCAGCAGAAGATAATTTTGGCTCATTTAGAAGTAAATTTAAATCATGTTTAAAAGAAATGTCTATTAGTAGGTGTGTGTAAATTGTTTTAGAAGTAGGGGAAATATAAATAATAGCAAACCAAGTGCTTTATGCAGATGAATTCTTTAATCCTCATACAAACACGATTAGAACTTTATATATACATAATGAAACAGGCAGAGAGAGGCTGAGTAGCTTGCTCAAGGTCACACAGCTAACAAGTAATGGAGCTACTGTTCCAGAGCCCAAACTCTGGGTCACTGTTTCTTCAACAGCAATTCATCAAAATGAGGTATGTGATCTACTAAAAATAAGATGTCCACTCGATAGGCATTGAACAGCCGCTTATTCACTCTTCCTACAAATCTTAATTATTAAGTGCCTGTTCTACAAGGGATTGTGATATTACTTGTGTAGGACACGTGCCTTTTAAGAGCTTAGTCTTATTAAAATGTATGGTATTATCTCAGTAATGGCTGACAGTACTTGGAATGTGCTTCCCCTGGTCCAGCACACACTGGAAACATTGCTAATGGACCATGATGATCTCTCCTGCTTCCTAGACACGGCCTCACTTCTCTTCCCAACATGACGTTCTAAGTCAGCACTGGCCAATAGAAATTTCTGTGATGATGGAAATGTTCAGTGTCCGGGCATTGAGCACTTGGAATATGGCTAGTGTGACTGAAGGAATGAATTTCTAACTTTAACTTAAGTAGCAACATGTGGCAAATGGTTAACATATTGGACAGTGCAGTTCTAGGCAGCCACTACTAATTGATCAGAGTTGGTTCCTAGGATAAAACCCACTTTTCTTCCCAGAGGACTAATCAGATGTCACAGCTAGCTACAGCGTTGCATTGAGGTACCTCATCTGCCTTAAGTCAGTGTCTCTCTCTCTCTCTGTCTCTCTTCCATTGATGGCAACCATAGGGAAGGTAATTTTCTTGGCAATCATTTGGATCATCTTTGAAACTGATCTTTAAACTGAACCTGAATTTAATTTTAAGCTGGACTGCACATTCTTTCACTTTTGTTATTTAAAAAATTAAGACATGCAGATTATTACAATTATTACACTCAGTTCTGTGATAGAAGGAGTGTGTGCTCGTGTACCTAACAGAAAACCTGAAAATCAGGTAATGTGGTCATAGAATCCTCCTAGAGAAAAAGATACCTAATCTAAATAATTCATCTTCAATTGAGATTAAAAACAAACAAACCTGAGATGGAAAGAGTGTGATTTGCCTGAAGATGCAAGGCTAGTTAGGGTCAAACTGAGTCCGAGGCGTCCCTAAGCCTAGCTCTCTCTCACCTCACCATGCAGCCTCTAGTCCCATCACTACAGCAATAGAGGTGTTCAACTCTTGGGCAACATCCGAATTGAAGGTCACACTTACACAGAGCTGTATCTGCAGGTTCGTAAGCATAGAGACGATTTGAATATCTTCCAGTGATATCGGCTCTAACTGTCAGAGATGGGTCTGCAAAGATAAATGAAGCAAAAGGGAATGGAATGGTTTGTTTTCAAACAACCTGTATTTATTGCCCCGGGGAGCTGAAGTTCATGTATTCATGTCCTGTGAGGGAATGGAGTGTGTCTGCACTCACAGGAGCTCTGATCCATCCACTCTACTACCCAGCCCCTGGCAGTTAGTAGCAAATGCAGGGCTGGAAACATCAACAGCTGTGCAGTGCTATTTGTGGAAAAGGTTATGAACCCTTCTGTTCTATCTATGGCAACCTGAAAACAGAATAATATATATTTAGGGGTGACATGGTGTTTTTTTTTTTTTTGGTGAAAACATTAACATTCTCTACTGCAAAATTATTTTAAATTCTTGAAACGATTATGTTGTAGTTTACATGTTTCTAGATCATTGGAAACCCACATCCAATGCTAGTTTTCAAAACGAGTTTTTTAAAAAAAGTTAATAGAGGAATGCAAGTCCTTAACAACAGCAAAGTTCAAATAAGCATATAGTACCTTCACTATATTTTACTTTATTGTTAATTAACTGCATTTTTAAAAGTAGAGATTGGTCTTCTCTTATGTATACTTATATCCCTCTAAATTTAAATCCATCTTGCCATGTTTTGTATTTAACTTGAAGTGATCTAATTAATGAGAAAAAGAGGTATTTTAAAATTAAGGTGCATCCAAAAGGGAAGCGTGAGGATACAGAGAGATCTGGAAACCTTGCCTTGAGAGACGTAATCGAAAGAACCTAGGACACGTGCCCTGAAAATGAGACAAGGAAGACATGTGAGAACCATCTGCATGTTTGCAAAGTCTGTCGCTGGTACTGGAGTGGGCAATCTGTCATTTCAGAATGTTGGACTAAGGCCAGACACATAAATTACAAGAAGCAGATGTACATTTATTCACCAGATTTAAGACCAACTATACTTCTGTTTGGTGCAGAGGATACAAAGACACGGTCTAATCTTTGTAAGAAATTAACCTAAGAAGGGCTTTTTAAATACCCAACTAGCAGCTCACCTGGCTGCACATTGGAATCATCTGGAGAGCTGTAAACACTATGGATGCCTGCCTCCCACCCCCAGAGATTCTGATTTAATTGGTTTGAGGTGTGGCCTGGGCAACTTGATCTTTAAAATCCTCCAGGTGATTCAAACATGTAGTCAGGGTGGCTACTACGGAGCTAGAAGAGCAAGCTGCCTTGGAGCTGGTTCTTAGGACTGAAGGAATTGAATGTGGGTTAAAATGCCCTTCCACAGGGATGCTGTACAAAGAATTCCTGTACAAGGTATGAACAGACATCTATAAATTCCCTTTTAATGTTAGGATTCCAAATGTCCTAAATTCTGACAAAACTAAACCTATAAAATTAGTGCTTTAGTTCAGCCTTCTTCCTTTTTTTCTATTTCTTGTTTTTCTTTTCCCTGCTTTGTACATTCAGTGTAAACTTTTAATGAATTACACAGGTGAATCATATGATTAGCATGAATTGTTGTAAGTGATGGATTTCATTATGGATTGTCCTTAAATCAGTATGACTTTGAACAAAGCCAAACTCAGTACATTCATTCAATAATTAAACACATATTGATGGAGAGCCTACTGCAGGGTCACGTTGGGAATATCATGGTGAGCAGAAATAGGTACAGTCCCTGCCATAGGGGCTTATAGTCCAATGTGGGAAATATTTATTACATAACCACCCCCAAACTGCAAAATTATACCTGAGGAAAGTATGACTACAAGAGCACATAGTAGGGATTTGACTCGGTCAATGAATAATGATGATTGGGGAGTTAATGATGTGAAATTGGGGGACAGAGAAGGAAGTGGGGAAAGCATATGAAAAGTACCAGTGGCAGGAAGGAGCATGTGGCTCCTTTCATTTCTTTTTCCCACCTCATATTCCTTTTTTTTTTTTGAGACAGAATCTCGCTCTGTTGCCCAGGCTGGAGTGCAGTGGTGCCATCTCGGCTCACTGCAACCTCTGCCTCTTGGGTTCAAGCAATTCTTGTGCCTCAGCCTCCCAGGTAGCTGGGATTACAGGCTCCTGCAACCACGCCTGGCTAATTTTTTTTTTGTATTTTTTAGTAGAGATGGGGTTTCACCTTGTTGGCCAGGCTGGTTTGGAGCTCCTGACCTCAAGTGATCTGCCGGCCTTGGCCTCCCAAAGTGCTAGGATTACAGGCGTGAGCCACCCAGCCTTATTCCTAACTTTCTTAAAAATAATGATAAAAAATGTCAGAAAAATCTAACACACAAAGTGAAAGTTTGCTGGATTAAAAAATAAATATTTGCAGGCCTCTCGTATTCAGGAAATTTATCAATATGTTTAAATAGTGAATAGGGTGCTTTGTTCTCAGAAGTATTATAGCAGAAGATGAAAAGTTACAATTAGCATGTGAGAAAAGAAAGTGTTGTGTGGAAATAGGTAAAAGCTCACATTTTCTAAAGAAAATATGTTGCGGAACTTAAAGGAATGTCATGCTCCTTGCTAGAGCTTAGTGATGACATTGGCCATGGCAACGTGGCAAGGGACAGTGGGGAGGAGAGAAGGAGGATGGCAGCACTAGTATGTGTTTCCGAGTTATCTCACTGTCACTTCCGCTTACCAACAAACATAATCCTGGGGACATACTGGCCATCAGGAGAAAGGTGTTTGTCAGTTGTTTCATACTAAAATAAAAAGAAAAGCATCTTTTAGTTTACTTTGACTTTTCAGTCGTTTTCAAACTTGTTAATACAAGAATCTGTCCATTTCCGGCCAGGCATCTCAAGATATCATAACTCTTCCACACAGAGTTTATTGTACAGATGAGGAGACAAGTTACAAGCATGAAATAATAAATAAGATAGAGCAGAACATGAGATAAAGTGCTGAATGGATGTGATAAAGAGCAAAAAAATTAAGGGAGAATTTGGAAGGAGTTACTGTGTTTGGGGAAGACATCTGGGATGAAATAAGAGGCTATTAAGGAAAAAAGCAGATGTCATTTCTAGAGAAATTACGGAGACAAGTACGGGATTTTCTTGAGTATTCATTTATCCATTTATCAATTTTTATTTAGAACTGTATTTAGCAAGGCATGGTGCTTATCTTTAATGAATGCACACTCTATTGAGAGATACAGGTAGGAAAATGAATATTGAGGATGCAGTGGGTGAAATGTTACGGTGTAGGATATGCAGGTTTGGTGATTGCCTTGAGCAAGACATTTAGCCCAGAATGCAGATTCCACCCCGACTAGGACTTTCTGAAGTGGATAAGGAGGAATCTTTACAAATGAACAGGAGTCAGTTAGGTGGAAAAGAAAGACACTTCATGCAGGGGGAAGAGTATGGAGAGGACAGGTGGAGCATTTTCTCCTATGGCCAAGTGCTGGGGAAGGACTGAGTTGGGGGGATGCACGAGGGCAGTGGCGAAAGAAGGTGCTAGAGCTGCTTCAGGGGCCGGCTTAGGAATGACTTTGCACACCATGCCATAGTGTTTTCCTTTGTTCAGAAATAGTTAAGAACCACTGGAGGGATGTTAGAAGAGGCACTGTGACCCCAGTTTGGTCTGTAAAGCAACTTCTCTGACAGCCATGTGGGATTAGACAGAGTTTATCTTGTAGACCAGGAGCCATTTAGCAGTATTACAGTAAGCTAGGGAAAGTGAAAGAGGCTTACTAAAATAGTGGTCCTGAGTTTATAGAGAAGTGACTAGTAGCAGGAATACTTGGAATTTAGAAGCACAGGGCTTATTGCATGCTGTAGGTAAGTAGGAGAGTCCAATCTAGCACAGTACCACTTTCAGTAAAATAGGGAATAGAGAAAGAAGAGCTATTGGAAAAGCGCAAACCAAGATGATTAATGTGCAGTGAGGAACATACTGAGTTTAAGCTGATTATGAGATATCTGGAATATGGTTGGATAGACAATTTGGAAGTTGTTTCATGTTTGGGTAAGATGTAGGAATTATTAGTGTGTCGGAATTGATTAAAGGCAGTTGTAGATGGAGTTGTTCACTGAATACAAAATATGGAAAGAGAAAAGGGTCAAGTAGAGATTCATCATGTCACTCACATTAAGGAGTAGGAAGAGGAAGAGGAAGAGCCCATGGAAGAGAGGCAAGGAAGAACTACTGGTGCGAAGTGGTCTTTAAGGAAGCCAACCTGTGAAGAGGAAGGGCCGGAGGGCTCAAAAGGACATATGATTAGGTAGAGTCATTTTTTTGTTGGCTTGCTTTTAGAAGGAAAATGAAACATTTGTATACAGTAAAAAGAACTTGCCGAGACAGAAAGCTTGAGCACCGTGAGGGGTGGTAGTGGTGAAGTAAGGTGGGAATGCATGAAGCTAAAGCACAAGAGGCATGATTAGAGTTGGAAAGCCAGAGAGCTGTCTCTTCCCAAGAGATGACCAGGATTAAGAATGGGTGTAGAGAAGCCAGGACTATAGAGGGACAGGCACAGCAAGTAACAAAAACCTTCCAGCAACAGAAAAAATTCTGACTACGGGAGATAATTTTTCAGACAAACTAAGATGATTAATTACTAAATAAAAACAGACACACCAAATGGATTATTAATACAACGAAATATCTTTTTTCTCTCTAATTTATGAGATGGGATATTTGGAAGCAATCCCAGTTAATGCAGTATAACTAAGATGTATAGGAAAAATGAATCATCCATTTCAAGTAATGAGCCATAGAGAAATGTTAGTAATGATGAAAAGGAAACTTACAACCAGATTGAGGAGGACAAACTGCTCTGCCAATTTCTGGATTTCTTTATTTTCAGCAAACACTTTCTTTAAAGCTATAATATAAAGAAAAATCATTAAGCATCCATCTTAGCATTGGTTAAAAGCTTTGTTCAATTTTCAGTTAAATTGCATTTTATTTACTTATTGAATTGCATTTTAAATACAGTATTCTACTTTGGCCTTTTAGCAAATGATTAGTGAAGTAATATCTATGGCATTGACTACCTCTGCTTTCTATTCACTCATTCATCCATTCATTCATCAATTCATTTTTTTCTCCAGCTCATATTTATTGAATGGCTGCCATGTGTTACGCACTGTGTTCTGTACTAGGGATGGTGCAGTGAACAAAAAAAAGCATGTGTTTTTTCACAGAGCTCACATACTTGTGTGGGAGACAAACCATAAACAAAGAAATAAGTAGATGATACTTTCAGGTAGAGATATGTACTTTGAAGAAAAATAAAGCAAAGCAAAGGGTTTAAAAACTGTGAGTGGTCAGGGCAGATCTTCCTGAGGAGCTAACGTTGAAGTGAGGGAGTGGTCCATTTTGGGGTAGGCCACTGTGGGCAGGGGGAACTGCAAAAGCACTAGCTGTGAGGTGGGAATGAGCTCACCTGTGGGAGGAACAGCACGAAGGCCAGGCTGGAGAGAGTGAAGAAAGCAAGAGGAGAGTGGTAGGAAGGGAGAGATAGCCATTGGCCTGATCATGTCAGCCTCATAGGTTGTGATCAGAAATTTGGATTTAGTTCTGTGATAAGAAGCCACTTGAGCACGTGAGTGATGGAATCTGATTTATGTCTACCAGCCTCACTCTGGCTTCTGTGTGGACTGGCTGTAGGGTGGCCAGTTAGGTGACTGTTATGGTAGTCTAGACAAGATCTGATCTGGGCTTGGACCAGGGCAGTAGCATGGAGGCAATAGGAAGTGGTTGGATTTGGGCCCAGTGCAAAATGAAAGGGTAGAGCCCCTTGTTGAAGAATTACTAAGACTTTTAAGACAATGATAGCCAAGTTTAAACCAAGTTTGGGAACCTTCTAAGCTTGGGGCCCTGTGAGATGGCACAGGCTTCATGCCTGTGAAGCTGGTGCTGGTTTAAGGATATATTTTGAAGATAAAGCCAGTATTTGCTGGTGTATTGAATGTGGACTGTAAGAGAAATCAAGAAGTTGAAGATGAATCCTAAAACTAGTTTTTCAAAATATGTACCAATGGTTATCACAAAATGTGGAGATATTTGAAGTCACTTTTAAATATGTTTTTACTATATAAAATATTCTTTCTTTAATGCAACTGTGGTTCTAAAGATACAAACATGAGTGATCTGAACCCTGGCCCTAAGGCTAAAAGCCTATAAAGGAAATCATACTTAGAAGAATAAATTACCTTGACTGTGTGGGCACTCATCCAAGTGATGAATAATCATCAAGGGTTTGTTGCTTTAAAAGACAGAGATTAGACAAATTTTAATGAGTAAGATTTCACATATATCTAGATGTCACTAGGTGGTGCTCTTGAGAGCTTTGAGGGAGCTCTGAGTAATCCTGATCTTTACCTTGTCTTGGATTTATATAGAGCTTCTTCATATGTCTGAGTCCAGATGAGTTGGTCACCCCAACCTAGAATGAAATGAATCAGTATATTTGAAGCTTGTATAAATTCAGACCCAAAGCTGTTGAAAAGCAATGGTAAAGACTGGGATAATAGACCCTATACTAAAGAAGAAGAAAAACCCCTGGAGAAAGTAGAAATAATTATAAACAGTGATAAGTCTAGAAGGAACACAACCAAAAATAACCTGGCACCAGGTTAGAACCAGGTTTAAGCACCAAGAGAGAGGAAATCTTTTCCAATTAAGTAGCAGTTGGAAGCCAACAAGAAGCTGACTCCTACCTCTGGAGAGGGTCTGGGGCAGTTTGGGTCGAGAGTCCTTTGTGTCCTTTTTGGCTCCAGGTTTGACTGTGGTATCTCTGGCCAGAGTGTAGGAGAGGGCCACAAGGAGCAAGAATGCTGACACTGGAATTTTCTCCATGGCAACTCTAGTATGGAAAACCAACCAAAATCAGTAAACAAAATTGAACTAGCAGTCTTCAGGGTCTGCAGGTTGCCCCACAACGGTGGAATATACCAGAAACTGAGGCTCTGCTGAGACTGGACATACGAGATTGGCGTAAATAGCTCTGTTCCATGGGATTTTCCTAAGAATACAGGTGGTCTTTGACTTACAATTGAGTAATGTTCCAATAAACCCATTGTAAACTGAAAATATTGCAAGTCAAAATGCATCCAGAGTAGTCTCTCCTTTCCCAGGGTTTTACTTTCTGCGGTTTCAGCTAACCACGGTCAACCGCGTCCAAAATAAGTGAGCACAGTGCAATAAGATATTTTGAGAGAGAGACCAAATTCACCTAACTTTTATTATAAGATACTGTTGTAATTGTTCTGTTTTATTATTAGCTCTTATTAATCTCTTATTGTGCTTAATTTATAATTTCAACTTTATCATAGATATGTATGCATAGGAAAAAACATAGCATATGTAGTGTTTGGTACTAATGTGCGGTTTCAGGCATCCACTGAGGGTCATGGACCATAACCCCCACAGATAATGGGGGAACTACCGTAATACACCTAACCCACTGAACACCACAGCTGAACCTACCGTAAATGTGCTCAGAACACTCACATTAGCCTAAAGTTGGGAAAAGCCATCCAACACAAAGCCCATTTTATAGTAAAGTGTTAAATATCTCAAGTAATTTTTATGAATACTCTATTGGAAGTAAAAACCAGAATGGTTATATGGATACTTGAAATACAGTTTCTACTGAATGTGTATTGCTTTTGCACCATCATAAAGTCAAAAAATTAAGTCAAACTTCTGTAAGTTGGGACTGTTTGTATATAGTATGGATAGCTGTCTATTGATCCACATAGATAAAGACAAAAAGATATAGATCTCTATAGATATAGAGTTATCTATATAGATATATATATCTATATAGAAATAGATAAATAGAGATATATTTTGAGAAAATAGATATACATACTCTAGTAGCTAAGAAAATTTACATTTACTTTTTTTGGAGACAAGGGCTCACTGTGTTGCCCAGGCTGGAGTACAGTGGCACAATCGTGGCTCACTGCAACCTCCACCTCCTGGGTTCAAGTGATCCTCCCTCCTCAGCCTCCCAAGGAGCTGGGGCTACAGGCACGTGCCAGCATACTTGGCTATGCTTTTGTATTTTTTAGTAGAGATGGAGTTTTGTCATGCTGCCCAGGCTGGTCTCAAACTCCTGACCTCAAGTGATCCTCCTGCCTTGGCCTCCGAAAGTGCTGGGATTACAGGAGTGAGCCACCACGCCTAGCTGATATCTTAGTTAAATTACTTTTTCTTTCTGGTATGCCACAGTTGATTCCCAGGAAAAACTAAAGCCTATGAAAAGGAAAGTACATGGCAAGATAAGTTTTGTGAGTGAGGAGGGAGGGAGGGAGCAAAGTGAGTTGCTCTAGCAAGTCACTAAGGTTGTCCACGGGGCCGTAACATGGAAGGCTGGAGATTTGGGATTCTGATAAAACCAAACACTAAAAGTGCTAAAAAGGAAATATGAAACCCCGGCACCTAACTCTAGTATTGGTGAATGGTTTTGAATGAAGTCAAATAAACTCTGCAAGGAATTACTATTGTTAAGCAGGAAGTTTTTCATAATCTAATATCTTGAGTGGAAACCTTTGCTAAGCATTAGCTGATTTTTTTTTAAGTGTTGCTAAGCTACCAGATCGAAATGATGTTTTGTATTTAACTGACCAATGATTAACTAATCCATAGTATGTAAGCACAAAATGTCTTACTCAGAAAAGATGTAAGCAAAAATCAGGGATATACTTTGTTCATTTTCTATACCTACAAAGATGTGGAAATGCCAATAACTTTTGTCTTCTAGAGTTTTGCAAAAACAACCTAAGTGTTCACTGTAAGTCAACAATTCTCAGCCCTCTTTGTATAAAGACTTCTTTGTAATGTTAAAAAAATCAAGAACTTTTACATGAGAATAATTATACATTTGGAATACTGGCTGGTTCAGAAACATATGGCAAATAATTTCTTTGAATCTATCAACAAACATTTGATTTTATCTTTTATTTATAACAGCATCTATATATATTCTAAAAAATAGTAAATTGATGGTAAGGCATTTTTATTTACTTAGCCCATTTACAGTTCTTGTTTTCCAAGTAGCTATTAGGACCTTGCAGTATCTCCAAAGATCACAGGTTGGAACTATTGATATATTGCTTGTGTTTTACGGCAGGATGACTCAAGGAAGGCTAACATAACTCCTGCTGTACAAACATCCTGCTGTGGGGTGACTTTCTGAGATTCACTCCACTGAGTTTTCGTAATGTGAATAGATTCTGCTCTGCAAATTTCCTGCATAAACCACCTCAAAACACAATTCCATGGAAAATATTGATAATTTGGAGACACACACAGACATAGGTACACACACACACACACACACACACACACACATTATGTGAAGCCAGCACTTTTTACTCATCACCGTATCCCTGTCTTCTTGTCTTTAGCAAATAATGAACTTGCAAGACATTTTAGTGTCCCTATTTGTAGATGCTTCAGGAAAGCAACCAGCTCTCTCCTCTAATAGCCTATCCCATGAATTTAAAGATTGCAGAGGCAACAAGAATGTCTTTGCAGCAAAAAGAGAAAGAAAACTGTTTTCTGATTTGCAATAATATATTCCAAGCGGGCAATCCGAGCTGAGGTGTCATAGTGGAGAAGCCTATGGGGCTTTGCTTTAGCCCGTGGGAAAGAAAGCTTTAGATGGTGACTGAGACGAAAATCCCTGGACCCTGTCCCAGGCTTGAAAAATCCTAGGATTCACCTACTCTTGGAAATTTTGTTTCGCAAAAGAGAAAGCATTTCTCTGAACTAACTCGGGAACGTCACACTGTGCCAGCTCTAGCCAAAGAAAGGCCCCAGTAAGACTTTTGTGGAAATTCCATGATTTCCCTTCCGTATCCTACTTCATTGCCTTTGGAAACTTGCAGTTCTCTGTTGCTTGATTGCCTACAACTTTATATAGCAATCAGAGGCCCGAATTCACTCCAGCAAGTACCCTTCTAAAGCTGCTGTCAGGAGCCTTACCTGGATTTCCTCACCCACCTGCCTTGTGTGAGTCGGCGGCTAGGATGCGGTCCAAGCTTCTGAGTGTGCCAGCACAGCTGAGTCTCTATTTATGCACCAGGGCATACCTCAATCCCACCCACTAGTGCTGCATTTACTTGTTGCTAACTCAGAAACGAACCTTCCTTTCCCCAAGTGATTATCTTCCCTGGGTTAAAGAGTTCCTTGTTTTTAAAAATAACATTGCAAAAGTATGCTTTTCAGTATGCATGTTTTTAACTATTTGTGAAACGTATTGTTAAGAGGTTTTGAAACGATGGGCAGAGTGCCAAATCCAGGTAGACTTTGAATGAAGACATTTGATTTGCCTGAAGGCTGATTTGTCTTTACATGATTGGACAGAGTTTGTAGTTTGTAGATTTTTTTTCTGCTCCGTGGGCAGATTGCCTTTATTTACTTGAAGACACACAAGAGATGATTCACAATTCTGATCCTCGCAGTCATATAACCTGCCATACTCCATTATGATAAAAATTATTTTCTACAATACTTCCCTGCTCCTGTCAAAACAATGCACCCTAACTTCTACAGGTATGAAAAAAAATACAAATCAAGTAACCCACGTAATTTTTCAAAACTGAGGAAGTATTGGCAAAAAAAAAAAAAAAAAACAGCCTAATATCGTGAGCTTGTAATAAATGCCTTGCCATTGAATGTATGCAGCAACTTCCCTCCACAGAGTTCAAAGGTATTTCACAGATAATCTCTTATTTAAAGGCAAACTTTCCTGCCACGCAAGCAGGAAGCCATTTACTCCATTTTCTCAGACCTAAAAACTAAGGTCTGCAACCAAGTTTTTTTTCCCCTCAAGACCATTTAATTACTCCCTGAAGATTTTAAAACTGGAATTTAAATTTTCTGTCAGAAAATTTTAATCCTGTATTTTGTTCATGAAGTTGTGTGCAGTCTTTAAAAGCTCAGAATGAAGAAAATGTTAACAACAGAAAGTTAATGAATGGGATGCAAGCCCTATATAAATGACTTTTTAAAATGAGTTAAGGTCATAATATTTCAAAAACATTTGCAAGTATGTATATTTTTCCAATAAATCCTTGAATTCTGTGGGCAAAATCGTGATTCTCCAAATACTGAATTTCCTTTCAATTCTAATGAATTTATAGAAGTAATTTCTTCAGGAGTTTGAAAACGATGATTTGAGCAAAATTCTTAAAACTAGCAGGCCCTTAGATAGACCCTTGTAATATTCAATTCCAGTCTTTCATTTTACAGATGAATAAATGAAGATGGCAAAAAATTCATAACTTTTTGAAGGTCTCACAACTAGTTTAGGGCAGAGTTGGGACCAAAGTCCTTCAGTCCCTTATCCACTGAAAGTAACAAGTGGATGGGATTTGGAGTCACGAGATTCCCATCTGAATCCTGCATCCTGGTGCTTGCTCATAGGATGATCTGAGATCTCATTTAACATCCCCAAAACTTCAGTTTCTCCATCTATAATATGGGGATAATATTAACATACGGGACCATTTTGAATATTAAATGACTTTTCCCTGTATTGCCACATGGTTTTTCCCTCTGTACCTGTCTGTGTCATTTTTTTCCTTTTCTTATAAGGACACCAGTCATATTGTATTTGGGTCCTGCCTAATGACCTACTTTAACTTAATTACCTCTGTAAAGATCCTATTCTGAAGTCCTGGGGATTAAGACTTCAACATATGAATTTTTGGGGGGGACACAATTCAGCCCATAACATTTGATAAAAGTAGCTAATGCAGGCTGGCTTAAGACCTAGTTGTTGGGTTGATCAGTGCAGCAAACCACCATGGCACACGTTTACTGATGGAACAAACCTGCACATCCTACACACATACTCCGGAACTTAAAAAAAAAAGTCTTTGATTTGTTACAGTTAATTATAGTGATATAATTATTCTATACTCATGTGCCTAATCTCATGTCGGGAAAAACCCAGAGTTTGTCATAGTGGCTGACGGATGGCAAGGAGGAGGTAATTATTAGCAGATATCCTACACATGCTATTGAGGCTGTGGAATCTTTGGCATATCTGTCTTGGTGTGAGGTAACTAGGGTTCTGTAGATGGTACATATAGTATGCTTTGAGACAAGCAAAGGAGGGGTTTTTGTTTTATGCTATTAAACTTCATCACTTTTAACAGTGATGCCATGTGATCAGTCCTTCAGGTTTGCCTGATACTGTAAAAATATGTCGCTATCAGGTAGATATTTTGGATAATACCTGAGTAGGACTTCCTGAAGTAGGATTTGATAATTTGATATACCGGTCTAATATTATAGTAAGTAAAACTAAGCTTGGTACCAGGGATCCTATAACAATGGTTGTAATTAAGTGGATATTATACCTTTGTGTTTTAAATGTTTATTACATTATAATTTTAGAGGCATTTATTCAAGCATATTTTATTTTATATTTTTAAATTCAACTTTTAAATTTAGGGGGTACATGTGCAGGTTTGTTACATGGGTATATTGCGTGATGCTAAGGTTTGGGGTACGATTGATCCCATCACCCAGGTAGTGAGCATAGCGCCCAATAGGTAGTTTTTCAGCCCTTTCTCCCTTCTTTTCCTCTACCCTTTTGGGGTCCACAGTGTCTATGGGTCCCATCTTTGTGCCCATGTGTACCTAATGTTTAGCTACTACTAAGTGAGAACATGTGGTGTTTGGTTTTCCATTTCTGCATTAATTTGATTAGGATAATGACCTCCAGCTGCATCCATATTCAAGCATATTTTAAAGTGGATTATATCCTATTTTTGAGTTAAAACAGGAGACTTATAACTGGCAATTATTGTGTAATCTAGCATGCATGAGTAGCTAACTCTTGTGTTTCATTTACTCATTCATTTATTTTCTTCACCAAGTATTCATCAACTCTGTTTATGTAGCAAATATTGTGCCAGGCATTAAATATATAAAAATGAAAAAATGATGGTCAGTTATTGAGGTAGCCAGACACACACATAGATAATTGCAATTCGGAGTGATGGGCCATGCTATGGGGAAAACATGTAGCAGTTTACAACACTGTTTCTACTCTAAGGTTACTTACGATCTGATTGAAGAATTAAGATGGAACAACACTAAAAATTAGCCATTCACATGAGAATGGCACGCAACAAGAAACAAGTAAGTGGGATAGACGTCAGGTGTGATTATTTTTCAGAGAGAGTAGAGATTGCTACCTACTAGAGTGCTCAACTTGACGGCAGAAAGCAAGATTTCCAAATAGAGACGGTGATATAGAATTTGCAAAATATATTTGTGGGATATTTAAGGACGAGCCTAGCTGAAGTGAGAGACATCTGGGTAGCTCATAGACAATAGGGTTGGAGGGGTGTTTTGGGGCTATTTGCCTGGGCCTTTAATGCCATTCTAAGTTTAGACTTTACCCTCAAGAGGAAGCATGTGAGGGTTAAGAGGGCAAGCTGTAGATTCAGATAGGTTCGAGTTTGAATCAAGTTTCCTGACTGTTACATACTCTACTAATCCAGGCAACTTACTTAACTTCTCTGTGCTTTAGTTGTCTCACTTGTAGGTCTTCCTATCCCTACTTTTTTACTATATAGGATCTGTGGAAGATTACATAAGATAATAGACATAAAGTGCTTAGAATGGTACATAACACATAGTAAGCACTCAAAAATATTAGTTAGTAATACAGAATGTATTACTTCTCTGTATTATGATCATTTAGGTCTCAGTCTATGACAGCAGAATCTTTGTTGGATTACCCTTTGATTATAGCCTATCACAAGTCTTAAACTTTTCACATATATTCATTGGAAATATTCATTTGTCATTATAACAATCTCACCAGACTTCATTATTTTCTTTTAAAAAAGTAAAAAGGCTCAGGTGAGTGGACATAATTAGCGCAAAGCCACAAAATTGATGAACAGAGAGAAGATCTAAAATTTTCCATAGTTGGTGATAATTAATCCAGTATTTCTTTCAGTCCATCAGGCTGCCTTCTGATGTCAGGAAATAATGAGATAAGCCTGTAGATGCATAGAATTCCACATTACTGAATTATTATGAGCCTTATGCAGAGGGAAGTGCAAATGACTTCTTGTACTCAAAGGGTTTGCCTCAGAGAAGACTTGTCAAAAACATATCTAACTGCTGACCAAATAGCTGAATAAATTCTCCCTAACTCTAGCTTAGAGAAATGGACACATAAAAATTTGTGTTTTGACAGAGGAAAACTTGGTTACCATTTGAATTTATTTTAATTTCTGAATTGGGCTTTTGTGCACAGAATGGTTTAGAGTTTCTGGAGTTTTAATTGATATCCAGTAATGAAATTGTTAAAAATAGTTTAAACTGTACTTATATATCTAATTCTCTTAAACTTTCTAAATGCCCAACAGAGCAGATTTGCAAACATAATTAGCAAAACCTTTCTTTGAGTAAGCTTATCAGCTTTACTCTTCTTTGTATTCTTTCCTGAGACTAGTGATGGAGGAGCAGATTTACTGCTTGGGTGGATGAAGGTTCCTGGGTCTAAAGTTTGGGACCATGATATGTGTCAAAGGCTGAGAACCAGTCATTGATATGTTAAACTTAATGTCATACAATTAGATGTGTTTCTTGCGGGAAAGTATAGAGCAAAAGGACCAGCATACAACTTTGGTAATGATTGTCCATTTAGGAGTGAGGAAAAGAAATACTTGCAGAGCACAGAAAGTATAAAGTGTGAGGACAGGCAGGATAGTGTCATAGCCCTGGATCCAAGTCCAGTAGGAGCTACAAATCTCAAGGCAACAACTGGTGCCAAATGCGGCGAGACTTGTAACTAGACACTAGGAGAATACACTGATTGTATAAAAATCAGTGGCTTTAAACGAAAATTCATGAAGGGTTCTTGGGTTGAAATAATGAAAAGCTAAGTGTTCTGGTGCAGTAGTGTATTACCTTTTGGGGTCATGAATGAGGTGATTATACTTCTCAGTTTGCCCAGGAGAGCCTCAGTTTAAGCCTGTTGCTGGGTATAATAATTGAGAATGTCTTCTTTCATTCTCAAAAGTACCATGATTTGGACAATAAGTTACATGATCTGGATGATGAAATCTATTGAATTTATCTGCAGGTAAGATACACATATATAGGCATATGCAAAATTTTACAGTTACTTCAGAGGGTTCACTTATATACTGAACCCAATCCTAGGATCTCTTTGAGGGATTTATAAACCCTCAAACGTTTGCTCTTGTGTTCAAGTTTCTATGCTTAGCCATTCTCAAGGAGCCCACAGCTTGAGATTTGGCATGTAACTCTCCACACTTGTTTTACAGCATAATCTAATCTTTCTTCCTGGTGAGCAGAAATTTTATACCCTGTACTAAGCTGGAAGGAATCCTAGTCTCACAGCCATTCAAATCCCTTGTTTGCTCTGAATAAAGTCCCACAGCCTAAAATTCTTTTACATCATGGTGGAGGTGTGCTTTGTAGAGGAGGAGGAATAAAAAGTAATTTAAAATGTAATAACACCTAGAGTTATTAAGTGATTTCCCCACGAACTCTTATCTTTTAGAAGATGGGTATTTATAAAGCAGACATTAAGATCTTTCTTTTAGAATTTGCAGTGAGTAATCTCAGTCAATAAGAATTTTCCATCGAAATGATATGCTGCTAATGAGGTTGAATAGGCTACAAACAGTGCATTAAAAAACAAATTGGGTTCAGTAACTACTTTCACCATATATGAAAGGCAGATTTTGTACAGATTAAGACGACGTGTCCTTAGCAGTTCGAGTCTGACCCTAGAGTCAATATTGTTAGATGATAAATACACTCCTTCGGGTGGAGCACTGAATAAACAGAGATGCTGTCAGAAGATGTCATTCTTCCTTAAGCATGGAAGTGACTTAAAAAAAAGGCCTAATTCCACCTTGTAAGACAGCTTTACCTTGACTAAGTTCCATGAAATTTCTTCTGATTCTTTTTTTTTAAACCTTATTCCTTTGAAAACTATTACATAGTTATTATCAAATGTAAACAGTTATCTTGTGGTCATGACTAGATCTAGAATTTTCTATCTCATTATCTAGTCATCTGTATACTGAAAAGGCAGGTGTTTCATAAGGAACATTAGTAAATAAAAAACCAACATATTATGGAAATAATAAGTGTATTACATATCAATATTAACTTGGTAAATATAGCACGTGGTATACTACAACATGTAATATAATACTTCAGTTTATGAAGTTTTTTCTAACAGGCAAAACCCCCCAAATTATAATATTTTAAATTCACAACAGAATACACACTTTATTATTAAATAGGCTCAAAAGAAAATACTATTATGATTATATTTTTCTCATCTTTCAAATAGTAATAAGTAACTTTCCAAGACCTCACCTTTTGTGTGCATGTAATTGAATATATTTCTAGGAAGGCCAAACTACTTTTTCTGTGATCTATGATTCCAAACTTGCCTCTAGTGAATGGGCTTGTGCTTGTCTTTTATACCAGTTGGTTTTATTGTATTGTTTCTCCAAATGGAGGAATTGGTTTCAAAGGTCAGAGTTTGGGTAACCTTGGGTTTTCAAAAAAAACCTGCCATATTGTTACTTAAAGAAGCAGAATCACTTATTGCTTTCACAGATTATTTTGGGATGCTTTACCCTGCTTTTTATGTTTTATCCTTAATGTTAAGTACCAATGAGAGAATAACACGTACTATGTTCTCAATATTCTTCTGTTTGCAAGTGTTTTCCATATGACTCATTCTGTAATAACTTTTTTCTCATAGTCCTCAGCAATAGGTCAGCCTAGAAAGCAAACAGAGAAGAAACTTGTCACATTTACTTTCTTCCTGATTTCTTTAAGTCCTCGTCATCATTTCAAGACTAAGCTTTGCTATATTCACTGCATTCCATTTTTTTTTCTAACCTGTGATTTTAGGGAAAGATCACACTTGTTCATTATTTATGGGCTTTTAGACTCTGTATAATGGGGGAAAATGGGTTTCAATTCAGTGAATACTTATGATGTAACTTTATACGTGTCTCTTAGTTACAGTTAAACTAGTTTTCTATTATTCCCAGTTTATGTTGGCTTGCCGAATGAAAGGATCACTTAGTCCAAGCAATTCAACCAACTAATTAGTATAAATGGTAAATTATTTGATGAATTTGGTGAATTTTCTGAGGCTGCCAATGTGGTTTGAGGGATATCTGAATGTATCCAAGGCATGAAGTGTAGATATTTTATAAGGAGATTTCCATATGACATGATTAAGATCACTTTGTTTAAAAAACCAGAATTAGCACTAAGACAATTTTTGTTTTTTAAGCACCAAACTATAGATAGGAAAGTAACTTAAAAAAATTTCAAACGAATATATGGACATTTTGTTTGTGACTTAAAGACTGATCTCATTAGATTCATTTTTACTGGCCTGGCTCAGGCTGATTTTATACTGCTCTTAAATGAAAATATTTTTTCTCAGGGTGCTTTCAAATTACTTTTATGTGACATGTCCAAAGTGTATCATTTTCAGCTCAGATTAGTTTAGAAAACTGAGATTAAGGACTTCCTGAACACAGAGGAAGGAAATAAAGCAGAAAAGCTGTGAAAATTGTGTTAAAAATTTCTGAAAGCACACCTTCGTATATGTTTTAAATTGTTATTAATATCTATAGCTATGATTTCTGAAGTTTTATTATGGTACTTGTTTATTAACCATGATACTCTCAAAATGTAATCGGTCATTTATATTCTGCATTTTTCAAATTATTTGTAGTGAGTTGGTTGCCATAGTTACTGCACTTTCAGCACTATTTGTCAACTTTTTATCATAAGGTTTTTCTGCATAATTTTGCCTATTAGGGTCATTTACATAATTTAGTATTACTAGACTGTGGAAAAGTTGATTAAAGGACCTAAAATGATTGCTTTGAAATTATTAAGATATGAATTTGGAAGATATTTTTCTATAAGATGACTCATGAGTAAAAATGAAATTTATATTTTTATGGGTTATGAGTGTTACTTTTATAACTATTTTGAAAAGTATACACGACTGAATTTTGGCAAAACTGCCTTCCTTTATTGACTAACTACATGTTCTGAGCCAGAGTAAACCAGAGACCATGTATAAAGTAATATAATATTTATTCTGGCATATGTGATCCAAGAGAAATTAAATAAAAACTAGTCTCCAAAGCACATTATACCAGAAACAATAGTACATCCTGTGGCATCTTGTCACCTGAAAACACCGCAGGTTTCAGTGGAACTAAAGATTGAGACTAGCACACAATTTCTTTTTAATGACAGCTTTTACATGGCAGTTTTGCACATATTTATTCTGAGGTTCGGATTTTGTGGCCATTTTCACTTTGGTAAGCACTCTGGAGGAACATTTCAGGTTAGGCAATAACCCAACACAAACGTATTAAGCTCAGAAGAAGGAAGTGACCAATGCAAAAATAGTGCCCAGGGGGCCAGTTTATGCTAATAGCTAATTGCCAGAATTCTAGGGTGCTGGGTACACACAAAGAGTTTTATATTTTATTTCCAACCACAGGTCAGCATCAAAGATATGACCACAGAAATGCATTGTGTAGTCTGTCTTACCTAAAGTCGGAGAAAGAAGTAGTTCTAGAGTCATATCTGGACTCAGTGCTTATTTCAAAAGGAGAATAAATAAGATAGTGCTTCCTCCACCTCACAAGACCTGGAAGACCCCTTGGTCCTCTATACACCCTTGGCATCTGTCCCAGCAGCTAGACTGGCTATCCTCAAAGCTTCTTTTTCAAGGATGCCTGTGTATTCGGTAGGCAAAGTGCTATGTTATGACCGAAAAAAAAAAAAAATCGTTGGGAGGCCGAGGAGGGCGGATCACAGGGTCAGGAATTCGAGACCAGCCTGGCCAATATGGTGAAACCCTGTCTCTACTAAAAATACAAAAATTAGCCAGGAGTGGTGGTGGGTGCCTGTAGTTCCAGCTACTCGGGAGGCTGAGGCAGAAGAATCACTTGAACCTGGGAGGCGGAGGTTGCAGTAAGCCAAGATCATGCCACTGCACTCCAGCCTGGGCGACAGAGGGAGACTCCATCTCAAAAAAAAAAAAAATGTGTAAACCAGAACTGAGTTTGTTAGCATAATGCCACTGGGGCTCTAGAGAGAAGTATTGTGCCATCTCATTGCTAGAATTGGGGCAGAGTGTTGTCCCATCTTTGACATCTGGGGAAGGTTTCCGCTTTATAAAATGCAAATGGAATCACTTCAAGTCCTCTCAGACAGTATCTGGATGATATTCCACTTTCACCACTCCAAGGTGTTGACGTGGTACACTCTCTACATGTTTTGGTGGTTTTATTTTTCATTTATAGACATTTTGTTGGGTTATTTCTCAGTCTACCTGTTTATTTTTATAGCCTTCTACCTTTATTGTTTCTTTTAAACATTTCTTTAATAAGTATAAACATTTAAATTGGAAGTACTAAACAAACCTATTTGTTTTGCTTGTTGACTCTCCCTTGAGGGGATGCTTTTCTTGGAATGGTCCATTTTTTTTTTTATTTGTGAACTCCTCTTCCTTGCGGATTATTTTTCTGTTGGAATCTGGTGTGCTGCGTTGTAGACAGGTTTCTATGGAGCCTTTTTGAGTTTGCATCTGGCAGGTGCCTGAATAGTATCTCTGGTCCACAGTCATTTTTATGTTAATTACTTTCCTTAAAAGATTTCAGCACAATGAGGATGGCATAAACTTAATTTCCAAACCCACACATAGGACAGACTTAGAATTTTGCTTTATCGCAAGAGCATGTTTTATTTTGGTTTTCTCTACCAGGTCTCTGAAAAAGACAAGTTTCTCTTTTGGGTTTCTTAGTCATTAGGTGGTATTTTCTAGCCCTCTTTCCCCAGGGTCCCTAGTTTCAGCAGAGCTCACAGCTTTAGCTCCCTTCCTTGAACCCAAATCACTTTTTCTGAACCCACTTGACATTTCCGAATGTTCCCTGGAACTGTCAGTTGGAGGGGAGTAGGGATAAAAGAAACCCTGTCTCCTGGAATATCCAGGTCTGAATTGATTTGTGTTAATGTGAACTCTCATGATTATTTTTTTTAAATGAGTATCTGCTCCCTGGACAAGAAGATCCAGGGGGACAGCTTAAAGAGTGTTGTCTGAGGAGCGATTATTGCTATGGTAACACGGGAGTGGCTTTATTTAAAGTTTTGGTGGAGCCAGCACCAGGCTTTACTCATATTGATTGGTGAGAGGGAGATTGAAGAAGGGAAGTAGGTGAGGTGGGCAGCCAGGGGCAAGCCCAGGCCAAGTCAGGTGGTGACTATAAAGGTGGTGAGCAGCAGATGGGTGCCCAGAGAGAGGCCTGGTTTAGGGTGGGTGAAATGGCAATAGCACCTCATTCTTCTTGTAGAAGTGGAAGAAGGCCTCTATTTCCTGCTCTTATGTATTTGTCCTTGGAATGAGAAATGATAACATTCAGGATATGTGTGCTGTAGTGTAAACATCTAAGAAAGTAATCTCATGGGATAGGGGGTAAGTCGGCAGATTTCCCAGGATGTGCCATCTTTATTCTAAGAAAACTCAGTGTTTAATACCAAGCATGTTTTTAATATATCTAATATACTATCCAGGGGTGTGTGTGTCTGTATCTGCATATTTGTGTGCATGTGTATGTGTGTGTGTGTATATATGTGTCATATATGTATACGTACTTATATGTATGTGTCTGTGTGCATATAACCAGGTAGTATTTTTGGTGGTGATGACTGATTAGTAACAGTGAAGGAAACTTCATTCAACCAAAAGGTAATTGTGACATGCCCACTACTTCCAGGCCCTTTTTTAGGCACAGAAGATTCAGCAACAAATAAAACAGCAACATTCTTGGGCTCCTGGAATTTACATTCTTGCACAGAGAGGCAGACAATAAACAAAATAAGTTAGTGAAACGCATAGTGTGTTACATAGAAGTAACAAGGATGGAGAAAAATAAAGCAAATAAGGAGGACACGGAGCGTTGGTACAGGTGTCTGCAATTTTAAATGGAGTGCTAAGGGAAGGGAGACAGCCAGGCAGAGGAAAAAGCAAGAAGCCTGCCCTGCGGGTGGAGGAGGCCATTTGGCTGGAATCACATGAGCTGGGGCAGGCGGAGTAGAAGATGCAGCCAGAGAGATGCTGATTTCATTGCGCGGCAGACAGCCTGAAGTGCAATCTCTGTGGAACTGAGAACACTGGGCAGAAACTCTAGTGTCTGTGTAAACTGATTCTTTGGATTAAAGGGTGATGCGGGATTACGGGTGGGTGTCAGAGAGGGCACATTTTGTTCCCAGGGTCAGCCTCAGGAAAGGCAGAGTCCATGAAGCGTTTCTCTGAGGCCCGTTTTACCTACTTCAGCAGGATCAGCTTGTCCTGACTCCCAGCACCATTCCCTCAGCATCCTGTGCTCAGCTGTGATGCTTCCAAAGTCACCTGATAAACTTGTCCCTGTACAGCCAGGACCTGGCTGACATTGATTTAAGGTCGTCACTCACTTTGCCTCTTTAAGATGCTTGAAGATGAACACCCTTTAAGACTCAAAGATAGTTTAACTTGATTCCTTGCACACAGAAAGTTACTTTTGTACTTAACTGTGTGTGTGGCATTGTACTAGGTACCTCAGGGAGATACAAAGAGGGTGAGACATGATACCTGCTCCCAGGGAACTTGATGCGTAAGACAGGGATGGGGAGGAAAGAGACTTTCACAACCAACCATAAACTTCTGCTAATGATAGCACTTCAGAAACGGTTAACAACCAGTGTAGAAGATATTTTTCGGGAGGGAGAACTTGCAATTTTTAAAACATAAGGATGCCAGCAACTGCAAAAGCTGGTCTTGTGTTTTGCTGTGATCCTCAGCACCCTATTTTAGCCTGGACAGCCTGCAGCACTGTTGGGTGGTGCGAGGCAGCAGGAAGAGCCTGGGCCGGTAGGGCTGTGCCTGGGGTTTGATCCTGCCTACTGTCTGAGGGAACTTAGGAAGTTTCTTGATCTCTCTGCAGCTCAGTTTTCTCATGGGCAAATGAGGAAGAAAATAGTAGCTACTGCACAGGGTGTTTTAGAAGAACAAGCAAGTTAACATCTGTCATGTACTAAGAATAGTGCTTGGAACACCATAAGGCCTCTGCAAATGTTATATAGTATCCCAAGCAGCAAACCCACTTCTTCTTCCTCTTTTCTGGCCACCAATTCTTGCTAGTTGCTTTATTTTTATTAATAATTGATGCTTGCATAAACAAATAACACAACTTTTTCTTCCATTAGGAGCAATCTGGAGACTTTCAAGAGAGAAATACATGGAGAGATCCTATAAACCCTGGGGGAACAAAGTTCTTAAATTTTATAATTGTTCAGTGTTACAGGAGTTTCTGGATAGGTGAGCTTTTAAAATTAAATTTTAATGAATGTTACTTAGCAGTCTTTCAATATATTTTTCTTTATAGCAAGTGTTTTAGTAAATAGAAAAATAATTAAAACCATGAATATGTGTATATATAAATTACAAGTAACTTCTGTGCTTTCCAGTTATTTGTAAATTAAAACTTAGAAATTTTTTCTCACCTGCATCTGTACAGAATTTTTAAAGGGTCTTTCGAAGGTCTTAGAATCTGTAATTCATGACATACAAGGAAGCTAAAAATGTTTGATTTGTTCAGAAGCTATTGTAGGTGTGTCTACTCACACTTCACATCTGTAATCTGAGAATTTACTAAGCTACTTGCTTATGAATAAGCTGACTCACAGCACACCCAATTCATGCTTGAGTTTGTAAAAAAAATAAGTCTTTTGTAGTGGCATAGCTGCTACCAAATAGAACTTGACTCAGAGTTTTTCTAAAGGAACATATGATTGAGGGAGGACAAAATATGAAAAGTAGTTGGCAAAAAATTGGGGAAATATATGATCTATGAGAAGTAAGACAGAGAGAGAGAGTGTGTGTGTGTGTGTGTGTGTGTGTGTGTGTTTCAAAGCATAGTATATGAACATCAAGGGTTTCTAAGGTACTTTTACAGATTCTCTGAAGGATCCTGTGGAGGAAGAGAAAAACTAGGCGGTCCCAAATCTCATTTAGAACAACTCTCACTTTTTGTTTTACACAGTGGACTTCTGAGTGAAAACTTCTTTTGAACAAATTTTTATAGAAGCAAAACATTTGAAAGCCCCTGTTACAGACCAAACTCTTCATTGCTAGCTTTGCCCATCCCGAAAGGGCCAGTACCTTGCATGATGCCTCGCACAAGAGGAATTCAACAAACATGCATTCAGTGAATAAAGAGAGATAGAAAAATGCATCCCATCCATTTGGTTGCTGCATAGAGTATGTTTAGGGGAGAAGTAGGAACCAAGATTTCAAACAAGGCAGCTGCAGCTGAAGCATGGAAAGACGTGGATTGCCGCACTAGGGGTTTTACACTTGATTTGGTCAGTAGTGGGAAGTACTTCTTAAGTAAGCAGGGGCTGGGCGCGGTGGTTGACGCCTGTAATCCCGCACCTTGGGAGGCCGAGGCGGGCGGATCACGAGGTCAGGAGATCGAGACCATCCTGGCTAACACGGTGAAACCCCGTCTCTACTAAAAATACAAAAAATTAGCCGGGTGTGGTGGCGGGCACCTGTAGTCCCAGCTACTCAGGAGGCTGAGGCAGGAGAATGGCGTGAACCCGCGAGGCGGAGCTTGCAGTGAGCCGAGATCGTGCCACTGCACTCCAGCCTGGGCGACAGCGCGAGACTACGTTTCAAAAAAAAAAAAAAAAAAAAAAAAAAATTACATAAGCAGGAAGAAATTAGCCTGAGGCTGTCTTCATACTTCGAGTTTCTACATAATAAACTGCAACCTAACTTAGTATATAAACAAACCGAAACCTAATTTAGGAGTATGTGTTTTGTAACAAATAGCTAGGTTTTAGCCAGTCACAGGTGGCCAACTCATCATACCATGCCCAAATAAGGTAAGTGTCTCATCACACTGTACCCCAATAAGGCAGATACCTAGCTGTAGCCAATCAGGTGATTTCTCAACTTTCCTTTCACGTTCAGCCTATAGAAGCTTGCTGCTCCCATTGGTGAGCAGAGCTCTCTGAACCTCTTTTGCTTCTGAGTGTTACCCAGTTTCTAAATTGTTCTTTGCTCAAACTCTATTAAATTTGCCTAAAGTTTTTAACATACCTTTTTTAATTTTTAAAGTTTTAAAATTTTTAGATAAAAATGTGTTGAGATGTAATTCACATACAATTTACCCATTCCAAGTGAATAATAAGGTGTTTTTATTATACTCACATGTACATGCAAGCAACATCACAGTCTATTTTAGAATATTTTTATCACCTCCAAAAGAAACCTTGTTTCTTTTAGCTGTTCTTTCCTATTTCCCTACCCTCCTCCTCCAGACTTAAGCAACCAGTAGCCTACTTTGTCTCTAGATTTTCCTGTACTGGACACTTCATATAAATAGTCACATGTAGACTTAGCACAATATCTTTAAGGTTCTTTTACTTAGCAGAGCGTCATCGTGTTGTAGCATAACTCAGTACTTCACTCCTTTTTGTGACTATCATAATTAAAACATTTAGATGCTGATTTGTAAAAAATGTCGACTTTTATAAACGGGGGCACGTGTTCAGGTTTGTTATATGGGAATATTGTGTGATGCTGAGGTTGGGGATATGGATCCTGGCACTCAGGTAGTATGCACAGTACCAATAGGTAGGTTTTCAACCCATGCCCTCTTCCCTCCCTCCCCACTCTTGTAGTTCACAGTGTTTATTATTCCCATCTTTATGTCTGTGCGTGCTCAATGTTTAAAGGATATTTAAGTGAGAATGTGTGGCATTTAGTTTTCTGTTCCTGAGTTAATTAGCTTAGGATGATGGCCTCCAACTGCATCCATATTGCTGCAAAGGACATGATTTTATTCTTTTTTATGGCTGTGTAGTATTCCATGGTGTATATGAACTACATTTTCTTTATCCATTCTACCATTGATGGGCACTTGGGTCAATTCCATGGCTTTGCTATTATGAACAGTGCAGCAATGAACATACAAGTGAATGTTCCTTTTAGGTAGAAGGATTTATTTTCCTTTGGATATATACTCAGTAATGAGATTGTTGTGTGGAATGGTAGCTCTGTTTTAAGCTTTTTGAGAAATCTCCAGACTGCTTTCCACAGTGGTTGGACTAATTTACATTTCCACTAGCAGTATGTAAGTGTTTCCATTTCTTTGCAGCATCACCAGCATATGTTGTTTTTTGACTTTTTAGTAAGAGCCATTCTGATTGGTGTGAGATGTATCTCATTGTGGTTTTGATTTGCGTTTCTCTGATGATTAGTGATGCTGAGCATTTTTTCATGTTTGTTGGCCAGTTATGTGTCTACTTTTGAGAAGTGTCTGTTCACTTCCTTTGCCTATTTTTTAATGAGATTATTATTTTTTTGCTTGCCAATTTGCTTAAGTTCCCTATAGATTCTGGATATTAGAAACTGGATCAAAGGCACCAAGTGCTTTCCTGCCTCAACTCTTTGTAGATCTCATTGCTCTGTTCTAAAGGGTCATTCTACTTTCTTCTTAGAACAACTGGCAATTTTGGCTTTGTTTTGTTTTGGTACGGGGTCTTGTTCTGTCACCCAGTCTCAAGTGCAGTGGCATGGAGTGCAGTGGTGTGACCTTGGCTCACTGCAACCTCCACACCCTGGGCTCAAGTGATCCTCCTACCTCAGCCTCCTGAGTAGCTGGGACTATAGGCACGTGCCACCAAGCCTGGCTATATTTTTGTATTTTTAGTAGAGATGGGGTCTCGCCGTGTTGCCTAGGCTACCACTGGCTATTTTTGCCACCATTTCAGAAAAGCTTCTGTAGCCATTGTATCCAAGAAAGTAGGCTTCCCTTGCCATCATCTATCATTTTCCCCATTTCTTTCCTTCATAGATACTTCACAGATACTTCAATATCGGCAAGTATTTTTTAAATGTGTTCACCTGTGTCTTCATTGTTTCCTCCACTATGTTGTACGCTCTATGTCACTGTTGCACTTCCAGCGCTAAGCATAGTATGTGTTCCAAAAGTATTTGCTAACGGAATATGTGTGCCCTTTTATTTGATGTGAAAGTAGGTGACTGGGAGCAAAAGCCAGTTTTTAGGGCTTTAAGATGTGATTGGGTGGAGAGTAATTTGTGGAAAACTAATACCAATAACTCAAGAAATGGGTGGCAAGAGAGGGTGATACTTTGAGGGAGTAGCAGGGTGGATAAAGGTTTATTTTAGAGTAGAGGCCATCTGAGCTTGTTAGAGATAACAAGGAAAGGATTTCCAAGGACTGCAAGAATTGAAGAGACACAACGATCCATGGTGAAGCAGTGGAAAAACTTAGGAGGAAAGGTTTTCCTTGACATTCTGAAAGTAGAGTATCTTTTCTTTAGCAGCAGGTAAAAATTTGGAGGACAGCAGGAGGGAAGCTGATGGGGTTCAGTATGGTTGTTTTTCATCACCCATGTAGTTGGGAGGTGGTTTTGTCTACTTAAGTAAAGTTGGGTATTGCAGAAGGAAAAGACTTGAAACAGTAGCTGAGATCAGAGAGCCTGACTTCAGACAGCCAGGGTTTATGACCTTTCTTCAGAAAAATCAATTGCTTTTCAATTAGAGAAATTATACAGTAGAGATTGTGGAGTTACCATTCACTTAGGGACTTTTCCTTTTGTTTTCTTTTTTTTTTTTGCAGTTTCATATTAGTGTGAGATAAGTTCACAGCATATTTTATGGGTCATTTAGCAGATATTTGGGATAAGGGGAAAATGACATTAGAGAAAGGAGAGTTCCTGTTATATTAAACAATACAGTAATTTTTTTTTTTAATGCGTGGCATGGGGTGATATTCTATTTGAGCCTTTTTTTCCTGCTAGAATTAAATTTTCTTTGCATGGTTAGTTATACTTAGGGAATAAAATTTTTTTTTTTAAAGCTAAAAGTGTTATTCAACTAGATGACTTCTCACTTGACTAAAAGAGTGAGAATAACATTGGTCGCTAAGTTTGATAAATTGTATATGCGTTAGGGCCTCAGCCTCTCCATTTTAAAAAAGTGTATGATAGTAATGAACTACGTTGGGTTGCTAGGAGGAAAATAAACAATGATATTGTAAAGGGCTGGCTAAATATTAAATGCTATACAAATACCTTTGGTGCTGCTATCCAGGAAGGACTCATGACCTTTTAGATAAAGTTTATTAAATTTCCGAGGGAGGAACATGAATGAACAACAAAGCAGGCATTGCTATTGGAAATCAGTCCCCTGGTATATTACTGATAAGGAAGACTGGTTTTCAGTTATACTTTCCTGTTGAGGAAATGCAAACACTTTAGTACATGATCTTACAAATAGTCTTAGTCTCATGAAGCAGGGGGCCATTTTTACAAAGAAAAGAAGCTTGATCAAAGAATATGTGACTTGATAAGGATCAGCAAGATGGCAGATGACAGGGGAAATTTACATTAACATCTGGTTCTGTAGGTAATAAGTCACATGTTCCATGATTCCAGCAGGCTTGCACCAAGAACAATTCCTGGTGCCTAGTAGGTGTTCAATAAATGTTTGTTGCTTCAGTGAATATTATTTTTAAAATGTCCCATTGTCTAATCGCCAGTCTGTTAATCAGTGTGAAATACATTCTGCTTTCCTCTGCAACAATAGATTTGTTCATGATTCTGGGTTTCATATGGGTTTTAGAATGAGGATTGTAATTTTGAGGTTATATCCCATCCCCCAAATAAAATAAGAAGTGATCTAAGTGGACAGTCAGTCTCTTTCCTGAGTGTTACGTGTTACTGTTTGCAGCATACTTTTATATTCATTTTCTCTGCCAACCCTATTAGGGTGGAAAAAATGAAGTCTCTACCCTAGTAGGGTAGTCTCTATTTAACTAGTCTCTACTTAACTTTGCTTAACCAAGCATGAAGGGTAGGTATTAGTTCCATTTTTCTGAAGAGTAAACTGAAATTTCAAGAGATTATTTTCCTGCCTAACGTGTTACAATTAGTACTTTGCAGAAACAGGGCTAGAAATGAGATCTCCTAGTTCATAGCCCCATGTTTTTTTCTTTCCTAAAACAAGAAACAAAACAAAACAAATGAATACGTAAATAAAACTTGAGGATCAGTCCTTTAATAAAACTATAAATTACAGTAGCAAGAACCTGTGTTAAATAAGAATAAAATGCCTAGAAGTCTAGTATTATTATTTTTATGGAATATTATATTAGCTAGAGTAATAGAAATAGCAAACACTATTGCCAGATACTCTCATAAGTGCTTAATTTAGTGCTCATAACAATTCTTTGATGTAAGCACAGCGAATATTGCTATCAAATCTATTTTATCATTGAGTTTGAGTAGCAAAATTGGAAAATGACAATATCATACTATCCAAATCAATTTAGTTCCTCATTTTAAGATAGCAAGTAGTAGGAGTTTAAATAGCAAGATATTTATTCCAATCCATTTTGTTCCTAAATTTAGACAGTGAGGATACTTATATTATTATATTTGCTTTATATAAGAGGAAACTGAGGCCAATGGAAGTGAAGTAACTTGCCAAAGGCCACACACAGAGCTTTGATCCAGGCAGTCCAGCTCCAGAATAAGTTCTTATTTACTAGACTATTCTGTCCTTTATCAGTTCCCTCAATAATGTACCAGAAAGCTCAGGGCCTTAAGTTTTGAGGAGAAAGAAAAAAAATAGTAAAAACAGGGGATTATTACAATATAGTCAGGAAATGAGAAGGGAGGACAGCTCTAATGATGTGGGTAGGTGAATTTGGACCAGATGACATTGACTTACGTATGGTTTTATTTCAAAACCTGGGAATCAACAGACGCATTTTCTCTAAGATATCTGCTGCTCACCAAATTACATTCACTTACTATGGTTTTACTTTAAAACCTGGGAATCAACAGATGCATTTCCTCTAAAATATCTGCTGCTCAGAAACCCTATTTATTTGAATGTTATTAGAAAAGTGATTAACCCAGCTGAAATTAGTATTAGCTACTTTACCTTCCTTCTAGGTGTGTGTCTGAAATTCCAGCTCTGGGGTACATGCTGAATAGGTTCTGCTTCATTCAGCAAGTTATACCAGAGAAAACAATTTACTAGTGCTGTTCCCTAAGTGATACTTGCTGGGCAGTATTTCTAAGAGATGTTCTCTAGAAAAATGGTTCTCTGGTCAAATAAGCTGGAAATCACTGTATTACACAGTGAGGATCCCATGGAGGATTGCACATTGGCATATGAAAGGTTTTATGAAGTTTTGCAGGAAAGAAGCCATTTAACTTTGCCTAACCAAGCATTTATTCAGCCTATTTAGTAAAACATTTTTTAAGGAGTTTCATTGTTGTAATTATTTGTAAAACATCTATTGACATTCATGGAACAAACTTCAAGAAATCTTGAATTAATGTAAAAAAAGTCTCATTAAAATAGATATTTTACAGACTTAGACCACAGCTTAGTTGACATGTACAGTTAACTTAGTTGATAATGTACAGTCTATTCAGAGAAAAATACAGTACTTCCACTCTTTAATGTCAATAATGCTCCCGTGTGCACAATTTCTTTTATGTACATTATATCATTTGACTCTTAAAACCACTACTTGAGAAAGTAGGGCAGATATTATTCCAGTTAATGTAAGAAAAAATGAGGCTGAAAAGGGTAGCATCACCAGCTACTCAGACACTCAGAGATATGGTGGTTGATGACAAGACACTGCTTCACAGATGTATCAAACCACCTTATCTCTTGTGATCTTGCTTGGTTGGGGGGACTTGTGTTTAGAGTTGTATTTTTCATAATGGTTGCTGGTTCATGTTGATCTAGCAACATCCTCTTTGGTGATTCCAATTGACGGTCATTGGAAAACATCTTATGTAACGTCTGGCTGCGTTGGAAAGAGAAGTTTATGGTCATAGAAAAATACAAAAATAAATATTCTATGAGAAAAGATTAGTATGAATTTGTGTTCCAGAGAATTGAAATAACTAAAAAATACAGTAAGAAAAAAATTATAAAGATTGGTTATTATGGAGTTGTGTTAACTTTCACAAAAATTACTGGACATTGAGTAATAGCCCACAAGTCGACAAGAATTATAATTACAATGTTTTTCAAGCAAGTAAGTGTAGAGGTTTGTATCTAAAATTTTTTCAATAGAATTATAGGATTTTACATTTGAGAATGGTTTTACAGATCAGTTAATGAAGATCCCTTATTTTACAAATAAGGAAATAGACCAAGATGAGTTAAGGGCTCTACCAAATACTTAGTGCTTTAGTGCAAAACTAGACAAGATCCCAAATCATCTCACCCTTCAAGAAAAGGCTGCCTGGAACTTTGGGAGCAAGATGGCCAAATAGAAGCCTCCAGTGATTGTCTTCCCCGCAGGAATGCCAAACTGAACAACCATCCATACAAAAAAGCACCTTCATAACAACTAAAAATAAGATTAGTGATCACAGTGCTTGGTTTTCACATCATATCAAGGAAGGAAGCACTGAAAGGGGTAGGAGACAGCCCTGAATCATTGACATCATCCTTCCCCATTCCCTGACAGCAGCCATGTGGCACAGAGAATCTGTGTGCTTGTAGGGGGAGGGAGAATGCAGTGATTATGGGACTCTGCTTGGAACTCAGTGCTACCCTGTCACAGTGAAAAGCAACACAGGACAGAACTCACTTGGCACGCACAGAAGGAGCATTTAGGTCAGCCTAAGCCAGAGGCAAATCATCCATCACAGCAGTTAGAACCTGGGTTCTAGCAAGTCCTGCCAGAGTGGACTACAATGCTCTGGGGTCTTGAATAAACTTGAAAGGCAGTCTAGGCCATAAGGACTACAATTCCTGTGGCGGAGTGGACTTGGGTACACGTGACCTAGTGAGATACCAGCTAGGGTGGCCAAGGGAGTGCTTGCACCACCTCTCCCCCAACCCCAGCAGTGCAGCTCATAGCTCCAGGAGAGACTCCTTCCCTCTGTTTTAGAAGAGGAGAGGGGAGAGTAAAGAGGACTTTGTCTTGCAACTTGGATACCTGTTCAGCCACAGTAGATAGGGCACCATGGTCCTGAGGCCCCCATTCCAGGCTCTAGCTCCAAGATGACATTTCTAAATATACCATGGGCCAGAAGGTAATGCACTGCTTTGAAAGGAATGACCCAGTCCTGGGAGGATTCATCATCTGCTGACTAAAGAGCCCTTGGGCCCTGAATATTCAGCAGTGATAGCTGGGAAATACTTGCTGTGTCCTTGGGTAAGACTCAGAGCCATGCTAGCCTCAGGTGTGACCCAGCATATTCTCAGCTATGGTGGCTATGGGGATGAACTCCTTCTGCTTGAGAAAAGAAGAGGGAAGAGTACAGGGAACTTTGTCTTGCAGTGTGACTATCAGCCCAGCCACAGTGGGGTAGAGCAACAAGAGGGTTCCTGGAGTCTCCAGTTTCAGGCCTTAGCACCTAGACAGAATTTCTGGACCTGCCCTGGGTGAGAGAGGAGCCCACAGCCCTGAAGGGACAGATTCAGGACTGGCAGCATTCACTCTAAGCTGACTGAAGAGCCCTTGGGCCTTGAGTGAATATTGGCAGTAGCCAGGCAGTACTCACAGTGGGCATGGGGCACTAAGAACCATACGAAGAGATTCTTCCACTTGAGGAAAGGGGAGGGAAGAGTGAGAAGAACTTTTCCTTGAGACTTGGATGGCAGCTTAGTTGCAGTAGAATAGAGCATCGGATAGATCCCTAAGGTTCTCTACTGCAGGCCCTGGCTCCTGGATGGCATCTCTGGACCTGCCCAGGGCTAAGGTAAACTTTCTGCCCTGAAAAGAAGGACACAAGCCTGGCTGGATTTGCAACCTACTGATAATAGATCCCTTGGGCCTTGGGTGAACATAGGTGGTAGCCAGGCAGTGTTCGCTCTGGGCCCAGTGCTGTACTGGTTCAGGCCTGACCCAGAAAAGTTGTAGTGGTGTTGGACACAGGGGTGCTCTTTCAATACTCCTCCAGCTCCAGGTAGCTCATCACAGAGAGAGACTCTGTTTGCTTGTGGGAAGTTAAGGAATGAGAGCAAGAGTCTGCCTGGTAATCCAAGGAATTCTTCTGGATCTTACTCAAGACAATCAAGGTGGTACTTCTATGAGTCTGCAAGAGCAACAGTGATACTGGGCTTGGGGTTTGCCCTAAAGTAGATATGGCTGCAGTGAAGAAAGACTAGATCACAACACCCAAGTCCCTTTGAATACCTAGAAAGCCTTCCTAAGAAGGATGGATACAAATAAGCCCAGACTGTGAAGACTACAATAAACACCTAACTCTTCAATGCTCAGACATAGACAAACATCCACCTGCAATAAGACCATCCGGGAAAACACGACCTTATCAAACAAATAAGGCACCAGTCACATATCCCAGAAATACAGAATTATATGACCTTTTAGATAGAGAATTCAAAATAGCTGTTTTGAGGAAGCTCAACAAAATCCAAGATAACATGGAGAAGGAAGTCAGAATCCCATCAGACACGTTTAACAAAGAGATTGAAATAGTTAAAAAGAACCAAACAGAAATTCTGGAGCTGAAAAATGCAGTTGACATACTGAATAATGCATCAGTCTCTTAATAGCAGAATTTATCAAACAGCAGAAATAATTAGTGAGCTCAAAAACAGGCTATTTGAAAATACACAATCAGAGGAGACAAGAAAAAAAGGAAAAACAATGAAGCATGCCTACAAGATCTAGAAAATGGCTCAAAAGGGCAAATCTAAGAGTTATTGGCCTTAAGGAGGAGGCAGAGAGAGATCAGAGTAGAAAGTTTATTCAAAGGGATAAGAATAACTTTCTCAACCTAGAGAAAGCTATCAATATCCAAGTACAAGAAGGTTATAGAACAGTATGCAGATGTAAGCCAAATAAGACTACCTCAGGACATTTAATAATAAAACATCTAAAAGCCAAGGATAACAAAGGATCCTAAAACCAACAAGACCAAGGAAACAAATAACATACAAAGGAGCTTCAATAAGTCTGGCAGCAGACTTCTCGGTGCAAACTTTATAGGCCAGGAGAGAATGGTATGACATATTTAGAGTGCTGAAGGAAAAAAAAAATTATCCTAGGATAGTGTATCCACGGAAAATGTCTTTCAAATATAAAGGAGAGATGCTTCCTCAGACAAACAAAAGCTGAGGGATTTCATCAACACTAGATCTGTCTTACAAGAAATGCTAAAGGGAGTTCTTCAGTCTGAAAGAAAAGAATGTTAATGAGCAATAAGAAATCATCTGAAGTTACAAAACTCACTGGTGCTAGTAAGTCCACAGGAAAACAGAATATTTGTGTCAAAAAACAACATATGAGTGTAAACTATTCATATGTTGAGTAGAAAGACCACAAGATAAACCTACAAAAATAATAACTACAACAACTCTTCAAGACATAGTATAATAAGATATAAATAGAAAGAACAAAAAGTTAAAAAGAAAAGGGATGAAGTTAAATAGTAGAGTTTTTATTGGTTTTCTTTTTGCTTGTTAGTTTTTTTTTAAAGGCAATTAGTGTTAAGTTGTCATCAGTTTAAAAATAATGATTTATAAGATATTATTTGCATGCCTTATGGTAGCCTCAAATCAAAAAAACTACAACAGATGCAAAACAAATAAAAAACAAGGAATTAAAAAATACCACCAGAGAAAATCACCTTTACTAACAGCAAGATGCAAGAAAAGGGAAAAAGGAAAAGAAGACAACAAAACAACCAGAAAACAAACAAAACAACAGGAGTTAGTCCTTACTTACCAATAATAACATTGTAAATGGACTAAACTCTCCAATCAAAAGACATAGAGTGGCTGAATGGATAAAGAAAAAAAAGACCCAACAATCTGTTGCCTACAAAGAACACATGTCACCTATAAAGACACATATAGACCAAAAATAAAGGGATGGAAAAAGATATCTATGCAAATGGAAACCAAAAAGAGCAGGAGTAGCTATACTTATATTAGACAAAATAGATTTTGAGACAAAAACTGTAAAAAGGACAAAGAAGGTCATTATGTAGTGATAAAGGAGTAAATTTAGCAAGAGGATATAACAATAGTAAATATATACGCACCCAACACTGGAGCACCCAGATATATAAAGCAAATATTATTAGAGCTAAAGAGAGAGATCAACCTCAATATAATAATAGCTGCAGACTTCAACACCCCACTTTTAGCACTGGAAAGATCATCCAGACAAAAGCGAGAAAGAAACATCAGAGTTAATCTTTACTATAGAACAATGTATCTAATTGATATTTCTAGAACATTTCGTCCAATGGCTACAGAATACACATTTTCTTCTCAGCACATGGATTATTATCAAAGATAGACTGTATGTTAGGCTACAACAAAACAAGGCTTAAAAAATTCAAATTATTGATATCATATCAAGCATCTTCTCTGACCACAATGGAATAAAACTGTAAATCAACAACAGGAGGAATTTTGGAAACTATACAAACACATGGAAATTAAATAATATGCTCTTGAATGATCAGTGGGTCAATGAAGATATTAAGACGGAAATTAAAAAATTTCTTGACACAAATGTAAATGGAAACATAACATATCAGAACCTATGGGATACAGTGAAAGCAGTACTAAGAGGAAAGTTTATAGCAATAAGTGTCTATTTCAAATAAGTAGAAAAACTTCAAAAAAGCAACCTAACAATGCACTTAAAGAACTAGAAAAGCAAGAGCAAACCAAACTCAAAATTAGAAGAAGAAATAATAAAGATCAGAGCAGAAATAAATGAAATTGAAATGAATAAAATACAAAAGATTAATGAAACAAAAAGTAGGTTTTTGAAAAGATAAAATTGACAAACCCTTAGCCCAACTAAGAAAAACAGGGAACGCCCAAATAAATCAGAGATGAAAATGGAGACTTTACAATTGATACCACAGAATTTCAAAGGATCATTAGAGGCTACTATGAGCAACTACATGCCCATTAATTGGAAAACCTAGAAGAAATGGTTAAATTCCTAGACACATATAAACTACCAAGATTGAACCATTAAGAAATTAAAACCCGGCTGGGCGTGGTGGCTCAAGCCTGTAATCCCAGCACTTTTGGAGGCTGAGGCGGGCGGATCCTGAGGTCAGGAGATTGAGACCATCCTGGCTAACAGTGAAACCCCGTCTCTACTAAAAATACAAAAAAAAAAAAAAAAAAAAATTAGCCGGGCGTGGTGGCAGGCCCCTGTAGTCCCAGCTACTCGGGAGGCTGAGGCAGGAGAATGGCGTGAACCCGGGAGGCGGAGCTTGCAGTGAGCCGAGATTGCACCACTGCACTCCAGCCTGGGCGACAGAGTGAGACTCCGTCTCAAAAAAAAAAAAAGAAATTAAAACCCAAACAGACCAATGACATGTAATGAGAGCAAAGCCATAATGTAAAGTTTCCCAGTAAGGAAAAGCCCGGCACCCAATGGCTTCACTGCTGAATTTTATCAAACATTTAAAGAGAAACTAACACCAATCTTAATCGAGCTGTTCTGAAAAACAGGGAAGAAATACTTCCAAACTCATTTTTCTGAGGCTAATATTACCCTGATACCAAAACCAAAAAAAAGACACGTCAAAAAAAGAAAAGGACAGGCCAATATCTCTGATCAATATTGATGCAAAAATCCTCAACAAAATATAAGAATACTGAATTCAACAACACATTAAAAAGATCATTCATCATGATCCAGTGGGCTTTATTCCAGGGATGTGAGAATGGTTCAACATACACAAATCAATGTGATACATCATATCAACAGCATGAAGGACAAAAATCATATAATCATTTCGACTGATGTTGAAAAAGTATTTTATAAGATCCAACATTCCTTAATGATAAAAACCCTAAAAAAACTGGGCATAGAAGGTACATACCTCAACACAATAAAAGTCATATTCAGCAGACCCACAGCTAGTATCATACTGAAAGGGGAAAACCTGAAAGCCTTTCCTCTGAGATCTGGAACATAACAAGGATGCCCACTGTCATGTTTGCACTGTTATTCAACATAGTACTGGAAGTCCTAGCTAGAGCAATCAGATGGGAGGAAGAAAGGGAATCCAAAAAGGACAGGAAAAAGTCAAGTTATCTTTGTTTGCAGCTATTATATTTGAAAAAACCTAAAGACTCCACCAAAAAACTATTGGAACTGATGAACAAATTCAGTAAATTTGCAGGATACTAAAATCAACATGCGAAAATCAGTAGCATTTCTCTCTCTCTGTTTTTTTTTGAGACAGTTTCTCACTCTGTTGCCCAGGCTGGAGTTCACTGGCATGATCTTGGCTCACTGCAACCTCCACCTCCGCCTCCCAGGCTCAAGTGATCCTGTCACCTCAGCCTCCCAAGTAGCTGGGGCAACAAATGTGCACCATCACGCCTGGCTAAGTTTATGTTGTGTGTGTGTGTGTGTGTGTGTGTGCGCGCGCGCGTGTGTGTGTTTTGTAGAGACAGGGTTTTGTCAGGACAGATCTTTCAAGTTGTCCAGGCCGGTCTTGAACTCCTGAGCTCAAGTCATCCGCCTGCCTCAGTCTCCCAAAGTGTTGGGTTTACAGGCATGAGCCACTGTGCCTGACCCAGTAGCATTTCTACATACTAATAGTGAACACTCTGAGAAAGAAATCAGGGAAGTAATTCCATTTACAATAACTATAAATAAAATGCATAGGAGTAAATTTAGACAAAGAAGTGAAAGATCTCTATAATAAAAATAATAAAACATTGATGTAAGAAATTGAAGAGGATATAAAGGAAATGGAAAGATACTCCATGTTCATGCACCAAAAGAATCAGTACTGTTAAAATGTTCATACTACCCAGAGCAATCTATAGATTCAATGCAATCTCTATCAAAATACCAATGATATTTTTCACATAAATAGAACAAACAATCATAAAATTTATATGAAACCACAAAAGACCAGAAGAGCCGAAGCTATCCTGAGCAAAGAGAACAAAATTGGAGGAACCACATTACCTGACTTCAAGTTATACTATAGAGCTATAGTAACCAAAATGGCATGGTACTGGCATAAAAACAGACACATAGACCAAGGGAACAGAATAGAGAACCCAGAAACAAATCCAGACGTCTACAGTGAACTCATTTTCAACCAAAGTGCCAAGAACTTCCATTGGGGAAAGGACAATCTCTTCAATAAATGGTGCTGGAAAAACTGGATATCCTTATGCAGAAGAATGAAACTAGGGCCCCAAAAATAAAATTAAAATGGATTAAAGACATAAATCTAGACCTGAAATTATGAAACTACCAAATGAGAACATTGGGAAAATGCTCCAGGATATTGGTCTGGGCAAAGATTTTTTGTGTAAGACCTCAAAAGCATAGGCAGCAAAAGTAAAAATAGACAAATGAAATCACAGCAAGCAAAAATACTTCTGCACTGCAAAGAAAACAATCAACCAAGCAAAGAGACAGCCCATAGAGTGGGAGAAAATATTTGCAAACTATCCATTTGATAGGAGATTGATAAACAGCATATATAAGAAGCTCAAACAACTCTATAGGAAAAAAAAATCTAATAACCTGCTTTAAAAATGGGCAAAAGATCTGGATAGACATTTCTCAAAAAAAGACATACAAATGGCAAACAGGTATATGAAAAGGTGCTCAATATCATTGATCATTGGAGAAATGCAAAACAAAACTACAATGAGATATCATCTCACCCCAGTTAAAGTGGCTTTTTTCCCCGTTAAAAGACAGGCAATAACAAATGCTGGCAGGGATGTGGAGAAAAGGGAACCCTCGTACACTGTTGGTGGGAATGTAAATTAGTACAACCACTATAGAGAACAGTTTGGAGATTCCTCAAACAACTAAAAATAGAGCTAACATAGGATCCACCAATCCTATTACTAGGCATATAAATATATGCACCCACTATGCACATACCCCATAAATATGTGTGCCTATTATTTACCCATAAAAATAAAAAAATAAATGCTGTGTGTTATAGTGAAAGACAGTAGGAGAATTCCCAGGGTCAGATCTGATTGCTTTTGACATGCAAATAAATCTCCAGAACATGAATAGAAACCTAGCCTCTGTACCAGAATCTGACTGTAAGACTTGTACTTTCAATTGTCCTCTTACATCTTGGAACATTTAATTACCTGCTATCCTGAAATTTGTAGAATTCCCATACCTGATTATCTCTTGCTTTGAGAAGCTTGACTCAGCATCAGTGTAATTTGACATCTTGTTCTCCTAATTCATCGTGGCTGAAAAGATTTTTCTCTTGTTCTGTCTTCATTGAGTTTTCATAGATTCATTCCACTCTCATGGCTTAATGACTTTGGGTTGTCTGTTGGCCTTGTGAATCTAATTCCTGTTAGCAATGTTTCTCTCTCTTGAACTCAGTTTCTTCTGGCATTTCCTCCTAATGAGAACACTGAAGTAATAAATTCTCTCAATAAAATTCTCTATACAGTCACAGTCTGAGTAAGTGGAGCCAGACGACTTATTCAGGTGAGCCAGGTAGGAGCATACCTTCTGGCCCAGACACTTGTAAATGAGACAGTTCTGCCTTGCAGAACTTGTTTTAAGAATTAATATTAATTTTTACAAGATGTCTGGTATGTAACAGGTACCCAATAAATGGAAGATATCAGTATTATTATTAACATTAGGTACAGGGCTATCTCTTTGAAAAGCAATTACATTAATGTACCAAAATGAAATATTAATATGATAAAAGCTATCCCGTGTGTGTACGGGGGAGCTAGGAGAGGGGTACAATTCAGTGAAGTCTAAGTGCCTTATCTTTTGTGATCTTGCTTGACCCAGGGCTATATTAATTCTTTGCCAAAATAGGCACCTTGTTCTTCAGACAATCAGCCATAAGTATTATTTTCCTCAGTGTACCTTCTGATTAATATTTAGTGTGAGACTAATGGCTATTAGGGGGATGCATTGAGTATTGACTCATGTTAAAATCAATACTCAGAACAGAGGGAGGTTGAAGCTGAGATACAACTTACATCGGGGAAAGCATGGCTAAGCCATTAGCAATTTCCACCTAAACTTAAAAGAATGAGACCTTTTTCCTGACTTCCTATAGGTTATGTGAACAATTTTTAGAATTCCATTTTGACTTTATCTACAGCATTTTTGAGTGTATGTCTTTGTTTAGATTTTCTAGTGGTTGCTCTAGATACTACATTCTATCTATCTATTTATCTATCTAATCTTAACAGTTTACTGGCACTGATATTTTACCAGTTTGAGTGAAGAGTAGAAAATTTACCTCCCTTTAAGTCTCTTTACCTTCTCCTTTTTAAGATAGAGTTGTCTTAAATATTTCCTGTCTGTATCTTGAGCACCACGTCATATAATACTATAATTTTTGCTTTAGCTATCAAACATAATTTGGAAAACTCAAAGAAGAAGGCAAATATATTGTACTTCCCTATATGCTTACTCTCGCTGCTGTCTTTTCTTCCTGATGTTCCAAAATTCCTTTTTTAGCATTTGCATTCTGTTTCAAGAATTTTCTGTAGCCATTCTTTTCGAGTGTAGATGCTGACAACAAATTCTCTTAAGTTTCATTAACTGGAGGATTCCTTGAGTCTCCAGATGCAGGATGCTACCAGGTTCATAGTTTTTTCTTTCAACATTAGAAAAATGTTGTCCCTGCTCCTGTCCTCCAGGGTTTCTGATGAGAAATCTGCTGTCTTTTCAATTATTTTTCCCTATATGTTATACATTGTTTTTCTCCCTGCTTTTTAAGTCTTTGTCTTTAGTTTTCAGAAATTTTATTATCATATCTTAAATTTCTGTAGGTTTCTCTATCTGGATTGTGTGGATTTCTATCTTTTGTCAAACTGGGAATCTGTCAGTCAAATTATTCTTTTCAAATACTTTTTCAGTCCCAACATCTCTTTCTGTTCCTTCACAGATGCCAATGACATGAATGCTAAAACTTTTGTTATAATCCCACAAGCCCCTGAGGTGTGTTCATTTTATTTTTCATCATATTCTCTATTGTTTAGATTTAGTGATTTTTTTTCTTCTACTTCAAGTTTGCCAATTCTTTCATCTGTTTTCTTCATTTCTCTATTGAGTTATTATTATTTTTTTAATTTCAGTTGTACTTTCCCACTTCAAAATTTCCATTTGCTGAGACTTTGTAATTGTTAAATTTGCTTTAAGCATGTCTGTAATTGCTCATTGAGGCACGTTTATGATGGTTGCTTTAACATCCTTGCCAGGTAATTCCAACATCTGTGTCATCCCCGTGTTGACATCTGTTGATTGGCTTTTCTCGTTCAAGTTGAGATTTTCATGGTTCCTTGGTATGATGAATGTTTTTTGTTTTTGAATATATTCTGGACATTAACTCTGAGAGTGGTGAAAGTCCTTGCTTCTCAGTTGGTCTTCTTGACACCATCACCAGTGGGAGGTGGTGCCTCATTATCCCCAGGTGGTGGTGGATGTCCTGGCTTTCCACTTGGCCTTTGCTGACAAAAGTGGTAGTAAAGCCATAACTTTTCCAACAACGTTTGGTTGGAGTAGTGTGGTTATTGTCCAAAAGTTTTTTTGTCTTTCTGGGCTGTGCTCTCTTGTTTCTTTGGTTAGAAAGAGCGTGACTTTATTGGAGCTTATTTTGTCTGTGCCCATTGGAAGTTTCAGGTTGCCAGCTTCTTCTGTCTCGATTTTAGAATATTTGAGGCAAACAACAACAACAAAACCAAAACCAAACCCAGGGAACTCACCACTGTGTTATTTCTCCAGTCCCAAGGTCTCTGGTTTGCCTTCTTCTCTATCTCTAAGAGTCTTCTTATGTTTGTTTTATTTATAATACCCATGATTTTTAGCTGTCCTTAGTGAGAAGAATAGAAATAAGTATATCTACTCCATCTTGTCTAAAACTCTAAAAGTTTTTCTCTGAGATTTTTATCCTTGCAAAGACGGAAACAACTCAGTTGAAGACTAAAGTTTAGAATTATGGAGAAATAACACAAAGAACTTTAATAATATTACTCCAAGCTGTTGAATGCCAACTGTGTGCCAGAAATGTACAATCAGTTATTTCTAATCCTTACAATAATATTATAAAGCAGTTATTACAATTCCAATTGTATAGATGAGGTAAATAAGTTCATAGAGATTTGTAATTTGTCCATGATTTCTTAACGACTACATGTTGAAACCAGGAATCAAACTTCTATCTGATTCTAAAGACTGAGCTTTTATTCATAAGTTAAAATATAAAGATGAGTGGGTGTAACCACCCAGCAGGTTCACCTAGCCCACTGCCTAGACAGAGCCAATTTATCAAGACAGGGGAATTGCAATAGAGAGTTTAATTCACACACAGCTGGCTGGACGGGAGACCAGAGTTTTATTGTTGCTCAAACCATTCTCCCCCAAAACTCAGGGATTGGGGTTTTTAAGGATAATTTGGTGGATAGGGGGTGAGAACATGGGGAGTGCTGTTTGGTCAGGTCAGAAATGAAATCACAGGGAGTCAAAACTGTCCTCTTCTACTGAGTCAGTTCCTGGGTGAGGATCATAAGATCAGATGAGCCAGTTTATCCGTGTGAGTGTTGCGGTTGATTCACCCAGTGCAAGGTCTGCAAAATATCTCAAGCACCGATGTTAGGTTTTACAACAGTGATGTTATCCCGAGGAGAAATCTGGGAGGTTTAGAATCTTTCAGCCTCCAGCCACATGACTCCTAAACCATAATTTCTTATCTTGTAGCTAATTTGTTAGTCCTGGAAAGGCAGTCTAGTCCCCAGGCAGGAAGGGGGTTTATTTCGGGAAAGGGCTGTTACCATCTTTGTTTCAAAGTCAAACTATAAACTAAGTTCCTCTCAAAGTTAGTTCGGCCTATGCCCAGAAATGAATAAGGACAGCTTGGAGATTAGAAGCAAGATGGAATTGGTTATGTCAGATATCTTTTAGTATCGTAATTTTCTCAGTTATAATTTTTGCAAAGGCAGTTTCAGGGAGAATGGAGGTTGGGCCTGCAGATGAAAAATGAGAGTGGTTATTCCCAAGTTTCAAGCTATTATCATGATGAGATGACAATACAAATATTCTAAGATGCCCTCACTTACAGATAGCATGTGCTGGACTACATGTATGGGCTGTCAGAAAATATTCCTATTAGTGGTGGTTAAAATATTTCCTCTTTTTATACTGGGGTTGTTGCGGTGAAGAGTTCAAAATATATGAAGATTAGGAGGGAATTCAACTCAATTTATTCAACTCATGATTCTTTGCAGCTCATAATGGTAATATCAGATAAATATTTATTGAATGAATAATTACTACTTATCAAACACTCGTTAGGTTCTAAGTTTGGGGTTTTGCTACATTATCCCTCTTCCTTAAAACAATCTGTCAAGTGGGTGCTATTATTAATAATACAATTATATAATTATTTACATAAAGCAATGGAGGTTTTGAAACAAATTAGGTGATTTATCTAACATAGGTTAAAAATGGCTGAACTGGAATTTGAATCTAGCCCCTCTCTAACACCTGGGTTCTTGGACACAACACACCCTACCAACAAGTGCTGAGAGAAATTAGAGGAAGCCTGACTGCAGAGATGAGATAGGCCCAACAGAGAGCAGAAACATTCCTGTAAATGCTGCTATACTGAAGCCAGGAATCAGAGTATGTTGTTAATTGACACCTATTGGTTAGAGCCACCTAGGTAGATACTTCAAATTCGCCCTTTTAGAATGGTTGGTACTTTGTCTTTGTACTAAGATCCAGTGACATTTGCCCCTAATTTATCTTCGTGTGTTAGTTCTGTCTGGAAAGCTCCACAGTCACTGCATGACCCTTGAGGAGAGGATACCATTATTTATATTATTATTTTTCTCTGGTTCCTTTTGTTCTTTTAATCCAAACCTTTGTCATTGATGAGTCTGAGTATTTAGGAACAGCAGAGGGAAAAAAAGTTAACTTTGGTTTGAACACTTTTAATGCTGCAACTCCATAAATAGTTAAGTGCCAGTTTGAAATAGTGTCTTTTGTGTTGCTCTGATGTCATACTGTCAATTATCATTATTTTGGACTTTATGATAATATATATCCAGCTAGCTGACATTAAACTTTGATTAATGTTTAGAATCAAATGCCTTTGGAAAAGTGAGTCTATGCCAAAAAATGGTGTAAATAAGATTTCAAGTGGGAACATTTACTTATTTAAGACAACAAACTAATTAAAAACTTGAGTAGTTATAAAACCAAATAGCATTAGGTTGCAATCACTCTGTCCATACAGTTTATCTTACATATTAAAAACAGACCATTTTTATCCATTCACTAAAGTGAAGACTAACAGAAATTGGATAAGCTAGATCCAGTTACTGTCTAAACTTGAAGGTAAACTATACTTATTTTTAACTAGTTCATTTTGTATTACTTCCTGAAGTACAAATGAGCTATTCACTGAGAATCTAGGGAAAATTCCAGATCTGTTAGCCAATTCAGCAGTCTGCACAGTGGTTGACTGATGGTGTTGATTGGTGTCTGCGAGATTTTGAGAGCTCTGAAAGTATCAAACAGAACAACACACACGAAAAAGTAGGGTATGGATTGGAAGACCTGGGAGTGTTTCTAACCCAAAGGACTTTCTATATACTTTAGCGTCTAAAAAATTCTTGGCCTTCTATAAAGCTGTCCCCAGCAGCAGATGAGGGTGGCCTTCTGCTAACTAGTTACCTTCCCCCGGGGTCCTAGTTGTAGTTCCAGATCAGAGATTGGAAAACTAGTTCAGATGACCTCCTACTCAACAATGGATTTGAATTTAGAAACTTAGGTGCAAATGAATAATGATGTTTATTCCAAAAGAGAGTGTTTTTCCTAGTTTTGAAGATAAGTTGAAGATTATAAAGGATGGACCTTCGAGTAGTCATCATTTACTACTGGGTGAATGTTTATCAGTGTTAGGGTCTGAAATTTTTACTTCCCTTTTCAGGCATTAGTCTGAAGCAGCCAGTGTATTTAAATAAGCCAGGTAGCACTTGATTGGCCTCTGGTGATTCTATTTAAGTCCATCCATCCTGGGTCAGATGATCTAGAGGTAACTGCAGAAACAGATCTCCTGGTAATTGTTGCTAGCTGCAGAAATATTTTAACTGCTGGTTTTCTTTAAATTATGATTTACTCCATGGTAAAATGGTAAAGTTGGCACTCTTAATTCCAAATTTTGAATCTAAAGGTTAAGAAAAAATCAGGGTCTCAGATATAGAAGCTTTTGGAATAGGGAAGGATTTAAACCAAAGGTAACTAGCTTTAGGTAATATAGAAAGACAGTTAAAAAAAATAACCCCAAAACAAGAACGACTCCCACCACCCACCACTGTTTTATTTCTTGGCTCACTCTACTTTGTATGTGTGTGCACTTGTTCACATTTAAAATTACTCTCAAATGTATTCAAGTAATAACTTGATTTTAAAACTAGTCAGGGTGATTTTGGCATTTTGTTATAAGACAGTGTTATGTAAACTCTTATTGGGTAAGGCTTCAGAAAAGAGTGTTTTTTTCCCTTCTTTTAAATAGTCAGAACTAGCTTATTTGTGGAAAGAATGTAGCTTAATATTCTTAATTTGCTTTTGGATTTTCTGCTTGCGTGTCTGTACATTAAGAGTTGGTCATGCTTCTCAATTTAAGAAGGAAAAGTGTTTTCCTAACTTCAGCAAGATGTTAGGTAAATAGCCAACTTCATAAGAGAGCTTTATGCACTACTTGGATGGAAGCATCAGTATCAGATTATCTTTTATAAAGTTTTATAATTTGTTTCGTGCTGTGACACATGTTTAAAATACTCAGGATTCCTTCTGGCTTACATATCAAACTACAACAAAAATCCCTTTATTTGACTATACTGAAAAAAACTTTCTAAATAACAAAATCTTACTAGCTCAATAAAATACTCTATCATCTGAGAGAAAGTGGAAAGGGCATGTTAATCTAGACAATATGAAAAATGTAGGCTGGACCTGGTGGCTCACGCCTGTAACCCCAAGCACTTTATGAGGCTGAAATGGGCAGATTGCTTGATCATAAGAGTTTGAGACTAGCTGAGGCAGTATGGTGAAACCTCATCTCTACCAAACAAAAACAACAACAACAAAACAAAAAACAAAAATTAACAGGATGTGATGGCATGGGCCTGTAGTCCCAGCTACGCCGGAGGCGGAGGTGGGAGGATCTTTTGAGGCCCGGAGGGGGCGGTTGCAGTGATCTGTGATCCTGCCACTGCATTCCAGCCTGGGAGATAGAGTGAGACCCCATCTCAAAAGAAAAGAAAAGAAAAGAAAAGAAAGACGCAAATCTAAAGATGTCCCTGAGGGAGGCTCAGGTCACTACCTAAGGAGAAGTCAAAGAAGAATAAAGAAAAATGAAAAAGTCTGCTACGTTAAAAGTTCTGAAACATTTTCCTGTAAATGTCTATTTTTTTAAAATGGCAATATTAAGCTTCAGAAACATTGGTTTAACATCTATATTTATTCTTCCAGCCAATCGATGCAGACTACTTCAGATGTGTATATCTATTACTTTTTTGTCTTTATTGATTTCTGGAACTCCCTCTCAATATTTATTTCTTTTTGTTGAAAATTTGTGTTTTGTCACATTAAGAAATCTTAAGATATCTGCTATCCACCCGTTTCAAATTAATTAATTTTTTTTCTCCTGGTTCATAATCCTCACAAAAATACTCAAAGTTAACCTGGCCCTATTTCAAACTCTGGCCAGAAGTGTCTGGGTTATTTTTAACTTAAGTATCCTTTGGAAGAAAATTTTATAAACAAACCAAAAGTAGCCTTTGATAATAGAATGTGCATGAATTTGGGATGCAGGTAGAATTGGTTAAATTATTTAGACTGAGCTTTAGCTTTCTTATCTATAAATTGGAGGGAAATATACTAATTTCATAATGTTACAAGGATCAGATATTTAAAAAGTGCACATTCCACTAAAGCTCTTTGCACATGAGTGCACAATAAAGGACCACTATTTTTAAATCATAAGAATTTTACAATTTAGTCCTGAAAAAGAACAGAATGCTTACAAATAGAGTTGTTTTTGTTCATTTTCTAGGCACATGCTAGCTTGACTGAATTATTCTCCTTACCTAGTTTATGATAAGTCCTGGTTATCTATATATCTGAAAAAACCTTTATTTTGTTTGTTACCTTTGCACTGCCTAATTTGAGAAGTGGCTTTGAAAAATATGTGATAGTCCATTCTCTTTCAAAGTATAGAAGCCTAGCATGCTTTCAATAGTTCTGAATGAATTGTTGTGTTTAGGCAATGGTTATTTGACTCTTCAAAATTAAGTGCATCCTCAAATTGTTTTGTCATATGGCTGTGCCGTTAGAGGTAGTCATCTTTCAGGTTGACTTAAAAGTTTGTCTCTCACTGTCTCTCTTACTCTCCATCAGATTGTGTTTTCTCAATAGCTTGCAACAATATCCTTCATTTCACATGCTCCTCTTTCAATGTGACGTTGACACTCCTTCCATTTGAAATGTGGGTTTCTTGTGTCCTCCTTATAAATCTGGTGGTACTGTGTGACACTATGTGACTTCCAACACAAGGTCATAAAAGCAATAAGACTTCTGCCTGGCTCTCTTGGGATGTCTGCTCTTGGAACCCAGCTGCCATGCTGTGAGAACCGAAACTAGTCCACATTGGGAGACCACATGGAGAATACACAGGTATGTTTTCTGGCTGACAGACCAGCTGAGGTCCCTGCTGACAGCCAGCATCAACTGCCAGACATGTTAGTGAAGACTGCTGGAGATGATTCTAATCCTCAGCCGTTGAGTCACACCGTCCTCTCCTTGCCTTCAAGTCTTCCCAGCTGAGGCCTCTGACATCAGGAGCTGTGCTCTGTGTGAAATACTGACCCACAAAAATCAGTGAACATTAAAAAATCGCTCTTTTAAGATACAGAACTGTGTTTAGAGATGGTTTGTTACTTAGCTGTAGATCTGGAACACTTTCTTTTCCTTTTCTCTGTTCCTCCTTCCACGGGCATGTCAATGGAACTTAATTCTGCATTACTGAGATGCATATTTTGAATAGACGTGCAGTGATCAAAATGGCTTGCCTTTTCTCAGAGCATGCTATGTGCTAGGCACCATTCGTTGTGAACACTGTATATATATATTTAAATCTTCCAATAATACGACAAGAGTACTACTATTACCTGTATTATTTTCCCTACCTACAAATGAACAAACTGAGTCATGAAGAATTTGTATAACTTGTCAATGTCAAATATCTATTAAGCTTTGGCTCCAAAACCCTCACTTGAACATTGTAAGGTATAGAGGTAAGTGAAAATAATATTAAAATTCCAGGCAGGGAGAGTTCAGTTTACTTTTTAGGTGTATAGATTGAAAATGTTAAATTCCAAATATACTAAAAACTTTATTTATTTATTTATTTTGAGATAGGGTCTCACTCTGTCACCCAGGCTGGAGTGCAGTGGCACGATCTCAGGTCATTGCAACCTCCACCCGCCCCGGGCTCAAGTGAGCCTTCCACCTCAGCCTCCCAAGTAGCTGGGACTACAGGTATGTGGCACCATGCCCAGCTGTTTTTTAAAAGAAACATTCTGTAGACACGGGGTTCTGCCATGTTGCCCTGCCTGGTCTCCAACACCTTGGTTCAAGTGATCCACCCCTGTGGCCTCCCAAAGTGTTAGAGTTACAGTTGTATCCCTTTTTTTTAGTAGCTTAACAGTTTAGTAACTTAATCCACAGTTTCTGGGATCCAGGAAACTGTGAATTAGTAAATCTAAGCTTAGAAATCAAGATTAGCTTTCAGTTCTGTCTTTTACAATTATATTTCTTCTATCCTCAGATGCACATTTTTTTCAACATTTTGCCAACTCTGAAATGAGAATGCCTTTTACAATTGGTCATGTTTCATCATCGAATTTAAGTCATTTTTGGTGTTATATATAAAATAATGATCCTTCTTACAATAGATGCTGTCTTATTTTGGTAAAATGCATATATTATACATTTTTAACCTATCTGACATATACTATTGTTGCAACAATGGCATGCATAGATAAGGACAGGACAAATAATTCAAGAACCCTCCTAAGTCATTGCTGCAATGTTAAACTGAATAGTGAAAGAGTGTCAGAGATCTAGCAGGCTCTAAAATAAGGCCAGTGTTAGCATCCATTGTTACCTCGAAAGTATATGTATGAAAGCCCATTTCCCTCGGGTAATTGTCTTCACATACAGACACTTGGGAATCAATATTTAACAAAGTCACTGCTAGAATTAGGTTTCACAGGGATACAGCCCAAACCCAGCCCAATTTACTTGGGGAACTGCTGGTGTTGCCAATTAGTCTATTCTTCCGTACATAAAGGCAGCTCCTGCATCAAAGTTCTCTGGTACCTCATTTTATTCTGACATTTTTCTTGTAATATTTTTTCCTAAATTGATTATCTTATATTTAGCTTTTTCCAAAATATCAGAGTACCTTGCAAGCTTTCGTATCAACTTACAGTTTTTTTCATCATTGGTAGTGGTGAAAGTGCTAAACATTGCTGATTCTTGTTTTCATCCACCGTATCCAATTTTCAGAGTTCAGTCATGTTCCTACAGGTTTAACTTAGTGATTTTCATGTGTTTAGTGATTTTCATGTGCTGGATCGGGCCAGTTCAAGGTCCTGATATTCATTAAAAGAATGATCACATTGTAATAAGAGTTGGGATTCTTTTAGGTAGTGCTTATAAAAGGAAAGCATTGTAGTGACCAACCAGGTAGTAAATGGTTGATCTACTGGGGCCATTGTAGCCATAATCCCTGACTCAATAGCTCCACATCTTTTGGTTTACATTCTTTCTTTTAGTCAGGCTGTTGCTCTTACAACTGACTTTCTGGTCCGCTGAGGAAGAAAGGTTTCAAGAGATTGGTTCTATACTCCTCTGAGAATTTCCTTTTGTTTCGAAGGGAAAAACAGCAAGTAACTGTTTTTAGATTAAATGAAGCATCTATTTCAGTTCGTAATGTATAAATTGTAGTAATTAAAGGTAGAATGACTTTTTAAGTAATTATATTGCATGCGATACAATCCCAAAGAGATGTAGTGCTTTCTAAGACTACCTGGTTAGATGGTTGGTGTGTACAACTGCCAGGGTTTACTAAAGCCAAAGAGGCAGTGTTCTGAGTTTAGATGAGAGAACAAAAGGAACTAGTCGTTTGAAGAGCTGCCTGGGAAAAAGTGTTTCAGGCAGGAGCAGCAAGTGCAAATAATCTGAGGTAGGAAAGAGATTCTCAGCGTGATAGAACAAAGTAAGCAGCCGGTGTCCCTGACATCCCAAGTAAGCAAGAGAGAGATTGATACTCAACTGATGGAGAGAAGAGCAGGGAAACAGAAATGGATCATAAGCATTTGACCTGCTAGGAATCATTGATATTGTTAGTTGCCTCCTTAACCTCCGTTTTCCTCTATTTGATGTTCCCTACTTTTTGAGTTTTACCTTCCTTTATGCATTGGTCATGTACTTCAAGAGGAAGCTGACTGCTCTCCATTTCCATGATTGGGTCCTGGTTGGCTTGGGCCTATCAGCGTATTTCAACTCCATGGTCAAGACATTGTTTCCAGGGAAAACTAGAGGACCCTTTCTCCTTCCTTTTGGACATGAAAACAACTTGTTGTCCTGATTGCATTTTGTAGACATCTTATGAGCTGTCATTGGGAGAAATTCAACATTGTGGATGGTAGAAGAAAGTAGAAAACGGGACTTTGATGACAATTTTGAGCTCTGGATTTTTAAAATATAAGTTAATAAATGTCCTTCATTGTTTAAGCCAACTTGATTTGGATTTCCTTGTTTTGGCCTGTAGAGTCACAGTCCATTGAAAAGTAATGGTTTTATGCCAGGGAATGGCATTGCCCTTGTGCCATTTTTAAAAAGTTTATTCTAGTTTAAATAATAAAGGTATCTATTGACTCACAAAGGGAAAAACCAGAGCATGGAGAAAGGGTAAGATGTCATTGTAGTAATGTATGTAAGGGAGTAGTGATTAAACCTAGGCTAGTGACATTGCAAATAGAGAAAAACACATATAGAAAAAAATATATTTTGGCACTAGCACCAACAGGACTTGTTAAAGGGTTGTTTTTAGGAAACGAGGAATACAAATAATCATGGATGACCTCCCCAAAACTGTAGGAAGGTTTTGGTTTAAAAAATTAAGATGATGCCATTTACTGAAATGGGAGTAGCTGGTTTGGGCATGGGTGGAAAACAAGGATTTCAGTTCCCGATATGTTAAAGTGTAAAAGAACTGTTTTTCTTTGATGAGGATATGCCAATTATATAGTTTTATATATGAGTGTGTGACTCAGTGGAGAAATCAAGGCTGAAGATATGGTTTGCGAGACATCAACATGTAATTGGGTTTTAAATAAATGAAATGAGATGAAGTAATCCATGGAGAGATTGTAGATAAAGAGTTAAGGAGAGCCTGGGATAGAGCTCATGCACTTCAAAGTTTGGAGGTTGACTAGAAGAGCTTGGGACGAGATTAGGGAAAATTGGCCAGAAAGGCAGTTGGGAAATGGAGGATGGAGAGTTACAGTAACAAAAAGAGGAATTGTTTCAAGAGGGGTATTAACACTGTGGAATCCTGATGAGAGTTTGAGTAGGGAGTGAAAGATATGTATATAATCAAAGAATAATTTAATCATGTTTTATATTTAAGACAGATATGTTCTAATATCTATGCTTTGAAGATAATATTTCATGAATGATGAATCATAATTAAGCAGAATGTCATTTATATGTCCATATATTTCAGAGAAAAATAAATAAATAAATAAATAAATAAATAAATAAATAAAGTAAGCAGAACATTTTACCAAAGTAATGATTCTAATTCAACTAACTCTCAGGCACTATAAGGCTCTATCCAATAAAAAGAATTGAAAATATTCCCATATTTACTTGCAGTTCTCAAAGAACATTAATGGAGATCTATGCCATAGTTCATAGCCTCATTTCTCTTAAGTGTCTTTCCTTTTCTCCTTTAATTCTCTCAAATTTGTAGAAGAGAGAGGGGAGAGGGGAACAATGAATGTGTGTGTATACACGTGTGTGTCTGTTTGTCCCTAATATTTTTCCCACATCTCTTGCAGATACCCATCTCTTTTGTTTCTCTTTTATTCCACCTTCCCCCATGTCTTACCACACTGCCATCTCCCCGTGGTTGCTGAGATTTTTGGTCCTAGTGCCAGCCATTGGAGACCATTCTCGGAGGATTAAAAGACCCAATTATTTCTCTGGACTTTCCTCCTGGAGGGAAATGCAAGAAGTTCCTTGGAAAGTGTGTATTCTTCTTTCACTCTGATTGATGTTTCCTTGTAGAGAAACTCAGAGGAATCAAATTATCTTTCTTCTTAAATCTAATTTGCTAGCTCTGTTGGATGAGAGAGTTTAGGGTTCAAATGGCTTCTCTTTTTGGGGGAATATTCATTTTAAATAAATTTTCCTACTCATTAATTCCAAAAGTCAAAATGCCAAATTTTAGAGGACTTAAAACATTCACTGAATTTGTGAAATAGTTTTTCATTCCAGTGATTGAATCTTGCTTTTCTTTTGTTGCTGCTTTGGAGAAGGTTAATGTGCTTCCCATAATGTCATCACTCTGTTGAAATCCATCTGTCCCATAGCTCGGCAGTGGTGCAGCCCTTTCAAGTTCTGCAGGGAAACAAGATCAAATAAAAATATCCAGCTCTTCGACAAGTATATGAAAAACAAAAAGAAAAAGCCCATAAAGAAGAGACAGAGCAGATACCCTTGCCCTAAAGGTGTAATGTGAAACTAATGTTTTGTTAAACCTGTTGAGCATTACTCAGATTTCTTCATGAGTACATTCACACCTGGGGGAAAAAAATGACCCCTGTCATACTATGGAAAGAAACAACAGAAATTACTAGAGGAAGGAAAGTAGATAGGCTCCATTTTCTGGTTCCAGTTGGAAATTTAACTTGAATCTTTTTGTTAGAGCTAAAATATGCTTATACTGTACATTTTTAAGAGTTCTCTCAATGGGAGAAACATAGCAGTTCCTGAATATAACTCACTATGCTTGTGCCTTCCAAACATTTTCTTTCATTTTTCAGGGCAGGTTTGAAGCAGAAGAAAAAGGAAAGATAGGAGTCGCGGCTTATTCACTCACTTCCTATAATGTTCAAATGCTGAGGTGTCCTAAAACTTCTGATATTCTTTGGAAGCTAAGCTGAAGAATTTTTTTTTATTTATTCTGGTCCAGTGCAAATATTTGTCCATTGAGCAATATACGGCACATTAGAATCATAAATCCACCATCTGCTTAAAATGAGCCAACACCCACCTGTAAGGAGACGGTTACAGGCTGGTATTGTGTTCCTCTAGTGCTTAAGTGAAGGCCACTGACGCTGTGGGGCCCTGCTTTGTTTGAGCTGCCCTGTGCTAAGATTGCCTGATAAAATTCCAAAAGGGTGTGTACGTTTGCTGCAACCCACAAAGATTACTTTCAGGTTCCCTTGGAGAAATCTTTTCACAGTAATGGGGGCAGAAAGAGGCCAAAATGCCATCAGCTTTGGATATGTGGGTGCATTTGTGGATTCTCTGCTCTGATGTTCTAGTGCAAGGAATGAAATGAATGAATAGGTCATTTGGCATTCCGCGGTTATGTCAGCAGGCATGACTGCTGTCACATTAACTGAGCAAGAAAGGGATCTTCATCACCTTACTCCTAGCAAGTACTGAAAGCAGGGTAGAAAAAAAGACACTCTGCTCATAGTAGTTTATCTTTTACTTTTTATTGATTTATTTAATTTATTTTTTGAGATGGACCCTCACTTTGTCTCCCAGGCTGGAGTGCAGTGGCGTGATCTCGGCTCACTGCAACCTCTGCTCCCCCGGTCTCAAGCCATCCTCATGCTAGTTTATCTTTTAAATGACCGTAAGTCCCCATTTTAAACTGACAGACATTCGACTGATACTATACCTTAGAATTCTCCCTGAAATATTTGTTCTTGCCACTCAACAGGAAGCTTATAGAATCTGGAAAATGAATTTGTAGTGGGGGCTTGTTCTCTGAAGTAGCTATTATCGCTTTTAAAAGAAGCCCTCCTGGCTGGGCATGGTGGCTCATGCCTGTAATCCTAGCACTTTGGGAGGCAGGGGCGGGAGGATGACTTGAGCCCAGGAGTTTGAGACCAGCCTGGGCAACATAGCGAGACCCTGTCTTTACAAAAATATAAAAAATTGTCTAGGCATCGGGCTATGCACCTGTGGTCCCAGCTACTAGGGAGGCTGAGGTGGGAGGATGGCTTGAGCCTGAGAGGTCGAGGCTGCAGTGAACTGTGATTGTGCCACTGCACTACAGTCTGGGTGACAGTGAGACCTTGTCTCTAAAAAAAAAAAAAAAAAAAAAGGCTCTTTAGAGGACAAAAGTTTCAGATTCACCATAACACATCAAGCGTTCCCCTGAAGGGCTTGCCTCTGAGTTTATTCTTTGGGAAAACCCTAATACAAAATGAAGGCAAGAAATCCACTAGTTATCGTATTTTAGATTTTGAAAGTTGGTTGTCTAAGACTCCTGGGTGATTTAGACAAATTTCTACATGTTATTTGCCGAATCTAGGTATGAAAGCAAATCAAGCAAAACCTGTTCGTTTGAGGTATAGTGCTTTAGTCTGCAATTTTTTATTATTTTAGATTCAGGGGGTACATGTGCAGATTTGCTACATGGGTAACGTTGCATGATGCAGAGGTTTGGGCTTTTAATGATCCCATCATTCAAGTAGCAAACGTAGTACCCCATAGACAGTTTTTCAATCCTTGCCTCTCTTACCTTTTGGAGTCCTCAGCATCTATTGTTCCCATCTTTAAATCCATGTGTACCCAATATTTAGCTCCCACTTATAAGTGAGAACACGCAATATTTGGTTTTCTGTTTCTGTATAAATTTGCTCAGGATGACAGACTCTAGTTGCATCTATGTTGCTACAAAGGACATGATTTGTTCTTTTTTATGGTTGTGTAGTATTCTATGGTGTGTATGTACCACATTTTCTTTACTCAATCCACTGTTAATGAGCACCTGGATTGATTCCATGTCTTTGCTATTGTGAATAGTGCTGTGATGAACATATGAGTGCAGATGTCTTTTTGGTAGTAGATTTATTCTCCTATGGGTATATACCCAGTAATAGGATTTGCTGGGTCACAAGGTAATTCCATTTTTAGTTCTTTAAGAAATCTCCAAACTGCTTTCCACAGTAGCTGAAGTCATTTGCGTTCCCACCAACAGTGTATAAACTGTCCCTTTTTTCCAAAGCTTCAGCCACATCTGTTATTTTTTGACTTTTTAAAAATAGCCATTCTGACTGGTGTGAGATGGTATCTCATTGTGGTTATGACTTGCATCTCTCTTATGATTCGTGATATTGAATATTTTTTCATATTTTTGCTGGCCGCTTGTATGTCTTCTTTTGAGAAGTGTTTGTTCTGTTCATGTCCTTTGCCCACTTTGTAATGGAGTTTTTTTTTTTTCTTTCTGGTGTGATGGTTAATTCTGCAAAAGGCATTTTATTTAACAGGCAGCATGGACTTCATACACATACATTATCAGTGCCTTGAAAACCAAAGAATTTTAAAAGTTAGCAGTAGCTTCTAGTTTCTGCATGTACAAAAAAATACATATTTATTTATTTATTTATTTATTTATTTGAGACAGAGTCTTGCTCTGCAGCCCGGGCTGGAATGCAGCGGTGTGATCTCGGCTCACAGCAAACCCCGCCTCCCGGGTTCAAGCGATTCTCGTTCCTCAGCCTCCTGAGTAGCTGGGACTACAGGTCACTGTAGGCCCTGAGTCTGGGCTGGCCACATCCTCCACAGGCCAAGAGCTGGTCTGTGAAGAAGGGTGCTTGTTGGTTGAAAAGGGTGGTAGAGTCCTTTGGTTCTGGTGTTAGCAGTGCAGTGTCTCGAAGGTGGCTCATTTTAATTCCATATAGATCTTCATGCCCCGTGAGTAGGCATGAAGCCTCTTCTTTGCCAGAATTGACCCATAACTTGTAACCTCTCTCAGGGCCAGCTATCCTTAGCATTGGTAATGATATGTTGATATCTTCATTTTCTGTATGTGAATCCATTACTGTTATAGTTTTAGAATAGGCATAATTCTCAATGTCCTTGGTGGAGATTTTGAGGGAAATGCCCTTTGGGTCGTCCTTCTCTTTCTCTAGATTGATGTATCTCTGAAGGAGAGAGAGCTATTTGTCCTTCTGATCTGGAGAACTGAAAGTGGCCACAAAGTTCACTGTGAGTCAGCCCAGAGCCAAGGATTTCATGGAATTGGTGTTGCCTTCTGCCACTTCATCCAGACAGCTTGCTGTCCATATACCAGTTAATCTAATTTTATTTTGTATCTTACAGTTATGTTGTATTTGAGTTTGGCCACACCTAACAGATCATTGAATAGGAAAAGCTGCTCCTCCTGTCTGTGCAGGCCTCTTCCGAGTTCTACCTGGCTGTCAATCCGCAGAGTCCTATTGGAGCACACAAATGATGACAGAATTGCACATGTGTGATGCTAGTGGAAGGACTTTCCCTGGGTTAAAGTTTTTGCAGGACTTTATCTGGGCTAAAAGCTGTGGCACTTCTCCTTTCTGTTAGTGTTTTCTTCTTCCAGGGCTAAGCGCACAGTCAGGCATTGCTGGCCCTGACGACTTCGGAGCTGATCCTGCTGAAGGGCCGCACTCACCTAGGCCACTGCGGGGGATCCAGGGGCACGCTGAGGGGTCGGGGAACGGGGATCCCTCCCCTCCAGCCTGGTGCCCCCACTGAGGGAGGAGTCGGGGTGCTGATGAGGCGGGAGGCAGCTGGAGATGGGAGGGAGGCTGCCGGGTCTGCTCAGAGAGAGAATAAGGCCCTAGATATGGAGAACGAGGAAGCGGCGTGGGGGGCTGGGGGGTTTCGGGGGAGGTGGCAGCAGGGCTGGCCCTGAGGGGCGGGAAAGGTCCTCAGATGACCCTTGCGGGCGCGCACCTCCAACGTCAAATCCCAGTGGCTTCAGCCTCGCGCCCTGAGTGGGGTCTGCGGCTGCGGAGGGCACGGGCTCCACTCAAGCGTCCTCACCGGCTTCCGCGGCTCTCCCCACAGAGCCTCCTGCTGGGGCACATCTTAAAGCAAATCCCAGCCCCGAAGGAACCTAGGCGGTCGGGTCTGTGGTGGCAGAAGGCGCGGCTGCCGTGCTCAGGTGGGCACAGCTCCCCATGTGGGCAGCTGCCTCCTGCAGGGGCCTGTGTGTCGCCGTGCCCTGCATGGCGGGGTAGAAGCGGTTACAGCGGCGACCGCCCTTTGTTTTTTTCTTGTTGATTTGCTTAAGTTCCTTGTAGATCGTGTATCTCAGTCCTTTGTTGGACACATAGTGCACAAATATTTTCTCCCATTCTGTAGGTTGTTTTCAAATCTGTTGATAATTTCTTTTGTTTTGCAGAGATCTTTAAGTCTCATTTTTAATTTTATCGTATTTGCTTTTGGGGTCTTTATCATAAATTCTTACGATTTTTTTTTTTTTTTTTTTTTGCTAGCAGAGTTCTGTCATTAGGATTAGTAAGATTCTTAAGTGTTCCATACAGGTAATAAAATCAGAAGAGTATGACCTCAATATGGTACAATATCCAGGTTTTGGTAGATAGAAGTGATTTTAGAGCGTACTAGTCCGTTTTCACACTGCTATAAAGAACTACCTGAGACTGGGTAATTTATGAAGAAAAGAAGTTTAATTGACTCACAGTTCCACAGGCTTATCAGGAAGCATGACTGGGAGGCCTCAGGAAACTGACAATCATGCCAGAAGGCAAAGGGGAAGCAGGCACCTTTTTTTCACATGGTGGCACAGTGAGTGAAAGGGGAAGTGGCACACACTTTTAAACCATCAGATCTGGTGAGAGCTCACTATCTGGAGAACAGCATGGGGGAAATCTGAGCCCCCATAATCCAATAACCTCCTACAAGGCTCCTCCTTCAACAAGTGGGGATTACAATTCCACATGAGATTTGGGTGGGACACAGAGCCAAACTGTATCATAGAGGTACTTGAACGCCTCACATACTCTCTTTCATCACTTACTGTTGGGGCCTGGAACTTCTGAAGTTTTGATTTCCTCAGCTTTCCACTGTTAAATATGGAAATACAGGTGGGAATACTGTTAATTGCAAATACCTTACAGAAGATATTTGCTACTTTAATCATGAATGATTTCTAAGGGGAATCTAGACAAAGGGCAGATAAGGTTTTGAAAGATATTGGGGCGGTGGGGGGTGGTGGGCAGGAGGCTTGAGGAAAAGCAAAAGAGACTGAGGAGAGCAAAAGATCCCAAAGTAAGAGTTTACCTAGAGCAAGTGTGGAGGGGAGGGAGTTGAGTAGTGAGTGATGTTAAGAGGGCAAGGAATGACTAGGGAAGAGGTCTGAAAGAAAGTTAAGAGTGCCACCAAAGATCACCTGTCTTCTTAAAAATTTTTTTATGGGTAACATTGCATAGCATTATAGAGTAAGAACACTGGGGCATTTAGATCAGGGATTTTTAAATGAGGGTGCATGTGTACGTGATATTAAAACAATACTACCTTGTCCCTCCCCTCCTGGCCCCCAAGTCTCTCAGTTTGAACATCACAGCTACACTGATCCACCAAAAACTGACAGAACCTTGCCCTTTGGTTTGTTGGGCAGCAGAGTGGAAACTCGGGGCTGGGGAAAGAAGGATTGCCTACGATTTTGCTATAAAACATAATTAAAATCGATGTTAACTGCCTTTCTTTAATAAAGGATATACTCTAAGGGTTTTCAGTCATTGTGAGAGATAGGACTAGCTGGATTTCCTAGGCCGACTAAGAATTCCTAAACCTAGCTGGGGAAGGTGACTGCACCCACCTTTAATCACAGGGCTTGTAACTCAGCTCACATCTGACCAATCAGGTAGTAAAAAGAAAGCTCATTAAAATACCAATTAGGCTAAAAGCAGGAGGTAAAGAAATAATCAAATCATCTATCACCTGAGAGCACAGGGGGAGGGACAGTGATCAGGATATAAACCCAGACATTCGATCAGGGAGTGGCAACCCCCTTTGGGTCCCCTCCCATTGTATGGGAGCTCTGTTTTCACTCTATTAAATCTTGCAACTGCACACTCTTCTGGTCAGTGTTTGTTCCGGCTCGAACTGAGCTTTCACTCAGAGTCCACCACTGTTGAACGCCGCTGCCCCAGACCTGCCATTGACTTTCACCTCTCCAGATCCAGCAGGGTGTCCGCTGCGCTTCTGCTCCAGCAAGGCACCCATTGCCACTTCTGATCCGGCTAGAGGTTCGCCATTGTCCTGAGTAGCTAAGTGCCTGGGTTCGTCCTAATTGAGCTGAACACTGGTCACTGGGTTCCATGGTTCTCTTCCGTGACCCATGGCTTCTAATAGAGCTATAACACTCACTGCAGGGGCCAAGGTTCTATTCCTTGGAATCCATGAGGCCAAGAACCCCAGATCAAAGAACAAAAGGCTTGCCGCCATCTTGGGAGCAGCCCACCCCATCTTGGGAGCTCTAAGAACAAAGACCCGTTGGTAACAATTGTACAGTGTCAATTTTGATTGTCTTCTAGTTTTCACAGTATGTAAAATAAAGCAGAATAGTATTAACTCAGGAGCCAGACTTGCTGGGTTTGAGCCCTGGCTCCACTCATTAGCTGTGCAACCTTTTTACCAAGTTATTGAAAATCTTCAGTCCATAGCTAACTCCTTAGTAAAGTGAGTATAACAATATTTCACATTGATAGTAAGATATTAATCAGATAATCCATGCAAAGACCTCAGCACAGTGACTGGACAATAGAAAAGGTTCAATATATGTTGGCTTTAATAAAAACAAAAATACCAAATATAGTAATTAGCTCTTTGTTTTTTGAGATGGAGTTTTGCTCTGTTGCCCAGGCTGGAGTGCAGTATGGTGATCTCAGCACTCTGCAAGCTCTGCCTCTCGTTCAAACGATTCTCATGCCTCAGCCTCCCAAGTAGCTGGGACTACAGGTGCATGCCACCACGACTGGCTAATTTTTTTTTGTATTTTTAGTAGAGATGGGGTTTTGCCATGTTGGCCAGGCTAGTCTCAAACTCCTGACGTCAAGTAATCCACCCGCCTCAGCCTCCCAAAGTGGTGGGATTACAGGCGTGGGCCACCACGGCTGATGGTAATGAGCTCTTTCTCTGAGAATGACTGTTGCTTTTGGATTAAAACTACAGCATTGACTTTAGGTATTTCTTAGACTTGATTAACTTAATAAAACTCTTTGGTACAGAAATAATACTTAATAGGGCAGAAGTTTGTTTGGAGGATAGAACAAAAACCTGACAAACTTATTGTGAGAAATGATTCTTCCATTCTAGCATAGCTCCTTTTGAAGTGTGTGATAGGAAGTTTTGGTGTTTCCCCACCCATCATGGAAATCATGTAAATTGGAGAGGCAAGGAAAAAGCATCTGTATTGGTTTGCTAGAGCTGTCATAAAAAGCACCACACATTGAGTGGCTTAAACAGTCAATTTATTGTCTCACAGATCTGGAGGGTAGAGATCTGAGATCAAGGTGTTGGCAGGGTTGGTTCCTTCCGAGGGCTGTGAAGGAGAATCTTTTCCGTGCCTGTCATCCAGTGTGTTTGCTGACAACCTTGAGCATTCCTTGGCTTCTGCTGCACGATCACACTCTGCTTCCTGCTCACATGGCATTCCTTCTGTATGCATGTCTCTGTATCCAAATTTCTTCTTTATATAAGGAACCCAGTCATATTGGGTTAGGGGCCCATTCTACTCCAGTATGACCTCATCTAATAACATTTTCCTTTAGAAAATTTAATTGACACATAATAATCATACATGTCTATGGGGTACATAATGTTATGACACATATAATGTATAGTGATTAGATCAGGGTAATTCACATATCGATCATCCCAAACATTTATCATTCCTTGTATTGGGAACGTTCAATATCTTCTAGCTATTTGAAACTGTATATTGTTGGTTACTATAGTCATCCTACAGTACTATAGGACACTAAAACTTATTCCCATTTTTAATGACCTTATTTCCAAATAGGAAATACCTCCATTCTGAGATACTGAGGGATAGGACTTCAACCTATAATTTTTTTTTGTGAAAGGGACACAATTCAACCTGTTACTGTATCCTATCCTGGAAAGTAACTATGATATACTTCTAGAAGTTTCAGTAATCACTAAACTTCTAGAATTCATTCCAGAAAAGTGAATTCATTCCAGAAAAGATGTTCAGAAACTGAATCACTGCTAATACCAGGGGAGCCAAGTGTTTAATGGCCTCCTATTGTGGGTGCTCTCCACAATTCTGTCGCCCTCCTAACACTCACACAACTTATTTTGTCAGATTGTGTGTGGGCATGGGTGTGTGAAAGAGAAGGGGGCTGGGGACAGGGACTTTCTGCTCCCAAGGACTTTCCATTTAGCGAAAAAGGCAGATGTTGCGCAAAAAACAAATTTTAAAAGAAGAAAAGAATGCTTATCTTTCTTTACTCAGTAAGGAGGTTCATGAATATACATATTGCATATAATTGCTTTTTAAGAAGTACTACTTGTAAACTCAAGTAATCTATATGTGTGTATGAAATCAATGGGTTTAAAAAGTACGCTTCCCTGAGGCTTGGCCTACTCTTATTAACTCTAATCTAAAAGTCTGAAAGATCCTACCAAGAAAACTTTGTATACTTATGTATTGTAAGATTATACCAATGAACAATAATTTCTTCATCCCCTATAATATACCTGATTTTCTATTTTATCATGTTGTTTTCCATGATGGTAAAATACATTCTCCTTTCATTCAGGATTCATGGGTACTGCATCTTGTGTAAAGCCTGATGGTTCTACTAGAAGGTTGAGCTGTTTCTCTACTGATTTCACATTATTTTATTAGGTTATTTAGTAAGGAGTTATTTCCCACCAGTGATATATCGTACCACTAGACTGTGAATTTCTTTTATCCAGTCTATCTTTGGATCCACAATATCAAAGTTAGTATCTGGCAGAGTGAAAATTAATCATTGAATAATTGGGAAAGATTAAATGCTAGAAAATAATTTAGGTTTTATTTTGATCTCAGAAATTGAGAGCTTGATCTGAATAGAAATGTTGCTATTTTAGGAAAACAAATGGGAAGGAGGACAAGGAAGAGGTGAAGGATCTAGTGCAGTAATTCTAAACTAGTATTGACAATATTAGCAAATAAAAATACAGGTCACCCAGTTTACTTTAAAATATCACATAAATAACCAATACATTTTAGTGTGTTTCAAATATTAAACAGGATATGCTTATATTTTGAAAATGTTGTTTATCCCTTATTTAAATTTAACTGGATGTCCTGTACTTTATGTGGCAACGCTGGACTTTATCTAATTAATCCCTTTTGAATGTACAACTTTTTTGACTGTTATCTCTTTGAAATGCAAATGAAAACTCTGAAAGCCTGCATTAAAATGCTTTGCACATAGAATTGTGCATACTATTTCAGGTAGTTGATGTTGGTAACTTTTTTAAAATGTTGGCTGTGTTAGGGAAGGAATAATTTCTTAGAGGTTATAAGGGTAAAAACAAATGGAAGTAAAATTATACACATACACACACACATACACACACACACACCTATATGTATACACACACACACACACACACATTCACTAAGCATAGTCCTACATTTCCAAAGTAGGGGTAACCTAAGAAGGAATGGAATCCAAACAATTAATTTTATGAGAAGATGTGCGGTAGAAATATCAACTACAATATAGAAAGGTTTTTTTTTTTTTTTTAAACACGTTGTGGTCTCACTATGTTGCCCAAGCCAGAGTACAGTGGCTATTCATAGACTTGATCATAGCTCATTGCAGCCACAAACCCTTGGGCTAAAGTAATCCTCCTGCCTCAGCTTCCCCAGTAGCACATGCCACTGCACCCAGCGAGGATTATAGAGTTTGTTAAAGTGGGTAGAGAAGGAAAACTAAATTGGTTACAAGATTACAGTGACTAAAACTGATTATGGAATATTTATATGTAAAATATGTGCATATTAAATGTTGGCATACATATAATTATATGCATAATAAAATTATATGTATAACAACATAGAAATATATGCATATTAAAATATAAAGGTATATACATTTTCATTACAAAGAACAATTTATCATTTAGTAACATTTTTATGCTAACTGAAGAAAGATAAGTGAATGTTCAATGTTATTTATTAATTCTTAAAAAAACTAAATTGTCAGCTGATCTCTTTTATAGTCCACTGCAAATAACTGCTAACATGTTGTTCCTCTGAACTATTTATGCAACCATGGAATCAGCTATATTTCTTTAGTCTTCATATGTTAAACTATTAAATCAGAGAATGCCAGTGCATTCTGATCTCTTAGCATTCATTAAAATAAAAGCTCTAGACTTTTATCTAAAAAATCAAAATAGGCTGTAATATAAAAATTAAAATAGGATATTTAATATTCTTTTGTAAATAAATAGGATACATGGGTCTCTAGTACTGATAATCATGTAACCTATTTATATCCAAATAGATCAATTTACTACAAGCTTGCTTAAAATTAACAGAATAGTGATCAAATAAGACCCAAAGGAAACCTTTTTTTCTCTGACTCATCAAATGTTGAAATTACAGGTGTCTATATCATAGACATTGCATATCTATCTCATATAAAAGTATAGTTTTATATCACAAAGCAATTCAAATTTTGCTAAATGCAATAAAATCCTATGAGTTAGGAAAATTTTTGCCCATCTAAAACATTTTCTTTTTTTTTTTTTGAGATGGAGTTTCACTCTTGTTGCCCAGGCTGGAGTGCAATGGAACGATCTTGGCTCACTGAAACCTCCACCTCCCAGGTTCAAGTGATTCTCCTGCCTCAGCCTCCTGAGTAGCTGGGATTACAGGTGCTCACCACCATGCCTGGCTAATTTTCGTATTTTTAATAGAGATGGGGTTTCACCATGTTGACCAGGGGCTAGTTAGTCTCGAACTCCTGACCTCAGGTGATCCTCCCATCTCAGCCTCCCAAAGTGCTGGGATTACAGGTATGAGCCACCGCACCCAGCCTCTAAAATATTTTCTACCTTCTGATAATTACTCCCAGCTGATTTTAGGATTTCTATTAGCAGGATTTTTTCTTCTTGTTGCTGTTATTTAAATAAATAGAAGACATGGTATTAACTCTCTGGAGGCTTCCTGTAAAGAACTGAGTTGATGATTGGATATTTGATCATTTCAGAATAAATATAATCCTTTCCTACCAGTTAATTGGAGAAATTCTTCATTTTTCCTGAAGTAGTTACACTTTTCTTAAAATTATTAAAAGTTTTAAAGTATCTACCCAATAATTAAGAAGAACATGTAGCTGGATGCAGTGGCTCGGGCCTGTAATCCCAACACTTTGGGAGGCTGAGGTGGTAGATCACCTGAGGTCAGGAGTTCGAGACCAGCCTGGCCAACATGGTGAAACCCTGTCTCTATTAAAAATACAAAAATTAGCCAGGTGTGGTGGTACACACCTGTAATCCCAGCTACTTGGGAGGCTGAGGCAGGAGAATCGCTTGAACGGGTAGCAGCGGGGACGTGGAGGTTGCAGTGAGCCAAGAGTGCGCCACTGCACTCCAGCCTGGGCAACAGAGCAAAACTTTGTCTCAAATAAATAAATAAATGTAGTTGAATTTTTAAAATATAATTAGGTTTTAAATGTCTAAGTGTAAAGTAAGAAAAGAAGTAAGTGGTTAGTGCTGAAATATGTAGCTAAAAGTTAAAGTCACAAGTGGACAGAGATTTATCCACTTGTTTTGGTAACATGGAGATCATTTATGACCTGGGTTAGCAGGTATGGTACAGGGGAGGAGACAGAATTAAAATTAGATTAGTTGGTGGTTAGACCAGGAACAGTGGCTCAGGCCTATAATCTCAGCACTCTGGCAGGCCAAGGTTGGAGGATTGCTTGAGCCCAGGAGTTTGAGACCAGCCTGGGCAACATAGTGAGACTGCATCTCAAAAAAAAAAATTTAGAAAATTAAAAATAAAATTAGATTAGTTGATGGAGTGAAGGAGAGGTGAAGAAATAGAGACAAACTGTATAGGCACCTCTTATTTAGGTCTTCTTGTCTCCACTATAACTCTTGGCAGGCTTTCTTTGCTACTGATGAGGCAGAAATAAAACTATATTGTCAGTCTCAGATTTAAAAAACATTTATTTTAATAAGACTATTGCAAACACATTAAAAAAACTAAATAGTAATATTACAAAATCTATATACTTGCACATTTAGTATTTGTCAATGTGCCAGAGGTTTTCTTCATGAAATTTGACTTCTTTGAAGTGAAGGCTTTTTTCCATCATCTCTTATAGCTCTGACTGAATAAGTCTTAATGCTTTCTTCATGTTTTCTATCACTGAAATAAGAGTTAATATATATTATGCTATTAATAAATGAAAGTACAAATGCTATGATCTATTAACTCTAGAACCTGAAATTGGCCCATTTAAATTAATAGCTTTGAACATGGGAATTCGTCTATGACATTAAAGAATATGCTAAAAGTGTACATGTAAATTTAGGGATTAGACCATTGAGAGCTGGTTGGTCAACTTTATGTTGAACAATTTCATCAGAGGGGTTTTGAGGAGTACCTCTTTTTTTTTAATGCATCACTTTGTATTAGTATTGCTAGATCTTACAGGCACAGTTGTCTTATTAAATATAGTTGATAATGAATGTTGTAAAAAATAGATTTGGCCAGGCATGGTAGGTCATGCTTGTAATCCCAGCATTTTGGGAGGCTGAGGTGGGAGGATCACTTGAGGCCAGGAGTTTGAGACCAGCCTGGGCAACATACCAAGACCCTGTCTCTACAAAAAAGAAAAAAAAAGGATTAAAGTCCTAGGTAAGACTGTACCTCCTTGCTTATAGGCATTAAAGAAAGATGAAATGATTTTACTATCATTTGATGAAATCACATGAGATCTTTGATACTAGGAGAATGGACTGTCTCAAGTTTGTGTCATTTTAATGTGTACTATATTCTTTTTAGTGAGCTCAGAATTTAGTAATCCTAAAATCCCTTAGACATCCCTGTTAAAATAGATTCTGAGGTACCCCCAAAATTCTGATTTTGGTGGGAGCTAGAAGTTGGCATTTAAACACCACCACTAGCCTCAGTGACTGGTGTGTAGAAGCACTGATGTAGGGCTTCACTAGCCCTTAACAAATAGTCAGGGGTCAGCTATGACCACTGTTTGAGATCATTTGTGAATACTTACATAGGGGTAAATCCCGAGGCTCATATGTGTACAATCTGTTAGAGTATCTTCCAGCTATGTCAGCTCTAACTGTTAAAGAAGGGTCTGTCAAGGAAAAAACCAAGTCACGAAAGTATAATTTAGCATGTTCTTTTCTTTACTCTTGTAAAAACTTAATTATTATTTTATATGTGGGGGTTATGTGTACAAGTTTGTTACACAGATATATTGTGTGATGCTGAAGTTTGGGCTTCAGCTGAACCCAACACCCTAATAGTGAACATAGTAGCCAACAGTTAGTTTTTCATCCTTTGGCTCCCTCCCTCCTTCCCCCGTTTTGGAGTTCCTATTGTCTATTTTTCCTCTCTTTATGTCCATGTGTAACCAGTGTTTAGCTCATATTTATATGTGTGAACATTCACTATTTGGTTTTCTGTTTCTGTGTTCATTTGCTTAGGATAATGGCCTCTGGCTACATCCATAAAACGTTCTTAAAATCATTTTTGTTTCTTAATCTAAAACAAATGTCAAACCAATTTATAATCTAAAACAAATGTCAAACCAATTTATAAGCAAAATTAGTTTTCATACATGTCAGTTCATGAATTAACCTGAATTCTCCTTTTAGTGTGTCATAGGTCTCTGTCAATCTAGTCTGGGGCACTGTGTTGAAAGTACATTGGGATATAGATTTAATAGCATACATGCTTTGAAAAAATATTTAAAATTTTCAAATTACAGATATAGTGGATTTTGATTGTAGAACTAACAAGAGCTGATATTATTGGATTAGAAATGACTTCTCTTTAAAAAGAATAGTACTTGAACTAGCATTTAAAAATAAAAGCAAGAATGCTGATTTCTACTAATTTTGTAGATCTGATGAAATGAGATCACATACATACCTACAAACATGATTCTAGGCACATATTGCCCATCAGGTGATAAATTCTTATCAGTGGTTTCATGCTAGCAGGAGAAGAAAAAAAAAGAATGTTATTGGATTCATTTGTTTTTGATAGTTTCAAGATGATTTTGTGTGACTGTCAGTAAATTCTATTTTGGCCTTTTATAATTCCATACAACTTTCTGTATTAACCAATATTTAGCTCTTTGTGCTTTAAAAATAGAAAAAAAGGAGGCTGGGCATGGTGGCTCATGCCTGTAATCCCAGCACTTTGGGAGGCTGAGGCGGGTGGATCACCTGAGGTCAGGAGTTTGAGACCAGCCTAACCAACAAGGTGAAACCCTGTCTCTACTAAAAATACAAAAATTAGCTGGGCATGGTGGCAGGTGCCTGTAGTCCCAGCTACTTGGGAGGCTGAGACAGGAGAACTGCTTGAACCAGGGAGGCTGAGGTTGCTGTGAGCCCAGATTACGCCACTGCACTCCAGCCTGGGTGACAGAGCGAGACTCTGTCTAAAAAAAAAAAAAAAAAAGAAAAAAACGGATTCAAAATTTCCATGAAATTATAGTATTAAGAAAACATCACAAAGTTTATGTACCATAAGGTTTAGCATGATGAACTTATTCTGAGCCATTTCTTGTATTTCTTCATTTTGGGCAAATACTTTCTTTAGTGCTATAGGGGAAAACAAAATTGCCAGTTAGTTTTAAGGATCAAGAGACCTTTAATGTAACATAGCAAAATAAAGCTAATATTTAGCATTTGTTTGCATATATAACTCAGGTGTAAATATTAATAGTTCATTGGCCTATTGCCACTTTGTCCCTCATTGGAAAGCAATGAGGGACAGTCTGTTCAAGGAGACATCAAAGGATAATCACAGTGAAGACACTAGTTTTTATAATTTTATGTAACTCATTGACTCATTGGTTAAGACAACGACTTTTTTTCAGTGTTTCTACACCTTCTCAGCTCACCCCTTTCTTTTCATGGGAAGAAGAGGAATATGTAATTCCCAAGGGAATATAATAGAAATATTCAGTAGATTGGTAACAATCATTGTGGTCTTTAAGCACCTTAGTAAAATGATGGTACTCTGGCAGTTGTCTATTTTTTTTAATGGGATTTGCTGAGCGCCTTCTTAGCTATTATTACCAGGTCACTTTTCCTATTTTATATTGGAAATATTATATATTATAATAAGATATCAGGGGCTAAAATTACCTTGAGAGTATTGACAATCCTCCAGGTGATGAATAACCATTAATGGCTTCTTACTAAACAAAGAAAGTATGGAATTAAGTCAAATGATTAACTTTGGGTCAAAATATACAGTAGAGTTAGATTTAAAATTTTATTAGCTTCAATAAGGCTTACAGTAGTAATCTCAGATTTACAAATCATAGCACTATAGTCAATAGCAGTGTTACTCTATTTGTGGCCTCAGAACTGATAGTATCAGTATCACTAGGTAGCTTATTAGGAATTTAAATTCAAAGGCTCCGTTCCCAAATCAGGAAAGCCTCCATTCCAAAATTAGCTGGGCACAGTGGTGTGAGCCTGTAGTCCCAGCTGCTCTGGAGGCTGAGACATGAGAATCGCTTGAACCCAGGAGGTGAGGTTGCGGTGAGCCGAGATGGCGCCACTGCACTCCAGCCTGGGTGACAGAGCGAGACTCTGTCTCAAACAGACAAACAAACAAAAAACCAAAGGCTTCATCCCAGACCCACTCAATCAGAATCTCTGGGGTTAGGGGTGGTTTCAGGAATCTGTAGCTTAACAAACTTATTAGGTAATTCTTATGTACTCTATAGTGCAGTTAGAGAAAATCAATTCTGTATCCAGAGATAAAGGGTTATTATGAACAATGTATTCATTTCCAATGAACACTTAGTATAAGATTTCAGGAAAGTCAAAGACTTTTACATTTAGTTTTTTAAAAAGTTTTTACAAAAAAGCTGTTAATATTTGGCTATTTTCACATCCTTTCATTCTTGCACGTTGCAGAATATACAAACAACCTGAGTGGGAGTTCCCTATTTCATACATTTTTGGGGGGTCATTTTGATTTTAACCATAAAAAGTTAAAAAGATAAAAATTCTTCCTCCTACTGCTAACTTCTATAACTATGCTGTATTACTTTTTCTTATATTTTCTCCCAGAGGTTTTCAGGTCATATAACTGAAAATCTATATGAATATGTTTATATATTGTATATACCCAGATGCATGTTCACATTTATGTGTATGTATTTCTTTTTAAAAAACAAAAATACTAGCACACAAGTATCTACATTTTGCTTTTAAAATATAAATCTTAGATATGCCACTGTTCTTTTATATTATATTCTATTATATTAATATTTTATCTTATTAGTCTCCCCAAAGATGGATATTTAAATTGTTTCCAATCTCTTGTGTTTAGATTGTTCCTAAACATTTACATTTGTACACTTATTTGCTAAACATGCTTTTTTTTTAAGGCACGCAGTTTCTTTACACCCATAATTGCATCCTAAACTCTTGTATAGTTCATATTTACAGCCCCCCATAAAGTTTTTGCATTCTGAATTAGTCCTTCACATTTTGATATTTGGCATAATGTTCAAACACACTTTATACACACTGACCTCTCCTTAAACCACTCATAGATTTAATAAATCCTACAGAAAAACATTCAGAGATTACTTGAAAGCTTGATCTTCTATTTACTTCAAGGTGACAGAAGAGTTAGTTTTTCGTGATGAAAGACTACAGGAACGGAGAATTAACAAACTGTTGTGTAATTCATCAGAGAAGTATATTAACTCTGCTGAAGTACCACTGAATGAAACAAAAATGAATCTGTGAAGTAGCAATCTGATTAGCAGGCTGGCTTCTATGTCCCATCACTCTCATAGTCTTCTATTATTATATTTTCTTCCACGTCTCCTTGGGCTGAAAAGAGCTGAGGCTGGCTGGCAGGCAGTTCACTGGCACTATTCTGACTCAGAGGAAGAGACCAGGTTTCCAGCTCTGTGTCCTGTGCGGGTTCACCCAGAGATTCCTCTGCAGAATGTCCTCCGTTAAGCTGGGCTTCATCTCCACTGTCAGGGTCGATCATTCCATGTTCCCTGTCAGTCAGGGCTTCCATTTTCAGTCTTCCGAAGTGTTGCTTCAGAGGGAGCCTTCCAATATCTTGGATAAGAGAAATCTGAGCTTGATTTCTCATTGGAATGGTTATTAGAGCAAGGTATGGCAGTAGCTGAGTTTGGAGGCATAAAGCTGGTAGGCAGAAGTCAGGAAAAAGTGCTTTTGCTGCCAGGCAATTTTCCCCATACTTTTTATGTATTAGAAACCACTGCGGTGTGTGCGAGGGTCAAAAACTTGATCCTTCTCCTTGGCAATGAGCATATCCTCCGGCTTTGTTGGAATGTATCACACCTCTTGTAGCTATAGATGTCCTATATTTCCTGAGTAAAGAGCGTGTATTCCAGTCACCACTGAGGATACCTGCAAAACTTAGAAATTCACTGGCTCTCACAATATCATCAATTTCCATGAAGAAGTCTATGTAGTTTTGGTGAAGATATAAATTAAATAAGTCTCCTGGCATGTGTGACATTTCTACTACCTCCTCAGGTTCAACAAGTATGTATCCTGTTCATATTCTGATAAATGAGAGGGCAACCAAGATGAGTCTGATTCTGTTAAAGATGCTCTTTTACTGTATAAAATTTTCCCCAAAGCTCGGAAGAGAAACAGAGAAACGTCTTTGCCACCAGTAGCTTGGACCTCTTGACTTTCAAAAACCCTATCAGTTTTTTTTCTTTGTTTTGATTTTGACAGCGTAGCATTTGATTTTAAAGACATTCTTTTTTTCCTTGGCCATAAGTTGTTTTCTCCTTTTGAAGAAGAAATCTGGAGGCTGTTTATTGCACTTCTCATATCACCAGAACATCCTTGACAGAGCACCTCTAGAGAAGTTTTGTCAGGGACAGTAATTTTTCCTCCATTCTTGTTAGCCTCTATAGTCACTATTCGATTAAGAAATTTCATCGTAATTGTTGGTGCCACAGGGTTGAAACTAATATTTGAGGTAGAATGCTCTTCCCGAATTTCTTTGGGGAACAAGAAACTTTGATTATTTTTACCACTGAGACTGTCACAGATTATAAATATAAAAGGATATCGACCAATCTTCACATACTTCCTTAGAACTTCATGTAAAGTATGAGAATCCCTATAAACTGGTTAGGTAAATCTTCAACCAGAATTATCTTCTTATCAGTTCTCAGATGATCTCCAAGCATTTGTAACTTGTTATACTTTGTTGCTCTTAGTAGAAACTCTTTGCAAACTGCTATCTGAGACTGATAGGGAAACATATGGAAGCTTGATTCAGTATGAAACATTTCCTTGAAATCATCTTTTTGGAAATCTGGTAAAACTGGATTAATCCACTCTTGTACTTGAATACCATTCTCCTTTGATAGCGTTTTTTTGGTCGTTGTCTTTCCACATCCAGGAGGACCTGTTATTAATAAAATAGATCCATCCTGTTTTGGTTGCCTTTCTAAGACTTGAGCTTTTTACCAGGTTTCAACTTCTTCAATTATCTTTTCATGCACAGCCAAGTTCATGCTAACTTTCTGGTTTATATTTATCTACCCATGGTTCATTTTCAGACAGATAGTCTTTTGAATTTTCTAAACCATATATCTGTTCTAAGGAAGACAGATTTCCTATTTTTCTAGCTGGAAATATCTTACTTTCTAATGTAGAAGGCTCATTTTTTTCTCTATGACTTGAGTTATTCACACCTAATGATGTGGCAGTAATAGTAGAGATGTCTCTATACTCTAGAAAATCATTGAATGATGGGTCAATCCAGTCTGTTACCTTTGTGGAAGATATCTTTGGTCTAAGAAAAGTTTTTGACATTATAAACTGTAATAGTTCCCATCCATAGTATAGGACCTGTAGTACATTAAACTATAATTCACCTCCTTTAAAAAGCAGGTAACTGTCCCTGAAGATGCCAGGTTCCTGAAATGAGAGACCATGCTGTTGTTTTAAAAAATGATTTTGCACATAGGTGGGTATGTTTGTGAATACATTTCCAGAAGTAGAATTTCTGAGTCAGAGTGTGTGCATTTATAATTCTGATATATACTCTCCATAGAAGCTGTACCAATTCATATTCTCTCTGGTAGTGTGAGCAGTAATTGTTTTTGCTATTCTCACTAAAGCTGGTTATTAGTTTAAATTTTTTTTATCCAACAGGTGAAAAGAGGGAAACGAATGTGGTTTGTCTTTCTTATAAAAAATAGTCAATCTTATATGTTTGAGTTACTTATTTTTCTGTTCTGTGAACTTCCATATTCTTTGCTCATTTTTTTCTGTTGACTTGTTGACCTTTTTCTTGTTAATATATAGGAGTACGTTGTATATTAGAGAAAGTCACCCTTCTAATATGTGCTGCAGTTTTCCATTTAAAAGAATATTTTTCCTTTGTAAGTTTTTGGTTATCCAGAAAATTCCGTGTAATTGAAAATATTAGTAATTTCTTTTTAGACTTTTTCTTTTATCTTCTCCTTTTCTTTGTTTGGCTATGCTCAAGCCTAGCAGACAGCACTAGCATGAGGCCAGGGGAGCATCTACAGGACTAAAATTAGAGGCTTTATTTTTGTACCCCAGGTATCTTTCTTGCCTCACTATAATCTTGGCTCTCCCCTATTCCAAGCATTTAAAGAAATAAAATTTTGCAGTGGTATCTTCTAGCACCTTAATGATTTAATTTTCATAATTATATCTTTCTAATTTATTTTTGCATAAATGTGAGATATGGATACAAATTTATTTGTTTTTCCCAGATGACTATCAACTTCTGACACTAATTATTACATAATCTGTCTCCCCTATTCCTGATTTAAAATACCACTTCCTGTATTAAAAAATTCCTGTAGTATCTATCTATCTATGGAGTTTGTCAACTACCTATCAATAATCTATTTATTTATTTGACAAGTAAAAGTTGTATATATTTATGGTGTACAGTATGCTGTTTTGATATATGGATATGTTGTACAGTGGCTAAATCAAGCTATTTAACATATTCATCATCTCACATACTTATTTTTTGTGGTGAGAATATTTAAAATTTACTGTCAGCAATTTTCATGTATAAAATATATTGTTATTAACTATTATTCCCACAATGTACAACAGATCTCTTCAATTTATTTCACTTAACTGAAATGTGTGTCCTTTGAGCAAGAACTCCCCATCCTCACCCCCAGACTTTAGTAACCACCATTTTCCTTTGTTTCTATGAGTTTGACTTTTTTAGATTACACATGTGAGATTACGTGACATTTGTCTTTCTGTATCTGGCTTGTTTCACTCACCATAATGTTCTCCAGGTTCTTCTATGTTGTTGCAAATGACAGTGAACATGGGAGTGCAGATATCTCTTAGACATACCGATTTTATCTTTTTGATACATGCCCAGCAGGGAATTGCTGGATCATATGGTAGTTCTATTTTTAATTTTTTTGAGTAATCTCTATACATTATGCTTTCCATAATGGCTGTACTAATTTACATTCCCACCAACAGTGTAAAAGGGTTCTCTTTTCTCCACATTCTTGCCAACACTTGCTATTATTCATCTTTTTGATAATAGCCTTTCTAAAAGGAGTGAGGTGGTATTTCATTGTGGTATTAATTTGCATTTCCCTGATGATTAGTGATGTTAAGTATTGTTTTCATCTACCTGTTGGCCCTTTGTATGTCTTTTTTTTTTGAGATGGAGTTTCGCTCTTGTTGCCCAGGCTGGAGTGCAATGGTGCGATCTCGGCTCACCACAACCTCCGCCTCCCAGGTTCAAGTGATTGTCCTGCCTCAGACTCCCGAGTAGCTGGGATTAAAGGCATGCACCACTATGCCTGGCTAATTTTGTATTTTTAGTAGAGATGGGGTTTCTCCATGTTGGTCAGGCTAGTCTCGAACTCCCGACCTCAAGTGATCTGCCCACCTTGGCCTCCCAAAGTGCTGGGATTACAGGTATGAGCCACGGCGCCCAGCCTGTATGTCTTCTTTTAAGAAATGTCTATTTAGGTCTTTTGTCCATTTTTAAAACACAAATTCCATTTTTGTTTTGTTATTGAGTTTCTTGCATATTTGCTTCTTTTCAGATGTATGGCTTTCATATATTGTCTTCTATTCTGTTGGTTATTTCTTCACTCTGTTATTGTCTCCTTTGCTGTACAGAAGCTTTTTAGTTTGATGTAATCTCACTTGCCTATTTTTGCTTTTGTTTCTCATGTTTTTGAGGTCATATGAAAAAAAATCATTGCCCAGACTAATGTCTGGGTATATAGAATGATTTTTAAATACCGCTTTAATTTTAAGTGGATTGTGAGCATCAAAGGAGATAGGCTCTTTGGATAGCTATTCAGGATTTCCTTCATTTCAATGGCTGAATAGTATTTTATTGTGTACATATACCATATTTTATCAATTCATCTGTTGATGGTCAGAAAAGATAGTTGATATAATTTAAGTCTTCTTAAATTTGTTAGACTTGTTTCATGTGTCATGTGATCTGTTCTAAAAAATAATTCCTACGCTATGAGAACGTATCTTCTCTTGCTGTTTGATTAAATGCTCTGTATATGTTTGTTAGGTCCATTTGGTCTAAAGTGTAGTTCAAGTCCAATGTTTCCTTATTGACTTTTTGGATGATCTATTCATTGTTGAAAGTGGGGTGTTGAAGTCCCTTACTATTATTGTGTTGTAATCTATTCCTCTTTTCAGATCTATTAACATCTGCTTTATGTATTTAGGTACTGTGATGTTGGATGAACATATATTTATAATTGTTATACCTTCTTGGTAAATTAATCTCTGTGTTATTATATAATGACCTTCTTTGTTTCTGTTTACATTTTTTGATTTAAAGTCTGTTTTATCTAAGTATAGCTACTTTGTTTTGTTTTGTTTTGTTTCCATTTATATAGTATATATTTTTTGATCCTTTCAATTGCAGTTAATAAACATCCTTCAAGGTGAAGTGAGGCCTGGCATGGTGGCTCATGCCTGTAATCCCAGCACTTTGGGAGGCCAAGGTAGGAGGATTGCTTGAGCTTAGGAGTTTGAGACTAGTCTGGGCAACATGATGAAACCCTGTCTCTACCAAAAGTACAAAAATTGGCCCATGTGGTGGCACACATTTGTAGTCCTAGCCACTTGAAAGGCTGAGGCAGGAGGATCGCTTGAGCCTATAGTTGGGGCTTGTGAGTTTGTTTTTTTTTTTTTTTTTTTTTGCAGGGGGCAGGGGGAACCTGTTTTTTAATCCATTGAGTCACTCTATGTCTTTTGATTGGAGGTCCAAATCCATTTACATTCAAAGTTTTATTTCTATACTTTTATTATATTTTATTTATTTACAAGTAATATACTGTTTATTATTGCTTTGTAAAATGTTTAATAATGATTAAGGCCTAATCCCTATTGCTCTCTTTTCAGAATGTTCCTAACTATCCTAACTACTCATGTCTATTATTTTTTCATTTCAACTTTAGAATTATCTTTTTAAAAAATCTTATCACAATTTATTGTGATCATCTTAAAAAGTTTTTTAAGTATAGAGAGAATTGGCATTTTTATGATGTTAAGTCTTTCTATCCAAGAATATAATATGCACTGCCATTGGTTTGGAAATTTCTTTTTTCTTTTCAGTGTATTTAGGTTCTTATAGATTTTGCATATCTTCTGTCAAGTTTATTCTGGGGTATTTTCTTTTTTGTCATTGTAAATGAGGTATTTAACAAGTTTTTTTGGATGTGTTTTTCTATATATAAATGCAGTCAATTTTTAAATATCAATTTATTCTCATCTAATTCAACAGAATTTTTGTTATTCTGAATATTTAAATTTTTTTAGTTTTTCACGTATATAAATTATCATTTGCACATAAAGATAATTTTAACTTTTCCTTTCTACATTTTCTACTTTTTCCTTCTATAATTGTGTTAGTACTTCAGAAAAATGTTAGTAATTGTTGTGGTTGTAGATATACTTGTCTTATCCACACTTTAATGGGACACTTCTATTTGTTTTCCCAGTAAGCATAATGTTGGTTTTTTGTTGTTGTTGCTACTGTTGGAATGCTGTTGTTGGGATTAATTTAAAGAAATTAATATTGTCAAATACAAAGTCTTAAAAATTCAAATATAGATGTTTTATTCTATAATGCATTTTCAGAATTGGTGGAGATTAGACATACTTGTATGAATTGTCTCCTTATAAATATTAAATTATTTTAATTAGTACATTTCTTAATCCTAAACCACTCTGGCATTCCCAGGCTAAATCTCAATTTGTCAGGGTATATTTTTAAATGTTCTGCTGGTGCTCCTTACTAATATGTTGTTTGTTTGTTACACCGATATTTGGAAGTGAGATTCTTCTGTAGACTTCTTTCTTTTCTAATGCTTGTCCAATATTGAAACAATAGTTAATTTGGAATCTTAATTTATCTTTAAAGAGTATTGCAATAGAATGTTCTTTAGATATTTCATTCATTCTTGGGGAGCTTTTAATAATATGTTTCTCAGCTTCATTCCCAAAGACTTAGTAGGTCTTTAAGAATAAAAATGGTATACTTGGTTATTGAGCCTAGAACAGTGTCTGGTACATAGCAGTGGACATTCAAGGAATACTTGACTGATTAATTATAAATTTGGATTTTTAAAAAAGCTACTCAAATTGCTCTAATATTCAAACAGGCAGGCCTTAGAACTGCTGCCCTAAACCAGTTTTCTGTCTAAGCTTGTATACTGCCTAATAAATAATACTGCTTTGTTTATACAACATACTCAAAAGCTTGATTGAGTAATGAAGACATTAATACAGAGGTATTTAGAGCTTTTGTTTATAAAATGTATTCTAATAGCAACTATTAGTCCCTTTGGCATACAATAGCAGAGCAAATACTTGTGGCATCCTTTTGAAAACTAAAATGCTTTTTTTTGATTCATCAATGAGGTATCTATATGATCTGTTAAAATTAACGGAGAGTGGAGGATACAAAATCAACATGCAAAACCAGTAGCATTTCTATACAACAATAACAAACTAGCTGAAAAAAAGAAACAAGAAAGCAATGCTATTTACAATAACCACAAAAAGGCCAGGCGTGGTGGCTAACGCCTGTAATCCCAGCACTTTGGGAGGTTGAGGTGGACGTATCACCTGAGATCAAGAGTTCGAGACCAGCCTGGCCAACATGGTGAAACCCTGTTTCTACTAATAATAAAAAATTAGCTGGGCATGGTGGCATGTGCCTATAATCCCAGCTACTCAGGAGGCTGAGGCAGGTGAATCACTGGAACCTGGGAGGCAGAGGTTGCAGCGAGCTGAGATCGCGCCACTGTACTCCAGCCTGGTGACAGAGCAAGACTCCATCTCAAAAAAACAACAAGCAAACAAAAACCACACACACACACCTAGGAATATATTAACCAAGGAGGTGAAAGATCCCTACAAGAAAAACTATAAAACATTGATGAAAGAAATTGAAGAGAACACCAAAAAATGGAAAGACATCCCATGCCATGGATTGGAAGAATGAATTTTGCTAAAATGACCATACCACCAAAGGCAATCTACAGATTCAATGCAATCTCTATCAAAATACCAATGATATTTTTCACAGAAACAGAAAGAAAAAAATCTTCAAATTTGTATAGAACCACAACAGACTCCAAATAGTTCAAAGCAATACTGAGTGAAAAGAACAAAACTGCAGGCATCATACTACTTGACTTCAAAATATACTGCAAAGCTATAGTAAACAAAACAGCATGGTATTTGTATAAAAACAGAAACCTAGACCAATGGAATAGAATAGAGAACCCAGAAATAAATCCACGTATTTAAAGTCAGCTGATTTTTAACAAAGGTGGCAAGAACATGCATTGGGGAAAGGACACCCTCTTCAATAAATGGTGCTGGAAAACCTGGATATCCATATGTAGAAGAATGAAACTAGACTCCTAACTCTTACCATATGCAGAAATCAATTCAAAATGGACTAAAGACTTGAATGTAAGACCCCAAACTATAACACTCCTAGAAGAAAATATAAGGGAAGCCCTTCGGACATTGTTCCCTGCAAAAAAATGTATGGGTAAGATTTCAAAAGCACAGGCAACAAAAACAAAAATAGACAAATGGGACTATGTCACCTGAGAAGCATCTGAACAGCAAAGGAAACAAAAGCATAAGGGGACAAACTGTAGAATAGGAGAAATTATTTGCAAACTATTCATTCGACATGGGCCTATATCTAGAATATACAAGGAACTCAAACAACTCAACAACAAAAAACCCCAAATGATTTGATTTTAAAATGGGCAAAAGATCTGAATAGACATTTCTCAAAAGAAGACACACAAATGGCCAAGGATATGAAGAAATTCTCAACATCTCTAATCATCGGGGAAAGGCAGATCAAAACCACAATGAGATATTATCCCACCACAGTTAGAACTGATATTATCAAAAAGACAAAAAATAACAAATGCTGGTGAGGATGCAGAGAAGAGGGAATTCTTATACACTGTTGGTAGGAATGTAAATTAGTACAGCCATTATGCAAACATATAGAGGATTCTCAGAAAACTAAAAATATAACTACCATATGATCCAGCTTTCCTACTACTGAGTATTTATTTAAAAAATCAGTATATCAAAGAGATATTTGCATCTCCATATTTATGGAATCACTATTCACAATAGCCAAGATATAGAATCAACCTAAATGTCCATCAATGGATGGATGGATAAAGAGAACATGTTATATATTCACAGTGGACTACTACCCAGACATAAAAATAATGAAATGCTCTCATTCACAGCAGCATGAATGAGCCTGGAGGATGTGTTAAGTGAAATAAGTCAGATATAGAAAGATAAATACCACAAATTCTGACTCATATAGAGTAGCTTAAAAAAAAGTTGTACTAATAGAAGTAGAGAGTAGAACTCTGGTTATTAGAAGCTGGGGAGGGTTCAGAGCTGGAAGGATAAGGAGAGGTTGATTAATAGATGCAAAAATATAGCTAGATAGGAGGAATAAGTTTGAGTAGTATTCTACAGCACTATAGGGTACATACAGTTAACAATAGTTTATTGTATATATTTAAAAAGCTAGTAGAGAGGATTTTGAGTGTTCCCACCAGAAAGAAATGATATGTTTCAGGTGATGCATATGCTAATTACACTGATTTGATCACTACACATTGTGTACATGTATCAGCATATCACTCTATATTCCATAAATATGTACAATTATTATGAGTCTACTACAAATAAAAGGAAAAAAATGAGCTGAGAAGCATGTTACCTTTTTTGAGCATAAAAGAGACCTTCTTCATAAGTTTGTACCCAAGTGATGTCATCTCCCCATCCTGAAATAGAAGAGAGAAATCAATGCAGTAACCCAGAACTAGAGAAGAGCTCGGAAATGGGTATCTAATAATCAGATATCTACCTACAGATATTTAACTAAGCCATCAAGCTGTTGGCTGACATATGGTGCAGAGGACACACAATTTTCACAAGATATGGAGGTGATTTCCCTTTAGATTGCAGTACTGAGGTTTTGCTACTGCATTTCAAACCTCGAGGCCCATGGCCTTGAACCCAGTAAGTACTCAATACATGTTGTTATGATTAGAGCTGATTGAAAGGACATCTTTGGATAATGTAAAAGCTGTGGCTTTAGGAACGCTTGGAAAGTAACAGTTCATCTTTGCATACTTTGTAATATTATTAGGAATCCTTTCGGCTGTACTCTACAATGCCCTCCTATTTTGGGTCCCAAGAGATGTTGACCTCTTCTAAGTCAGTATACGTTGTGAAATAAGGGAATTCCAAGTTTTGCTTTGAATTCTGACATGGAAAAAATTCTTGTGTGGGAATTTCATGGCCAAGAGACATAATAAAACGCATGTGTTTTGGAAACACCCAAAAGAATGGAGAGAAAAAACAGAAAGCAATGAATATAGAGAGAACCCATTAGCCTTAAAGAAATGGTATGAATAGTTGGGAATGTGTATAAGCAATTAAAGATAAAATCATCAAGTAGAAGAATGTGCAGAACCTCCAAAAACATTACTGAGTATTTTCAGGAAGTGTCTCAGTCTACGAATGAGAGAGATTGAATTAATGTGAAAATTAGCAATATTTGGAAGTCAGTTTGGGCCCAGGTTTTCTTGTACATTTCAAATGTTGTCAGACCACAGTTTCTGGCTTTAATATCATGGTAAATATGATAGTAATTTGATAAATATGATTCCATGATTTTTGCTTGTTTTTCATGTTTGTTTTCTGGCGACAGCTTTATTGAAATAAAATTCATACGCCAATACAACTCACCTATTGAAAACGTATACTTTTGGCCAGGCATGGTGGCTCATGACTGTAATCCTAGCACTTTGTGAGACCAAGGTGGGTGGATCATTTGAGGTCAGGAGTTCAAGACTAGCCTGGTCAATACAGTGTAATCTGTCTCTACTAAAAATGCAAAAATTAGCTGGGTGTGGTGGCATGTGCCTGTAGTCCCAGCTACTCGGGAGGCTGAGGCAGGAGAATCGCTTGAACCTGGGGGTGGATGTTGCAGTGAGCCAAGATTGCGCCACTGCTCTCCAGCCTGGGTAACAGAGCGAGACTCCATCTCAAAAAAAAAAAAAAAAAGAAAAAAAGAAAATGTGTGCTTTTTTCAGTATATCCACGAAGTTGTGCAACCATCATCACATCAATTTTAGAACATTTTCATCTCCTCAAAAAGAAACCCTATACCATTTAGCTATCACCTGCTCCCCATTTTCTTCAAATGCCACAGCCCTAAGAAACCCCTAATCTACTTTCTGTCTCTATAGATTTGCTTATGCTGGACATTTCATATAAATGGAATCATACAATATGTAGGCTTTTGTGACTAGATTTTTTCACTCAGCATAACCTTTTTAAGGTTCATCCTTATAGTGCCATGTATTATTATTTAATTCATTTTTTATGGTCAAATATTATTCCATTGTATGAATATACCATATTTTATTTATCTGTTCATCAGTTAATGATATTTGGGTTGTTTCCACTTTTTGTCTTTTATGAATAATGATGCTATGAACATACATATACAAGTTTTTCAGTGGTATATATTTTCATTTATCTTGGGTATATACCTAGGAGTGGAACTGCTGATCAAATGGTCACTCTGTATTTAGCTTTTTGAGGAGCTGCCGGGTTATTTTCTAAAGTAGATGCATCATTTTATATACTCACCAGCAACATTTTTGTTTTTTGTTTTTTTTTGCCTGATTTAAAATCTTAACATTGAAAAACATCTCTTGTTAGTTTAATGCCACATCTTAACAGGAACTCTTGCTCTCTGTAATAATCCTGAAAGATTCTCTTTCCAACTTTGGTTGAACACATGCAATATCTATACATCACATTTTGCATTAAGTAAAAGTTATTCTAAAACAGCAAGTGAGACGAGGCCTCTGCTGAATTTTCCCTCTTCTGTTGCAAATATCATTCAATGATGGAGCATTAGCAGTGGGGAAAATTTCTATTCTCTGCTCCTGCTCAATTTAGTTCCACAAACAGTAAAGGAACATCTGCTGCATAACTTACTCCACAAAGCAGTGGGAATACAAACATAGAGCAATATAATCCCTATTCTCAACAAATTGTCCATAGCTCTGTAGAAAAGCCATATTGCATTATAATGATTTTTTATTTACTCTGTTATAATCACAATAGGTCAAAGCTGTTACACAGTTTAAATGCACTTCATGGCTTCTGCTCATTACTCTAATTCTAGCCCTATCTCTATCTCTGGCTATATTTTCTTGTCTTTTGAGATTTTATTCATTTATCTAACATATATTTATTAAATATTTACTATCCGCCAATCACTGGACTAGGTACTCAGCAATTCTGATTCAAAGGAAATTGGATTTTTTTTGGATCATTCTATGTGTGTGTATTTTTTTCTCCCTGAACCTTCTTCTACCTTTTTCTAATTAATCTTCCTTTTCTCCTTACTGCCTTCTCTACTTAACTAGTGCTGCCCTGTGCTCTAAGGGGCTCCATATGCCACTCTTTATACTGTATCCAGACTTCTCCCACTCACCCCTACCTTTAATCTTCATTCATTCTGAGCCTCATTCTCTCCATTATCTCCCATGTAGCAATAGATGGTAAAAGACTTTGCCAAATATAAACCAATTCTCAATAATGGTGTTCTCAGCTAATATCAGTCATCTTCTGTGTTAAATTAGTTTCTTATCAATTGAAATAATAGAACCTTTAAGTTGTTTAAAATAGGGCATACAAATGTAATATATTTTTTCAAAACATTCAACAAGAGTTTTAAATAAATATTTAGAAGTGAGCACACAGAATGTTGATGCCTTGACGTATAGTTATCACAGTGCTGCTTAATGCAGACATGGAAAATCTTTAAGGGCAATAACTAGTTTAGTCTTTGTCACTTTAGGGCTACTGAGCTCATTGTTTTACAACAGTTATGCTTATACAGAGAGATAGAGTTATGTTTAGGAAAATATTTCAACTTTTTCATTCCTTTCTTTTGCAAAAATATGTTGACTTTCTGTATATATAGATTGTGTGTTTGTTAAACTGAAGTAGAGTTAATTAGCTTAGGTAAACATTGATGAGCACTTGGCTGGCACTCAATACATCTGTTAAGAAATGAATGTACTTGGGAAGCAAGTCAGTGTTTTAGAATTTGAAATTATATAATATATATTTATAATTATAGCATATATTTATATATAATTTATTATAATATAACACAAATGTATACTATGATATATATTATATATAATATATAGTATATATAATATATAATTTGTATGTTATAATTATATATATTTTATATATATATCAGAGGTAGGAACAGAATTATTTGTTCCCACTTGGTTATTCAAAACTAGCAGTATTACTCCAAGGCACTTGACTACTATTTGCAGTGGTAATATGAATGGAGCAAACAAATGGTCAAGTACTTTGTGGTAATACTGCTGATTTTGAATAGCTATATGGGGACAAATAATTCTGTTCCTACTTCTGTTACTTAGAGATATAGAAACTAACTTTGAGAATATTTTCTTGGCCGGGCGCGGTGGCTCACGCCTGTAATCCCAGCACTTTGGGAGGCCGAGGCGGGCGGATCACAAGGTCAGGAGATCGAGACCATCCTGGCTAACACGGTGAAACCCCGTCTCTACTAAAACTACAAAAAATTAGCCGGGCATGGTGGCGGGCGCCTGTAGTCCCAGCTACTTGGGAGGCTGAGGCAGGAGAATGGCGTGAACCCGGGAGGCAGAGCTTGCAGTGAGCCAAGATCGTGCCACTACACTCCAGCCTGGGTGACAGAGCAAGACTCCGTCTCAAAAAAAAAAAAAAAGAGAGAATTTTTTTTAATAAAATGTTTCTTTACAGATGAATATATATTTGTTTCTTGGGCCAAGTAAAACAGTAAGTACAAAAAGAAATGTTTCTAAACATGTAGCCACCGGCAATCCTTGATTATGTCTAAAACCACTGTCTTCCAGAGTCAATATAGCAAAGACTTAGTTACCCCGAATTCTCAGAGTTTGGGGTATAGTATAATTTTCTGGGAAGGCTTATATAAAATTATTCCAATTTTTTTTTTTTTGGAGGACTGGGAAATAGAGGACTGGGAATTTGAGCAAATTTTGAGGAATCTTAAATTGCTATTAGGACACCAATATGACGCAGCAATCAATCATTATTTTCTAGGACTCTGGTTACCAAAGTTATAGACAGCGAGCCAATTCTCCATTATTTTGGCAAAAGATAATGCAAATTTATGTTATTGTTTGCTAGTTGATTTGATTCACTGCCTAAAATAAACTGATTCCTTCTGTTTTAAAAAATCCATTTTGAAGTCACACACAACAAAAATCATTCAGTTAGTTGAATTTGCTTTATAATTAGACTATGAGTGAAGACACCAGATATTTTAAAAAGCAATCCAAATGACTGAGTTTAGAAAATAAAATGAGATTACAGCACCTCTTGAGAGTGTCTGAGGAGGCCTCTTTTCCTTTTTTATTGCAATGGCAAGGTTGGAAGAAACTGTGACGAGTAAGAGGCAGAGACCCAAAGCTGAGTGTAGCATCATGTCTTCTAGAGACTCTCTCAGAAGAAGCTAGATGACAGAAAGGAATTCTCAGAATCCAGTGAATTACTTCAAGCTATTATTAGAAGATATTTGCTAAGAGTTGGACCAATACTGTGATGACAGACTGTTCAGCTTTTTTGGTTTGACATGGTATAACCAACCACATAGAACTTTCATTCACATTTTATTTTTAAAATACTTAATCAACTCAGTACATGCTCAGTTGGTGAGAAGTCATGTTCTGAGCCTCCTGGGCATGGTGCTGTATAATTAAAAAAGAGCTGGATCAGGGCACACGAAGCCTGCTTCTGAACCGCCCTGTAGTGTTCACACCAACAAGACGAAACTCAAATAAGATCATGTTGTTTGATGTCTTGTAAACTATGAAGTGACTTTTAGCATGCAGAAATATTCTTTGCCTTTTGATTCTCCTTCATCTAATAGGTCAAAATATTTTAACTCTATACTAAGATAAGATTATACATGAATAAATATTGCTTAAAATAGAAATCAGAGGAAAAATAGAATATGGAGGATTCTTGTCCTTCAGTTCCTTTATAGTTTCTTACCTTTCTCATCCTTCCAACAATTACTCAGACTTTTGCCCTTCAGTTTATGATACAGCTCTTTATAAAAATCAAGTACTATCATATTACTATAAATTAGACATATGTATAGAGAAGAATAGACTGTCATGATTACATTCTCTCCTGGTTAGCTAGAATTCAAACTGATTCTTAACTCAATGTGCATCTTTTATACTTTGCACGTTAAGATAAAAACTGAAGTCCAAAGTTGGGCCTGATCTGGTCATAAACCACTTGATAAATATATTACAGGAAGTCTTTAATACTTGTGAGATGTTTAGTTACAGCATTAGCATATAAAACTGATTTGAAAATGGTTGACTCATGCAGTTTTGAAACTTTACCTCAAAATATAAAATAAATATACAGACATCATTCACATTGATTTGAAGTTCCTTTAAGACGTCTTTCCTATTGGCTTACATTATTTAGTATTGAACTCATCACCAAAATAGTAAAATTTCCTTAGCCAAAATGGCTAGTGACTGATTCTTTAGTGATTCTGTTCAAACAAAGATGTTGCTATATTTTATTGTAGTAGGCATTGTGGAAAATGAAAAGATATATAAGACACAATGTTTTGGCATTGGTAAAACATTTGGCAATTTTAATCACCTAGTTATTGTAAAGTAGCAACCGCAGTCGTGGAGGAGAACAACAATTTGGTGGTAAAGAAGTTTACAGATTCTAGATTTCTCCAGACATTTCCTCATTCCTCCCATTATACTGTTTTCCCCTTCCCAGTGGTGTATCTATTGCAGCCCCTCTATGGACTGAAAATAGTTACCACTCCAGGTTAACCTTACTTTATTTCCCTCCCTAATCCCCAGTTGTCCCTCCCTCCTTCCCTTCCCCTTCCTTCCTTCCCCTTCCTTCTTTCCCCTTCCTTCCTTCCTTCCTTCTTTCCTTCCTTCCTTCCTTCCTCTTTCTCTCTCTCTTTCTTTCTTTTCTTTCTCTCTCCTTTCTTTCTTTTTTTTTTTTTTTTGCTCTTGTCACCCAGGCTGGAGTGCAGTGGGGCCATCTCCACTCACTGCAACCTCCGCCTCCCAGGTTCAAGCGATTCTCCTGCCTCAGCTTCCCAAGTACGTGGGACTACAGGTGTCCACCATCATGCCCGGCTAATTTTTGTATTTTTAGTAGAGATGGGGTTTCACCATGTTGGCCAGGCTGATCTCAAACTCCTGACCTCAAATGATCCAACTGCTTCGGCCTCCCAAAGTGCTGGGATTACAAGGGTGAGCTACATCGCCCGGACTCCTTTCCTCTCCCCTCCTTTCCCCTCCTTTCCCCTCCTTTCCCCTCCTCTTTCCCCTCCTCTCCCCTCCCCTCCCCTCCCCTCCTCTCCCCTCCTTTCCCCTCCTTTCCCCTCCTCTCCCCTCCTTTCCCCTCCTTTCCTGTCCTTTCTTTCCAGGCATATAAAAACCCTGTTAAACAATTATCACGGTGCCTGATAAGAATTTCAGTTTAAGTTCTCATAACTTATTAAACCATAAAACATTTCAGAATGTCATCTTGTACCTTAAGGCCTTGGTCATCTTGTACTTTAAAGACTGAAACAAATACAGGGTGGATTTTAGTACAGGACAGGGACAGTTGACTCTGGAACACAAAGCTCAACCCAGGGAAGGCAGCCTTAGTTAGACAGGTTGGGAGTTGCAGTGGAGGAACTAAAGCAACCACCTAGGACAGGATCTTAACCTGGATCCAGCAGGCTTCTAGAAGGCCTGTGGCTGAGCTACAGAAGGCTCAAAACCCCTGGAAATTGTGTGCAAAATTTTATCTGCCTCTGTTCCTTTTCCGTGGGAATAGGGTCCAAAACGTCATTAAAATTCTTCCAGGGATCTTGGATATAAAGAAGAGTTAAGAAAAGTCAATCTGGAAGGAATCTTTAGAAAGATTTTTCTATGTTAGCTACAGAGACAAGCAGGTGGAATCTGCATTTTAAAAAAGAAAAAGCATAACCTCATCATTTTTGCTATTTTAAAGCTGCGAAGCTTAGAGTTAAGCGGGAACCATTTTTTCTTTAAAATTTCAAGTCTTTATGTATTATTGTCAAATACTTTCTAATTAAAAAATAAAAATCTTGGTTTTCTGGTTTTACATTGATAAATTATAAAATAGATATTAAATATATTCTGTGACAAAGCAGTACAACTTGTACACTGTAGATTTTGAATAAATAACGCTTTCCTTGGTAAAATATAGTGTAAACTGCTGAGGGTCCTTTAGTATCAGTTGCAAGGTTAAGCTACTTGGGGGAACACAGATAAATGTGGCATGGTTACAGGCCTACAGCAGCTTAAAATGCATTTGGGAGGCACATAACCATATGTCAGCAATTAGATTGTATAAACATTGGTCAATTAGCATTTTATGACATTAGTATTTTATTTTTCAAAAGTAATTTAACGTAAGTAACTGATATTATAAGTTCCTATATTTTAAAATAAAACAAGACTTAAAAGAATATAAAGAAGAGCTATCATTACTTGTAGAATACTTTTCAAAGAGTCGTTTTTGTGGTTGACGTCAATTTATTCTAATACCATTAATATAAATAGAGATAAAACTATGAAACCAGCAAAGGAAATCCAGTTCAGTAAAAGAAGAAAAATAAAAATTCATTTCACTTTCCTACCCTTTACTGAAAGCTTCACTTTTAAATAGCAAAAGGTGATTATTTAAATATAGCAAAGCTTGACCACTGATTAAGTAATCTGGAAAATTTGCTTGCTTACCTGACTTGGCCAGTGCTCTTGTTGGAAATGTATTCTGGATGTTTCTGGTTAAAAATGGGTGTGGATTTATAGACACACACACACACACCTGACCTACAACCTCACCTGCATAGAAACAAGAGCATAGTTACCGGAAAACAAACTTAGAAAAATAGGCTGGTCTGAAAAACTCTGTACTTCTTTCCAGTTCTCATGCTTCTCACACTAAAAAAGCTCTATTCTTTTTCTCTAAATTAAGATTGAATGTCCTCATAAAATAAGGTCAAATACCATCTTTGTGCTTCTTTCTCTTTTACCTTTTATTTCCCAAGGTAGTTTAATGTTTGGCTGAAGTTCAGCACAAAAAAAAAAAAGAAAAGGAAGAAAGAAAACGGAATGAATTTAAGAACTGTGTGCATGCCATTGTTCAAATAGAAATTCCTAAGGGTTACTCTGTTTACAGGAATATAATTAACAGCTAAAGAGATTGGGTCCTTTTTTTTTTGAGAGAGAAGGAAATAAAAATTCTGTTTTAAAGTTGAACATTTTCATAATTTGATTATTCTTTACAATTTTTCTATAAAACCTTTACTGCACAAAAAATTAGAAAAACAGGCCATTAGATAAGTTTAAATTTATCTAATAGTTAGATACTGTTGAATTAATTGAGAGTAATTATTTAATTACTGTTAAAATAACGTAAGGCAGTGTGTCATCAAATTTGGCATACCTGTTTTTTGTACAGCCCAGGAAACAGGAACGGTTTTGACATTTTTAAACGGTTGGGGAAAAAAACCCAAAAGAATCATATTTTGTGACATGTGAAAGTTATATGAAATTCAATTTCAGTGTCCTTAAGTAGAGAGAGATGTGGCGGATGGCATGCAGCCATGTGCATTTGCTTACTAGTGTCTATGGCTACTTTTGCACTGCAACAGCAAAGTCCGGTACAGTCCAGGACAGTGGATACCAAAATCTGTGCACACTCAAAGTCCCATATCTGGCCCTGCGTAACCCACAGATATGAAAAGTTGGTCCTCCGCATATGCAGGTTTGGCATCCCGTGAACACAGTATTTTTGATCCACTTTTGGTTGTGGATACAGAACTTGCCCATATGAAGGAATATATTAAAAAAAAATCCTTCTCTAAGTGAACCCACACAATTCAAATCTATGTTGTTTAAGGGTCAACTGTGCTTGTGACAGGGACTGTATGATCTGCAAAACCTAAAATATTTACTATCTTTAGTAAATGTTTACAGAAAATGTTTGTTGAACCTTAATCCAGGGTATTGTTTATAAATTCCTTCCTTCCTTCTTTCCTTCCTTTCTTCCTTTGCTTCCTTTCTTCCTCTCTCCCTCCCTCCCTTCCTCTCTTCCTCCCTTCCTCTCTTCCTCCCTTCCTCTCTTCCTCCCTTCCTCTCTTCCTCCATCCCTCCATCCCTCCATCCCTCCCTTCTCCCACCCTTTTTTTGTTTCTTTTTTTTGTGGGGAAGGGTCTAATTGCTCTGAATACATTAACAAATATACTGTGCAAGAATGGGAGTGATGATTGTCTTGCTCCTGATGTTAAAGCGGGTGTGCTTCCAGTATTTTAACTTTAGATGTAGTGCTGGATTTGGCTGAGTTGACCATGTTAAGAAGGTAACCATTATTCTTAAACTACATCTCTTAAAAGCAGGACTGTTGGATTTTGTTCTATAAAGATGGGCATATGGATTTTCTCATTTGTTATAGAAAATTTTACTGTTTTCCTAATTAAACTTTCCATTGTCCTGAAAGAAACTTCATGTAGCTAGGTTGTATATTCTTTAACTGTACTGCTGATTTGTGTACTTGTCTAACTGTGCTTTCTTCCTTACATAGGATTCTCAAAGGGACCCTTCCCTGGAACATGCTATTCAAATGGAATCCTTCTTGCTGAAGGTTATGAAACTTGACATATAATTTTAATTTTAAATCCAGCCAGCCTTTGCAAAGCAAAGAAATGGCTGGGCAATAATCCTTATATTTCTCTGTTAGTGAAAAGTCTGGGAAAGCTTTCAACTTCTTGTTGACTGAGAGTGGTTACGGAAAAATCTCCAAATATTCTGCATCCCTGTTAAACTTCTCACATAATATTCATTTAAATAAATTATAAGATAAGAGTGAGAAAGAGGAAGTCGAGTACCTGTGGGGTAGTGAAACTAGACCCTATAATGTCTGAGCTGATCAGTGTCTTTTGGTCTCTCCCACTAGGGTGATAATGCAATGTGTCCTCTAACCCAGGACAATTTTGAAAGTAAAAGGAGGTAATAAAGTCATTGGAATTATAGCATCTTAAAATAATATTTTGAAATATATATTTGTCATCCAAAATTTGTTTTATTGTGTAATAGATCACAAATGGTTCTATGAAAGATTATTCTTAGAAGTAAAATTATTTAAAGTATATTCATGTACATGATGGCAAATTATACAAATTATTCTTTGTATATAATTATGTTAATCATTTTCTTAACTGTACCTATCTGATACCAGGTGGCTGGTATTTTTCTGGCATTAACTGTCTTTATTTTTTCAATGTGACCTCATATTTATTTTTTCATAAAATTGCCTGCAATAATCTTCAAAATCAATCTTACGGTTAATGGATTTGGAATTGTCAACAGCTTCAATTGACTCTTCCTGTAGGTCATATTACATCCTATTTTTAATTAAGAAAATAATTTTTCTATAGCCGATGGGTTACCCAGTAATTTGAGAAAGTTCAGTTCACTGGAGGACAGTTTTAATTCTAATTTTAATCTTACTGAAATATTATCTCAAATATTGTCTTTTAGCCTCTGCTTAGAGTACCTTCTTCAACAGAAAATTTTACAAGATAAAACAAGTAACATAAGTCATCTTGCCTTATAATTATTTTAAATGTTTCATTAAATTTCCAAGCTACAAAATTGTAGGGCCTCTCTGTTTCATTCTATTCAGGAACAGAATATAAGTGTGTCTAATTATATACTCTTTTAATAATAAATCAAGCTGTTTTGCTCTTGGAGTTGATTCTTTTGAGGGCATTGTTCTATATTTTTACAAGTTTAATTGGTCACATAAATCATTGGTTAAATATAGGATTAGGATTACCTATTCACTTTGTGTGTGTGTGTGTGTGTGTGTGTGTGTGTATGTGTCCATCTGTTTGTCTGTATTTCAGTTTATCAGTCTCTTACTAAGAAAATATATATACATTTTAAAAGGCTGACAGTGGAAAGTAGGTATTCCTCTTGCCCAGTCTATGGGTCTTCTTGAGGCAATAACGGTTTATACATCTACCTATTTATGTTTGTATATTAACACAAATGGTGCCATTCAATGAATACTTCTGAACCTCTTTTTTATGTAATAATATTGAAGATTGTACCATATTAGGACAGGTATTTGTGAAACTATTCAGTAAATGAAAGAGAATAATGTCTTGCAGAGAGCATTTATGTATCACTGTTTTCTAAATCCTGTAGAGGCAAATAGTTATTTTTAAAAATATTGGGTTTGGAGAAAAAAGACTCTTTGGGTTAAAGGAATAGATACCTCCAGAATTCATTATTGAGCTGTGCAATTTTATACCAAACATTTAAATGCATAGTGTTTTTATAAGCCTCTCATAATCAATGTCTGTAACCTACAGGTTCTTGCTCTGTCAAAATTAGTTACACTTCCCATTGCAAAACAATAATGTTTTATTTCCATTAAGCATAAAGTCTCTGAACTTGCAGGGTATTACATCTAAACACTTGATAAACCTGTGGTATTTTTACAATATAAATATAAATGAGATTTATTCCTTGGTATTTGCCCTGTGAGCTAAGTAAGATTAAGTAGAATTGTGCATGTAGCTTTTGGATTAGAGATTCAAGTCCTTCAATCAGGCTCTTACCTGTAGCTTGTCGTGATAACTTTGTACTTTTTCCCATAAAAATGCTTTTATATCTTAAACAGGCATATCATTTTTTCCTGCCATGGTGGAGATCAGGGACTCAGCCTGGCCAGTTTCCTCAGCCCAGGTCAGGGAGGGCCTGTTTTGGAAGACATGAATAAAATTAAAATGGATTGTGCAGAGCTGGGAGGCAGCCATGGTAAATCTGAAGTGAGATCCCCAAATAGTTCTCAAGTAGATGAAGAATAGATACAGAAAATGGGAAGAAGAAAGCAGAGCCAGAGAGTAACAGAAGCAGGGAAAGGAGGGAGACAATAACGGGTGTGGGGAGGAAAGAGTGGTAGGGCTCTTGAGTGATGTGTGGGGCATTTGGCTCCGTTCAACAGGCTGGAGAATATGGATGTGGTCTTACCATGAGATTAGAGGATAAAGAACATTTTTAAGATGGCAAATAAGGTGTTATAATGTGATCCGAGTTTTAAAAGTTATGTTTTAACATGAAAAAATAAATATATTCATAAGTTGCAGACATAAAAGCACCAAGCCATAGAATAAAGTATGTTTCTAGGGAAATTATGAATCTTTCCATAGGGAATCATTTTATTTTGATAGCTTCAAAAATTCTAATAGAAGATTATCTCCTGAAAGAGAATATAGCACCTCTAGTTGATCTTCTTCTTAAGGGCTAAATATTGTATATACAAATCCACAATGAAAATTAGTTTTCAAAGATGTATTTCTAAAAGTCAACTAAATTGTATATTCTTGTAAGTACAAATTGACATTTTCTGTGCTTGATGATTAAACCATACACTGACAGTCCTCAGTCCTGCTAAAACTCTTCATTCATTTCCCTCTTGATTTTATTTATTTATTTATTTATTTATTTATTTATTTATTTATTTATTGAGACAGGGCCTCAGTCTATTTCTCAGCTTGGAGTGCAGTGGCATGATCACAGTTCACTGCAGCCTCTACCTTCTGGGCTCAAGCGATCCTCCCACCACAGCCTCCAGAATAGCTGGGACCACAAGCACGTGCCACCCATACCCAGCTAATTTTTGTGTTTTTTGTAGAGACAGGGTCTCACTAAGTTGCCCAGCCTCCCAAAGTGCTGAGATTACAGGTGTGAGCCACTACACCTGACCCCTCTTAGTTGATTAATACAGAATTTTAAGTTCATATTTTTACCATTGCTATATATTGTTTTTAAAGAATTACTGTACAAAATATTGTTGGTTGTTTACTTAAGACTATTTTTCTTTCATATAGCTCTCTTTTCTGAAACACTGATTTGGTTCAGCTTTTCCCTTTCTACCGTGCTGTTTTATATTTAAGGTGGGCCCCATAGCCAGACTCAGGGGCTAGATTGATTAGTGTATTCCAGTGGTTCTTAACCAGGGTACATTTGGCAATGTCTGGAGACATTTTTGATTGTTTCAATTGGGGAGGGTGCTATAGGTATCTAGTGGGTAGAGAGCAAGGAGGATTCTAAACAATGTACAGAATAGCTCCCTCCAACAAAGAATTATCCATCCCAAAATGTCATTAGTGATGAGGCTGAACCCCTGGTCTATTTTTACCCAATCATGGTGGTCATCTTTCTAAATCACTGTTGGTTTAGGCATAAACATGTGATATAATTCTTGCTGATGAAATAGGGGAAATATAAGGAAAGTTTCCTCTCGTTAATAAAAATCAATAAATGTAAAGAAAATGGCTCCCATTTCCACTGATATAGTCAGATCTGGATGCAATGTATTGAACTCTGACAGCCACCTTAGTTTCATGAGGATGCTTAGGAAGAACAACGTTGATGTACCTTAAAGAGACTGAGAGAAAGATGGAGAGAATCTGTGTCAGGCTGAAGGCTGGTTAAAATATTAGAATCACCATTTTAACCAGCCTCCAGCCTGAAACTGTCGTATCTTAGGGCTTTTTCTAAGAAAAAAATTTTCTTCGTATTGTTTAAGCCAGCTGAGTTTTTGTTACTTTTAGCTATCAGGCAGCATCTTAATTGATAACATTATTTAGCATTTGCTTATTTCATAATTAAATATTTAAACTTTTTTGACATTTAGTTTCATTTTTGATTGAAATTTCTTTTATGTCATATCTTTATCATTATTTATTTTACTTTACTAATAGGCTGGGTAAAATTTTTGTGTGTGTATAATTTTAGAAGAAGGGTACATTGGTGATATTAATTAATCTTTGTAAGTCTAAAATGCCTTTTTGTTCATCTCATGGGAATGAGAGCTTGCTTGAATGTTGGATTATTCATAGTTCAGTACATTTTAGATATAGCTGTTGAGGGTTCTGACTGTTTAGTGTACACCATCTTCTATTTGGTATGGAAGAAAGGTTTGAGGACCATCTGTCGTTATTGTGTGACCTATCTTTTTTTCTTGTCTAGAAGCTTGTAGAATTATTTGCTTGTTATTAAAATTAAAAATGTTAATCAAGGCCGGGCGTGGTGGGCTCACGCCTGTAATCCCAGCACTTTGGGAGGCTGAGGCGGGCGAGTCACCTGAGGTCAGGAGTTCGAGACTAGCCTGGCCAACATGGCAAAACCCAGTCTCTATTAAAAATACAAAAATTAGCTGGGCATGGTGTTGCACACCTGTAATCCCAGCTACTCAGGAGGCTGAGGCAGGAGAATCGTTAGAATCTGGGAGACGGAGGTTGCAGTGAGCCAAGATGGCACCGCTGCATTCCAACCTGGGCAACAGAGCAAGACTCTGTCCAAAAAAAAAAATGTTAACCAAGGCCATTTCCATCACAGTTATGGCGGCTAACACTAGTACCAGCTCCTTACAGCTGCTACTGCTAGAGCTTGTAGACAAATGTAAGAATCAAAAATTCTCATTGTGATGAAAACTGATAAGGAAATTGTTGATACTCTTCTAGGATTTGATAACTTTGTCAATATGGTACTGCAAGATATCACTGAGTTTGAAATCCCACCAGAAGAAAGAATACTAAATTAGATCAGATTTTGCTAAACGGAAATAATATAATAATGTTGGTTCATGGAGGAGGAGGACCTGAGGTATGAATGTGTTTCCTTGACTTATGCTGGATTCTGTTTTGTCTTGTAATGAAAAGAAAATAGATTTTTTTTTTTTTTGCCTTTTAGTGTTTAGATCCTGTAAAGCTAAGTTTCCTATTAAGGGAAATGTTTTGAAGATGTATACCCATTTTTGTAAGTTAATCATGATTATCTTGGAAAAGAAGAAAAGAGTTTCTTCGAAGACTAAAATAGAAGTGTTTTGGTTAAAAAATTCATCAAGGTATTATAAAATATAAATTGCTACTTCTTAATTTTGCCTAAGACTCAATAAATGTGTCTAATTATAAACACCCAAGGCTGTGTTCAGTTTCTAGAAGTGTTTCTTCTTATCATCTAGCTGGTTATTGATTTTCATTATGATCAACTCTTTATTTCTGTAAAACTTGTTTTCCAGATTTGAGATGTTCCTTGACTTACGGTGGAGTTACATCTTGATAAACACATTATAAGTTGAAGATATTGCAAGTTGAAAATGCATTTGATATACCTAAACTACTGAACATTGTAGCTTAGCCTAGCCTACCTTAAATGTGTTCAGAACGCTTACATTAGCCTTCAACTGGGTAAAATCGTTTGGCAACACACTGCACTGTAGAGTATTGATTTACCCTCCAGATCTCATGGCTGACTGGGAGCTGGGGCTCGCTGCCTCTGCCCAGCACAAGAGAGTCTGCTACTACATATTACTAGCCTGGAAAAAGATCAAAATTCAAAATTTAAAGTATGATTTCCACTAAATGCATATGGCTTTTGCACCATTATAAAGTTAAAATTATAAGTCAAACCGTAGTAAGACCATCTGTATTGGAAATCTGACATTATTATCTATGTGTCCTTTATAATTTGCATCTCTTTAGTCTGCCTCCACAGAGGCCTGAATTTCTCTTTTTTTTTTTTAACCGATTTGATCCTTGTAGTAGTCAGTTTATTCTTTATTGTTCCCATTACAGTAAAAAAGTTAGCAATCACACTTTTCAGTTTGAAACCTCTTTTCTAGCTTCAAATTGTTTTGTTTATGACTACAGATCTTGTTTTTATATCTGTATGATAAGATGCTTCTGTAAGGGGTTTAGCCAGCTATTAAACCTCCAGAGTGACCTCATTTCCTAAGCCAGCACCTTTGTCAGGTTTACACTGTGGTTGCCTTTGTAGCTCCCCACTGCATGAAGACTCCAGGTTTTATTGTACTTCCTGGAAATGCCAGCAGAATGAACAATTTCTCCCACAAATCATTGCATGACTTAGCTTTATTTTCAGGCCCCACTGCAAACCTTTTGGAGGCAGGTGCTGTCCCTTCCCTTAAGCCCTGCAGGCTGTCTTTTATACGTATTAGATTATGGGCATGTCAGTCCTCACATCTGTCTGTGCTGTCTTAGAGAGATTTCTTGAATTTTCAGTTTGACTAAGTACATCTATCTGTCATTTCCAAGTGGGTATAATTGTCTCCTTACTATATTCAAAATAGAAGAATGTGGGCTGAGTTTGGCATCTTGTATAGAATGCTACCATTTACTCCACTTTAAATTGAACCTAACATAGGTTGAGTGAGTTGTCCAAACTCACAGTAAGTAGCAGAGCCTGGTCTTAAACTTAGATCATTTGAACCCAAATTTTGTGTTCTTTCCACTATGGAAGTCAGTATGCATAGTAGTTAAGAGTGGGAGTCCTAGAGAAGGAGAGTAGACAGGTTCTGGCATCTGGAGGAGTGGGCCCATAGGGGATCATGACAAGGAATTGATTCTCTAGTCAAGCATGAACACGAAAAGAGAATTTTCTTTTCACACCTTACTTCACAGTGTGACCACTGATTTCAATCCCACCTTTTGTGATACTTCCTCTAACATTGTTGTCATTGCCTTAACAATTGTCATGACTTGTTAGTTATGCGAGGAGAAGTGATCATGGGGCCATTTGCCCTGAGCATCCAGCCTCCAGTGGTCCTTCTATTCTGGGGCTAGGATGTCTGGGTTCCAATCCTGCTCAGTAGCCACCATGACCACAGAGAAATTACTAATGCAAATAGAAATGTTGATAATATTTATCGCACAGAAGTGTTGTAATGATGAAATGTGAGAGAACATGAAAAGTGACAGAAAGCAGGCAGTACCTTCCCAAACATGTGGGCCTACCCTAGAGCAGGCTCTTTGGTAGTTAATGAAGATAAGACAGCAAATACAAAGGTCAAGTTGCTCCCTTTTTTGGAAGAGAAAATAAATGAGTATTTAAAAAATGATAGTTGATGAGTTCCCAATAAATATTAGCTTCTCTTATTTATTATATAACTATTATTCAAGTGAGCCCACTAAGCCCAGGAACTAGTGAGAAAACTCTCTTAGCAATAAGATGGACTGATGTATTAGGTATTTTCCCAAAACATGATTTTTTAGAGGGTAGACTTCTCTCAAGAGGAGAAGGAGCCAGTTTTGAAAATTCATGATTCAAGTACTAATTGCATTTCAATTTAAACAAGTTTAATTCAGTTTTGTTCATGTTTTACTTGGCCCAACAAATTATCCTAGTGAGCTGTCTGTCTGCCGAGGAGGTGGGTTTACAACCTGAAGAGTCAATTTGGAAACTGAACAGGAGCTGAGCTGAGCTACTCTCTGACTCTGACATTAGATGTCACTACAATCAAAGGAAAGCAGAGCGGGCAACCTAGCAGTGAAGTGAAACTTGAACATGGTAGAGGAAAGAGACATGTTTAGATTGTGGTGCAAAGTTCCTGGATAAGAACTTGTGATATGATTTGCCTATCCACCTTGCCATGGGGAAAAAGGAGAATTTTAATATATGTATGACAGCTGCATTCATTTTCCTAAGACATTGACTAGGAACAACTCCTAACCACTTTGCACATCTTGGTATTTCTTCCCCTAATAGATAATAGAACTGATAGAGGCCCCCAAGGATTTTCAGTGCAGAATATTCCTAATAGGTTCTAAACGAGAATTTTACTGGACCAGATCACTAAGTCTAGTTCTTCTAATGAGCTTAATGCTTAAAGCTTAAGTTGTCTTTCAAATATTCTTCAATTATAAACTTTATCAGGTGTTTCCAAAGTTTCTTTGCTTAAAGATGTGAAGAACCCCAGGTTACTGGTATTTGTGTGTTAAGAGTAGAATTACCAGGTACAGTCACATTTGTTTACTTAAGCAAAATATCTACAAACAGCTGGAGGGCAGGGGACCCAACTAATGTTTCCATTTATTGCTAGGCAACTGGGTGAACTGAAAAGTCCATCCTCCCAAGGGATATTATATTAAATATATCTTTTTATGTGTGTGAACTGGCACACACTATTGGAATAGATTCAGAATATCTAACAATTGATGCAGCATAGGTACCAATGAATTAAATCTAGCGATGGCTAGGGCTTCCAGGGGAAAATAAGGGTGCTCCATATGGGTGTAGGGAGGACCTGATGGGGAACAACTGCTGCAGTACCTATTTATCAACTCCTGAGGGAAGTACTTTGACATATTAATAACTGGGATGACTGTACCAGTATCTATTGGTTGAATATCAGCCTGTGTATATATAACTTGGCTTATCAAGAGCCCACAAGATCTCTGGTTTAGGTTCCAAGTACAAGTATCAAAGTTCATTCTCATTACCCTCTTGATAATGGTCTGGGCTGCTAATTTTTACATTGCTTTAGTGATGGGAAGGTCCCACATGGAGGGAAATTTTATGAAATATGCAGAGAGAAGCTTGGTCTTTACATGTCTACATCTTCTTTTTTCAAGCTGTGATGAAGGCCTTGATTCTGATGGGCATCAAGAGGCAGATACAGCTCAGAAGATTCAGAAAGGCAGACTCGTGTCTAACATAACTACATTACCTTGGTGATCCCAGGAATTAGTAGACTGATACTGGGGATAGGAGTGGGGTTCTCAGTATTGGTGACAAAGTTTGTTTTAAAGTGTCCTGATTTTTTTCCTTTGCTCTACATGAGAATTAATGCACCAGTTTGCAATATATGTAAACTGTTTCATGTAGATTTGTTGAAGAAGAAAGACTGGATTTCAAGGGCCTAAGAGCAGGCAGTTTTCATGTTCAAGGTGTTTTCACATCGTATGCAGTGCTTAGATTACTGAGCCCATAGTAGTTACCTAATTCTTATTTGATACTTGATTGATATTTTTGTTTTCTGTAGATTATTCTCATTGAGAAGAAACGGACCTATGACTGATTTCAGACCAGTGATTTTGGTAATGTTTTGAATTTACTGTAATTATTTAAGCTGTTCTTCTGAATACTTGTACCATTTTCTTGGTGATTCAGAACGAAACTTACAGCTAAATTATCTGGGTTATATTAATCTTTGCATGCATTAAAACTGCTGTTTTTATAATGGAAAGAAAGAGGACTACTACCTATGTATATCTCAATGTGTCTGTGCCACGCTGTTTTAATTATGCCAAGTGTTCACTGACAAAAGTGTGAATGGAGCATACAATTTAAAAATATGAACATGTTATTAATATTTGGCACTATAACTGTAACAATCACTGATTATCATCATGATTGGGGACCTTGTCTCACCAATACCAGAGACATATTGATGTCACGATGAACTGTATTTTTCTACTATTATGTGAAATTACTTTCTTTTAATTCCACTATTTCTCATTGTTTGGCCACTTTTACTTAGGGGTTTTCTCTCTATTTCATTGTTACATGTATTTTTTTTTGTTCAAATGTCTTAAAAATTCCAATTCTTAAGGTTGATTCCATTGTACATCTTTGAATTTCACAGTGTATAGTTAGATTGTAGTCTTGTCAAGATGAGAAATTACCATGATGCCATGATAGCTTCTAACAATGCTACTGTTTCAGAAGTCAGGATCCAAGGTCTCATAGACCAAATTAAGACCTCAAACTATGTGGCTTATTGAGTCAGAACACAGTGAGAAGCAAAGGACAAAGAGTAATGTAACTTGGATGGGATGCAAATGAGAAGGAGGGACTACAATACTTAAATCTAGAGCTGCATACTATCCATATATCCTGCCCCTTTCCACTTCATTAGTATTCCCTGTTAATGGTAGGCAAATGATGACTGAGTGCACATGGGAAAGGAGGCTCGGCAGAAAGAAGGTGCTCAAAGTCACCTTGGTATATCTGAGAGACCACAGGGCAAAATGACCAGTAGCTATTTTTATATAGCAATGACTTTTGTCTGTATGGGGCAGAAAACATGAGGAGCCAGAATGAGTGTCAACAACAGGTGACTGACTTAACTATGATGTTACTGAAGGTGGCATGATTTGAATCTAGAAAAATATACAAATATATATATATATACACACACACTTACACATATATACTTTTACATCTTTAATGATATTTAATTTGAATAAAATGCATTCATTTAAAATTACATTTCTAAGACTTTTGAAGAAAGTCTTATGTAACTTCTAGCACAATTAAGATACAGAATATTTTCATCAGTTTCCAAAATTTCCTTGTGCCACTTTGTAGTCAATGGCCCACCCTAAACCCTAGACAACCACTATTCTTTCTGTCTGTATAGATTAATTTTGTCTTTTCTAAATAAAATTATATAGAATGCGGTCTTTCGTGTTTAGCTTCTTATGCTAACCACATTTTTGAGATTCATCCATGTTATGTCTTGTATTGGTAGTTCATTCCTTGTTATTGCCGAGTGTTATTCCACTATATAAACAGATCTCAATTTCTTTAGCCACTCACCTATTTTTTTTCTGATTTTTTTCTTTTCTACTTTTTTAACTTTTATTTTAAGTGCAGGGTTATGTGTGGAGGTTTGTTACATAGGTAAACTTGTGTCATGGGGGTTTGTTGAACTGATTATTTCATCACCCAGGTATTAAGCCTAGTACGACTTAGTTATTTTTTCCTCTCCTCTCCCTTCTCCCATCCTCCACCCTCCAATAGGCCCCAGTTTATGCTGTTCCCCTCTGTGTGTCCATGTGTTCTCATCATTTAGTTCCCACTTAGAAGTGAGAACATGTAGTATTTGGTTTTCTGTTCCTGTGTTAGTTTGCTAAAGATAAAGGCCTCCAGCTCCATCTATGGCCCTGCAAAGGACATAGTCTCATTCTTTTTAGTGGCTGCATAGTATTTCATGGTATATATGTACCACATTTTCTTTATCCAGTCTATTATTGATGGGCATTTAGGTTGATTCCATGTCTTTGCTATTGTGAATAGTGCTGCAATGAACATACATGTGCATGTGTCTTTATAATAGAATGATTTATATTCCTTTGGGTATATAACCAGTAATGGTACTGCTGAATCAAATGGTATTTCTGTCTTTAGGTCTTGAGGAATTGCCACACTGTCTTCCACAATGGTTGAACTAATTTACACTCACACCAACAGTGTTTAACTATTCCTTTTTCTCCACAAACTCACCAGCATCTGTTACTTTTTGACTTTTTCAAAATAGCCATTCTGACTGGTATGAGATGGTATCTCACTGTGGTTTTGATTTGCATTTCTCTAATAATCAGTGTCACTGATTTTTTTTTCCAAAGGATTGTTGGCTGCATGTATGTCTTCTTTTGAAATGTGTCTGTTCATGTTCTTTGCTCACTTTTTAGTGTTTTTTTCTTTTCTTGTAAACTTGTTTAAGTTCCTTATAGATGCTAGATACTAGACCTTTGTCAGATGGATAAACTGCAAAAATTTTCTCCCATTCTGTAGGTTGCCTGTTCACTCTGATGATAGTTTCTTTTGCTATGCAGGAGCTCTTTAGTTTAATTATATCCCATTTGTCAATTTTGACTTTCCATGCAATTGTTTTTGGTGTTTTCATCATGAAATCTTTGCCCATGGTTGTCCTGAGTGGTACTGCCTAGATTTTCTTCTAGGGTTTTTATAGTTTTAAGTTTTATATCTAAGTCTTTAATCCATCTTGACTTAATTTTTATATATGGTATAAGGAAGGGGTCCAAATTCAATTTTTTGCATATGGCTAACCAGTTCTCTCGCACCGTTTATTAAATAGGGAATCCTTTCCCCATTGCTTGTTTTTGTCAGGTTTGTAGAAGATCAGATGGTTGTAGGTGTGTGGTCTCATTTCTGATTTCTCTATTCTGTTCCATTGGTCTATGTGTCTGTTCTTATACCAGTACCAGTGTTTTGGGTACTGTAGCCTTATAGTATAGTTTGAAGTTGTATAGCATGATGCCCCCAGCTTTGTTCTTCTTGCTTAGCATTGTCTTAGCTATTTGGGCTCTTTTTTGGTTCCATATGAATTTTAAAACCGTATTTTCTAATTCTGTGAAGAATGTCAGTGGCAATTTAATGGGAATAGCATTAAATCTATAAGTTACTTTGGGCAATATGGCCATTTTAATGCTATTGATTCTTCATTTCCATGAGCATGGAATGTTTTCCCATTTGTTTGTTTCCTCTGATTTCTTTGAGCAGTGGTTTGTAGTTCTTGAAGAGGTCCTTCACTTCCTTTGTTAGCTGTATTCCTAGGTATTTTATTCTTTTTGTAGCAATTGTGCATGGGAGTTCATTCATGATTTTGCTGTCTGCTTGCTTGTTGTTGATGTATAGAAATGCTAGTAATTTTTGCACATAGATTTTATATCCTGAGACTTCGCTTAAGTTACTTATCAGCTTAAGAAGCTTTTGGGGTTTTCTAGATATAGGGTCATGTCATCTGCAAACAAGGATAATTTGACTTCCTTAATTCCTATTTGAACACACTTTATCTTTTCTCTTCCCTGGCCAGAACTTTCAATACTATGTTGAATAGAAGTGATGAGAGGCCGGGCGCGGTGGCTCACGCCTGTAATCCCAGCACTTTGGGAGGCCGAGGCGGGCGGATCACGAGGTCAGGAGATCGAGACCATCCCGGCTAACACGGTGAAACCCCGTCTCTACTAAAAATACAAAAAATTAGCCGGGCGTAGTGGCGGGCGCCTGTAGTCCCAGCTACTCGGGAGGCTGAGGCAGGAGAATGGCGTGAACCCGGGAGGCGGAGCTTGCAGTGAGCCGAGATCCCGCCACTGCACCACTCCAGCCTGGGCGACAGAGCGAGACTCCGTCTCAAAAAAAAAAAAAAAAAAAAAAAAAAAAAAAAAAAAAAAAAAAGAAGTGATGAGAGAGGGCATCCTTGTCTTATGTCGATTTTCAAGGGGAATGCTTCCAGCTATTGCCCATTCAGTATGATATTGGCTATGAGCTTGTCAATAATGGATCTTATTATTTTGATGTGTGTTCCTTCAATACCTAGTTTATTGAGAGTTTTAAACATAAAGGGATGCTCAATTTTATTGATGGCCTTTTCTGCATCTATTGAAATAATCATGTGGTTTTTATCTTTAGCTCTATTTATGTGATGAATTACGTTTATTGATTTGTATATGTTGAACTAACCTTGCATCCCAGGGATGAGGTCAACTTGATCATGATGTTTAAGCTTTTTGATATGCTGTGGATTCAGTTTACCAGTATGCTATTGACAATTTTTGCATCAATGTTCATCAAGGTTATTGAGCTGAAGTTTTCTTTTTTTGTTGTACCTCTGCCAGGTTTTGGCATCGGGATGATGCTGGCCTCATAGAATAAGTTAGGGGGGAAGTCCCTCCTTTTTGATTTTTTGGAATAGTTTCAGTAGAAATGGTACCAGCTCTTCTTTGTACCTCTGGTAGAATTCCACTGTGAGTCTGTCTGGTCCTGGGCTTTTTTTTTGGTTAGTAGGCTATTTACTACTGCCTCAATTTCAGAACATGTTATTGGTCTCTCAGGGATTCAATTTCTTCCTGGTTCAGTCTTTAGAGGGTGTGACTGTCCAAGAATTTATCCATTTCTTCTAGATTTTCTAGTTTATGTGCATAGAAGTGTTTATAGTATTCTCTGATGATTGTTTGTATTTCTGTGGGGTCAGTGGTGATATTCCCCTTATTTCTGATTGTGCTTATTTGATTCTTTTCTCTTTTCTCATTTATTAGTCTGGCTAGTGGTATATTTTATTATTAATATTTTTTTCAAAAAACCAGCTCCTGGATTCACTGATTTTTTGAAGGGTTTTTTGTGTTTCTATCTCCTTCAGTTTGGCTTTGATCTTGGTTACTTCTTGTTTTCTGCTAGCTTTAGGGTTTGTTTGGTCTTGATTCTCTAGTTCTTTCAGTTGAAATGTTAGGTTGTCAACTTGACATCTTTCTAGCTTTTTAATGTGGACATTTAGTGCTATACATTTTCCTCTTAACACTGATTTAGCTGCTTTTCAGGGATTCTGGTACATCGTCTCTTTGTTCTCATTAGTTTCAAAGAACTTCTTGATGTCTGCCTTAATTGTATTATTTAGCCAAGAATCATTCAGGAGTAGGTTGTTCAACTTCCATGTAGATGTGTGATTTTGAGTGGATTTCTTAATCTTGAGTTCTAATTTGATTATGCTATGGTCTGAGAGACTATCTGTTATTATTTCAGTTCTTTTGCATTTGCTGAGGCATGTTTTACTTTGGCTTATGTGATCGATTTTAGAGTAAATGCCATGCAGTGATGAGAAGAATGCATATTCTGTTGTTTTTGGGTGGAGGGTTCTGTAGATATCTATCAGATTCACTTGATCCAGAGCTGAATTTAGGTACTTTGTTAATTTTGTCTTGGTGATCTGTCTAATATTGTCAGTGGGGTGTTAAAGTCTCCCGCTATTACTATGTGGAAGTCTAGGTCTCTTTGTAGGTCTCTAAGAACTTGCTTTATGAATCTGGGTGCTCCTCTATTGGGTTCATGTATATTTAGGATAGTTCCCTCTTGTTGAATTGAACACTTTACCATTATGTAATGCACTTCTTTGTCTTTTTTTTTTTTTTTTTACCTTTGTTGGTTTAAAGTCTGTTTTTTCAGAAACCAGGACTGCAACCCCTGCTTATTTCTGTTTTCCATTTGTTTTGTAAATTTTTCTCCATTCCTTTATTTTGAGCCTGTGTGTGTCTTTGCAGATGAGATGGGTCTCTTGAAGACAGCATACTGATGAGTCTTAGAGCTTTATCCAGCTTGCTATTCTGTGTCTTTTAATTGCGGGCATTTAGCCCATTTATATTTAAGATTAGTATTGTTATGTATGACTTTGATCCTGCCATTATGATGCTAGCTGATTATTATGCAGACTTGTTTGTGTGGCTGCTTCATAGTGTCACTGGTCTCTATATTTCAGTGTGTTTTTGTAGTGGCTGGTAACAGTCTTTCCTTTCCATATTTAGTGCTTCCTTCAGGAGCTCTTGAAAGACAGGCCTGATGGTAATGATTTCCCTCAGCATTTGCTTGTCTGAAAAGGATCTTATTTATCTTTTGCTTATGAAGCTTAGTTTGGCTGGATTAAAATTCTGGGTTGGAAACTATTTTCTTTAAGAATGTTGAATATTGGCTCCCTAATTCCTCTGGCTTATAGGGTTTCCATTGAGAGGTCCACTGTTAGTCTGATGGGTTTCCCTTTGTAGGTGACCTGGCCTCTGTCTCTGACTGCCCTTAATGTTTTTTCATCTATTTCAATTTGGAGAATCTGATAATTATTTGTCTTGGGGTTGATCTTCTCATGGAGTATCTTTCTGGGGTTCCCTGCATTTCCCGAGTTTGAATGTTGGCCTCTTGTGCTAGGTTGGGGAAGTTCTCCTGAATGATATCCTGAGGTATGTGTTCCAACTCGGTTCCATTTTCCTTGTTTGTTTCAGGTACCCTAATCTGTCATGGGTTTGGTCTCTTTACATAACCCATAATTCCCAGAGGTTTTGTTCATTCCTTTTCATTCTTTTTTCTCTATTCTTATCTGCCTGTCTTATTTCAGAAAGATAGTCTTCAAGCTCTGAAGTTCTTTCCTCCACTTGGTCTATTCTGCTATTGATAGTTGTGACTGCATTGTGAAGTTCTCGTGTTGTGTTTTTCAGCTTCATCAGCTCAGTTATGTTCCTTTCTAAACTGGCTTTTCTGACTATAAGGTCCTGTATTATTTTATCATGATTCTTAGCTTCTTTGCATTGGGTTACAACATGCTCCTTTAGCTCAGAAGTTTGTTATTACCCATCTTCTGAAGCCTCTTTCTGTCAATACAACCATCTCACCCTCAGCCCAGTTCTGTGCCTTTGGTGGAAAAGTGTTGTGGTCATTTGGAGGAGAAAAGGCATTCTGGCTCTTTGAGTTTTCAGCTTTTTTTTTCATTGATTATCTCTCATCTTTATGGGCTTATCTACCTTCAATCTTTCAGGTTGCTGACCTTTGAATGGGGTTTTTGTGTTTTGTTGTTGTTGTTGGTGGTGGTGGTGTTTTCTGTTTGATGGATTTTCCGCCTTGGCAGGGACCTGGGGGTCAGAGTATGTAAAACTTCTAGGTCTCTGCATGCCTGAGTGGCTGCTCTGCCAAGACTCCATACAGCTCTGTGTATTGGACCCAAGGCCCTGGTGGCCTGGGCTCACAAGGGGATCTCCTGATTCACAGATTGCAAAGATCCATAGGGGAAGTGTGGCTTCCTGGGCGGGGTTGCACAATCACTTACCACCTCCCCTGGCTGAGGGTGGGAGTTCTCTTGGTTCTGTGCCACTCCTGGGTAGGCCGCTGCCTCTCCCTGCTTCTCTTTGTTCTCCATGGGTCCAGCTGCTTGCCTATTTATGCAAGAACCTGGATACCTCAGTTGAAGGTACTGAATTCACTCATCCCTTTTCTTTCCTCTCTGTGAGTGCCGTGGACCCTAGCTTTCTAATTAGTCATCTTGCCTCCACCTATTTTCTCGTCCAAACATGCCCCCATTTCTTTATTTTAAACATGTAGTAGAATTCACCATAAAGACAATTGGAACTAGAGTTTTATTTGTGGAAAGTTTAAAATAAAAAAAAAAAGGCTTTTATTTTGAAATAATTATATATTCACAAGGAATTGCAAAGATAGTCCAGAGAGGTTCTGCATAGTCTTCAGCAGTTTTCCTTATTGATTATATCTTACCTAACTACAATACAATAACAACGCCAGGAAACTGGTATTGCCACAAAATGCGTATATAGTTCTGTGCAGTTTTTATGCTGTTAATATATAGGGCTATTCCATCATCACAAAAATCTCCCTCATACTATCCTTTTATAGTCACCCCATCCTCTTCCCTCTTTCAACTCTAAGCCATGACAACCACTAATCTCCATTTATGGCCTTTAACCTTCCTCTTCTTATAATACAATTATCTTAAAAATTTACTCTATATAAATTAAGAGCTACTTCAGTGTTCTAATGTTTGCTTCAACCTTGAAACATAATTTAGAAAACTCAAGAAGTTAAGTCTGTTGTATTTACTTATATTCTTACTCGTTCTGTTGTTCTTCCTGATGTTCTCAGATTCTATCTTTTATTATTTCCATTATATTTCAAGAACTTCCTTTAGCCATTCTTTCAGGGTAGGTCTGCTGGCAACAATTTCTCTTTATCTGATTTTGATTCCCCATCTAATTTTTAAAGGGTATTTTCACTGGATGGAATTTTGTATTGATAACTTTTTTCTTTCTGCTCTTGAAAAATGTTCACTATAGTGTCTGATGATAAATCCGCTGTCATTTGAATTGTTGTCACAAATTAATTGATAATGTATTTTTTCCCTTTAGGTAATGTATAATTTTTCTCTCTAGATTTTTTTCTTTGTATTTAGTTATTTAGAATTTTTTATTATGATATGTCTCTAGGAGGAGTTCTCTGGGTTTTTTTCCGTTTGAGATTCACTCAGAATCTTAAATCTGTGAATTTCTGTCATTTACATTTTTGGAAATTTGTTAGCCATTATTTATTTTAATATTCTTCTAGCCTTACCTTCCTTCTCTTCCAAAATTCCAATGACATGGATGTTAGATCTTTTGTTATGGTCTCACAGGTCCCTGAGGCTCTGTTTATTTTTTGCCAGTCAATTTTCTTTTTGTTGTTTGGAGTGGGTCATTTATTTTGTTCTATCTTCAAGTTCACTGATTCTTTCTTCTGTTTTCTCCATTCTGCTGTTGAGCCCATCTAGTTAGTTTTAATTTTTGTTACTGTATTTTTCAGCTCTAAAATTTCCTTTTGATTTTTTAATAGCTTCTATTTATCTATTGAGACTTTTTCTTTTCTGTCTTTTTTAAAAAGTTTGTTTTTATCACGTTTGTAATTGCTCATTAAAGGATTTTTATTATCACTGTTTAAAAATCCTTGTCAGAGAATTTTAATATTTCTGTCATCTATCGATTGTCTATTTTCATGCAGGTTGATACTTTTCTGGGTCTTAGTATGATGCATGATTATTCACTGAAACCTGGACATTTTTGGTGTTATGTTATGAGACTATCTTAATAAATTTTCTGTTTTAGCTGTCCTCCTCTGATTCCACTCTTGTAAGGGTAGGGAATTAGGAAATAATGCCCACTTATTTTTGGGGGAAGATGAAATTCCAGTTTCCCCAAATGGCCTCAGTTGGCACCTAGGGCGGGAGTACTGATTCCCCACTATGCCTTGCTAATACCACTCTGCCTGAGAAGAATAGGAGGACTTTGCCACTTTTCCCCATTCAGCCTCCATGAGGCCACAGGGGAGATGACCTCATTAACACTGAGTGACGGTGAATGTCCCGACTTTCTACTAGGTTTCTGACGCTAACCCGGAGGTGAATGAAAAGAGTACTTTGTTATCACCTAGTGGGTGTGGAAGTCTAGGCTCCCTGTGTGGTCTTCACAGACACTGTGAGAGTAGACCTCACTGTGACCTCACGAATATAAAAATCCAGGTTTCTCCTTGGCCTTCTTTGACATCACTCTGACAGGTAAGTTGAGGTGATTCCTTCCAGCCTGGCAATGATAGGAATCTAGATTGTTTATTTGACCTGTGTTAGTGAGCGTGAATTTGTAGGGGTTTTTCTTCTACGGTACTTAGGTGGAGTAGAGTAGATATTGTCTAAAAATGTTCTGTATTTCTAGGTTGTCCCTTTCCTGCTCTTTGGTTACATTAACTGACTTTTGTTGAAATTTCTTGTTGATCAGCTCCTGCTGGTGTTTTTGACTTGCTGCCTTCTTCAACACTAAGTTTGGGATATAAGAGGATAAAAAAAATTCCCAAAACTCACGAGCATAATCTTTTTCAAGACCAGAGGTCTCTAACTTGTCGGCTTTCTTCTCTCCATGTTTCAGAGTCATCGTATGCTAGTTTTATATATAAATGTCCTGACTGTTTAGTTGCACTTATTGGGAATAGTAGAAAAAAGTACTACTTCTACTCCATATGTGCAGAAGTGGAATGAAAAACTTCTGATTATGGAATTCAGTTTAGTTAAGTTGATATTCTATGCAGCTTTTCTCTTTCTCCTTGGGTCAGTTATTGTAATATGAATATTTTAAGGAATTTGACTATGTCATGTATATATTCAAATTTGTTGGAATATAGTTTTTCATAAAGTTATTTTCTTATGCTTAAAATCTCTGCCATAATGTCGCTTTTTCTCTAATATTGGCAATTTGTTTCTCTCTTTTTTCTAGATAAGTCTATGTTGTAGTTTATAAATTTTATTAATCTTTTTATTGAACCAACTTTGGTTTCATTGATTTTTCTCTATTTTCAGTTATATATTTTACCGGTTTACACTTTATTATTTCCTTATTTCTGATTCCTTTCTATTTAATTTGCTCTTCATTTTCTGACTTCTTAAGGTAGGAGTTTAGGCCACTGATTTCACATCTTCTTTTCTAATAAAAAGATTTAATTCACAGATTTCCCTTTACACACTATTTTAGCTGCATCCCCCCAAATTTTGACCTTTTCAAAGAATTTTGATTCAGTTCAAAATATTTTCTAAATTTCTCATCTTTTTTTCCTTTTTTACACATTAGTTGGTAAAATGTGTTAATTTCTAAATATTGAGAATTTTTTGGGTATATTTTGATTATTGATTTTTAATTTCATTTTGATGTTTTGAATTATTTCTGACAAAAAATCTATGATAATACTTAGATTTATTCTTTTTTGGGTGTGTATATATATAAATATATAAACATATAGATATATATCACAGATATATAACAAAAAGATATATGTTTTGTTGTTCTTGGGTAAGGTGGTCTATAAATATTAATTAGATTAGAGTGGTTGATAGTGTTCAGATTTTCTATGTCCTTATTTGTATTTTGCCTACTTGATCTATCAGTGGTTGGAACAGATGTGTTGAATTATATTTCTACATGTTTAAACCCCATAATACATTGAATTATTTTTGCTTTATACTCTCAATTACTATTTAGAGAAATTAAAACAGATTTAAAAAATCCTACATACTTACTATTTTAAGCTTTATTCACTCCTTTGAGTAGAACCAAGTTTTCATTGTGATCATTTTCCTTTTGCCAAAAGAATGCCCTTAACTACTTGCTTGAGTGCATGTTTGTGGCTGATAAATTCTTTTCACTCCCACTTTTGAAAAATGTCTTTATTTTGCCTTTTGTTTTTTAAAGACTGTTTCTTTAAAAGTGGATTTAGAATTCTAGATAGACATTCTTTTCTTTCAGCACCGTAGGATATCATTACATTGTTTTTTGTGTTAAATCGTTTCTGACACAAAATTTATGACAATACTTAGATTTATTCTTTTTAAAATATTGATTCCTTTAGTTCTGTCTGGTTTTTATAATTTTTTATCACTATTTTTCAGAAATTTGACTTGCTGTGATTGACTTTGAGTTCTTCCTGCTTGGGATAAATTGAGTTTCTTGTATACTGAATTTAAAATTTTACCAAATTTGGAAACATTTTCAGCCATTATATCTTCAACTTTTTTTTTTTCACTTTCTTTCCTGTCTCTCTTCTATCATTTTGTGAATGTTTATATAATATATAAATATATTTGTATTTGGCATTTCTTAGAATTGTCTGTACTCCAGTATGCATAGTTTCTGTTGTTATATATTGTCGTTTCTCATTTTTCCTGAAGTGTCTAATGTGCTGTTAATCATACCCCATGAAATTCTTATTTCAGATATTATATTTTTTATCTCCAACAGTTTCCTTTGATTATTTTTATATATTCTATTTCCCTATTTACTAGACTTATGTTTTTCTTTATATTCTTAAAATTATCCTATTTATATTTATAAAAGCTTGTTTAGAATTATTCTTCGTAAATTCTTTCATCACTGTCTTTCTTGGATCTGTTTATATTGATTGATTTTTTCCTGTATAGTGGTTAAATTTTCTGCTTCCTTACATGTTTGGTAATTTTTGATTGGATGACAAATATTTAAATTTTTACATTTTTGAGGGATTTAAAAAAAATTTATTTAAAATGTGTATGATCTTTTCATGACAGTCTTGATTATTACAGGCCATGTTTTTAAGCTTTTTGAAGGTGGTCCTGGTATAGCTTTTATTCTAGGGCAGTTTAGTCTCACTATTAAGGTGTGACCCAAGGGATTTCTTGTGAATGTTCGTATGTTCAATGAGGTCTCTTCACTCTGGCTGGTGGAAACTCAAACAATTCCCAGCCCTGTGTGAACTCAGTGAATTGTTTAGTTTACAGATTCTTGATATTTGTTCTTTCCCAGCAGTAGTTCTTCTCTGGCCTCCTGGAATGTCACTTTATGTGTTTGTAAATTGGCATTCAGCCAAAGACTTAAGGAAAACCCTATGCATATTTCTGTAGTTCTTTCAGTATGTAACCCTTTCTATGCCTAACCCATCCTCTGGTCCACAATTTCTAACCCTCGTGGTCTCCCTGAACTTGAATCTTTTTCCCCTCAGCTCTGTTAATATTATCCTTGCTTGTGCTATGGTCCAGAAATTACCTCCAGGCAAAAAGCTCGGGTGATCGTAGAACTCACTTCATTGTTTATCCTCTCAGGAATTACCTCCTATATTGCCTATTGTATAATTCATGAAAAACAGTTGTTTCAGTATTTGTCTACTTGTCTTGTTGTCCAATCTCGTAACAGTTACTCCTTTATGAAAAGAAGTGAAGGTTTGTGCCTTATGCATAGTTAATGTTTACCTTATCCTTCTCTTCCTCTTTATTCCTAAATAATGCTCTTGGGTTTTTTTCCCCTCATCCTTTTAAATCTATGTAAAAATATCATATGTGCTACTTGCTTATTTCATTTATTCTATGCTAACATGTTTTACTGGTTACTTACTTACTTGCTACCTATACTGGACACATCTTACACATATTTCCCACCACATTTTTTTGCTCTTTATAGTAATTCTTTATATGTTTGAGGTTTAAAATTTTCAAGTACTTATTAAGAATTGTCTGGACAGCTAGTTTATGATAGATTTCTCCATAAATATACACATGTGGTTATTTTCTTAGATATAAGGAAAGAATATCTTTAAAATTTTTTAGTCAAAAAGGTCCCTGGTACATGATGAGACTCGTTCATTTTTCATTTTTGGTCAAGCATTATTGGCATGATCTCTTCCTACAGTGGTTCTTCAGGTCAAAGTTACTTTGTAATATTGTTCTGAGTCTTTTTTTGTGTATATAAATGATTTTCTCAAGCTGATTGAAATTTTGGAAAAAATGCTATCCTAGGTATTTTATTATGTATTTACTAAATCTCTTTGGCCTGGCTGGATGCAATTGTGAGAATAAAACTAAGCTTGAGTTACCCTTTTGCTATTATACTCTACCTTCCTTTACAGTGATCTGCTGGCCTCCCTGAGTTCTGATCCCTTTTTTTGAGATGTTTAAAACTCTCTTTGCTTATTTTGTTCCTTGCAAAGTAAAATTCTGACTTGGGTTAAGGGTGAAGTTTTCACTGGGCTATTGTACTAAAGGAGTGAATGTTTTGGTGAAGCTCAAAGAGGTTAAAAGCTTCTGTTTCTTCATGGTGTGTTCTGTTTGGCTACTCCTCTCAAAGGGTTTACATGAAGCAGACATGATAAAACAGCCCAAGGTGCTTTTTTCTTGGGAGAGCCTTATCAAGGAGATTGTGGTAGCTGGCTTAGCTCTGTTTTTCTCTTATTGAAATTTTCCTTGAGTTTATATATCCTTGATTCTTCCTGATAGAGTGGAAAAATGCAAAGGGTCAAGATATGGGTGCAAATTTAAAGGCCAAAAACACCATTAGTTACAAATGGCCAACAAATATATGAAAAAATGCTCAACATCACTAATGATCAGGGAAATGCAAATCAAAACCACAGTGCGATACCACTTTACTCCCGGAAGAATGGCCATAATCAAAAAACCAAAAAAACAGTAGATGTTGGCATGGATGTGGTGATCAGGGAACACTTCTACGCTGCTGGTGGGAATGTAAACTAGTACAGCCACTTTGGAAAACAGTGTGGAGATTCCTTAAAGAACTAAAAGTAGAACTGCCGTTTGATTCAGCAATCCCACTATTGGGTATCTACCCAGAGGAAAATAAATCATTATATGAAAAGATACTTGCATGTGCATGTTTATAGCAGCACGATTCACAATTGCAAAATTGTGGAAACAACCCAAATGCCCATCAATCAGTGAGTAAATAAAGAAACTGTAGTATATATACAGGATGGGATACTACTCAGCCATAAAAAGGAACGAATTTATGCATTTGCAGCAACCTGGGTGAAATTAGAGACTGTTATTCTAAGTGAAGTAACTCAGGAATGGAAACCAAACATCATTTGTTCTCACTGATATGTGGGAGCTAAGTTATGAGGATGCAAAGGCATAAGAATGATGGACTTTGGGGACTTGGGGGGAAGGGTGGGAGGGGGAGAGGGATAAAAGACTACAAATAGGGTGCAGGGTATACTGCTCGGGTGATGGTTGCATGAAAATCTCACAAATCACCAGTAAAGAACTTAACTTGTGTAACCAAATACCACCTGTATCCCAATAACCTATGGGAAAATAAAAAAGTAAAAAGGTAGAAAAACCAGTGAATTAAAAAAAAATTTGGTAATAAATACCAAGGAACTCAAAAAAAAAAAAAAAAAAAAAGGCTTAGAAAAGTCTTTACCAAAGCAGTTCAGTGTCTCACCAGAGCTGGCTGTTTTACATAAGATTTTGACTTCAATGCCTTATAGTACTGAAAACATACATTGTCTTGAGTGTCCACTTTCTGAATCTTCATAAACTAGTGCTGGTGGTAGCAGGTTGCCTGAAGCTTTAGCATTCCTTAACTTTGTTTACCTTAACTTTTCTTTTACTATGAAGACATGGGTAAATTTTAGCATAGTTTGACAGATTGTAGTTAGAATGTTCAAGATCCACATATTTAAGAAATAAAGTTCCTCATAAAGTTTAAAACTGACATCAGGAGCAGCTTCTGCTGTTAATACTACAACTTGCAAGTATTGTAAGTGCTAGGTGTAGTTAGTAAAATCTGGACTGATGAAAATAGTGATTCTGAAATTTTAGGTCAAAATTCCACGTGGAAAAACAAGTTTGACAATAGAGAATATCTTTATCTCTGCCTCTTGCTAGTAGAAAACTGGTACTAGCTAATTATTTTGGGGGACAAAAAATCTCATCTCAAAACAGGCAGCACTTTAATATGTTACACTTTGGATTTTGGATTGATGGTGCCATGAGTGGTGGATTGTACAGAAATTGATCACCAGGATTATTTTCTTTCAGTTTCAGCTTCAATTTTCCTTATGTGACTACAATTGGTATCCACCTGTCAACATCTAGGACCAAAGAGGCAATCAAACAAGGAATAAATTCCTAATTTCTCTCATTCCTCAACAGGCTATTAATTTAACTCTGATTTATTTCTTAGATATTCTCTAATTTCTGTAATTGTGTGTATGATTATATCCAAAGAGAGGAAAAAAATGACCAAGTGGTGCCGATTTGAGGGATTGACATGAGACACCCAAGGCTTTTATTTTTGGTCAGGGATCGTCAGTGGATAGTCATGAAGTCTTACTCCCAGTTGTCATTTCAGGAATTTAGAATAGAGGTCAGTCACTGCTGGAAACAAACGGAATTAGAGATTAGTGGTGTCACCAATGCAAATTCTTTAAAAAAGAATTTGTGTGTGCATAGTAGGTGCATATACTTATGGGGTACATGAGATATTTTGATACAGGCATACATTGTGTAATAATCATCTGGGCAAATGGGGTATCCATCATCTCAAGCATTTATCCTTTGTTTATTGTTACAAACAATCCAATTATACTTTTATTTTTACATGTACAATAAATTATTGTTGACTGTAATCACTCTGTTGTGCTGCAAATTCTGACTTTAAAAGAAAAATAGTTTATTTCAGATGCCAATTTCTCACCTCTCAATAAAATTGCTCTCTCAGATAAGGTGAATGCAAGAACAGAGTGGTAGCATTTACCTCTTTTTAAGAAAAAATTCAACTATTTATTTATTTGTTTTTTAAATTTTTGTGGGTAATTATAGGTGTATATATTTATGGGGTACATGAGATGTTTTGACACAGGTGTGCAACGTGAAATAAGCACATCATGAATAATGGAGTATCCATCCCCTCAAACATTTAGCCATTGAGTTGCAAGCAATCTAATTACACTCTTTAAGTTATTGAAAAATGTACAGTTATTATTGACTATAGTCACCCTGTTGTGCTATCAAATAGTAGGTTTTATTCATCTGTCAAACTATGCTAAATTTACCTGTGTCTTCATGGTAGAAAAAATTAAGATAAACAGCTCTTTATGTTCATGAGTTCAGTTGTGATTTTTAGATCCCATATATAAATATGGGATAACATACATTGTTTGTCTTTCACAACTGGTTGCTCATAGTAACCACCAATGATGCTTTGAATTTCTTCGATATCAGTTGTAATGTCTCCTTTTTCATTTCTGATTTTATCTATTTAGACCTCTCTTTTTTCTTATTTAGTCTGACTAAATGTTTGTCAATTTTGTTTAACTTTTCAGAAAACCAACTTTTCGTTTCATTGATCTTTTGTGTTGTTTTTTTCAATTTCATTTATTTCTGCTTTGATCTTTATTATTACTTTTGTTCTACTAATTTTGAGTTTGGTTTGCTCTTGCTTTTCTAGTTCTTTAAGACACATTGTTAGGTTGTTTATTTGAAGCTTTTCCTCTTTTTTTGATGTAGGCACTTACTGCTATGAACTTCCCTCTTAATACTATTTTTTGCTGTATCCCACAGGTTTTGGTATGTTTGGTTCCCATTGTCATTTGTTTTAAGAAATTTTTCAATTTCTTTCTTAATTTTTTTATTGACCCACTGGTCATTCAGGAGCATATTGTTTAATTTCCACATACTTGTATAGTTTCTAAAATTCCTCTTATTAATTTCTAGTTTTATTCCATTGTGGTCAGAGAATGTACTTGATAGTATTTCAATTTTTCAAATGTTTTAAGACCTATTTGTGATCTAACATGTGGTCTATCCTTGAGAATGATCCATGTGTGGAGAAAAAGAATGTATTCTGCAGCTCTTGGATGAAATGCTCTGTAAATATCTGAGATCCATTTGGTCTGTAGTGTAGATTAAGACTGATGTTTCTTTGTTGATTTTTTGTCTGGAAGTTCTGTTCAGTGCTGAAAGTGTGGTGTTGAAGTCTCTAGCTATTATTGTATTGAGGCCTATCTCTCTCTTTAGCTGTAATAATATTTCCTTTATATATCTGGGTGCTCCAGTGGTGGGTACATATGTATTTAAAATTGATATATTCTTTTGCTGAATTGACCCATTTATCATTATATAGTGACCCCTTCTTCTTATAGTTTTTGTTTTGAAATCTGTTTTCTCTGATATAAATACAGCAACTCCTGCTCTTTTTTGCTTTCCTTTAGCATGAAATATCTTTTTCTACCCCTTTATTTTCAGTCTGTATGTGTCTTTATAGGTAAAGTGTGTTTCTTGTAGGCAACAGAGCAATGGATCTTGTTTTTTCATCCATTCAGCCAGTCTATGTCTTTTGATTACAGAGTTTAGCCATTTGCATTCAATGTTATCATTGATAAGTGAGGACTTACTACTGTTATTTTGTTATGTGTTTTCTGGTTGTTTTGTGGTCTTCTCTTCCTTCTTTCTTTCCTGTCTTCCTCTAGTGAAAATGATTTTCTTTGGTGATATGATTTAGTTTCTTGTTTTTTATTTTTTGTGTATCCATTGTATGTTTTTTGGTTTGAGGTTACCATGAGGCTTGCAAGTAATAACCCATTATTTTAACCTGATAACGGTTTAATACTGCTTGCATAAACAAACAAGCAACAGGAAAACTATAAAAACTCACTTTAACTCTATCCCCCACTTTTTTAACATTTGCTGTTTCTATTTGTATCTTATTGTACTGTGTCTTGAAAAGTTGCTGTAGTTATTATTTTTGATTGGTTTATTGTTCAGTCTTTCTACTTAGGAATGTTGGAGTAGTTTTCACAACACAGTTACAATGTTATAGTATTCTGTGTTTTTCTGTGCACTTATTATTACCAGTCAGTTTTGTACCTTCTGGTTATTATTGCCAATTAATGTCCTTTTCTTACTGATTGAAGTACTCCCTTTAGCATTTCTTTTAGGATGGGTTTGGTTTTGATGAAACCCCTTAGCTTTTGTTACTCTGGGAAAGTATTTCTCCTTTATGTTTGAAGGACATTTTTGCTGGATAACTATTCTAGGGTAACAAATTTTTTTCCTTCAGCACTTCAAATATGTCATACTACTCTCTCCTGAGAGTCTTTAGTAAGTAAGGTTTCCATTGAAAAATCTGCTGCCAGATGTGTTGGAGCTCTGTTGTTTGTTATTTGTTTCTTTTCTCTTGCTGCTTTTAGGATCCTTTATTTATCCTTGTCCTTTGGGAGTTTGATTATTAAATGCATTGAGATAGTCTTCCTTGGGTTAAATCTGCTTGGTGTTCTATAACCTTGTACTTGGATATTGATATCTTTTTCTAGGCTTGAGAAGTTCTCTGTTCTTATTCCTTTGAATAAATTTTCTACCCCTGTCTTTTTCTCTACCTTCTCTTTAAGGCCAATAACTCTTAGATTTGCTCTTTTGAGGGTATTTTCTAAATCCTGTAGGCATGTTTTATGATTTTTTTTCATTTTTCTCTTGTCTCCTCTGACTGGGTATTTTCAAATTGTTTGTCTTCAAGATCATTAATTCTTTCTTCTGCTTGATCCATTCTGCTATTAAGGGACTCTGATGCCTTCTTCAGTATGTCAGTAGCATTTTTCAGCTCCAGAATTTCTGCTTGATTCTTTTTAATTATTTCAGTCTCTTTGTTAAGTTTATCTGATAGAATTCTGAATTTCTTCTCTCTGTTATCTTGAATTTCTTTGAATTCCTCAACAGTTACTTTGAATTCTCTGTCTGAAAGTTCACATATCTCTGTTTCTCCAAGGTCAGTTCCTGGTATCTTATTTAGTTCATTTGGTGAAGTCATGTTTTCCTGAATAGTGTTGATGCCAGTAGATGTTCTTCAGTGTCTGGGCATTGAATAATTAGGTATTTATTTTAGTCTTCACTGTCTGGGCTTATTTGTAGCCATCCTCCCTGAGAAGGCTTTCAGATATTTGAAAGAACCCGGTAACACTGTGGTTCTTGCAGACTTGTAGTGGTGCCACCTTAATGGTCTCAGATAAGAATTAGGAGAAGTCTCTGGATTACCAGGCAGGAACTCTCATTCTCTTCCCTTACTTTCTCCTAAACATACAGAGTTTCTCTCTCTATTGTGAGCCATCTAAAGCTAGGGGTGGAGTGACACAAGCACCACTGTGGCCACCACCACTATGACTGTGCTGGGTCAGACCTGAAGCCAGCACAGTGCTGGGTCTTACCCAAGGCCTGCTCTAACCACTCCCTGTCTACTGTCCAGGTTTGTTCAAGGTCCTGGGACTCTACAATCAGCAAGTGGCAAAGTCAGCCAGGACTGTGTCCTTCCCTCCAGGGTGGCGAGGTCCCTCAGGCCCTGGGTGGGTCCAGAAGTGCCGCGAGTCGGGGACTAGAGTCAAAAACCTTAGAAGTCCACCTGGTGGTTTATTGTATTGTGGGTGAGCTGGCACTTAAACCACAAGATGGGGTCCTTCCCTCTCTTGCCTTCCCTTTCCAAAGGCAAAGGAGTCTCAGCCCATAGCACCACCACCCTAGGCCATGAGGAGTACTGCCAGACTACCACCACTGTTCCCTTAAGGCCCAAGGGCTCTTAAGTCAGCTTGTGGTGAATGCTGCATGGCCTTGGCCTCACCCTTCAGGGCAATGGGCTCCCCTCTGACCCCGGGCAGGTTCAAAAATGCCATCCAAGAGTCAAGTCCTGGAATTGGGGACCCCAAAATCCCACTTGGTGCTCTGCTCCCTTGTGGTGGTATTGATACCTAAAATGCAAGACAAAATCCCCTTTACTTTTCCCTCTGCTTTTCTCAAGCAGGGGGAGTTTTGCCCCATAACTCCACAGCTGGTAATGTGCTGAGTCTCACATGAAGCCAGCAAGTCCCAGAGGCTCACCGTGGCAGTTGATGTACTATCTGGGTATCGCTGTTGGTTATTCAGGGTCCAAGGGCTCTTCAGTTAGCAGGTGATGAATGCTGGTAGCACTAAGTCCTTTCCTACAAGGCAGTGGGTTCCCTTCTGTCCTAGGGTATGAGATCCCTGGAAAGGGGGCCTCACGACTCTGACCGATATCCTATCCTGTTGTGGCTAAGCTGATATCTAAGATGCAAGGCAAAGTCATCTCCAGCCTTCCTTCTCCTTTCCTCAAGTGGAAGGAAGGGGTCTCTTTTGGAGCTGTGAGCTGTGCAGTCTAGGGTTGGGGGGGCTATGATGCCAGCACTTCCTTGGCTGACCCAGCTGATATCTCAGTATGTCGCGTGCTCCCACAGTCTATAGTCTCTGGGCCTAGTTCAGCCTAGGACTCTCCGAAGGGTTGCAGTCCTTATGGCCCAGACTGCCTTTCAAGTTTACTTAGACACCAAGCACACCTTGATCCTCAGTGGTGAGGTTTGCCAGCACTCAAGTTTGGACCCCTGGGGTGAACAATTCCCCTCTGGCTAGGACTGGTTTAAATGCTCCCTCTGTGGGTGTCAGCTGAGATTGGTCTGTTTTTTCTTTCTGCTCTGACAGGACAGCACTGAGTTCAGTGCCTCACAATTGCTGTGTTCTCTTCCCCCAGCACCCAGAGAGCTCTCCGCACCACACTGCTGCTGCTGCTACTGAGGGAGAGGAAGGGGTCACGTCTGAGATTCAGGATTGTTTTATCTGCTTCTTCAGTGCCTGTTTCAGTGATATGAAGTTAAAACCAGGTACTGTGAGTGCTCACAGGATTTTTGGTTCTTAGGATGCGTTTCCCTGTGTCGATAGTTGTATTAAGCCATCTTGCTCTGCTTCCTCCTCTTTTATTTATTTTTTAAAAGATTTATTTATTTTAAAAAATTTTTAAATAATTTTTATGGATACAGAGAGTTGTATGTATTTATGGGGGATATATGTGTTATTTTGATACAAGCGTACAATGTGTAATGATCAATCAGAGTAATTGGAATACCCATCAGCTCAAACATTAATCATTTTGTTGTTTTAGGAACATGCCAATTTCACTCTTCTGGTTATTTTGAAATATACAATGTTATTGTTAGCTACCCTACTATGCTACAGAACACTGGATCTTATTCATTCTCTTTAACTGTATTTCTATACCTATTAACCAGCCCCTCTTTATCCTCTGCCTCCCCCGTTTCTGGTAACCATCCCAGATTCTGGTAACTGTCATTCTACTCTCTGCTTCTATGAGATCAGCTCTTTCAGCTCTCTCATATGAATGAGAACATATGATATTTGCTTGCCTTTCTGTGCCTAGCTCATTTCGCTTAATACAGTGTCCTTCAGTTCCATCCATGTTTCTACAAATAACAGGATTTTATTTATTGCTTGATAGTAGATTTCTCCAAGTCCAAGCTCCTTTAAGTTTATAGATGAAAGACTGTGAAAAACTAAGGTTTCTTGTAAAAATGGCAACAGCAAAAATACAGTCTTTCTTTTAATCTTCAATTTCCTCTTCCTGATATTTTAGGATGACAGATTCCCTGCCATTGTGTATATGTGGCTCAATACCCTGCATCTAGATCCGTGATGGTAAATATGCTACATCAATGCAATCACTCCTCTGTTTCATAACTGTGCGGACCTTGCTCCCTGATCATAGCCTCTGTTGGTGTCAGATGTCAGGGAGGAGCCCTCTGGCTCTGAGCACTGTGTGGCTCATCAAGAGACCTGGTGTGCTTAGGCTCACTTGGCTATTTTCAAGTGTTCATTGGCTTGCGCTATTTATGTTAGCATTTTAAGCATTCTATGATCACCAGAAGATATTTTTGAGGTACAACGATTCTCAAGTCCCTATTTTAAGATTCTGATTGTTAGGGGGTTAAATTATTGAGGAAGAAGATCTGTGAGAAGTATTATAAAGTATTTAGCCTATGTAGACTTTAGTGACTATTATTTGACCTGAAATTAAGATGCTCCTTCTATTATTCCCAAGATGCTGGTATGCGTTATGAAGTAAATAAAAATCATAAGGGCCTGCAAACCGCAGTGGCTTCAGTCTTCAATATGTTACTTCAGCAATTTCCAGGAAGCCATAATTACTTACTACGGGGAATTATAGAACTAGTTAAAGCATTATCACAAAATGTGTGATGTAACATACACCCTACCCTGCAGGTACAAAATGGTCCAGAACCTGTTCTGCAACACTAGAACCCTAGTATCTTCATGAATAGAAAGTATTTAGATGGGCTTTCAGTGCTGATTGTGAAGCCAGGAGAGTTGGTTACCCCAGGGCTTATTGCGAGTGATGAGTAATGCATGGTTGTTTCTTGTGGTCTAGATGTGGAATGTACTGGCAGATGCAAAGGTTTTCTACTATTCGCATGAGGACAGTGAGATACAGAACTTTCACGACAAGTCAGGCAAAGCAAATTTATTATTCACTGATAGACAGCAAAAACACATAGTCTAGGATCCATGGTGGGCTGGTCCCCCGGGGCTCAGGAAAGCTCTCCAGTGTGGATAGAGTCTTGTCTGTGTGTGTCCCATATTGTACTGAAGCTGAGGTACCCGCAAAGCACATCATCTTGTATTTTGCGCCTTGGGTATCATTTGCTCCCTAAGCTCAAGTTTTGCAGAATATCCTGCTCTAGAAGGAACATAGTTCTGGCTATTCTAGCCTGTTTCTTTTTTTCTTATGTTAATGCATTCTGCAGAAATTCTACAGTAATTCTGAGAACTACAAGTTGGAGAGGGGAGAGCTGGGTCGAAAAAGGCCACTTGAGGACCTGCCCTCCTACAGCAGGGACATTTGTATCTAAAGAGTGCTGCCTATAGGGGAGCAGCAACTTGGAAGAAAAGGCCTAATACTTAAGGGTCAAGGAAGGAGTTGCAAGTGATCACCCAGCCTGGAGAAGCATCTGCCCGAGTCAAGGAAACTTTACAAGAGAAATCCCCAGTGTGCACCCCTATGAAGAGCCTACAATGGTATGTCTACAAGAGTGAGTCATCCTTACTTCTGCCAGACCCAGATAGTTGCAAGCTGTCTTTGCTACCATTTCAGGTAAGATATTTCTCATCTAATTTCAATGCTTTGCTCTTTCTCATCCTGTACCCAGCCCTTCACTCCATTCAGGAGGAAGAACAAACCAGCTAGGAAACAGGGAAGGAGACAGGAGGGAGAAAAGTACAAGCAGGAGAAATACAAAATAATCCATCTGTGCCTCTTTCTCCTATTGTAGGTTTAGCCTGAAGCCAGCCTGAGCCAAGAAAAGGGAGAAGGTTTTGCTGTTTAATCAAAGTAGTTTTGATTTATATTTTGTACTGAAAGTTTTATTTTTTGAAATTAGTCTGTTGGCAACTTCCAATGTATGTAGAAATGTATGTACCTAAGAATGAGCAGAAAAAGCATGGGACATGCTGTTTATCCTGGGGCAAAGAAAGATTACCCCCACTGGATATATTTTAAAAGGCGACAGGAAGCAAAAAATAAAGTTGTGTTTTGCATACAACATGAGTTGTGCTTAGTCAACACACCATAAATAGTATTAAAGGGAAGAAAACTGATGGGCCGTGGTGCTAGGAGTTGGGCGGGGGGCAGCGCAGTGTGAAGAATGAATAAATTGGAAGCGATGCTTTTGTGTGTTGGGGCCTCTTGGGGTTGCTTTTGTCCTTATGCTCCCTCCCATGTGACCTGTGGGATCTGCCATGCTTAGGAGCTTAGGAAGGCCTCTCTGTCCTGGGGATGCCTGAGAGAGCTTTCTCTCATCTTAGGTCTGTCCTGATTTGCTGTGGAAAAGGTAAAATGACAAGGGCTAATGTTCAGATGTGGCTTCCAGTAAAGGGACTCTGGTTTTTGTATTATGCCAGAGAAACAACATAGTCTAGTCCAGTCCATGACGGTTGATCCTAAGTGCCTGGGAATAAAATCTTATTGAATTTATTAAAACCATCATCATGTGCTTGAAGTGTTCCTTCTCCTCCTGAGGGTGATGGTATCAAATGACTGAATGAGAAAATGGAGCAATGGGTTCTGACCAGTCCTCAATTTATCTTTACTTGTGAGATGGCTAATGACTTTTTTTAGAGAGAAGAAAAAACTCTCATATAGTGTTAAATTTGTTAAAAACAGATAACCTTTATAGATCCTTACGTAGGATGTGTCTATCAGAAAGATTTAGAATACTTAATGCTGTGCTGTACTTCCTTTTTCTTCAACTTTTGCATTATATATCAAACTGTTTACTCAGAATAGTGTCATAACAGCAAACGACTATCTGTTCATGGAAAGGTCAAATTTCAAGTACGCAAATAACCTATTTCTTTCTCCCTTCTTTGCTGCTGAAGTTTAGCTTCCTTTTGTTTCACACAGTAAATGGAGTTGGCATGATTTCTGTGTTGCAGGGTGCCTTTCTGAATATTGTGCAAAGTCTTTGTCCTAGACAGTTTGACTCAATGGAATATCACCTTTCACTCTTAACTTTTCCCATACAGAAATAAGGTCAAACTTGTTTTAAGCTTTGACTGAATTCTGAATACAACTGGTGCTTAGGAGTTAAATGAACTTACCTGTCTAAATGGCTTGAATGAGGGCCACCTGCATGTTCAGTGGTTTCAGGTTATCTACCTTGATATTCATCTAGTAAACCTGTCTTTGAATGTCTTTCCAAAATGCTGGGAATCCTAGGGCACTGTGGCACTATGTGTGATGTGGGGTGACATGGCTGAGGATGTGGGCCTTGGAGGGAGTCAGGTCTCAGTGGATCCTGGTTCTACTCCTTGCAGAGATGTGTGAGTTGGGCAGAGAACATAACTTATCTGTTTTCTCCTTTTTAAAATGAAAATAATACCCTTTAAATTTATCGAGATTAAAGAGAAAGCTGATGTGAGGGTGTAGTAAAGTGCCTACCCATAGAAAATACCCTATCCATGTTAGTTAATAATGAAGGTAATGTTTTAAAAGCTGTTTCCGTGAGTTAATTGAATTAAATTTCTTAGGATTTCAGAACCTTAAACATACCCGACTAATGCCAAGAATAGTAAAATGTATTTCAAGCATGAAGTGGATTCAAAAAGTGAATTATTCCGTATTTCCTATATAATAAGGGGCTTGAAGAAAATGGTCAGGCAGCTTTTAGATTTCAGAGTTATGTTGGCAGCGCCACCTGCTGTTGAAAATAAAAACACTTCTGGAATATTTTGAGAAGCAAGAAATACAATTATGAGTTCTTTTCTACTTTTTTCAGCAAAGGTGGGCCAATCTGTCATTTCTTTAACTGAGAAATTTAATTTTATTGAAGAGCTAGGTGACAAATACCTGTAACATTCTTTTGAAGTATCAGTCACTGTCTTTAAAGAAATGATTCCCTAATGATGTCATCATTAACTTCTTAATCCACTTAGTGACTAACCCTTATTATCAAGGGATTAGTTTCTTTATTTTAAGGTATCTTGATCTCACATTAAAATGTTGAAATAAAAGACTCACATCACTCTAAATGTTGCATAGTTTTTCTCGCTTAGCCCAGAATCAGATTAATCAGGACACGACATTGGTTGGCTTTTTACTCCATTTTACAAAACAATCTATAAGTTTTAGGCCCACATGAAAGAACTTTTGAGTGTGACACTGAGAACACATACAGGTATCTGTGTGTTATATACCCTAGATTGTACCCTTGCTAACAAAGGGATAACTCAAGCCCTAAAGCCACTTGGGGCAAGCGCAGCATTTCGGATATCTAACCATAAGTTGAAATGGTTATATAATAAATTCTCTATCAGTCATGTGGCAAATAAAGGAAGATCTCACATGAAATACATTTCCCATCATCTTTTTTATTGTGGTAAAATTCACATCGTATAAAATTCACCATTTTAACCATTAAAAAATGTACAATTCAGTAGAATTTAGTACATCAACATGTTGTACAACCATCACCACTCTCTAGTTCCAGAACATTTTCATTACCCCAAAAAGAAACCCTGCACCCGTTAAGCATTTACTCCTCATTTCCCCCTCAACCCCTGGCAGCCACGAATCTGCATTATGTCTCGATGAATTTGCCTATTATGGATATTCCATACAAATGGGATCATACATTATGTAGCCTTTTGTGTCTTCTTTCACAAAGAATAATACTTTCTAGGTTCATTAATGTTGTAGCCTGTATTAGTTCTTCCTTTTTATGGGCAAATAATATTCCACTGTGTGTATATACATATATACTAAAATTTGTTTATCTATTCATCCATCTACAGATGCTTTAGTTATCTCCATCTTTTGGCTATTGTAAGTAGTGCCACTGCAAACTTTTGTGTGCAAGTTTTTGTTTGAACACCTGTTATTTAATTTTTGGGGGTGTATATGCAGGAGTGAAATTCCTGAGTCATGTGGTAATTCTATGTTTAACTTACTGAGGAACCATCAAACTTTTCTGTGGTGGCTACCCTATTTTGCATTCCCAGCAGCAATGTATGAGAGTTCCAGTTTTGCTGCATTTTCCTCAAAGCTCTTTTGAGGATAACCATCCTCGTGGGTTTAAAGTGGTCTCTGCATGTAGTTTTGATTTGCATTTCCTCAGTGACCTTGATAATCTTTGGATGAGCTTGTTGGCCATTTGTAGATCTTCTTTGGAGAAATGTTTATTCAAGTTCTTTGCCCCCAATGATTTTTTAAAATAGCATTATAAGGATAAGACTTGAGAGGAGAGAATCGTGGTTAGGCTCTTCAAAGCTGTTAAAAACAGGCCGGGCACGGTGGCTCATGCCTGTAATCCCAGCACTTTGGGAGGCTGAGATGGGAGGATCCCTTGAGGCCAGGAGTTTGAGACCATCCTGTCCAACATGGTGAAACCCCAACTCTATTAAAAATACAACTCTATTAAAAAATTAGCTGGGCGTGGTGGTGGGCGCCTGTAGTCCCAGCTGCTTTGGACACTGAGGCAGAAGAATCGCTTGAACCCGGAAGGTGGAGGTTGCAGTGAGCTGAGATCACGCCATTCCACTCCAGCCTGGGTGACAGAGCACAACTTCTGTCTCAAAAATAAAATAAAATAGAGTTGTAAAAATCAAAACCTACTCTGGTCATCTCAGGTGTGTAGTGATTATTATAAGGCTGCATGGGGAAATATGGAAGCACGAGAACCAATCTTAGCAGTAACGCAGTGGTGTCTCATGAAGAAATGGAACGCACTTTACTATTGTTCAAATGTTCAGCAGTCATTTGAGGGCCCCTGTGCAGGGTTATGGTAGGCACTGGAGCCGTGGAGAAGTGTGGCGGCCTGGTCCCCAGAAATTGGTGTCCCTTACTCCCTCTTCTCCTGACTCCATCCTATTGGCCCCTTAGCTTTTTTCTCCATTTTCCCTTTCTGTCTTTTTTGTACTTCCTGTTCTTTTCCTTATAGTTTTATTGCCTTGTCAATGTCTTGCACTGAAAAGTCTCTGGGAGAGAACCTGATTCCTTTGGTTGGTCACTGTCCTTCTTGAAGTGTCTTCCAAGGCGGACTTTTTGCAACAGGCTTCCTCATAGCCATAGGCCTGTGTGTGTAGCTATAGGGGGTCCAATCAGATGTAGCCAGGCCGATGGACAGCTTATTCATGAGGAACGACTGATCACTGTGCTCAAACAGCAGTGGAAAGCAAGACAGATGTTGAGGGTGTTTCATGGGCTGTCTGCAGTGATATTTCAAACTTTCATACATTTGCAAGAAAGTTGCTACTGCAACAAGTGTTTGCCCCATACTTAGTGGCTACAAACAATACAAATTTCTTGCCTCAAAGTTCTGGACGTAAGAAGCTTGAAATGAGTCTTACAGGGTTAAAATCAGGGTAGTAGGGCATCTGATTCCTTCTGGAGGCTCCAGGGCAGCATCTGTTTCTGGCTCTTCCAGGTTCTAGAGGCTGCTGTGTTCCCCGGATTGTGCTTTCATCACCCAAGTCTCTGCCTCCATCGTCACATTGCCTTCCCCTCTGCCTGACCTTCCTGTATTCCTTTTATAAACACCCCTGTGACTACAGGGCCCCACCTGGGTAATCCAGGACAATCTCCCTATCACCAGATCCTTAACTTACCCACATCAGCAGAGTCCCTATTGCCATGTAAGACCACATCCAGTTCTCGGGATTAGGATGTGGACATCTTCGGGGGAGTTATTATTTAGTCTACCATAGGGCATACTAAAAAGCAAACAAACAAGCAAACAAACAAAAAACCAAATAGCTTAGGTCAAGGGATTTTAGTCTTTAAAGCACTGAATAGAACAATTCAAAGAAGTGAATGTAATTGAAAGTTTCTGCTATTTCTTTTAGCATTTTATTTATCAGACTGTGGTTTGCAAACAGTGTTGTTGCCTTAATGTTAACATTTTGGAAATGAGCCATGAAAGGTCGAACACAGAATAAGTATTGCTTGGCAAAATTAATGAAGTGGATTACTTACAGGAATTAAGCAGTTCTAAAAGCAATTAGGCCACTCCAGGGGTTCTTTCCAGCTTGTGGGTTCATTAATATTTAACAAATCATGCTGCAGGAGGCACAGTGGATTCCTCCAGAGCAGCATACATTAGAAGGCCCTCTCTTTCTGAAAGAGTATGCGGTATTTAGTCTTAGAAATTACCTTCCATAGAGAGTTCATTTCTTAAGCCATTCATTTCCCACATGATTTTCTGTTTTCACCAGATAGGCCCAGTCCCCAGGCCGTGAAGAGATGGGGTCAAATTGTACAGTTGCCCAAGGTGTTAGACTGGTTAGACCTTTTCTAGAGCCAAGCTGTCTTAGAGAAATGGGGTGGGGTGTCTCTACAAGAGAGATTAAAACACATCTTTTTTTTTTCTGTTTGTTTGAAATATTTGCCTAGGGAGTAGGCAGGAAATGTCTTTTACATGAAACACTAGTATTTCTCTAGTGAAGCATTAATTTTTATTTCTGCTTATACATCACCCCATCCCCATTCCCAGGAAGTACAGGACTTCTAACCCAATGTAAATGTTTTTTTTTAAATTATTATTATTATTATTATTTAAACACACACACACACACACACACACACACACACACACACACACTTTCTTTTGTGATCGGTCACATTTCTTCTCATCACACCTTCACCTACTTAGCCCCAAACCTGTTCATGTGGAACTTTCCTTTCCTTTGGGAGGTCGAGGTGGGCAGATCACCTGAGGTCAGGAGTTTGAAATCAGCCTGGCTAACATGATGAAACCCCGTCTCTACTAAAAATATAAAAATTAGCTGGGCATGGTGGTTCGTGCCTATAGTCCCAGCTACTCGGGAGGCTGAGGCAGGGAATTGCTTGAACCAGGGAAGTGGAGGTTGCAGTGAGCCGAGATCACACCACTGCACTCCAGCCTGAGTGACAGAGCGAGACTTGGTCTCAAAAAAAAAAACCAAAAAAAAAAAAAAAAAAAAAAAACCCAAAAAAAAAGAAAGAACTTTCCTTTCTACATGCTCTAATAGGAGAAGTGGTTGGGTATTTGGTCGGGTTCCTAATCCCCATCATGAAAGCAAATGAGGCCTGGTGGCCTCAGCCTGCTAACAATTTGAGCATGCCTCATTGTAAAATCCGCATTTTAAAATCCTTGCTTTGGCTATAATCTATTTCTCCCTAATCAATACAAATCACCCTTTGAAAAACTCTCAGCCCATTCCTCACTTCAGCCCAAAGCTGTCCTAGCTATTTTTTCACTGTATACAGTTTGGTAATAGGGGTCTATCTCACATCTAAGTTCAAATTTCCATTTCTGGTGAAGAAGTCTTTCAGTTTCTATCTTTGCCACTATCTTTTTTGAGATCTCAAATATATTCAGTCAGAGTATAAGTTCAAGGCACTGACTTTCTTCACTCTTTCAGTCTCTGTTTGATAAACATGGCTTTTAACACCTAGCCTGAGAGTGAGCTTGAACCCCACCTCATCTTCCCACCCACTGTAGTTGATAAGCGGTCATGGCAGTGTCATGATAGTTGCCAACATTTGTACTGGAAAGAGGCCTAGAGGAGTGTCTCCAGTGACTGGCTTCCTGGCCATTTAACGTAAGTTTCACTGTTACTGTGCTTTGGGATGTAGTCTTCAGCTCTGCAATGTCAGAAATTTGGCATTATCCTTGAAGCTGGGTTTGAGGGGACTGATTCACAAACAGAACTCATGAAAGACAAATATGTAAAACCAGAATACTAGTTTATTACTTTACCAAGGAAAACAAATTACTTTCCAGTAAGGCAGGTTAAAGGAATTACCTTTAGAATCAGACCACAATGCCTCTGAGTATAACAACTTCTCTAGGTATTGGGTTAGTCAAATGGGAATGAGTATAATACTTACATTATGGGGTTGTGTGAAGAATGTTGGACAGAATGTAAGCAAGCGGTTTGTTTGGCGTAAAGGAAGTAACTGTTATGATCATTTATATCATTTTACAATATGATGTAGAGAGTAATTGATTAACTCCCAGGTAGCAGAATCGAGCTGGAACCAGGTTTTCTGACATGTGTTTCTACAAGAGCTTTGTGATCATGGATCTCAGCAGTTTGCTTCACACTGAAGGTTCTTTCCACGTCCAGGGCTGCCCGAGATTACCCATCACACTTTGCCTTATATGAAAGTGCAAATCTCACCTTCAGAACTGACCATTCAGCAGTTGTGAAGAAGTAGTTCTGGAATTTTTATCTCTCTTAAGTCATTTTGCTACTAGATATAAAATCTTCTGATACATTGCCATTTTATAGGGCAACATATTTTTTCTTAGTTCAATATTTGTGACTAACACGATGTGTGGCAGTTGTCTAAGTTCATGGATACAGTTTTAGAAATCCCCACCTCTCCCTTCTTTATTGCTTTCCAACTAATCTTATAGACATTTTTTCTTTAAAGTCTGCCTTTTTTTTTTTTTTTTTTTTTTTTTTTGACAAAGTCTCACTCTGTCACCCAGGCTGGAGTGCAGTGGTGTGATCTTGGCTCACTGCAACCTCTGCCTCCTGGGTTCAAGTGATTCTCCTGCCTCAGCTTCCCGAGTAGCTGGAACTACAGTCACACGCCACCATGCCTGGCTGATTTTTTGTATTTATTTATTTATTTATTTATTTTTTGAGAAGGAATTTTGCTCTCGTTGCCCAGGCTGGAGTGTAATGGCGTGATCTCGGCTCATTGCAACCTCCGCCTCCCAGATTCAGGCGACTATCCTGCCTCAGCCCCCTGGTAGCTGGGATTACAGGCCCCTGCCACCACACCTCGTTAATTTTTTGTATTTTTAGTAGAGACGGGGTTTCACCCTGTTGGCCAAGCTGGCCTTGAACTCCTGGCCTCAGGTGATCTGCCTGCCTTGGCCTCCCAAAGTGCTGGCATTACAGGCATGAGCCACCGTGCCTGGCCTAAAGTCTAGCTTTAAAGTCTGACTTCAGCTTTGAGTCTTGCAATAGATGACTTAGGATCTCGAAGGTGGCAGTAGAGAATAGTAGGAAGAAAGCAAGTGAGGATTCAGGAGATATGGTTCTACTCCTAGCTCCAACTATTCTGCACCTTGGGCCAATTGCTTTCTCTCTGTATGGCCAATTTCTTTACTTGTTAATTAGGAAAGATGTTTGCTTTACCCATATGGGAGAAATAAATGAAACACTATAGTGTGTTGAAAACTATAAAGTCAATGCAAATTATTGCAGAATGAGGTAACCCTGGCCTGGTTCTAGCCCTCAGCCACTCAGCCACTACCAAATCTTTACTCTTTCTGAGAGCATAATCACAGTCTCTAACTTTAAAGGGATGATGTGCACTCTACATTACAGCATTTTTGTAAGGTTCAAATGAAGGGGACAAAAGGACCTGAAAGCATTTTGTAAACTGCAGAATACCACATGAATGCAAAGGTGGCATCACAGGACTTTACTGCTTCCTTGCTCTGTGTCCTCAGGCAAATTGGGCACCTGTCAGGTCTCCAGTTCTTTACCTGAGGGCTTATGCAACTTTTAATCACCGCCTATTCAGAAATCTGTTTAAACTGACTATGTATATATATTTTTATGCAACTTTTAATCACTGTCTATTTAGAAATCTGTTTAAACTGACTACGTATGTATATTTTTCTTTTGTAAAAAATTTTAAGGCTTGTCAAGTGTATTTTTAAAAACAATAGTGATACTTCTGACTCTTAAATACCTTTCAAGTGCGTTATGACAGGCTTCTTCTACTCTAATGGCATTTGTTACTAATTGCTTCATGAAATCGTAATCCTTTGTTTATTACTTACAGAAATGATTTCCAGTCAACATTCTTTGACCCTAAAGTAAGTTAAAATTCCTAAAATATTGAACAGATCTTGACCAATTATAATTTGTTTTTTGTTTGTCAGAATGGGAGTGAGCCATGACTTGGATGGACAGGGCTAGGGATGGAGGCTCTGGAAGACGTTCTTTGAAGTATCACTTTCAGCTTACTCTTCTCACCAAAGGCCATCCAGCAGCCCTCTCCTCTTCCCCACAGCACACATTTTGCATTTGTAACCAGAGAAGGGAATGATGACGTGGTAGCATTGTCCTTTGAGTCTCATCTTCTCAAAGGCAGAGGTCACATTTTCTAGTGTTGTACCTAACCTAGTTTTTGTATAGTTAAAAAAAAAAATCAGGCAAGTTGTCAATGTGAAAAATCTTTCAGCCTCGTGTTTGTACACATAGGAGATGAGAAATGTTTTAATGTGAAAGTAAGAATAGTGGCAATTCATCTCCTTCCTGTTCCTAGGTTACAGCTGCTCAGTAAAGTTGGGTTGCATCTCAGGAACAGAGAGCAATTTATTTCTACAGCTGTGTGAAATGGGGCCAGCTTGCATCCATGGAGGCAGAGATGCCCTCAAGTTTTTGGCTTATTTTTAGTTCCCTTATATCAATGTATACACGTGTGATAATATAGTGTAGTGCATCCAACAGCATTTTTTAGGCCCCACATTTGGGATTTCAGATGGCAGCAGCAATTCTTATTTTTTGGTTAAATTTTGTGGAAGTCTAACAAATGGATTCTCTGAGTCATTGAAAGGTATGCTTAAAAACAGGTACTCTGTATAAAACAGCTGGTCAAGTTTTTGGATTAGAACCTTTCAATCAAGTAACATCTTGGGAGACTGTAGGAGCTGTACAGGCCACTTGGTGGTGCTCATGACAGGGCAGCTCTCTTCCAAAGGATATGAATCTTCACAGTTGTAACATTTTAGTTCTGCTTTACTGAACAGAAAGCGGTTCCATTCCAAATTTGATCCTAAATGCGAAACCACAGTGTGCTATAAAACATTGAACATTCCTGCAAAAACAGACAGAGGTGGAGTTTGTTTGCACAGATCCAGAAAAGTCTTCTGTCAACAACCTCTTCTCACAGAGAATCGTACATCTAATGTGTGGCTAAAAGGCATTTGGATATGTCAAGTCCAAGCAAACCGTAACTAGCATTCTAATGACCTTCTATTGTTAGATAAATGATAACATTATAGAATGAAGGTCACAAGGGAAAAGGAACATATTCTCTTCCTCACTCAGTAAATTTATGACAGCAAGGATCCAGAAATCCTAGGGAACACAGGCCAAATACACCTTTTGCATGAGGGGTCTATTTAACAAAATGAAATGAGCACAGCAGGGAAGTTTTTTTAAAAAACTTTGCTTTATTTATAAGTAAACATTGGACACCAAGATTTATATATCATGTATGACCTGTACATACCTTGAGGGCTGTTTACTGTACCTTGTCTGTCTTTATGTTGTTAGTTAAACAGTGAGTCATAAAAATGCCCCAATAACACATTTTCTATCAACTGTCCAGGAAAATCTAGTTCCTTTACCACACAGAAGCAAAAGTGATATTCTTTAAAAGGAAAACCAGATAATGTCCTTAAAAAATGGCTTCCCAATGGTTTATGATGAAATCCAGACTCGATTAGGCTGACATAACATGCCTCTTGCTCATTTCTCTGCCTTCATCTCTCAGAATGCTTCTCTCCATTCTCTGGGCTCCAGGGTCCTGATTTCTTGAAGCTCCTGCAACCTGCCTGGCTTCTTCTGGCTGCAGGATGTAGACACACGCTCCTCACTCTTCCCTGGTTTGCCTTGCCCAGGTCTGTCTCTGAACCATCCTCTTTATCCTCCAGTTTTCAGGTGAAGTGTGTTCTTCTCATAGAAGTCTTTCCCGTTGACCTTATCTTAAGTGGTTCCCTCGTTATTTCTGGACCTTTATTTGTTTTATTCATAGTATTTATCCAGTCATTAAAGTTTGTCCTTTGTTGTTGTTTACTTATTTTTAAAAGGAATTTTATCTGCTTGCATTCAAATTGTGACTCTAAATATTATGAATTAGGGACTCTGAAAATAATGTGACTTCTCTAAAACTCAGTTTTCTCATCTAGAAAGTGAGCTTACTATTTACCTGATAGGGTTGTTTGTCATAAAGAATTAACACACGAAAACAAGCAAAGTGTGTAGAACCTGTCCTAGTACATAATAAAATATCAATGCATATTAACTATTATTAGTGCTATTTTAATCAACACTGCATCTGGGTGGTAGAACATTCCTCCCTTGCTAATTGCACCTTCTTCTCTTTTCCTTCCTTTAGGGAGGGCTTCCCTGACTATGCTTCATAAACTCAGGCCAGGCCCCCTAGTATTCCATTCCCTGTCCCATTGCCCTGCTTAATCTATCTCCACAGTATTTAAAATTTTTTGTATATATTTATCTGTTTTTATTGATGATATCTCTTTCCCACTATAATTTAAGCTCCATGAAAGACCCTATATTTCAAGGGTCCAGTAGAGGCAGATATTATGCACTCAATGAATATCTGTTGCATTAGTAAATAATTGAGAAATCATTGTCATTATCACCATCATCATTTTTCCTCTCTAAAAAGTAAGCAGGGATTGTACCTGCCTACCTTATGTGTACATTCCTGACGTGAATCATAGTTCTTGGCAAAAAGTCCTCTGTCAATATTTGTCAAAGGAATGAATTTTTTCTTTTTTCTTTTTTTTTTTGAGACAGGACTCTTGCCCTGTTGCCCAGGCTGGAGTGAGGTGGCGTGATCTCAGCTCACTGCAACCTCCGCCTCCTGGGTTCAAGCGATTCTCCTGCCTCAGCCTCCCAAGTACCTGGGACTACAGGTGCCTGCCACCATGCCCAGCTGATTTTTGTATTTTTAGTAGAGGTGGGGTTTCACCATATTGGCCAGGCTAGTCTCAAACTCCTGACCTCAAATGATCCACCCACCTCAGCCTCCCAAAGTGCTGGGATTACAGGTGTGAGCCACTGCACCCAGCCTAGGAATGAATTTTTAAAATGTGAAAAAATTGTGTTTTGAGACTTTGCCAAAATCATACACACAGGAAATCTTAGCAATCAACACATTAGTGATTATCACTCTGTATTGATGGTAATTATGGTATTTTGTGGTTAAATCAATTTTATAAAGGACTACATCAATTTTTGAAATCCTGTTACTTAAATTTTATTTTGTTGCTTATCCTTGCAGTCCAATTCGTATACATATAAAGGCATTCCCTTTCTGTCTTACGTACTTCGAATGAGAGATGACACCATGCATATGGTACTTCTATCATGATCCAATCAGATTATGTTTACCAAGGACTTGGTACAATGTCCATACCTCCATCTTTATTTTTTTTCCCCTTAGTTTTTCAAATCTCTCAAATTGATTTGATATAAGTAATAAGTTCAGTCACTAGACATCTGTTGAACATCAAACATTTTCCTTTTCATCTTAAAGATATCTTGGCAAGTAAAATATACTTTTCTCTATCAACATTTTAAGGGATACCGCTAGCACCAAACAGATACCATTTCCTTTTACTCTGCAAAGACTGATGGAAGAATAAGAAGACACTTTCTTTGCCCCCTAGAACCTTCAGATCTATTGGTGGGCATTCAGATACCCACAAAAAGAGAGTTAAACATGTTAAGTGGAACACTGAAGGAGCTGAAGAGTCAAAAGAGGAAGTAGGTGCTAAATAGTTCAGAAAAGGAAGCAGTTCACTGGTTCTATTGACCACAGTTTGCCATTCTTGAACAGGGTTGCCAACGTCTAGTGTTTGTATTTTGTTGTCTGACTCTACAAGTTCCAGAACTTCTTTTATAAATGATGTATGGGCATACCTTGGAGATACTGAAGCTTCAGGTCCAGACCAGTGCAATAAGGAAATATAAAAAGTCAGTCACATGAATGTTTTGGCTTCCCAGTGCATATTGTATACACTATATTGTAGTATACTATGACTTCCTCCACTGAAGTCTTGAACCCCTCAAAGGTCATCCATCAAAGTTAGAATCAACTTCTTTCACACTCTTGTTAATGCTGATATTTTGACCTTCTCCCATGAATCATGAATATTCTTAAAGGTGTGAAAATAAAATAAAATATTGGGATGCCATACTCACTATGCCAAAAGGAAAAGTTAAGCTTAGAAACTGAGTCTCCAAAAAAACTGCCTTTCCTTTTGTTCCTGAACCTGCAAGATAGAAGATCACATATCTTCCCAGGTGGCCTTCCTCAGCCTGACAAGGTAAATTAACAGCTTATCTTCACAGGTATGGAACAAAGACAGGTATAGGACAAAGACATATTTGACAGCTTGGCTTCCTTTACTGTTTATTTTTATGTTGTGTAAAATGCCGACTTACTGATGCATAAGACAAATGTTTAATTGACTGCTCCTCTCCCTCCTCCTTTCACATGTAACATGTGGATTCGGTAAACACTTATCAAAGCCTCACAACAATGTGACCGCTTACCTCACTTTATACCCTCCCTTTTTTTTTCTTTCTTCCTTCCCCTTCTGCCTGCTCTTTCCCCTTTAAATATTGAAACCCTCAAAATCCTCTTTATAAAAAGTGTGAACCACAGATCCTATTGTGATTTTGTGTCTTCTCCCAGGTATGTCCTCAACCTTAGCAAAATAAACTTCTAAATTAATTGAGACCTATCTCAGACACTTTGTTTTACAAAGCCATCTAGCATGCTGAATCCTTTCCAGAAGGTGTTCAATTTACTTTGCCCAGATCCTCAGAGAACTCACTATCTATCGAGCTACAGGCTTACAAAATGTATTTCTTAAATAAAACTTGAAAATCAAATGATTCTCTGACGTATGGGCTACAGATAGGATGTTGTGTTTGCAGGCATGAAAACAACATTAACCTCCTCGTGTATCTCCATTAGAGCTCCTGGATAATCAGGTGCATTGTCAACAAGCAGTAATATTTTGAAAAGAATCATCTTTTTCTGAGTGGTAGCTCTCAACAGTGGATTTGAAATATTCAGTAAACCATGTTGTAAACAGATGTGTTGTCATCCAGGCTTTATTTTTCCATTTGTCGGGCACAGGCCGAGTAGATTCGGTATAATTCCCAAGGACTCTAGGATTTTCAGCAGCACAGATGAGCATTGACTTCAAGTCATCAGCTGCTTTCCCTCCTAATAAGAGAGTTGGCCTGTCCTTTGAGGGTTTGAAGCCAGGCATTGACTTCTCTCTAGCTATGAAAGTCCTAGATGACATCTTTTTCCAATATATGGCTGTTTTGTCTGCACTGAAAAACTGTTGTTTAGTGTAGCCACCTTCATCAATTAACCTATCTAGATATACATAACTCGCTGCAGCTTCTCCATCAGCACTTGCTGTTTCACCTTGCTTTTTTATGTTGTGGAAATGGCTTCCTCTCCTTAAAATCTCATGAACCAACATCTGCTAGCTTCAAACTTTGCTTCTGCAGCTGCCTCATCTCTTCGCCTTCACGGAATTGAAGAGTGTTAGGGCCTTGCTCTAGATTAGGCTTTGGCTTAAGAGAATATTGTGGCTGGTTTGATCTTCTATCCACACCACTCAAACTTTCTGCATATCAGCAATAAGGCTGTTTCACTTTCTTATCATTTGTAGATTCACTGAAGTAGCACTTTTAATCTCTTTGAAGAACTTTTCCTTTGCATTCACAACCTGGCTAATGATGCAAAAGGCCTACCTTTCGGCCTATCTTGGTTTTTGATATGCCTTCCTCACTAAGCTTAATGATTTGTAACTTTTGGTTTAAAGTGAGAGATGTGGGACTCTTCCTTCATTTGAATACTCAGAGGTCATTGTAGGGTTATTAATTGGCCTAATTTCAATGTTGTGGTGGCTTGGGGAATAGGGAGGGCCAAAGAGGGCAGAAAGACAGGGAAGTGGCGGTTCAGTAGAACAGTCAGAACACAAGCAATATTTGTTAAGTTTGCTGTCTTATATGGGTGTAGTTTGTGGTGCCCTAAAACAATTACAATAGTAATATGAAGTATTGATCACAGGTCACCATCACAGTTAATAATAACAATAATAAAAGTTTGAAATATTTTGAGAGTTACCAAAATGTAACACAGGGACACAAAGTGAACACCTGCTGTTGGAAAAATGGCACTGATATCCTTGCTCATGTAGAGTTGCCACGTATCTTCAATTTGTAAGAAAACACAGTAGCTTCAGAGCACAATAAAGCAAAGTGCAATAAAACAAGTTATGCCTGTAGTATTACTTTCTTAACTTGCTCTTTAAATACTTTGAAGAATTAATGCCTTTACTATATTTGTTGCTTATGGCATTTTGATTCTTCAGGCTAGTCAAGATCTTTCACCTGAACTATATCCTCTCTTCCGAATATTCTTTCCCAGCATGATGTTCCTATTTGATTCTCACTGTCAGACATAGCTGATATGGCATAGAAACCTCTTTCCGGTTTTTTTCTACCTTTTACCTTCTCTTTTACCTTCATTCCAAGCCCACTGTTGTAGTCCTAAAGGTGCCTTTCCTTCTCCTTTCCTCATTTGAGTATTTTATTTCTGAATCCCATCCTTTATTTTTTCCTAAAAATCTTGATCTAACTGACGTAACTTATTTTACTCTTACTAGAAAGAAACATCATTAAACCCTGTAACTACTAAGAAAGACAAAATTGATTCCTCTTGGAAGTCAATGCATGAAGAAGGAGAAGAAAAGTTTTTGGTGTTTATTTTTATTCTTCAAAAAAACCCCTTGGATTCTTATAGGAATCTCAGTTTTCTGATTGTGACAACATTTTCCAGATCCTTGATATGTATCTTGCACAAGATTTAGAATTTTTTTTTAAAGAACTAGTCAGTAATATGAAAGAAGCAAACATTTTTTACATAAAATTAAAATATTTTCAAAATTTAACTGTATTATGTATACTTAAGATTTAAATAGTAGTATTAACATTTTTAGGCATAGGTTGAGATAGCAAATGAATTAGTTTACTTCTTTAGTTGAGTTTACTTTTCAACATTAGAAATGATCAACATTTCTGGGTTTATAAGTTGGTTATGATTATAAATGCTTGAAACAATATGAAGAATATAATTTATTTTTTATTTAAATAGTACCATTCAGTGCAGAGTGCTTTGAGTGGTTTAGGCCTGTTTGCTTTTAGAGAGAACTTTGCATTTCTCCTGGTATTCTTTGCAGCTGCTTCACTCTTACTAGTGAGAGGATATTTTCAGGCTGAGCTGAATGAACATCTTTTCTTTTTTTTTTTTTTTCCCTGTGTCTTCCAGGCTGGAATGTAGTAGTGCAATCATGGCTCATTGCAGCCTTAATCTCCCGGGCTCAAGTGATCTTCCCACCTCAGCCTCCCAAGTGGCTGGGTCCACAAGTGCATGCCACCACACCCAGCTAATTAATTATTTTATTTTATTTTATTTTTTGGTAGAGACAGGGCTTCTCTATATTGCCCAGGCTGGTTTCGAACTCCTAGGCTCAAGCAATCCTCCTGCCTCACCCTCCCAAAGTGCTGGGATTACAAGTGTGAGCCACTGCACCCAGCCTGAGTGAACACCTTGAAGACAAGTGTGCTACCATTGCTCCTAGTTTGTGCAGGCTGTCCAGTGGGGACAGTGATCTAGATTGATGGCAGGCATCAGCAAAGGCTCTGCTGTGGGTTAATTTTTGCCCTATACCTTTTTGTTTGTTTCTGCCAAATTATATTACCTTGGAAATAGGAACTAAAAATAAAGAATTCATTTCTTCTTGACCTGTCTCAGAAGGAATTTGGCTTGTATTTCTCAAGGAGCAGAGGGTGGGTTGGTTTCTCTGTAAGCCAAAAGATAAAAAAGAACAAAGGGACATGGCTCATACCTTGGAAGGCCAACAAAAATAACTAAAATGCTCACTGGATTAGAGCTTTGTAAAGTCATACTAACTGATTTCTTAAAATTAACTACAACTTAAGATGGTGAGACCAAATGAGAAATGCCTCCTCTGTACTAAGAGCCACAGGGCTTTTTATATCCTTCTTTCCTTCTTGCCGTTCCCATGTTGGTTTCTGTTGTGTCTCGACTTCGAGTACCATTGTGATGAGACTGAACTAAATGTGCCAGTTGTGCACTCAAAGCCTCAAGTGGTTTTGCTTCACTGCTGACAATAAAATGAAACAACAACAAAAAATGCCTAAAATACTTTACATTAGGCCTCTTCTAGGTTGTCATCTGAGCCAGAAAACATTGTCAGAACAGTGGACATTTTCATGGTGCCATTTTCCCAAGTGGAAAACCAAAGGGGCACACAGCAGCCATTTGAGATGTTGTGAGATGGGGCATGAAGATGACTGCACTTTTCAGCATCTGTGCTGTGAAACATCTCCTCCGAGGCTGGTGGCTTATTTCCCCTGTCTCTCTGTTGTGGGTTTGGGGGCAGGCACAGCCACTTCCTCTGCTCCACTACCTCTTCCCACACCCTTTTTATTCCTTCTGAGCTGCTTCCCTTTTTGATATCCAGCTTCCTCTTTCTCCTGGTGCCCCTACCTAAGGGTAATTCCTCCCTTCCCCCATCCATAATGTGTGTAGCTAAGTACCGACAGCATACTCACACTTTGTTAAAATTTGAAAATATTATTTTTGTTTTATCAGAATCCCTCCCCATTATGGAGTCCGCTGCTTTTAAGTTATTTATAAAGCTGTTGTTGAAATACTAAAATGTCCGGTCACATTTGATTCTACCTTAAAATAACCTATCACTTTTGTTGATCCCTTTTTCGAGTGTGAAGGTAAGAGGATGTGCTGCACTCTTGGCTGGGAAGGTGGTGCTGCATGTTGTTTATGCATGTTTACACTTCAATAGTCATAAAGATCTTCATCAAAACAAACTTGTTTTCTGCTTAAGGAAGAAAATCAACATTTTCTGATAAACAAAAATGCGAATATACATTATCCTGTGGAGGATTTTCTCACCTTTATGTGTGGTGAATTAATTCTCCCTATGGATGTACACTTGCAGTCCTGAACCACCCATGCCCCTTCTAGAAAACATTGGATGCTAACCCATCTGGCAGGGAGGAATGGATTTTGCCCTTTGTGTGTGTGTGTGTGTGTGTGTGTGTGTGTGTGTGTGTTCATCCTACAGTAAGGTTATAAAGGAAAACAATGACTCCCTAATTAAGGCATATTCTTGACAAAACTTGGACCCAACCCTTAAACCCATGGGCTACTTCAAGATTACACTCCCATAGTGGTAACTCCGCTCAAGGGGCCTAAGGCACTCCATCCGCCAGGGTGTGCAGCTGCCACACCACTCCCTCTGCATTTGACAAGGAAATGGAGTGGGGTCTTCCTCCCAGTGTCCTCTCCCCCCAGCACATGGGTGGCTCAAGGCATTTATTTTGCATCTCTGACAGTACTTACTTATGTACAAATATTCAAGATCCAGTTGTCACCAAGGGGGAACACGTTAAAATGCAGATGCCTGGGAGGCCTACTTTTAATTGCTTGGGTTTGGAGTAACACCCAGATGACTCGCTATTACCAAGCACCGCTGAGTGTTTGACTCACAGACCACACTTTGTGAAAACTTGACTTTGTAAAAAAAAAAAAATTAAAAATAAAAAATCCATCATATTTCCCAGGGACTAAAGAGTAAGCAAAGCAATAAGGACATATATTTAAAATGGAAATATAATACGGAGACCTCCTGTGTATATAAAAGATTATAAAAATCAAGTAATGAATTTATATGCTAAGTTACAACAATTCCAAACGACACCATGTGAATAATGCACATACTCACAACATGATCAGAATTAGGAGCAGTCTCAGGCTAGCTCTGATTTTTGTAACTTCCTTATAGAGTTCAGCCTTGTAAGGGCTGTGATGATGTAAATGTTAACTGTGCCAAGATTCTGCCTCTCCCAGGTGCCAAGGTCATGCCAGCAGGTAAGGACATATTTAGGCTACACTTTACCTATGCTTAGTCTCTTGAGAGGCAGGGAGCAGGAAGAAAGTGCTCTATTTAGAGAGATGTAGACAAGATATGAAGAATTACTCATCTGTAGACAATGAAATAATCAAGTTAAAGAATACACAGCAGTTGAATAACTCTAAATTTACAGAGTGTGTTCAACAAGCATTTACTGAGTATTTAAAATGGTTGAGCATTTCAGTGTATTTTATTCCTTTGGGGTGCTACTTTCCCTTTTCCTGTGTTTTATTTTTTATTTTATGTAAAGCAAGGGTCTCACTCTGTTGCCTAGGCTGCAGTGCAGTGGCACAATCATAGCTCACTGCAGCCTCAAACTCCTGAGCTCAAGGAATCCTCCTGCCTCGGCCTCCCAAGTAGCTAAGACCATAGGTGTTTTCCACCACTCCTGGCAAATTTTTTTCTTTTTAATGTAGAGATGGGATCTCACTATGTTGCCTAGGCTGGTTCTTTTTCCTGTTTTTCTTTCCTTATTATTATTATTTTTTCAAACTGAGGATGTCTGATATTGCCTCCAGTTCTCTTGGTGTGGTTTTATCTCTAAGCCAAGCCCCCTCTAGGAGCCCTCACTGGGTAGATCTCCATTTTGTCTACAAACATCAGCTTCCTGTATTCCCTGACCCTCTCCCTCTCCTGTCATTGTGTTCAGAGCATAGAGAAAAACTATGAGGTTCCTCTTCTAAAATGTAAGACTCCCAGTGTGGGTCCTCTGGCCCTAAATTAAACCCCTCTCCATTCTGGCATTGGGAGGCCTTCCTCACCCAAAGATTTCCTACCTGAAGACCCAACCAAAGCCAGCCAGTTCCAAGTCGTGCTCAGGTACATAGATTTATACAGAGAGAAAAGTAGTAGAGGTAAAATCTAAATGCTAATATTTGTATACCCAAGAAAAGGAATTCAACACCTACTGAGTAGAGAAAACCTACCAGCTACTTGGCAACATAATATGAGATGTCATTCTAAATTTAGAAAACATCCAAAATATATGAAGAACACCAATACCATAAAAGAGAAAAACCGATAAAAAGAACACATTCCAATAGAAACAGAGATAATTCAGTAAACAGAGGATAATGTCATACAAAAAAATTAGGAAACTATAAAATGTTAGAGGACAAGAACAAACTTGTAGACATTAAATATGCCTTTACTGAAGTAAAATATTCTGTAGAAGAGTTTGTAGATAATGCTGATGAAATTTCTTAGAAAATAAAGCAATGAGGGAAGTAAAGGTAACTAGAAAGAAAAAACAGAGACAAGTCAATGTTAAGAGTTACAACATGGAGGGTCCAGAAATGGAAAACAAAGAAAAACGGGGGGTGAAAATCAAAAGAAAAGAAAGGCAAATTTCCCACAGCTAAAGAGAGAACTGAGGCTTCAGAGTAAAAAAGCTGCTGACAACCAGAGCAAAGGAAGAGGAGAAACACTTGGATTCACATTTGTAAAATTTCCTGCACTAAGGATAAAGAGGTCTTATACACTTCTAGAGAGGGAAAATGCTTTCTACATATTAGGAAGAATCGCAACAGCATAGGAATCCTGAACACCAGAAAACAACAGATTAATGCGTAAAAGCTCTGAGGAAAAATGGATTGAACCTAGAATTGTATACTCAGCAAAACTATTAATCAAGTGGGAAGGCAAACTAAAATGTGTCAGAAACACAGGGACTTAGAAAGTGTAATTTTCATGTACCTATGTTTGGAAGAATTTACTTGAAAATATGTGCTAAGGAAAGAAAGAGAGAAAAGAAAGAAAGCAAGATGAATCCAAGGAGTATAATAAACAGTGGCACTAATCCAGGAGTTTGGTTTGTGTTAATTTTAGGATAGCAGTTGTATTAGCAGATCTGAAAAACTATAGTTCCAAAGAGTAAGTCATAGCATTTTAAAGGAGAAATTTTAAATGTATATAGTTAAGATGCTGGATGGTTAAAGATACAGTGACAAAAGCGTATGTTAGTTTCCATCAACAAGAAAATAAAAAGTTCAGCTCCATAAAAAGCAAAGCTGTGGGTCAAGTGTGAGGGAATCGTAAATGGGGCATGATGCTGAGCAAGGGATGTGGGGTAAGTGAATGTTTTCTTTTGCATGGCATAGAGGTAATGCCATTGGACCTACAAAGAAGGAATGTACTCCTAACACGTTACTTGGCTCTTCTGTGAAGGAAATATTTATAAACAAGTACCAGTCAGGTTTCAGTGTGGAAAAAACACTGAATAGTCTTTTAAGGAGAATGAATTTTATGGCAGGGGATGAGGTACTTACATAATCATCGAAGGGGCTGAAGGGTGAAGATTACGGCACCGCCAGTAGGATCTTTGGTCCCACTTTTACAATTTGGACTTAGAGGTTTGGCAGCTTCAACTGTCTCCTAGGGAAGAAAGCTGCAGGAAATCCTCACAGAAGTCACAAGGCACTCTGCTGGCCCTGGGGCAGGGACTGGCAGGGGACATAGAATCTAGCTAGCTGGCTGCCGCAAACACTCATGTTTCTGCACTCCAGGTGTGCCTGCTGCTATCTCTGCCTGGGAAAGAATAACTTCACTCCCGCTCTGGCTTCTAACATTTATCGAAGTGCATCTCATTGGATGACTCTTAAATTGATTCTAGAACCCTCTAGCTACAATATTATAATCTATACTTAAGGGACTGGAATACCTTTATTTTGTGAGAAAAATACACTGAGCTATCAAGGTAGAAAATAAATTTGCTAAATACAGAGGGATTTGCAAAACTGCAGATCTTAAGGTAGGATGTGAACTTACACATAACATGGCCAAGCAAAATGTAGTAATAGGAGCACCATTTTGGATGGCTCCAAGAAGTGATTCCAGAAGTGGAATCACAATCCAGAAGTGAATTAGGGAATTGGGTACAACTGATTGGTGAACATCTGGTTGCTGGTAAAAACAGCCTTAGTAAATGGCTGAAGGAAAAGGCCCTTATGCTTTGATGAGGAAATGTGGTTTGAGGCGTCCCGCTCCTACAAGAGTGGGCAGAGTTTAGAACAGATTAAGGATATATGTGGAGTACCTATAAGCAAAATCCCCTATTAAAGATAATAGTAAATTTGTTTTCAATTTTTAGAATGGACCTATAGGCAAAATATGGAAGACATAAATAGTAGCCTTAGTACAAAGCATAAATATTAACATCGTTTAAAGTAAATGCAATAACAAAATATTTAAATATACTATAAACATATAGGAGTGTAATTAACTAAAACACAACCAAAAATGATAATTCTATTTCTTAGAGCAGAGTGAATAGATAACACCTTGAATACTTAAGAAATTATGCTGTAGGTATATTCTTTTGAGTAGAAGAGATAACCAGTATGAGAAATAAAAACAGAAACAGAAGTAGGAAGTGGTGGGAGTGGGTGGGTAGAGGTTGGGCTCAATATTTTTGCTTTTCATTTTAAGATCCTTTTATAGTGCTTGATTTTTTTAACCATACACATGTATTGTTTTAATAAAAAAATTAAAAAGGCTGTTCTTTTTTTTAATCACAATCTTCAAGTAAGGATATTGCTCATAGCAAAAAAAAATTCAAGGAAATTTACCTCTTTAGTGATATTCATACTCTGAAGGATTATCAAAACTACTTCATTCTATTTGAATTAAAGTTACTAAGATTTTGTTTTTCATTAGTGTTGGAAATGATTCTCACTAGTTGCTGTATCTACCTTTTGCATCATGCTATGGGGCCCCTCACCTGTGGCAGGTGAGTCACTGTCAGTGATGTGCTGTTGCTGAGCTCTGCCTCTCCTGCTGTTTGTTTTCAGGAAGACATGCATGAATAGGACTTGTAACTCTATTTCAAGCAAAGGGGATAGGACCAAGATCCCAATGTGCCCAATCATAGCAGATATCATCTGAAGGCATCTGGGGAAGGAAGTTTAATGGGGAATCACTAGTTGAAATATGTGTGCCTGAATTGTCTTAATAGCAAGCGTGTATTAATTCATAAAAAGAGTTAAATAATAATGCAGAGAAAAGTAGCAAAAGGATGTATATGCCCACATCTATGCTAATATGATGTACTTAATTTTGTTTTCCGTTTAAGTAAGACAGCTTTGGTTGATTTTTGCCTTCTCTATTCCAAGCAAGTAAAGCTACTGGGATCCATGAAACTAAGCTAAACGGAAAAGACTCTCTTTCTCAAAGCACACAACAAAGAAAAGTTCCAAGTCCGAATAAGTTTAGGAAATGCTGGTTAAACATATCTAAATAAGCTTCTTTACTGCAGGTTTACTCAGGAGGGGCACTGTGAATATCTAAGACTGATAACATTTAGGTAGAGTAGTGGGTATTTCAGAAAATAATTGAAAAAGGAAAATTATGTTTTAGTAAAAATGGGTTTAGTCATATTGTGCAGGAAGGATTCAAGATGCAAGGAAAAGTAAATGTAATGAACGCAGTGATAAGACCATTGTACCGATCCCTGGTGATATAGTTTGGATATGCATCTCAGTCCAAGTCTCATGTTGAATTGTAATCCCCAGTATTGGAGGTGGGACCTGGTGGGAGGAGGTTGGATTATGGGAGTGAATTTCTCATGAATGGTTTAGCACCGTCTCCTTGGTGCTGTCCTCATGATAGTTTGTGACTTCTCATGAGATCTGGCTGTTTAAAAGTGTGTGGCACCTCGCTTGCTCTCTCTCTTGCTCTTGCTTTTGCCATACGATGTACCTGCTCACTCACCTCCTGCGGAGCAGCTGGTTTCTAACAGGCTATGGACCAGTACCAGTAACATGGGGTTAGGGATCCCAGCTTTTTGGCACACTTTGATCAACTTTGATGATTTTTTGTTTTTAATTGCTGTACAAAATCTTAATCTGTTGGTTATTACCTATATAAATGATTGCCAAACAACTACTTGATATGTAGAAAACAAAGCATGCTACTAGATAAAGACCTTATATATTTACTTCATTTATCTATAAGAATTAAATACTATATAATTAATATTCTAATATTGGGAAGTAGTCTAATCTCTTGATCTATCTATTTATTTTATTTCTTTTTTAGTATACTGACAATTTAAGGCAGATTCTAGATTGACTCAATGCGTGTGATCCAGTTAACTGAATGCAATTTTGGTATCAATTCTCCAAGCAAAAATTTCTTGATTTGTAAAAATAAAAAGTAGCTATTTGTAGCAACACTAGTTATTCTAAAGCTGCTTTCCTTGATCACTGATTTCAGGAACAGAAATATAAGAACTGTAACAATCTAGCTAGAATTTAGGCAAATGCATTTGTAACACTAGTAAGAGATAAAAGTTGTTATCTTTTAGACAAGAAACAGCTGATGTTATCTAGTCTAGACAGGACTTCCTTTTAGTTAATTGGAAGCTTTGTGGCAGGAACTCAGGCAAGCCATAGGAAAGAAAGAATAGGAACACACAAAGGAAATATGAAGATAAGAAACTTTTTCATAATATAATAGCTTTGTTCTCTTCTCAGTTTTTTAATCTGACAAATTCCACATAGAGTGCAGAGCTTTCTTTACCATTTGAAGTACAACTTTAAAGAAAAGGCATAGCCTGATAGGCTAATATTTACTGGATTATTTCAGTAGATGAGGCTGCAGTGGTGGTTTGGTATTGTGTGGACATTAGATGATGGAAACTTGCTTGTAACAGATGCTCTCTTATCAGAGACATATACAGGTTATTAGTGGAGACTTTTAGTCCCAGAATGTCCTAGTGCATGTTTAAGTGTTTATCGAAATACACATGACTGTTCATTGACTTTCCCCTGAGATTATTATGGGGAAAAAAGGCTTGGTATGCCTGAATCTCATTTAAACTCATTGTTTCAAGTTTTACTTTAAAAAAGACATTTTCCAGGAGTGCTAAAATTATTGATATGAAGCATTTTCCACTTTCTTTCTTTAATGATTTAACTTTTTTAATTTTTTCATTTCACAAGAAATCCATGATATTTTGTTGGCTATTGTATAAAATACAGAACAATCAAAACAAGTAAAAAGAAAAGGTAAAATCTGAAATTTAACTATTATTGTTACTCTACTATCCAGGTGGAAAAAGAAACATTGTAATCTTTTGGCTTGTAATACCCACATTTTATTTCTAAGTAAACACACACAAACATAAATGGCAGGATACTTGGCCATTATTATCTTTTTTATTCTCTGCCATATGAATCAGGAAAAAAAAGTAAAGGACTACCTCTTGTGCATCCCATGATGTAGCCACGTGTTGTACTCCAAGATTCTTATTTATGACTTTTGTGTTGACTGGCCAGAAGCAAGAGTTTCCAGGTACTCAGAAGATAATCTCCACCTATACTTTTCTTTTTGGAAAAACCTAGTGTGAGAAAGACACAAGCATACAGTCTTTTGGAAGAAAAATATTTCTTGTAGTTTTTTGTGATTCTTGGTATTTTCTTTTTTTCTTCTCCTTCTCCTTTTCCTTCTCCTTCTTCTTCTTCTTCTGTTGTTGTTGTTGATAAGTTATGGGTCATAGGGCAGGTCATGAAGAGCAATTGTCCCAGAGATTGCCAAGAGCTGTGGCCTTGGGAAATCAATGAAGAATCTCCAGGTGATATAGCAGTTAAGAAGAAATTATTTAGGCAGATAGTGAGGGTAAGGAAGTCCTTGGTAAGGTTTTCCTTTTAATGAAAAGCAACCCCCAAATCATTTTCTTTTCTAACAAAGAGCAGCCTGTAAAATCGAGCTGCAGATATAGACAAGCAAGCTGGAAGCTTGCACTGGTGAATGCAAGCAGCTGTGCCAATAGGAAATGGCGATGTGGGGGCTAGGCCTGTCCAACATGGTGGCTCCATCTTCTCTTTTCCTTGTCAACCACGTGCACAGTAAGGAGTAGGCAACATGGCATGAGTCAGGTAGAGACCCATTTGCGGAAGAAGATTACGGTGGGGTGGGCAGCTTCTTTGCGCCCTATGTAAACATCACACCTGATCCAACCAATCTTTGAGCCCTATGCAAATCAGACACCACCTCCTCAAACCTGTCTATAAAACCCTGTGCACTCCACCACAGGCTGGAAGTCCCACTCAGGTGCCCTTCTCTGTCTCTTGCAGGAGAGAGAGCTGTTCTTCTTTCTCTTTCTTTTGCCTATTAAACCTCTGCTCTTAACCTCACTCTACCTATGTCTGTGTCCTTGATTTCCTTGGCTTGAGGCAATCAACTTTGGGGATTTAACCCAGACAACGACACTGAGAGGTGACAGCGTGCTGGCAGCCCTCGCTTGCTCTTGGTACCTCCTTGGCCTTGGTGCCCATTCTGGCCATGCTTGAGGAGCCTTTCAGCCCGCTGCTGCACCGAGGGAGCCCCTCTCTGGGCTGGCCATGGCTGGAGCCGGCTCCCTCTGCTTGCGGAGAGGTGTGGAGGGAGAGGAGCTGGCGGGAACCAGGGCAGAGCACAGTGCTTGCAGGCCAGTGCGAGTTCCAGGTGGGTGCGGGCTCAGTGGGCCCTGCACTCAGAGCAGCTGGCCGGCGCCACCGGCCCCTGGCAGTGAGGGGCTTAGCACCCAGGCTAGCAGCTGTGGAGGGTGCGCTGGGTCCCCCAGCAGTGCTGGCCCACCCGCGCTGTGCTTGAATTCTCTCCGGGCCTCAGCTGCTTCCCTGCAGGGCAGGGCTCGGGACCTGCAGCCCACCATGCCCGAGCCTCCCCACTGCTGTGGGCTCCTGTGGGCCCGGGCCTCCCCGACAAGCACTGCCCCCTGCTCTGCAGTGCCCGGTCCCATCAACTGCCCAAGGGCTGAGGAGTATGGGTGCATGGCACGGGACTGGTGGGCAGCTCCGTCTGCGGCCCCAGTGCGGGATCCACTAGGTGAAGCCAGCTGGGCTCCTGAGTCTAGTGGAGACTTGGAGAAACTTTATGTCTAGCTAAGGGATTGTAAATACACCAGTGAGCACTCTGTGTCTACCTCAAGGTTTGTAAATGCACCAGTCAGCACCCTGTGTCTAGCTCAAGGTTTGTAAATGCACCAATCAGCACTCTGTATCTAGCTAAACTGGTAGGGACTTGGAGAACTTTTATGTCTAGCTCAGGGATTGTAAATGCACCAATCAGCACCCTGTCAAAACAGACCAATCAGCTCTCTGTAAAATGGACCAATCAGCAGGATGTGGGTGGGGCCAGATAAGGTAATAAAAGCAGGCTGCCTGACCCAGCAGTGGCAACCCGTTGGGGTCCCCTTGCACAGTGTGGGAGCTTTGTTCTTTTGCTCTTTGCAGTACATCTTGCTGCTGCTTACTCTTTGGGTCCACACTGCGGTAATACTCACCACGAAGGTCTGCGGCTTCACTCCTGAAGCCAGTGAGACCACAAACCCACCAGAAGGAAGAAACTCCAAACATCTCTGAACATCAGAAGGAACAAACTCCGGACACACCATCTTTTAGAACTGTAACACTCACTGTGAGGGTCCGTGGCTTCATTCTTGAAGTTAGTGAGACCAAGAACCCACCAATTCCAGACACAACACCACTTCACAGGTGACAGATTGGCAAGGAAGCTGTGGCACTATGCAAATTCTAGTGAGTGTCCATGAAAACAGGCAGTGAGAGTGTCAGTGGTGTCAAATGTGGACTGGGGTAGGGGCCTCTCTCCAAATGTTCTAAGTTGTGTGATTCTTCCAAAACACTCCATGGAAGTTTCCCTCTTTACATATGATAGAATTTCCTGACAACCAAGTAGATGTGGTTTTTTGGTAGATGTGTCTGATTTAGATAAAGATGAACAACATGGCCTTAATGTCCCCTCAGGTGGACTAAACTTGAGACAGGTTTCCTCCTGACTGTGGGCCCCTGACCTTGTTTTTCTTAGAGAATATACATTAGAAAACTTGCAAATTCTAAATTTCTACCTTTCTGAGATGTAAATCTACAGTTGGGAATGTCCTTCTTACAGATCTAGGAACCATTCCTTTGAAATGTAATGATCAAGAAAGATAAGACCCCTCTTTCCCAGTCTATGGGAAGGTAAAGTTTAACTTTGTTAAGCACAATTAGCAAACACAGGTGACCTGATCACATTGACCAGCTTCCCCTACCCCTAAACTTACTCTAGCTCACCCTAGGACTTAAAAACTCTCTGGAGTTGAGCTCTGTAAACCAAAAAGTGACATAGGCAGATCTGAGTCAATTAGAGGTTTATTTTGCCAAGGTTGAGAATCAGCCGGGGAAAAACACAAATCACAGGAGCATCTGTGATCTGTGCTTTTTCCAAAAAGGGTTTTGAGAACTTCAGTATTAAAGGGGAAAGAGCAGGCAGGAGGGGAAGGAAGAATGAAAACAGAAGTCAGAGTAGGCAGTGAGGCAAGTGGCTACATTCTTGTGAGGCTTTGATTTGTTTCAGTAAATCTACATTTTACAGGGGGAAAGAGGGAGTAGAGGAAAAAGTCAGATTATGCATTCTGTCTCAGACAGGAAATCTCCATTTTACATGAAATAAAGTGAACATGTGAAAAGAGGGAGTAGAGAAAATGAGGCTATGACACAGGGAGTTGCACATGGGGTTGTGAAATTACAGCTATCTGTTTGGGAACAAAAGGAAGACAGTTTGGTGACTCAGTTCCCGAGCTTAACTTTCCCTGTGGCATAGTGAGTTTGAGGTCCTAGATTCTATTTTTCTTTTACAGTTCAACCTCTCTTCCCTATTGAAGTCTTGACCCTTAATGCAATAGCCTTGAATAAAGTCTTCCTTACCATTTTCAATAAGCATCTGGTACAATTTTTCTCTTTAACAACAAAAAGTGGCATTACTTGCAGCAGAGTATTATTAAATATAGTCTCTCTTTTTGTTTTTTCCCCCATTGCTCCCTCTGGATAATTAGCTGAGATATTCATTCTGATCTTGTTTTCCTGTTGTAAGAGACGTGAAAGATTATTCGATTCCTTAAATCTGGAGGAACAGCCAGGCCTCTGTTCCAGTCTTCCCTTGCCTGAGGTGAAATTAACTATTTTCAGTGTTTCTGAAACCTTCCCGATAAGGCTCCCCACCAACGCTTTTGTTTACAGATTCTGGGAAACTACGAGAGAAAAGGCAGAAATATCCTGGGATGGGAGCTGGGAGGAGTCTGTTGCTGAGTGAAAGGGCCTGATTGGCCAGGTACTTGACAATGATTTTGGCTTTAGGTGTGGAAGCCACAGAGAGAAGTTCCATGCTCACGTTTGGCAGAAAAGGAATGAAGCTATGGACCTCTGGGTGGAGGGCTTGATGTATAGGCAGGGTGGATAGACTCTCAGAGGCCCTTTTTCTATTTTTCTTTCTCCTATTTTATTTTCTCATTTCCTTACATAGAAAAATAAGTTATATAGAAAAACTCATTCCTCCGAGAATGTAGGATACAATTTTTTTAAAGACATTCTATGTTGTAACTAGTTTACTAGTTAAGACTAATAATCAAAGATATGAAAGTTAAACTGTGAGATAACTTACTACATGTATCAGAATGGCAATAACTAATATTTGTGAGAATATATTTAAATCATAATATGCTTGTGAATGTCTAGCCAAAAAATGGACAATGTTGGATCTTAGGCAAGTTGCTTAGGTACCCTAAGTCCCTGAGTCTCCATTTCTTTATCCATAAAAATGGGAAAAAATGTGTGTACTCCCATAGTGGTTTTGTTTTATTATTATTAAATGAGCTCCAGATAAGCTACTAAAACAGTACCTATTACATAAAAATATCAACCAATAGTAGTAGCTCTAATAATATTACTTTATTTTAATCTTTAAAGTGATTAGATTTAAGAAGAGTCTCCGTAGAAATGTATGTGTTTATCTAAGTGAACTTGGCAAGTCCCAACCTCTCTTAAGCTCGATTTTCTTATTTATAAAAACACTAAATGTATTTGCTTGTCTCACATGGTAGTTGCTGCTCTTGTGAAATAATCAAATATAATCATATATGCAAGAAGCAGTTTTGCAAGGGAGCATATTATTATTGTTATTGCCATTCTTTACTATTTAACTGCTTATTAAAACCTCCATTAAAAAAAGGTAAAGGACAACAAAATAGACAAAGTTCCAGAAAAATTAGTTGGAAAGAAAAAAGTAAATTCATAAATGCTCTTTAATAGATCTAGTCAGATATACATAAGATTAGAAATGGAAACTTTTCATAATATAAAAAAGTGAAAGAAGTAAATACCTTGGAAAGGAAAAAATTACATATTGAATTTTAAATAATCTCATCAAAATATAAAAAAGCATTGTAAAAGATAAGTCATCTTGTACACCCTCCAAATATGAATACCTTTTATTTATGCACTGTGATTTTAAAATTTGTTATTTGGAATCATCTGGTAAATCACAACTGTCATAAATATATCATCAACTAATATTTGAGCTTGTCCATCGTCATGGAGGGTACATGTCAGGCATTGTAAGAAATGAGTAATGATGACAAAAAAACAAAAGAGTAATGCATCTATCTAAAGGAGGTTATATTTTCAAAAACTCTTGTCAGTTTTAGAGTGAATTTGATTGGCCTGACATAGGTTTAGAATAGACATAATAGTAGATTGGAGTCATTGATGATCAGACATTATTTAGTTTTATAATGATAGTAAATTGTTAGGTTAGGTTTTTTTTTTTAGTGACAGATGACATTTTGACTTTACTTTCTTATCTGTATTATAATATTTGTGAGAAATCACTACCCTACTGATATGGTTTGTCTGTGTCCCCACCCAAATCTCATCTTGAATTGTAGCTCCCACAAATCCCATGTGTCATATGAGGAACCCGGTGGGAGGTGATTTTATTATGGGAGTGGGTCTTTCCTGCACTGTTTTTGTAATAGTGAATGAGTCTTATGAGATCTGATGGTTTTGAAAATGGGAGTTTCCCTGCACAAACTCTCTTTTTGCCTGCTGCCATTCATGTAAGACATCACTTGCTTCTCCTTGCCTTCCACCATGATTGTGAGGCCTTCCAGCCATGTGAAACTGTGAGTCCAAATAAACCTTTTTCTTTTGTATATTGCCCAGTCTTAGATATGTCTAATCAGCAGCATGAAAATTGACTAATACAGTAAATTGGTACCAGTAGAGTGGGGCGTTGCCAAAAAGATCCTTGAAAATGGGAAGCAACTTTAGAACCAGGTAACAGGAAGAGGTTTGAACAGTTTGGAAGGCTCAGAAGAAGACAGGAAAATGTGGGAAAGTTTGGAACTTCCTAGAGACTTGTTGAATGGCTTTGAGAAAAATGCTGATAGTAATATGAACAATAAGGTTCAGGCTGAGATGGTCTCAGACGGAGATGACGAACTTGTTGGGAACTGGAGCGAAGGTGACTCTTGTTATGTTTTAGCAAAGAGACTGGTGAGATTTTGCCCCTGCCTTAGAGATTTGTGGCACTTTAGACTTGAAAGAGATGATTTAAGGTATCTGGTGGAAGAAATTTCTAAGCAGCAAAGCATTCAAGAGGTGACTTGGGTGCTGTTAAAGGCATTCAGTTTTATAAGGTAAGCAGAGCATAAAAGTTTGGAAAATTTGCAGCCTGACAATGTGATTAAAAAGAAAATCCCATTTTCTCAGGATAAATTCAAGCCGGCTACAGGAATTTGCATAAGTAATGAGGAGTCGAATGTTAATACTCAAGACAATAGGGAAAATGTCTCCAGGGCGTCAGAGGTCTTCATGGCAGCCCCTCCAATCACAGGCCCAGAGGCCTAGGAGGAAAAAATGGTTTCATGGGTCAGGCCCAGGATGCCCGTGCTGTGTGCAGTCTAGAGACTTTGTGCCCTGTGTCTCAGATGTGCCAGCTGTGACTGAAAGGGGCCAAGGTACAGCTCAGACTGTGGCTTCAGAGGGTGCAAGCCCCAAGCCTTGGCAGCTTCCATGTGGTGTTGAGCCTATGGGTGCACAGAAGTCAAGAATTGAGGTTTGGGAAATTCTGCCTGGATTTCAGAAGATGTGTGGAAAAGCCTGGATGTCCAGGCAGAAGTTTGCTGCAGTGGTGGGGCTTTCATGGAGAACTCTGCTAGAGCAGTGTGGAAGGGAAATGTGGGGTCAGAGCCCCCACACAGAGTCCTTACTGGGGCACTGCCTAGTGGAGCTGTGAGAAGAGGACCAATGTCCTCCAGACCCTAGAATGGTAGATCCATCAACAGTTTGCACTGTGCTCCTGGAAAAGCCACAGAAAGTCAACACCAATCTGTGAAAGCAGCTGGGAGGGAGGCTGCACCCTGTAGAGTCACAGGAGAAGAGTTGCCCAAGACCATGGGAGCCCACCTCTTGCATCAATCAGCATGACCTGGATGTGAGATATGGAGTCAAAGGAGATAATTTTGGAGCTTTAAGATTTGACTGCCTCACTGGATTTCAGACTTGCATGGGGCTTGTAGCCCCTTTGTTTTGGCCAATTTCTCCCATTTGGAATGGCTATATTTACCCAATGCCTATACCCCCATTGTATCTAGGAAGTAACTAACTTGCTTTTAATTTTACAGGCTCAAAGGCAGAAGAGACTTGTCTCAGATGAGTCATTGGACTGTGGACTTTTGAGTTAATGCTGAAATGAGTTAAGACTTTGGGGGACTGTTGGGAAGGCATGATTGGTTTGAAATGTGAGGACATGAGATTTGGGAGGGGCCAAGGGTGGAATGATGTGGTTTGGCTGTGTCCCCACCCAAATCTCATCTTGAATTGTAATTCACACAATTCTGAGGTGTCATGGGAGGAACCTGGTGGGAGGTGATTGAATTATGGGGGTGGGTCTTTCCTGTGCCATTCCCATTATAGTGAATGAGCCTCACAAGATCTAATGGTTTTAAAAATGGGAGTTTTCCTGCACAAACTCTCTTTTTGCCTGCTGCCATCCATGTAAGACGTGACTTGTTCCTCCTTGCCTTCTGCCATGATTGTGAGGCCTCTCCAGCCACATGGAACTGTGAGTCCAGTTAAGCCTCTTTCTTTTGTAAATTGCCCAGTCTCAGGTATGTCTTTATCAGCAGCATGAAAACTGACTAATACACCTACTCTATTTAAAAAATAGTTCAATTACACAAATGCATTGTTTTAAAATAGTCTATAAAGATAAAAAGTATATATATAGCTGCAAAAAAGCTAGTCATCTTTTCTAAATCTGAGGCTTTCTTTATTGGTATATCTAACCTGGATCTAGCTAATAAATCAATTTTTTTTCAGTCTTCCTGTTTATATAGTTTTAGTTCCTTAGCTAAATTAGGTAAAGTGAAATCCCTAGCATTCTAAACATATTAACTTGTATATAAACAGGAAGATTCAAAGGAGGTTAGCTGGACCAAGAGCTAGATCTACTCTTGAATTATAGTCATATGTTGTAAAGGGAAACATCATTAGTTTTGGTGCATTTGCCAGAAAAAATCTCTATGGTTTTATTTTTTTTGCTTTTGTCTCTTGTGAGAATGCAAGAAGTTTAAAACTGGAAATCTGTCATTGGAAAACATCCTTTTTAAAAACAGGTGTAGAATAGAATTGAATGTGTACTTCCAGACCATGTAAGAAGTCAAGGAGATAAAATTGCACTTTCACTCTGCTAAAGCCAACAGCTATTTACAAGGTTTCCTGCAGGAGCAGGAAAAAGACTATGAAAAATTCGCAAGATTGTTTAGCTGAGGAAGGGTGAACATATGCCAGAAGATTTTGAAACATGCAACTTTAAATCTAAAGCAATAAGAAAGACCAAATTGTATACCCATAGCTATTGTTAATTGCTTATTTGTTCATATATATAATATCAACAGGGATGTTACTGACTTAAGGTGGTTTGGTCATTGTGAATGATTATTACAAATTTAATTTCAGTCATATAAAAGACAATTTTCCTAGGTATTATTTACTTTAATAAAATGTTCTGGTACTCAATGTTAACATTATTGGATAAAATCAGAGCTACTGACTGTGGCTCTATAACAAATGTTTTCTCAATATGGAGATCAATGGGTAAACTTGACATTGTACCTGTGACCTTGGAAGCCAGTGCATGTTATTTTAACTCCCTCATGTAGCAATGTATGTGTTTCTTATGAAGTTATGGAAGGTATTTAGAATACTCTTCTTTTATCTTGGGGAACCTTTCTGATGTGTTCCCTAAGCAGGCTTATTGTACTGTTTGTTTCATTAAATTGCATACATGTGTGGGGAAAGGATGATGGTTCCAGTTGGATTGTCTAGCTCATTGTAACCTATATTAAATTTAGGTTGTGGAAGTTCTCTTTATCTCCTGATGTCTCCATCTACTCTTGTCTCATGAATACCCACTTCTAGCTGAGTAAACATAACTTCAGAAGATTTTCATTAGCAGGAGTAGGAACAGTTTCTGTAAAGGCAGCAGACCAAAGACTAAATAGGTTGCCAATCATCCTAATTCTCTCCATTTCAAAGTACCAATGGCATGTAAAATTAATTCTGCATTAAGCTTAAAACCAATTAATTTCTCATCCTTGTATATTTCAACGGGAATGTGAATTTTCTGTTTAAAGTTTTTGGGTACACTAGGAATAGGATTTAATTGTCTAGCCTGGCCAACACTTATGGCAAAATCCATGCCATCCACTTCATTCTGTTTTTCAGACAGGTATATCTTCCTGATGGCATGATTTTATAGCCACCCACCCGCCCCCCCCAAAAAAAAACTCCATCCAACATTTGGAACTCTTCTCAAGTATGGTACTTTTTCAGTAATCCTTATCAATGTTGAAAATGTTACCCTTGACATGTGGAGGATTTAACTATGTAAAGACTGCAAAATACCAAGTTTTTACTTAGTTGGTCTGAGGTTGTCTTTGAGACAGTGATGCATAGCAAAACTTTCATTGCCCTTGAAACTTGGCTCTTGAACTTTAATATGAAACAAACAGCTGAGCTCACAGTAAGAAGCTGTGAAAAGGCATCTTCATGAATTGGGTAATTAAAAATATATGCCTTCATTTCATACATTTATGGCAATACACTAAGTCTAAGCAGTAAATATACTGAGATGGCTATAAACTTTTCAGATGTGGTCATGGGTGATTAAACATTGAGACTGATTCATTCTTGCACATTGAGAAAATAATGGTCATGTGTGTATGTGTCTGTGTGAAAATGAAAAGTACATAAAACTAAATTGTAGTTAAGATTCTGAATCAAGTCAGACATAGTGATAGCCTTAAGACTTTTCTTTTTAATTTCCTGTAAAAAGGATAAAAGTGCACAAAGGAAACAATTGTAAGACATGAGAGATTCCAACAGGGGATAAGTGTCTTGCTCAATGCTCTGTGTGTTCCCGAGAAATCAAAACTCTCTTCATCTGTTCTTTCTTTCATTTCTAAATCAGGAAGAGAAGCGGAGTATTAGAGACCTGGGCCAGGGACACAATGGATTCTTTAGGGGCATTGTGGGATAACGGCACTGGGCACAGGCATTTTAAATAAAAATGGAAGTGGCTAAAAGTGTGTTTATACATGGCTTGTTAATTAGATTCTGTCTTCTTGGAGTGATGGCGTCTCACTGGTGATTAACTCTTACTTCAGATTCACTTTCTGTTTTTCTTCTGTGTAGCTGGACAGAACTCAGGGGCTTCTTTCCCCCACACCTTTCTTGCTCCCAGAGACAGCCCAGACAGCTTATGGAAAGCTCAGCAGAAAGCACAGCTGGATGGAATAGTTTACACTACTGTTCAAAGCCTGAGGGAAAAATGCCTTCTTTCTCAGCATACTTTTTCTGGGTTCTTCTCTCTTTCAGAGTGGTACAGTCTATGGGCCAAGGTTAGGGTCTGAGCTGAGGGGAATGGGGCCAAGGGAACAGAGGATGACAAGGAACCTCATCCTCTGTCAGGGACAGGGGTGATGGACCTAGGCCTGTCTTTAGCCTAAAGGAGAACTTCGCTTCTTAAATATAACAAACTTGCTATGAATAGGAGCTTTGTATGTATTTGGGTCCAAGCCTTTACTTTAAATTTTGGGTGTCCTTCTTTTCCTCTTTGTTTATGAGTGTGTACATGCAAACACACACACACACACACACACACACACACGCACGCACTTAGAATACATAGGAGATTCATTGCGATGGATCAGGCTATTAAAGACAGCCAGTAATGGCTTTCTCTCTCCATCTTGAACATAATATTAATATCATATAACTTTCTCTCATAGTACTTATCATTTCCTCTCTTGTTTTACCCTTGCACATATTCAAGGTTTACCTTCTTCATTAGGCTGAAAGCTATTTAGAGGCTGGATCTATGATTTATCTTTAATTCTCAATATTGCCTTCACATGATAGCCACTCAAACATTTATTGATTAATTAACTGATACTTCCCATAGCAACATTTAGACAAGCACTAAGGAAATATTTATGAGAAATCAACAACTGGTTCTTTGATTGGGGAACTTTTGATTGGATATCTATAGAGATAGAGATTAGAGTTGATGTCCTAGTAACTACCTGCATTTTTCAAAAAACATTTTACATTGAAAATTAGACACACACAAAAGTGAGTAAAAGAGTATATAGTGAGCCTGATCTACTTATAACCCAGCTTCAACAATTATCTACACATAAACAATCTTATTTGATCTGTACTCAATCTCCATAAATGCAGATTAGTTTGAAGCAAATTCAAAACATCATTTCATTTTAGCTGTAAATATTTCAGTTTTCTCAATGCATCTTAAATGCTCTGCTGCATATCTCTGTTGGGTCACTATGCAATATTCTTCTGAAATGATTACATATAATGTGTGCTTCAGTGTTAATTAGGTGAGTGTTATAAACTTGCCTTAGAAACTTACTGTGAACCCCTTGGTGAGGCAATTAAGATTGTGATGACTTAGCTGTACAAGAAGACATGAAAGAAAAGCTAAGAATCCAAAAAAGGGATGTTCTGTTTGTTCCTTGTCACACTGATTTGAGTGCCAACATCCCAAAGTGGAATCAATTTTTGCAGACCAAGCTCAAGTTTAGCAATATATTGTGATGGTAAACATACCAGGTGACACCTATTCTTGGGTCTGCCACAGGCACCACTTTCAACATCTGGAATGGTTAAAGAATAACCCCCAGAAGCCACAGTGAAAAGCCAAGTAGAGACAGGATCACAAATCCATGTGTCCTTATGTATAGCAGTGTGTCAACCAGCCACCATAGCAGGGCTCTCTGGTACTCAGCTTGGTTGGATCATGATTTTTTTTTTTCTTGAGATGGAGTCTCACTCTGTTGCTCAGGCTGGAGTGCAGTGGTGTGGTCTCGGCTCACTGCAGGCTCTGCCTCCTGGATTCAAGTGATTCTCCTGCCTCAGCCACCCAAATAGCTGGGATTACAGGCATGCACCACCATGCCCATTTAATTTTTGCATTTTTAATTTTTTTTAGTAGAGATGGGGTTTCACCATGTTGGCCAGGCTGATGTTGAACTCCTGAACTCAAATGACCCGCCTACCTCGGCCTCCGAGTGCTGAGATTATAGGCATGAGCCACCGTGCCCAGCCAGATGAGGATATTTTCTAAGCGATTCCTGATTAGTCAGTTAAAAATCTCTTTAAAAGCATGTTTGCATCTCCACAACATTTAGCAGAATGCCTATAGGTGCACAGTAGGTACTTAGTATCTATTTGCTGAATTCAGTAGTGAGTGTGAGCAAAAATAGAATAGCACTTAGATATCAGGGCAGCAATAGCTACCTTAAGGAATATCATGAAATACTGCTTAACTGTTTATTTTTAGAAAATACTAACAGAAGCAGAAATCTATTTTTGACACATAGCAAACAGCAAAGAAAGGATGACTGTGCTTTAATATTACATAGTCAAAAATATATATGTACTCTGAATAGTTTTACATAAGACAGATGCATTTGAGATGTAGGTACACAGTGGCAGGAGCATGCCTGGCTCATACGCAGTCTGTGGAAATCACATTAATGGATTCCTTCCTTCCAGCAGAGGCACTGATATAAATAGATTCAATTCACACTGGGGAATTGTTTTTTGGCGGCTAAAGTATCCATCCAGGGGTCACATTACCATTCACAATATTGTGCTGACAGGGAACGGGGAGTTTGATAAAGATTTGTGATATGGAAAAGTTCTCTGTGATCCTGTTGTCCCAAAGTACCTATCTAAATGATCATCCTATAGATTTTCACAGCCTTCAAACTTAATGGAATTATTTAGACATTGTTAGGAATGCAGGCAGAGAGTGTTAAGATACTTGATAAATATACATAAATCCTGTGTCATGAATCATTTTTCTTTCATGTGGGCTAAAAGGGATGTTAAATAACCATATTATTAATAGCTGAAGAAACACCTATTTTTGCAAAGTAGAGCTTCGGTCACAGGTCAGCTTGGAGTGTATGACTTAGACTAGATGTTTAAGTGGAACTTCCTCCCCCATCCACCCTCTTCCCATCCACTTCTACAACTTGGGACTAGTATATTTCGCTGTGCCTATATACAGAGAAGGATGGACAGTCCTACATGGGCTGTATGAAATCTGTGAGAGAGAAAGGGTCAGGTCTCTGAGAGGATGTTCCAACCTCACTCACTAATTCTGCTGTAAGGAGGGGAAGAGTAGTTTTAGAGTGGGAGGACTCACAGGTCCGTGTCTTGTAAGGCACAGGGACTTTACGCTAGAGTAACCATGACCAATAAATACCTCTGTTTCCAACCAATATGATTAGCAACTCTTTCTATTTTGTGGGGGAAAGCTGCCAGGGAAGTGGACAGAGACATGAAGGGTGAATATAGGAATGTAGCTTCCTCTTTATTATTTACTAGTAGTTAATAGTTATGTCACATTAAAGCATTGGCTGCAACAAATATTAGTATTTATCCATGTTCCCTAACTTATTGGTACAAATAAAATCATAGAACAGCCATACTTAAATTTTGTTGGTTAAATGCTTATACCTGGTAATACAAAACCTCCATTCCCCTGATCATTGTCTCAAAGTATTTTTGTAAGCAGCTAAATCATGTGTGCAGTACTCCTTCAGCATCTGCGCAGTCTATATTGTTGCTTAACAAGGGGCTACATCAGCTTTTCCTGCTTCCTTGTCGGACACAATTCCCTTTTAATGTCTGCTTGTGTTCTAAAGGTGTTAACATTTCCTGGTAGTTTGCAGTGGAGTGAGGAAGAAAGCTCTTTTCTCTTAGACTCACACTGTACTAGCAGCCCAAGTCAATGCTGCTTGGCCACACATGGTTCATCAAACGAGTCTCTCCATAAAACTCTCTTAAACTAGGACCCAAACATGTGTCCAGGCTCATTGAGGTATTGGTTGAAGTAACAGCCATCATTTAGTGTCTAGGTAAAGAATCACTTTACTTCTTTTGACACTAAGGTTTTCTAACTCGATAAAGGTTGTTACCTGCCTGCTGCTTTTCCTTTTGGAAAGAACTTTCTAAAGTGGGTTCCATTTGCCTTCTGAAAACAGATTTCTGTTGGGTCACATGCTGAAGCTCAGCATGTGGCCAAAGCTTCAGCTTGTTCCTTCCTTGAGTATTCTCAGGCCCACTAAAAATGGCCTTATCATGGCCTCTCCTGTCTCATGTGCCCAGATTCTCTATGCAAAACTGGACTTAGCTGACATCACTGTAGGTGACTACTCCTCTATCTCAGACCTGTCACTCAAATATCCAACACATCTGACTTTGACCCATAGATTTCTCAGGGCTCCACTTGTACATCCAATTCAGCCCATGTGGTTTGCTATCTTGGTGCCTTGACTGCTTCAGAATTTAGGATTTGGAGGAGATCTTCCTAATTTTTTTTTTAAATTTGGTAATGTTCCTTTGTCTCATTTTCTGTCTGCCTGTCTCTTGTGTTTTTCTTTTTAACTTTTATTTTAGGTTTGGGGGTTTGTCAACAAACCCCCGTGACACATGTTTACCTATGTAACAAAATAATTGTGGTTTTTTGCATTGTTGAAGTTTGCTGTTTGATATTGGAATACACTCTTAAACATAGTTATGTTATATTAATGCATCATTTTAATGCACATTTCTTGCTTTAATTTTTTTTCTAATGGCTTACTACTTGCTGTTTATGTTTATTTTGGACTATGGAAGTGATGTTAGACAAAAAGCAAATTCAAGCAATTTTCTTGTTTGAGTTCAAAATGGGTAATAAAGCAATAGAAACAACTTGCAACCACCAGTGGTGGTTCAAGAAGTTTTGCAAAGGAGACAAGAGCCTTGATAATAAGGAGCATTGTGGCCAACTACTGGAAGCTGACAATGACCAACTGAGAGCAATCATCGAAGCTGATCCTTTCACGACTGCAGGAGAAGTTGCTGGAGAACTCAGTGTCAACCATTCTGTGGTCATTTGGCATTTGAAGCAAATTGGAAAGGTAAAAAAGCTTGATAAGTGGGTGCCTCATGAGCTGAGCAAAGAAAAAAGTTGTCATTTTGAAGTGTCTTCTTCTCTTATTCTACACGACAACAACAAACCATTTCTGGGATTGGACTGTGATGTGCAACAAAAAGTGGATTTTATACAACAATCAGTGACAACCAGCTCAGTGGTTGGACCTAGAAGAAGCTCCAAAGCCCTTCTCAAAGCCAAACTTGCACCAAAAAAAAAAAGTCATGGTCATTGTTTGGTGGTCTGCTGCCAGTCTGATCCACTACGTCTGAGAATTATGCTCAGCAAATCAATGAGATGCACTGAAAACTGCAATGCCTGAATCCGGCATTGGTCAACAGAAAGGGCTCAATTCTTCTCCATAACAATGCCAGACTACGTGTCGCACAGCCAACGTTTCAAAAGTTGAATGAATTGCGTTACGAAGTTTTGCCTCACCTGCCATATTCACCTGCCCTCTTGCCAACCAGCTACCACTTCCTGAAGCATCTCGACAACTTTTTGCAGGGAAAATGCTTCCACAACCAGCAAGATGCAGAAAATGCTTTCCAAGAGTTAATCGAATCCTGAAGCACAGATTTTTACGCTACAGGAATAAACAAACTTATTTCTCATTGGTAAAAATGTGTTGATTTTAAGGGTTGCTATTTTGATTAATAAAGATGTGTTTGAGCCTAGTTAAAATGATGTAAAATTCACGGTCTGAAACCGCAATTACTTTTGCACAAATCTAATATTTCATCATCCAGATATTAAGCCCAGTACCCAATAGTTATCTTTTCTACTCCTCTCCCTACCTCTTCCGTCCCCGCTTAAGTAGGCCTCGGTGTGTGTTGTTTCCTTCTTTGTGTTTGTAAGTTCTTATTATTTAGTTCCCACTTATAAGTGAGAACATATGGTATTTGGCTTACTGTTCCTTTGTTAGTTTGCTAAGGATGATAGCCTCTAGCTCCATTCATGCTCCCGCAAAAGACATGATCTTTTTTTTTTTTTTTTTTTTAGGATGGAGTCTCCCTCTGTCGCCCAGGCTGGAGTACAGTGGCGTGATCTCAGCTCACTGCAACCTCCCCCTCCCAGGTTCAAGTGATTGTCCTGCCTCAGCCTCCTGAGTAACTGGGATTAGAGGTGCCTGCCACCACAACCAGTGAATTTTTGTATTTTCAGTAGAGACGGGGTTTCACCATGTTGGTCAGGCTGGTCTCCAACTCCTGACCTTGTGATCCACCTGCCTTGGCCTCCCAAAGTGCTGGGATTACAGGCATGAGCCACCGTGTCCGGCCTACATGATCTCATTCTTTTTTATGGCTGCATAGTATTCCATGGTATATATGTACCACATTTTCTTTATCCAATGTGTCATTGATGGGCATTTAGGTTGATTTCATGTCTTTGCTATTATAAATAGTACTGCAATAAACATACGTGTGCAGGTGCCTTCATAGTAGAATGATTTATAATCCTCTGGATAAATACTCAGCAATGGGATTGCTGGGTCAAATAGTAGTACTGCTTTTAGCTTTTTGAGGAATCACCATACTGCTTTCCACAATGTTTGAACTAATTTACACTCCCACCAACAGTGTATGAGTGTTCCTTTTCTACGCAACTTCACCGGCATCTGCTATTTTTTTTTGACTTTTTAAATTGCCATTCTGACTGGTGTGAGATGGTATCTCATTGTGGTTTTGATTTTCATTTCTCTAATGATCAGTGATATTGAGCTTCTTTATGCTTGCTGGCCACATGTATGTCTTCTTTCGAGAAGTGTCTGTTCCTGTCCTTTGCCCACTTTTTAATAGAGTTGTTTTTTTTTCTTGCAAAGTTGTTTAAGTTCCTTATAGACATTGGACACTAGACCTCTGTCAGATGGATAAATTACAAATATTTTCTCCCATTCTGTGGTTGTCTGTTTACTCTGTTGATACTTTTTCTTTTGCTGTGCAAAAGCTCTTAAGTTGAATTAGATCCTACTTGTCAATGTTTGCTTTTGTTGCAATTGCTTTTGATGTCTTTGTCATGAAACCTTTGCCCATTCCTATGTCCAGGGTGATATTGCCTAGGCTGTATTCCAGGGTTTTGGGTTTTACATTTAAGCCTTTAATCCATCTTCAGTTTATTTTCGTATATGGTGTAAGGAAGGGTCCAGCTTCAATCTTCTGTATATGGCTAGCCAGTTATCCTAGCTCCATGTATTGAAAAGGGAATCTTTTCCCCCTTGCTTGTTTTTGTCAGCTTTGTTGAAGGTCTGATGGTCATAAATGTGTGGCCTTATTTCTGGGCTCTCTATTCTGTTCCATTGGTCTATGTGTCTGTTTTTGTACCACTACCATGTTGTTTTGGTTACTGTAGCCTTGTGGTATGATTTGAAGTTGGGTAACCTGATGTCTCCAGCTTTGTTCTTTTTGCTTAGGATTGCCTTGGCTATTTGGGCTCTTTTTTGGTTCCATATGAATTTTAAAATATTTTTTTCTAGTTCTGTGAAGAATGTCATTAGTAGTATGATGGGAATAGCATTGAATCTGTAAATTGCCTTGGGCCGTATATCCATTTTAGTGACATTGATTCTTCCTATCCATGAGAATGGGATGATTTTTCCATTTGTTTGTGTCTTCTCTGCTTTCTTTGAGCAGTGTTTTGTAATTCTCATTGTAGAGATCTTTCACCTCCCTGGTTAGCTGTATTCCTAGGTATTTTATTCTTTTTGTGGCATTTGTGGTTTAGCTCTTGGTTTGGCTATTGTTGGTGTATTGGAATGCTAGTTTTTCTTTTGGACATTGATTTTGTATCCTGCAACTTTGCTGAAGTTGTTTACCAGCTGAAGGAGCTTTTGGGCTGAGACTATGGGGTTTTCTTTTCTGCTCTTTTTTTTTTTTTTTTTTTCGTGATGGAGTCCTGCTCTGTCACCCAGGCTGGAGTGCAGTGGCATGATCTTGGCTCACTGCAACCTCCGCCTCCTGGGTTCAAGCAATTCTCCTGCCTCAGCCTCCTGAGTAGCTGGGATTACTGGCGCCCACCACCACACCCAGCTAATTTTTGTATTTTTAGTAGAGATGGGGTTTCCCCATGTTGGCCAGGCTGGTCTCGAACTCCTGACCTTGTGATTCACCAGCCTTGGCCTCCCAAAGTGCTGGGATTACAGGTGTGAGCCACCACTCCCAGCCAAGGGGTTTTTTAGATGTAGAATCATTCATCTGCAAACAGAGATAGTTTTAATTCCTCCCTTTTTATTTGGATGCCCTTTATTTCTTTCTCTTGCCTGATTGCTCTGGCTAGGACTTCCAATATTATGTTGAGTGGAAGTAGAGTCAGAGGGCATCCTTGCCTTGTGCCAGTTTTCAGGGGGAATACTTCCAGCTTTTGACCATTCAGCATAATGGCCTTTGGTTTATTATAAATGGCTCTTGTTATTTTGTTCTTAAAACTTAAAATTTATCTTGAACTAGGTATGTTCCTTCAACACCTAGTTTATTGAGAGTTTTTAATATGAAGGGATGTTAAATTTTATCTAAGGCCTTTTCTGTGTCTGTTTTGATAATCATGTGGCTTTTGTCTTTAGTTATGTGATGAATCACACTAATTGATTTGCATATGTCAAACCAGCTTTGCATCCTGGGGATGAAGCCTACTTGACTATGGTGGATTAGCTTTTTCATATGCTGCTGGATTCGGTTTGTGAGTACTTTGTTGAGGATTTTTGCATTGATGTTCATCAAGGATATTGGCCTGAAGTTTTCTTGTTTTTTGTTTTTTCTCTGCCAGGTTTTGGTATCAAGATGATGCTGGCCTCATAGAATGAGTTGGAGAGGAGTGCCTCCTCCTCAAATTTTTGGAATAGTTTTTATAGGAATGGTACCAGCTCTTCTTTGTACATCTGGTAGAATTCAGCTGTGAATCATCTCTTATAAAATGATGAGATAATTATAACATTAGAATCTCTTTTTGGAAATGTCTGAAATATTAACAAGTTTTGAAACTCATCAACTAATGCACTCTGAAATGTATTTAGAAGTAATTATAATTTTTTACCATATGCTTATTGTATATATAAAATGATTATATAAAATGAAAATTTGCTATTTATTTGTTTGTCAACTTAATAATATATACTTATTTATATATTAAGCTTACATTTTTGTATTATATATTATTTGCTTATTTATTACATATATTTATTTAGTGTTTGTTTAGGGGTTGTAAAATCGGCATCTGTTTATAGAAGATGATGGACTCAATTATCTTTAGCTCCTTTTGTGGCCTAAGGATTCTGTTTATTTTCTTAGAACCTTGTCCCTAGCTTCTTATTGTTCTTATTTCTAAGCTAAAATGATGGGATTAAATTGGCCAGAAACTTTTAGCTCATTTGGAAAATTTTGATAACTGGATGCTTTTAAGTTGTAAAAATGTACACTTCCATATAAGAGTAAAAGTGTTGGAAGTTTTTCAAATTGAACATTGATTATGTAATTGAGAATGCTTGCCATAACATTTTTATAAAATTGCATGCTTTTTATTTTAATAGTAAGAATCTAGATTTTGGCCACGTCTTCTGTTTGTCATGGGGATTTAGAGCATTCTAAATCTAAATTTAAGGAATATACTCCTAAAGAGAGCAAAAAGAGTTAGCAAAATAAATTCTTAAAAATCCACAACAGCAATGCAGAAAGAGTATTTTGAAGAAGTGCTGTTATACGGGAGAAAAAGTGTTGTAGGCAGTGCTTTGAAGAAGTGAAATGTAAGCAGTTGTTTCTGCCTTTTTATAAACATTTGCCTCACACTGGAGATGTAACTCAGGAAGGGGTGTGCAGAGCCACTTAAGAAACAGATGGCTATCCTAATAGCTATCCTGGGGATGGGCTGGATTTAGGAAACATAAAAGCTGCAGAGAAGGGCCTGGTAGAGCTCTATTTTGGGTCTACAAAGTAAATGCTAAACTATGTAGTGAATCACAGGCTTTTGGATGGCCAATAAAGGCAGTTGAAATCATAGACTTGGAATTAGTAAGACCTAGTGGATAGAAGAGAGAATAGCTAGGGTCTATTTTTTCCCCGCTCTGGAACAATAAGTATTTAATGGGATAGCTGAGTTTTATTATTCCTTTCTGGAACAAGGAAGTTATAATGTGCGGATTCCTAAGTTTGTCCGTCTAAAACATTTGGATTAAATGCTTCCTATAATATAAAGGCATTGTAGAAGTTTAGAGTAATGTGAACATGAGAAAATGCCAGAATTATAGAGCTGGAAGACATTGGAGATTCTAGTGCAAATGCCTTCATCCAATGGAGGCCTAAAATATCAAGGCCATTCTGCAAGTGGTAGAGTTGGGGCTAACGCTCAAGTTATTTTCTCTGTTACATCTTACTGTTTCTTTTGCAAACAGAGGAAATGATGACCAGAAAATATGAAACACCTGTATTATTATATATCAATGTAGACAAAAGGGTGTTATAACTTTGTGGCCAGTTTCCTGGAGTTAATGAAGGAAATAATTTCCTTCAATGAACTTATATTATAGGTAGTAAAAAGGGCATTAAAAAAGAGTGTTATAACTTTATGGCCAGTTTCCTGAAGTTAATGAAGGAAATTATTTCCTTCAATGAACTTACATTATAGGCATTAAACAAAGTCAGGAGAATATGAAGGCTATATGTTTGCCTCTGAACATCATATAATCAATGATATCTGGGAGCATATCAGAGTGAAGAGACTAAGGGTATAAGCTTTGGAACTAAATGGATCTACTTAGGTTCAAGGCCTGGTTCTAGCTTGGTTCAAGAACTTTCTAATTTGGCTGGCTTTGGCAATTTAACCGTTTTTGCTGAATGAAATGGGTAATAATAAAGACACTTATCTCATTTGTTAATCATTAGATGAGTAAATATATGTAGTGTCTGGCATAGAGTAGCTAGCACATTATAAGTTCAAAAATGCTAGTTATTATTATGGTCTTAATTTTTAAAAATCCCATAAAGAAGACAAAACAAGACAAAATAAAGCAAGCAAACAAAGAAATAAATAAGAGCAATTCAGGTATAGTATGATATATGCTATGGTAGAGAATTACAGGATCATAGAGGAGAGGCATTTTAACACAGGCCTGGAGCAAGGGATTCAAAACTCGAATCGTGATCTACATGTATTTTAATTGATTCATCTTCTAATGTTTACCTCATCAAACCCACTCCATTGGCCTCAAATCTTTATCTCTTCCGGTATTTCTTATCTCAGTGTTTGTTTACGTCAGAAACATAAAGCTCATGCTAGACATATTGCATTTCTTACTTCCTGACTTAAAACCTTTCAGCAGGGCTAATAGTGTTTGGGCAGAGGCTAAACTCTTTATCCTAGTAATCACAGCCTGTCAATTACCATAGTCTCAGGTTTCATTATTCTCCATACATATTGTCTTAAGTCCATTCATTCAAATCTTTTGCTGTTTCGATTCATGGTATTCTTTCAGCAGGCTATGTTTTGTAGGCTGGACTTCCTGAAGTATAATTTTTGGTCTTCCTGATTCTTCTCTCACTTTCTCCTATCTACTCTCTTATGATTTTTCCTCCTCATCAGAGAAATATTGCAGAGAAAGAAGTGAATGTTTTGGGGGATGGTATTAGAAGGAAACCAGACTACCCTTCAAAAAAGTCATCCCTCCCTATTGGAAGATTTATTGACAAAGGGGAAATAAAGACTAGTTTGTGTCCTGTAATTACATTGCTGATTGTGTCATGAATTCATGCACAAAAGTATATTTTAGTTTTTGGAAGGAAGGAGATGGTGCAAATGAATTAGAGGGTTAGAGGCAGAGTGAAAGAGTTGGAAAGTGGCAAAAGGGCACTAGGAGTTGAGTATTTAGCAGAAATCTTGTGTCAACAGCTCTCTAAGACAAACAACCAAAGAAAATTCCTGTATAAGATAGATACAAAATAATATTGGATAAAATAAAATAAAAACATTGGTGTTCCAACTTATTTCCCCACCTTCAATCATTGAATATATTTAAGAAATACAATATCTATTTTTTTCCACATATATATAAAACTGATTATCAAATGGCTTATTGATTACAGTACTTATGAGTAGTTTCATCAGTTTTCAAAATGCTAATATTAAACAAGCTTGAGCTATCATCTGGAGAATCTAAAATACGTGATGATGATACATTCCTGTGAAGAAATCATGTTGTATAACCATAATATCTATGCTGTGACATCTTCTATACATCCCCAAATCTGCATAAAAGGAGACCCAGCTCTATAACATTTTGAAAGAACTAGTCAAATCAGGCTGAGTGTGGTGGCTCACGCCTGTAACCCCAGCACTTTGGGAGGCCAAGGCAGGCAGATCATGAGGTCAGGAGATTAAGACCATCCTGGCCAACATGGTGAAACCCCATCTCTACAAAAAATACAAAAATTAGCTGGGCATGGTGGTGCTTGCCTGTAGTCCCAGCTACTTGGGAGGCTGAGGCAGGAGAATTACTTGAACCTGGGAGGTGGAGGTTGCAGCGAGCTGAGATGGCACCACTCCACACTCCAGCCTGGGTGACAGAGCGAGACTCCATCTCAAAAAAAAAAAAAAAAAAAAGTCAAATCAAAGCCAAAATGAGACCACTTGCTTTACATATTGTAGATGAGAAAACCAAACTAGTTGACTGAAATCTGCTTTACCAAATGGTGGAGGTAGCAGCATTGCAATCATTACATCTTGGCCCTGGGTCATGGCACTGGCTGCACTGCCCTCTGGTCACCTTCCACACAGGAGGTGGCTCCTGCTAGAGGTTCCCAAGGTTTACACCTTCACTCACCATCTGTTGTGACTTATTCACTGCTGTCCTCTTGGGTCCTGAGCTCTTCCTCATTTTCTTTATACTTGTCCCTTGAATGTGGCAACTGCCGTGCCTCTTCTAAAACTGAACCTCAATGTCTTCTCTGAATCAGAATCTGTATTTGCTCTGTGACAGTCTGTCATTGCATCCAGGCTAGGCCTGAGCCCCATAACCATGTTGGGGTGCCAGGGAATCCTAGAATTCCCTATTGTTGTTGTTGTTGTTTTTGAGACAGAGTCTTGTTCTGTCACCCAGGCTGGAGTGCAGTGGAGCAATCTCGGCTCACTGCAACCTCTGCCTGCCGGGTTCAAGCGATTCTCCTGCCTCAGCCTCCCAAGTAGCTGAGACTACAGGCACGTGCCACCATGGCCTGCTAATTTTTGTATTTTTAGTAGAGAAGAGGTTTCACCATGTTGACCCGGATGGTCTCAATCTCTTGACCTCGTGATCCACCCGCCTTGGCCTCCCAAAGTGCTGGGATTACGGGCGTGAGCCACCGCACCCAGCCTCTGATTGTTTCATACTTTGTGTAAGCCATTCACTGGCCTTTCTCATTTGAGCTTCTCCTATACTCTTATAGCATACCTTGTACACTGGCACCAAAACCCTACACATACACACACACACACACACACACACACACACACACACACACACTCTGTCTTTTTAAAAAATATTCTTTTTGTAAACTTTTTCTTCAAGCTGTTCCTTCTGTCTGGAAAACTTCTGCCCAACAAATAATTTCTACTGATTAATTGATCAAAGGCCATCTTTCTGTGAATCCTTCCTGGATTCCCTCAGTTGAATGTGTATATGCTATGTTCCTACTGAGAGGTGAAGCGAGCTGGACTTCCTGGGTCGACTGGGGACTTGGAGAACTTTTATGTCTACCTAGAGGATTGTAAATGCACCATTCAGTGCTCTGTGTCTAGCTAAAGGATTGTAAAAGCACCAATCAGCACTCTGTAAAAACGCACCAATCAGCACTCTGCGTCTAGCTAAAGGATTGTAAACGCACCAATCAGTACTCTGTAAAATGGACCAATCAGCAATCTGTAAAGTGGACCAATCAGCGCTCTGTAAAATGGACCAATCAGCTGGATGTGGGCGGGGCCAAATAAGGGAATAAAAGCTGACCACTGGAGCCAGCAACAGCAACCCGCTGGGGTGCCCTTCCACCTCGTGGGGGCTTTGTTGTTTCATTCATCACAATAAATCTTGCTGTTGCTCACTGTTTGGGTCCACACTACCTTTATGAGCTGTAACACTCCCAGCGAGTGGGTCTGTGGCTTCATTCCTGAAGTCAAGGAGCCCATGAACCCTCTGGGAGGAGCAAACAACTCTGGATGTGCCACCTTTTAGAGCTGTAACCCTCACTGGAAGGTCCACAGCTTCATTCTTGAAGTCAGCGAGACCATGAACCCACCGGAAGGAAGAAACTCCGGATCACATCTGAACATCTGAAGGAACAAACTCTGGACACACCATCTTTAAGAGCTGTAACACTCACTGTGAAGGTCTGCGGCTTCATTCTTGAAGTCAGCCAGACCAAGAACCCATTGGAAGGAATAAATTCCGGACCCACCACCACCCGTCCATGAGTCTCATCTCCCATGGCACAGCATATGGATCTCTATTATCGTGTTTCTGAGAGGCTGCTTTGTAACATTTTCATGATTGTGTTATGATTGTAGGTGTCTGACTCCCTAACCAAGATATGATTCTGAAGGGCTGAGAGTATGCCATTCATTTTTGTGTCCCCATAGAACCTGACATAGTGCTTTGAAGGCCACTGTCATCTGGAAAATATCCGTGGAATTTATACAAGCAGGGAACAAAATATGGCTAATTAATCCAGTTGGATGATTGATGTTAACAGACATTAGTTGCTGAACAGTGGGTACTCAGAGAGGTGTGGGCGGCTATTTTAAACCTGTATTTTAGAACATTGATTTCCGATTTTTTTTTTTTTTTTTTTTTGAGACAGAGTCTCATTCTGTCGCCTAGGCTGTAGTGCAGTGGTGTGATCTCGGCTCACTGCAAGCTCCACTTCCCGCGTTCACACCATTTTCCTGCCTCAGCCTCCCGAGTGGCTGGGGCTACAGGTGCCCACCACCACGCCTGGCTAATTTTTTTCTACTTTTTAGTAGAGATGGGGTTTCACCGTGTTAGCCAGGATGGTTTCGATCTCCTGACCTTGTGATCCGCCCACCTTGGCCTCCCAAAGTGCTGGGATTACAGGCGCGAGCCACCGCGCCTAGCCGGTTTCAGATGTTTTGAGGCAGACTGCTAGAATTATTATGGCTTATAATTCAGGCACATAGTTTAAAAATTTATTATCACGTCCTCTCTTTTTGTCTTAATATTAAAGATTTCAAATTCTAACAAAATAGCCTTCTCATCATTCAAACATACTTGTGTTTTTTATTCTTTAAAATTAACATTCATAAGATATTATTTGAGTATAATTTTACATCTTCAAACACTTTAAAACTATGAAGCTGGAAATCATTTCCCCAGGGAAAAGTGAAATGGTATTCTTTGTGACTGCTTCAAAATCTAGGGCCCAATGAGTTAGTAGATTCTAAACTTGGCAAGCCAATGTCTACTATTCCTAGTGGGAAATATTTTGGTTTTAACTTCCTTTGGATAATCTCCCAAGCTCAATGGGAAATAAACATACTCCAAGAATCAAGGCTCCTTTTAGAAATTCAATTTAAATTTTTTTTCAGGGATTCTGGCTCTGGCTCATTTTAACTTTTTTCCCCTCGTAATCAACATTTCATCCTTTTCTTGTCTGCTGCCAAAACCAGCCTTTTCCTGGGCTCCTAGAAATTTGAAACATTTTGGCAGGCTAAAGAGGAAAATGGGTGGGAGAAACTCTCAAAGAGGGTAAATGAGTAATGATGTTTCCACTTCCCAATATTCTAGGCCAGATTGTTTTTCTATGTGGGGGAAGAAAACCTCTGGAATCACTTCAAGTACTCCATAGGGATTCATAGAGCTGGACTTGTAGGGCTGGACTCACTAAATCAACAAATATTTAGCATGTTCTGGGAGCTTTAGTGCATATCAAACTTTTAAAAACTCAGTCCATACTCTTAAAAAGCTTAGATTGAGTTGCTGAGATAAAATGCTTGCCCTGTTTAATGGCAATATAACAAAAGAAATTACCTCTGAAAAGTACATGGTCAGTTGTCAGATGCATGGTAAAGACAGTAAAAGAAGAACTTGGAGAATGAGGGGATATTTGTAGACTTCATGGTAACATGAGGGTGATCTTAATTTCCAGAGTCCTTGGAGAGGAAATTGAAGTGTTAGACTTATCACAGAAGATGGGTATTTTGCTGGGTTTTGGAGGATTAGTAATAACCATTATTTTTTCTACCCATAAAGTGTTCAACACTGAGTTACTTGCTTTGCATGTATTCACTTTAGTTCTAACACTGTGCAACGTGGGTCTTACGGGATTTTATTAATGTTTCTCTTTTGTTGGGCTGGAAGTTCCATGATGACAGAGATGCATTTGTCTGCCTTTGGTCGCCCTTGCATCCTTAAGCGTAGTACAGTCTTTGGCAGATGGGAAGTACCTAATAATTATCTGTGGAGTACAGATGAGGGTCTGAGACTGAGGGTCTGAGGTGAACTAACTTGCCCAAGGTCACAGTGCCAATCAATGGCAAAGCTAGCATTTGCATCTTAGTCTATGTGGTTGCAAATCCTAAGGCCTCTTGTGGTGTAATGCTCTGAAGTGAGGGATAAGATTTAAATATCTGGAGAAAAATGAGATGGACAAGTGAGGTTGGAAAATAAGCACAAAGAAGATTATGGAGATAATAAAGGCTGATTTAGCTATGGGAGATTTAGGAAAACTAGAAAAACAAGTTGGAGTCAGAATATGTAAAACTGTATATTAGGCTCAAAACTTTCCATTTTTCTTTCAGTTAATGGAAAATAATAAAAAGTTTTTGTTTTAATTAGAGAAACATATGACAAAAATAACGTTTTAAGCAGATTTATGCAGCAGCTGTGCAAAGGAGGCTTTGGAAGGAGGAGCAGCTGAAGTCTGAGGCCAGTGAGGAGACTGTTGCAGTACTCTTGGCAGAAAGTCATGGTTTCGTGGTCAAGGATAACTGGGGCTCTCTTATAGGGAAATGGGTCCTTCATCGGATTAGTGAAAATGGAAATAGTTGGGGTAGGCAAGAGATAATTTGAAGAAAAGATCTTCAGGTGTTCATGACAAGGTATGGACACTTAAAACAATAGAAAATTTAAGGACAACTGGTTGTCGTGAGCCTGTGTAATTGGGCAAATAATAGCACTGTTGAGACGGTAGAAAGAAATCTTCTAGCAGATTTCAGTTTTAAACCTGTTACAATGGGATCATGAATGGCATGTCTAATAGGAATAAATTTCATTGCTCAGGACTGGTACTAAAATTAGACGTCAGAAATATGATAGAGTTATAGAGCCAAGGCATAGAGGAAATTACTGAAACCGTAGTAGTGGATGAGGAGAAGCAAGGAGTGTTGTTAAAGATAAGCTCTATTTAACAAAAATTTAATTGCTTCTTTTAGTAAAGTTTGTATTTAAATATAGCATAGTACGATGTACAAATTTTAAGCAAAATTTTAGAAAGTGATGCAGTCACATAACCCAGAAAATTATGATGTAGACTATTACCACCATCTTAGAAGTTTTTCTCATAATTCTCTTCCTGCAAAGATAGCCACTATTCTGATCTCTGTCACTAGAGATGATTTGGAACCTTACATACTTGAAGTTGTCTAGCATCTACCCCTTCACGTCTGTCTTCTTTGCTCAGTTTTATGGCTGTGAGATGTTATCTTTTCTAATTTGACACATGGGCTATTCAGAATGTGTTGCTTAATTTTAACAAATTTAGAAATTTTCTAATTTGCTTTCTGTTATTGATTTTAGCTTAATCCCACAGAAACCAGAAAACGTTCTTGGTATTATTTCAATCCTTTGAAATTTGCTACGACTTGCTTTATGGCCTAGAAAATTTTCTATTTTGGTAAATGTTCCATTGCTTTGGAAAAGAATATGGACTCTGGAATGTTGAATACAGTGTTGTATAAATGTCAATTAAGTCAAGTTTGTTCATCATAGTGTTCAGACCTTCTACAATGCTTCTTTAATGCCTTTTTTGTTCTTTCAGTTAATGAGAGGAGTATGTTACATTTTCCCACTATCATCATGAATTTGTTTAGTTCTTCTGTTAGTTCTGTCTCTTTTTTTCTTTATTGATTTGGAAGCTTGTCAGGGGCAGATATATTTAGACTTGTTATATCTTTCTGTTAAAATGAGATTTTTCTAGTACAAAATATATCTACTGATCTTTAGTATCATTTCTTAAAGTTTGCTTTTTCTAATATCGTTATGGCTCTACAATTTCCTTTTCATTGGAGTTTTGTGATAAGGTATTTTTTCTTTCCTTTTATCCTATTCTATATCCTTATACATAAAGATATCTATTAAATCTTAAATTATAGTCGTAGTTGGGGAAGCTAACATTTAAGGAGGAGGAGCAGGCAAAGATAGGAAAGAGGCAGAAGATAGAAAGAAAAAGAGACAGAGGAGTAGGAGAATAGGCTAGAAAGGAATTCATGAAACTACGAAATAATAATTTCAAGGAGGATGGATGATGAAGCCTGCACTGCTGTTTTAGCAGAGGCACATGTCAAGTGCTGTAGAGATAGATACTAGGTCAAATAGACACAAAGGAAAGCCCATTAGGTAGCAGTCATGCATTCATTCATTATTTTTTGAGTAATCTTATAGTAGATAACAGGAAGCAGGTTTAAAAAGATAGTGACAAGAAAATAGAAGGAGCAGGTTGAGACATATTATTTATGAAATTTGGCTGTAGAGAGAGTCATACTGTGCTTTTATTTTCTGTAGAAAGCACTCTACCACTTTAGACCTAATAGGGCCGCATTCTTCGCCTTTCTAATAAGTTATTCAAGCATTCACCTGCCTTTTTAGTAGGTACTTCGGTTCTTCCTTCCAAGTCAACACCCTCCTCTTCAATTATACAGGACTCCCATGGGCTAACACAATCCATGCAGGGTGTCGGTCTACCCTGAGCAGTATGAACAATCAAGTGCCACTGCTGTCTCTGACCCACAGGGTCGGGGGTGGAAGCTGCATCCTGCACTGTGTGACTTCCAGGGAGGGCTCCCTACTGGGATGGTACTTGGCTGGTTCATCCCTGATTCCACTTGTTTCCCTCTTCCCCCAAAGATAAAACAATTTTCTGTTTTGCTTCAGAACACAAAGTATATGGTTAAATAAATTATGATTCAGCCATCCAAAGGAATTGTTTGCATCTGCAAAGAAAAAGAAATAGAATGAGCAAGCTGACTATTGACCTAGAAAGACCTCCAAGACATACTGGTACTGAAAAAAGGGAAGGTGCAGAACAATGGGTATAGAATGCCATGCTTTCCCTGGATAAGGGGATTACTTGCCGACATTTCTAAAGGAGGTTGCCCTGGGTGATCTCGCACATCTGTTCCTCCCCTTCTGAGGGGGATTCCCGTAGTGATTCTAGGATATGCACACATTGCTGGTTAGAAGAAGTCAGTAGACTTCAGTCATCTCAACTTGGTGTTCCGATACCTCTTTTCATAGAGAAGAGAGAAATAGAAATAGAGAGAAATAGAAATTGTGTCCTGTAGCCATCCTTTTGCTAGGTGGCTATAATCTGCAAATATATTTTAAAGCTATGTCAGCTTGTGCCTACTTGAGTGCAGATGAGATTTATGAAACACATATAAAATGCTGTAAGGATAATTGGATAGGTTCTTGGAAAAAGTGAGGGGAGTTAGTTTTGAAGGAGAGGACAGACAACTCTTTATTCAAAACAGAAAGCAAAGAAGACTCACTCAGACCAAATGCAGCAGGTCCTTGAATAACATCGTTTCATTCGACTTGTCTCCTTATAACCTGGATGAGAAAAACAAAATTAATTCCCATCTGGGGCCACTATCTGTGTGGAATTGACACATTCTCCCCATGTCTGTGTGGGTTTCCTGTCATATTCCAAAGCTGGGCACATTGGGTGAATTGGCATGTCTAAGTGGTCCCAGTCTGAGTGAGTGTGGTTGTTAGTGGGAGTGTGCCCTGCAATGCAATGGCATCATGTTTAGGCCTGGTTCCCTGCTTAACTGCAGGGAAGAGGTTAAGCAGGAGAGAGCTGGGAGAGGCTCCAGCCACCCTCCACCCTGAACTGGAATAAGTAGGTTGAAAAATGAATGAATGAATACAAATTATTGTAAAATACCAATTTGTAAAGTGGACAATAATCGTACAAATACATGACAATAAACAACAAGGCAGGAAATCCCTCAGCGAGTCCACAAGATTTGTGATTCTTTTTGAACTTTGTGGTGGGTAGTAGGTGTTCCTGACAATTTTTGCTTTGCAAATTTTTGTTCCTTAATTTAACCCACCTGCACTATGACCACAGTCACTCACTGACTCACCAAAAATGGGGTAAATAATTATTTTGCCTGTTTTTATTCATCTTTCTTAAATGTAGCTTTCATTTATTTCCATGTTTAATATTAGAAGTGTTTTGGGTTTTATTTAGAAGCGGCATAATGTTTTTGTGACCAGAACTATGACCTAGGATTTGCTGTCTTTTATATCAATTAGCCTATAGTAAAATTGGTTTTGTTGTACATCGTTTCACTTAAAAGTTGACATTTCCAAAACTTTACATGAGGACTCACTGTATTTAAAGTACACAAGGATGAATGGAAAATTCAGAGTTGATGATCTTAATTTTAGTACTTTTTTTTCTTTTTCCTTTTCTTTTTTTTTTCAAGAGAGGGTCTTTCTCTGTCTGAAATTTTAAATTTCAGCCTCAACCTCTTGGGCTCAAGTGATCCTCCCACCTTGGCCTCCTGAGTAGCTGGGACTACAGGAATGCACCACCATGCCCAGCTAATTTTTCTTTTTCTTTGTAGAGATTAGGTCTCCCTATATTGCCCAGGCTGGTCTTGAACTCCTGGGCTCAAGCGATCCTCCTGCCTCAGTCTCTCAAAGTGATGGGATTACGAGTGCAAGCCACTGCTCCCAGCCTTGATTTTCTTAATAGAAGGTTACTAGCTAGCAAAGCATTTAGTTGTGATTTCTCTCTTGACACTAGCATAGAAAAAGAATAAATGATGTGCCTAAGTCTATACAGTAACTAAATACTCCAAACAAACATTAGAACTTGTCCACAAATTTATTTTTGTTTTTATTATGTAAAAATTTTAGAAAAATAAATGAATAGAGTGATTAACCTTCGCTGATTCATCACTCAGTTTCAACAATTATAAGCATGAAAATGAGTGTGGTTCACCTATACACATTTTTGCAGATTATTTTGCAACTAATCCCAGGCATCATATTATTTTATCCTTAAGTAATTTCAAATGGGATAAAGGAAAGAAACTGTACTAAGGAGTACATTCAACTCTGTAGCCACAAATTAAAAAATTTGAATTTAACAGATGATTTCTATCAAAATACAAATTATCAAAAATTGATCCAAGAAAATAATACAATACTCAAAGTAATTTCCTTAGAAGATACAGGAATATCATTAAAAATTTCATCAAGACCAGATGGTCTTACCACTAAATTTTATGTGCAAAGTTAAAAAATGTTTAAACCATATATTGTGTTGTGTTACTTAAAAATCTCCCAGGACGTAGAAAAAGAAGAAAATTTCTCTAATTAATTTAATTAAGATATTTATGACAAAAATGAGAAATAATTGATATAAGCATCAGAAAGAAAGAAATTAAATTTTCTTTGTGCTGATGATACAAATTCAAGATGTTATGTTTAAAAATTTTAAAGTTAATACAAAAATTTAATAAGTTGCATAGCACAATATAAATCTACAAAAATCAATAGACTTTCTCTACTAGCTATACACACCTAGAGTTGGAATATAAAAAATTGTATTAAAATATAGATGAGCCAGGCGCAGTGGCTCACACCTGTAATCCCAACACTTTGGGAGGCCGAAGCGGGCGGATCACCTGAGGTCAGGAGTTCAAGACCAGCCTGACCAACATGAAGAAACCCCATCTCTACTAAAAATACAAAATTAGCTAGATGTGGTGGCCCATGCCTGTAAACCCAGCTACTCAGAAGGCTGAGGCAGGAGAATTGCTTGAATCCGGGAGGCAGAGGTTGTGATGAGCCAAGATTGTGCCATTGCACTCCAGCCTGGGCAACAAGAGCAAAACTCCATCTCAAATAAAAAAAAAAAAAAAAAAGAAAAAATATATAGATGAATACCATATAATAGATTTAACAAGAGAAGCACGGGATATATATGAAGAAACTATCACATCTTATTGACTTATGAAAGATGTAAAAAAAAAAGATCCAAACAAATGAAAAGACACTGTATTCTTGAATGGAAAGACTTAACATAAACAACAACAAATTTACAATTAGAAAATATACAATTCAATAGAAAAGACGCAAACAATATGAAAAATTTAATAGATGAGTAAACTCAATCAATGTAGGAAATGGGTACTCATGAATGACTGGTAGATATATGAACTGTTACAGCATTTGGGACAATATATTTAGTGGAACCTCTTAAATTTAGACACACACATACCTTTCATTTTAGCAATTTCACACCTGTGAATTCAGCCCACAGAAATAAAAAATATTCATAAAAGACCAGTATATATGATATAGGAACAAGATATTTGTAGTGAGCCTGCTTGAAATGGCTAAAAAAGAAAGAAAAGTGTATTAGTCTGTTCTCTCACTGCTAATAAAGACATACCTGAGACTGGGTAATTTATAAAGTAAAGAGGTTTAATGGACTCAAAGTTCCACATGGCTGGGGAGGCCTCACAATCATGGTGGAAGGTGAATGAGGAGCAAAGTCACGTCTTTCATGGCAGCAGGCAAGAGAGCTTGTGCAGAGGAACTCCCATTTTTAAAACCATCAGATCTCATGAGATTTATTCACTACCACAAAAATAGTATGGGGGAACCGCTCCTGTGATTCAATTACCTCCCACGGTGTCCCTCCCATGACATGTGAGAATTATGGAAGCTATAATTCAAGATGAGATTTGAGTGTGGACAGAGCCAAACTGTATCAAAAAGCTAATGCCCAGGAATAGAAGAATGTGTCAATGTGTGAGTATAAAGTGTATATAATATCCCATTTTGGTAAAACCAGTAATGTATATATATTTAATTGCATATAATAACATTATCACAAAGAAAAATAAGAAAGAACAATAGATTATTAAAATGGGATAACTAGTTGGAAAAAAATAAGATTATATTCTTATTAGGGGGAAAGGCAAAAGAGGAACTATAAAAAAATTTTAAGAGACTGCACTAAAATCTACACCAGTATGTGTAATGGACTACTTATGCATTTTTCTAAAAACAAATTTTATACACACACATATACATGTACATGCACATACACACACAATTTTTCAAAATTAAAAACACAAGACAAGTTTTCTGTTTTTAAGTACCTTGGAGTTTACTATTCAGGTTATAATATAAAGTAGAAATTGAACATACTGAATAAACCTGCTTAGTTTCACCTTACAAATCACCTTCTTATTTAATCATCAAAAATTCTCATTAATAATAATTTTTGGGAACATATTTTCTGAGTAGGCTATTGGTCACATTTTCTTCCTTGCAGGAGTTTTCATATAGAGAATGCATACAAGCCACGAACCATAAGATGCCATACTGTTACTTAGAGCTAGGACTAAAAGCCATCCAATGATGAGCTTTTTGGTTAAAGAAAATGTAGCTTAGACTAGAGGTTAAAGTGAGGTATTCTTCCTCCTATACTGAAAATCTAAATCTCAGAATGAAAATGCTGAGGGGTGCTTGTTGGAGGAGTGGATTATGATCATGTAGGTAGAGTAGACTGTGAGATCCAGTTGCCCAACCAGCTTTTATGGAGTAAGTCTACAGGCCAGTCTCACATCTACTCTCTGAGAGTGGATGTGGGGTGAATGGCATCCTCCTCCCAGCCTTTGGGTAAAGCATAGTCCACATTTGCTAACTGCTTGAAAGAAGCATTTGAGGAAGAGGTCACACCTCACCTAAGGGTAAGAAGAGAAAGAGGAAGTGCTTGCACTAATTCTTGCTTTTGAGCTGCTGCAAGCCTCCAACAGTGAAACGTAGTCCATGAACATCAAGTTCAGGATAATCAAATTAGTCATTCTTTTCTTCTGGAGGAGCAAAAAGGGCATCAGAGAGAGGAGCCAGAGACATTCCATCTCAAACTCCTCAAAGAGAGAATCAAGGGAAGATGCCTCTCCCTCTGCAGGCTGCTTGCAACTTGAAAAATTGTCCCTGACACTGTCAATGATATTTCATAAGAATGATAAGATCTCATTTCATAAGCATGATAACCATTAGGTGGTAGTCTTCAAGCAGTTTTTGAAATGTCCACATATAAAAAGAAAAAACATTTTCTACCTTGTTTTTGGTCATCTATTTACCTTAAATGTTTGATTTCAATTATGCCAAGAAATGTGCAAGAAATGAGAACTCTTCAGGAATACTGCCAACAGTGTTAACTTGAAAGTTACATTTGATTATTTTGTAGACATAAGATTCTCCTTACATTGATGCAGGAGTTACAGACAAAAGAATTATTATTATTATTGCTTAAATTGTGTAATTAGAAAAGATGGTTGTATTGTGCTAATAGTTTGCATTAACAACTTGGAACCAGTTTTAAAATGACTGGGATTGTTGTTTGCTTGGAAATAGCATTCCAACAGCTTGAGGGATTGAGTCTTGAAATTCTCAAAGGTTACAAAAGCGTGCAGTAACACACTTTTGTACACACTTTTGAGGGTACAGATTGGTAAATATGTGCATTTATATCTGAACACTTTCAAGTTTGCTTTAATACTATTTTTTTCTCTTAGTGTTAATGCAAATTTGCATCTAAATATTTACCTAGTACTTACTATGCTTCTAGAACAATTCTCAGCTCTGGAGATTGACAAATTCATGTCTCTACAGTTGATACTTCTAAGGAATAAGTGCATGGCTTCATATAATTCACTTGTCCTGATTGTGGAAGAAAAAAGTAAGGCTTGTGTCTCAACATGTGTCCGGTACTTTTATGGCATCCAAGCCACAGATCTGGGAGTTTCCATGTGTTTCTCCTGACGCTTTACCCTCCCTAGCTTGACCTGCACTGCAGTAGGCCACATACTGGTTTTCTCTCCCCAGCTTTGTCTTCCTTGCTATCTCCACTGCCCCTTCATTTGACATGTCATTTCCCACACTGTAATTCCTCCATGAGTTAATATCCAGCTACACTCCAAGAGACATTCATAACTCCAGAATCCGAGTTATAAATACTGTCTCTCAATAAAAATCAGGGTCTTATGTTCCCCTAGTTCCTAAATCCTATCCAGTCTAATTGGTTGTGTCTTCTTACACCTCTTCCTCTTTCCCCACTCCTACTTTAGTTGGCTTGTTTCAGGCTCTCAACATTTTCTACTTGGATTATGATTAACAATCTCTTGCTTCCCGCCTTGCTCATTCCTTGCCATTTAACCAATAGCTGGTAGCGTGGCCTTATGAAACACAAATTTGATCAAGTTGCTGCCTTAAAGGAAAGGCAACAGCAACCATCAGCACCCGTTGGTGGTTTTCAGCAGCTTTCAGGATGAGGTCCACATTTCTTTGCATGGCACCCTTAGCACTTGATCTGCCCTTAGCACTTGATCTGGCCCTTGCCTAACTCTCTGGTCTCATCTTTTGCTGCTCTGCTTCTCCATCAGCCACAGTCAATTTCACTGAATTACCTGTGAGTTTCACAAGACCTTTTCCCTGCTTTCTTGGACTCCTGCAGTTTTGCTCTCCGGTTAGAATTCCCATCCTCTTTTTCTCCTCACAATTATTTTGCTGGTTAACTCCTAGTTGTTTAAAAAACATGTCTCGTTTTTCCCCAGAAACCTTTTCCAGCATTAATTACCTTTTTTATGAGAAGACCACAGCTTAGTTATCATGTGTACGTCTTCAAAGTGCAGCAAGTCGCCCAGCACAGGCAGACCCGCCTAAAGCTAATAATCTTCCTGACCTGAGACTCTCCAACGGACTCTTCATAGGATTCTGCTGAAGAGCTGGTTTTGTTTTCTTCATGTTATTATTTTTTTGAGGCTAAAAAAAAAGTAGTTGAAGACTGAAGAGTGAAATCAAATTGTTCCCTAAATATTGGAAGATGTTATCAATTAATTTATTTGGAGGTATAGATTATTTAATTCCACTATAGTACTTTGATTGCAAAGTAACCAGAGATGTTTTCACGTAGGTGATGCTGAATTTCTAAAAAAACAGCATCTGTATTATTTTTATGGACTTTTATCATAATCACCAGTGCCATCATTATGATAATTTTTTTCATCTATAGGTAGAGTTAGTCTGAGAATAGGCTTATTTCTGTTGTAAATGATAGCTTCACTTTTGCTAAAAATACTTTTTGATTCACTTATTTTTAAGACTTTGCTACATGGTCTGTCAGGCCCTGGGTTTCTGGATGCATTGTATAATTAGTGTAAACTTGGAGAAACTTGTTTTGTTTTTAATGATCCAAATTTAGTTGCTTTTAGTCACAGAATTTCTGTAAATACAAACTTATGTCAGAAGAGGCTTTTATTTACTTTGTGATTCAACTCAGCATGTTTATTTAATATGCAATGATTCAGCTTACTGGCTCCTTTAGAAACTTGGAGTGTGTGTTCTCATGATGGCTGAATAAGTTGATGGCTTTGATCTGAACTGTAAAGGCTCAGAGGGCATTTTTTCCTTGCAAATTTGCCTTTGGAATTTCTCTTTCTTTTCTGTTAGGAAAGTACTATTGTTTGACCGTAGGGCCAATCTCATGTAGTTTAGATTCCCCATACTTGCAGAATTAGAGTTTTTTTCTTCATTATGGGATGCTTTTTGGTGCTTTCAAATGGAAAAAGCAGAGTTGTTCCAGGCACTGACAGAAATCTGTGCTGTTGATTTTTGTTTCCTTCCTGGACTTCCCAAAGGAAATACAAAAGAAGATATTGATATTAATCTGTTAGATCACAAAAAACCAATGTACAACTAAATGAACCTAGATTAATTTTTTCAAAGCCCAAACAAAAGAAAGATTAACAGTACATAGTTCTTTTTTAGACAAGACTGACTTGCACAGCCTGTCCCCTGAGTCACTAGGCTTCCCACCTCAATTAGTCTGCATTTGCTCATTTTCCCACTCTAACATTTCTTAGTAGTAACCAGCTTCTATCTTCTCTTTGCTTTACATGGTCACTCTTCCTTTTGTGATCATCCCCCAAATATCTCTTATCTCAGTTGGCACTCACTGCTGTCATTTATCCTCTCTAATCACCTGAACTCCTAGGTGTTGGGTGAACCTGTCCCTTAGGCTACCGTAGCTTGCAGAGACTTGGCTTTCAGCCTTAAGGTTCAACATGCTGCTGGAGTTCCTTCCATTGCCTCCATCTTCCAGGCAGCTGGAAGTGGAAGGAACAAGACATCTCACCACCAAGCCAGCTTTCTGTAAGTACCCTGCTTACCCTCTCTTACCAGAACTTCCTCAATGGCCACAGCTTTCTAATGATCATTTGTAAGGACAGCTATAAGAGAGGCTGTAAAATGCAACCTTCGTCCAGGGGCATTGCAACCTCAGTGAAAATGGATTTCTATTACTTAGAAGATGAGAATAGCTATTGGGTAGCAATGAGCCATCTCTGCTAAAACTCAGAGAAAACAAGCTAACTAGGAGTTCAAGAGTTCTTTTTTATGTCCTTCAAAAACACATTCGTCTTGAGAAATAAGTCTAGGTTTTTAACCACCTTTTTGTTTCAAGCATGAGTAATAAGTCCATTTTATTGACTATAAAAGTATATTGACATTCTTTCTATTTTGAAAGTTAGGCATCTTAGTGTGCTTTGTTTTTTGTAATGGTTTCTGTGTATCTTTACTGGAGTCTTTAGCTTCCCCCTCTCTTTACTCCTCTTTTGAGATTCAGACTTACTCAACCAGAACAGCATTTTTGCTGGTTCTCCAACCATGTTGAGTTACATTCACTTCCAGATTCTTAAGTCATAGAATTATGAATCTTTTTATTTTTGACAAATGTCTTCTGTGAGTATTCACGAGGGTGTATCTGACCAGTAAGCAATTTTCTTTTCCTGCCAGTTTCTCGCCCCATTTTCCTTCAGTGTGATTTGCTGGCAGCTTCCATCCCTTCCTCCTAGGGCTGAGCACAGGACCCTGGTCTGGTTAGTATGTTCTCCTTTCCTGTTCAATGGTTGCTTCAGGGACAAACAAATGACTCAACCAACGTCTTTTACTGAAACCCCTGCAAGGGGGACTGTCTCTTTTTCTGAGATTGTTGAGGGGCCATCTCTAACTCCTCAAAGAGAAAGAAAAAGAGCTTATGTTAGAATGAGACCAACACAGAGGAAAAGAAAGCTGATAGATGGATTAAGCAACTTTTCTGGGGACATCTTTGTAGAACTTGAATCTAACCTGCCTAATGCTGTATCACTCCTTGATTTTTGTGTTACACATGCCGATAAAGATACCTTTCTCCCTTTAAGCCAGTTTCAGTAAATTTATGCAACTTGCACCTAAATGAGTCTCCATCAATTCAATTTGGTAACTTCTTCTGGGCTCCTATTCATTCTACTAGCTAACTCCTTTTTCTTATTGAAGTGTACCAGCTTTATGAGATACACATGACCCTACATGTGCTAGATAAATTACATAAAGTGGTATGAAATAATTCTATCCCAAAACCTGCTGATGTCTGTTTAATGGTGCTACTGAGAAATAATCAGGTTCTATATTGACATGAAATAAAGGAATTCAGTTCAACTTGAATGCAATTGCATCAGTTTGTCTGCTGTCACTCCTTAGCACACAAAGAATGCAGAGGCAACTGACCAGACACGTAACTGCGTACCAGAGAGAGGGAAAAGCAGAATGAGGCACAAACAAATGCATTTCAGAGAATGCAGGTATGTTCCCAGTTGTTCTTTGAACATTATTAATGCTATCAAAACACGTTTTCAAAATGTTTTGAAGAAAATTAAAATCTCTTCCGAAATCAGGGAATCATGTCTGTGTTCCATGAAACTTGACCTTTGAGCAATTATGGAAAACAACAAGGAGTTTGTCAATATTAATAAGGATCTTGATATAGTTAATCTACAGTTAATTATTCAATCTAAAATAACAACGAACATGGAGAAAGGGAAGCAAAACTAACATTTGTTGAGGTCAGTTATGTACTAGGTATGGTCTAGCTTTCTTTCATGCAGAATTTGATATTAAAGAAAGCAGAGGCATTTTCAAAGCCATAACTGTCTAAGGAACATGAATATGTAAGGAAAATGGTAATATAGTGCCTGATACATAGGAAATATTTGATAAATTATAGCAAATATGGTTATTGTTGATGATGATGATGACATGCAAATACCTGGATAAGATAAACCCTCCTGGAGCACTGAGGTTGGGGTTCTTAGTAACCTGAACAAAGAGGCCAGGTACACAGTGGCTCTTGTATTCTAATTGAGGGGAATAAAATATCTGCACCATTGTCTTCTAAAGGCAAATATTAAAATGAATATTCTGAAGTTTATAGTACAGTGAATCAGAATCCTTAACCATAGAGCAAAAGTCATTCGTATTTTTCACAAGCTCCCTAGGAGGTTCTTGATGTCCATTAAAATGTGAAAATCTTGGTCTGGGGGAAGGGGATTGACACGATGGGAAGGAGAGGATGTCACTGTATTTCATTGACAGTTAACTTCCCTCTTTTTTTTTTTTGAATATAATTTTTGTTTTTATTTCAGATTCAAGGGGGTACATGTGCAGGTTTTTACCTGGGTATATTGTGTGATGCTGAGGTTGGGGCTTCTAATAATCTCGTTGCCCAAGTAGTGAATATAGTACCCAATAGGTAGCTTTTCAACCCTTGTTCCTGTCACTACCTCCCCACTTTTAAAATCTCCATTGTCTGTAGTTCCCATCTTTGTGTCCGTGAGTACCCAATATTTAGCTCCTACTTATAAATGTGAATATGCAGTATTTGGTTTCTGTTTCTGCATTAGTTTACTTAGGATAATAGTCTCCAGCTACATCAATGTTGCTGTGAAGGACATGATTTCATTCCTTTTTATGGCTTTGTAGTATTCCATGGTATATATGCACCACATTTTCTTTATCCAAGTGACCACTGCTGAGCACCTGGGTTGATTCCATATCTTTGCTATTGTGATAATGCTGCAATAAACATATGAGTGTAGGTGTCTTTTTGGTAGAATGATTTATATTCCTTTGGGTATATACCCAGTGATGGGATTGCTGGGTTACATGGCAATTCTGTTTTTAGTTCGCTGAGAAATCTCCAAAATGCTTTCCACAGTTGCTGAGCTGATTTGCATTCTCAACAGTTGTGTTGTGTTTCCTTTTCTCCCCAACCTTGCCAATGTGTTATTTTCTGACTTTTTAATAATAGCCATTTGGACTGGTGTGAGATGGTAATCTCATTGTGGTTTTGATTTGCATCTTCTGATGATTGGTAATTTTTGAGCACCTTAACTTTGAAAATCTTCTAAATTAATTTGACATCACCAGAAAATAATTTCAGAACAGTTTCAATCCAATATTATTGTTTAATCTTTCAAGTCTGACAAACATTTCTTTCCAATGAAAGCACAATCTCAATTTACTAAGCAACCATAACTATGAGGCAAACACACTATATTTTTAATGTGCGCCGTATCCTGGGGGTTAAAGATTATATGTCTCAATTTAACATATTTATTTACTTTCTTTTCCTTTCCTTTTTTCTTCCCTTTCTGCCTCTCTCCTTTTTCCATTCCCTCGCAGTCACTCTTTTTTTTTTTTTTTTTTTTTTTTAACCTTCCTTTCTGTTTTCCTCATGGTGCAGTGTTTCAGTGTGACCAGCAGAGGACACTATGCTGCAGCAAGTCTGGGCATCAACTATCTAAAAGATAAATTGCTGATTGAATTCAAAGAAGATAGATTAAAACAAGCTTGTAAATGTTGTTAAATACATGAATGCCTACTGCATTTTAATTATGGTGATTTACATGGACCTACCATGATCACGTACTTCATAAAACAAACTTTGCCTTAATAGCTGCACTTAACGATGTACTCTTTCCTTTATGAGAATTTAATTCTCTGAATATGATATGTTTTTAAAATAAGACAAACTCAAACCAGTTGCCAATAGATCCTCAGCTCCTCCTGAGGTCCTTGTTTTATGGGTCTGTTCTACTGTGTAATTGTTTAGTTTAACTTGGTAAACATGTCAGTTTTCCCAGGATAATTAGGTGGATAAACAAAATGTTCAAAAAGAAATGGAGCCAATTAGACTTTTTATCAAAGACATACACACAAAAAAGGCTTTACAAATGAGTGGACTTTTCCTTAGAGGTTTGATCTTAAATTAGAGTTCCTGGAATTTACAAGGGACCAAGGAGGCAGTTTTCCTAAATATAACGAAATCTTAATTATCTGGGGAGGAGAGCAAATGAAAGACACAAACTCTCACATGCTTTGAAATCATACTTGGGTGGGAAATGCAGAGAGGCATGAGTTCAGTAAGAGCATAATTTTATCCCCACCTGCTCACAGCCACTTTTAAACAGGTTGGGCAACTGGAAGAGAATGCCCTGTGACTTTGGGTAATTTTCTTAGAGCTAGCTCAAAGTAGACAGGTACCCAACATATTTTTAATACTATTAAATAGGTGGCAGTACCTGTTGTGGACAGTTGTGTGTTGTATAGATGGAGACTTCAACAATTGTTTGTTCTAAAATCAACAGTCCATTAATATATTGGGTGCTCTTTCTGTAGAGCTTAACGGTGTTTTAAGAACCATATCACTTTATTCTATTTCTTATTTTTGGTCATTGAAAATAGACTCTTATTTGGAGTGTAACATATGATCTGACTTCTCTATCCAGATTTTGTCTCATGTTTTCTGCTACTTCTCTATAAAGATAGTTTGGTCCTCAGGTGTTGGTTTATGTTGCTGTGATTCAAGACTTGGTTCTATTAGTACAGAATCCAGACATACGTTTGTTTCTCTTTGAAAAATTTCATAATGTAACCCAGTGAATAAAATATTTACCAATATTTTTTCTTTATCACTTCTTACCACAATTTTTCCTAATTATTATTCTTTTTTAATTCTGGAAAGCCACTCAAATAAAATATCTTCAGAATTAACAAAATAAGTTTCTAAATTTAAGGATTCCCACAACTACCTCCTGATTATATAGTAATATTATATAGATACTGCCACTTCTTCACACTTTAAGCTTGTGTACATTCTCTAAATTTCTGTATTTTTATGAGCTTCATTTGGGGTGGTAATAAAATATGATCCAGAAAAAAAGCCCTTTTATTCTGTAATTATAGTCTCTGTTTTTCTACATAGTTCTCTCAGGATTTCTTCACCTTGCTTCCAGGCTTGTCTGAATTTCTAACTGCTTTTTCTATTGGTTGTCTCAAAGTCTCAGTATAGTACTAAAGTGCTTTCTATTTGTTGCTATATCCATTACCACTGACAACCTCAGAAATCTTTGTCTCTTGGGTGCCATAGCAATAGGCTTGACACAGCTACCCAGTGTCTTGTGAGATTAATTCATCATGCATTTAGGACAGTAAACTGTTGTTTGACATGTAGGAATTAATAAGTGGGTAGTGTACAAAGCCTTTTGTTTTTATTTGTGGAGGGGACTTTAAAAGGGAAAAGCTAGGATCATAGTCTAGGCCATGTATAGAAAAGATTGCTTGACAGTAGTTACGGGGTAATGCCTGAGAGTCCTCATGTTTGAGACTGGTGTGTGCTAAGTGTAATGATGTAATCTGAAGAGAGGGTGGCCGCTTCTCTCAAAATGGTTTTATGCTAGTTTTACCTTTCTAGAGACCCACATCTACACTCAATATTGCAGCCCTTGAACCAGCAATCTAGGGACACATTTTCTAAAGAGTCCTTAAATAGTTTGATGTCTTTACAAGGATTTTTTAAAATTTTACTTTTTTTTTTGCTTGTCTTTAAAAAATGAAACAGCTGTATTTTGAATAGAAATTTGAGAATAGCAAGGTATCAATAAATAAATAAAAATCATCCTAAATAAAAAACCAAGGAAAACCCAAAACCCTATTCAAGTTTGAAGATGTAAAAAAAAATATATATATATATTTGGGTAGTTGGGTCGGCAGATGGGCAGAGACTTTGCTATAAAAATGTGATCATACTATAGTGCTATTTTAAAATAATGAGTTTACATTTAATTTTACTACAATTTAACAGAAGAAAGAAATGAAAGGAACTGAAGAAAATGCTACACTTCAGATAAAAGTTTCTTTACTATAAAAGGTACTATGCTATAAAGAATCTCAGATTTTTAAAAATACATTTAAAAAACCTACCTATGGGCTGGGTGGCATGGCTCACACCTGTAATCCAGCACTTTGGGAGGCTGAGGCAGGTGGATCATGAGGTCAAGAGATCGAGACCAGGCTGGCCAACATGGTGAAACTCCGTCTCTACTAAAAATACAAAAATTAGCTGGGCGTGGTGGTGTGTGCCACCTGTAGTACCAGCTACTTGGGAGGCTGAGGCAGGAGAATCACTTGAACCCTGGAGGAGGAGGTTGCAGTGAGCCTAGATCACGCCACTGTACTCCAGCCTGGTAACAGTGAGACTCCGTCTCAAAAAACAAAACAAAACAAAAAACAATAAACAAAACAAAACTACCTGTGAAAGAAACTCAAATCAATTGGAAATTTCTTCTAAACTCTGGGCTTGATGAATCGATCTCAACTTTTCCTTTTATCTCATGTTCTTGGAATGAATTCTTAACTAGATATGAGTTAATATGAGCCTCTCCTTTTGCAAGAAAAAGGGCTAGTTGCATCACCTAGGAAAAAGGAGACAGACCTTTCCAGCATTGTGAACAGGTACCCAGGTGTGAGTAACATTTCAGAGCCCATATCAGATAAGGGTAAACAGACTCTAATTCATTCTTCCCTCCCTGCATTGACTCTCAAAGTGGTAGACACTCAATAAGGGCTGAAATGGACTGAAGCCAGAGAGAGGTGATCTCTGGATTTTTCCTCCTATATTCCTTGTATTTGGCCTTTATCTGGCTTATGGTTGAATTCAGGAATGACACAAGAAGTTGTGGTTTTCCCCATTGGATAATGGTCAGAGTCATCCCGGTGACTTCTCCTAAGCTAAGGATAACTATGAGTTAAAGATAACAAAGAAGAATATGTTTTCATCCAAAGGCTTGTTGTCATCTGTGTAAAACCTCAGTGAGGGGGGCTAAGCAATTACCAGTAGTGAGAGGGCAGGGAAGAGAAGCACCTGGCTCCAATATTACCCAGGCAGCCCCTGAAATCTTACAGCCAACCACTTCTCAAGAAGTCTCTCAAAATAGAATCTACTAACAGAGAAGTCAGAAGTTACTCTATGGCCATAGCAACTGGGTTCAGAAATCAAAGAATAGCAGCCATGTTGCTACAGGATCTTGCACCCTTCCATGCTTGCTGGAGGTGGCAAGTGTGAACAATTTAGCATTTTTGTCATTAGGGTTTTTCTGAGGAATATATAATTTTTTATCAGAACAGGTGGGAAATCCTAAGTGAATTCACAACTTTTTGTTTGTTTTTTGTTTTCCAAATAAGACTATGAAATCCTCCAATTAAAAAAAAATTTCTGTTCAGCAAAAGGTTTATGAGACCAACCTCAGAAACCAAGCTTCCAAATCTGATGGCAACATTACTAAGTTTATTAAATTCATGGTTTCATTAATAGTGAATTGAGCTGTAAGCAAATGTCATGGGTGGAAAGATCAACAGCATGGTCTCTGTTATATTATATATATATATTATTATATATATATATAGTATATAGTATATATATATTTTATATATATATATAGTGTATATATATATATATAGTGCCTTAATTATATTATGTGGATAATTGCATAAGAACCATGTAATAATACTACTGAACAATGGGTACATTGTCCTTTCAAAATGAGGAAGTACACAGTTTACAATGTTGCCATCACAAGTTGAACTTATGGGGACATTAGGTCCTATGACTTTATCCAGAGAGTTGGATTCATCTCCTGCTAAATGGAAAAAAACTTCAAACTTTATTCCACATCTGTGCTATTCTCACCATATCCTCCTTTGCACGGGTATAACAGGAATCAGAGCTGAAATTTGGACAAAGTCAAAATCTCTATTCAATCTTTAAATACTTAACGAATATTGATTGAAGAACCAGATGATTCTCAAAGATAGTTCTCCCCAAGGATGAGAAATAAATGATCTCAACCTTGTAAATTTTAAGTTTTGTTAGGTGGGATTAGAACAGCCCTTAGCCTAGAGCTAATTTGTCTGCCTCTTGAGGTGATATCCTTCTGAATGCTCAATTTGATGTCCTGTGACTTATGAAGTTTCTCCACTTGGGCTGGTGGGAACCCAGTCTATACCTGTCCCCGTGTGATCTTCAAATATTGATCCCGGAGGGGCTTCTTTTGCTAGACTTGCATAGTTTCTCCTCAGTTGTGTGCTGATCAGAATTCAGCTGAAGGCTCAAAAGGGACCCTCTGCACACCCTTGTGTGTGGCTTTCTTTTGGGAATCTGCCTATGAACTCTAGCTGTCTTGGCCTCCCAGCTCTGTTTCCTCAGCTCTGGGACTCTACCAGTCTCCTCCTGGGTTTCTATTCCCCGAACTGTGGCCCAGAAACTCTCTCCAGGTAGAAAGCGGGGTCAATGACAGGGACTTCACTTCTTTTTTTTTTGTTTCCTGTCTCTTGGGTCACTGTCCTATGCTGCCTGATGTCCAATGTCTGGAAATCACAGTTTCATATATTACGTCCATATTTTTAGTTGTTTCATGGGAGGGGATAAATTTAGTCCCTCTTGCTCTGTCTTGTCTGGAAATAACCATGTCAATTTTAAATTAGAAAACATTCTTTATTGCTGTCTCTCTTAAAAATTGCCTATGACTCCAAACAAATATTATCTTTTACACTGGTGAGTTGGTTTACCATCTTCTGCTTTAGGGTAAGACGTTGTCAAGAGAGAGTGTCAAGTGTCAGAGAGAGTTGACAGGACTCCTTAATGGTACTACAGATGTCTCTAAAAAATTAGTTAGTTACAGGTTGATCACTATGATAAATAGCTCCAGTGTTGAGTTTCACTTCTATTTAAATAAAATAAAATTTAACTTTGAAGATTAAACTTATGGACTTCATTTTATAAGGTCTCTTCTCTCTCTCCTCTCTTTTAGAATAGCTGCATCTCTAGAGCACATAATGATTGCATATTCTCAGAGGTTACTTTTAGGATATGTAATCATTAGCAGATCTGTGAGTGTAAATGCAGGTCACTTTATTCTAGGCTTGTGTTTTGCCTTATCCAGTTTATTTTTATTTTTATGTTTTGCCTTATCCAGTTTTAATAACAGGTCCTGGATCATATACTACATATTTAGAAGAAATTAGAGTAGTATCTATACAGAGAGATGATGAGACAATCAAATTGAATAGGCTTTATGCTTTCTTTAACTTTCCTTTTGATTCCATTGAAAGCTCTTTTAAGATGTGTTAAACTTAAAACTTATTTGTGGCAAGTGAATATGGTATGTGTGTCCGTGTATGTACAATGTGTTGAAAATGAAAACATGACTGGCACAGATGACATGAGTGGGAACACTGCAAATTTGGTGAAGTCCTAAGAATTTTAGAAGAAAAAGACTTCTCACAAACAAGGCATACAACTATACAAAGTAAGGATGTGTGTTAGTTTCTAGAAAAGTTATAAGAAAATGGGAGAAATGTCATATTATTGCTACATCTTTCACATAAAGAGACTTTCAATGACCTTTTTTTAAAATTGATTTTTTATTGTATAAACTTAAGGCATACAACTTTAAGCCTTTTAAGCAAAGCTTAAACACACTGTCATTTTGGGAAACAGAAAATACAAATATGAAGAAACAGTAGGTAAAAAAATACTTTGGGATGATGTTAGGAGTCAGGGGACCAGATACAGTGGCTCAATATCTTAAAAAGTCACTTACCTTGTGGTAATCCTGCTATAATCTCACTAGAAATTTGGCAAAGTATCTCTTCATAAGCATTTGTTTTTAATTTAATAGGTCTCCAAACTACTCAGGATAATCAGATCATATTTTGGTTAACCTCGATGTTAACCATGATAAAGCCATTTGGTGCTCATTTTTTATCTAAAAGATGGAATGATTTTTTTTGACTGCCTCTCCTCTTTACAAGTCAATACATTATTTCTTTCTTCTTACAGTTAATCTGAAATTTATTCTGTTTTATAAACCTATGCCAAATAACCCCACTAATAGTAATGTGTTAATTTTTTTCTAATTATTACAGTATTTATAGCTAATGTTATCCAATTATATATATTGGACTGGATACTGCCTTGCTTATGTATGATACTTAAGTTTTGTCAAGTCATTTACAAGGTTCTTGAATACAGAGTCCCTATAGTTTTCTTCTATATATTTTTCTTCTTTCTATTAGCCCACTACTAAGTTGAGAGTAGATGCTTGATAATTTGTTGTCTTGAAATCAATTCTAAGAATTTAAAACTAGATATAAACCCCTTCCCCCTCCACTATTACCAGCTTAATCCCATCAACAGTTCAGAAAAATAAGACAGGAAATAATTGCTTGTGAAGGGCCACACAAGAAGTTAGGTATAAAACTACAATTGGACCTCAGACTTTCAAACCCATAATTCTGAACTCAAAACAAAAGGCCACACAGCCTCCATCTATATAATTAGATTTAGAAAGCACTCAGGAAAGCAAAGCTGCTCTTGTCCTGAAGGAAAGTTTGTGACTGTGTATTCTTTGCAGAAAGTAAGGACTATGGATCTCATTAAAATGTCCCCAACCTCAGGATACTATCAGTATAAACATTCTTGAAGGGGAACATATATTCTGGGTCTGGGAGACAAATCCCATCTGGTCTACCTTGGATGGAAGGCTCCCCTACTCTGTAGTGGTTGGTTGTTTTGTTGTGTGTGGACAGCTGAGAGTCATTTCCTCATCTTTATTCCAAACGAAGCTGGACACTCCCTTTTCATTTTTGAAAAGTAATCTGTGTGAGAAGGCAGCCAGCATGTTTACCCACTGGGCTTGGAGCCAGACTTCTTTCCCTGGTTCTTCCTCTCTCTGTTTCTCAATCTCCCCTGCTCTAAGATGGCCAGATATGAAAAGCTGCCAATCGGGATGCCAGAACATCAAAGAGATCGCTCATGAGAGCACACAAAGTCCCATTTGTTCAGCACTTGGACGGAGATGCCAGCAGCTTCCAGGCAGAGGGAGAATCGAAGGTTTGTCTTCACTTGACTTCTCGCTCACACCATCTGGCTGATGGAGAATCCTTTCATTTCTTCCCGTGGCTGGACCAAAGGGAGAATGACTGTGAATAGAAGTGCCTTTTCAACCTTCACTTGTATCCATTTTTAAAAGGACAAATAAGGTCATCTCTGCTTCTGAAATTAATTGTTAAGATTTCTTTAAAAAATTCTTTTTGCTATTAATAACCTTGATATATTGGATTCTAGATTTAAGGGATAAACATGGTATTGGTATCTGGTAATATGGAGTGGTCTGATTTTTATGTGTCATAAAAGTATTTTATCAGTGTCCCTCCCAACCATAAATTCTCTTTCAGGTATTTCACATGAAGCGTAGAATTCTAGTTAGAATCCTTGAGATTCTACTCTTACTGCTCCTTCTTTGGCAAAAGCTTACTTTCAGTATTGAACAGTGCTGGGAGTATAGTGTTAAGTGGTTGGCAGTTATTTTATACTGGGTGAATATGTTTTAGATTTGTTTCAAATTACAGATTTTGAGGACAGATATGGTGGGGTTGGAAAACGTAAGGATATTTGTAGGTGAGAAGGAAATCCATCTAAAGACATAAAAAGTACTGGATTGGAAGACTCCTAAGCAGGGCCAGGATTAAGTGAGGCTGTCAGCCTGTGTGTGTGTGTGTGTGTGTGTGTGTGTGTGTGTGTGTGTCTGATAGTAGTGGTAAAAGCACTTAACCTGAGATCTACCCTCTTAATTTTTAAGTGTATGATACAATATTGTTAATCATAGGCACAACGTTGGACGGCATATCTCTAGAAGTTTTCATCTTGCGTAACTGAAACTTTGTATCTGTTGAACAACAACTCTTCTTTCCCCTAATCCTCAGCCCCTGACAGCCACCATTCTACTCTCAGCCTCTATGAGTTTGGCTGTTTCAGATACCTCATATAAATGGAATCATGCAGTATTTGTCCTTCTGTGGCTGCTTTATTTCTCCTGGCATAATGTCGTAGGGCATAGTATTTAAGGAGGCATTTGTTCTCAGCCTCATGTAAGTGCAGGCTGAGCATCTGAGTTTGAGTGCCTGGATACATTTTGCACCTTGAGAGACAGTTTTGCCTCATCCTAGTATCAGGACCTGCTTCTAAGACAAATAGCCACTTTCCACAACTTTCACCAAAACTATTTTCTGGTTCCACAGAAGCAACTATGGGTGGGGCAATGTATGCTGGATGAGGGTGAGAAGAAATTTCATAAGTTATGTGATTTTAGGTGACTCGGACTACTTCCCTGAGCATAATTTTCACCCTGGAAACAGAACTAATATTTATTATCTATTTTATCCAACGAGAACTGGGATGGGTCTGAGATTTCGCCCTAATAATTGGTGCTAAGCTAAGAAATTAGCCTCTCACAGTTCTATGGATGCTGAAGGAAGACACGCAACTCCTGGGTCAGAAACACGAGGCTGTGTTACTCATAGCAGCCACAGTTGCTAAGTAGCAGCATTTATAGTGTTCCCTTGAACTCCAGTTCCCACAGGGCGACATGAAGAGGGCCAGATACAAGCAGTGAATTGCATTACATGAGATGAACCCAAAATCTAGGAACCAAAGTGTTTTATAATGGGCAAATCAGAAGGCCTGGCCTTGCTCTGCAGAGGGATATTATTTTTTGTAGACTGAACAGTAAGCATGCTTATTCCTTGCTCTGGGGGGATTCCTAGCATATTTGCCCCCAGAAATTTCTTTCTTTCCTTTCTTCTCTCCTCTCCTCTCCTCTCCTTTCCTTTCTTTCCATTTTTGAGACGGAGTTTCACTCTTGTTGCCCAGGATGGAGTGCAGTGGCGCAATTTTGGCTCACTGCAACCTCCGCCTCCTGGGTTCAAGCACTTCTCCTGCCTCACCCTCCCAGGTAGCTGGGATTATAGGCGCCCGCCACCACGCCTGGCTAATTTTTTTGTATTTTTAGTAGAGATGGGGTTTCACTATGTTGGCCAGGCTGGTCTTGGACTCCTGACCTCAGGTGATCCACCTGCCTCGGCCTCCCAAAGTGCTGGGATTACAGGCATGAGCCACTGCGCTCGGCCGAAAATTCTTTTATATGAGAGAAAAACAAACCCTATCTTGTTTAGACTCTGTTACGTTGGGATGTTTTATTTGTACACAAACTGAATCCTAACAAATACAGAATTTGGCATCTGGAGGTGGGGTGCAATAACAGAACTCAACAACATGTGGGCTGGCCTAGCCGTGTGGAGGCATTTAGGTAGTGGGTACTCAGATAACAAAGGCTGGACAACAAATAACTCTTAATATGGCATAGGAAAATATCTGGTCACATGCTCACGTTTTATCCTTTGGAAGTCAAACCGCATGTGAATTAGAGTGAAAGCAAAAGGGAGGGAAATGGTAGGAAAACATCAGAATGTTGGTGGGTGTTGTGTACCTTTTGCCATTTTTAGCAAAGTCCTGAAGGAGTGAGAGAGGAGCTCGGACTACAGTACGCCAGACAGGAAACACATCGTTTTTTACAGAGGCTGTCTCTGAGAGTATCCTGTGGCATAAATTGCTTGTGTGTCCTGTAATTTGAGGTGCTGAAATTTTGAAAAAGCCTTATTTTCCCGTAGCTCAAATCAGAGCACTTATAGGTGATGGAAACTAAGTAGCCCTCCTTAGTAGGAGGTAATACAGTGCCAGCAAGAGCTTCTAGCAAGAGCTATAGCAAGCAAGCTTATAGCAAGAGCTCTCTGCAGACAATGGGAACTAGATTGAAAGTATTAGCTTAGGGTTCTTATTTTCCCATCCAAGCCTGTTTTATCAAATAGTGTCTTAGTGGCTCCCGCTCATTTGAGAGAGAGGGCAATAGATAATGAAGAGAAGACAGCAAATAAAAATGAGAGTTGCCAGGCTGAAAAACTTAGTACACACAAGATCTTGGTTATTTGTATGTGGAACTGACTGGAAACAAATAGAAGCCTACTAAGATTTGAAGAATAACATTGGCAAAGAGACCCCAAACTTGATCTACAGTGCCCTGTGACAATTAAACCTTTTGAGTGGGCTTTGGGTCCCAGTTGGAAGGCAGCTGTGAAAGCTGTGCTTGTCCCCAGTAGGCCATTCACTCCAGAACCTAGTTCACTATGTCCATAGCTGATAGTGGACATAGAGAAGTCCCCCAGGAGAAAAGGCCAAAGGGTTACAGAAAATGGCTAAGAATGCTTTCCCAGAAGGCAGAACCAGAGGCTACAAGAAGGGTAAACCAAGGAACCAACCTCACTGCTAGGGCTGGGCATCTTTCAACTCTACCCAGATGGATTTTATAATTGCTTCAGCCAGTGAGTGTGCTGTGTTGGTCATCCTTCTCATTTCCATCTGGGAGGCTTTATTACTGTTTTGCTGTTCCTTTTCTGCCACAGTGTAGCAAGTTTGCCTCAGGCAGGATTTTCTCAGTAATCAGATCACCGGGTTATGACAGCCAACATTTTGACCTGACGGAGAGAACTGTACATCACCCAGAGATCCTGGACTTTGAGCTAGATGCAGTAACTGGGGGTGACTTTGGTTCATCTCTGCTGGAGAGGAAGCGTGTTCTTTTTGTAGGAGAGGAATGCACATGGAAGGAGTTGAATAACCCAAAGCGCAGGCTATCACAAAGACCACTGATTATCTCAAGAAATCCATTGTTCTTCTCCTTCTCCAACATAAAACTGCAAATTCACTTTAAGGGCCTATTGACTCAGCTAAATGATTATATTTCCCAGCGTCCCTTGCATCCTTGTGCAGCTATGTCACAAAGTCTGACAAATAAGCGGTAAGAGGCAGTATTGTATTATACTTTTTAAAAGGAAAGATTCAGATTCTTCCTTTTTTTCTCGTCAATCCTGCTTACTGGAACATGGGTGTAATGGCTGACACTCTAGTTGCTATTTTGGATGGTGGAGATGAGGCTCCTCACTGTAGGGATATTGGAATGAAAAATTGCACAAGGCAAAACACTGATGAATTTGGCCAGGTGCGGTGGCTCACGCCTGCAATCTCAGCACTTTGGGAGGCCGAGGCGGGCAGATCACGAGGTCAGGAGATCGAGACCATCCTGGCTAACACAGTGAAACCCCGTCTCTACTAAAAATACAAAATATTAGCCAGGCATGGTGGCGGGTGCCTGCAGTCCCACCTACTCGGGAGGCTGAGGCAGGAGAATGGTGTGAACCCTGGAGGCGGAGCTTGCAGTGAGTGGGGATCACACCATTGCACTCCAGCCTGGGCAACAGCGCTAGACTCCGTCTCAAAAAATAAAAAAATAAAAATAAAACAAAAACACTGATGAATTTGTGGATCTGCTAAGTCAGCATTGGACTGCTAGCCTTCATATTTTCTTTATAGGACAGAATAATGCCTTTTGTGTTTAAGCCTTTGTTAAGTTGGCTTTTCTTTCATATGCTGCTGAAACTAATTTTGACAAAGTAAAACTATACAAATATGAGGATATTCTTAACATTGTGAGTCAGGAAATTTGTCAGAAAGAGTGGATGCATCAGTCTTTCTAACAGAAACAAAGTAAAAATTATTCATTAAAAGTCACCTTGACAATGGGTTTAAAGAGTAGTTTTTTTCTGGTATGAATGCCTCCATAGCCTGGACCATTTCTAAGATTCTAAAATCTTAAGTCCATAAGGGCATAGTACCTTGTCATACTCACTGGGACCTATAAGATATTAATAATTGATACATCAGGGATCTTGCTGAAGGGACAGTAGTAGGCTCAATTATTTGTACCATATGACGCTACCTATTGCAACACAACTAATTAGACCAAAGGTGGGAAACTAACCAGTGCAGTCAATGCATAGACTAACGGTTAGTGGCCTATGATTGACATGTTCCGGTATGAAAAGAAGATCTAGGTCAATCAGCATCTCTATATCACCAGTTTGAAGTAGAACATCCAGATGGATATCAGTTAGCAGTGGAAGCTAAAGCTAAAGTCAGCAGAAATGGTCAGAGTCAGACTATGATGACCATATATAAGACAAAAGTAGAGGATGGCAGAAACCATAAATGAACAGAAGCGTAGGTGAGTAAAAGACATAGGGTAGAAAATGAGGATGCTGCTGAAAGTAGTATGAGAAGAGAGGAGGAACACACAAAAAGTAGAGATGGAGAGGAAAACTAAGTCTTGTTATTGACAGAGATATTTGAATTTTGTTGCTGAGTTTCCTGCAGCTGTTGAGCAACCATTTTTGTTTCTATATGGCAAGGTAAGACTGAGTTATTGGGTTTTCCGCTTCCTTTATCTTTTGCGCAACTCTTCCTCCGATATATACTTATAATAACACATTACCCATTGCTGGAAACATGTTTTTCTATCACTAGCAACAAACCTACCTAATTTTAAATTACTTGAATCCTATTTAACTTGTAAAAAGGACTGAATTGAGGCGATTTATCATATTAAACCCAGTGTCATGCAACACACTTAAAATAAGGTTAAGTGGGAGAGAAAGATAGTTATAGCAAGAAACTAAAACGAGATACAATTTTTTATAATTTCAACTTTTATTTTAGATTCAAGATGTACATGTGCAGGTTTGTTACATAGGCATATTGCATGATGCTAATGTTTGGGGTGTGTTGGATCCCATCACCCAGGTAGTGAGCATAGTACCCAATAGTTTTTCAACCTATGCTCCCCTCCTGCCCTCCTCTAGTAGTTTCCAGTGTCTGTTATTGCCGTCTTTATGTCTATGGGTACCCAATGGTTGGTTCCCACTCTAAGTGAGAACATACAGTATTTGGTTTTCTGTTCCTGCATTAATTCACTTAGGATAATGGCCTCCAGCTGCATTCATGTTGCTGTGAAGGATGTGATTTTACTCTTTGTTATGGCTGCTTAGTATTCCATGGCATATATGTACCACTTTTTTTAATCCAATCCACCATTGATGGGCACCTGGATTGATTCCATATCTTTGCTATTGTGAATAGCTCTGTGATGAACATGAGTGTCTTTTTCATAGAACAACTTATTTTCTTTTGGATATTGTATGAGTCCATTCTCATGCTGCTAATAAAGACATACCCAAGACTGGGTAATTTAAAAAGGAAAGAGGTTTAATTGACTCACAGTTCAGCGTGGCTGAGGAGGCCTTAGGACACTTACAGTCATGGCAGAAAGGGAAGCAAACGCGTCCTTCTTCACATGATAGCAGGAAGGAGAAATATGAGAACCTAGCGAAGAGGGAAGCCCCATATAGAACCATCAGATTGCGTGAGAACTTACTATCTTGAGAATAGCATAGGGGAAACTGCCCCCATGATTCAGTTACCTCCCACTTGGTCCCTCCTGTGACACATGGGGATTATGGAGACTACAATTCAAGATGAGATTTGGGTGGGGACACAGCCAAACCATATCAGATATATACCCAGTAATGGGAATGCTAGGTCAATGGCAGTTCTGTTTTAATTTCTTTGAGAAATCCCAAAACTGCCTTCCATGGTGGTTGAACTAATTTTCATTCCCACCAACAGTGTGTAAGTGTTCCCTTTTTCCCTCTGCAGCCTTGCCAGCATTTGTTATTTGTTATTTGCCAGCATTTGTTACTTGTTATTATTCTGTTATTTTCTGACTTTTTGATAATAGCCATTCTGATTGGTGTAGATGGTATCTCACTGTGGTTTTGATTTGCATTTTCCTGATAATTAGTGATGTGGAGCATTTATTCACGTGTTTGTTGGCTGCTTGTATGCCTTCTTTTGAGAAGTGTCTGTTCATGTCTTTTGCCCACTTTTTAATAGGTTTATTTGTTTTTTGTTTGTTCAATTGTTTAAGTTCCTTATAGATTCTGGATATTAGACTTTTGTGAGAGTTTGTAAATATTTTCTCCCATTGTGTAGGTTGTCTGTTTATTTTATTGAGTTTCTTTTGCTGCGCAGAAGCTCTTTAGTTTTTAATTAGGTCTCACTTTTCAGTTTTTGTTTTTGTTGCAATTGCTTTTGAGAACTTAGTCATAAATCCTTTCTTAAGGTCGATGTCCAGAATGGTGTTTCCTAGGTTTTCTTCTAGGATTCTTAGAGTTTGAAGTCTTACATTTAAATCTTTAATCCATCTTGAGTAAATTTTTGTACATGGTGAAAGGCAGAGGTCCAGTTTTATTCTTCAGCATATGGCTAGCAGTCTATCCCAGCACCATTTATGGAATAGTTCTTTCCCCATTGCTTATTTTTGTTGACTTTGTTGAATTTCAGGTGCCTGTTGGTGTGCATCCTTGTTTCTGCGTTCTTTGTTCTGTTGCTTTGGTCTATGTGTCTTGTTTTTGTACCAGTACCATGCTGTTTTGGTTACTGTGGCCTGATAGCATAGTATGAAGTTGGATAATGTGATGCCTCCAGCTTTGTTCTTTTTGCTTAGGATGGCTTAGGCTATTTGGGCTCTTTTTTGGTTCTATATGAATTTTAAAATAGTTTTTTTCTAATTCCTTGAAAAATAATGTTGATAGTTTGATAGAGTAGCATTGAATCTGTAGATTGCTTTGGGTGGTATGGCATAGGGGAAACTGCCCCCATGATTCAATTACCTCCCACTTGGTCCCTCCTGTGACACATGGGGATTATGGCCATTTTACTGATATTGAGTCTTCCAATCCATGAGCATAGCATGTTTTTCCATTTATTTATGTCATCTGTTATTTCTTTCAGTAGTGCTTTTGCAGTTCTCTTCGTAGAGATCTTTTACCTTCTTTGTTAGGTGTATTCCTAGGTAGTTTCATTTTTTTTGTGTGGCATTGTAAATGGGATTGCATTCTTGTTTTGGCTCTCAGCTTGAACGTTATTGGTGTGTAGAAATTCTACTGATTTTTGTACATCTTGAAATATTACTGAAGTAGTTTATCAGTTCCAGGAGCTGTTTGGGTTGATCTTTAGGGTTCTGTAGGTATAGAATAATATTACCTGTGAAGAGAGGTAGTTTGACTTCTTCTTTTCCTATGTGGATGCCTTTTATTTGTTTCTCTTGCCTGATTGCTCTGGCTAGAACTTCCAGTATTGTGTTGAATAGGAGTAGTGAGAGTGGTCATCCCTGTCTTGTCCCAGTTCTCAAGAGGAATTTTTGAAGCTTTTGTCTGTTCAGTATGATATTGGCTGTGGGTTTGTCATAGATGGGTTTTATCATTATTTGGAGGCATGTTCCTTTGATGCTTACTTTGTTGAAGGGAGATAAAAACCTTAATCATGAAAATAATAGTCCTTATTGAGCAGTTTCAGGCTGGTGGTAAGCATTTTATGTGCATTATTTAATTATTATTGTCATTATGATGATCACATTTAGAGCAGCCTTATCATGTAGCTGTCTTTCTTACCCCCACTTCACAGATAAAAACATTGAGGTTAAAAGGGTTAAGTACTTGCCGTTTCTATCAAATGGCAGATCTGGAGATTTGTGCTTGTTTGACCTTGAATCTACATTCTTAAGCACTATGTGTTAGTGACTGTATTTACCTTGAAGCTTTCCAGTCACACTCCCCACTGATAAGTAGCTCCAAGCTGTGGCAAAGTATAAATAGTTAGCATCTGCAGGGCTGCTGTTGATGAAGCTGGCAGCCCATGAGCCCTGTCACTTGGGACTCCAGGAAATGTCTTGGGTCTGCACTTAGGAGGCCAATTCTTAGGAAATTTTGCAAGAGACAAGTGGCCTCTTCAAAGACATAGTGAGAAAATTCTCATTCCACACTCCCTTGACACCTAGGAACTTAAGGTGGAATTGAAACCATTGTGAACCTGAGAGTCTAGTTCTAGTTACCAACATGAACTCTGGGGCCCAGGCTATGCCACTAAGTATGACCATGACTTTAGGCAAGTTGCTTAAGCTGTCTGCCCCTGTTTCCTCATCTATAAAATCCTTCAAATAGGATTTAATTATATTTTATAAGACCTGTAAGTTTTAAATAATTTAATACAAGTAAAGCCCTTGAAAGAGTTCATGGCAGATAGAAGAGCCTGATAAATGAGGGTTGTTATAATTACAGTTCTTTTCTTTTTCGTTATGTCCAGTTGACAGGTCTAGTGGACAGAAGACCTCATCGAGTGCTGATAGAGCTATAATGTGGGTGCCTGGGAGCGTCAGGCCTCATTTTTACTCCTTCAGACCTGAATGATTGAATCTATTAATAAAGCTAGACCTATCTTACCCTAGCTCAAGTTCTTTGCCACAATCTTAATAACAACAGCTCAACTAACATCTCCTAAATGTTTAATAGGAGATGTTATGTAATTTTATGGAGATGTTATATAATAGGAGAACTTATATAAATGCCAAGCACTTTAGTAAACACTTTTGTATAAATCATAACCTTTACAACAACCTGATAAGGTAGATGCTATGGGTATGCCCACTTCACAGGTAAGAAAAAATTATAACTGTTTTAAAGTGATAGCATTGAAAATAAAAGGCATTTACTCAATTAAATTGTGTCTGAGTTTCTGTGAAATCACCCAAGGAAGTTCTACTCTTTTTCTTTTCTTTCATTTCCCCTTTCCCTTTCTCTCCTCTCCTTTCTCTTCTCCCCCACTCCTCTCCCTTTCCCTCCCCTTTCCTTTCTTTTTCATTCCATTTCATTCCATACCACTCTATTCATCAGCTGAGAAGAGAACTGACAGTACAGATTGGTGTCACAAGCATATCACAGAATGAAGAGCTGAATGAAAGTACGTGCATTGGCACACAAGACCTAATTAGCTTGGAAGCATTGGTGTTTACTGAAAGTATGATAGGTTAACACATTTCCTTCCTCCTTATACTGTTTGCCTCACTTGGGCCTTCATCATACCACTCAACCACAAAAGTCAACTCAGCTTGAGAAGTAGGAAGATTCCTAGAAGTGAATGTGAGCAAACCATGCAATGCACCCTGTATTTCCTCTTATTCACACCTTACTAGAGATGAATAAACCTGGTCCCCATCCTTCCAGTACACCTCTTTTTTCATTGAAGATCATTATTGCTTCATTCCATAGATGTTATATAAGCAGAAATTTATAAAATGTAATTTTTTGTTACATGACTAAGCTTTTGTACACTCTCAAAATGAACTGCTTTTTGACTTGTTTGTGATATGTTTTTCTTAAACTTTTTACTATAAAATTGTTCAAACACAAATATTTGAAAAAATACTAAAATAGTTACCTGCATCTACCTAGGTTTCATACATCTACAAACGTATATATTCACTTTTTTTTTTGCTTTTCCATGTGAAGATAAGTAGACATTGTGAAATTTACACCAAAATATGTCAACATAGATCTCCCCAAAGTGATCGTAATTTATTACAAAAACATAGTACCCTTACACACCTATGAAAATCTAGTGTCAGGTTCAATTCAAATTTTCACAGTTATCACCAAAAGGCTTTTTACTATTTTGCTAAAAAGAAAAACAACAACAATGTCCAATCTAGGTTTATGCATTGCAATTAATTATGTATTTTTAGGTTCTTTTAATTTACAATTTCCTATAAAATATTTTAAAGTTATCTACAGACAGCTTAACTTTTTTGATGTATAGTTCTGTGACTTTTAACATATGTTGATCCATATAATCATCGCTACAGTCAGGACACAGTTTTATCACCTCAAAACATTTCTTCAAAAGTCCCTTTTGAAGTCAATTCCTCCTTTTGTCCATAAACTCTGGTACCTATTGATTCTGATAACACTATGACCTGTAGGTGACTGTATCGTACTGTTTGGTTTTTACAGAACATCTTATAAATGGAATCATACAGTATGTAATCTTTTGAAATTCACTTCTTTCACTTATATAATGCATTTGCGCTTTATTCATGTTTTTGTATGTATCAATAGTTCATTGCTTTTTTATATTCCATTATATAGATAGACTGCAATTTGAAATTATTTATTTTAGTTAACATATGATAATTGTACATATTTATGGGGTACATAGTGATGTTTTGATACATACAATGGGTAGTGATGAGATCAAGGTAATTAGCATATTGTTATCTCAAACATTTATCATTTTTCTGTGTTGGGAACATTCAGTATCCTTTCTTCTAGCTATTTGAAAATATATAGTGTTATTAACTATAGTCATCCTACAGTGCTATAAAACACTAGAACTTGTTCCTCCTATTTAGCTGAAATTTTGTGTCCTTTAACAAATCTCTTCCTGTCCCCATTCTCCCTACACTTTCCAGCCTCTAATAACTTCTACTGAGCTTTTTACTTCTATGAGATAAACTTTTTTTAGTTTCCACATACGAGTGAGAACATGTGGTGTTTAACTTTATGTTCCTGGCTTATTTCAGTTAACATAGAGTTCTAAAGTTCCATCTGTGTTGCCATGAATGAGAGGATTTTACTCTTTTTTATGGCCCAATAGCATTCCATCCACAATTTTTAAAAATTCATGTATTCATTGAAAAACATTTGGGTTGTTTCCAGTTTCTAGTGATTATGAATAATTCTACTATAAACATTTATACATAAGTCTTTGTGTGAACATAACTTTTCATTTCTTCAGGGTAAATACCTAGATGTGGCTTGCTAGGTCATGTGGTAAATGTATGTTTAATTTTTCAAGCAACTTTCAAACAATTTGCCAAACAATTTTGCCTTTTCACCAGCAATATATGAGAGTTCCAGTTACTCAGTACTTGGCTTCAATTTGCACTTCCTTCATAACTAATAATGTTGAATATCTTTTCATGTTTTTACTTGCTGTGTGTATGTCTTCTTGGTGAAGTGTCTGTTCAGGTCTTTTGGCTATATTTTAATTGGGTTGTTTCAAACTGTCAAGTTTTGAGAGTTCTTGTTCTTCATGTATTCTAGATAAAAGTTCTTTTTCAGATATGTGATTTGTAAATGTTTTCTGTCTGTTGTTTGTCTTTTTATTCTCCTGCCAGGATATTTCACAGAGCTAAAGTTTTAATGTTTATGAAGTCCAATTTATCAATTATTTATTTTTTGGATTGTGTTTTAATGGTGTTTAAAAACACTTGGGCTAACCCAAAATTAAAAAGATTTTTCTCTGCTGGGCACAGTGGCTCAAGCCTATAATCCCAGCACTTTGGGAGGCCAAGGCAGGAGGATTGCTTGAGACCAGGAGTTTGAGACCAGACTAGGCAGCACAGTGAAACCCCATCTCTACTAAAAATACAAAAATTAGCCAGGCATAGTGGCCCATGCCTGTGGTCCCAGCTATTCAGAAGGCTGAGATGGGAGGATTGCTTGAGCTTGGGAGGCGGAGATTGCAGTGAGCCTGGGCGGCAGAGCAAGACCCTGTCTCAAAAAAAAAAAGTTTTGCTTTTTTCATTCTTATTTAACCTCTTGATAGTTTTAAATGGCATCATTTGACTTTCTCTTTTAACTATACAACAATTTATTATATTCTTCATTAGCCTATATTTTATTTTTATTTTTAATTTTTTAATTTTAAATTAAATTAAATTAATTAATTAATTAATTAATTTTTTTTGAGATGGAGTCTTGCTCTGTTGCCTAGGCTGGAGTACAGTGGCACGATCTTGGCTCACTGCAAGCTCCACCTCCCAGGTTCACGCCATTCTCCTGTCTCAGCCTCCCTAGTAGCTGGGATTACAGGCATGCACCACCACACCCAGCTAATTTTTTGTATTTTTAGTAGAGATGGGGTTTCACCGTGTTAGCCAGGATGGTCTCGATCTCCTGAGCTCGTGATCTGCCCGCCTCGGCCTCCCAAAGTGCTAGGATTACAGGCGTGAGCCACTGCACCCGGCCTATTTATATTTTTTCTACATATTTTATAGATGCATTCTTTCTACTTTGTCAGAACTTATGATTTTATATGCTATTTTTTTAACCTATACTCTCAATTTTGTTTTATTCATAGATTTCTAGTTAAACATATTAAATGTTCACTACCAGTATGTTTTCTTGTTACTACTATTAATATTATTTCTTGGTTGCATGAAGATCATCCTCTAGAAGACTTCTTGTCAAAGGTTTATAGGTTCATTATTTCCTAAGTTTCTGTACTTTTAAGACTATTTTGTTATAGTCTTGATATTTCAATTTCAGCTTAGATATAAAATCTCTGGGTTTTGCTTTCTTTAAGTATCGGGGGAAATTCAGTGCCTGATATTTCACATAGTTTCTTTTCTATTTTCCGTAAGTGTCAGCGGGTCTGAGAAATAATGGTAAAGAGTACAGAAGAGAGAAATTTTAAAGCTGAGTATCCGGGGAAGACATCGCATGTTGGCAGGTTCCATGATGCCCCTTGAGCCTTAAAACCAGCAAGTTTTTATTAGTGATTTTCAAAAGGGGAAGGAGTGTATGAATAGGGTGTGGGTCACAGAGATCACATGCTTCACAAGGTAGTAAAATATCACAAGGCAAATGGAGGCAGGGCGAGATCACAGGACTACAGGACCGGGGCAAAATTAAAATTGCTAATGAAGTTTTGGGCACGCACTGTCACTGATAACACCTTATCAGGAGACAGGGTTTGAGAGCAGACAACCGGTCTGACCAAAATTTATTAGGAAGGAATTTCCTTGTCCTAATAAGCCTGGGAACACTACAGGAGACCGGGGCTTATTTCATCCCTTATCTACGACTGTAAAAGACAGCCGTCCCCAAAGTGGCCATTTCAGAGGCCTCACCTTAGGGACGCATTCTCTTTCTCAGGGATGTTTCTTGCTGAGAAAAAGAATTCAGCGATATTTCTCCCATTTGCTTTTGAAAGAAGGCAAATATGGCTCTGTTCCACCCAGCCCACAGGCAGGCATACTTTAAGGTTATCTCCCTTGTTCCCTGAACATTTTTGTTATCCTATTCTTAAGGTGCCCAGATTTGATATTGTTCAAACACTCATGCTCTACAAACAATTTGTGCAGTTAACACAATCATCACAGATACCTGAGGTGACATACATCCTCCTCAGCTCACGAAGATGACAGGATTAAGAGATTAAAGTAAAGACAGGCATAGGAAATCACAAGAGTATTGATTGGGGAAGTGATAAATGTCCATGAAATCTTCACAATTTATGTTCAGAGATTGCAGTAAAGACAGGCATAAGAAATTATAAAAGTACTAATTTGGGGAACTAATAAATATCCATGAAATCTTCACAATTTATGTTCTTCCGCCGTGGCTTCAGCTGGTCCCTCTGTTCAGGGTCCCTGACTTCCCACAACATTTAAGTTTCTTGAAAATGTCACTCTATTGTTGGCTTTCTTTGTAAGTTGCTCTTGAGAATTATGGTTGGCTTGTCTTACTCTTATACCTAATTTGCTCTTTTTTGTCTGGAGGGCCTGCATGTGGATTTTTGTTCTTTCTGTTTTAAAAAGTCTGATATTTTGCAAGGCTATTTCTCAAGTTCAATTATCCTCAGTAAAATTTTCCAGGTACGCAGGAAGCCCTTTCAATGTATAGATTTAGATTTTCTTGGATTATTGGTTTAAATATTAGCTCTGTTTCATTGTCTTGTTTTTCTTCTTCAGGGATTCTAAGTGTACATATATTGAATATTTGTCTACCTTAGATTCCAACCTCCTTCTCTCTGACTTTTAAAAGTTCTTTATGTTATTTTCATTTTCTTGGCTTCTTTCTCGCATTTATTCCTTAGTAATGTGTCACTTAAATCTATTTTCCTTTGGATACCTTATAATTTATTCTTCATTTTAGGGATATTTTATCTGTGTAATTTCTTTCCTGAGATCTATCAACTCATTGCATTTCTTTCTTTATTTGTATACTTCTGTGCTTACTTTTTGCATTTTTTATTAGAAATTATATATGTATATCTAAATGCTTATTTGAAGATATTTAATTAAGACTTGAGGTTATATTATAGTTTCTTCTGCTTTGTGGTTGTTTGTGGTGGAAATTTTTTATGATATGTAATATCTTTTTTTTTACAATAGCATTGTATAGGGTTAATTTGTTTTGCTTCTATTCTTATGCATTTTCTTGATGGGCTTTTTAGGTTGAGCATATTCTCTTCAGTGAGTGTAATAAAGTTAAATATCACTAATAGATGATTTTGTTGGTGATGAGTGGTGGTAGATAGGAAATAAGAAGGGTCTACATGTACTGTGATAGTTTTTATTTCTGCATGCTCCTTAATTTTTCCTGCTTGCTTCCTGCTTTCACTTCACTGACAGTCTATGACGGGCATTTCCTCTTCTCTATTTTTTTCCCTTTCCCCCAGAAGCAATGCTTCAATGTTGCCAATTTCCAACTCGCTCAGTTGTAAACCCCTTCCCTGTAGCTGTCGCTGTGAACTTTCCAGTTCCAGACCTGTGTTCAGTATTTTGGTATTTAGCTTTGGACTTTTCTCTTTCTAAGGGTAATTTTGTCTTTGCTTTATTTAAAAGTCCCCTGATATTTTTTTTCTTTTACACGAAGTGTTTAAAGGCTTTCTACCCTACCTTTCCCAATCAGTGAAAATCTGCTGGAATTGTTTGTGTCTTTATATGAAGGGAAATTGAAGTTCATAGTATTCTTGGTCTCTTAGTAATGCTGAAAATGTGGGTCAAGTTTCATTTGATTTGAGCTCCTTTTTCTTTTCTTCCCTGTTCCTCCCCTTCTCCTCCTCCTTCTTGGAAATTATGTGGAGAGATTTAGATTCAGGTATCCACTTCTATGGCCAATTGGATTGCCTACTTTCACATTTAATTTACACTTTGTCTGGATTATTAGTAGTTGGAAATCATTTTTCTTTTATTGTCTTTAACATCTAGAGCTGATATTGAAAAGTTAAAAGCCATTCTCATTGTTGGTCTTTTGTATGTGACACACTTCTGTTCTCTGAAACTTTTAGTATTTCCCCTTTTCCCAAAGTGGTTGCATTTTCCAGGTAGATGTTCTGCTGTGAGTTCCTTTTTCTCCATTGTTCAGGTTACTAGCTGGAGCATCTTGATCTGAAAACATGGGTCCTTCAATTCTGGAATAATTTTTAGAATTATTTCATTGATAATTTTGTCTGCTTATTTGTATACCCTCCTCACTGAATCCTTATTATTCACCTGTTAGACATCATAAATAAGTTCTTTAGGTTTATTTTTCTCTTCTTTGGCCTCCTTTTCTTCTCTCTCTCTCTCTCTGTACCTCTCTGTCTTTCTCTCTCTCTATTCTCTCACTTCCTTCCTCTCTCCTTCCACTTTCTAATGTTTTCTTTAAAGTTTTCTATTTTTACCATCATATTTTAAATTTTAAGAGATAATTTGGATTTTTGCTTCTATTGTTATTTTAAAATAAAATTTTATTCTTGTTTGTAGATATATCTTCCTTCATTTTTCTGAATAATAACGAATTTTGTAAAATTTTTACCCTCTGCGTTGTCATAATGACCTCCATTTTGGGTTGCTTTCATGTTAGAGTTTTGCCTAAAGTTTAGTAATCTTTGGTTTGGCTGTTTATGTTAACAAGTGTATCATTAAGGAGCTGATTGCAAGCTGTAGGCAATTTCATGAGTCTTGTTGAATGTAGGCTTCTCAGTAGGAGGGTATAATTTGGTTATTTTTGTTGAGGAAACACCTGATATTATAATCATTAAGGTTTTTTGGGGGGATAGTTGGATTCCTGAGAGAAAAATTTTCCAATGCCCCCACTGTACAGACAAAAAATGAATAATCGAAACCGACCTTGTCCAACCTATGGCCTGTGGGCCACATGTGGCTCAGGATGGCTTTGAATGCAGCCCAACACAAATTCGTAAATTTTCTTAAAACATGAGATTTTGTTATGATGTTTTTAGCTTATCAGCTATCATTAGTGTTAGGTAGTTTTCTTTGTTTGTTTGTTTGTTTGTTTGTTTTTATATATGGAGTGTCACTCTGTCACCAGGCTGGAGTACAGTGGCACAATCTCAGATCATTGCAAACTCCGCCTCCCGAGTTCAAGTGATTCTCTTGCCTCAGCCTCCCGAGTAGCTGGGACTACAGGCACACGCCACCACACCCAGCTAATTTTTGTATTTTTTGTAGAGACGGGGTTTCACCATGTTGGCCAGGATGGTGAAATCTCTTGACCTCGTGATCTGCCCGCCTCAGCCTCCCAAAGTGCTGGGATTACAGGGGTGAGCCATCGCACCCGGCCAGTGTTAGTGTATTTTACATGTGGCCCAAGAAAATTCATCTTCTTCCAACGTGGCCCAAGGAAGCCAAAAGATTGGACACACCTGATCTACACAAATACACTCACAACATTGACAAATTTCACAAATATAATATTGATTTAAAGACACAAGATAGAATGGAACTCATATGATGTGGTTCCATTTTTATGAAGTTCAAAATGGTGTAAATGTGTCAGTTGTGACTGCATTCATAAGTGGTAAAATTATTTAAAAGTTTTCATTTAGGGTTTCCTGAAAGCAGAACAAGAGTCAAAGGCTTATGGCAAATTGTTTATGTAAGAAGAGATCTTAGGAAGCAGGGAGACTGAGAAAAAAAAAGGCAGACCAATATAAGTGTGTATTTTCCAGGCCACTGATAAAGACAACAGGTTGTATTACACCAGGATCTCTGAGGGCTGGACAGATGCCTTCCAGAATTAGGTCTGATGAATAGGAGGTTGGGGAATTTATCCATCAGCTCCTATTTACCATTGTGAGGGGGTTGTACTCTGGGGTGATAACTCCCCTTCCTATATGTGGTGGTCTTGGAAATTTCTTGGAACAGAAAAGCTGAGATTGCAAGCCAAGCACTTCAGGTGCAGCATTGTCAGCATTAACTGAGCTTACAGGTAACTGTCCAACAGAGCTGTGATTGCAATTAGAGGCGGACTGAGGAATTGTGACGCACAGCCCAAAAGTGTCTGCCACAAAAGGCAAGATTATGACTAATAGCAGACTCAGCATTGCTGGTTATCCCTAGCAAGGAGGGAAAAATTGTAATGGAAAAGGTGTAAACTATGGGCATGGAGGTGTTTTGGAGTGCTGTAATACCTCTTGATTTTGAATTAAGCAAATATTGCATTGTAACTTTTTAATTGGATTTATAACAATTGGGTTATTATGATGGAACCCTTAATAATAAAAGAGGGAACTAGATTAATGGTAACAGCTCTGAAGTCCAAGTATTTAGCCTCATTTCTATATTCAAATTATGTATGATGTGGATGGGGCATTCGTGATTTTATTCAACGAGACATTAAAAAATAATACAAGAAGATAAACTCACAGTTCTGCTGAGTACTGAGAAAAAGAAAGATAACATGGAATACACTTAAGAGACTATATAGTTTTGGTGTTTGGTAATAATGGTCTGAATTAGTGTGGTGGCAGTGTGAATGCAAAGGAAATATTGATATAAAAGCTCTTCAGATCAGTTTGACTTGATGAAGAAATCAGCAGATATATTACTGAAACTTAAAACTATCATTTTTCTCAACCACAGAGAATTGACTATGCAATTTTCTATGTGTGCCACAGTATTCCATATCTTAGACACACTTTGATTATAGCTCTTATCTCACTGAGTTTGGAACACGTGTATACCAGTCTACCTCTCTATTTCAAAGCCAACATTGAGAGGAGAAATTATGAGTTTCTTAAATATATTAGTTGCATAATAATGTTCATTGAATGAATGAATGATTTAGTGCAATGGCTTAAATGAGACTGAAACCCAAGCTGGGTATTAACTTCATCAATGAGACCCTTTGCTAGTGCTAATATTGAGCTGTAGAGGGAATAGGGGAATAGACAGAATGGTGATAACAGATGAGATTTTTTTTTTTAATTGCCTCTTCTGCAAAATAGCAAAGGTGTGCTTTTCTTTTACTCAGTGGATCAGGCAGCTGTAAAGATAAGACCAATCTTCTTAGTTGGCATTTTGGGTTTTACATGGTTGGACAAGAAGAACAGACTCCTTAACTTTTATTTTCTGCCATGAAATTGGGCTTGCATGTGAATTTGTCGTCTCTTACTTGCTACTTTAATCCAACCCTTCCTATAGGGGGAGCTAAGGGATTTCAGTACATTAGATGTAATAAGTTCACTGTTGGCTGAATACAGCATCACTACTTTTATATTAAAAATATCATAACACTATCAGTAATGTTTGTTGAACAGATGTAAATGACTGGGATTTTTTTGTCACCTACCATGAGTGATTTACTATGTCGAGAAGTACCCACAGGGTAGGATGAGTGAGAATGGATATTAGGACCCCGTGTCAGTCAGATAAGCTGCTACTCCTGGGAGCACAGTTTCTGAGAAGTTACCCAAGCTCAATGTCTCGAAACTAAAAAAAGGGAAAAAATACTTCTCAAAATCTATGCCAAGGAAAATTATTTCATAATCTGTATTTTGGTATTGTCATAGTGAATGGGGTAAGCAAATAACAATACAGACAGCATGTGCTTTGTTCTAACATTGCCAAAATTAGATCAGAGTCTGGGATAAGATCACTAGCAACAGACATTGATTTTTCACATGGTACCTCTTTGGTTGCTAAAAATGGTGCATAAAACTGTTTTACTCTAATCAACATGGTCTACATCCTCTTCCTTTTCCCTGCCTCACTCTCTTAATGACACCTTGGCCATTTGAAAACAGTAGGATAGTCAGCAGCAATTGTTAATAGTGAACAAGATCATAGGGACTACCTCTCTGTGATAACAATTCCATCTTAACTTTCAGGAGCTTCTGCTTTTTTTTAGTATCATGAATGTCTGATTCCAAAGAAGCTCCTGCTTATGGCCCATAAACCTCTGCCATAAAGTCAGAAATGCTGTGCTCACTTCACAATAGGCAAAAACTACAGTTTAACAAGCTAGTTGTTCACCTCTCCCCATCATACTTACATGATGCTTTTACCTTCTTTGTTTGTGTACTCCCTAAGAATGTCGTATCTGGGCTTTAAACACCTTAAATGACTCAAACTGTTGTGAAAACATTTAAAACTATTTGAAAACAGCAGGTTAGTTAGAAAAAGGAAATGGAATGTAAGAATAGAAAGGGAGGGGATACAACTTGGAAAAATATACTTGTCACACCAGTCTTGTTTACACTAAAGACTCAGCAGTGTTTTAATAGATGAAACATAAAGGAACTTAAATTGTATCTATTAAATACACTTTATTAAAGTGAACAAACTATCCTACAAAGAGCAATTGCTAAATTTTTGGATAACTTCATTCTTCATCATAGAAGTGATATTAAAACTTTAGTGATATAATTTTACGAATTTAATTGCTTGTGATTTATCTCATTTTATGTTGAACTTTTTTCATAGAATTTTCTTCTGCTTTCTTTAAAATTTCTTCTTGGCCAAAAGAATCATCAGTAAAATTGAGAATGGAGAAAAATGAATTGCACCTTTCATTGTGGTTTGCTTTTACAAGCAATAAAAGCCACTGTTTTTTCCTCCTTTAAATAAGGAAAATGAATTTGGCTTGATGGGAAAGATTTGTGGGTCGGGGAGAGTAAGGGAGAGGGAAGAAGGAACAATTTTTATTTTGTTTTTGGGGATGGAAACAAGGCAGATGCATTAGTATCATCAGTGATACGGTTTCCTGTGCTTTGCTTACTGACATAGTGACTTCCTGTGATTGCCTTAAGGGCTGTGGAATGGAGCTGCTGGTGTACTCCCTGACCCTCTGCTCTACCCACATGCCCAGGAAGGGCAAGGTGACTGACATTTCTCCTCTATAGAAACTTGCTGTCTGTACCCCCAATTTCTTCTCCTCTGCCCTTTAGTCCCCTGCTTCAAGGGAATGGCAAAAGATTGCTTTGAAGGTTAATTAGGATTTCACTTTGTGTACAAGAATGGAAAGGGGAAGGATATATAGAACAGGGGAGAACAAGATGTTTGCATACAAAAGCCACTGGTAAATCAGGTTTGGTAGAATGGAGTTTGCACAGAGAATAAAGAATGGATTGCAATTTTCAACTGAGATCATAGAAAATATTTTTTAAAGTGTAACTATTTTTAGGAGGTGTTAGTGTCAATCTCTCAGGAACCATTTTTATATATAACATATGTGTAATTACTTCATATAGTGTGAAAGCTTTATACAAATCTCATTAATATGAGATATTATGGTATTAGCAAGATTGTATGAGATCATGGAGATGGGGTAGAATATTTAAATGTTTCTCTTGATCTGCATACTTCACACTGTTTATAAACTAAGAAGTAAGATTAATTTAACATTTTAAATTCCCTGTTTAGATTTCTATGTTGTCATACATTTTAGTGTCTATAAAAATAATAGCAATCCTGGTTATTTTCCATTAGTCAACCATAGTGCATGTTAAAAATCTGGAGTTATTTTTTGTTGCCTACCCATCTTTTCCAGCTGATCTTCTTCTTAAATCTAAAATATTCTATAGCTATTTCTTCTTCTCTGTATATTTTTAGCAATCATCCTATTTCATGCATTGTCACATCACTTCAACTTTTTTTTTGTTTTTTGAGACAGAGTCTCACTCTGTCACCCAAGCTGGACTGCAGTGGCATGATCTCGACTCCCTGCAACCTCCACGTCCCGGGTTCAAGCAATTCTCCTGGCTCAGCCTCCTGAGTAGCTGGGACTACAGGTGCCCGCCACCACGCCTGGCTAATTTTTTTTAATTTTTAGTAGAGACGGGGTTTCACTGTGTTGGCCAGGCTGGTCTTGAACTCCTGACCTCATGATGTGCCTCCCTCTTCCTCCCAAAGTGCTAGAATTACAGGTGTGAGCCACTTCACCTGGCCCACACCTAAACTACTACAATAGTTCTTCAGTTTCTCTATCTTCAGCATTTTGTACTCAAATCCATATTTCTCAAAACAACTTAAAAATCTCAACACCCTTTTCATCATTCAAACTAAGTATATGCAGAGACTTGACTTACAGCTGAAGCAATAAGGCAGGAAATAGGAGGTACAACTTTTCAAAAGAATAAAGTAACATTATCTTTAAATGAAGATAATATGATTGTGCACTAAAAAATCAACTGAAGAGTTATTAGCATTAGTAGAAATTTGTTAAAGTGGCCAGATACTAACTAAATTTGTAAAAACCCATGATTTCCTTGCCCTTCAGGCTCAGGGACAGATCTACTTGTGCTTATGCACTCGATGAAAATGGTTTCATTGCCTTCTGAATCTCACCAACTCCGTCATGAGACCCAGGCCAAGAGGTTGGGCAGACACCTTGACGTATCTGATCACTGTTCTTCTTCTTTTTTTAGCTAAGCATATTTTCCTCAAATATAACCTGGTCTGCAGAGGTGCAGCTCTGACTTCAACATCACCATTAATAACTTCATCACCAAGCAATTTTACCTTCTTGGAGCTGAAATGTCAAGCATCACCACTTGTGTGGAGGGACTTTGTAGAGCTAAAAAGCCTACTGGAGTTGTTTCAGAACAACAAAAAAACCACCCCCCAACAATTGTTGAAGAGTATTTCATTTGTGTAATAAAAGAGCTGAAAAAAATATTCCAATTGAGCATTCTCTGGACACCCACAGTCCCTTGGCCCTGAAGAAACAGTTGACCTTACTCTGGGATGGGGCATTAACAAAAGACAAAAATTAAGTCCTGAGAATCAGAACTAAGAGTCAGAAATACGCAAGTGGTTGACATCTTTGTGTCTCAGCTTTCTGACCTATATCCTAAACATGATGTGTGTGAGACTCTTCATTTGCTGTCTATGAATGTATAAATGTTATAATGTAAGAATGAAAGAGAGTTGTGAACTCCCTTGATTCTGCCTCTCTTGTTTGTTCTTTGAAGCCCAAGTGCCCACAGATACTCAAACTTACTTTCTTAGGATGCTTTGAAGATATGTGAGGAATCTCAGCATCATACCATGCAGGATGGGGTTTTCTTCCTTCTTCCCTCTTGCTGGCTTTCTGGAGATAAGTGTTTTACCCACTCCTTTCCTGAGACCTTGTCTCCTAATAATTAAAAAAAAAAGGGTCTGGTAAAATGGAGAAGCTATGAAGTGACTGTGCGTCATAATTCACTGGAATTATGCTAGTGATAAGGTGGTCAGACTTATCAAGACATCAATTGTTGGCATTGTTGCTGTGTCTTTCCGAGGCCAGATCAGCAAAGGTTGTTCCCTTCGATGCTTTTCTCCTACTTGAGGAGTAAAGGACATCAAGTGTTAAGGGGAAAGTGGGTGGATGATTCACTATGAACTTGAGCCAGTGGCTGAAAGAGGTTAGATTATAGAGGAGGGTGGCAGAGGATGGGAGAGCAGGGAGGAAGGATTTTCTGCAGCTCATCTGAGGTGGGGACTGATAGGCATTGCTGAGAGCAGAACAATATGTTTATGCTGGTGTTCTTGTTATGTTAGAACAAGTTCTTCCTTTTGGTAACAGATTACACTTTTCTAGTTTTCCACTAATAAGGGCCTAATTAAGAGGATTTATTTGCAATTTGGGCTACTGGTCCTGATTTCTTCCCTTTGCCTCACTCCACTCATGTCCTTTACATCAGCAAAATGGGTGTCCTTTATTTCTGTATGCCTGGCAGGGAGGAGGAGATAGTTTCTCTATCTTGGGTCAGTTGATTCTTCTATACTCAGCTATCTCACAAGGAGGGGTGTGCATCCTGGGGAAGCATCGTCCATGTATGCAACACCTTTGGCGTGAAAATTCTTGAAGGAGCACAATCAATTCTGAGGCTGCCCACAAGACCTGACTAGAGTGGGGACAAAGTAGTCTAGTTGCCTTAAACCCATTCAGGTTCAATGACTGAAAGAGATGGAAAGAGTTTAAGGGACAGGCAATTATTCACAGTTATTTCAACTGGTTTCTTACAGCTATCTTTTTTTTTTTTTTTTTTTTTGAGACAGTGTCTCACTCTGTTGCCTAGGCTGGAGTGCAGTGGCATGATCTTAGCTCACTGCAACCTCTGCCCCACGGGCTCAAGTGATCCTTCTGCCTCAGCGTCCTGAGTATCTGGGATCACAGATGTGTGCCACCATGCCGGGCTAATTTTTGTATTTTTTGCAGACATGGGGTTTCTCCATGTTGCCCAGGCTGGTCTCAAACTCCTGGACTCAAGTGATCTGCCAGCCTTGGCCTCCCAAAGTGTTGGGATTCAGTTGTCTTTTAAGAAAGGAAAATTTGCTCTCAAAAACACATAGGAAAATGTCAAACTTTTTTGACACTTGAGCAGATACCCTATAGAAAGAATACTATCTTGTTTTCTCACCACAGTTTCTAAGAAAGTGAGTAGGAAAAATCCAGTGTTTTTTCAAACGGCCTCCAGAATGATTCTCAAGTGGTAGTTGAATAGTGAGAGAATCATAAGAGAATTCAAGTGTGAGGAATTACAGCATTAGAATTCACATATCACATGTTGAATTTGTAGCTATTATTCTTTGAAATGAATACAGGTTATTCGTTACCATGTTTTTCAACACCTTCTTTTAAAAAGTTATCAACCTTTCACACATAGATAGCTATATCAAGTAAACCCTATATAGTATGGTAAATAAAAGTTGCTAATTCTTCGGACAGCTAATTGGCAAACAATACTACATCATCGTTTAGAGCGATTGGATATAGATTTGGCTAAGATTATAGTTCAAGATGAATTTGGGAAACTGAGTAAATCGTCAGATCAATCAATCAATTTTCTTGGGGTAAAACGTCTACAAATATGATTTTTGCCAACTCTGCAAAATACGAGAACTGAATTAAGATATTGTGAATAGCTCTCACTTTATTGGGTTCCATTTATGTATGAAGGAAAGATTTTTCACGTGAATAAGATTTCTAATCTGGGCAAGATCTTAGTGTAAGTGTTTCTAACATAAAGTTTCATCTTTTATAAACTTTCCGCTTGTCAAAAAGTTTGATAGGGTTAAACAAAGGGCAAAGAACATACTGATAATAAAAGAAATGAATACAATTAAATAAATTTTAACAAGTTAAAATTAAACAGAAAAATTAATCGAATCCGATGACAATATGATGGCAGCTTTTCTCAAAATACCAATACATTTATGTCATTCATAGATACAAGGTTTTCTTTTCAGTGTTGTAGTTAGGATATTGCAGTAAATGTAAGGATCTAGTGGTGGATGAGGGAAATTGAGGCAGTAGTTATATATATAGATACACACACACACACACACACACACACACAGAGCTAGAAGTATTCTTTGTTGAAAAACCCATTGTACTTTATTGCACTATTAAGGGAAATGGTCCAAATTTAGTGTGGTCTTGGCCTAGATTTTTGAGATAGTTAATATTGAGATATGTTCATATTTTAGTTTTGATGAATCAATTTAAAACAACTTAGAGATTACATTATTGTCCCAGTTCTTCTGAGAATTGTATCCTCTCTGTTTGTGAATCTGTTACTTAAAAAAAAGAAAACAATGCGTTTAAGAATCAGTACTAATAAGTGGCAGTGGAGTCATGCTGTCTGGCAAAAATAAAAAAGAGCAGCGTTTTTGGAAACGGACTTTTTGTGGCTTGGGCTGTCTTTTAAGTCTCACCGGAAGTTAATTAAAATGAGCTGGGGTTTTTTTTGTTTTCTTTTTAAGTTTATTTTATCATTTTTGAGTTTACTCACTTAGTGGCAGATGCCAGAAAATTCCTCAGTCCATGTTACTAATTGAAAAACAACTCTCAATCTGGGAGGAGAGCTCAGACATTCCAGATATCTCTTTCTAGTTGGATTAAAGGGTTTTCATTCTAAATATCTTATTTGGAAGAAATGTGAGGAATTTCAATGTTCCCAATCTTGAAACCATGAACAAGAGGGTCAGCCATGCCAGGCTTATTTCTCCAAATTCTTTTGGAGCTCAAAAGGTGTGGTCTGGACTAGGATGCCTGTGGGTGATATCCAGGAGTTTCATATATATACATATATATATATGTATATATAAACATGAATATATATGATTTAAAAATATATATATGATTTAAAAATATATATAGATTTAAAAATATATATGATTAAAAAATATATATATAGATTTAAAAAATATATATGATTTAAAAATATATATAGATTTAAAAATATATATGATGTAAAAATATATAGATAGATTTAAAAATATATGTGATTTAAAAATATATGATTTAAAAAATATATATGATTTTAAAATATATGTATATATATACACACACACATTCATAATCTGAGTGTATCCTTATTTTAAAAACATGTATATTACTTCATATCCTGATTCCTTTAGGGAACTTCAGTTTGCTTTGATCAGTATTTCTAAGGGTCTATGCTATGTTTTCTGGCTTGCCAATCACTTAGACTTCTGCCCTTCAAAGATAACATTCCTGGCAGTGATTACTATCTCTGTGTGGGGGTATGTTGCCAGCAGTTATTTCACATTGTGCACCTTGAGTGTTTGTTCTGATGTAGCTGCAGATGATATTTCCAGTTGTCATTTTTGTCTCAAGGTTAGCTAGGCTTTTCTCAAAACAGAACAGCCTCTGTGTTGTAGCAGTGTACCCACAGACTACAAACAGAGAGAATTTCAGATATCTCTAATGCTTTTTTGAAGAGGTTTCTTTCTCCTTTCCTTTTCTTGTTTAGTAGTTCATGTCACATCATAGGGTGCATGTTTGGATAATAAGATTGGTAATACACTGGGAATGCCTCTGAATACTGCCTAATTTAGCAAAGCACTTGTTGTTCCCCCCGCCCCATAAGGCACAGCGAGGCTGTGCAGAGTGAGCCATTGATTTTCTACTCCAACTTCAGTGGCTTAGGCTGGCAGATAAAATAAAGTGAGTGTATGTAGGGGTGGGGTCCCTGGGGAATGTCTTAGGAGCGCCAATAGAAGTCAGATAAGAAGGTAGGGAGGTTTTCAAGGAAGATCATAGTGAAAACATGCTGTTCCAACTTTAAGAACTAAGAGATTTCTAGGGTTTTTATGGTTTTAGGTCTAACGTTTAAATCTTTAATCCATCTTGAATTGATTTTTGTATAAGGTGTAAGGAAGGGATCCAGTTTCAGCTTCCTACATATGGCTAGCCAGTTTTCCCAGCACCATTTATTAAATAGGGAATCCTTTCCCCATTGCTTGTTTTTCTCAGGTTTGTCAAAGATCAGATAGTTGTAGGTATGCGGCGTTATTTCTGAGGGCTCTGTTCTGTTCCATTGATCTATATCTCTGTTTTGGTACCAGTAGCATGCTGTTTTGGTTACTGTAGCCTTGTAGTATAGTTTGAAGTCAGGTAGTGTGATTTCTCCAGCTTTGTTCTTTTGGCCTAGGATTGACTTGGCAATGCGGGCTCTTTTTTGGTTCCATATGAACTTTAAAGTAGTTTTTTCCAATTGTGTGAAGAAAGTCATTGGTAGCTTGATGGGGATGGCATTGAATCTGTAAATTACCTTGGGCAGTATGGCCATTTTCACGATATTGATTCTTCCTACCCATGAGCATGGAATGTTCTTCCATTTGTTTGTATCCTCTTTTATTTCCTTGAGCAGTGGTTTGTAGTTCTCCTTGAAGAGGTCCTTCACATCCCTTGTAAGGTGGATTCCTAGGTATTTTATTCTCTTTGAAGCAATTGTGAATGGGAGTTCACTCATGATTTGGCTCTCTGTTTGTCTGTTGTTGGTGTATAAGAATGCTTGTGATTTTTGTACATTGATTTTGTATCCTGAGACTTTGCAGAAGTTGCTTATCAGCTTAAGGAGATTTTGGGCTGAGACAATGGGGTTTTCTAGATATACAATCATGTCGTCTGCAAACAGGGACAAGTTGACTTCCTCTTTTCCTAATTGAATACCCTTTATTTCCTTCTCCTGCCTAATTGCCCTGGCCGGAACTTCCAACACTATTCAGGACATAGGCATGGGCAAGGACTTCATGTCCAAAACACCAAAAGCAATGGCAACAAAAGACAAAATTGACAAATGGGATCTAATTAAACTAAAGAGCTTCTGCACAGCAAAAGAAACTACCATCAGAGTGAACAGGCAACCTACAAAATGGGAGAAAATTTTCGCAACCTACTCATCTGACAAAGGGCTAATATCCAGAATCTACAATGAACTCAAACAAATTTACAAGAAAAAAAACAAACAACCCCATCAAAAAGTGGGCAAAGGACATGAACAGACACTTCTCAAAAGAAGACATTTATGCAGCCAAAAAACACATGAAAAAATGCTCATCATCACTGGCCATCAGAGAAATGCAAATCAAAACCACTATGAGATACCATCTCACACCAGTTAGAATGGCAATCATTAAAAAGTCAGGAAACAACAGGTGCTGGAGAGGATGTGGAGAAATAGGAACACTTTTACACTGTTGGTGGAACTGTAAACTAGTTCAACCATTGTGGAAGTCAGTATGGTGATTCCTCAGGGATCTAGAACTAGAAATACCATTTGACCCAGCCATCCCATTACTGGGTATATACCCAAATGACTATAAATCATGCTGCTATAAAGACACATGCACACGTATGTTTATTGCGGCATTATTCACAATAGCAAAGACTTGGAACCAACCCAAATGTCCAACAGTGATAGACTGGATTAAGAAAATGTGGCACATATACACCATGGAATACTATGCAGCCATAAAAAATGATGAGTTCGTGTCCTTTGTAGGGACATGGATGAAATTGGAAATCATCATCCTCAGTAAACTATCGCAAGATCAAAAAACCAAACACCGCATATTCTCACTCATAGGTGGGAATTGAAGAATGAGATCACATGGACACAGGAAGAGGAATATCACACTCTGGGGACTGTGGTGGGGTGGGGGGAGGGGGGAGGGATAGCATTGGGAGATATACCTAATGCTAGATGACGAGTTAGTGGGTGCAGCGCACCAGCACGGCACATGTATACATATGTAACTAACCTGCACAATGTGCACATGTACCCTAAAACTTAAAGTATAATAAAAAAAAAAAAAAAAAAAAAAAAAGAATTAAGAGAAAGAATTTCAACCGGGGGTGGTCAAGTCAAATATACTACTTAAGAAAGTTATAAAAATGGTTGTAATGTGGAAACAGATTCCAGAATAAAAATCCTTTTGTGAACACTTGATTTGGATTTCTGAATTTAATCATTTTCAGCTGCAACAACAAATGCTTGAACCACGTAAGAAGCTTTGGCTTCCCATATTTTAACAGATTTTTTTTCTACACATTAGTTTGTTGTTTTTTTTTCTCTCATTTCATGATGTTTCCATTCAGCTGTTGGCATAATAATGGATTACAGTGTGGTGAAGGAAAGAGTTGGGGTTTCAGATTAATACTTGAGTTTTCAATCCCTGCTTTTATAATTACTAACTGTGGGACCTTGGACAAATCACATTAACTCGCCAAGTATCAGTTTGTCTATAAAATAGGATAAAAATACGTAAAACACCTACTACATGTTTTCTGCAACATATAAGATGGGAGAAATTGTTGCTGTTTTATTATCATGATTACTGTTTTGAAAATTAGGCTAAGATAATATAAAAGTAGTATTTAGTGAGATTTGCTAATAGATGAAAGAGAATGAAATAAAATCTAAGGGTCAATATGCAGCAAAGTGTGCTGCTCAAAATAAAATCAGTCTTCTTGTTGAATTTGACATACATATCTCATTATGTGCCATATATTTTCACTCTCAAGCTCATCTGTGTTCTGCATTAAATAATGAATTCCTTTGGAATGTGAGTGAAATTTTCCAGAAGTTATTAATTTAAAAGTTAATATGGAGATCAAGTGCATGCTGTATCCTTTATTATTAGCTTGGAGTTCATCTGAGTTCTGTACTGCCTTTTAGTTTGTGTGTGTGTGTGTGTGTGTGTGTGTGTGTGTGTGTGTGTGTGCCTGCCTACCTGGCGATAATAGGGAGGAAATTGGTCATTTTGCATAAACTTATACTAAGATGTTAATTAAGCGTAATATATAGCTTTAACACAGGTCTAAAAATGTCTTTTTATAAAAGTTCTTCACCAGCTGAAGAAGTAGAGTTTTATTTCTTATTCTGGGTATACATCCAAAATAATTGAAATTAGGATCTTGAAGAGCTCACTGCATTCCCTTATTTGTTACAGCATTATTCACAATAGCAAGATGTGGGAACAACTCAAGTGTTAATCAACAGATGAGTGGATAAAGAAAATGTGCTATACATGTACAGTGTGATATTATTCAGCTTTACAAAGGAAGGAAATCCTGCCATTTATGGACAATGTGGATGAACCTGGAGGACATTATGCTAAGCAAAATAAGCCAGTACCAAAGGTCAAGTACTGCATGATTCCACTTGTATGAGAGATCTTTATAGTCAACATCATAGAAGTAGTGAGTGCAATAGGGCTTGCCAGGGGCTGCAATGTTATTCATCAGGTATGCTAGATGAATATGTTCTAGAGATCTGCTGTACAACGTTGTACCTATAGTAAACAATACAGTATGGTGTATTTCAACATTTGTTAAGAGAGTAGGTCTCAATTTAAGTGTTCTTACGACAAAAATAAACAAAAAACACAAAAACGAGACACAAAGAAACTATGGGGGCTGGGTGCAGTGGCTCACACCTGTAAGCCCAGCACTTTGGGAGGATGAAGCGGATAGATTACCTTAGGTCAGGAGTTCGGGACCAACCTGGCCAAATCTGTCTCTATTAAAAATACAAAAAAATTAGCCGGGCACGGTGGCATGCACCTGTAGTCCCAGGTACTCAGGAGGCTGAGGCAGGAGAATAGCTTCAACTAGGAGTTGGAGGCTGCAGTGAGCTGAGATCACGCCACTGCACTCCAGCCTGGGTGACAGTGAGACTCTGTCTCAAAACAAACAAACAAACAAACAAAAACAAAAAAGAAACTATGGAAATTGCTGGATCTGTCTACTACGTTAATAGTGGTAATTGTAACAAGAATGTTTGCATATGTTTAAACTTATCAAATTGTATACTTTAAATATGTGTACTTCTTCATAATATCAGTTATGCTTCAATAAAGCTGTTAAGAAGTTTTAATTTATTTAAATTTGTGTTAACCTGTCACTTTGTGAGGGTCATCTACTTTTTATACAAAGTCACTGCAACCTACATACTTAATTCTTTTGTACTGTTTTGAAATAAGCATACACTTGCAGACACATGTTTCTACAACATTCTTTGCTTTCCCAATAGGCAAGTTCAAACTCAGAAGGCGAAAGTCCAGCGGAAAGTACCGGAACTGAGGGAAAACTATTTGCCTAACCACCCACACCACTGAATGCTTTCTTGGAATCTGCTGTGTGTTTAAGATGATATCCTACCCACACACATGTAACCTTTACCTTTTTGCAAACCAAATCTGATTCTACAAGGAAAGCACAAAAATAAAAATATTTTTCTCTCAAATTATATCAGATTTGTTTCTGCTCAAATTATCTCAGACTAGTTTTAAAAATTGTAAACTCTCCCATATCAAGCATCTAACTATCCACTGAATTTGGCTATGCAACTTCAGTTTTTAGAGAAGGTGGTAAAGTCTCTATTTTTAAGGGGGAAAAATTAAGGGTTACTAAGAAATATAGAAATAAAACTGGATTTTTTTTTTTTGCTTTGTTTTACAGTGTTTCTGGAACTTTCTTTCTTTTCATTCCTCAGTAGCTTTCCGGACTCTATCCTGAACTGAATCTTCTTTTGTGAAAGTTACCTTTGACCTGTGACTTGACTAAGCATGGGCTTTTTACAGTACGTGGTGCTTGATCAGTCTATGAATTCAACCCAATTAACATTTTCTCTGTAGAAATTGCTGCCATTGGCTCCCATGACATCATGCTTGTGTCCCTCTTTTAGTCTTTCTGACAACTTTTACCCAGTCTTATTACTCCCTCTTTTTACTTCACGTATTGTTTAATTATTGCTTCTTCCATGGGGTTCCATTCCAAACTCTCTTCTTTTTCGTTTCTACATACTTTCCCTGGAAAAATTCACTAAGCCATGAATAAAAGTATCAAATGGACATTCATGAATCCAGGCTTTCAGTCTCCAGCCCCATCTACCTGCCTGCCCTGACAATACAAACACTTGAATGATTATTACATAAATAAATATATTTCTAACTTCTGCCACTGTTTTCCAAAACCACAGAAGCCATCTTTATTTTGGTTGGCCATTTTATCCTTGGCAATAAGCACAGTCCCTGGCACATGGAAGGCTCTCAAAAAATCATCTTAGGTGTTGAAGGAGTGACCTCTTTTTGGCATCTCCTGATGCCCTCTAACTTTAATCTGTCACTATATCTTTTTGCTTCTATCAACTCACATATATTTCAAATCTGCTTTTTCACCATCATCCCCAATGACATTCTTTGGAGGAGACAGTATCTCCTGCCTACCATCAGCCTTGACTCCATCCACCAAACTATCAGTGTTCTTACTTTTTAGACACAAGTATGGTAGATGTACTCTCCTGTTCTTGAATATTTAATGGATTCCAAATTCTTCTAGTAACAAATCTAAATGCCTTAGCCCATTCTTCAGGGTTCTCAAACCCTAACCTGACTCTAACCTCTCTTTCCAATCCCATCTTTTCAATATATTCATCCTGTAATTCAGTAACTGCAGATGTCTCAAGTGCCCTGAACACTCCGTATTCTTTTTTTCCTATGTTGGTTTCCTCTGCTCTTTTGAACTTCTTTGTCATCTGTGTCTTGAACTCTAACACCTATGTGCATCTTATACTTTTAACTTATAAAATCCTATTTTTTGACAGATTGTTACCCAGTAGTCCTTGGGTGCAACTGATGAATGATGAATAGGGTCATAACATGAATGTAAACTCACTTTCTCTGACTTTAGACTCCGTCGTCTTTTGTGCTAAGGGGACCGTGGTTCCAGTTCCCAGCATATACTCACACTTTGCTCTTAGTCATTTTTCATTGCCATCCCTCTCTGCTGACTGCATTCAGGTCACCTTTTCTGTATCACTGTCTTGACTCTGCTCAAACCATGATCATAAAGAGATTTGTGGTAAATATCCTTTTATCACATGCATTGATCTTATTAGTGAGTCAGAAACCAGGGTGACCTCATTTTCTTGTTTTTCTACTGTACCTTTAGTTATAGAGTGCATTTCTTGATTCATTTTTAGTATATCTCTCCACTCTTGAAAAAATTGTCACAGGTCTTTGAGAGGCTGAGTTGGAAGACAGCTTACATAGGTAGCTATCTTTCACATAAAAAATCAAGTCTTTTCATTTCTCCTAGCCAAGCTCCTTGGTCTGGGTTTGTCACTCTGAGAGTCCTACTTGAGGATTAAGGCTGTGGGAGCCAGCTGTGAGTTCCATCTCCAAACATCGTTTTCCCATGGGTCTCACTGAATCCTCAGCCCAAAAAGCATTTCTAGTAGGCTTCTTAGATAACTACCTTATTAAAATGATTCACAAACTTAAGCCAAGAAGTATAAAGCCTATATAGAAAAGGTATCTCAAAATTAATATACTACTAGGAAGGCTGAAGTGGGAGGACCACTTGAGGCCAGGAGTTCAAGGCTGCAGTACGTTATGATCATGCATGTGAATAGCCACTGCACTCCAGGCTGGACAACGTAGCAAGATCTTGTTGCTAACATAATAATAATAATAACAACTTATAAGTGACCCAAGAATGATTAGCTGCTGTAGTTTTAAAAATGAATTATATGTATTCTCTGACATTGTTTGATAAAAAAGTATTAATGGTCCCACAGCATCCTACAATGATAGATGATTCGTGAGGAGTTTATGTCAGATTAATTAACTAGACAATTTATAAATGTGGCTACTAGCAAGGCAGATTCTGGATATCTTGAAGGACCAGGGGAAGAAAAAGAGATTTTCCCATATTCAGTGAGGTCATTTCTGCAATTAGTGGTTTGGAGTGGGTCCCCTTAGCAGAGTTTAGCTGGATGGAATTTGAACTCACTCTAATATAATATGATGGGGTAAAATGTTTTGATCATCTGCCATTTATTGACATACTAATCTATTATCTATTTAGGCTTTCTTCAATTCATTTCTAAGTAGCAAAAAGGAAAACATCTGTAGGTTCATGGTGATTATAATACTGAAAGAAAACCTTTTGCTCAGAAGTAGAGCTTTCCTTTAGGCTGAACCCCAAGAAAAATGTTTTATTTGCATCTTTATTATAAAGAAAAAAAGGCATAATATATTGGATAACTATAGTGTACATATAAGGTGCACAGTCTACAACTTTCCTCTAAGAAGTATAAATGTAGTAATAGTCATATGGCTGTGTTTATCGTGTTTTTAAGGTAATCATGCAATTCAATTGAGTAAAACTCTATAAACAGCAGAAATACAGTCTATGTGTGTGGTTCTGATGAATTAGCAAGAAGACTTAAGATTTCTCAAATTCATAAAAGAGGTAAGATTGTCAAAGATGTTTAGGGAATGTGTTTACATAAATGTTACATTGAAAACATAGGCTCTTTGAGGATTAAATGCTTCTATAAGCGAATTTAGCAAAAGAATACCCTTAATTGCATAAAGATTACTGGGGACAATAAAAATACATACACATGTCATGCTATTATGAAATCACAGGTGATCTGTGGATAATTTACACTTGGTTAAACCCCAATAGATTTTTTTCTCTGTATCATGTTGATTCATTATTTATATTAGATTGGTTATCTATATTAATGAAGTTAAACAAAGGGGCCAAATTTGTCTTTGCAAGACATTTTTACATTCTAACTAACCTTCAAGATCCAACTCAGGTACCATCACTTCCTAAATTTTCTTTCCCCTCTTTGTTTATATGTATAGTCTATTTTGCACAGCATACCTAACTATAATTTTATGCTCCAATTGTTTGAATCACGTGCACAGTTCTAGTGTAGTTGAAAATTATCCTAATATAATACAGTTCAATAATATGAGACTTTTAACATATGCCTTACATAAAGATGGAGTTTAAAGCCAAGACTCATGTACTCTATCTGGAAATCTAGGCAGCACAAATTCACTCAAGACTGAATGAGCGTTACAGAATCAGGTCAAGGTGGTAGAGTTTTGGAGACATTGAATGTTGTTGTTTCAGCACTGCTCAAAAAAGCACTGCATGAAAATATATCTGTAACTCCGTACAAAATCATGTCCATTGAAACTTTTCACTGTTGCAGGGATATAGGTTTTATCTAACATTATTCTATTATTGCTTTTTACTACAGTGCATAAACAGAGTATAACTCTGCTTGAATTTTGAATTTTCTACTAGTATATATTTCATATGATTTATTAGTTATTCAAAATATTCTGCTATATTTTAATTGTGAATCTTGATACTTCTCAATTTCCATAGTCCAGATTCAATACACACAATATTCCAATGGGTCATCACTGCTTCCATTAAGATTCTCCATCTCTGTCCTGGAATTTACCCTATCATTGAAATCATGGTTATGTGTAATGAACAAGCTAACTGCTCTAGCGTGGAAACACAAAACCTTATTTGTGATAATGAGATTTGACTTGTCTTCTTCCTCTCACTTTTAATAATATCATAATGTTGATGCATCTGAATGTAATTGGCATAAACAGTCTTAAGAAATGCTTTACTGCACCAGAAAACATAGATTAGAATTTAAATTATTATTGTTTTTCCAGACATTGACTTTTGGGGCCAGGCCAAATGGATTTCTGGTTCTTGGATTGTGCTAATCAATATAACTGTAGCTGTATGTTTTCAAGATTAATTTTATGACCATATTTTCTTATCTCAATAGCAAGAACATTTTTCATTCTCTTGTCTATTGGAATGAGCAAATTATTTTTGTAGAACATTAGAGGGTAAAAACTATAAGAAGGCAAGTGAAAAAATTCCCTTTCCCCTACTTTATCTTTTGCCCTTCCTTTATTCCTTTTCTTGTAGAAGAAGCAGGGGAAAGAGGAAAATCCCATTTTCCCTGCTTCTCCTATGTGTAGATAGTAGGAAATTAAGTAAAAAATAAATGTTTTACTTGAGCTCTTATTGATTATTTATATTAGATGAAAAGATAAGAAATGGATAATGGGGGAGATTAATCTCTAAAAAATATTAATTCACAATAAGTTTGGCTAAAACATCTTAACACATAACCAACAACTGACCTGTATTTGACCAAAGCTATATCCTTGTCATAAATACTCAGACACCCATGGACAGTATTTTTATGTGGAAGTATGCTAATAATTACTTAAGGTAGAGCCTCATTTGGGAGGACAGGTACCTAAAGCCTTCAGTGTCTTGGGAAACCTCTGAGATCAGTGGGCGGCAGCCCGCGGCTTGTCTCTGTTTGGTCTAGTGCTTAAGTGAACTTGCTAACTAAAGCCTTCCTTCCTCCTGTGTAAGTGAATGAAAAACCTCTCTCAGTTGCTATCCTGGCTAAGTGGGTGAATCTGATGTTTTTGGGTTGCATCCACTGGGTCTGAAGTTAAATGTTGTGGTTTACTACTTATTATCTGAAGATCAGAGATCTTCAACTTCAAACTACTATGCATTTTGAGTTATTTGTAAATTTCTAGAGATTTTTGAGGGTGCCCAGCTGGAGTGACATTTATTCCTGGATTTTATCATCTCAAATACAGCACAGAGCCTTATCTATAAATTATTCCCATATTCTCCCTTTGTGGATATGTGTAATGTCATTTATAGAAATAAATACTTCATTATACCTTTGGTCTTAGTGTAGGTTCTGTTTTATACCTTAAGAACTTTGAAGAACTATGTATATGTATGAATCCGTGTGTGTGTTTGATATCAATATGAGTATGCTTATGGTAATGAAGGAAAGAAAGAAAAGAATAAAAGTTAGGTGGGCATACAGAGTAGTAAGCATCTTGAAAATAAATCAAAGTAATAAACACATGGCTTAGAATGCATAATAATTATACTGATTTTCAGTTTGTCAAATAATCTGTGCTATCATATTCCTAAAGCAGGCATGTTAATAATAGCATCATGCTGATTTAAAAGTGTATACAATAATCCTCCACCAGACACATTCCTTAAATTAAACATCTATTATACTAAATTTTTGGTATAGCACAGTGTGTAATTATTTGTAACTTACTCACATGTATAGTATAGTATTGGAATTAGTGTGCTGTAGATAGACTAGATCTTAGAAACCATCTAAACCTGGGATTTTAAATAGGTATCTTTTCTTGTGTTAATGCCGTCGAAGTGGTAGTGGTTGTGTGGAATATTGTTTGAGAATTCTGGGACTGCATGTAGATTAGGAAAAAGGAATTCTATAATTGATTACTTGTGTAGGCATCGACCCAGCATAGAGAATGTTGGCAAGTATATTAGGTGTTTTGGCATCTCTAATCTATTTCAATATCCTGAATTCACAGAAAAAAAGAGAGGCATTTATGTAACACTTCAGAGATTGTGCAACTCATTCACATATGCTGGCACAGTTTCTTTTCAACAGTTTTGTAAAGTATGCAATATTTCGAAGCCCTAGAAAAAAAACAGCTGCTTTTGTCCCTGGCTGGCAGTGATCATTTGTGGATCTTGGATCTGAATTCCAGAAGCTCCACAATATTATTCTCACAACAGCACATGCCAAAAGATGTCCCCACTGGTAGCCACTCATTCATATTGCTTCTGTCTACATTCAAATGTCAGGTAAGATTCATCTGACCAATGAAACCTGGACATTTGTCCTCCCACAACTGCAAAGGAGTCTAGGAAATGTACATGTCTTAGAACATGTTCTCCAGAAAGCAGAGCCTGAGGCAAGGATTAACATGTTGACACTTTCTTTGAGAAGTACAAATCCAGCAGTGAGGGTGAAGAACATGAGTAGAGAAAGGTGCTATGATGCATTTCTGTGTTGGTTCCTGTGTTCAGGATGTGTATCCACTGGTCTGTCGTACTTCTCCAGAGCAGTTAAAAAGAGGAGCTGATTCAGGGTAATCTTTAGAAGGGAGAAAGGAGGAGAAATTTATCTATGGAGCTTTCTCCCATATACATTTCCTGTTTTACTAGACTGGCCTCACCACGGGCTAGTTCCCTCAGACTTTCAACTTGGGTAATTCAGGTCACTGTTGAATCCCACTCCTGGTACTGTGGCGTTTCCTCTAGGTCTGGAAATGTAGGGGAAAATCAGGGTGGATTGCTTCAACAGCTGAGGGATGTGGACCATGTGCCCAGAACTTCATCTCAGCCTCCTCCCAGGCTGCAAGCTCAGCAGAGTGAGGCAAAGTTCAGATATGGGTGGCACCTTTAGAAGGAAGAAGGCAGTCAAGGGAATCTAAGGATACATACCACGTTTTTACCCTATATAGTCAGGTTTTTGGTTTCTACCTTAAGAAGGCTGTTTTCACAACATAGAAAGCTCCCACGACATAGGGAGGGTACTCAAAAGATGTTGGGCACCCCCAATGGCAGATGTTCATTACCACCTCCCGCACCTGATCACCCAACTAAAGCATGTCTCCCTTGTCACTCCCTCCACAGCTCGCTAGGGTTTTTCTTCCTTAGAGCGTACCAAAATCTAAGCTTCACTAAGGCAGTATTACTTCTGTTTTCATCATCATTGTATACTCAGGAGTGAATACAGTGCCTGGTACAATATAAGTTTGGATAAATATTTGTTGGTTAGATGAATGAATGAATGAATACCAGACAGCAAATTATGAGCTAAACAATGGTATAGGTGGTTATTACAGGGATGAAGATAAAGAAAATAATCTTCACCCAACTTGGAAAAGTTTCACAGAAGAGGTGGGACCTGGGTTAGGCCTTGGCATATAGTTTTAACCAGAAAAGTAAAGAGAGTAGAGATACTCAAGGCAGAAAAGCCATGAAAGTAAAGATACATATGTGAAAATGGTCTTCATTGGTTCATAAGATGATGAAGAAACCAATGCTCTATCAAATTTCTGGCAAACGTATTAATACATATATTTATCTATGGATTTCTGCTGATCTCTAATTATTTTCCTAACTGAGAGGTCTACAAAGCATTGTATTGGAAGCAGGCCTTAATCTATCATGTCCAAACCTCTCCTGAGAGACATTTTCCTTCAGTGACCTGGGAAGCTGAACTTTCTTAATTGGATTAGTGGCATTTTGCTGTTTCAAACTGAAACAGGATCTACTGCCCTATACTAGCTAGCGCTTTATAATCTACATCATCTATTTTGCGGTCATTGTTGAAGCATCAGAGCTAACCCAGGGAGACAGGAAGTGGCATTAGATTTTTTTCTGTTTTAGCCCTGCTTAGAGATGTAGTCCAAGATGATAAAAACAATGTGACCTTTCTAGATCAGAATACGTTTTTGCTGTAGAGCTGAGGTTCACAAAGAAAAGCCTAAAGGAACTTTTCAGTGATTCAGGGTGGATATCTCCTGGGCACTTAATATTGCAAAGGGCCTTCGATTCAACCCACTTGCCCTCGGCTATTTTCTTAATGAGAAAGTGGATCCTACAAACTTTAATCCCATTTACCGAAATATCAAAGCAATCTGTACTTTATATCAAATAATTATATCTGAGGTAAGCTTAGGAAATTTAGCCATTTGTTGAGGGTTGTTTTTCCCATAACAAAGTCTCTAAATAGAATTATCAAGACTATCAAATGTTAATTTGTCAAGAGAAACAGAATAGCTAATAAGGATAATTAGATTTATATTGCAAATAGAGTATTATCATGAAGGTTTCCATGTCTCCTAAAGGAAGTATGACTGAAATATGACTGCAGGGAAGTCTTAATCAACCAAACTCTAGAGTCATTTTCTCTTCAATGTACGACAGAATCTTGCTCTGAGGCAGCGTTAGAGAGAATGCCACCCTGGCATTTTAGAACTCAGGTCTTCAACTGTGACTTATCTCCTGAAGAAAAGCACCCTCATTCATTAAATAGACAGGGAAAGGTGGCTGCCTGGCTTCCCTGGCTTTTCTGATTAAGAAGAGAGATGAGCATACAGCTTCTATCCCTGCACAAGGGCAAACACCAGCCTGCTGGCAGAATTTTCAAAGATTCCAAGATTTCTCATGGATGAGGCTTCCAATGACTTTTCCCTCCAAGAGTAGACATTGATCACCTTGTAGCAGAAGTTCTGAATACCTAATGCTTTTTCTGCACTTCTAGGAATCTGAGAGCATTTGCTCTACACCTTGTATTCTATCTAATTCTGCCGTCTCTTGTTCTCCTCCACTCCGAATGTTTCTTCTTATAACATTAGCCTGGTGAATTATAATTTTTTGAGACGTTGGTCGAGGTACAATTTTAAATTGCTTTTGTGAAAACCAATACCTGTTATTTGCATTGCAGGTAAGTTATTTCAATTTTAGGGCAGGGATTACAAATTTTTTTCGTCAATAAAATCCCAAAGAGGACAGAAAGAGAAGGAGGGGTTTGCTAAAAGAATGAGATTAGAAAGACAGCTGCTGACAGTAAGTTTTTTTTCTCAGGAAAAATCAGAAAACTTCCCTTGTTCTCCTTCCTTGGCCCCTAATTAACGTGACTACCCATGGGAAGAGCAGCTGTGTCAGCCACTTCCCTTTCCTGTCTTTTTCAATGAAAATGACCAGAAACTGAAAGAAGTTCACAGTGTGGCAACTGCACAATCTCAGTTAAATAGCCTTGAAGACCACAGGTTAATCGGTTGGATCCTTGGTTATTGAAAAACTGGTTGAAGAGGGACAGCTTCCCCTTGCCATGTACTGGCTAACACCACTAGTTTTCTCACTGTTCTTCTCCACATGACTGTTGGACTCCATTCCATGCTTCTTGCTTCCTCCTCTATATTCTCCATTTAGTTACTTTGAAAAAAAGCTTTATGTACATATAAAACTTTATATATATAATATAATATATATATATATACACACACTCAGTTTTGAAACTGTGAAACAAAACACCCATAATCCTATTGCCCAGAGATAAGCATCTTTAACATTTTCTTTGGCATTTGCTATGCACATATATGTAGTTAGTTTTGTAAAATTGGAATCATTCTGTATATTTTATAATAGTTTAACTATTTCTCACATGAATATACACTTCTGTAGTAAGATCTTATATGACTATATGTTCTTCTATTGTACGAAAATCCTATTATTCGGTCTAATTCTGAGTATTTATGTTGTTTTGAAATCTTTTGTCATAAATAAGACTGAAATGAACATTTTAGCATTTAATATTTTATAGATATCTCTGAGAATTTCCTTAGGGTAAATTTCTCAAGAGGGAATTTTCAAATCAGATTATAGATATTCAAAGAGTCTCCAGAAAGCTATTATTTATTTATTTCCCATTTAATGCCAAATAAGTGTTGATTTTTCAACATAGCATTACACTATACAATATTAAAGATGAAAGGTCTTATGTTTGATTCAACTTCTTAAAAATGGAAACTTTTATAAGGAAAAATTTAATTTCTTTAATTTATATGAACATTCTTGACTTCTTCGGTTTTAAAATTAATTTGGACAATACTGCCATACTTTAGTCTCTTTATGAAGTAGTGACAAATTAAAATTAAATACCTTTCCTTTTATTTTAGGATCTCAGATAATCCTCCGCAGAAGAGCCCATATGTAGGATCTATGTGTCTGGACACAAATTCAAAAGTCCCATCCCTCCTTGACCAACCAGCAAATGCATTAAGAAAACAATATGTGCCCCCCCATAGCAGATAGCAACAGAACACAGGCTATGAGCAGTCATGCTGTGCTAGAAATTTAGTTTCTTCACCACTCAAAAAGAAAGAAGGGAGAGCATTATACTAAACCTCTGTGGAATCTTAAGTGCCCCCAAACCAACAGACATATTGCATTTTACATGAATGGATTCACTACCACTATCATGACCAAAGAGCAGTTACAAGGCATCCTCTTGTGGTACTAGTACAAAACAAATAGAGAATTATGGCCCCTACTCTGGAGCTGCTTGCTGAAGTCTCTTCTAAGATCTGCCAGTAGCAAGCAGTGCTCATAACAAAACCATGACATTGAGCTTGACGCAAGTAGAGAAAAACAAAGGAAAACATGCTACCCCAGTAACTACCATATAACCACCTAAAACAGAATAATTACAAAGTGAATAGGGAAACAGAAGAAAAAAGAATATACATGGTTTCCTGATGCCACAGTGTGGCATTGCTACAGAGGACTAAGAAACAACTAAGGCTGACAAACCAGTCTGGCATGGAACTAAGAGGGAAGGTGGTTCCTTCTCAGTTAAGCTTTATGTTAGTGCTGCATTGAAGAGGTAGCATCACATCAGCAATAGCTTGTAACAAAAAATAATCATGGGATGTAATTTAATGTATGCTTAGGATCAAAAGAACCAACAATCTTTGCCCATTAACAGTTTAATCAGATGTACACATGGATCATATCACATGTACATACTTAGTTTAAGTCATTTATACCAAGCTAACAGAAAAAGGATAGCAATTCCAAACATTTTGCTAGCACATAACTTTGCAAAAAAATTAAATTGGTGAAGAAAAGAACCATGCAATTTTACATTTTTGGTGTGTGTTTTCAAGCTGCTTCCAAATTTATAAAATCACTTCCCTTTATAACAAAGGATTTTCAGAATCTAAATATCAAATGAAATACTCCTAGCACTTAAAGAGTTTATTAGACACATACAATTACGTTCAATGAAGTTATGAGGGAGCTTCAAAGTGGAAGATTAAGAATTCACAGTGATAAAACTTCAAACACATCTCAGAATAAATTCAAGCTTTTTAGCTAACATATGTGTCTTTATCAATTTTTTAAACGCAGAAGGGCCCATGAAACACACAGCAGAATTCAATGTTCTATGCTAAATGCAGAGAATTGTATAGTTCACAGCATGACTTACATATATTATCACCTTTCCTCCACAATGCTTAAAGCTATTAACACAAAGCAGAACACATCTCCACATTAACCTATGTTCTGCTGTATGTAACAAAGACTGCCTTCCTGCACCAAGGAAAGAAGTGACTCTTGAAATACCGAGTGGAATTTCTTTAACCAAAATAAGATTGAAGCACTGGCAGACCCACAGCAGGTGATCAGGAGCCACATGCTTAATGGACAAGACCAATTCTTTGCATTCAGTCTAATAATTATGTCTCAAATTTTTAGACTGTTGTGTTCGTTGCCCTCCTAGTCCAACCTCTTCAGCAGCAACTGGTGCTGCTTCAGCTCCAGCACTGGTACCTAGGCCACTCTCTGACACAGGCTGGTCAACAGGTACCAGCTGATGAGGAAGTACAGCTCCGACTCCAAGACAGGCACTGGGCATCTGGCCACCAGGGCTTGGCCGAGGCTGGGCACAGGGCGAGAGGTGGGAACAGGTGGTGGGCAAAGCATTCAGGCCCCATGAGGCTGGACCAGGCCAGGGCCAGGCCTCCACCCCAGGTACATGCCACAGCTAAGCTGTGCAACTCAGAAGGGTATAATTTAATGTATTTTTACCTGCAGTATGTGAACTTACTTATAAACAGTATTGATAATGTTACTTTTTTTTTTTTTTTTTTTTTTTTGAGACGGAGTTTTGCTCTTGTTGCCTAGGCTGGAGTGCAATGGTGTGATCTCGGCTGACTGTAACCTCCACCTCCCGGGTTCAAGCAATTCTCCTGCCTCAGCCTCCGGAGTAGCTGGGATTACAGGCATGCACCACCACCCCCAGCTAATTTTTGTATTTTTAGTAGAGATGGGGTTTCTCCATGTTGGTCAGGCTTGTCTCAAACTCCCGACCTCAGGTGATCCACCTACCTCGGCCTCCCAAAGTGCCTGGGATTACAGGCATGAGCCACCGTGCCCGGCCTGCCTCTTTTTATTTTACCCATTTTATAAGGAAAATGATGTGGAGTTAATTTTTATTTTTTGACTAAACTTGAATTAACTTTATTCATTGACATTTTATATATATACATAATATGCACTAGCCATTAACATAAAATATCAAGTTTTTTTGTGTATGTGTGTTTATGTAAATTTTATCTTATTCCCTTTCAATTTTAACACATAATGCTAAATTTAACATAGTCAAATTTGTCAATAATTTCTCATATGATTTTGGCCATTTAAAAAAGTGTTTGGAAAGACCTTCCCCACCACAAGATCAGATTAATACTGAGCTGCATTTTCTTCTGGTTTTCTATGATTTTGTTTTTTAACAGTGTACTATTTAACCAACTTTGAAAGTTTTTTGGCAAATAAGATAATGTAGAGACAGTATTTAATCCTCAAAGAGATAAGAATTACTCTTATACGCTATTTGATTTTTCCCTGTCTTGTGGTGGGATACTCTCTTGATGTGGTAATTCATTAGCTGAAATTTAATTTCTTATTTTTGCTGAGAATAATCAGCTGAAGGGCCTTAGGATTCTGGTGGCAATGGGAAAGTTTGAAAGACAGTGGCCAGGTAGTTACCTCTGGCCCCACCAGAATTGTTGTAGACTTGTACAAGGAGCTATGAACTCACATTCTAACAGGTAAAGGACAGATGATGGAACTACCAATATCCAGCTCTTTTGGGGCCCAAGAGAAAGTAGCTTTCATAACTGTTGCTATTATTTCAACCACTACTCATACTCTAATACTACTACATCCACCACTCAAAATTTATTGAGATCTTATAATGTTTAAGATTATACTAAGGACTTTATATACAACACATATGTGAAGATTACAAATATTTATTTTTCACACACACAACGATCCCCTCCATTATTCCAACTTTATAAAGAGCACATTTGAGTTGGGTCTTAGAGAAGTTAAGTAAATTGTACAAAGTTTAAAATCTGAATTTGTAATCCTTATTCTATGTTGCATGTTAATAATAAAAAGTAAATTTGAAATAATATGTTTATGTGGAAGACATAGCAAATAGCTAATGATCAGCAAGGTGACTACAACTTTTAACACCCTACACAGCTCCGAAGCACTGTGTCCCAATGTTCCTTGTAGGAATCTGTCTGCTTTTCAATTCTGCTTTTGTCAAGTTCTAATTGGATCTGTTATCTAGTGGACCTACATACTTTTTAGGGAATAAATTATTATTTTGAGTTTTTCTTTAAGATTTTGTACCAGATTTGTTATGTTACTATTATTAGGCTATTGTGAATGGCAAACTGTAAACAATGGTTTTTCTGTGGTTTTCCTGTTGTCTAAAATGTGAGTATTAGCCATAAGTGGAGCCTGCAACTAGTCCATTTGCTTTTTCAACCTATGTTGGGAGTTCCTCCTACCAAATATTATTAGAGAAATAAGGAGGGTAACTGAAAGGAAGATGATGACTGAAAGTTTAATCCACTGTGAGAATTGGGGCAAGACACATAAGTAGCTGTGAGAATCAAGGCAAGACATGTAAATGGTGGGGTTCTCAATTTCTTTGTAAAACAGAGAAAATAATCCCTGCCTCGTTAAATTGTTTTGAAGAAAAGATAATATTTTAAAAATATAAAATATGGAAAAATCCTTTTGAAATTTTGAAACAGTATAGAAAACATGAGGAACTAACTTAAGCTTACCAAGAGAAGAGTGTGGCTTTCTGCTCTTAGTGTAGTAGGTTGATTCTGGTTTACTCCTAGTGGAGAAGACATTAATTCAGACTTCTGGATATGGCTCTATGTTTACACACTTACACTTTTATTATACCCTATGAAACAGAAAACATGAGAATATATTGCTAAACATTAGTTTATTTTGTCTTCTAGAGGTAGTTTCAGCTTCTGAAAAATAGCAGAAACAATTATATTTAAATCTGAGCCCCAATATATAAAATGCAGAGTTGCATGAAGTGAATTCCAAATCCTTCTTAACTTGGTAAAGTTTCCCCCCGGATTAGCAGAAAGTATACCCATAGCATAAACATTGTTCTTATTCTAAAATTTATATTAAAATATATCATTCAAAGATGTATTAGTATAATCTTAGAAAAGGAAAATTTAATAATTCAGTTAATGGCCAAAATTTTAGAGAAAAGAGACTGAGAAAATACACAATGGAGGAAACGTTGCCTAGTAACTTTAAGTCTTTATAACCCAAATTTATTAAAATAATGCTTTCCAAGAAATAATTGTTTCGATATGTATTTTTGATAATAAAATAGTCCTAGACAAATGGAATATTGTGACTATGTAACATTAACCTCATTCCAGTCCCACGATGTGGTGGTAAACAATGTGCCACTGCTACTAACATTTATTTTCTACTTTTAATATTAGCAATAGAGTTGTAGTTAAACTATCTCTGGAAGATTATTGATTTTCATAGGTAGTTCAGGTCTTCATACTCCAGGTTCAAGATCTGATATCACCCAAAGTATGGATCCATTACTTTGAAATTAACCATGCCACTAACTACTATTGCATGTCGTTAAATTGTGAAAATTTTGTCTATGTTGCATGTTCTTTCAATGTTTTAGTATGTCACACTTTTTCAAAATAAGCTTCTTGGCAGTAGTAGGCCACAGAGCTGAGTAATAAAATATGAAATTTAAATCTGAATTTATTTTACTTACTATCATTCTGCATCGATTTTGTGTGTCTTTTTCTCTGTCTATGATCTCAAATTGGCTATTCTTTTCTGTAAGCTATTATCTGCGTCCACAATATATTGCTGACTATTGCATTTGCATGGATTGTGTCACATTCATCATTCATTGGTAAAAATCAGAACTGAAACTCAATAACTACAGTTTTATTTCTTCATTACTTTATGTTATTTTGGTATAAAGACAGGATTTCTATCATTATCTAGTGACAATCATGAATTACCCTTTCTACAAGGAGGGGCTCAGAATAAATTCAAGATGGAAACATCAACACAATCAGTTGAAATATTGAAGCCGTTTAAGAACCAGATAATAAATATTTATTGATCTGCTAACATTTCTAGGATATAATACTTGTAGTTCTTAGGAAGCAATATAGTACAGTAAAAGAAAATGTAGGATTTTGCATACAACAAATTTGAATTTAAATGTAGGCTTGCGGTGTAACTAGTTTGGGGACAATGGGTAGGTCGCAGCTTTTTTGATTATAAAAGGCAGCTTTTTTGATTATAACAATACTTACCATACATACCTGTTGTGAGGGGTCTAGATATAAACTTCTGAACATAGTGACTGGTACATAATGGGCTCTGAATACACTTAAACTACTCTTCTTGAAACCAGACGGGTCTCACTAAAACCATGGTTTTGCCTCTTAGTAGCTTCGTGACTTGAATCAAGTTCCTTAATCTCTCCAATCCTTTGCCTGACATGAGGGAAAAAAAATGATAGTCCTCACTTGAATCCCTTTCCCTACAACTACATTGCCAACCCCCAAATCAATTCTCTACAGTGTATTATTTTTTCTTCTAAAAACTAAACATATTAGCATGGTTTTCTGGAAGAACCTTCCCAAATTGAATTATTGCCAAGACCCAGCTGGGCTAAGCAGTACAGAGATGAGTTGATTGAATTGTTCATGCATAAAGGTAATCAGCCATTCAAACCCCGGAATGTAATTCCCAGAAAAGAGTGAGGCACGCTTTCCACCTGACAGTATTCACTTTTCTAACATGTGCTATTTCATGTTTCTCACCACATGTGGCAAAAGTGGTAGTGGAAACATGGAAAGAGAGCAACACAGTTTCTGGTAAGAAGACGAAGCTCAACTTGTCGTTTTCCCCTAGATTTTCTAATTGCAATGCATGGTAGTCATTTTATTTCAGAGCAGTTCATTTGCAATTTTCTTTATTCTCTCTTCTAGTAATCTCAAGCCTGGTTAGTATATCCTTCAAATCTTTATCTAGATTTATGGTTTGTGTCAGTCACATGCCTTATAACTATTTAAAGAGAGATTTAAGATTCATTTATTTGGATACAAGAAAGGATGCACTGATGAATGATATTTAGAAAGGGAAATAGACACTGCTCTCCAAACAGAATGTGACATGAAGACACATTTTCAGTGATTTACCACAGCATGAAAAAGCATTAGATTCCATTCCTATTCTACTGAACATTTATCTTCTATTCCTTGAGCTTATACTTTTCTCAACTGAAACTTTGGAGGAAAGAGAAAGGCAGTTAATGTTTTCTGAGAGCCTATAATATGCAGCAGTCGGGGACACTTTGTCTAGGCTCTCTAATTTAGAACCACCACCCACTTTGTAACATAGATGACATTTACCCTGCTTGTCAGATGAGGCAGGACGGTTAAGAGAAGTTACCAGTGTGCCTGTGGTCAGTCACTATTAAGCCACAGACCTGAGCTTTGTGCCCTCCCTACTGTTCTTGTACTATATGCTGCTTTCTAACGTGCTATGCTTAGATATTTAGTTTTTGGTAAAGTTCAAGTCCTGGTTTTAGGTGGGCCAAAATAAGTGAAACTATTTCTTTAACCTATTTTCTTTGATGCTAGCCTAACCTATATATCAGTGAGATTGAAGTTGTGAAACCATAAAACCTCAACTCAAAGGGCAATCAACTCAAAGGGCATTGTTAGGTAGATCAGATTAAAGATTCATGGGAAATATGCCAGAATTTGAAGACTTTTGCACATGGAAGTAAAATGTTAGAAATTTCCCTTTCCCAGAGAATGCCAAAATGGGAAATAATTTTTCTCACTGATACATCTTGGGGTATTTTGGAAAAACAGAGTTGTGAATTGCAATGCTATATGAATTAAGAATTACTATTTTTAAGGTAAAACAGACAGCAGGCATTTTGAAAAAATGTGAGCAAAAGAAAGCAATCTCTTTAGGAATGCTGCTGAGCAAGATCTTGTACTTTTTTTCAGCAGTAACCGATGGGAACAGATTTTTCTGGATTTCTCTGGAGTCATAATTAAGAGCCTTGCATCAAGGAAGTGATCATTCTGATGTGGTCCCATGAGGGAACATAAACATCATAGAACGTACCAGTTTAGGAGAAGACAGAATTAGAAAGCAAGAACCAAGAAACATCAGAAACAACCAGAGTGAGAGAATTCTCTCAGTCAAACCAGTTTCTCTACTTCTCTGTGAAGAGTTTAAAAGTTAATATCATGACTCCACTAATCTTAATTTTTTGTATACATATTTGTATCTACATAAAAAATACAAGAAAAATTATCCAGCTCTCAATCTATATTGCAACTCCTGCTTTTTGTTGCCTTTATATATGACTCTAAATTAAAGAACTCCTTTCAAATACACTCAGATATTTGGGTCAGGAGGACCTCTATTCATCATTATAGGCAAAATTTGGTTGTCCCTAGCAACCAGGTAAAAAATGGTACTCATAATGGAGTATTGCTAGAGGGAGGCTTGGTCAGCTTGGCTAGACATTCCTAGATATCACACTATGGCTAGCTAACACCAGAAAATACTTGGATCATTAGTATTTATGAGCCTGAGCCGCTCAACTTTTAAGAATAAATAAAGCTTCCTGCGTCTCTGTTGGAGAGCATTCTCTGACCATGGAAATGTGGTAGGTCCAAGAAGTGCAGACCAGGAATCTGGGAAAATCAGAATCTTAGGAGTGACCCTCACCAGTGAGGGATGAGATCTGGTGGATAAACACTCCAGCTTTCTTGCCATTGCTGGTACAGTACTGAAGAATGTTCTGTACAGCTTCTTAGAGAATCTCAGTGAGACTGAGCCTACATTCCCATAGTGGTAATTTGCTGATTAACAATATAAATATTAGCTATATTCACTTCCTTCCTTCTTTGTTTTACTTCCTTATTCTTTCACTGTTCTTCCTGGGATCACTGCCTAGATAAACCATTTGCATTTGGATTATTGTCTCAGAGTCTGCTAACCCAAACTAAGAAAACCACCTGATTTTTTCTACCTAATATACAGAAATATACTTAACTTATCCAAGTTAAAATAGATTTTTTAAAAAAATTTTTGGGCACATAGTAGGTATATATATTTATGGGGTACCTGAGATGTTTTGATAACAGGCATGCAATGTGAAATAAAGTAGATTTTAAGAGATTGTGTAAAGAGTTCTTGTCATGTTTTGTCTCTAGTGAGACTAGTATTTTGGGGAGTGTAATGGAATTGGGGAAAATATCTTGGAAAGATGTGGCAGTTATAGGACTTGATGGCTATTGACCAGGAGAATCTAATTTTCAACAACATTCCAAGGTGGGCACACCTATGGCACTTACTGTATGCTGGTGCTGTACTGTGTTCTTGCTGTGTGTATGGTAGTGTGTGAGTGTGTGTGTGTGTGTTTGTCTGTGTGATATGATGATGTGCTATGTTTGGACTATGTTTCTGGTCCAGAAAATTTGAGAAAAGTTTAGCACAATGAAGCCAGGAAAGTTTTATCACGCAGGTGACATCAAAATGTGCCTCTTAATGTTTATATTACACACAGTAAGCATTTAGATCACACTTTAAAGTTCACGTTGAAATTGAGGCCAGAATATTTGAGATTAAAATTCATAAGACCTTCCTCTTCTAAGATGTATATTCTTATGTGTTCATCTTCAAAGGAGACCCTATAATTTTACTTCAAACAAATACAGTGATTTAACTTAAAAAGCTGGGATAACGAGTGGTTAATAGGTTTTAGGAATTGTTTAAATATTTTTTATTGTGAATCCGTGTGCTTTAGAAACGTTTGCTCCAAGAACTCTTTCCTTAAAGAGAAGAGGAAAGCATTTGGAAAGCATTTAGGTGGTCTGAAGGACTTCTGGTAATAGTTACTGATACAGGTTGAAGCCGTATTTCCAAGCAAACTATTATAACGATTTGGCAATTGACCAGAAGATAAGAAACCTCTGGTTCATTCTAATTCTTCTATTTCCTGGAATTTCAAGACTCATTCCTTCTAATTCCACTCCAGGAAGTAGAATGATATTTTTAAAACTATCAATAATCCAAATTACCATGAAGAATCCCATTTTTAAAAGCAATTCCTTTCTCTAAACTAAGGAATCTGTTTCTTCATTTTTTTTTTCACTAAAATAAATTTTGGTCATTCCTTCTGATTTCACTGTTAAAGAACTAGCTATGAAATTTGCACAATTTCATACAAAATAAATTTAACAGCAGTAACATAAAAAAGTTATTTTTCCTACCTACATAAACAATTGTAGTTATATTCTTACATGATGTTGATCATAAGAGATAAGAACTAAAAAAAACCAAAACTAACTGGAACAAAAGATTTGATTAGAAATGACAGTTGTTTGAGGGTTTATTTTTGTAGGACAAAAGCTAGCATTTAATTGTTTATTTTACAGTTAGGGAGTTTACATTATGGAGGTATTCATATCTCCATTTCTTTCGTTGTGCTGTGACACACTTCCTGAATATTTCAAACCACTTTGTTTTGCAAGACTACTTTGCATTCTGAAGAGGTTTCCTGCTTAATTTAGTTCCGTCAACTGATTGCCATGGAAACTCTTGATATCCTTTCCTCTTCCTGGAATGAGACACTGGCTCTGTTTCAAATAGATCTTTTGGCACAGAAATAGAGTATGTTTCATAGAGCAAAATGTGCTGTCAATAAAAGAGGGTCCTTCAGAGGGATCTACTGAATGGACAGGAGCCACAAATACACACATCACTACTGAACAGAAAGGTAGTTGAACAATTAAAACCAGGTAGCAGCATAGTTCAAATCAAAACAAAGTGATGCCTAACCGACTTTTTAATTTTATTCACAAGTAAGTTGAAATCAATGCTTTACTGCATGCCAACTGAGCAAAATCAAAACAGAACAACCAATGATATATTACCCTAAAATTTTATGAGACTGAATCAATCTGAATTTCTCAAGGGCATCTCAAAGCAGATTAAATTGGTGAATGTGAACAGTTGTGCTGGAAAAATAATTTCTATAATTAACTATAACACAAAGATCTACCATTTTTCTTGCCATGGATTTTATTTTAAAAGTACATTTCTCAAGCAATAGTGACTGTAATAAATACATTGGGTCATCCTATTAAGCCCTCCACTTTGAAATGAGGATCATATTCTGGGTTTATTCTACTTATATTTAACAATTTTTAAATATGGAATTTGGAAAGTTAGAGCCAGTTACAATCATGAAAAAGAGAAGAATGATTATGTTTACAGTGTATTTACTACTTTACTTTGTGTATGGATCGCTGAGAAAAAAACTTCAATTGCATGACTATATATGCATGTGTGTTTACAACTGTTGTGGATGACCGTGTGTGTGTTTATGTATTGCATACAGACAGGTAGTTGTCAAAAGTACAGATTAATAGAAAAAGAAGTAGGTGTATATTGGGAGAAAGAGGAAATTCCTTTCTGATGACTCTCTGTAAATTCAAATATATGATAGCATCTTTAAAGTTAGAGTATCATGTGTTAATCTGTTATTTTTCATAATATTCAGGTTTTGCATATCCTTTGGAAAAAATGAGTGGAAGACAGCTATCTCCACCCAAACTTGTAGAGAGCTGTTTTCCTAAGACATTAAAAGTGAGAAGAGGCAAAATTTTGCTTCCTTGTAAACCTTGAATTTAGCAGCAGACACATAATGGTTTCTTTTGATGGCTTGAAGTTTGTCTATATAAAAATCATTGGTTATGATTTTGTTTTTTCTGATTGAGGTGGTAGGCACACATTATTTACTTTTCCCACAGTCAATTTACATCAAGAAAATATGTTGCCCTACAAAGTTTATTTACAATGAAAATTCACGTGCATGGAGAGTACTTCCTAAAAGGAATGCATATTTAGCAAATCTGGAAAAAATAATAAAATAATTGTATAAATTCTAAATATTATAGGTAAGAGATTTTAAAACTCAGTTTATTATTTTTTGGGTCCACTTTGATTATCTAAATTAGAAAAGTATATGGTACCTTCAAATTAGCTACAGCCTTAGCTGATTTGTCAAAATGTATTATAGCAACTCTGTTTTAATATCTCACCATGACAAAGCAGTAAAGCTCTGGTTATCACAGTATATTGCTCACTTTCAGTGTGATTTACTCTTAGCAGTCTGTGCATAAATGAAGCATAGTTTCACAATGTCTGCTTTTTGTTGTTGTTGTTGTTAAAACAAATGCCTTAGTGTCTGTTACACTCATATCTCTTCCTGGACTAGTTTCTCCAAATACATTTTTTTTTTAATCCTGCACGGACAATTGGAGTGCATACTGAAGACTGCATGATGGAAATCTCTGACCTAATTCTGCAGTCATGAGAGGTTTGGAGAGCAGTGATTAAGATCTAAACATGGACATACATGTTTCAGTGAAGTATCTTAACTTTATCAGCCCCTTAACCAAAGTCGAGTTATTTTTATTTGCTTTCTTTTTTGGATCTTTGCAGATGCTAACATCTTTCTTTCTCTTTCTCTTTCTTTCTTTCTTTCTTTTTCTTTCTTTCTTTCTTTCCTTCCTTCCTTCCTTCCTTCCTTCCTTCCTTCCTTCCTTCCTTCCTTCCTTCCTTCCTTCCTTCTTTCCTTCTTTCTTGATTTCTGAATGTGACAGAGAGTTCTGAGGAGGTGGGGAGCTTTCCTATGACCCATTTTCATTCTTTGAACCTAATTTAGCAACTTGTGTATACATTATTGTCTGTGTTTGTAAAATGCACAAACAATACTGCGACTTAAACACCAGATTCATACTAAGGAATTGATCCTTACACTAGTCAGAAAGCACTTGCCTAAAATGAATATACTCTGACATGGAAACTAAAGCTCTGTTTCTGGAGAGGGCAGAATAGAACCAGTGAGTGGAAATTATATAGACACAGATTTTAGCTCCATCTGAGGCACAGCGCATCGATAAGTAGCCATAGCATTCTTATTTCATGATGGAGCAGAGCTTGCTGTCTCTTGGATGGGTTTTCGAGTTGTTGGTGATGAGTTAATTATGTGGTGAGAGACCTTGTTTTCTGCCCTCTTTTCTGTTTGTCATCTGTCCTTTTTTCCTCCCCTCTTTTTTCCTTTTCTTCCCTTCTCTCTTTCCCTCTTTCCATTCAGTCTTCACACATGTATTAACGTCCTATTGTGTGTCAGATACTTTGCTTCTAAACCTAAAAGTCTGTTATTGAGAAGTAATAGTTAATTATGTGAAGAAAAACATTCAGTACTCCTTCTACTGAGAAGGGCTTGTCTCTATTTCCTTTCCACTTAACACTGACAATTTTAGAGCACATTAAAACTGAGGAAACTAGCAATGCTGTTTCAGAAATTAATTTTTAAAAGAAAACCAAAAGTCTTTTTTCCATTGATTATATATCTTAATTTGCTGCTGGAAGTAACCAGGCACCCACAGAAACAGCAAAAGGTGGACAATGAAAATTAGAAAGCATTTAAACCTGGGCACCTATCCCCAGTGAGCCTCTCCAGTTTTATCCCTGCAAAGAGTTAATGAAGGTAGAACAGAAGGGCAGAGCAAGCAGCTGTTTTAGTTTTTAGTGGGGACAATCAGTAGGATAAGAATGGACACATGTCAAGTTACCCCCCCTGCTGTCCTTAGATAAAAAGGCCTCTGAGACACAGACTGTGATGCCAAACCATGTCCATTCTGCCTGTCGTATGGAATGCCAATCCCTGAGATGGTAAGTTTTACAGCGGAGAAAGAGTTTATTCATGAGGCAGTCAAGCAAGGAGGTGGGAGAACAGGTCTCAAATCTGCTTCCCTAAAGATGGGATTTTAAGGATATTTATGAGACAGAGGAGTGAGGTAGTCTGAAGTATGAGGAAAAGTCATTGGCAGTAAAGAAGAGTGAGGTTATCAGTGAACTATGCAAGCATAGCCAAGCTTCATGGCTCTTCATAGGATGCATGTTCACATGGTGGTGGTGTTAGCATGATCTGTAGGTAGAACATCAAAAGTGTACCTATCGAACACTCAAGCAGGGTCAGTGGTCGCAAATGGCTTGAACTGGACTAGAGCTGACTCTAAGTTCCTGAAAAACAACTTCAGTAACCATCACCATGGTGACCTATATGTCAGAGATGTTATCTGTGAGGAAGCTAGTGCAAGTTCAGTTATATATTGCTTAGCCACATGACCTTTAGCTACATAGATTTTAAAATCAACTAAAGGCAAGTAGCTAAAAACAAGCAAGGCAGGTTAAGCTTGGCAGACCTAATCAGGTTAGCCCTTGGTTTCAACTGTAAGTTGTCTCCCAATAATCCACCTTCCCTTTCTCCATTTTAACAGAAATTTTAGTCTATCTTATGACCACTCAGAATCCCAGTCCCACTACGTAGCCCCGTCTCCCTTGCAGCAATATGATGCCATGTGTCTTAAGTTACGACCAATATGATAGAAGACAACTATCCCATGACAGCTTTTGGGAAACTTCCTTAAGACAGCTAATGTACACCGTGGCCCTTCCTCTCTTTGGCTTCTTCTCCATCCTGCTACCTGGAATGCAGATGCTACCATCTTGCACTGTGGGGTCCAGCTATGACAGAATGGTAGCTGGAAAGAACTAGGTCCCTGAAGAGATCATGGAATGGAGCTGCCATAATCATCCCAAATTGCCTCCTTTATACTTGTCCTCTCTAAGTAACGTTATTTTGTTATTTTAAAAACAATTCATAGTCAAACACAATCCCAACTAATATGGGCACCTTATAGGAAGGCTAAAGGCAGCCTGTCTCCATTTCTAAGATTGACACTTAGCATTCCTAGTAGTGGAGGAACATAGTTTTTCAGAAAGGTCTATAAATTATGCTTTTACTAGGGATTTTACCTATGTTTTTCTTCACTTCATCCTCATAGGTGGTACCAGGCTCAAACTATGAATGATAATATAATATGTTATCAGAGAGATAACATAGGAACTTCGTTTAAGTCTGGGAATTAAACACAGATCTACCTGACTCAAAACTTACATTTTTTTTTCTATCATTCTATATTGCCTTCTTGATATTCTGCTTTAAGATTCCTCCTCAGTCACATATTTCTATGGCTGATAGACTGGTTGGTATCCACTTAGCCAGTAGCTTTGAGAGAAGGCTCCAGAGTAGGTGAAAGAAGTTTTCCTTTGTATTAGCAAGTGAAGACCGATTTCCAATATAAAGAGAAAATGTCAAGTGTGACTTCTATTTGAGAAAGATTTGAAAATAAATGCTAGATCTGATTTTATATTATCTATAGATTATTGGTTTTAACTGGCAGCCCAGGCTGATTTTAGAGTTACGTATACATTTATATTGTCTCATAATATTAAAAAAAAAAAAAGTAATTAGTTGTTAAACTTTAAAAGGGAAAATCTGGGTTGCTTTCCCACATGACAATCAGCTGATGCTGTGTATGGCTGTCTTTATCAGTGGGCTTGCTATAGTTAGTCAGCCCACTCCACTCATTTTCATTACTGACCCTTTCCTGTTAGTCATTTGAGAAGTTTACAGCCTTTGTGTGGACCCTTTTCCTTGAAGATGATTAAACACACAACAGATTGTTAACAGTTGCCAGTATGTTTGGCAAATTAATTTATCAATCTTAACTTCAGACTTACAGTCCTTATTTGTAAGTATATAAACACCGGTGTATTCTTCTTATTTTTAAGAATAATTTGGTGACCTCTAGAGAGGTCTATGCGGTCTCTTCAGAGCACCTATAAACTTCTTTAGAGAAATTCATAGATAAAACAAATTATCTCTGCATTTTGGAATATAGACTTGGATTATTTCAAAGTCCTAGACATTTTCTACACGGTTCTGTTTGCCCAGTAGGCTTTGAGCCCAGTTGGAATATAGTCCAGCAAAAGGAGAACTCTTGCGGTGGCGGGATTTTTGCCAAAGCACTCTCTCTCTCATAACACGATGAGGACGTGTTTTTTTTTTTCCACTAAATATAGTTTTCCTATGTCTATGTCCTATGTCCTATGTTCTATGTCTAAAAGGGTTATAATATTGGCAGTAGTAGAGGGAATTTAGCTATAATTGTGTGTAAGATGCAAGGAAAAAATAAAATGAATTTTGTTTCTTTTATGTTCTAGGAGAGTACATCATTATAACCTTGAAAGTCCAGAGGGAAAACTTCAATAAATATTGATGATGATGACCATGAATTAAGCATTCTCTGGAATAGTCAATTAACTATAATGCAATTAGAACAAAGCTCGAAGGCCTACTAAAGGCATGCAGCCAGCCTTTTAAAAATGACTGTTGTGGGAAGAGGTTATTGGGTATGTGAGGTACAAGGATTTGTTAGATCTCTGTGCTCCATGACTGCAGAAAACATCAGTTCATTTGCCTTTACCTATGAACAGGGAATGATATGAACTTCGGTGTCTACCACTGATAATCAAAATGACAGTCCTATGCCATTCGCTCTTCTTTTACAGTTGACAAAGTCATGGTAATGAAGCACTTTACAATGACACATTTTGCATATTTTGAGCTCAATGATATCTTAGTCAATTAAATAAAATAGCATTTTTATACCAGTTGGCAGCTTAGACATTTTCTGTTATTCTATTAAGACAACCACTTTCAGCTTAAACTCCTGACCGATTTTCACAGGTCTCCATGCTCTGATTTCATGCACAAAGCCAGTCTTATTTTGTGATAGAAACCTTCTGCCTCCCTGACCCACAAACCCATCATGGCCTTTACCCCACACATTTTGTTCTTCTATGAATGGAAATTCTTCCTCTGCCCTCTATGACAGAAATCCAAAGCCTCCTTAACCTGCTTCTCATATTGACACCCATGGATAATCCCAACTATACAAGGAAGAAGGGCAGATATTATGTAGTTGTCAAGGGCCTAAACTTTGAAGTCATACTTCCTAGGTTCAAGTCTCATTTCAATCAGTTGCCAGCTTGGTTTGGCACTTAATAATCAATCTTAACTTATTTTCCTGGACAAACCAAGAATAAATATATCAGCTTCATGGGTTTCTTGGGACCGGTAAATGTAATACTGCATGTAAAGTACCAAACATTATATTAAACCTTCAATACGTGTTTAGAATACTAAGGAATTGATCCTTACACTAGTCAGAAAGCACTTGCCTAAAATGAATATACTCTGACATGGAAACTAAAGCTCTGTTTCTGGAGAGGGCAGAATAGAACCAGTGAGTGGAAATTATATAGACACAGATTTTAGCTCCATCTGAGGAACAGCGCATCGATAAGTAGCCATAGCATTCTTATTTCATGATGGAGCAGAGCTTGCTGTCTCTTGGATGGGTTTTTGAGGTGTTGGTGATGAGTACTGTTGTACCTGCTCATTGCACGCTTTCATCATTCATGAATTCTCAACCTCTGTCTCCCTCTCTTTTTGGTGTTTGTTATTGTTGTTGTTGCATCAGTTGTTCAATGTTAAAGTTCTGGGTGGAAATATGCAACCGCTCTCTGTCACACTCTCAAACCATGGCTGTCAGAGGATAGGGAAATCTCCTGGCCTTCCACCCAGGCTCACAAATAAAAGAGGAATTTCTTCCCAAATAGGACAAGGTTCAGATGTTGAGTAGTTAAAAAGTATTCTAACAAACAATGATGTCTTTAACTGTTCTTTAACTGTTTTTCAAGTTGGAGCGCTAAGTCTTTGAAGGCAGAGCTTATGCATATTTCACAGGTCTCATCATATGATAGGTTCTCAATGAATACATTTCGACATAGAGCTTAAAGTTTGACAGATTTGTTTGGGGGATTTATTGCTTTCTATGCTCCACTTAGAGTTTAACAAAGTAATGAATTGTGAGAATTTTATTGTAATATAAGATTGCCAAAATGGTGATTACAGTATGGTAAGAGAGCCCTAGAATATCTTTTCAAGCTAAATAGACTGTCTCTATTCAAATTAATATCCTGCAGATTGGAGAGTCAAAATGAGAGGGTCATGCCTTGTGGAGAATACAATCCTACATTGTGTAAAGTATCTTCAGGGAAAATTATAACGGAAAATGAGAGTAGGGAGGGATAAAACCTATTAATATTATTTAATAAAATTTTTATTGTGAAAGCAATATTTGACTGTTATAGTAAATTTTTAAGATACAGAAAAACACAAACACAAAAGAAAATTTTTTTAAATGTTAATCACCACAATTTTGGGGGATGCATTCATATATTGGTTTGTGTGTATGTATGGTGTGTGTGTGTGTGTGTGTGTGTGTATATATATATACACTGTACACATGTATGTATAGTATATAGTATATATGTACATTATACATACACACACAAACATGGCCCAATACCATACACACACACACACACACATATATGGTGTATACTTGTGTTATATGTGTGCTTAAAACCACAAATGTATAGCAAACACACCCATATATGCATAGTTGTTATTATAAAACTGTTCTTATATACAGTGTTTATTAATGTGCTATGAAATTGTTTTCTTAAAAATGATTCTTGTTATAAGAGAAATAAATGTTTATTGCAAAAAACCCAGAAAATAAAATAAGAAAGTATGTAATACATGCAAATTCTCAGCAACCCAGAAGTAACCATTGTTTATATCTTCTGGTATAATCTTTCAAAATCCTAGTATATAACAATTACACAGTTTTTTGCAAAATAGATTATCTATTTTATAGGATATCTTATAACCTACTTTTAAAGAATAACAATAGGTTATAATCATCTTTCCATGTCAATAGGTCTATTTCTGCACCATCATGATTTATGGCTATATAGAATTCCACTTGGAGGATATACACAGCTGATTTTCTAAAATACAATAATGGATGTTTAAGTATTTTTTGTTTTTGTTTTTACAAGCAATACTTCAGTGAACATCCTTGAAACATATTTATTCTTCAAACATATCTATAACTTTATTTCCTTAGGACAAATTCTCAGAAGTATAGTTATTGATGCCAAAGGTATGCATATATTTATATCTTTGTATAGCAAATTGCACTCTACGATACACATCAGTTTGAAAATAAAAACAGGATATGAGTGTGCATTCTCCTAAAACTAAATATTGGTGTTTTAAATGAGGTTTTAAAATAGATAAATCATTTTGGCATATAAAGTATTATAAAGTTTTCTTTTGTGATTAAGCATTTTAATGTAATTTAAAAGCCTTGAGTATATTATCTTATAAAGCAACACAATGAAAATGGCATATTACTAAATCTCTGCATATATTTATGAGTATTTTCTCAGGAATATTACCAAATAGTGATATTTCTGGGAAGAATGTATATTACTATCCTATAGCATGCTGACTTTGGTTAATTTGTCAGGAAAGGATAGTAACACCACAAATGAAGCATTCAAATTAATATATAGTTATGTGTGTTTTGTGGATTGAAAAGTTATGTTTGATCTGGTTTTGGTTTTAGTCTTACCAAATTATAAATGGGATTCCATTACAAATAAAATAAAATATGCATTTACTACTATTACCAATAAGTTTCTACATGATGTGGTTCCTGTATGCCTCTCTGATCCCAACTATGAAATCTTCCAGTCTTCTTTTTTTTTTTTATTATACTTTAAGTTTTAGGGTACATGTGCACAACATGCAGGTTAGTTACATATGTATACATGTGCCATGTTGGTGTGCTGCACCCATTAACTCGTCATTTAGCATTAGGTATATCTCCTAATGCCATCCCTCCCCCTCCCCCCACCCCACAACAGGCCCGGGTGCGTGATGTTCCCCTTCCTGTGTCCATGTGTTCTCATTGTTCAATTCCCACCTATGAGTGAGAACATGCGGTGTTTGGTTTTTTGTCCTTGTGATTGTTTGCTGAGAATGATGGTTTCCAGCTTCATCCATGTCCCTACAAAGGACATGAACTCATCATTTTTTATGGCTGCATAGTATTCCATGGTGTATATGTGCCACATTTTCTTAATCCAGTCTATCATTGTTGGACATTTGGCTTGGTTCCAAGTCTTTGCTATTGTGAATAGTGCCGCAATAAACATACGTGTGCATGTGTCTCTATAGCAGCATGATTTATAGTCCTTTGGGTATATACCCAGTAATGGGATGGCTGGGTCAAATGGTATTTCTAGTTCTAGATCCCTGAGGAATCACCACACTGACTTCCACAATGGTTGAACTAGTTTACAGTCCCACCAACAGTGTAAAAGTGTTCCTATTTCTCCACATCCTCTCCAGCACCTGTTGTTTCCTGACTTTTTAATGATTGCCATTCTAACTGGTGTAAGATGGTATCTCATTGTGGTTTTGATTTGCATTTCTCTGATAGCCAGTGATGATGAGCATTTTTTCATGAGTCTTTTGGCTGCATAAATGTCTTCTTTTGAGAAGTGTCTGTTTATATCCTTTGCCCACTTTTTGATAGGGTTGTTTTTTTTTCTTGTAAATTTGTTTGAGTTCATTGTAGATTCTGGATATTATCCCTTTGTCAGATGAGTAGATTGCAAAAATTTTCTCCCATTCTGTAGGTTGCCTGTTCACTCTGATGGTAGTTTCTTTTGCTGTGCAGAAGTTCTTTAGTTTAATTAGATCCCATTTGTCAATTTTGGCTTTTGTTGCCATTGCTTTTGGTGTTTTAGACATGAAGTCCTTGCCCATGGCTATGTCCTGAATGGTATTGCCTAGGTTTTCTTCTAGGGTTTTTATGGTTTCAGGTCTAATATTTAAGTCTTCAATCCATCTTGAATTAATTTTTGTATAAGGTGTAAGGAAGGGATCCCGTTTCAGCTTTCTACATATGGCTAGCCAGTTTTCCCAGCACCATTTATTAAATAGGGAATCATTTCCCCATTTCTTGTTTTTGTCAGGTTTGTCAAAGATCAGATGGTTGTAGATATGCAGCATTATTTCTGTGGGCTCTGTTCTGTTCCGTTGGTCTATATCTCTGTTTTGGTACCAGTACCATGCTGTTTTGGTTACTGCAGCCTTGTAGTGTAGTTTGAAGTCAGGTAGTGTGATGCCTCCAGCTTTGTTCTTTTGGCTTAGGATTGACTTGGTGATGTGGGCTCTTTTTTGATTCCATATGAACTTTAAAGTAGTTTTTTCCAATTCCGTGAAGAAAGTCATTGGTAACTTGATGGGGATGGCATTGAATCTATAAATTACCTTGGGCAGTATGGCCTTTTTCATGATATTGATTCTTTCTACCCATGAGCATGGAATGTTCTTCCATTTGTTTGTATCCTCTTTTATTTCATTGAGCAGTGGTTCGTAGTTTTCCTTGAAGAGGTCCTTCACATCCCTTGTAAGTTGGATTCCTAGGTATTTCATCCTCTTTAAAGCAATAGTGAATGGGAGTTCACTCATGATTTCACTCTCTGTTTGTCTGTTATTGGTGTATAAGAATGCTTGTGATTTTTGCACATTGATTTTGTATCCTGAGACTTTGCTGAATTTGCCTATCAGCTTAAGGCGATTTTGGGCTGAGACGATGGGGTTTTCTAGATATACAATCATGTCATCTGCAAACAGGGACAATTTGACTTCCTCTTTTCCTAATTGAATACCCCTTATTTCCTTCTCCTGCCAGATTGCCCTGGCCAGAACTTCCAACACTATGCTGAACAGGAGTGGTGAGAGAGGGCATCGTGTCTTGTGCCAGTTTTCAAAGGGAATGCTTCCAGTTTTTGCCCATTCAGTACGATATTGGCTGTGAGTTTGTCATAGATAGCTCTTATTATTTTGAGATATGTCCCATCAATACCTAATTTATTGAGAGTTTTTAGCATGAAGCGTTGTTGAATTTTGTCAAAGGCTTTTTCTGCATCTATTGAGATAATCATGTGGTTTTTGTCTTTGGTTCTGTTTATATGCCGGATTACGTTTATTGATTTGCATATGGTGAACCAGCCTTGCATCCCAGGGATGAAGCCCACTTGATCATCGCGGATAAGCTTTTTGATATGCTGCTGGATTCGGTTTACCAAGATGGCCGAATAGGAACATCTCCAGTCTAGAGCTCCCAGCATGAGTGACACAGAAGACGGGTGATTTCTGCATTTCCAACTGAGGTACCGGGCTCATCTCACTGGGGAGTGTCAGAAAGTGGGTGCAGGACAGTGGGTGCAGGGCACAGAGCATGAGCCAAAGCAGGGCGAGGCATCGCGTCACCCAGGAAGCACAAGGGGTCAGGGAATTCCTTTTCCTAGTCAAAGAAAGGAGTGACAGATGGCACCTGGAAAATCGGGTCACTCCCACCCTAATACTGTGCTTTTCCAGTGGTCTTAGCAAACGGCACACCAGGAGATTATATCCGGCACCTGGCTCGGAGGGTCCTATGCTCATGGAGCCTTGCTTATTGCTAGCAGAGCAGTGTGAGATCAAACTTCAAGGCGGCAGCAAGGCTGGGGGAGGGGCGCCTGCCATTGCCGAGGCTTGAGTAGGTAAACAAAGCGGCCAGGAAGCTCGAACTGGGTGGAGCCCACTGCAGCTCAAGGAGGCCTGCCTTCCTCTGTAGACTCCACCTATGGGGGCAGGGAATAGCCTAACAAAAGCCAGCAGAATCCTCTGCAGACTTAAATGTCCCTGTCTGACAGCTTTGAAGAGAGTATTGGTTCTCCCAGCATGCAGCTGGAGATCTGATAACGGACAGACTGCTTCCTCAAGTGGGTCCCTGACCCCTGAGTAGCCTAACTGGGAGGCACTCCCCAGTAGGGGCAGACTGATACCTCACATGGCCGGGTACTCCTCTGAGACAAAAATTCCAGAGGAACGATCAGGCAGCAACATTTGCTGCTCACCAATATCCGCTGTTTTGCAGCCTCCACTGCTGATACCCAGGCAAACAGGGTCTGGAGTGGACCTCCAGCAAACTCCAACAGACCTGCAGCTGAGGGTCCTGATTGTTAGAAGGAAAACTAACAAACAGAAAGGACATCCACACCAAAACCCCATCTGTACGTCACCATCATCAAAGACCAAAGGTAGATAAAACCACAAAGATGGGGAAAAAACAGAGCAGAAAAACTGGAAAGTCTAAAAATCAGAGCGCCTCTCCTCCTCCAAAGGAATGGAACAAAGCTGGATGGAGAATGACTTTGACAAGTTGAGAGAAGAAAGTTTCAGACGATCAAACTACTCTGAGCTAAAGGAGGAAGTTCGAACCCATGGCAAAGAAGTTAAAAACCTTGAAAAAAAATTAGACGAATGGCTAACTAGAACAACCAATGCAGTTTTCTTAACTGTGCTGGTTAACTGCGTTCCAGAGTTTCCGTCCTTGTTTCTTTCTAACACACCAAGCTTATTCACTCCTGGAATTTTGTGCTTCCTCTCTGCTGATCTATTTATGACTGGCTCTTTATCATTCGGGACTTCATTTATCATTACTTCAGAGAAGCATTCCAAGACAAGGCTAATTAAAGTGGACAGTGATTATTACTATTGCTCTTCATCAACATTTGTGGTTCTCCTTCTGCCAAGCATGCAGGAGGATTACATTTTCCTACCTCTTTGAAGTTAGTCATGGCCATGTGACTTGCTTTGGTCTGTCATGTTCATATCTGACACTGTTCAGTGGAAGCCATTAAAAGCTGGTATATAATTTACCACATGTCCTTACCTATGTCACTGCAATTGATGACATTCAACAGTGAAGCCTCCCTCATCCTGCATACCTGAGAGAGGACGTGGAACTAAGCACCACACTGAACTAAGCACCACACTGTGATGGACAAATACTGTATGGGAAAAAATAACTTGGTTTTTAAATACCATTCAGACTTTGGGGTTGCTTATTAGTACAGAATACCTAACACATCCTAATACACAGGTTCCTTCTTCTTTTAATCAATCTCAATACTTTCCTATTTTATTTTATACAGAGCTTTCATTATTACATAAAATCATCTTATTTATTCAGTTATGAGTCCACTCACCTCCACCAGTAGCATGTAGAATCCTGAAGAGCAGGAGCTTTGTCTGTCTTGTTCATTGTTGTATCATCATTGTATGCAATACTGCCTTAAATATTTGTTGAGTAAATGAAAGAAATGAGAGGAAGGTCTCAACACACGCCTCTGGAATCTAGACTAGACAATTTCTTTCCTTTTAAAACAATTGTTCCCAGATTCCAAAATAGCCTTTGGCAGACAAAACTGAGAACATGCTCAGTCAGGTTTCTGATGGCCAAGAGAGGTTAAATATTTTCTCATCAAGATGTAAGAGCTCTTAGCCACGTTAATCATTTGGTCTTTTCTTCCCCCAACACTATGAACATTTTCCCTCTGTGTGGATGGAAAACAACCATGATTTCAATTATTTTATATTTTATAATATTCTGTTATCTCCAAAGCTTTTTTTTTCAAATGAATAATAATTTAGCAAGGCCTTAAGTATATTTAGTGAATAGACAAGTATATTTTCCCTGACCTTCCAAAGGCAAGATATGACATTATATTTATAATGTCTAGGCTCTTATGAGACACCCTTCCATGTTGGCACTTGATCATTCTTTCATTATAACTATTATGTCCCAGCTACCCTGTGGTCTGCAGATGTGTATCAATTACAAAGATACTTTGAGTTAATGATTTCTAAAAAGCCTTAAAACAAGTGGAATAGATGTGTTTATTATTGGGTAGTTGGTGAATAGTGTTTCTGAGCTAGAGGTAATAGACTTGTACCCCATTGCCTCATCTGAAAGAGGCTCAGCACTTGCGCCAGATGACAACTATTCTTTGGTCTTAACACATGTTGAGTTAGAGTAACTATTAGCAGCTGTATATGTTGGTATCTTCTCAATCAGCATATGCCTTCTCTTGACCAGAATAGAATAGCAAAGATGACATTGCTACACATTTGTATATTCCATTTGGCTCTAAAGCTACTTATTGCATTTTCACATGCCAGGCAAAGGGAAAGAATGGCAAAAACTCTTACGTTGAACTGCAATGTGGCCATTTGTTTGCTTGGCAACTAGTAACATATCAGCATGGATCTATGTGATTTTAGATCATCCATACCCTTGGGTTTACCATCACACGGCTCAACTTCATGAGCTCAGTTGTTACAGAAAAAAATTACTTCTGATTCTTTTGTGTTTCGATGTTGTATAACATTCTGGAACTCCTTGCCCTTAAATGAACTCTTCGTGGTCCTCTCAAACATGCTTCATATTTGTTTCTTTTCCCCTATTGCACTTTTAATTTATTTTGACATTTTGTTTTTATATGTTTTACTGTATATCAGGAGTTTTCCATGTTTCCTTGATTACTAAATGGAAACAGGGTAGTAATTGAATTTAGAGCATGGAATTATTTTCTCCCATCATTAAATTACTCTGGCATCCAAAATAGTTCAAGTAATTTCAAGAGCATTACATATCAGATAAATCTGAAAAAATTCACAGTGATGTTTTTCCAGTTTTGATATGTGGAGCAAAGAAGACTTTGTGGTATATAGGACTTTGGAGTCAGACAGGCTCATGTTTGAAAACTAGCACATTTACTGACTGTGGGCTTAAGAGAGTTATTTAATACTTTGGGGCTTAATTTCCTCATCTGTTAAATTGGGAAAAAATATTTCCAATCTCATAGGGTCGAGGTGAGGATTAAATCAGATAATGCATTTTAAATCCAGGGCCTGGCTCATAGTGAGTACTAAACAAATGGCAACTATTATCTTGCAGAGAGTAATGGCACATACCTAAAAGATTAGTGTTCCAGAGATTGTGATTTCATCAATGCTGTAACTAAAACTGTGTATATGACGTGTGCTATCCTAGCAAGATTCCAATGCATCGGTAAATCAAATTCATTCTAAAGAAATAAGGAATAATGCCAATAGATATTTATTATTAAAATCATAATAGTAGAGAACTTTATTTGATACCTATAGTTAAGGAAACATTTGTACATACGTGTTTTTATGCAATCCATGAAAGTCATCTCTTTATTGGGCAGAAAAATCATTCCAGACAGAGGGAACAGCTAATGCCAACGTTTGAAGGGAAACCATGCCTGGCATGTTCAAACAACAGCCAGGAGGCCCATGGGGTCAGAGCAAAGAAGGGAAGAGAAGTAGAAGATAATGCTGAGAGAAGAAACCCAGGGCTAGATTACGTAGGTCATGGTTCGGACCTTGACTTTGTTTTTAGTGAAATGGTGGGTCTTTGCAGGGAGTGAGGCATGACATGATTCCATTTATGTTTTATGGAGTGGCAAAAGTCACTCTGGCTGCTGGTTTTAGAACAGATTGTAAGGGAGATGTAAGGGTAGAAGCAGGAACACCAGCTAAGAGGCAAACATAACCCAGTCTTGAAGTGGTCAAACTGTGGCTCTGTTTTGAAGGTAGTAGTGACAGGATTTCCTGGCAGACTGGATGTGCAGCTATGAGAGAAAGCAAGAGTCAGGTCAGCCCTAAGGCTTTTGGCCTAAACAAATGCAGGATGGAATCGCCATTCTTCAGGTAAATTGGAACAAGTGTCAAGGGATGCATTAGGAGTTTAACTCAAAGCACATCAAAGAAAGAATAAATTAATCAATTATATATTCATAGAATGAACCAGAGCACTGAAAATAAATGAAGAAGCAATGGATCTCATGGACGAATACTAAAAACACAGCATCGTGCCAAAGAAGTCAGATACAGAAGAATATATACTACCAGTTTCCAATTTTGTAAAATTTAAAAATAGGAAAAAAATTACCTTGTTTAGAGATGCATATTCAAATAGCCAAAGAATAAAGTAATGCAAAGCTATGATTCCCATCATATTTAATAGAGCAGTTATCTGTAAGGTGAGAATGAAGGAATGAACATACTGTTGAATGCTGAGGCAGGTAGGATGATGGTTATGTGAATATTTGTCTGATGATTTTTCACTTTATGCATTTTAATATCCCTGTGTTATATTTAGCAACAACAACAAAAGCTTTAGAAATGCTATGCAGCTTTCAAGACCTACTCCTCCATGAAATTTGTTCTGATCACCCCGTTCTGTGAGCTTTATTTCTATTCTAAAGATAGAATCATTATTAACTGTATAGGTCAATTGATTAAACATTACCTTATAACATTGCTTCAGTGGTTATCTTGAAATATTAGGAAACTATTTGGTAGTGGTTCAAATAATGTTTTATTATAGATCATCCTTCCATCCAGCTCTTGAACCCCATGGCAAAAAACCCAATTTTTTGTTCACAATAGTAACTTGATGTCTGGTAACTAACACATAATTATAGATTGCAGATCTAGGGAATACATTATTCAAGTATTTATTTTTGAAAAGTTCTAATAGTATCACACCATGAAGGGCAATATTGTGCCCTGGAAAGAATATTAGAATTAAAGTAAAGAAGTCTGAGTACTCCTTCTTCTCTTGGTAGATGTTTGCTTAACCAAGCTATTTAACTTTTCCAAGTATTGAGTTCTTTGTGTGTTAAGTGTGGTATTTGGGCTAAATTCTCCTTTTCGGTTGTAATATTCTATGAATCTTTGAAATACTGTATTATAAAAGGATGCAAGAATCAAGGTTCAGAATCTGTTAAACAAATCATGTCAAAAAGTACAGAGATTATAAGGGCCAATTTTGGAAAACAACAGACCTGGTATTTTTTGAACAGGTAAAAATAATTTTTTTAATTGAAGGAAAGCTCAATATATTTCAAGTAAAAAGACACATAGAAAATAGAGGAAAAAAAATGGTGATATAAGCCACACAACGATAAACCACTTTTTATTTTTTTTTCCAAGAAGAAATGAGGAGATGAGTCACCAACTGACTCTGTGACCAAAAAGTCATAGAGGAAATTCAGAAACAGAAGCTGGATTAGGGGAACTGAAACAATCATCAAAGAAATAAAGTATGCATATTTATTTTTCATGGGATAGAACATTGTGTACTTAGTTGCCCCAATTTTGCTGTTTTGTTTTATGGGTTTATTTGGGGAAAAATAGCCTATTCAAATTTAGGTGGAAATTATTAGAGATTATTGATAAATAATTTGAATAGTCATTAAATTGTAATCTCTTAAGAGATAGAGAATTTAAAGCTTGTTTATTCCTGATACCCAGTTATTAAATGTATTTGAATCTGTTTCTATACCTGCTCAGTGATCAGTCACTAAGCCTATTACTGAACACCTCCAATAACAGAGGTCTTAGTATCTTCTGTTGCTGCAGTTTAAAAGACTTACTGTATTTTCACACAGAGGGCTACTTTATATGGAGAGATTATTTTACAGCTGTCCTTAAATGGTATCTTTTTTTTTTTTTTTGGTTGGTTTAACTTCACAATATGTATGCCTGATTTTCCTCCATTTTATTTACTGTTGTCAATGATACTTTTAAGGATTACTACTTACTGAGAGTGAGATTACATGCTTATATTTCATGATTTGGGGGACCAATACTCTAAATCCCATATGGTGGGCTCACAGAAAGAATAACTATCTATCTGATTGCCACCGGAGCATTATATTTTATATTAGTTGACTGAATACAGTTTGACCAGATCATGGCAAACTTGCTTGTCTGTTGGTTCCCTACACATATGGACCCTTTTATATTCAAGGACAAAATGAAGTCACCAAAAGACAAAATTAAAGTATTTTAGAATATGGCTGGGCATGGTGGCTCACACCTGTAATCCCAGCACTTTGGGAGGCCGAGGCAGCTGATCACCTGAGGTCAGGAGTTCGAGACCAGCCTGGCCAACATGGTGAAACCCTATCTCTACTAAAAATACGAAATTTAGATGCGTTGGCATGCTCCTGTAATCCCAGCTACTTGGGAGGCTGAGGCAGGAGAACCGCTTAAACTCAGGAGGTGGAGGTTGCATTGAGCTGAGATCGTGCCACTGCACTCTAGCCTGGGCAACAGAGCAAGACTCCATCTCAAAAAAAAAAAAAATTCAGAAGACATAGTTAATTTCAGTTACTTCCTCTTTCTGTTTTTTACCTTCTTCATTATAGAGCGTTTCTCCCTAAATCTGAAAATGAATACTCTGAAAAATTACAACTTTAGATGTTTTGCTATAGGAACAAGATCAATATTTACTCAGATAAAATTTACTACTATTCTGTTTGTAAATAAGAACTTGAAGAAATGGATCCAAGTTACGTGGTTACTTATATAGAATGATCAAAAACAAAAGGGAACTGGATAATTCTATTACATTTATGGAAACGTAGGACCAGAAGGTTAAGTGTGAATGCACTATGTGCTCTAGGTTATGTTGAATCTGACACCTTAATCCTGGCACCAGCAGTGAAGTCCTTGCCTTAGGGCCTTAAGGGTGTCCCAGCATTCAATGCACTCAATGCATTTTACTTAAGCCATGCAATAATGAGGCATCCTCATATTTTCTTTGAGCTTTCAATCAAATGATAAGTAGAGTTTTAGTGAAGATTCTCATAATGTGTTCATTTCTTGCTATGATAACTTTTCCTTATAAGAAATACGATCTTACATTCTCTCCCAACTGAAACTTTTGACTGTGTCATCTTCAATAAAGCAATTCATTCTATATCATATGTAGAATGCTCATGTTTTTTCTATCATTTATTATGTTAAGCATGAACTTGAATGAAATGAGCAATTTTTGTAGGCACAAAAGAGGCGTGCTGTTTTTGGAGAGTTTGACAGCTTCCCACCCAGAGGTACCTTTTAACGTGACGGTGAGCTGGAGTGCCCTCCTCTAGGGAGTAATATTAGCAGCATGTCCTTAAAAGCACGCCTATCACCTTTTTATTGCCTGAAGAGGTCTTCAAACCTTGGCCTTCTGCAGATCTGACCATTCACCTTCATCTTTTTAATTTCCTCATTATGTAGGTCAGTGAATAGAAGTACTCTGTTTCAAGCAGGAAATCTCAGGACACGTAGTGTAGAACCAAGAAATTTGTTACTATCTGATTTATTAAGTCTATCACATAAATCACAATACTGATAACCTAAAACATAAATGTTGTTGTCTGTGTGTTGCAAAAATTTTGGTCAACTTAATATTTAAGAGGCATTTTTTCTGCTGCTTGATTATTTTGTTTACTAAATATGCGTCACCTTTATAGCTTTTTTATTTTGTTTTGTTTTATTTATTTATTTTTTTAGACGGAGTCTTGCTCTCTTGCCTAGGCTGGAGTGCAGTGGCGCGATCTCGGCTCACTGCAACCTCCACCTCCCGGGTTCAAGCAATTCTCCTCCCAAGTAGCTGGGACTACAGGCATGTGCCAACATGCTCAGCTAATTTTTGTATTTTTAGTAGAGACGGGGTTTCACCATGTTGGCCAGGCTGGTCTCAAACTCCTGACCTCAAACAATCCACCTGCCTCAGCCTCCCAAAGTGCTGGGATTACAGGTGTGAGCCACCGTGCCCAGCCTATAGCTAACATAGGTAAAGCACCCATCTAATTTCCACTTTAACTTATAAAAAAATAGAATAAACTAGTAAACTGTATAGTATGTAAAAAGGTGATAGGTGCAATGGGAAAAGGTAAACAGACAAGAGAGTCAGAGCACTCTAGAAGGTGGGGAGGAATGTTAAAGTACTTGTAAATAGCCATCAGGAAAGGCCCAATTGTAGCTTGACGATTAAATGCATCAAATGTAACTAATACTGAGTTATTCCTAGTAGAATATCAGGGTGTGTGTTTGTTCCTATGTAAAAGCTGTTACTCATAGACTCTGGTCAGGTGCATAAAAAGGCTGCACTTGTCTAGGAGAGCACTCAATATTTCCTTAACAGGTAGATGTAAAATGACTTGGTTATTCATCAATTTCATACTAGCCAGTACGGAAGTTGAATCAGAAGTATTACATTTTAGTAAACTGAACTAACTTCACTTTTATCACTGTGGCAGCTAACTTTCTTCTTTTGCAGATGACGATAGTGAGATAAAATACCTAAAATCGAAGAGCAGATGGAGGTTAAGAAAGTACATCATCATTGCTTAAAAAGTGAAAATTTCATAATTAAGCTGTATTATTGAAAATTAATATTTTTAAAAAACATAAAGTTCAGCCACTTAAAAACCCTAATTCAGTGTTTTACTTGCATATTTGAGCAAATAATCATGCTGTTTTATTTTATAGAAGACATTTCATAAACCTCATTTTTTTCATTTCTGCTATGCAACTTCAAAAAAGAAGCCAGAAGATTACCTAGCTGAATCTAAACCAATAAAATGTTTCAACACATCACATCTCACATCCATAAAAATACCCATTTTTAATTTTTTGTCTCAGTCACTTGAAAAGCCAACAGAAATGGGGCTGTTTATGTTCAAGATAAAGCAAACTAATCTTTATAACATGAACGTATCAAATACATTTTGAAATTTAAGTGGACATTCCTGGAACAGATTAGTTCACAGATGGATTTATTTAGGTCAATGTCCCTCACACTCTTTCTGAAAGCAGAGCCAACATCCAGAGAGTAGGACACAAATATTAATGAAAACTCACTTTACTTGCCCTTAGTTGAATGATGTTCCCTAAATCAGCTCACATTTGAAGTAGTCCAGTTAACTCCTCCTGAATGTAGCTCTGCTTTGGTTTATAGTGAAGGGCGGTATTATTTGAAATTGTTTTAAAAGCTTTTAGCCTTTAGCCTTACTGCAACTCACTTCAGTAGTACACAGAAGTGAAGATCTGAGGAGGTAGCAGACACAGTTATTTGCTCACTCTCTACCCACTCATCCAGGCTTTCTTCTTTGCTCATGGAGCCCCAAATTCGTTCAAGTATTTACCTCTTCAAGAGCTGGGCCCTTTCCTTCATTTTAAGAGGAAATTCTGATTAGTCTAATATTTAAAGAAATTCATTTCTCCTTAACACTAATTCGTTTAAGTGGTCAAATTCTGGTCAAGTTATTAGGAGCTTCTGCGAGTGTTGTCTTTCTTTTGAAAGGGACTTTCTGGCTCTCTCTTTCTGGTCATTGTCTTCTCAGGATATGCTGCCTAGAACTGCTGCAGCTATCACATGACCATAAAGTTTTACTTTAGGATGAAGCCAGCACCAAGAATGGCAAAGCAGAGATGAAAAGGACCTACTCTGATAATATTCTTTAGCTACTGCCTTAATTAAGCCTACTTCTGGACTTACTGTTCATTCATTCATCAAATATTCACTGAGGGCTTGCTATGAACCAAGAACTGTTCTAAGTGCTGGGGGTATAGCTTTAAAAAATAGAAAAAAAATCTCTGTGCAATGAAGCTAATATTCAAGTAGGGGGAGCTAGACATTAAATAGAATAAATAAGATATATATGTATATATATAGTTGTTAAAGTGATTAATGCAATAAAAAAATAAGATGTGGAAGTGTAAGAGGCATTGGAGTTGTACATAGAGTCATCAGGGAAGGTCTTAATTTGAAGGTACCATTTTATCAAAGAGAGAAAGATGTGAGAGAATTAAATTCTCTAGTGAGTATCCGTCCCCTGTTATTTGCTCAGTGTACACTTACTGACATTGATGTCATGGGTAAGTTACTCAGTTTTCATAGAAACTAATAACTCCCTGCCTCTCCATACATGTGTATTTGTGTATTTGCATTTCTTGACATTTGCTATCATGCCTAATTCAAATGACTTGGGCAAGTGGATTATCTGTGCCTGTGTGCTGGGACAAACTTTTTGCTTTCCTCCATTTCTGAATCAACTTCTTGCTACTTCTGGCCATTCAGTTCTAATAAGGAGAAGAGAGAAGGCATTTGCAGGAGGACATTGGAATGAGTTTTATTTTATCTATACCACTTTCCTCATAGTAACAATAGCTAACATTTATTAAGCACTTACCATTCTCTGGATAATATTCCAAGCCCTTTGAGTTTATTTTCTGTAATTCACTTAGCAGTCTTATGGAGGTTTATATTAGTATTATTACCATTTTTTCATATTGGAAAACCAAGGGCAAAAAGGTTAACTTTGCAAAGGTCACAGAGCAAAAGGTGAGCGTTGACTCACAGCAAGGGGTTGGATTTCAGAGCCCCAGAAATTAGACATAAGATAAATATTTGTACTTTTCAGATGTTAATAACTTTTATAGAGCTTATGAAAAAAATGATCATATTCACTGAGGTATGGAAAAACCAATGCAACTCATGAAAACCCAATAGTCCTTTAGCACAGTGAATACCTAGGCCATTTTTAAAGCTAGTTGTGTTAAAACTGGATACAAATATGCAGTCATAAGTTTAGTAAACACATATTATAATAAAATTGCTTACTAATCTTTATTCTTCCAAATTTATATCCCATGAAAGTTAAGGAGAACTAACAATGTTGATTCAGTTGGCAGCTAAATTACATACCCTATGTATTTTCCTGTAATCTATTAAGAGGGATCATTGCAACCACAAAACTGTAAACATGTTTACATTTAATCCCCAATCTATTTCTAAACTTCTGAAAAAAATAAGCATCTGTAGTAAAAGTTTCCAAGAAAAATTCAGTGATTAGGTCATATCTGATCATGACTCTGGAGAAGGGAAGGAAAGAATGGTTTCTGGAGAAGAAACTCCAGATAGGAGAGAGGACAAGGAGAATTGAACTTCTATTCTGGTTGGAGGGACGGCTAGGAGTAGAAGCAAAAAAATGTGTGAATGAGCTCTAGGATATGATAAAATATTTTCCAAAGTGTATGCAAGATATTAATCCCCAGGGTATTAACAGGCTTTTGGTTAATAACCAAATAAAAATTTAGTTAAAAAATAATTTTGTGCAGACCCAAAGTATCAGATCTTTAATGCACTAATTTGTATTATGAAATTTCACTTGAGGGGACATTTTACACTATGTTTTCTAAAGTTATTTATCCAAGGAGAAATTGCCCCTCCCCTGCTTCCTTCTATAGGGAATCTTACAGGACTAGGATTCCATAGTAGACACGTTAAGAAACACTGAAGAGTGACAGAAATATCTGAGCATAGCTGAACATTTTATTGTGTGCCTTAGAGAGTTCTCCAGAAACTAAGAAAAGATGGCTGCTGTGGAAAAAGGAGAAATAAGCTGAATCATCCCCATGCATGATCCTAGCACTGGGACTAGAATCTTCTTTAGAAGGTCAGCTTCATTAGAGAGGCTCCTTGCTGGCAAGGTGGTGTTGCCAAGTAGCCAGGCTGTTAGGAATCACCTAAAGTTCCCAGGCAATGGTTGAGTCCTTATAACTAGCAACCAGATCATTAAAACTTCTGTGTAGAAAGTAAGTAGAGAATATTTCAAATATATAAGTGAGGGCTTAATATTTTCCTATTAAATACTTCATTTTATGTTGTCATGACCTGTTTGTCCATGAGTTTTCTCACGCCCCATGTGCTCTAAGCAATGCTTTGCCAGTTAACATTTTAGCTATAAAATGAGCCTCCATGGCATACCAGTAGAGTTCTGCACAGATTTCAGATCTTGTGTTAATGCTAGCCACCAGCCAGGCAATGTAGAATTGAGTACATGTGGCTGTACATTTGTACCAATATTCTTTTAGTCCAGATTTTCTCCTTTTTATGTATCGCAATCCTCTTTATAAATAACACTTCCATATTTGAAAAAATTGGTCAATATTTTGCATCCTTTTCTCAGTGATACTGAGAGATAGGACTAGCTGGATTTTCTAGGCTAAGAATTCCTAAGCCTAGCTGGGGAAGGTGACTGCACCCACCTTTAAACACGGGGCTTGTAACTCAGCTCACACCCGACCAATCAGGTAGTAAAGAGGGCTCACTAAAATACCAGTTAGGCTAAATGCAGGAGGTAAAGAAATAATCAAATCATCTGTCATCTGAAAGCACAGGGGGAGGGACAATGATTGGGATATAAACCCCAGGCATTTGAGCCAGGAGTGGGCAACCCCCTTTGGGTCCCCTCCCACTGTATGGGAGCTCTGTTTTCATTCTATTAGATCTTGCAACTGCACACTCTTCTGGTCCGTGTTTGTTCTGCCTCAAGCTGAGCTTTCGCTCACCGTCCACCACTGCTGTTCGCTGCCATCCACCCCTCCAGATCGGGCAGGGTGTCCGTTGCGTTTCTGATCCAGCCAGGCAGCCGCTGTGGCTCCCGTTAGGACTAGAGGCTCACCATTGTTCCTGCGCAGCTAAGTCCTTGGGTTCGTCCCAATTGAGCTGAACACTAGTTGCTGGGTTCCACGGTTCTCTTCTGTGATCCATGGCTTCTAATAGAGCTATAACACTCACCGCATGGCCCAAGGTTCCATTCCTTGGAATCCGTGAGGCCAAGAACCCCAGATCAGGGAACAAAAGGCTTGCTGCCATCTTGGAAGTGGCCGCCACTATCTTGGGAGTGGTCCGCCACCATCTTGGGAGTGCTAAGAACGAAAACTCACCCGTAACAACATGCTATTATGGAAGTAAGTTTTATTAGCACAGTAAGTCAGTGGATCAGGGGTTTTGCGGATAAAATGTTCAGTCATTAAGTAGTAAACTTGGTCTCTGAAGACGGGGATCTGGGGGAAGAAAAGAAGCAAACTTGGTATTTTAAAAATATACATTCCAATTATTTGGAAAGAAAATCTGAGATTTGGAATTATGGAAAATTGATTAAAAATCTCACAGTTGAATGTAAAGCATATACTCTAATACAGATGGATGTCGATACACTTAGTAATGTATGTATATATGGATTTTATTTCTGTATTTTTATCAGGCATGCTAAGTGCATTCATTGATGCCACCTTATAAACATAAGAATAGTTGGCTTCCATATTTAAGACTATTAGTCCAGATGATGGCTGGGTAAGACCCCTCAGGGGAAAAGACTTCCTGAGGTACTTGTTCAGGTATTCTTAAACAGTGGTCAGACTAAAGGAATTGTATTCAAAATTTTGTATGTGTTTCTGCATTTTCGGATGAGAATATCTAGGGCTTTGGTGAGAATCTCAGTGCTGGTCTGATACCCAAGAGGGGTAAAGAATCACTGCTTCAGGGCTCCACAAGATATGCTGAGCTGTGGAATCCTCAGGGTATTGTTACTGAGCTGCACCTTCTGGACTGATCATTGTAAAACAGTTTAAAGGACTATTTTATTTTATTTTATTTTATTTATTTATTTGAGATGGAGCCTCGCGCTGTCACCCAGGCTGGAGTGCAGTGGGGTGATCTTGGCTCACTGCAAGCTCGCCTCCCGGGTTCACGCCATTCTCCTGCCTCAGCCTCCCGAGTAGCTGGGACTACAGGTGCCTGCCACCACGCCCAGCTAATTTTTTGTATTTTTAGTAGAGACAAGGTTTCACCATGTTAGCCAGGATGGTCTCGATCTCCCGACCTCGTGATCTGCCCGCCTTGGCCTCCCAAAGTGCTGGGATTACAGGTGTGAGCCACCATGCCTGGCCAAAAGGACTTATTTTTAGTGTTACTTCAACCATCATTTGATCTCTTAAATTAAAGCAATGCGATTATTTATTATAATTGACTCAGTCAAGTCCACACATCACCCATTATTCCTGTGTTATTTCCCAGCTGACTTGACTCGTGTGTGTGTGTGCACACGTGTGTGTGTTTGCAACAATAAACCTCTCAATAGACCTTTTGGTGATATCTGACAAACCAGAGTTATAAGTCCCAAGGCTCTCAGTTTGGGGAAGAAATGCTTCTATTCATGTATCCCTTAGCATTTACAAACTAGAGTTTGTATTTTCCTAACAGATTAAATGAAAGCTTAAGTTCTTAGTTCTAAGATTCTTTGCGGGGAAGGGAATACGGTAAAGGTTTTAGAGTATTTTTAAGACTATCACAATCACTATTTCTCAATTTAAGGATGATTTTGCTTGCAACCCTGAAAAGTACCAAAAAAAGTTTAGATCTGGAATTTTAACCTACATGTACATATGCATGCACACACATAATGACAAATAAGATTGTTTCCTGCATTTGCACTTAAGCATCTACGATTAGACACATTTATTACAGAAATAGAGTGTGATTCATGATTGAATTATACTAGGTCTCTTTGATTGCTAAGATGAGGAACTGTAAAATCTCTTGTTTGGTCAGCTTCAAGAAGAAAATGATTGTCTTGAGAAGTCTTCACTAGGCATATTGTAGTATAGAAGGGATCAAAGCAATGAAAGCAATGAATTCAATTTTCTAAAAATAAACACTCTCAAATATTTTCCCAAGCAATTGTCATCTCGTGTTTGACTTGGGGGATGGCGTGTTAATTACTAAACTCCAAGTCCCTCCACAATGTTGGGCATGGCATCCTCCTGGCTGCTGATCTGGCTATTTTCATTCAGCATGTGGCTGACACTTTCAGTGATTCTCATCATAAATATTTTGCTGCCACATCGCAAAGGAAGAGTAGAAAACAAAGCAGCACGCAGAGGCTGAAAGGGGTGGGTTTCCTTCATTTGCCTTAGTCAAAACATCACATGACCTTCCTATCCCACCCTCATGATTCATTCTATTAGTCTTCTTAAAGGGTGGCATGTTGAGGATTAGTGAGGACCATTTTAATATAGTTAAGTTTGCTTGCAATTAACTACAGGTTGAATATCCCTTATCCAAAGTGCTTCAGATTTAAGATTATTAAAAATAAATTTTGGGATATTTACATTGTACTTACCAGTTGAGCATTTCTCATCCAAAAATCTGGAATCTGAAATGTTCCAGTGGACATTTCCTTTGAACATCATGTTGACCCTCAAAAAGTTTCAGATTTTGGAGCATTTCAGATTTCGGATTTTTGGATTAGGGATACTCAACTTGTACAAAGGGACCGCACTTAAAAGCATATTAGAAAAATAATACAACTCAGGACATATAGATTCTCACAGAGTTTCATAAAGCAAAGTTCGGAGCCACATAATAATAGTATGTTGAATTTATAATTTGCTTTTAAAGCAGCTTAATTACACTGAGCCTGAATTGCCTAGTGCATAACCTACATTATATATAGTAAGCACCATCTGCTAGCATGCTAGCAGTCATCAAAGAGAATCATCAAGACACACACCACATTCCAGTAGCACTTAATCTACTTAGGTACTTGTTCAGGTATTCTTAAACGGTGGTCCAGACCAAAGGAATTTTATAACATTCCTTGTATAACTCCGGAATTTGCAATATTACTGTTGAGAGACTAGAAAATATTGAAAGTTTGTGTGTAAAAGAGAGCTCATTATAATAAAGATACGTATTCACAAGGTAAGGCGGAAAGTGATTCTTTCCATGGATCTTTTATTACGTGACACAATGTACCACAGCAACTAAACTGCTCTTCAGCAGCTCCACCCTCAGCCAGCCTGGACAGAAGGCAGCATGGAGACACACTGGCACAGAGATCAGTGCTCAAGCATTGAACCCAGATCTGTGCCTGTGCAAGACAGGGCAGGCATATCTACTATGGAGGAATGTGATAGTGGGTCACAGAAAATACAGTTTGAGTCATGAGAAGTCACGGGGAGGCTTCCTTATTTCCATTTAGGTTCAGCCTCTAAACCTCTGCCCTGCACACACCCACACAGGTCCCACAGTCTACAAAGGGATAGTTTGTATTAGACAAAGAGAAGCAAGCATGTCACAGCGTTCATTCGTTGATTAGAAATATTTATTTTGTACCTACTTGTTCCAGGTACTCTTCTATGTCTTAAAGATAGGAATGACAAAAAAGTTCCCATAGAACTTTCACACTTCTCAGAACTTCACATGACTTAACCCATTTACCGCTCATAAAAATCTGCGTGGAAAGTGCAGTCATCCCCATTTTATAGATGAGAAAACAGAAGCCTTGAGAATGTAGCATAACTTGTCAGAAACAGCTTACAGACCCATTTCTTAACCATTTTGCTGTTTCTTAACCATTTTGCTGCTTTGTTTGTGGATCCTTGGAATGGAAAGGTATGCTTGGGAAGAATGGGGACAGGGAATTGAGAAGGTGGAAAAACAGCATTTTCTGCTTAATGTAACAGGCACTGAGCTAGGTGCCACATGAGGATTATCTAATTTTGTTCTGTAACATTTTACAAATGAGGTCAGTTTTCTAAGGATTACAACCAGTTAAGCCGAAGGATCAGGAATTGTTAGATTTGAAGGGCTTGTGATTTTTCCTTTATACTATACTGCCACAAAAGAGAAAAACAAAACCAGAAAATAAACATTTGAAAGCCTGTTTTTCAAATTTGTTTCAGTACTTCTTCAACAATCCATGTGTATGTTGTGTGTGTGTGTGTTTATTGAATTGTTTTCTTTATTAAAACCATAATTAATTAGTATCCTTCAGAACTGCTATCAGATTTAGTAGCTTAGTGAATGTGTGAATGAAATGAATAGGTATTTCTGGCTTTAAAAAGAATTCTCATTTTATGTCCAACATGTGTGTTGGCCAGACTTCTCACATCCTTTTTTATTTTTGAGAAAAGAAAAAAAATGATGTGGCAACATCATTTGAAAATTTTCACATCCTATTTCACAGAAATTTTCAGTCTTTGAGAGTACAAAACATGAATTTTTAAAAAACAATTAAAAATGGACTAATGGTATGACATAACAATATGTTTTTGTATTTTCAGTTTTTCCCCATGCATCACTGGCACATAGTGACAGATGCAGTCACATAAATGGTAATAATTTCCTTGGCCACATCCCTGCTTGCTGATAGAAGAGCTCAGCTCTCTGGATAGAATCCCTCTGGTTTTCCTGGGAACTCCCTCCCCCAGACTGCCCAACACACACTGATGATCAAGTTGGCTTTCCAGTCCTGGTTCGGCATCTGCTGGGTGCCTCAATGTCTACCAGACCCCTCCAACCTCATGGCATCTGGGGTACTGGAGGCCTTCATGTGTTAAAACTCCTTAGGTTTCTGCTTCAAATGGGAAAGGCTTCTTTCAGGGTGATCAAAGAAGTGCTGCTCCTCTTCTAAAGTCTTGACTAAGATGTTAGTAAAGGTTCTCTTCTGATTTTTTTCTTCATTTTCCACGTGTCCTATATGAGAGTCCAGCAGGGCTGAAGTAACAGGTAAATCCAAGGAAGAGATGCCATGTTTACTCAGATCTCCTCTCACCTCCAGTAACCAAAGCTTTCCGTTAAGCTCATTATTCCAGACTATCTTTTCCATCAGAAAAAGAATTTTCTGGGGGCCACCCAGTCCCATTGCAAATAGACTTCTGGAGGGTCCACCTTTCCAACTTCATAAACATGCCCCCAAAAGTCCAGTGTACTCTCAGACTCAAATTGAGATACCTCATAGCATGACCTAATACCTACCGGAAACTAAACGTTACAAACATTATTCTATTTCATCTTTACAACAACTCCATGAAGAAAAAATATCTCTGTGAGTCAGTTGGGCTAAGAGAGACTAAGAGACTTGTCTAAGGAAATGGAGAGCAAGGGACAGAAATGAAACATTCATGGCTTCTGAATCCACATTCAAGACTTTCCCCACTGTATCACAGTGTCTTAAGAAAATCTGACAAACAAATTTTAGCTTTTAAAAAAACATTATCCAAAAATTCTCATTCTTATAAGTCACACAGTGATATTTATGGTAAACTGCATATTCAACTAACCCAGAAATTCGAAATTCAGACACAGTAGTATTCAGTTGTGCTACTAAAACCAATTGTTTTCATTTTCCCTTTTGGATTGTCATTAGTTGCATGTGGTAGATAAGACATCAGATTTAGAAAAAAAAGCATTGATTTGATTGATTCCAACTGTAAATCTTAAACGCATTTTTCAATTTATGGGATCATAGTTGTTCTCCTAGGCCCCTGGGTTATAGTACATAGGCCTCTGGATTACAGTACAATTTCCTATGCAAACCAGGTTATTTCCTGACAGATTTTAAGACTCAAGATTGGAAAAGATAGAAATTTAAAATATTTCCACTTTCTTCCCAGTGACCAATTAAAATATAAATGTATATAGTGGGATTATTGAATTATATAAGCATTTATGTCTCAATGAAATAACAATCTATAGCACACTACCACTGAAAAAAAAAGACTGTACCTGTCTCCAGTTACACATTGTATATGATATTAACTGTGTCTCTGTGAGTGCTCACATACATAAGCACTCCACATGGTTTAGCAGTCAGACAAATGTTTTGTGTGGGTGATCTGAGACTCCATAACATAAACCACTTACTCAAAAAACCTATTGGTATCTCTCTAAATCTGTGCCAGCTGGACAAGCTAATAGTTATATTGAGAGTTTCTCTTCCCTGGTGCTTATCGCCTACACAATAAGCTATTTGACTACCAGAAACTATTTGAGTAGGGAGAGATTTTAGTAGAAATGTTTGCTAAAATGCTAGAGGTCAAAGACATAAGCTTGATTTCAAAATGAGAACTAGCATGTTGTGGATTAAAAGTCTACAAAATATTTTAAAATAAAAAATACACACAGACATATATAAATATATTACCTAGATTTGATAGCAAAACTATAAATCCATCTCCTCTTGCCATTTTCTTTCCTTACCATATGTGCTTTTTAGCCACAGATGCAGGAGTGTTGGAGCTTCTGGACCTGTGGATAGTGTTTCCATACTTTCCTGTTCCTCCTAGTTTATAGGAATTTCACACTTGTCAACATATATCCGCTCCATAAAGGATGTCTGAAGTACAATCATCTTAAGAGAGGTCTTTTCTCAGAAAGATGTTAAAGCTAGGAGATTTTTGCATATTTTTTGTAATAAGTTATAATGATAAAAATAATAAAATTTATAAAGAACTATACAGTTAAAAAATTCACATACATTTTTATATTAATATATGACATTTAATATGTCACATTAATTCTTGCAAACTCCATGTTATAGGTTTTGTTGTCCCTATTTAATGAAAGAGAACTATTTCATTCTTTTTTCAAGGTCACAAATGGAAAAAGTGACTCTAGGTCTCATCCTCTTCACTAGATGGTTGTGCAAAGCATGCAAAGTAAACAAGTATATACTAGACACAAAATGCTTTGAAATGAACAAATATCCAGAATTTTGTTATTACATAGTTTATCTTTCTTTGCTTTATAAAATTCATTCATCACAGTTCAGGGATGGTTTGATAAATGTTGAACTCCAAAACCCCATTTTATGGAAAGAAAATTGACTCTGAGAGAGAAAGTGATTTTCTCATTTTCTGCACTCACAATTAACAATGAAATTCAAATTGGATTCACATACCAAGTGAAGTGTATTTACCTGGACTTCAGACTAGATATACAACAGAAAGTGAGAAAAAACGATGAATTGTGCATGATAGGACAAAGGCAGGCAGATTGCATGTATTTTCATAGTTACATAGAGATGCCAGCTAGCCATCCAAATTCAGGACTGTCTGCCATAGTGTAACATTTAGTTGGGAATAGCTGCTGAGTTGGGAATTGCAGTTCCCTTTCCATTTAGTTGAGGCATGAGAGTAGATCTCTCCAATGGTGCCATAAGCAGCAGCATGGTCAATGGTGTGTTTTCTCTAAGTTTTCTTCTCCTTCTCTCAACATAGTGTAAAATGAGGCCCCAAGTGAGGGGAGAGCCCTAAAGTGGAAGTCATGTAGGTCTTTGAATCACCCTGTGAAGAAAAGCAGCCTACTAGGAACACCCAGGTCGGACTGTGGTATAACCGAGAAATAAACTTTTGTTGCAGGCTGTTGAAACTTTGGAGTTAGTATAGCAACTAGTGTTATTTAACTAATATAAAATTGAACATGTATTTAAGTAAAGAATTAATATCATTAAATGATAGATAAAACTATACCCTAAATAAGTTTTAAATTATGAAAGAAAATAAATTATTTTTAAAATTGTAAATATTGCATAAGCTAATGCATATTTCCCTTTTTTAGAGATGATGGATAAAAGATTACTTTTTACTAGTTGATATAATTTGTAGATGGAATTCTAGTTGTATAGGCATTATCTCATTATTTAAGGAAGTGATATATAACAAGGATTCTTTTCTGGTAGCTAATCTAGTTTATAGATGGAACTCTAATTATATAGATACTATTTTATTTTGCTCTGAAATGCACAAACACAACCTTCTGCCAGTACTATGTTATTAACCAGAGAAGTGATCTTTAAGCAAATTGGAATTTGGAGAAATCTTGTCACATTTGAAATAATTAACTAATTGACAAATAAGAAAATGTATATATTTATGGTATACAATGTGATGTTTCAGTATATGTATACATAGTAGAATAATTAAATCAAGCTAATGAACAAGTTAACATATCCATCACATCACATACATATTTTATTTGTGCTGAGAACATTTAAACTCTACTCTAAACAATTTCTAAGTAACTATGTATTATTATTATAGTCACCATGCTGTACAGTAGATCTCCAGAGCTTATTCTTTCTGTGTAATTGAATACAAATTGTACCCTTTAACCAACATCTTTCAATTATCCATCCCACGTTCCAACTCCCAACCCCTAATAACCATCATTCTACTCTCTGCTTCTCTGAGTTCAATATTTTTAGATTCCACATATACGTGAGATCATGTAATATTTGTCTTTCTGTGCCTGACTTATTTCACTAAGCATGATGCCCTCCAAGTTCATCCACATTGTCACAAAGAACAAGATTTCCTTCTTTTTTTAAGGCTAAATAGTATTCCATCATGCATGTATGTCACAGTTTATTTAGCCATTCATCTGTTGATGGACACTCAGGTTGTTTCCATATATTGGCCATTGTGAATAATGTTGCAGTGAACATGGAAGTGAAGATATCTCTTTGACATATTGATTTTACTTACTTTGGATATATATGCAGAGGTGGGATTGCTAGATCATACAGTAGCTTTATTGTTAATTTTCTGAGGAACTGCCATATTGCCTTTCATAATGGCTGTACTGATTTATATTCCTACCAACAATGCAAGGATTCCCTTTTCATCACATACTTACCAACATTTATCTTTTTATTTGTAATAAAAGCCACCCTCACAGCTGTAAGGTAATATCTTATTGTGGTTTTAATTTGCATTTCCCTGATGGTTAATGATGTTGAGGACCCTTTCATATACCCGTTGGTCTTTTGGATGTCTTCTTTTGAGAAATGTTTATTCAAGTTTTTGCCCATTTTTGAATTGTGCTATTTGTTTTCTTGCCATTTCATTGTTTGAGTTCCTTTTATAATTTGGATATTAACCCATATCAGATATACATTTTGCAGATGTTTTCCTCCCCTTTTTGTAGGTCTCTTCACTCTGTTGATTGTTTCCTTAGCTGTGCAGAAGCTTTTTAATGTGATGCAATTCCATTTGCCTATTTTTGCTTTTGTTTCTTGTGCTTTTGGAGTTTCTTATCACAATTTAAAAGGTATCTCATCATCTCTAGTTGTGTGTAGATTCATGTTGGATGCATTTATGCGCACATTCCCAATGATGGTGACCAAGAGCCAAGAACAAGAGATAGAGATCTAGTTAAGCATTTTCTATCTGTGAGACTTGAACAATTAACTTTACCTCCCTGAGTCTCAGTTTCCTCATTTGTAATATGAGAACAGTAATACCTAGACTATAAGATTTTTGTGACAGTAAAATGAGATGATACAAATAAAACTATCTTTTTATCCGTAAGTCAAAATTTAAATGTTATTCGTTATTGTTATTTATTGGCATTTGGTATTCATGACAAAAAATAGAAACTCATAGGAAAATTTGGCTTAAATTCAGCAGAAATTCACTTTCTGCAGCAATGCCTGAATATATATATATTTTAAAATATTTCTATGTTTCGCTGAGCTTTTTTCTGTCTTGCAGTGGGTTAAAGGAAAAGGCAAGTTAGTCATCTGAGATGAGCCATACAATGTACTCTTGTAGGTCAAGATGGAGACATGTTAATGGAGAAAAGATATCATTTATTTACAAACATTTCAGTTAACTGAAGAGACTCTACGCATAGTCAACTGAACTCAGAGCTTCCAGAGGTCACTGCGCGTAGGAAAAAAACTAAGTAATCATCAGAATTAATCATACTGACGCCTGTTTGTCTGATATTTTTTAGAATATTGTGGGAAGCTAACAGCAATGAAATTTGGCAAGCAATTTGGAATTTGTGTGTGTGTGTGTGTGTGTGTGTGTTTTATAAAATGTGATCTTTAGATGGTACTTCAGCTTTGGCCCAAATCCCATCCTCTAGAGTCTGGGCAAACCAAGTTTTCAAATACAAGAGATGCCAAACAGCAATTTGTGAAAGGGAAGAGGGTGGTGATAAATTTAGTATTCGTGCATGATGTGAAATTTTATAAATTTGTTATCAGTTAGAGAATAACTATACTAGAGAGCTCATAAAAGGTGATATTTGATACCAGAATTTAGGTAGAAGAGACGTATTCTCTAAATTTATAACTTGATTTATTAATTGAACACTTACTTAAGTTTTACTCAGAACGCTTCAGGCAAGACACAATATCTGGGTGTCCCTAAGAAATCAGAAGATAGGGCTCAAGATTATAAGCCATAGACAGCACCACAGAATGTCTATTAAAAATAAATAAAATGTACAGCTTATTAGGAATTGAAACAAATATGGGTAGCCATGGAAATAAAAAATGGTGGTGGTGATACAATGAGTTTTCATTTGGACAGATATTGAAGCTATAATAATGATTGAAGTTTGTTGTATGTCAAGTAAGAAAATGAAGAAGTCTCAAACGTTCCACACATTATGACAATTACTTGGCATTTGTCTCTATAGGGGCTCTAGAGTTCAGGATTAAAATCCAGTGCTCCATGGAAACAACCGTTTAGAAGAAAAATTTAGGAAATTAAGTGACAGGAGTCTCACAGTGACATTTGTACAGTATATTCCACAGCACTTAGATGACCCTCTGCTTTGAAAATGCAGAAAACACAAAGGGTTTGCTGCTCTTATTCCTAGCCACAGTGGAGTAATGGAAGACTTGGATAGAAGGCAATAGATAACAGCTGCTCAGCTGTCTTGAGTAATTTGAAGTTTAAGTCCTTGCTTGTTTCCCTTTGTCTAAATGTTTCTCTTATTATTAGATCCCATTTTTCAATCTTTTAATCATCCTTGTGGCTCTTCTCTAAACTTGCTTCAAATTCTCGAACTTTCTGGTAAATTGTGCAGCTCAGAACTGAACACATTTTTTAAGCCTTCTATAATTAAAGGTTTTTTGTTTTGTTTTGTTAACAGTTATATAGGTGCTCAAATATTTTAAGTATAATTTTTTAAAGTTTCTCTTGAAAGCAGGAAGTTATAGCATTTTAACAGTAACCCAATGCAAATACATGGAAGTTTAGTCTTATTTACCCTTGGGCACGATAATGACATACTATTATTTCCCCAATTATATTAAGCCAGTGGTAGCTTGATTTGGATAGTGACATATTCAGACATACTCAAAGACTGTTTACTAGCCTTTTGTAGTATAATAAACTGGCCTTTCTAAAAAGGTTTTTATACAGTTAGGTTGATTGAACAATGTTTTTAGAAGTAAAAACAGACATTAGAATTTACTCGTGGAAACAAATAGCATAGTTGTCATCTCTAATTCAGTTTGAATGACTGACTTCTATTGAAGGTGTTCTCATGAGCAATGATGCATCCTACTAGTGTATATAAATAGACGATTCAGTTCTTTGGGGCATATTTTTCAGAGCTCAAAAGTATTCAATTTCTAAATTACACTATATGTTCACCATAAATGCACAAATTTATTCCTTGACTTTAAAGCCTGACATTTTAAGCTTTGTATGAAATACTGTTGCCTTGAGGGAAAGGAAGGACAGAAATGGGTAGAGGTCAGGATAAATTTTATATGTAGTTTTAGAATTATTTGTCAATGCTAGCCTCTATACCTTCTCACTGTAAAAGATTATTTATTTCCCAGAATAAAAGATACTTCTAAAAGGAGATCCCTTTGCATCTTGTAATAATGTACACTTAGAATATATTCTTTTTAATTTTTTTTAAAGACTAGCACAGTTGTATATTTTAATTAAAGGTACTCCAATTCAGATCTACCTATGCTTATGGCACATGAATATATCTAGAGGACAGAAAATGAACTTTTAAAACTATTTGATAGATTAGGCAGTAATTATAATCACTGGACTAATCTTGATGTGTTGTTGAAACTTCAGATAACTATTTTTGTGGGATTTGCTGAGTAAAATAAAAGATCTGAGCATGTTGAATTATACTTTAAATTTCAAAGCTTTTTAAGATAAGAGAAATTCTGAGGTTGGCATGTCCCAAATAATGAGGTTTGGTGATACCTGTCAAGGCTATGGAGCTCCTGAAGACCAGTTACAATATAGATTTTCACTACTGCTTCTCTATAATGAATAGTTCTGCTCCCTTCCAAATTTATATTTCATATCACATTTGTTTAACAACTGTTTAAGTGAATCTGGTTTGAGTATGTCTGTTAGATCCAGTTCTTATTAGAACAATGCCTGACATCTTAGACTAGCATGAGAAAAAAAGGAAAAAAGAACAATGCCTGACAGTTGTTTAGAAACTAAATTCAAAGTATTGAAAAGAAAAGAATTGTTCACACAGTTATTCACTGACATGATATTGCTTATTGATGACGTCATGGGCGATATCGTTTCATGATCAAGCATTCCGTCAATGCCAAAAGAAGAAAAATAATATTTTTTTCAGACTTATAGAAAACTTGAGTTGATATCACTGATTCAGTGTGTTTTTATGAAGATAAATTTCTTGATCTGTCATGCGGCAAATTCAGGATTAGAAATTCAGCGATTTACTATTAGGTTATATTAAATGCTTTTTAGGAAGAATTTCAAATAAAGATGAGATTTTAAAAACATGACAGTTGTTGTTCTTTTGCTGTTGTTTTTAGAGCAAATATTTTTTCTATTTTGTTGATTTGGATTATGTTAATAGATACAGAAAAACAGCAAGAAAAACGAGAACTTCTGTTATTTGAGAGGAAAAGCAAATTCCTACATCCTTCTGTCTTCAAGTGCTGTCAATCTTCCTTTGAAATATGGGCATAGTAGGTTCTCCCATTTCTGCTTCCAGATTTAGACTCTTTTAATCCCTCATGCAGTGTGTCATAATGACTTCCTAATTGTCCTCCCTCCTTTAATGGCTGGCCAGTAATCTTGTGAACAACCTATGCAAGTTTTGCTTTTTCAAAAAAAAATTAAAATCACTGCTCTTCATTGCATTCATCTATTCATTTCTATAATTTTGTTATTTCAGTAATGTTATATAAGTGGAATCATATACTGTGTATATTTTTAGGATTTTTTTCACTCATAATTCTCTGAAGGTTTATTCAAGGTGTTGCATGTATTAACAGTTTATTCTTGGCTATTACAGAGTAGTATTTCACAGAGTTTGTTTAACCATTCCAATTGAAGGGCATCTGAGTTGTTTTCCATTTGAAACTATTACAAATAATGCTATTATGAACATTTATGTACAAGTTTCTATGTGAACATAATTTTCATTTCTCTGGGATAAGTGCTCAGAGGTGCATAGGATGTGCCATAGGATAGTTACATATATATATATATATTTTTTTTTTTTTAGAAACTGCAAATGTATTTTCTAGAATGACTGAGCTATTTCATATTCTCACCAGAAATATATGAATGATTCAGTTTCTCCACATCCTCACCAGCATTTAGTGTTTTTATAATTTTAAAATTGTATTCATTCTGATAGGTGTGTTGTAATATCTCAGTGTGTTTTTAATTTGCACTTTCCTGATGGCTAGCGATATTTATCATTTTTATGTACTTATTTGTTATCTGTGTATCCACTTTAATAAAATAACTGTTCATGTCCTTTGCCAATTTTACAATTAAATTCTTTAGGTTCATCTTTTTTAAAAAAATTTTCCAGTCACGTTTTGAGAGTTCTTTACTTATCCTAGATACTAATCCTTTTGCCTAATATATGCTTCGCAAATATTTTCTCTCAGTCTGTAGCTTGTTTTTTTTCATTCTCTTAATAGGATATGATGCAAAGAATACATTTTTAATATTGATAAAGTCTAATTTATTATTTTTTTCTTCTATAAGTCATGGTTATAGCTTCAGGTTTAAAAACTCTAGCCCTATATCCCAAAGACATTTTTTTCCTAAAAGTTTTATAATTTTATATTTTACATTTAACTTTGTTATTCCTTTCGAGTTCATTTCTATATAAAGTGTAAGGTTTAGGTCAAAGTTCATTATTGGTCCAATTGCTTGTCCAATTTACGTCCAATTGCTTCAGCACCATTTTGTGGAAGGCTATTTTTCCTCTATTGAATTATTTTTGTATCTTTGTCATGGAAAGCTGGGTATATTGGCCAGCCGCGGTGGCTCACGCCTGTAATCCTAGCACTTTGGGAGGCTGAGGCCGGCAGATCACGAAGTCAGGGGGCGGAGACCATCCTGGCCAATATGGTGAAACCCTGTCTCTACTAAAAATACAAAAATTAGCTGGGCGTGGTGGCACGTGCCTGTAATCCCAGGTACTTGGGAGGCTGAGGCAGGAGAATCGCTTGAACCAGGGAGTCGGAGGTTGCAGTGAGCCAAGATCATACCACTGCACTCTAGCCTGGTGACAGAGCAAAGTCGTTTTTGACTTTTTATTAACATTTTATATTTTTCAGCATGGAAATTCTGTGTTTTGATAGAATTATACTGAATTATTTAATTTTCTTAAGTGATTATAAATAAAATTGTGTTTTTGTTTCCAGTGTTTATTGTTAGTGTATAGAAATGCAATTGATTTTTAAAAATGTATATCTTGTATTTTGTGACCTTGCGGAGCTCACTTTTTAATTTTAGGAGATTTTTTCTTTGCATGATCCATAGGATTTTCTATTTCAATAATAATGCCAACTGCACACAGCACAGTTTATCCCTTTTTTTCTCAATTTACATGCCATTATTTCTTTTTCTTGTTTTATTGCACTGGCTAGAACTTTGAGCACTATGTTGAATAAGAGTGGTAACAGCAGATAGATGTTGTTGCCTTGTTCCTGATTTTACAGAGCAAGCATTCAATCTTTCATTCTTTATAATTTTAGCTGTGATATTTTTGTAGATGCTGTTTATCAAGTAGAGAAAGTTATTCTCAATTTTTATTTTTCTGAGAGTTTTTAAAATTATAAATGCATGTTGAATTTTTCAAAAATCTTTTTCTTCATAGAGTATATGATCATATGCTCTTTCTTCTTTAGGGTGCTCATTTGATGGGTTATATTAATTTATTTTCAAATATTAAAGTAGTCTTAAACCACTTGGTCATGATGTATAATAAATTCTATTTACTAATATTTTGTTAAAGATTTTTGCATCTATATTCTTGAGGGATATTGGTCTGAAGCTTTCTTTTGTTTTGTTTGGTACTGTCTTTGGTTTTGATATCAAGGTAATATTAACTTCATACAATGAATTAAGAAGTGTTCTGTTTTCTTCCCTTCAAGAGATTGTGTAGAATTGGTGTTAAATTTTCTTTAAAAGTTTGGTAGAATTCTCCAGAGAAATTATTTGGCTTGGAGATTAATTTGGGATAGAGATGAGTTTTTAGCTTATGAATTCAATTTACTTAATATTTAAATATCTGTTCAAATTTTCTATGTCATATTGGATAAATTGTGGTAGTTTTCTGTTTTTTTTTTTCCTGAGGAATAGTAAAATTTCTTCTAAGTTATTAAATTTAGTTATGCAGAGATGTTTGTAGTATTCACTTACTATCTTTTTGATGTCTTCAGGATCTGTTTTATTCCTGATGTTGGCAATTAGAATAATCTTTTTCCTTTTTTGTCAGTCTTGCCAGAAGTTTGTCAATCTTATTGATCATTCAAAGAAACAGCTTTTCGTTTCTATTTTTTTTTTGTTTTCATTTCCATTGCTTTTCTGCTCTTATCTTTATTATTGCTTTCCTTGTGCTTACTTTATTTAGATTTACACTGGTCTTCTTTTTATAGATTCTTGAGGAGCAAGCTTGAATTACTGATTTGAAGCATTGTCTCTACCCTAATCTAAGTGCTATCTATACATCTGGTGCTATAAATTTCCCTCTTAGTCCTGCCTACATTTGTCCTCAAAATTTCGGTATGGTGTGTTTTTATTTTCATTCAGTTGAATATATTTCTCGGATTTTTCTTAAATCTTCTTTTTTGGCCAATGAGTTATTTGGAATTGTGTTGTTCAGTTTTCAAGTCTTTGAGGATTTTTCTTTCTTTCTATTATTGATTTATAGTTTGATTTCCTTGTTATCAGAAAACATACTCTTCATGGTTTCAATTCATATGGCCCAGTATATGGTCTTTCATGGCATACATTTTATGGGTGCTTAAAAAGAATGTATATTCTTCTGTTGTTGTGTCCTATAAAAGTCTATTAGATTCATTTAGTTAAGAGTGTTTTAATCTTCTATAATCTTGTTGATTTTCTGTCTAGTTGTTCTATCAGTTGTTGGATAGGGGTGTTGAAATTTCCAACTTTAGTCGTGGAGTTGTATAGTTTTCCTTTTAGTGATATTGCTTTTCATTTCACATCTTTTGCATCTTGGTTGTTTGATACGTATACTTTTATAATTGCTATGTCTTCTTGGTAGATTGACCCTTTTGTCATTATATGGTGTCTTACTCTAATTCTTTTGTTTTCTCTGTTCTATTTAATCTGATACTATAATAGAAGCTATTGCCACTGTCTTTTTATTAATATTTCCATAATATATCTTCTTTATCTTTTTACTTTAATCAGCTTGCATTGTTTTATTAATATTTGAAGTAAGATTCTTGTAGAAACTATATTTGGGTGGTATTTTAAAATCTGCTTTGCCAATCTTTGTCTTCCCAGTGGCATGATCATAGCTTTTTGTAACCTTGAACTCCTGGGCTCAAGCTACCCTCCCAACCTAAGCCTCCTGAGTGGCTGTGCTGCGCCACTACTCCTGGCTAACTTTTTAAAATTTTTTGAGAGATGGGGTCGTTCAAGGTTGAACAGGCTCACCTTAAACTCCTGGCTTCAAGTGATCTTCCCACCTTAGCCTCCTCAGTATCTGGGATTATAGGCATAAGCCACTGTACTGGGCTCTTAAACTTTTTTTTTTTTTTTTTTTTTTTTGAGACAGAGTCTCCCTCTGTCGCCCAGGCTGGAGTGCAGTGGCCTGATCTCGGCTCACTGCAAGCTCCGCCTCCCGGGTTCACGCCATTCTCCTGCCTCAGCCTCCCGAGTAGCTGGGACTACAGGCGCCGGCCACCACGCCCAGCTAATGTTTTGCATGTTTAGTAGAGACGGGGTTTCACTGCGTTGGCCAGGCTGGTCTCGAACTCCTGACCTCGTGATCTGCCCGCCTCGGCCTCCCAAAGTGCTGGGATTACAGGTGTGAGCCACCATGCCTGGCCAAACTTTTTAAAAATGTTACATTCTGACTTATCTGTATTGTTTCTAGAGTTTATTTCATTGTATAATTTTTTGGTGGTTGCTCTAGGTGTTACATTATACACACAAAACTTACCACAGTCTAATGGTAGTATGATTTTACCAGTTTGAGTGAAGTTCAGAAGACTTAATTCACTTTATATTCATTTACCTTCCCCCATTTATAATTGTCTTAAATATTTTCTCTACATACATATTGAACCATGTCAAACATTGCTATATATTTTTTAATTGCTTCAATCATCAAACATAGTTTAATGTTTTACCTATGTTTTATGTGTATTGTTTCTCACTGTGTTCTGTCTTCCTTCCTGGTGTTCTGAGATTCTAGTTTATTCTATTTTATTTTATTCCTGTTTAGAGAAATTTATTTAGCCATTCTTGTAGAGTGGATTTTCAGCAACAAATTCTCTTCGTTTTTCTTCATTTCAGAATATGGTGATTTTCCTTTCATTCCTGATATGTATTTTTACTAATTAAATATAGGATCCTAGGTTGATAGTTTTTTTTTTTTCCTTTCAGCACTTGAAAATGGTACCGATACTTCCTCCTGGCTTTATGGTTTCTGCTGAGAAATTTGCTCTTATTCAAATATTTTCCCGTATAGGTAACGTGTTATTTCTCTCTTGTTTCCATAAAAGTGTTTCTTTCTCTTTAGTTTTCTAAAGTTTGACTATGCTGTGTCTTATTTTACATTTCTGTAGATTTATTGTGTTTTTTATTCACTCAGCTTCAATCTGTATGTTTATGTCTTTCACCAAATTGGAAAGTTTTTCACTTTGATTATTTGATTTTATATTACTTTGATCAATTCTTCAGTTCCTCTTTTTTTTTCTCATTTATTTCAAGGACTCCAATGGCAGAAATGTTTGTTTTTTTTGTTTGTTTGTTATAGTCCTCCAGGTCCTTGAGGCTCTGTTCATTTTTTTTTTCAGTCTATTTCCTGTCCTCCTGTCCGTTGCTGAAATTGCATAATTTCTATTGTTCCATCTTTCAATTCACATATTCTTTCCTGTAGCTCCTCCATTTTGCTGTTGAGCACTTTCACTGAGTTTTTAAAATAATAATTAATAATTTCAGTTACTGTATTTTCTGAGTTCTAAAATTTTCATTTGGTTCTCCTTTGCATCTTTTATTTTGTGGCTGAGATTTTCTATTTCAGAGACTTTCTGTTTTTCTGTTTCTCTCAAATGTGTTTGTAATTGCTTATTGAAGCATTTTATGATGGCCTCCTTATCATCTTTGTCAGCTAATTTTAATATCTGTCATTTAGATGTTGCCATTTATTGATTGTCTTTTTTCCTTCAGTTTGAGATCTTCCTTGTTCTTTGTGGGATGATTAATGATTTTCTATTGAGACCTGAATATTTGGAATATCATGTTATAAGAGTCTGGAACTCACTTAAACCTTCTGTTTTAGCTTATTTACTGTAACCCCACCTCAGTAAGACAAAGATGGGGGTACCTCATCACTGTCCAGTTGGGGGAGAAGTGCAGGTGTCCCCCTCAGCCTCCATTGATACCTGAGGAGTGAAGGATCCATGTTACTCCTGGGTCAGAGTGGAATTGCTGGCTCCCCACTAGGCTTTTACTCATACCTCTCTGGAAGTGGGTAGAGGAGTAGTGCATTTCCTTGTTATCAGAAAGCACGCTCTCTACAGTTTCAATTCTTATGACCTGGCTAAATTTTTATGGGTGCTTAAAAAGAATGTATATTCTTCTGTTGTTAAGTTGTGCTCTATAAATGTCTATTAGATTCATTTTGTTGTCAGTGTTGTAATCTATACTCTTGCTGATTTTCTGTCTAGTTGTTCTATAAATATCAATGTTGAGATAGGAGTGTTGGAATTTCCAACTGTTAGTGTTGGATTTGGAGAAATGGCCTCTTTATTGCTGGCGGTTGCTAAAGTTCTGACTCTCCACTTAACATTCTCTGACACCATCTCTGTGGAGGGAGGTTGAGGCACCTCAGCATAGCCTACCATGGGTAGAAGCCCAGGCACTTTGGTCCCTCCCTCAGTATTTGCTGGTGTGGGAATGAGCATAAGTGGAGCTGTAGGTTTTTTCTTCCCTCCCCGCCTCTGGTGTTTAGCTGGAATAGTCATTGTCTAAATATTTGTTTTTGTCTTTATTTCGATTTGGTCTTAGACTGCCTCTTTCCTGGTCCTTTTCCTACAGAGAAAAGGCTTTATTTCTTATATATTAATTTTTTGTCCATGCCTATCAGTGATTTCAGCTTCTTAGCTTCTTTTCTTTTCTTTTCTTTTCTTTTCTTTTCTTTCTCTCTCTCTTTCTTTCCTTCCTTCCTTCCTTCCTTCTTTTTTTTTTTTTGACAGAGTTTCACTCTTCTCACCCAGGCTGGAGTGCAATGGAGTGATTTCGGCTCACTGCAACCTCCACCTCCTGGGTTCAAGTGGGTTCTCCTGCCTCAGACTCCTGAGTAGCTGGGATTACAGCTAATTTTTATATTTTTAGTAGAGATGGAGTTTCACCATGTTGGCCAGGCTGATCTCGAACTCCTGACCTCAGGTGATCCACCTGCCTTGGCCTCCCAAAGTACTGGGATTACAAGTGTGAGCCACTGCGCTCAGCCTGCTAGCTTCTTTAACTGAAAGTCTTGGATATATGAGACCAAATGAACATCTAGGGAACTCAGCATCATATCATTTCTTAGGTCCCAGGGTTCATAGCCAATCTGCCTTCTTTTCTTGTTTTAGAATCATCTGCTGCTTGTTTTACATGTAAGGTCCAGGGTTTTAGTTTAATTTGTGGGAGAAACAGGAACAAGTGCATCAACTTCATCTTCTCAGAGGTGGAGCCAGGAGTTGTGCATATTTAACCAGTGGTATATTTTTCTAACACATCAGAGAGTTAATTACTGCCTAATCTGAAATGCAGTTCAAATCTTATGAATCTCTACAAATGAATGATTTATTTCAGGTCTAAATTATTCTCTCTACTCAGCAAATACACTAAAGTAGAATGCAGTACTGATACCCATGACATTGTGAGTTATGAAAAGTAGGAAGGTTGTTTTCCTCTTATATAAATATATCAAGATGTTTAAGGATTCTGATATAGAAATGAATGGTATAGTACTTCAATACTTAGAAAAAATAAAATGTTTTAATTTGTTCAAAAAACTTCTAGGGTCTTACTATTGATATCATGATAAAACATTTCAGTCAAATGAGTTAGAGGGTAAAGCACTAAATCTCGTGTCCTGAGAGTTTTCCAGCCTGCTTAGGCAGATACCAGGAACGTTTGTTTTGTTCCTGAACACGTTAAACACCAAAAAATATCACAGAGTTAAGCATTAACTAGACAGCGATTTCAAGCACATAGAAAAACATTAGGAAAGAACAATCAAGAAATCCAAAGAAATTTTGCCTAAAATTAAACCCTATAGCGTAGGTCAAATTTTATTCAAATTTTTAAAGATTATAAGATTGCTGGGATAAAACAAAGTCACTGCAAAATAAATTAATTACTGAAATCTTGTGGTCTTTCTTTAAAAGTTATGTCAAGTAAAATAAAGCAAAACCTTGATTATCTATCATATTCCTAGCTTTGTGCTACCATTTTGGTTTTTGCAAAATAAACACTAGTAAAGCTGACTTTGATTTATGAAATTCAGCGGAACTTTGCCCATTTTGAAGATCTCTTTTGACTAATAATTTTCAGGAAAAAATATAATTATATTTCCTGTAAGGTTGTGCTGCCAGGCCATGCATGGTAGGCTACCTATACACAACAAGGTAATTACAGAAATGAAATGTATGCATTTAGAAACTTTTGTGGAAAGTTGACATTGCAACAACATCCAAATATGTGGTCAGTGTATTCATCTCACTGAACAGATTCTGGACCAGTCCAGGTACTACTGAATTTATGTGTGAGCCCATGGGATACATACTGCTCACTAGGCACGTGCATGTGGAACACATATTAGTTCTGGCAGATAAGAAATTTAAAAAACAGAAAATGGTGCCAGGCATGGTGGCTTACACCTGTAATCCCAGAACTTTGGGAGGCTCAGGTGAAAGGATCACTTGAGCCCAGGAGTTCAAGACCAGCCTGGGCAACATAGTGAGTTGTCTCTACAAAAAAAAAAAAAAAAATTGAAATAAATTAGCCTGGTATGGTGGCACACACCTGTAGTTAGTCCCACCTACTCGGGAGGCTGAGGCAGGAGGATTGCTTGTACCCAGGAGGCTGCAGTGAGCCATGTTCATGCCATTGTACTCCAGCCTGGATAGCAGAGTGAGACCATGTATCAAACAAACAAACAAACAAACAAACAAATGGAAAAATGGGTCCTTTACAGATATCTTAGCATTGCTGCCAAGCACATATTATGTGGGTCTTACGCAAACATATTTATTTTAAAACTATACATAAATTATAGCTAATTTAGCAAATTTCTAAGTCAGCTCAAGTAAAATTTTTTTTATTTTGTGATTAAAATATTGACTAGAATAAGAAAACACAGCTAATCATTTTAATCTTATAAAAACCCTACCACAAGACCAGTGTTGTCAGAAATTGTAAAATGCTAAGTTATATTAGATTTCATTATTCCTCAAAGTTTCAAAGAACAAAATAAGTATTCAAGGGAAATTTTTAAATCATTTTACTCAGGAGACTTTCCTGTGCATTGAAAATAAGAATATACAAATAATCTGTCCACTTCTCTCACCTCCATTCCACCATCATTACTCTTGACCAGTGGTCTTCAAAGTGCAGTTGTCAGACCAGCAATTTTAATATCACTTGGAAACTTGTTAGAAATACAAATGTTTGTTCTTCATTCCAGACCTACTGAGTTTAAATCTCTGAGGCTGGGACCCAGCAATCTGTGATTTAATAAGTCATCCAGGTGATTCTGATGCACACCGAAGTTTGAGAACCACTTCTCTTTACCAAGATATTTCCATTACTCTTGGTTACCACAATAGCTTCCCAACTCTAATTCCCTTTCATTCCTTTCTCAACTCTATAGTCTGATCAATATTTAACAACAACAACAACAAAAGTCAGGTTTCTCTACCTATTAAAAAAATCAATGATTTTCTAATACTCTCAGGCTAAAGACCAAAATGTTTAACGTGATCTGTAAGGCACTTTAGGTCTGGTGCCCAGTCCACCTCTCAGGTCACTTCTAACAGCACTCCCTCCGCCTCTCAGCCCTTGCCCCTCTGGCTTCTCTCACGCCTCTCTACTGGCTTATCCCAATTCTTTCCTGATTGATTATCTCTAACACACCCTTTAGGAGAAATCTATTTTTCAGGAAAGTCTTCTGTAGCTTTCCAGGTTAAGAGTCTCCTGCATAATTCTGTAAATGTATAATTCTGTTGTTTAATAGACCTTGTATCTCCTAGCATCTATCCCAATTGCAATATTATATTCACATGTGATTATTTGACTGTTTGCCCATCCCAATATCACAAATTAGTGTGTAAGCTCCTAGATAGAAGAGACCATGTCTGTTTTTTGCTTTTCCTTGTTTCCCCAGAGGCTGGCACAGTGTTTACTCTGAGGTTGACATTCAAGAAATATTACATAACTTAATAAATGGCTGACTGCCAAATAAATGGACCCCTAACCTAGGAGTGGCTCATACTGCAATGGGACAATGATGGATGACTCTCTGGCTGTGCTCCCTGTTACTACAGTTTTTTTTTTTGAGACGGAGTCTCGCTCTGCCACCCAGGCTGGAGTCCAGTGGCGCCATCTCGGCTCACTGCAAGCTCTGCCTCCCGGGTTCACGCCATTCTCCTGCCTCAGCCTCCCGAGTAGCTGGGACTACAGGCGCCCGCCACCATGCCCAGCTAATTTTTTGTATTGTTAGTAGAGACGGGGTTTCACCATGTTAGCCAAGATGGTCTCGATCTTCTGACCTTGTGATCTGCCCACCTTGGCCTCCCAAAGTGCTGGGATTACAGGCCTGAGCCACCGCGCCCAGCCGTTGCTATAGTTTTTACCTTCCATCCACCTCAGGAACAGATACTGTACTGACACCATCCCAGGAGCAACCATCTTTGAAAAATAGGGTAATTCTTGCTCTTTTTTTCTGCTGCTACAATACAGCAGAGTATCAGCAGAGTCCACCATACTGGAAGAATTTCCATCAAGTATTACAGCTCAGTGTAAATTTTCCCATACCAAGAATTGAACAAACCAGTCATCAGTGGCATTCTTTTTATGATTCACTGGGCTAAACTGGGGATTCACCATAATTTACAACTTTTTGTGGAAAAAATGAAATCCCATTTTTAAACAATATCCTTACAAACATACCTACTTGTTTTTAGGGATTCACTATGTAAGCAGTAATTTGTTTATTTTTTTCTCTCAACACTCCCACTTCTGCCAAATTCAAATGTTTTTCACCAGCCCAAAACCTTCCGCATCCCCCTCTAAAATTTAGGACAGAAATTATTAAATATTATACTTGATGACTTTTTAAAATCTATTCCCATTTATTCTTCCTCTGGTAATCCTTAAAGGATAAGAGCTCTTGAATATGCCCCTTAATTAGTGATGTTGGGAGAAATTCTGTATGGCAAACCTAAACTAAAAATAAATGTTTCTAAATTCTAAAACAGAGCTTCTATCCCTTCTTAAGGAGCTCAGTGACCTCTTTGCCTCTCACTCTGGGGCAAATCAGCATGCCTCAGCCACTGAATGTTTTTCCCACTGGGTTGGAGGATTCCAATAATAAATTAACTTACAGGAGTGAACAATGGAGTAACTCCCCTTAAGGCCAAATCAGATGCAATCTGCTCAAAGTCCCAAATCAAGGAATATTTTAAAAATGTGGTTAACATAATGGATATTATTCATGCTTTGATCTTTTCAACATCATCCTCACAAAACAATCATCATCTGCATCATCATCATAAAATATGAAGGTGTAATTTTTATGTGTGCCTGGTAAATAATGTATATATTTATAATTCGCATTTTATAAGTTGCAAGGAATGTGTACATATTTGTGAATAAATAGAATGTTTATGTGTATATATGTATGTATATCTTTCTACCTATGTAGAAAGTCATCAAGTACGTTATGTGTATATATGTATGTATATCTTTCTACCTGTGTATAGGTAGAACCTCCCATATATGCATGTGTGTATATACCTGTCTTTCTAACTATACATAGAAAGATATCTATGTATAGGCAGAAAGATAGGTATATACACACATGCATATATATATATATATGTATACACATATGTATATATAAAGATATATGTATGTGGTTTCATATGTGTGCATGTTTGTGTGTATATATACACACATGCATATATATACACCCATATGTATATATGAAGATATTTATAAAGAAAATATAAATATATTATCTTTATATACACATATCTATGTATATATACACAAACATGCGCATATATAGGGGCACATACCTATTTTATTAAAAGACTAAAGGCAGCAAAGTGGAGCTGTAAACATGAAGGATAAATCATTTCATACCTGGAAGAGTGCTGTCTAAACACTGCCCATCACCTAACCAAGAGTCATCATCCCTAACTTTTTTTCATAATTGACTATTTCAGTTAATAGCCCTAGGCTTCAAGAAAGGCTGCGCATCTTGGAAGTATTAGGGCATGAGTCATGAGTCTTGATTCTTCCAAATAAAATATGGTAACTCTTTCTAGTGATTTGTTTAGGAATGTATGTGTAAGATGATGATGGGAAGTCTACTGGAATCTCTGAGAGAAGATTTTTCTTGCAAAAAATAAAAAGACCTAATGAAAGAACACTCTGTTTGGACCGTTAGTCTCTTTTGGTGAACAGTAAGTGGTAATGAGAGAGGCTTAGCTGAGTTTTTGGCAGTTCTTTCAAAGCATGGGAGCAAATCTTATGTCTTGAAATCCATAAGGTAAATATTACTCAAATGTCTAGGTTGTAAAAATATATATTGTAGGCAAGAAGAAGTCAGTTTTTTAGTTATGTATTATTATATGATTCCCTGAGAGGCCATATGAGATAATACCAAAACCACACAAAGAAGAATGAGGACACTGATGTAGGACAGAATCTGGAACAGCCCAGAAACATTAAATGTGTCATTATAACAAGAAGTGTAGGTATCAGGTATAGGGACTGCAGCAGGTAGAAACCAGATCTTAGAACAGTCAGGAAAGTTCCCAGAGCATATTCGGAGTTTGTCTAGACTCAGGAAGTATGCCTAAGTCTAGAAACATCCTAGAGAGCTATGTCCAAGAAATCATCCGATATTTATACTTTCAGTACTGATAAGATTAGGCAGACCCTACAAAATTATTCCTCTTTTTCATTACTAGGTTATTTCTAAAATGAGATGAAATCCAAAATAATGATATTCTATATTCCCTATAGATAAGGATATGTACATTTTAAAAAATTATCTTTGATATAAAACATTGGTGTTGGTGTAATATTGACCATCATCTCTGCTTACCATTTATTTTATGTCCAGAAAAATAACGATCTTGTTTCAAAATGTACACAGTCAAGAGACTTAGAAAGTTAGTGGCCAACATGCTCAAAAATCTCTTGAGTTACAAAAATAAATTTTCTTTTCTATGAGGTCACCCACCTAAAGTGTAGGAACATAAGTGAGTCCTCAAAACCCAGCTTTACACAGGTTAGAAACTTGTCCTCTTAATTTAGTATTTTAAATTTAGTGATCCATGCAGTAGTGGACATGTTAATGTACATAAGGAAATTTTCATTTTATGTAATATCTGTGGTTTATCTATAGGAAATTTCTTTTTATATGAAAAAATCTTTCTTCAACAAAATGGATTTTGTAGTATTAATACACCTTGAGTCATTAGGTGTCTCCAGTTGATAAATATTATGTAATCTGATGGTCCTAAATGTATTGGATCAATTGTATGACAATCTGTTTGATTAATTGGCAATAAATATAGAAATGGCTCCAAAGCTGGTGATATTGTATCACTCTTTTGTTGTGGTATGAAGTATTGGCAGTATACAGCTAGAATGCTCACCTTGTCTTAATGTACATTCTTGAATCTACCATCTGAGTTATTTGGCCCATATTGTCAATTACATTGGCCGACAGTCTTTTATTTTTTAAGAGACAGAATCTCACTCTATCACCAGACTGTGCAGTGGTGCGATCATAGCTCACTGCAGCCACAACCTCGACCTCCTGATCTTAAGTGATTCTCCTGCCTCAGCCTCCCTAGTAGTATGCCACCGCGCCTGGCTAATTTTTTTAGAACATTTTTTGTAGGGACAGTTCTCTCTATGTTGCCCAGGCTGGTAGTGAACTCCTGGCCTCCAGGATCCACCTGCCTTAACCTCCCGAACCGCTAGGATTACAGGTATGAATCATGGTGTCCAGCTGCAACATTAACTCTGCTCCAACTGGACCTGAAGTGGAAAAAAATTGTTAACTTGCCTGTAGTATTTATTTTATACATATCTTCTACAGAAGAGATTTCAGAATTTATAGAAATATTTTAAAAAAATCATTTAGTGACAATAGAAATTTTAGTGTCATCTTCCTTATACATGCTTAAGCTCTTAAAATTTCATTCTCAAAGAGGAAATCTGGATGTAGATAATGAATATCATTAAAATGCGTATGTAGGAATTCTTGAAACTGACACTCGTTTCGGCAACTGGCAAACCTCCTCTACTGGAAACAGCCCTGGGCTAAGAGTCAGATGATTTGCACTCTGATTTACCAGCTAGAAACCTTGGATAAGAGACCTAACCTCCTTAGTCTTATATTCTCATTTGTTAAATGGATATGACCATATCTTCTTTAATTGATTTATGGGGTATGTTGTAAGCATTAAAATGATGAAGGAGGTAAAAGCTTTGTAGAACATGTATGCTATTTAGATACAGCCATTTTAACATGGCAATTTAGACTCAGTTGATCATTTTGATATTATTTAGCATAATTTTTAAAATAATGTATTGATTAGGAAAGATTTGGATAAATAGTTTAGAAAAACCCCACTAAATAATGATGGCAGAAACAATGTATTTTTCTCTCTGAAAAAATTCTCAGAGGTACCAATCCAGGGCTGGAATGGTGGCCCCATGATGCCGTCAGTGGACCAGGGGGCTGTCTCTCCTCTCCCTTGTCTTTGTATAGCTTCCATCCTTAACACTGCCTCAGTGAGTTCTAGCCACTTCATTTGTAGTCTCTGCAGGAGGAAGAAGGAGACGGAAAGGGTAAAAGGACTTCTTTCTCAGCTGTCATTCCACTGCAAAGCAAAGCATCTTCCTGGAAGACACACACAATGACTTCTGCTTGGCTACTCCAAGAGAGTCAAGAAAATGAGTCTTTAGCTGAGTTCATCAAGAGTTTACTGTGGTCTATAAAACAAATGATCAAACTTCTGCTTTTTCGTTACAAAAAAAAATAGTGAAAAGCAAATCTGTATCTCTTTCTTGAGACCCACTCTTCCCTATCCCTGAACCTCCCACGTCCCTACCCCTTCTCCCCAAGCTGAGAAATGGGACAGTAATGCTCAGATGGAATGAGAGATGGGCTAACGCTCAAAGATACCTCAGAAATGTGTACTTGGAAATAAAGAACATGTGTTTAATTTTTGACGTGGTCACTTTATTTGAAAATATTAAATTCTCATTTGTTAATTTTTTGGAAAATATTTATTGAACACCTACTCTGTGGTAAATATGACAGAAAATGTTTATACAGATGGTTATTTCAAAATGTAAGTGCATTAGAGATATTAAAATATGGCAAATTCAGAGCATAAATGAGGTGGGTACAGGGGCAGTATTTAGATGAGATGGTAGGAGGTAGAATTTAGACTGAAATCAAAAACCAGTTCTTTAAAAAATTGTGGTATTCCTACTATTAACACTGATGGCAAGCCTTATAACTCACTGGACACAAATGCATGTGAGGTCTTGTCACTTTGTTTCTTTTCCATGTAAGTCACTCTAGAATTGCCAGTGGTGGGTTATACAGGGGAAAAGAAATTATGAGAACCAGGCCCACATAAATATTTCTTCTCTTATTGTATTAATCACTTACCTACTGAACTAATTATCACTGCATGTGTTACTCTAATGTGATTAAACCATATTCAAACAGCATTGCTAATATCCCACGAGAAACTCAGTAAAACTCCCAACAGACCTAGGCAGTAAAAGGGAGCATCAATATAATCTTTTTCCCTGTTTTTACTTATGATGAAACAATACCATTTTGATTTTAAAATCATCTTGTTTTAGATTATGTATGAATGTAGTTATAGTATTTTTCACCAGCAACCGCTTGCCTTCTCTAAAGCTGACAATTCTTTTTTTTAGTATGAGGATTTAGATTCTATTTAAGTATTGTAACTATTAACAATAAAGTGACAGTTCCATCCAACAGCAGTCGTTGGGCACTTGCAATATACCATGTACTGTACCAGCACAAGATAAGACAAAAATAAAGTATCAGGAAAAAGGCTAGATTTCTTAAACCCACTTGCCCACGTCATCATGTTATATTTATGGGACCATGGCCACATACTGCCTAAACCCATTGAACCAAGAGTAAAATTTCCATTTCTACCTAGTCAACTTCAATCTATTAATGGCTCCTTTTTCAATGGGGAGAGTCTAGGTGCATTCACTTTAGATCATTATCTATGTTTGTGGAATCAATTTGTATCCATTTTAGACTATGGCCTATGCCAAGAAGAGGGGAGTTTATTACTTGCCTTCAGGGCTCTTGATTCATCTCCTTGCGTGAGCAGCCTGTGAGCCTGCCCAGTGTTTGAGAGGAAGCTCCTTGTATTGGAGCACATGTGGTTTGGCAGAGCCTGGTGTGAACATGTAAGTGCCAGTAACCAGTGCTGTGTTCCAACGCTGCATGCTCATTATAATCTCAGCCTGATCATTATCATGCCTCTGGCAGGGCCTGCTTCAAAGGAGCCTTGCTTGTGATTTGAGGGAAAAAAGCCAATAGAAGACACATCTAGAAAAACTGGTTGGCATTGCTTTGTGTGATTCAGCCCTGGATTATTCCTATAAAGGAAGAGAAGGCAGAGGAGGATGGTCTCAGACAATGCACCGTCATTACAGTTGGACGATATTGGGATGTTTCTGCTTCACATAAGCTTTTAAATAAATGCATATGCATTTATCCCATGATTGCCATGTGCAAACCACCGTGGAGGATCATGAAGATGTAAGACAAACATCCTGATCTTTGATGAGCTACAGTTTCATTGGGTAGACATGATCAATATACAGGAAAGAGGACAAAAAATGAGAATTTATGATAATGAAATAACTAATGAGGTTCATACTGTAATTGCTAGGAAGGCTCAGGCAAGAACTTTATTTTTTAAGGTTTACAGTGTACTTGCTTCATGTTTTGGATCAAGCAGAAGCACCACAAAATGTTTTCATAGGTAAATCAAGGGCAATAACATATTCATTCAACAAATACTTCTTGATGAAAGACTGACTTAATATTCACTCAGAGGTAGATTCCATAGAGTTAGAACCTAAGAGGAAATCTATTGTGACATATATTACTTGTGATATGCCAAGGCTTTGTTTTGCAAATTAAAATTCTTACAGTGCTAGACAGGGTGAAGGGTGATGACAGTAGCCACTGAGGCAGCCACTAATCAGCTCTAGTTCATTGTCATCAAAGATGAACGCAAGCTTAGTGTTGCTGAGTCTTCATATCATTTCAAGTGAAGCCAGAAATAAGAATTCTGAAATTCCCTAATATATAAAGCATTCATTTGTGGGTTGGGAGGAAGTGGTGGCTGTGGGCATGTGCCTGCTATTTCCAAGAGCCATCAATGTGCGGTGCTCTTGGCAGCAGTAGATCTCCATCCAGCTTTCCTCACCAGCTCTGGGCATCAAGGACAGGATTGTAATGTGTTTTAAGAAAACACTGCACTGGAAACATGCTAATCAATATGTAAAGTACCCAACCACTCCATACTAGATGTAAAATAAGAGATGTATTTGAAGGGGTTTTGGAAGCAAACATCTAAATGGGAAATAGAAGCAATTATCTTTCTAAATATCATCCTTAATAGTTTTTTCAATTTGGAAAAAAAGAAAAAAAAGCTGTAGCTGCCTTTTCTTGTTAGAAGTCTTACATGAGCTAATCTTTCTGATTTGCACAGATTACTATGTGGCAAAGCCTTGCAACTTGCTTTAAGCTTCTGTGTGTCAGGAAGGTAAGCAGGGATTTCAATTCTCTCATGGGCTCTTGAGTGGATAGAAGTGTTGAGTAACAAAACACACCTTTTCTTTGCACCTGCTTTAACTGAAGAATTCAGGAGGCTAAAGAAATCGGCTTCCCTTCCTTTCCCCATTCTGTAATTTTTCATCCACCAAATAGGATTGGATAATCAAAATAAATGATATGAGACCCTCATTTCACATTTTATGATAATATCCTCCAAAGGATGCTTGTTCACTCTTAACAGTATCTCTTGGTTACCATGACAAGGAAGAATGGGAAAACCACTCTCACATTGAAAGGAATCCCTTGTTTGTTTCGTTGTTTTGTTTTGTTTTGTTATTGAGTTGTACTACTGTTAACAAAAGACATCACAATGAAGCACATCTCATCTAATAACCCTTGTGTAGCTCTAGTCATGTTAGTGGTTCTGTAGCCCTGGTGCCATCCAAGCTCCCCAACAGAATCTCCCATTGCCACTGAAGTCCAGAGACCCAGAATGTGAAGTAAAACTGGTCCACAAAAGAAGCTGTTTTTCGTGGCCACACTGCAATCTCTGACATTCAGCAATTATCTAGGATCAGGCAAATGGGCAGAGAGGGACTCCTTCCCCTCCTGGTATCCTAAGTGACAGCTGCTCCATGTCACCAAAGCTCTTTTTTTTTTTTTTTCAGATCAAATCCCCACTTCATGAAAACTAAAATTTAAATTAAAATGTCTGTTTTGGGGGATGGATTATAATTATATTTCTATTCAATGATTCATATATAATCTTTGGTCTTACAGAAATATCTTAAAACTTCCACATTTTTCATCAATATTTTTCTAGCAGCATAGGGTTTGTGTTCAGCCATTTGTGAAGACTTTTACACATAATTATTTTTCATTTGAAATGCCTTCTGAGAAGAATAATAGTAAAAGTATGATTAATTAAACAATTACAGAGTGAGTCAATTTCTTGATTTCAGGTTTCTGATGAAGATAGAATTCTCCCCAGCCAAATTTCCAGTGAACTCTCCAAATTATTAGAATCAGGGGAAATACATTTTTATTTCTGGAACCAATATTAAAGGTAACTCATATTAGCTAGATTTTTCTCTGAGAATGAACTAAGTTTGCAGGAACTCCATATATATGTGTGCATAGATAGATAGATAGATAGATAGATAGATAGATAGATAGATAGACAGAAAGACGGACAGGCAGACAGATAATCTCCAAGAAGCCCCGAAGAAACCTGCCTGCTGCATTTCTGCATTGCTTTCAACCAAAAGCCCTGTGGGAATAAGGCAATACCAACACTGTGATGCATGATTGGTCTCAACCAGTATTTAAACAAATGAAGGTCTGGGAGGAGACAGGATGTGGGAGAGACCCCCACCACAAGCCCACCACCTTCACCTGTTGACATTAAAATATCCTCAGCTCCCAGGTCTGTGTTTTCAATTCATGTATATTAAATGATTCAGAGTCTGGCAGGAGGAAACACTCGTAGGAGTGTTTTGTTTAGTTGTGTTTCGTAGCTGCGATGTTTTGAAAATCAGGTTTTTTTGAGAGCACATAGCTAGATAACAAAACTGGCACAGAGTTCCAGGGTTGAAGACAGAGAAACTGAGAAACAAGCCATGGGACCTGGATTATGTGGGTCATACGGACAAGAATGCATGCGTGGTATCTTCTCACAGTGTTCAGGGACTTGTTATTGCTGTCACTGTTTTTAAATGTGATTTCTGTACAGATTCACTCAGTGTGACTACATCTGGATTGTTCAACATTGTTCAGTATTTCCTCTTATGACCTTAAGAAGAAGAATAATTTTGTCAAGGAAAGTGCTAAATTAATAGGGTATTTTTAATGTACTTAGACTTTGAGAAATTTTTGATGATTTCTGAAAAGTTTAATAATGCCATCTTAGGCAGAGAATAGTTTCTCATACATCCATGAAGAAAAAAAAATGAATTAAAACTCAAATCTTAAGCAAACATAAAGGATGAATTTATTTAATATCACAAAGAGTAAATTACCATTTGTTCAATGGTAATAATTGCTTTAGAGGGGGAAAAAACAGGATAGAAGGACTAGCAAGTGCCTGAAGGGTAAGGATTGTGGGGTGTGGTTTATAATTTTAAAGTGGCTGTTTGGCCTGCAGGGTGGCTCACGCCTGTAATCCCAACACTTTGGAAGGCTGAGAGGAGAGGGTCACTGGAGCACAGAAGTTCAAGACTGCAGTGAGCTATGATTGTACCACTGCACTCCAGCCTGGGTAACAGAGTGAGAGCCTATTTCTAAAAAAATAAAAATAAGTTAAATAAATACATAAAGCAGGTGTTCAAGGAAGTGAACTGCAAAGTGACATTTAAGCAAAGACCTGAAGAAGGTAACAAAATATATAGAAAAATATTTCATTTTTACTTTCCTTTCAGAAGCAGATAAAGTAATTGATAAGTATTTGCAAAGAGCAATATTAGAATAATTCATTTCTTTAGGCATTACCTGAGAAAGATGTAGACAGACTACTGGAGACCTGTAATCACCTCGAAGGCTGGACCTGGATGAATCTTCTGTAAGATCCTAGCAACTTCAGCTTTGTTCAGGGTAGTTTTAGGATTCTATGTAACTTTGTTCCCCCTTTTTGCGAATTAGGAATGTAGTCCTTCTATGTTTGTATACTTAAGGACTTTTATTTAATAAACAGAAACATCCCATTCTCTGGGCAGTATAATAGCAACAAGAACAGTGTACAGAGTCCCAGAGTGGAATTGAAAGCCAAGTTTTGGGCTGAGTGGCCCCTTAGTAGCCTTAGGACTCAGAGCAACACATTTAATTTATCTGTGTCTCCGTTTTCTCATCTGCTAAGCGGTAAGTAGATATCATCGTCCTCAAAGTTTTTTTGTAAGTTGCAAATGTTTATGATTTCCAAAATTCTGTTATTTTACCACTTGTTTCTGAGCCTTTGCCTGAAACAGAGGGCAGCAGGATAGCAACTGCCTTGTGGAAAGTTCTGTGGGTGACTCAACAGGCCAAACAAGGAATCGGGAACATTCCTTTATACCTGTGCCCATGTAAATCCTCTCCCTGAGTTTTCAGCTATAGTCATTTATTGCACAACCTGTTAGTGACCTTGCCAAAGTCCTCCTTATCCATTACTCAACCCGCGTGCCAAGCTGCTTCAGCTCCTGCTATTGTTTCCCAGGAGTTTATAGCTGCCCTTCATTGCTCGAAGCTGCACTTTGAAGTGTCCTCACACTTGTGGTTGTCCTGTTTTATCTCACCATGCCCAGATTCCGGGAATCCTAAGGTAATCCCTCATCTAGAAGGTCAGTGAAAATTTGGTGTGGTAGGTCTTACTGAAGAATTAAATGGGCCGGGCACGGTGGCTCACACTTGTAATTCCAGCACTTTGAAAGGCCAAGGCGGGTGGATCACCTGAGATCAGGAGTTCAAGACCAGCCTGGCCAACATGGTGAAACCCAAGCTCTACTAAAAATACAAAAATTAGCTGGGCGTGGTTGTGCATGCCTGTAATCCCAGCTACTCTGGAGGCTGAGGCAGGAGAATTGCTTGAACCTGGGAGGCAGAGGTTATAGTGAGCTGAGATTGCACCACTGCAGTCCAGCCTGGGCGACAGAGCCAGACTCCATCTCAAAAAAAAAAAAAAAAAAAAAAAGAATTAAATGAAGACTGGCTGTATTCTGGCAGTGTAATGGTGTTATTTATTTACTTTCTTTGATTTTGGTGCAAAAGGATGTTTGCTGTTTAGCAGTGCTCAAAAGTCCAAAGTTCAATTTAATATTCCATTTACTCTTTCCTGCTTTTACAAAGACTACTGATGAATATATCAACCCATATTGGTCATCTTTCTTTTCTGAAACAAGGAAGCAGTATTGTGGTATAGCAGAAAGAGCACAGGTATAATGTGGAGATGAACAAATTGGATTTGAATTACAACTCTGCATTTTACTTGGCTGGGTATGTGGAAAGGTACTATTGCTGCTACAACTGAGTATTGATGGTAATAATTTTATGCGTGTGTATATTCCTCACTACTACCTGATAAGGTTTCATTTTCTTTAAAATACAGATTGTAATATCCATTTCACAGAATTTTATGAAAATTAGTAAGAGAGAATATGTGTATAAAACATTCAATCACTAAATGCCCAACGTTTCAAACATACTAGATTTCTCCTTTTGAACGTTTTTATTCAATATCGTTAGGCTTAAAACAATTATTTTATAATTATTTCATGCCTATAAATCTTGTCTCAGTAATCTCCTAATAAAATTTGTAAAAAAAGAACCAATGCCACACATTTCTTTAGTGTCTCCAGTGCAGTGTCTGAACTACTTGAGGACTTTTTAATCTGTTCATAATTTTCAATTTAACGTTAGCATGTTAAATTCTTAGCATTTAACACAGTGCCAGGCACATAAAACTTGCTCAATAAATATTTTATGAGTAAGTGGGCTTCCTCATTTATTTGCCCATGAATCTCTTCAAATTCATGGGTCCAATTAACTGCCCTTAAATTAGTTTTCTTTCAATCAAAATTCCACTGGAATTTTGCTTGGCTGGCCATAGTCATCTGGACCTATCATAACTTGCTTCGGAGTACCTCAGATCATCCAAGGCTTCTAGGCCCACATTCTGGAATACATTAGGTTCTGTTCTAGTGCTTTAAGGGAGTTAGACTGCCCAGAAAGTGACAATCACATACAAGGATGTGTTTTAAATTTAGGTAGTGGTATATATATTCTCATATAAGAGATATATCCAGGCTTAACCCCATGCCAAGTTCCATTAAAAGTCATCATTGATTATTTTGTCACCCATTGCCTTATAATGTCGCAATCTTTCTACTCCTTAGCTCAGCTAGGTCTGAGTTCTTGTCTCACAACCAGGAAGAATTAGGCACACGGACACCAGAGAATGAGTGGAGTAGAATGTATTAAGTGAGAGGAAAGCTCACAGCAAAGCAGCGATGCGGAAGATAGTTCCCTTACCCAAAGGCAGAAAAGTCCCTTCCCTGTGGCTGGGTCTGGGTCCTCTTATGCACTCAGAATGGGTAGCGCATGCTGATTGGTTTGTGAGTAGGCAAAACACGTTAAAGCAAAGGCATCACTCAAAGGTGGGCACAACAGTGTAGAAAACCAATTAGGAAATGATAGTTATATGTAAAATAGGTGAAGGGTGGGGACCAATAAGAGGAAAGTGCACCAAATGAAAAGACAGGTTCTCAATCCATTCTGAGGATTTAACTGGTAGCTTGGCTTTCAGGCTTTAATACTGCCTTTGGCTTGGAGGTGGGGTTTTCTTGGGGACCCACCCCTATCTGCCTAGCCATGTGGCTGCCTCCTGCCGCTCTCAATAGGTAGTTAAATAATCTGTATACCAAACTCCTGTAACACACAATTTACCTATATAACTAACCTGCACATGTACCTCTGAACCAAAAATACAAGTTAAAAAAAAGTCAACATTGTTCCAAATATAACTGGCAAATGTCCAAGAAGACAATCTATGTTCCTTAGGTTGCCCAACTTGGTTTTTTTCAATAATATTTTTAATATTTTTGAGGAAAACTTCTGCTACATTTTTGCTCATATATCTAAGAATCACAATGAAAGTAATGATTGCTGAGTGGTTTGCTATTTTGGGATCTTTTTATTTGTATTCCTTGCACTAAAAAGAAGAGAGGAAGGTCAAGTTGTCAGTCATCTAAATAAATATAATGAGGTAAATTTAAATGTATTGAGCAACTATAAAAAAAATGTGTTTGGCCCTGTGGTCTCAAATTTTACTTTGGATAAGAATCAGTTGAGCGATTTATTAAAATTACAGTTAGTCTGGGTGGAGATCAGGAATCTGCATTTTATCAAGGGGCCCAGGTGATTCTGACACTAGTAGTCTGTTGATCTCAGTAAAAGAAACCTGTCTTAGACTGTACAGTATAGTCACTACTTAGGAAGAGCATGTATTATCTATAGCCAAACAGAACTCATTTCAAATTCCAGAACTGCCGTTTGCTATATTTGTGAGTATGGGAAATTATGTAACCTCTTTGAACCTCAATTTCCAACTGTAAGACTGGATAGTTCTTACCACGTGGGTAAGATAAAATGAGGTATATGCCTAGACCATTTTGTGTATCAAAAAGTAATCACTGAATGGGAATTATGTATTTCTACATATGTAATATGTAGAATTGTTTCTTTACTGTTTGTGTCCTTCTAAATGTAATAGCTCACTAGTAATTTTAATGGGGAAATATATTGTGAAGGCTAATGTTCTAACCTAGGTTCAGCTCTATAACTCCTCTATGATTACTCAGGGATGGAAATCTTGAGAACCACCTGCTAGTGGGATTATGGGATCTAAAGGTGATGTTTACTTTTGAATCAGATCAAAGGATTTTTTTTTCTATGTTACAGCAGACAAAAGTTGTTAAAGAAAAGGTATAATTTTATACACTCCATTGCCCTCAATTGTAATATAAGAAAAATACTTCATTGATTTCTGGCTCTGTAACTCCATTTAACTCCTGATGCAATTTCCCACAAGAGTAAATTTACCTGCAAATTAATCTGCTTTGAGGCCCCCTGGAATTTCTGATGCAAATGTGGGTAGAGGCTGGAGGGTTTAATAAATAGGTTGTTCCAGTGCCAGCCCAGAGCCCATCATTGCAAGAAGGATACTGAGGGAAACCCAAGCCCCAGAAAAGACTGAGATGTTGCTGACCTAGGGTTACACTGAGAACACCCTGTGAGAAGTTTTCTTGATACCCCAGAGGTCAGGTCGCTGCTCCTCTCCTTCTGTCATGCACTTGATCTTTGCACCTCCACAGCCTTGTGTTAATGCACTGTCCTTGATTGTTCCCACGTCTATCTCCCACTGAGGATGTAAGTTGTAGTTTCCTCATTTTTAACATCTGTATAGAAAACACTGCCAGGCCTCGAATGAATGAGTAAAGAAACAAATAAATAGCTATATAGCAAACTCCTCGACTGAGTAGATCTGTCCTGTGTTTATGTAATTGTACCAATGCTGTGCCTAAATATAAAAAGGCAAAATTGGTTCCATTTGTACATGTAGTTCTTTAAAACTAACAAAATATTTTATACGCTAGTGCTTTAGCATTATAGAGAAAAAAAATTGCCCTTATGATTTGTTAAAATAGACAGATGCAAAAGAGTTATTTCATTGTTGTCTACTTTATACTGAAGTACACCAGGGAAATTTTTAGCAGGTACATCTTTAAGAACAGGTCTCAAAGCACAAAAAGCCAAGGAAATATTTTATGATAGCTTCAAATTTACCATAAAAAATTTAAAGTGAATCCAACCCATAATTATTATTAAAAAAGACTTTCAGTGGCCTTCTACTAATCAATTATACACAAAATGTGTAGAAAAGAGGTATTGCAATTTTGGAAACTTTTAAATAAAATAAATACTGAAATATTTTTATAAATATTATCTTGTAATTTACGTATTTCATAACCGTGTTACAAAATGCCAAAAACTACAATGTGTATTTAACTTGAAGCCAAGTAATGACATGCAAGGGGAAAACTTCGTTTTTCTAGAGAACATTCTTGCTAGTTCTGAATGAGCTATACTTAATCACAGTGTGCCTGAAATAAAGTCAGGTTGGACAGCTCCCTAGACGAGTAGGGTGCTCCAACCATAATTTACCCTCCTTAATGTGGTATTTTCTATCCACTGAAAGGTTCAGTCCATTTTAAAATGGGAACTCTACCTCAGGTATAATCAACAAGATCGTTGATGGCTCCCTTTCATTAAGAGAATATTGGCCAAAAGCTCATTATACCATTTCTATTTATGTTAAATTAAAGGAGAACTAGTTGTACTTTTAAGCTTCTTATATGTCGCTCCAGATAATAAATATGCCAATAAAATTAAAGGAAAGAATAAAGCATATTTATGTAAATTCTAAGTTTATAAGGAAATACATTAGTAGGCATTAAAAAAATCATCCAAGGGGAAAGGTCTAGGGAGAAACATGAGGCTCTCAGGGGAGCTGTATTGGTAAATGATGGTCTCTCCACAGGGGCATCTCGTTGTTATAAATCATAGTGCTGAGTATGCTGCAGGACATGAATGTGCACTAGTCAATTTCCACTTAGAAAATGGTAAACTAAAAACCAACGTTGAGACCTTCAGATAAGAAACAATACTCTTGAATTTCATCAGTGCATACAGTTTGTTACCACTCAGTTACATTGAATTCACATGTGGATTGGCATTTTATTTTTACTGTGGTATACTTAGCCCAAAATAATGCCAACAGCATTGTTTCTGTTCCTCACTGAAAGTTGGGATATTTCCAAAGGAGTTTCCAAAAGAAATGTTCAACTGTGAATCACTACGAATATCAGTATATAAAATCACTTGAATATAGATCCTTGGAAAATACCTTTAAGTTAGCTTATTATTGGCATGTAGAATAAATACAGAAAATATACAAATCCTATGTGTACAGCTTGTTCTGTTTACTTCACAAAATGACATCTGTGTGGCACAAGCAACCAGATGAAGAAACAGACTATTATCTGAATCCAGAAAACTCCTTTCTCCCGCTTCCAATAATTAATACCCAAGGATAAATTACTGTTCTGAATTTTTTTAATTGAGTAAAATCTTCCTATAAGTACTGTTTTGTATCTGATTCTTTCACTTCAAGTATGTGTATGGGATCCATCCATGTTTTTAACTGTAGTTATTGTTCATTTATTCTCATTGCTAAGCAGTAATGTATTGTGTCAGTATACCATAATTTTTATGTCCATTCTACTATTATAGACATTTGGATATTTCCAGTTTCGAGCTATTATTCTATTGCAGACATGAATGTTGTCATTGTCTTTTGGTAAACACAGGTGTCCTGTCGAATACATTTCTAAGAATGAAATTGTGGGATCATCGGATATGTGTCTTTAGCTAGAAGCTTTAGTAATTTCTGCTAACAATAGGAGTTCCATTTGATTAATATCCTCTCCAACATTTGGTATTGCCTATCATGATGACTACTAACACACCTTTGTATATATTTTGGGGCTATTTAGATAGTTTTTTTTGTGAATTGCCTTTTCTAGTCTTTTGCCCACCTATTATGTTGTTTACATTTTTCTTATTGATTTGTAGGAGTTATTTTTATCTTCTTTATACATTCTTTCACAATGCATTTATTAAAAAAACTTTATATGCACTATATAGTTTAGTTTCTTAATGGTGTATGAATAGTCAGGGTTCTCCAGAGGGTCAGAACTAATAGGATATTGTTTATCTGAAAGGGAGTTTATTAAGGAGAATTGACTCACAGGATCACAATGTGAGGTCTCATGATAGGCTGTCTGCAAGCTGAGGAGATAGGAAGCCAACAGTGCAGCCTCCATCCTGTGCCCAAAGGCCCAAGAGCCCCCAGAAAACTACTGCTGTAAGTCCAAGAGTCCAAAGGCTGAAGAACCTAAAGTCTGATGTTCAAGGGCAGGAAGCATCCAGCATGGGAGAAAGATGAAAGCCAGAAAACTCAGCAAACCAGCTTATCCCACCTTCTTCCACCTGCTTTCTTCTAGCCAAGTTGGCAGCTGATTGGATGGTGGCCACCCACACTGAGAGTGGGACTTCCTCTCCCAATCCCCCAACTCAAATGTTAATCTCTTCTGGCAACACCCTCACAAACTCACCCAGAAACAATACTTTAACAGCTATCCAGGCATCCTTCAATCCAATCAAGTTGACACCTAATATTAACCATCGCAGTGTCTTTTGAAGAACAGAAATTATAGTATCATTTTAGCATAGTCCAATTAATCATTCTCTTTTATTTAACCCTTTTAGAATGTGTGAAAGGAAAATAAATCCTGGGGCCCCCAAATCACTAAGCTAAAGGGAAAAGTCAAGCTGGGAACTGCTTAGGGTAAACCTGCCTCCCTTTCTATTCAAAGTCACCCCTCTGCTCACTGAGATAAACGCATATCTGATTGCCTCATTTGGAGAGGCTCATCAGAAACTCAAAAGAATGCAGTATGTCTCTTATCTACCTATGACGTGGAAGGCCCCTCCCCATTTTGAGTTGTCCCACCGTTGCCTCGAGTTGTCCCACCTTTCCGAACTGAACCAATGGACATCTTACACATACTGATTGAGGTCTCATGTCTCCCTAAAATGTATAAAACCAAGCTGTGCCCCTACCACCTTGGGCACATGTTGTCGGGACCTCCTGAGGCGGTGTCATAGGAGCAAGTTCTCAACCTTGGCAAAATAAACTTTCTAAATTAACTGGGACCTGTCTTAGATATTCAGGGTTCACATTTTGGCAACCATGAAGGGATTCTGAATGGAGATGCCCCTGATCTTTGACAAATCTGCTACCAGTGCTTGGTACCAGCATGAGCTAACTTTATGGCTCAAACCAATAGGATAATTTGCTCAGGTCTAGGAACACCCCCTTCAGAGAATCCCTGACCTCCAAAAATTTGGTCAAGATCTAAAGTTTATTTTGCTGTACAACTCTCCTTTTCTGGAGTTTTACTTGCTTCCAACAAGGAAGGCAAGATTTCCTGCTTCCATGATGATGGAAGGCAGGTAACTCCTTTATGGAGTGTGAACTCACTCCTGTCAGGGAAGACAAGTTCGAGATGTTTGAGGTTTTTTTTTTTTTTTTTTTTTTTTCCCTGCTTCTAGGATGGTAAAAAGCTGTCTTCAGCCTGAGACCCATTCCTAGTTAAGTAGATGAATTGGGGTTTTGTCTTTGCTAAAGTTTAACAACTGGTTGTCTTAATTTCTCCTTACCGTTATAGCACTCAGTGATCATATTGTTGAGTTATTTGGTGTTGATGGTGGTTCCATCTTTATTCCATCAGATTTGACAAACTCTACCTGACTTGGTCAAATCCAAATGAGAATTCCAAATTGTGGGTAACAAAACCTCTCTAATTTGGCTAAAATTCCTCACATCTGCAAAAGAGGGAAAAAACCGAAAACCAAAAAACCATGTGCTTGTTTTCCGTGTTTGCTTCCTATCTTAATAAACAAACAAAAAAACAAATGTTCTTTTATTTACTTTTCTTCCACCCTATACCTCCTTCCTATTTTGCCATCTGCAGTGCCAAAAACATCTAGAGAAGACTTCTAATGACTTGAACCCCTTTCAAGAAATCAGAGCAAAGGTGCCACTCACCTGTTTTGGGGTATTTTGTTTTCTTTGTGTAGTTTCAAGAGTCATGGGCAGAATCTTCTTAGGTCTAAAGCTCTGTTTTCCTGTATTGCATGACCTGATCTCTTTGGCTTGGGTACCAGAGATTACCTTGTATTGGGAGAGGATTTGACCTTGGCGTGTGTAATGGTAAAAGGGAGCTACAAAGTTAGGGATGGCTGAGCAGTTTACAGGGAGTGGTCTTGGCTGTTGTTATTTATTTTTTTTCTCCTTGGAAGTTGTTTAAGGATCTTAATTCTAGTTTGGAGATGCATCCTAAGGGGTCTTCTCTATTGCTTTTTCTCCCAACATTAATCTCAATTAGTCTTGTCTATGTGCATTTGCATGAGAAACTGAACTGTTGTTTTCATAGGTAAATGTGAGACTGCATTTTCACAGCTCTGAAGAAAAAGGGCATTTGCTCTTCTCAGCTGAAAGGTGCCCTTGGGTGACTGGGGGCCCTGTAGGAGTGTCTGGGAGGTTGATCCCCAGTGGCCCTGCAGGGAAATCCCCAACAAAATTCATTTTTAAAAAGGCTCATCCAGGAAAAGCATATAAGGGATGATCACCCAGTGTTTTGAGCCCTCTCATAGGTCATAGATTTCTGGAGAGAGAAACTGAGACACGTAAGAGGGTGGAAATGACTTGCCCACAAGCAGCACACATCAGTCCACCATATAAAAACCCTAGGTCACAGCTCAGTTCTTCCTTTTAAGAAAAAAAGTGGAAACAAATAATCTAAGTATTGAGGAGAAAACAAGGAGAATGACCCCCTTTAGAGCACTCCATAGGTTTTATGTCACGTCTACTTGCCAGAGTTTATGTAAAACGAAAGTAATATGGTCTTCGAACACATTTACATTAAAGAAAAAGATCCCTAAGGTCAGTCTCCAAACTATAGAGTTCCTAAGTTCTCTTTTTTCTCTATTTTCTTTTCTGTATGCTTTAAATCTGCTGTTATTTTTCTATTAAGATAAAAACCACTGTTTGGATCCAACAGGTTTTTTGTTTGCAAGCTAGTGAATTTGTATTTACCTCATGGCTAAAGTTCTGAAATAAAAGCTATAGGATCTTTGTGTGTGTGTGTGTGTGTGTGTGTGTGTGTGTGTGTGTGTGTGTGTGTGTGTTTAAAAGGCTTTTATAAAATTTCTATAATTTTATGTTTAATTGGTAATTAAATCCATTTTAACTTCCCCTTACCACAGCAGAATTTTTCTCTCCATACCTTATGATGTAAATTTTACAATTATTGGTAAAGTAATGTTAGAAATGTCTTAAGAATTGCCAGCATAGATTTTTGTTTGCATTTATTAATCAAGCAATTTCATACTTATCCCTGCCAAATACTATAAGGTGTCAAAATGTGACATAAGGATCACAAAACTATAAACCCAGCCCAAGGCAGAATGATGTTTGCTTATGTAAGTTTTAATCATCTTCGGGCCTAGTAGAAGATGCCAATAAAAATAAACTGCATTCCTGAGGCACAAGGCAAGAAATTAAAGCTATTCAACTCCTCAAGACTCAGGAACTATTGCAGAAGAGGTAGGTGTGTGAGGTTGTAGGGGCCGATTTTGAGAGATAAAGTAAGTTCAGTTTCTCTATAATTTAATTATTAATGTCAAGGGCACACTGATGCAAGACCAGCATATGGACCCCTTTGTCAGCTTAAGAAGGTTTTCTTGAAGCATTAACTGACATCTAATAAAGGTTATGAAGGTTATAAAAGGCTTCTGGAACTTATATTTTATGGTCAAAATTGGAATTTTATAAATTATAAAATTTTGAAAAACCAATTTAATTGGCTTCATGCTGTTTTTATTGGGGCTTATTGTTTGGAAAACTAAGTCTCTTCTCTCAAAGAATGAAGCTTTTCACCTTTTAAAAAAATCCTTGACTTTATCACTTTGGTCAAATGAATTACTTATTTTACAATGAAGTGTGATACCAAGTGTTTTAAGCCTTTGATATTTGATGAACTTTCCAAAATCAAATTATAAATTATATCTTTTTCTTACCTAATTAATCCTTTAAGATATTAGGTTCCCTGAAGTCCAGAACTGACATAATTTGGCTTATTTGGTATAAAAATTATATGGCAGGCCTTGTCAAATATGAACTGGTGTTTGGTTTTCTTTGGGCTGATTTGTATAAATATATTATTGATATGTGTTCCAAAATTATGGGAAAATTGTATAATTCTGATATGATGTATTGTACATTATCAGTAATAATTATAATTGTTATGTTAAATTATTGCATGCCACAGAGGTAACAAATTTCCTTATCAATTGTGTCTTTGACTCTGGCTGCTCTAAAACTTTTTGTCATCCATGACAATTATTGTCTTGTTTTGATCCACTTTAGAAGGTAGTTTTATAATCAGCATAAAACTCAAGAGCACCTGTTGGTGCTCTTGAACACAAGTTTCTGATAACTTTGGAGACTGTGACATCAGAATAGAAGAAAAACTTTCTGGGCTCATGGAGAACTGAAATGTTCATGAATATCAAGCAGAACAGGAATTAATTACATGGACTGAACTAATAAAGATTGAGTAATCTTTTTGACTTTTTGCTTAAAACATTGCTGATCCTTTGTTTCACTTTTTTTCAGAGTCAAGGAAACTTTTCTTTTGAGCTATTGACAGCTTTTAACAAATTTGTATACTCCTATGAGCAAAATTTAGAACATATTTGTTTCTTTCTACCTGATTTCTTGAGAATTTGGAAACTGGGATTATTCTTAACTTATGGCAAAACAGTTATTTGCATAAGTACAATAAGAATTTGTTCTCATTTATAACAGGACACAATTGGAGAAACTGATTATTTTACTAAGGCTTTGACTGGGATGGTGTGCTTTTCTTTAAGGAATCAATTGACTTATACAGCAAATAAAAGCCCCTTGGGAAAACTGGCCTCATGCCTTGTCTACACAGTCCTTACACATCATTCCTGACCTGTGGTAAGAAAAGATTGTCACTTTCTAACAGGCCCAGGAGACCCAAGTTTATCTTGGAACCTCACATGGAGAGGAATTCCCCAACTCATAGGTATTTGACGGTACAAATCCATGGCTGGGCTCGGCTTTAAAAAAGTCTTACCTGAGATTCCTTCTATGGAATAAAGTTCCATCAAAGCCAATTTAAAAGCCAATGTAAAAAAATCATTATTCTTGCCACACTGTATACAAATAATCAGGCCAAGTATAAGAAAGCAAATCAGTCCAACCATGATTTGTCTTTAATAAAAATGGGAAACTGGAGAGAGAAAAAATATGTTTCAAAAACCATAGTACACCTGTTGTTAGATTCTAGTCTTGCCTAACGTTTTTCAATTTTTTTTATTTTCTACAGATTGGAGCAAACTCTAATTTTTCTTGGCTACAAGTCTTCAAAATAATGTTTTCAATTTTTTTCCTTCTTTTTCTCCTGATATTTCCTAATTTGGAGTCACTGAAAACTAAGCTGTGCTTTCATAAAGCCCTGCAACTGAAGCTAGACAACTTAAACTTCAGAAGAAAGTAACAGCAAACTATTTACTTACATAAGCCCCTTTCATACCTGCCTACTGATGTATGGACTTCAGAGTAATGTGGCCTATCTCAATTTTCCAGAATCGTTCTTTTGTTTCTTGTTGTTTTTCTCCTTTTCTCCTCCTATTTTCTCTTCATAGGACATGAGACTTCACAACCTGCTAAAAATGGACTTTCCTAATAACTCAGGACCTACCTGTCTAGGAATAAACCATTCTAGCCATGAGAGATCAGATGAAACCTGAGACCATAGACTCATTTTCTCCTAAAATGCTTTCTCCCAAAGATTTTTTTAAAAAAGGTATCGAGTGGGGAATGTGAAAGGAAAATAAATCTTGGGGCCCCCAAATCACTAAGCTAAAGAGAAAAGTCAAGCTGGGAACTGCTTAGGTAAAACCTGTCTCCCATTCTATCAAAGTCACCCGCCTGCTCACTGAGATAAATGCATATCTGATTGCTTTATTTGGACAGGCTAATCAGAAACTCAAAAGAATGCAACCATTGTGACTTGGAAGCCTCCTCCCCACTTCGAGTTGTCCCACCTTCACCTCAAGTGGTGCCCCCTTTCTGGACTGAACTAATGGACATCCTACAAATTGATTGAGGTCTCATGTCTCCCTAAAATGTATAAAACCAAGCTGTGCCCCTATCATCTCAGGCACATGTCATCAGAACCTCCTGAGGTTGTGTCACAGGCATGTCTCCTCAACCTTGGCAAAATAAAATTCATAAATTAACTGAGACCTGTCTTAGATATTCAGGGTTCACAAATGCTATTTATGAAATGCATTTATCCTTCAGAATTCATGGGTGATGGGTTCTAGGACCTCCTGAAGATACCGAAAATTGCAAATGCTCAAGTCCCCGATATAAAATTGCATAGTGTTTGCATATATCTTATGCATATCCTGCCATATACTTTAAATCATCTGTAGATTACTTATAATACTGAATACAATATAAATGCTATGTAAATAGTTGTTATACTGTATTGTTTAGGGAATAATGACAAGAAAAATAGTCTGTTCATATTCAGACCAGAAACAATTTTTTTAAAAAAACTTTTTAGTATGCAGTTGGTTGAATCCATGAATAAAGAATCTAGAGATACAGAGTGCTAACTCCTTTCCTACCTCAAGTTCATAAAGATATTCTCCTATGTTTCCCTAGAAAAGCTTTAGTGTTTTATATTTCACATTTAGATCTATAATCCATCTGGAATTGACTGGTTTGTATGTTGTGAGGCAGGGATCAAAATTTATTTTTTACATAGATATTTGGATGATCCGGCATGCCTATTGAAAAGTCCATCTTTTCTGTAAAAGACTTTTTTCCCAGCTGCACCATAGTATCACTTTGTCATAAAATGATTGAACCTGTTATATATAGCTATATGCGATATATAAATATATATCAATATATGAAATATATGATATAGATACATATATCTATACATATCATATATATCATATATAATATATGCTATATGTATCTATATCATATATAATATATGCTATATGTATCTATATCATATATATCATATATGATATGTGCTATATGTATCTATATCATATAGATCGATATGATATATAGATATATATCTATATCATATAGATCTATATGATATATAGATATACATATATATCTATATATCATATATGACATATATACATACATAAATGAATTTGTTTCTGGATTTTCAACTCTGCCCCTCTGTTCTCTTTGCCGGTCCTTCCTCCTGAACTAAACCATCTTAATTCCCATAGCTTTACAGTAAGTCTAGCATACTGATAGTACAATTTCTCCAGATTTATTTTCTTCTTCCAGTTTGTCCTGGCTATTATTGGCCCTTTTCATTTTTATATATATTTTAGAATCAATCTCTTAACTTGCAACAAAAGTGCTGAAATATATGTTGCATGATTTGATCAACTTGAAAAAAACTTATATTTTTACAACATTGAGTTTAGCAATTAATGAACATGGTGTATTCCTACGCCTATTTACATCCTCTTTTATTTCTCTCAGTAATGCTTTCTAATGACATATTTTTTGCTAGATTTATTTCTAGCTAAATTGTTTTAGGTGTTTTTCAATTGGTTTCATTTAAAAGTTTTTATTTTTTGCTTTTCTTGGAACATAAAATGCAATTGATCCCAAACAGTGACCTTATATCTAGAGATCTTAACCTCAATTCAGTTAATTCTAATGGCTTGAGTGTGTATTAGTTGTCTTTTTGTCACTATTTTCATGTATGCTCCCAAGTTATCTGAAAATAGTTAAAATTTTATATCTTCCTTTTCAATCCTTTTGCTTTTTTGTGGTTTACTTATTTAAATTTTAATTTAAGTTCTGGGGTATGTGTGCAGAACATGCAAGTTTGTTACATAGGTATATATGTGCCATAGTGGCTTGCTGCACCTATCAACCCGTCGTCTAGGTTTTAAGTCCTGCATGCATTAGGTATTTGTCCTAATGCTCTCCCTCCCTTAGCCCCCAACCCCCGACAGGCCTGGTGTGTGATGTTCTCTTTGCTGTGTCCATGTGTTCTCATTGTTCAGTCTCACTCATGAGTGAGAACACGCAGTGTTTGGTTTTCTGTTCCTGTGTTAGTTTGCTGAGGATGATGGCTTCCAGCTTCATCCATGTCCCTGCAAAGGATATGAACTCATCCTTTTTTATGCCTGCATAGTATTCCATGATGTATATGTGCCACATTTTCTTTATGCAGTCTATCATTGATGGGCATTGGTTCTAAGTCTTTGCTATTGTAATTAGGGCTGCAATAAACATACATGTGCATGTGTCTTTATAGTAGAATGATTTATAATCCTTTAGGTATATACCCAGTAATGGGATTGCTGGGTCAAATGGTATTTCTGATTCTAGATCCTTGAGGAATTGCCATAATGTCTTCCACAATGGTTGAACTAATTTACACTCCCACCAACAGTGGAAAAGCATTCCTGTTTCTCCACAGCCTCACCAGCATCTGTTGTTTCCTGACGTTTTAATAATCGCCATTCTGACTGGCATGCGATGGTATCTCAATGTGGTTTTGATTTGCATTTCTCTAATGACCAGTGATGATGAGCTTTTTTTCATATGTTTGTTGGCCACATAAATGTCTTCTTTGGAGAAGTGTCTGCTCATATCCTTTGCCCACTTTTTGATGGGGTGGTTTCGTTCTTATAAATTTGTTTAAGTTCCTTGTAGATTCTGGATATTAGACCTTTGTTGGATGGCTTGCAAACATTTTCTCCCATTCTTTAGATTGCCTGTTCACTACGATGATAGTTTCTTTTGCTTTGCAGAAGCTCTTTGGTTTGATTAGATCCCATTTGTCAATTTTGGTTTTTGTTGCAATTGCTTTTGGCATTTTAGTCATGAAGTGTTTGCCTATGCCTATGTTCTGAATGGTATTGCCTAGGTTTTCATGGTTTTGAGTTTTACACTAAGTCTTTAATCCATCTTGAGTTAATTTTTGTATAAGGTGTAGGGAAGGGGTCCAGTTTCTGTTTTCTGTATATGGCTAGCCAGTTTTCCCAGCACCATTTATAAAATAGGGAATCCTCTCCCCATAACTTGTTTTTGTCAGGTTTGTCAAAGATCGGTTGGTTGTAGATGTATGGTGTTATTTCTGAGGTCTCTGTTCTGTTCCATTGGTCTATATATCTGTTTTGGTACCAGTACCCTGCTGTTTTGGTTACTGCAGCCTTGTAGGATAGTTTGAAGTCATGTAGCATGATGCCTCCAGCTTTGTTCTTTTTATGTAGGATTGTCTTGGCTACGCAGGCTCTTTTTTTGGTACCAGATGAAATTTAAAGTAGTTTTTTCTTTTCTTCTTTCTTTTTTAAATCATTTTTACAGGTGTTGACTTTTGCTTTTTTAAAATACCTTTTTGTATTGGCTAGTCTTTCTATTAAAGTAATAAACATAGTTATAGCAGGTAAGTAATAACTAATTTCATTGGAAGTTTTTCAGTATTTTACCATGAAGCATGAAGTTTGCTGTAAGAATTTCTTGAACACTCTTTATCTAAGAAAGTTCCATTCCATACCTAGTTTGCTACGAGTTTTCATGGTAAATTGACACAGAATCATATGAAATGTTTTCTTTTCTTATATCACATAACTTTTCTCTTTTCTTCTGCCAGTGCATATCAACATCCATTTATTTTTCAATGTTAAAACACACTTGCATTCCTAGAATAAATCCACTTTTTGTGATGTGTTAACTTATTATCAAATACATTTTTATACAGCAGCTTACTCGTGAGCTTGACAGTCACTGGGTCAAGTATTTTGCTCCATATTTTAACATATATTGAATTATTTTTGATATCTTAACTCTTGATGTTTTTGACATTTTAAGTCTTTTAAGAAGTAAAATTGAAAAAATCTACTTATTCTTCCTATTGTTATGGTAGACATGCTCATGCAGGTAATACCTCAGAAGTTTTCCAGGCATTACTGTCTGGTAATGTGTAGATAAAACAGACTGTTGTGTTCTTACACTTTGGATAACAGGAATTTCTACAACTTCTCCAGGCTTCACAAATCAGACACACTTTTTTCTTAATGCCCAAGTAGCAATAATCCAAGCTACTATCCTACATGTCTATGAAGTCTTTAACAAGATTTTCCTCCAAGAATACATTTTAGTTGGATAATTTTACCTTACCTAGTTTTTACTCATTTTCTCAGAATATCACTCCAAAATAAAAGCTATTCTTTATCTTTGCATAACCAACAGTTCCATTAAAGTATTTTTCTTTAATTAAACATGTAGTTTATCCACAAAAGGGAATCCAAACTTCTCATTCTGTGGAAAATTTGAAAAACTACAGTCTAGAAGATTCTGTTATTATATTGCCATTCCCATCTAGGAGTGAGTTCTGCCATTTTTATATGTTACTTATTGTGTCTTCTTTATATTTACATTATTTTAAGTATTTTTATATTATGATACTTTGTTTATATTTTAAACTAGAACACAATTGACAGAAACTGCAGTTAATCTAATTATGGATTAGACAGTTGCAGGAAACATTAGTTTACTCTAGGAAGGGAAACACAAATTGAGTTGTTGTAAGGACACAATAGGCAAACTGAGTCATCCAAAAATGAGAAATAAAGTAGCAGCAGGTCACAGCAGAACTAACTAGAACTGGAAATTCAAACACGAGTTTACAGATTCCACCCTGAAAAGGCTTATCTCTGTTTTTTCATCTAATTTCTTTTTAGCTTTATAATTTTGTACATGCCCTAGCATGACTACCTCTCTCTCCCATTTTGGCGTGGCTTTACTATTCATGTATTCATTGTTTTTTTAAATATTAGGGAGGGAAGACTCTTATCTTTCATTTCTTATGTACCCCCATGAAGACTTTCAGCTGAAATAACTCATCTCTCACTCGTTTTTCTTTTATTTTTTTATTTATTTCTTCTAAAAAAAATGGGATACATATGCAGATGTGCAGGTTTGTTACATAGGTATACAAGTGTCATGGTGGTATGCTGTACCTATTGACCCATCCTCTAAGTTCCCTCCCCTCACCCTCCACCCCTCAACAGGCCCTGGTGTGTGTGTTCCCCTCTCTGTGTCCATGTGTTTTGAATGTTCAACCTCCACTTATGAGAGAGCATGCGGGGTTTGGTTTTCTGTTCCTGTGTTAGTTTGCTGAGGATGATGGCTTCCAGCTTCATTCATGTCCCTGCAAAGGACATGATCTTATTCCTTTTTATGGCTGCTTAGAATTCCATGGTGTATATATGCCACACTTCTTTATCCAGTCTATCATTGGGTTGGTTCCGTGTCTTTGCTATTGTAAATAGTGCTGCAATAAACATATGTGTGCATGTTTCTTTATAGTAGAATGGTTTATAATCCTTTGGGTATATACTCAGTTATGGGATTGCTGGATCAAGTGGTAATTCTGGTTCTAGATCCTTGAGGAATCGCCATACTGTCTTCCACAATGGTTGAACTAATTTACATTCCCACCAACAGTGTAAAAGCGTTCCTATTTCTCCACAGCCTCGCCAGCATATATTGTTTCCTGACTTTTTAATAATTGCCATTCTGACTGGCATGAGATGGTATCTCACTGTGGTTTTGATTTGCATTTCTCTGATGATCAGTGATATTGAGCTTTTTTTCATATGCTTGCTGGCCATGTAAATGTCTTCTTTTAGAAGTGTCTGCTCATATCCTTCACCCACTTTTTGATGGGGTTGTTTGTCTTTTTCTTGTAAATATGTTCAAGTTCCTTGTAAATTCTGGATATTAGACCTTTGTCAGATGGGTAGATTGCAAATATTTTCTCCCATTCTGCAGGTTGCCTGTTCACTCTGGTGATGATAGTTTCTTTTGTTGTGCAGAAGCTCTTTAGTTTAACTAGATCCCATTTGACAATTTTAGCTTTTGCTGCAATTGCTTTTGGTGTTTTCGTCATGAAGTCTTTGCCCATGCCTATGTCCTGAGTGGTATTGCCTAGGTTACTCTTTATTGACTCCACATCTTGAAAGGAGAAGGGATTATTTTGTTTAGCGAGTTTGAAATAACTTGTTGAGCATGCTCTGCTAGCACCTTTCTCCTGACTGTGTTCAGTTGTGTCTGCCTATTGAAAGGAAAGTTTCTTACCTACTTTCATCCACATGGATCTGCCAATGATGTGGAAGGCTAATAGGGTTCCACTTGTGCCAGTGCCTGGGTGAACAAGTATGTCCAATTTAGGAGTCAATTCCTAGGAAGCTATTAGGTTTTAGATCTAAAATTGTAATCTCCAATCAGGCTGTTTTAGTAATAAAGGTGATATTTTGAATTCCATTTGCTTGCTATTGCTTCTTTGTCTCAGTTGTTTCCAAAAGAAGAAAAAGATCTATTATTTAGTAATCTACATGAACCCCACATAGAGAGAAAATAGAGTACATAATTCCATCATATAAAAAATAAATTTAAAATACATGAAGAGTTAAATGAGAAAAATAATATTTAAATATACAGGCATATCTCAGAGATACTGTGGATTTGGCTCCAGATCACTGAAATAAAGCAAATATGGCAATGAAACAAGTCACACAAATTTGGGGGGGTTCCCAATGCATAAAAAATTATGTTTACTCTAAACTGTGGTCCATTAAGCATTTAAACATTATGTCTAAAAACTGTACATATTTTAATTTAAAAATACCTTATTGTTAAAAAATACTAATGATCATCTGAGCCTTCAGTGACTCATAATCTTTTTTTTTTTGGTAAAAGGTCTTGTTTGATGTTGATGGTTGCTGTTTGATCAGGGTGTGGTTGCTGAAGGTTAGGGTGGCTGTGGCAATTTCTTAAAATAAGACGACAGTGAAGTTTGCTGCATCAATGGATTCCTCCTCGAACAAAAGATTTCTCTATAGCATGCAACGCTATCTATCTGATAGCATTTTACCCATAGTAGAACTTTCAAAGTTTGAGTCAGTCCTCTCAAATCCTGCTGCTACTTTATCAATTAAGTTTATGTTTGGGTAGTATTAACTGGAGTTAATTAAATATGGAGTGACTATTATGGGGAAACACTGTCAGTTTCTGTGCAGAATCCCATGATAGACATTTCTAGTAGTTTCAACAATGTCTGGGGCTCCTACCCTTCTAGGCTAATGTGAACGCATTTGAGCTTCATATATCAACGAGTCCATTTCACAAACATGATATTCATTAAAGGAAGCAAAAGGCAGAACACATTCAGTTGATTGTATTTGTATGCATTACATGTAGCAAAATTATAAGGAAAATAAAAGGGATGATAACTATTGAAATATTTCTTAAGCTAAGTGGAACATGCATAAATAATATTTAATAATGTGCTCTATACATTTTATGTATATAAAATATAGTTTCCTCCAATAAAGGTTATCTTATTCTGAAATCATGGGTGGTAAGTAAAGCTTGTGAAATATGGATTATAATATGATACCTGCAGTCATCACCCTGGCACAACTAACACTTACTGGCTCCATATTCCTTACTAGGTAGAAGGCAAATGTCTCACTTAGCATGGCATAGTTCTTCTACAGTTAGAATCTTACTTTCCTTTCTCTACTCCTCTTCTCTTTTCTTCTTCCTGCTTACAACACGTTCACTGAGTAACCAATGGATCAATCTCAGTTCCTTGAGTGTAATTTTAAAATATTTTTACCTAAAATACTTTGTTCCTTAACTTCTAACCATCCTTTCCAACACAGTTAAAATATTGTCTTTGTGAAACTATTTCCAATTCTCATACTGTGGTATATACTTTAAGGTATTCTAATGGGCTTACATATCTGTATTCTCCATTAAGGATAGCTCATGGAAGGTAGTGCCCTGTCTTATTTGTCATTGTTTCCCTAATACTTAGCCCAGTGTCTGGCATACTAAATGCCTAATGTTAGACAAATAAACTACTTGGAAGAGCTGTTGAAATGTTAAAATGTTCAAAAAGTTGAAGGGACAATTTCTGAATTAATGACACAATGAACAGTATCAAAATTCAGAGAATGTCACTGTGGATGAGAGTGATCTGGAAAGATTCCATCAAAGCTGGTGGCTCTGAGGTAGGTCTAACAGGATGGGTAAGATTTGCAGTAATTGAGGAGAGTGGTGAGCTTCCCAAGCTAACCAGTTATGAGAGCAAAGGGTTGGAGAAAGGGAAGACTTTCTTCATTCTGCAGATCTCCATGCATATGCAACCTCTTTTAGGAAGCTAGTGTCCTTATTCTGTCTTCCGTAGACTGTTCACATTTCCTCAGTGTTTCTGGTGATTTCTCTAGAATCAAAGACTGTGTTAGGGCTTCAGGTCCATGAGAAATGAAGAGAGAATGGGATAATACTGTAGATGAAGCTAAGCAAGGATACTGGTCTCAGTTAGAAGGTGGCTTCAGCCTGATCCCACAGGATCAGGAGTGTCAGTCACACCGAGTTGATCCCACCTTGAGGAAAATGCAGTCGTTTATACCCCCAGATTAGCCAGTTATTAACTACAGGCTGTCTCGAGGGGAGGGTGCCAATCTCCTGGGCAAGAGAACTCCCATTTGGATGAAGGCAATTCTCTAAGGAGGGACCAGCTGGGAACTATGAGCATGCTCAACATGGGTGAACTTGCCTGCTAAGGTGGATCTGAGCAAGGCATTACCAAAAAATCTGCTCAGTTACCCTAGAGTGATTATACATTTTTGTCCACGCTTCTGCTTTGATGCTACTCTGTGTCATGCTGTTGTATCACCATCCCCATCTTCTGGGCTATTTATTCTGTTTTTGTCAGGCAGTATTGCTTTCAAATTGATCCTGATCTTCTGAACACCACTAAATCTCCTGGTTATTGGCACTACTTCTTGGCACTATGGCCATTTCTATTGGATACCACCTTTTATTTATTACCAGGAAACATCAGCTCCTGCTGCTGATTCTGCAGCTTTCCGGGTGTCAAGTTCTATTCAGGGTCAAAGCCTGGGAGAGTGCTCCTTGTATTGTGTTGCATTGTATTTGTTAAATGAATGCTCAAAGGCAGGGAAGAATGTACCCCAATGCTTTTGAGAGTTAATAGTATAGGTACTCTTTCACTTGCTACTTAGAGCACTACCCTACCAAATGCTACTCAGACTTCCCTTTCTCCAGTGACTAATGCTTTGTTATTGAAACACTATGATCTTCTCAACTTTCTGCTCCCTTTGGGTGCACCCCCTCCTCACTGGTCTCTCAATCTCTCCTGCAAATGGACTTTTGGTAGGTCTGTGCCATCAAAGCTTTAGGCTGCCGAAACGTCTGAATTCCAGTAGTGGCAAAACCATAACCCCAGCTACATGTGCAAAACTCTGATTAAGACTAAATTATTTAGATAATAGAAATTGTAGTTAATTCAATATGCAGTGACAATTGTGGGGAAAACACTGTGTTATGTTCTGTGCAGAATCCCATGATAGACATTTCTAACATTTTTATCAATGTCTGGGGCTCCTATCCTTCTAGGCAAATGGAAAACAGCCACTGAGCTGTGAGTGGAAATGACTTATGGGATGAAGCATTTAATTACCAGTGTCATTTCTAGATTGAAATGTTTAATTGCTCATATGAGATTCCCTTGTGCTCTCATGCCCTTGCTGTAGCAAGTATGGAGAAATCCTGTGGACATATGGTGGAACCAATGGTTGAGCAGTCTTCATTGCGTGAAAGAGTTTCTCTCGAGTTTCTCAGACCCACAGTGGATGTTGCATAAATAAGAGAAATGAGAAATACTGTTTTTCTGAGTTAAGCCATTAAGATTTGGAATCTGTGTAAGTATAGCATAAGCTGTACTAACCTATCTTCACTAATGAAAACAACCCTGTTCTTTTCCCTCCTGTTACCCATTCTACTAAATAGTATGGTCTCCATAATGAAGAATTTTGGCGAAGGCTACAAATTAGAAAACTTTATAGTAATGAGTACTCACTTTCCCTGCCCTCTTTTGACTCATTGTATCTCCTGGCATGTTATTAAGAAATCTCTATGTTTAAATAGAATGGTTTGGCAAAAATTTACTGAACATAAATAGATTGCAGTTGGTTAATTTGCTACAGTTGTTAAAATAATACCTGAGTTACAAAATAATTTGCCTGCATAATGTAAGAAGTGAGTGATCATGTAGGTTGCAAGACCCTAGAAAGCCAAACCTTTCAAATTCTATTTTTTAAATGAAGTTGGTCAGAAGTATGCTTTCAATAAAAGTGTTCATTTTGGAAAGTCTGGTAACTAATGCTAAGAGTTATATAAATATATAGTAAAATATGTTTCCTCACTGGAATCTTCCAAAATAAATAAATCTAAGAAATACCTTTGTTTATACTGTTCTTGGTGAGCTGTACTGAAATAAAAAGAAAGATGGAATATGAGATATTTATGTAACAAAATAAGACTTATGGAATATTATTACTGTCAAGATAATGAATATTTCAATATAAAAAGTCTCTGTATGGTATGTGTGATATGGCATTTAATATTTATCTAAACACATCTATTTTTTAGAAAATACATAAAACTCCATAGACAGTGAAATTTGCTGCTTTCAACCAATGGCTAAAATTTGCATCTGTCTTATGTTGGTGAATTAATCTACTCCGAATTTTCTCATATGAAAAAAATTAAATCATAATATATATATGATAATTTATATGATGAAAGAGAATTGATAAACAGCTTCAGAGAAAGATGTATGATATCCCAAAATCAGATAGAGCTTACACTGTTGGCCAGGAATTAGCAGTTGTTTGGAATATTTCTTCCCTGTAAGCACCTCACGACATCAAATTGTAGACTGGCTTTTCTATTACAGTCAGAGAAGACCCTTCATGCGGCATTTCTATAGAGAGAAATTTCACTGTGGTGGCAAACTCATCTATTTATTTAACACTGGTATTTCAGCCATCTGACAAATGGCCTTTTATCCAAAAACAAAGACAATGAAACACCCTTTTTCATGACCACTATTAATAATTGTAGAATTTTGGTGTTTAAATGCAGTATTAAAAAATATGTACATAACAACAACTAAATATTTACTGAACATGAATTATGTGTCAGGCATTATGTTCTGTATGAATTATTTTATGTAATTCTCAAAACCCTCCCTTAAGTTAGGTACTATTATTAGTTCCATTTTACAAAGCAGAAAGCACCGATAGACTAAGTAACTTATTCAAAGGCATAAATTTAGTCATTAATTATACATGAATTGAACAAAGATTTGTCTGGCACTAAGGTTACAGAAATGGGTAAAACATGAGCCCAGTCCCTGTGGAACTTAGTGGGAGACATAGACATGTAAATGGCAATTTAAAAGGACATGAAAAGAACCACACACTCGAAACAGGAACTGTAATTTGAGAAATAGAAAATAACATTTGAGCTGAAAGTAAGATTTCAGCAGAAAAAAGGGGAAGGTCATTCCCGACATCATATCCTGCATGTTTAGCAATAGAGAGGTATGAAGGGCCACGGAGTTTGGGAAATGCTGATGAGTGTGTATGGCTGGAATGGAATGTGTGAGGAGAAATAAGAGAAACTCTGTGGCTCAATTCACAGAGCCAAAATCATTCGGTTAATCTTTGCTTCAAACACTTTTACCATTTACTTACCTCCTTTTCTTTCCTCCTCTTTATGTGTTTACTATTTCCACAATAGTGCTTACGTAAATATTTTTTAAAGTATAGGATGCTCAAGATGACATATATGAGGAAATACTATATAATAGATTCAGGCACGTAAAGAAGTGAGAAAAGAGATAATATTCCTTTAATTAGACCAAAAGTAGTTTCTAAAATTAAATATCTAAAAAATCCCTGAACATTCCGGATGATATAGGAAAGCAAGAAAAAAGATTGCACACACAATTTAAAATTCTGATTTCTGAGTATCAAGCCTACTTGTGAGGTTGGACAATCCCTAAGGTTATCTAGGGCATTTGAAATATACCACAACTCCTGGGGAAACCCCTATAGAAAAGCAAATTTGTTTTAGAAAACAAAAACAAAAACCAACCAGGACTCTCTCAGTTTATGTTTAAATATGCTAAAGTAATTCATTTCAGAAGACAGTGTGCCAAAAAATTAAGTAAAATAAAATAAAAAAGAAAATTCTAAGATTATCTAGAGCAATATAGAGTAATTCAGGAAAACATACATGCGTTTACTACAAATGAGAAACGCATAAAGCGTAAGTCATGAAGGGTGTTTTCTACCAAAATTATGATTATTATCTATCAAAATAATAATTTCTAGGAAAATAATGATAAAACAAACGTTAATTATTTCTAGCCCTTTCTAGCAAGACAAGAACCTGCTATAGAAGTAAGGAGGCCAAACATGAAAGAAACCATGTATAGTGCAACAGGTGAAGGCCTGCAGGTATATTAAAAGTAAATGCTTGTTTTACTTTTTTACCCTTCAAGAACAGAGCTATTTTGGGAAACGTGTCTGACATAATAGTATGTGGTGGCAAAGACTGATGAAATAATTTGTGCATGAAAATAATAATAAACAGCATGAGTTAGAAAGTTATGAATGCAGATATATGTCATATATCTGTGTCATATATATAAAACACATGACACACAAAATTTATACAGAGACCCCAATGCATATAGTTTCACAGAATATAATATAGATGGAAAAGAGAGAAGAAGCAAAGAAGAAGGCAGAAGAGATGTGGCAGAACTTTTTTCCAAAAATGGCCACAATATTTCCATCCTATATGTTTTTTGATATGCCTTCCATTGAGAGATGGGGTCCACTCAATATTTTCCCCTTTAATTTATGTCTATAACTATGTAAATAACATGACTGTGTCAAATTCTATTGAAGAGAAATATCCCAAGGAGAAATATGATGTGTCGATGGTTAAAAGAATTCGTCTGATTTTTGAGGGTAGGTAATGAGAAATGAAAGTTTCCATCTCGTTCTCTTTGGATACTCTGCTTTGGGGCTCTGAGCCATGATGTAAGATGTTTGAGGCCGCCATCTGGTAAGCCCAGGCCATATGTAGATTATGTGACCAACAGCTCCAGCTGAGGATCCTGCCAACAGCTAGCATGCATCCAGGTGATTCCCACTCCCAGCCTTTAAGTCCTTCCAGCTGAGGCCTCAGATATCATGGAGCAGAGACAAATGTGGACACATACCTCTCATGAGTAAGTAATGATGTTTATTTAAGAATGAAATAAAAATACTATTTTTCCTTTTAATTTATGTGTATTGTATTTTCATGAGACTACTACTGTAAGTTGTTGAGACATAACTACTTATTAGTTGATTGGACATAATAAACAAAACAATTAGGTATTTCATGGAGCCTAGGGACACAGACAGTGAAAAGAATTACAGAGACACTAAGGGCACCATGAATAAAGAAGGTTTGGGCTCCCTGAATTAACTCATTTAATTTTCATATCAACCGAACAGGTGATTCCATTCTCATTTCCATTTTATAGGAAGTGAGGCATAGAGAGGTTTACACTATCTCACACTGCTAAAGAGTATTATGCAGGGTTTGAACCCAGTCAATCTGACGCCAGAGCCCACACCCCAAACCAGTACAACTACTGCTTCTATGTCTACAGCCATGTAATTAACATAACAGTGTCAAACAAACTCCATTAAAGAGAAATATCCCAAGGAGAAATAATTTCAATCAGAATATTATAAGAAGTATATGTTCAAGCTGGAAAAGGAAGAAATTTTGTGAATCATTGTACAAGGAGAAACCTAAAGCCCTGGTGAGCCTCAAAGACAAACACGTTTAGTCATGGGCAGAGTCAGTATAAGAACCTATTTCTCCCTGCTTCCAATTCTGATATACCTGCCTTCTAACTGAAGAAGTTCTGTCCAGGAGTGGCAATCAAAAAATAGGATATGCAGATACTCATAATGCTATAAAAGGACATAGAAAAATAAACACCTGAATGTGAAGTATAGCGACATGGCAGTTATTCTTGTAGCTGACAAGAATCAATAGATTAAAAATCAGTTGTTTTTCTGCTGAACTCAGGGGTTTTGCAGTGTTTATTCTAGTCACAAAGTAGAGCAACTGCTTTGATTGGACAGTCAAATAATTCTCATTAAAAGTCTCTAATTTGAGTTCTCTGCTTCCACAATCTGTAAAATACTTTCTTCTTTTGTCCTCCCTAGCAGACGATATAATACTCATTTCTTTTCTTGTTACCTGGCTTCCTCACCAGCTAGACGTTTCTAAACGGCTGGGACCATGCCTTTTGCCTCAGTCAGGATCTCTAGTGTCAGTCAAGAACAGTGCCTAGTATGTACTAGGTGCTTAAGAGATGCTTGCTAAGTGAGTCTGTAACAAATGTATGTTGGCAGGAAGCTATATGTGAGCTATCATATAATTTATTTAATCAGCCTAAATACAGACTTACCTCCAATGTCTCTGTACAGAAACACCTGATTTCAACTTTACAGAAGCAAGAAATAAATATCTGTTATGTTAAGTCACAGAGATTGTGAAGTTTATCTGTTATAAAGGCTTCTATTACCTTAGGCTAAAATGACCTCTGTTTTCAACAAAACTTAATCAAGAGTCAGGCCTCATCTTACACATTCAAGCTCACTTGCAACCATTATCCAGATGCAGGTCACACACCAGGTCCAACATGATCCTAAACAAATGGTAGTTTTTCGGTACTTTGTGATTCATTTACTTCATTTATATCAGCCTCACATATTGCTTTATGAAAATGATTCAACAGACTTGCAGTCTGATCTGAAAGTATTTTATGAGACACTAAGCACAAGGAGAAGCACACATGTCTTCTGAGTGCTCTGATAACTCAAGATGATTATTCTCACCTCTTTACCTTTGCTCATAATGTTCATGTTGCTTGGGATATTCATTTTCTTTCTTTTTAACAATACCAAACTGTTTCTTGATTTCCTAGCTTACACTCCACTTTGTTGCACTTTGTCTAAAAGTTTCAGACCCTCCCACCACTTTTTTTTTTTAACTTAAATAGCATGAGAACTCTGGACTATACCATTTGACTCATGACTATTCTGTCTTGCTTCACATCTTATTTGTTTGTCTGGATTCCCCAGCAGGACACTAACGTCCTTTACTGAAGAAACCAGTCATTACAGTATCACGAGGTCTAATTTGGTCCTAAACAAATGATAGTCTTTCAGTATTTTATGATTCTGTTACTTCATTGATACCAGCCTTACATACTTCTTAATGAAAACTGATTCAACAGACTTCAAATCTGATCTGATAGTAGTATTTCATGAGGCTCTAAGTACAAGCAAAAGTTGGTAATACTAAAGAGGAAGGAGGGCTCATTTATTGGAAAACATGTATGTTAGACCATACATTGTAGCAGAGGAAGAAAAGCAGTATGAGTGGGTGGAAGGTTAGCTGTAGTTCATGGTCAAATGTGGAAAGGTCAGTAGTTACAAGGAAATAAAAGAGTCAAAAGACCAGCGCAAAAGGAGCTGAAGCTTGGATTACATTGAGTTAAGCTGTTTGTGTCCCACTGATGCCCATTTGAACACTCATAGGCTTTATTCTTTCTATTTCAGTATTAGAGAATTATATGGTAGTAGCTTCTTATATGGTAGATCTTCCCTTAGGTTCGCTATAATTGCAGTTTTGGCATTAAGGCCAATATTGGCGGTGACACTGATGAATTTGGATTATCCTGAGATTATGAGATATGTATGGGTTTGGGCATATTTGCAGTATGGTAACGTCATCAAAGGATACAGTTTATGTTTCTTAGCAACCTAGAATCGATCAGCATCTTGATGCAATTTTATGTGGCTCTTTAATTGCTGATTTTGTAGTGTTCGAACCTTCTAATGATGTAACAGCTGAAAGAGGATGTGCAAAAAGGCATTGTAAAAAAAAACTTTTTGGCTGCTTTTTGTTGGGCACCAAGGAAACATTTTGGCTGTATCTTTCCATCTAAGTGAAAAGAACTAAAGAAATGTTCTTTCTTCTCCATGCAGTGTAACTAAATTGTCTGGGAAAAAATCAGCATTCACATGTCTTGGACAAGTGAGAAGAGTGCTGTTTACCATCTTGCATCATTAGATATGACACTTTTATCATGCTCTGAAAAGATATAAAATAGGTCATTGGAATAAGGACACAGTATGGAAAATAGATGAAATCAGATAATAAATTGCAAATCTGTTAAGCCACGCTCCATTTTTATCCTTCTCTTTTTTCTTTTTGTCTTCCCCTGTGGCGTGGAAGAGATACTTCCCTTCACGTCCTGCCTTTTGCTTCACCCTAGACAGATGCTCTCCCAGAATCCAAGATAATACATGTTTGTCCACATGGTAGACTGCACTAGCCTTCTCCAATGTAGGATAAATGTGCCCGTATGCTACAAGGAAACAGAATTATTGAATCTGCTCTTGGCAAACTAACACTTTTTTTTTTTTTTTTTTTTTGAGACAGAGTCTCACTCTGTCACTCGGGCTGGAATGTAGTGGTGCGATCTCCGCTTACTGCAAGCTCTGCCTCCCGGGTTCACGCCATTCTCCTGACTCAGACCCCTGAGTAGCTGGGACTACAGGCCACTGCCACCATGCCCGGCTAATTTTTTTGTATTTTTAGTAGAGATGGGGTTTCACCGTGTTAGCCAGGATGGTCTCGATCTCCTGACCTCGTGATCCACCTGCCTTGGCCTCCCAAAGTGCTGAGATTACAGGCGTGAGCCACCGTGCCTGGCCAAACTAATACTTTTTATTGTGTGCCATAGGTCCCATAATGCCATTTGATATTAACCATCTCCAGTAACATCAATAGTTGCAGGAAATCAGTAGAAAGGAAGGACTATTGAGAGAACAATTTGGCCATCTCTTTGCTTCCAGGTATATTTGTATCACACTGCAAAGCAAAAATAGGCTAAATGTTGAAATACCGATGTGGAAAACTATCTTTAAAATGCAAATAAAATTTGGAAGTTTTATTCCATCGTTTGGGCTATTTTCACTTGCTCTGTCCTTGAGGGCAGCACAGCAACATGGTCACCCTTCTTTGAATAAAGACCAAATTGTTTTAATGGATCTTCATCTCATAGAAGAGGTAAAATGGCAGAGATGCTTCTGTGGTTTGAGTATTTGTCCCCTCTAAAACTCATGTTGAAACTTAATCCCAGATGTGGCAGTATTGAGAGGTGAGGCCTTTAAGAGGTGATTGGGTCATGAGGGCTCTGACCTCGTGAATGGACTAATCCACTCATGCATTAATGGTTTAGGAGGTTAACGGATTAAACAGTTATTGTGGGAATGGGACTGGTGCCTTTATAAGAAGAGGAGAGAACTGATCTGGCACCTCAGCCCCCTCGCCGTGTGATGCCCTGCACTGCCTCAGGACTCTGCAGGGAATCCCCACCAGCAAGAAGACCCTCACCAGATGTGGCCCCTTGACCTTGGGATTTCTCAGCCTCCATAACTATAAAAATATTTTCTTGATAAGTTACCCAGTATCAGGTGTTCTGTTACAAGGAACAGAAAACGGGCTGAGAGACATGCCCAGTGAGGATGGTGGCTAGGAAGTGAATGACACAGTTGCTTTCTGCCTGCTGCTTTCTTGAACAGGGAGACACTTGTCTAAGTGATCTGCATTAGAGGAGTGCAGATCACAAACAAAGACGGATTTATGTGAGTAAAGAATTATATATACCCTAAAGCAATGTCATTATGGCAATTATATTTAAGGATTTTGGTAAAGTCTTCAGAGGAGTATAAACTATTAAAAAAAAGGAAACAGCTGTTAGAGGGGTTTATATCTTAAAATAACAAAGGTACTTGCATGTGTGAAGAATGCCAACATCTTAAAAACATCTTCAATATAATTGATATTGATGACTTTTGTTTTCACTTCCCAACCACCTCTAAATAGTTTCAGTACTTCTGAAACTTTATTTTATGTTTTTAAGTGTTTTTTTTTTTATAAGTCTTCCCAGTTTGGTCTACTATATTAAGCTCAATTGTGAAGTTATTAAGCTCTTGGAATGGGCCTAAACTACGAAAATTTGAACAACACCTAGAAGAAATTAATAGTCCCATAAACATTTTGCCTTAAAGTAAAAGATGGTTCCAAGATGTCCAACCTGGGAAGAAAGATGATAAAAGTGACTGAAATAGGATAAATAGAAAAAAAATTAATAGGAGAAAAAATAATTATTTTAGCTTGTGGATAAATATCTGTTATAGGACTTCTACCTGTGAATGTTTAATGGCAGTTGGAAGAATAGATTTGGACACGCAAGAGTTAGGAGTAGAGATGCCAGTTTAATAGGCATCTACATTCTCTTGAAGGTTCGTAATAGGTAAGTTTACTGTGATCTTTCTCTCTCATTCCCTAGCCTCTACTCAGCTTTGCTGAATCAATTTCTTCTCCCGAAATTTTGATATTTTTTCTTTCTAATATGCTACATTATACTTTTGCATGCAGCATGAGGGGTTAGGGTCAGGGAGAGAGAAAATGAAGAGATTTCTGTTTATTTCTGTTACTCAGCTAAGTATCAGAAACACCACAGGGGGTTAAAAAGGATGTCTACGGAGGTGCTTGCCTGAGAAGTCACCAGAGGAATTGTGTGCAAACACAGAAACCCTTTGGTAACATGAGCTGTGTTTCCTTGTTAAATTGACCCTGCTGTCTGACACCCTCTGTTGCTACTGTTACATCACAGCTAGGTCAACATCCAGATTCCTTTACCAACTATGTGAGAATCTACTAAAAGCATTCTCTAATAATACAGTCAGCCCTGGGAAAGACATCTGAGCTTTAATTAAGCAATGTATGTGGGGGAAAATTTCTGGTATCTTGTTTAATAGACAGGTGTAACATATTCCTCTCTCCAAATATGCTTTTAGATGACATGGGGTAGGTTTAGAGAGATTTATAACAAAATGAAACTGATGTGGCAGTAGAATTTGTTAGCCCATTCTTTTATGTTTCTCAGCAGAGATCTTTACGTGGTAAAATGTCAGATTAGGGCTCAGCGTAATGATTTTTGGAACATGATAATGTTATTTCAGAACACTTCATTTAGAAAAATATCTTTGTTCGAATACTTCCTGATATTAATTTAATTTGCTTTGGTGCTCGTGGGTTATAGGAAGTGTAGCTGCACACTTCTTTGCACTTGCCTCACAAAACTTCCAACAGAAACCAACCAACACACATCTCATTAATCTTCTTAACACTAAGCAGAAAAGACCAAATTGAAAATACGGCGATCTTTCCATGAATGCACATCAGGACTGGTTTGTTTATCTCTGAGCAGGCATGTGTGATGAAAACAGTATGTCATTATGTAGCTTCCTAAGTGGAGAGCTGGAACTTTGTGAAGAACAAGGAGCCTGCCGTGAGGTTGGAAGTTTTTACTTCTTTGCGCTATCATTTCTATTGCTTTGACTGTGGTATCTTCCAAGTGTCAGGAGTTACTTCTTCCCTAAAAGAACTCTGGTTGGGCTGGGAATATCGGCTCATGCCCAGCACCTTGGAAGGCTGAGGTGAGAGACTCAGTTGAGGCCAGGAGTTCAAGACCAGCCTGGGCAACATAGTGAGACACCATCTCTATAAAACAAAACAAAACAAAAACAAAAACAAAGATCCCTCAGGCAGTTTGTTGAGAATAAAGCATGTCTTAAGCCACATGCCTTTATTTTTTTACCCTTGCTCTGTCTCGTTAAACTGTTCTCTCAAAAAAATTCATCATCTGAAGTTTAATATTTTTTATGCTTCATTCCACAACTTCTTAGTGAGTTTCTAAAATTAATACAAACAACAAAAACCTATGTCACGAATGGAACACAAGCAAATAAGGCTCAGACATTTAAAAGCCGATGGCAATGTACATCAGGATAAGATTATGTTAAAATAAGGATTGTAGACTCTGTGTGATAGTCTTCGTGCTTGATTTTGTGCTGATTGTAGGATATAAGTATAAAGATAATAATCCAAATTAAAGTGCCCATCTACTGTAACACAAGCTATTATCTCTATATGATATCCAACACACGACAGATATTTGATAACTTATGACAATAAATATCCTAAGTTCTTACAGCCATATGAAGCACCTAGAATTACCAACTATGAAGCTGTTAGCCATTTACACTTGTATATTAAGTTAAATATTTATTAGGATTAGAAGTCAAATAGAGGGCTAGTAGAATATTGGAAAGTGTGTTTTCCCTTTGAGTGTAAAGCTCCATTTGGGATGGAGTGTTGAGTGGTAAAGTCTTTTCAGCATGCTTTCTGAAAGTTTTCTCTTTACTCTCATTTTCACCTGGGTAAAAAGAATGTAGGAATGATTAACAGGGTGGTTAATGTGTAGCAGCTGAGACAAGGTTCTACAGATATAGTGTGTAGTCTGGTAGGAAGAACCATGTCCCCCTCCACCCACTTTGTTCACCTCCCAATCCATGGAAACTATGAATATATTACTTTAGATGGCAAAAGGGACTTTGCAGAGGTGATTAAATTAAGAACCTTGAAGTGAGAGGATTAGACTAGAATATCCAGGTGGGACCAATCTAGTCACCCCAGTCTTTAAAAGCAGAGAAACTTTGCCAGCTATGGCCAATGAGTGCTATGTCGATGGGAAAGTCAGTAGGATGCGACTTGAGCGTGGAAAGGGGCCACGGGCCGAGGAATGCGGGCAGCCTGCAGAAGCTGAAAGCTGGAAAATGCAAGGAATGGAGTATTGGTGAGTTGAAATTGGCTTAATAATTCCCTAATACTAATGTGCACAACAAACTCATGGACTGCTTGTTTAAGATGCATATTTCCAGGCCCCATCCCAGGCATTCTGATTCATTCAATCTAGTGTGAGGCATTAAAATCTGTAATTTAACTCCATTTCAACAAGTGATCAAGATAGGCTTTGAAGTCCATTTTTGTTTGATCTTATTAAAAGTAAGTTGCCATATTTAACATTTAACAGTCTTATTTTCTATTTTTGTATTTCAGAATCAGGGAAAAGTCCTCTCTCCCTCTCACACGCACATGCTCACAGGCACACATGCACTCACACACACACATACACGTTCTCTCACACACACACACAATTACTCTTGACTGCTTTCTGTTAGTTGGCATGATGTCATCTCTCTAGAGAGTCATAAATTTTGGACCTCAATGTTTGAAAACTGAATCGGGAATACATGATTAGAAAGATCAACAATGTCTTCTCCCAGGACATTCCCATATGTATTTGTTTAATCTGTGTTTTCTATGCTGGACTGTAAGCCCATCAGAGTGAATCAAACAGGTACATCAGTCTCATTAGCAGCTTCACCAGCTAATGAATGTCAGACACCATTAACCAAGAAATACTTTCTATTGAGGAAAATGGAAACTACATGAGGGTAGTTTGTTGTAGGGGAGATGCAAGGCAGGGATAGATTGGGGAAATATGACCCAGAAGAAATGAAATCACTACCTTGTAAAGATACCTGCACTCTCATGTTTATTACAGCATTAGCCACAATAATCAAGATATAGAAACAACCTGGGTGTCTATCGCCAAATGAATGGATAAACTGTGGTGTGTATATACATGTATACATACACAATGGAATATTATTCCACCTTTAAAAGGGAGATCCTGTCATTTGCCATAACATGAATGTACCTGGAAAACATATTAAATGAAATAAGCCAGACAGAAAAGAAAAATATTGCGTGATCTTAGTTATACATGGAATAAAAAAGGTCAATGATACAGATAAAGAATAAAACAATGGTTACCAGGGCAAGGTGGGAAGGAGGAAATGGGGAGATATAGGTCAAAGGATACAAGATAGAAGATATGTAGCATGAACAAGCCTAAAAATCTAAGGTATAACATGAGGACTATAGTTAATAATAGTATATGGCATTCATTATTTTTGCTAAATGAGAGATTATAGCTGTTCTTGCCATAGACAAAAAAAAAAGAGTAACTATGTCAGGTGATGGATACGTTAATTTGTTTCACTATAATAACCATTCTACTATATATGTATCTCAATGCTATCTTGCATAATTTAAATATACAAAATACACAAATTTAAATATACAAAATACAAAATTTTTAAAATTTTATTTTAAAAATGAAATGATTGGAAAGATATTTAGGAATTAAAATCAGCAGATTTGCCAATCTAATGAAGGATTACAGAAAACTATTCTCAATCTGTAAACTAGGTTGTTGGATGGAGATGATACCTGCAAACAAGGAAGAAGCACATCAGGTGGAAGGCTAATTTTGTGGATTATGTGTTTGAAAGGCCTGTGGGAGGTGATAAGCAGGGAGTAATTGCAGATGTATTTAAATCTAAAATGCTGCAGTGTGATAGCAAAACAGTGGCCCCCAACGATAACTATGCTGTAATTCTAAGAACTTGTGAATGTTATCTTACATGGCAAAAGGTACTTTGCATATGTCATTAAGGTTAAGAACCTACAGATGGGGAGAGTAGCTGGGATTACCCAGGTAGGCCCAATCTAATCATATGAGTCCTTTAAAGGAAAGAGTTAGCCAGCTGAAGAGAATCAGACATGGCAGCAGCATTGAGAAGGTGGGGCCCTTCTGTTGCTGGCTTTGAAGATGGAGAAAGGCAGCCCCGAGCCAAGAAATGCAGGCAGCCTCTAGAATAGGCTGGAAAAGGCAAGAAAATAGATTTGCTCACAGAGTCTCCACAAGGAACCCAGGCCTGCTGACCACCTTGACTTTTGGCCTGGTGAAACAGATTTTAGACTCCTCACCTTCAAAACTATAATAAAGTCATGCCATTTTAAGCACCAAGTTTATGATAATTTGTTATAGCAGCAATAGAAAACAAATATACCAACATCCTTCCTGCCACCCCCACCAAAAGAAACCGAAATGTATGAGACTTATTGACACAGCTCTCTTGGGCCAGGTTTTCTGGAGCCAAGAAAGGAGGAAACTCTTCTCATTAATTCCCTTTGTGGGACATTTTCTTAATTGTTGGTCTGGGTTTTCACTGACAGAAAGCTGCAGAGTGAACTGTTGGGGAAGTATTCTTTGGTGCACACAGAAAATCAAGACACATTTATATTCAGTCAATGACAGAGTGAAAACCAGACTTCAAGAGAGAAATCCACACTCTCTGAGCCAGTTCCCATTCTCAATATGTAGCAGTTTCAATTTGCCCCATCACTAGTGAAACTCATCTGAGGGCTTCCTGAGAAGTCAGGTGAGCTGCATCTATGAGGAGTCTGACCCCGGCAGATCTGTGAGCATGGACATGTTTAGAAGCAATGTTCTAGGCTGCATAGTTTTTTTTTTTTTTTTTCCTATCTCTCTTCCTTGTTCAACATTACAATCCACTCTCAAGTGTGTATGGAGAATCGGAAAAGGGCCTGTCTGGCCACTGTGGGAAAAAAAAACAAAAAGAGTACCAGGCGAGACCACAGTGATGGTACTTGAGATGGGCACAAGCTGAGAACGTGCATCTAGTGAAGTGGCCTGATGTTTAACCTTGTGGTTAAAAGGGGGTTATGGGCTTTTGGGTGGATAACAATCTTTCCTTAAATACCAAGGAGAGTGCATCCTGTCAGCATACCTTGTCACTGCTGATATTACCGTGGATTGCCTGGCTGCAACATCGTTGTCCATTTTCTCCACTGTAAAGTTACTCTTTTTCAATCTTTCCACGTTATACTCTTTAAAAGGAAGCCACTATGTACAGCCTGCATGGAAGGAGTGGGGAGTTATGTTCTGACTTCTTGAATGTAGAGTATCTACACAAGTTATTTGGAATTTTTCTACATGGGATGTTTGTCTATTCTCTTCCATTTATTCAATTATTTTTAGTATATGGACTGCGTGTTTACTTACACTTTGGTTTACCATTTGTTACTATATTTTGCTGCTCAAATTGTTCTAGCTTTGGCCATTGCGTGTTGTTTCAGTTGGCACCTATGTCCTTTTGACATACCATCATCAATGTGTTTTGTATATTTCAAGCACTTCTTTAACTTCTGGTACTACAAAATGCTCCAGGCTCATCTTATAAATTTCCTGCTGTGTTACTGAAATCAGTCACTCTTTCTTTCCAAGAAATTCTGGTTACTTTTGTTGGTGAACAGTATTAGAAATCAAGATCTGGGTTAGATGTACTCATTGCTACTAGGGAATTGTTGCTTCTAAGGCCTCCTCAGCTAGCAGAGTAATAAAATATGAGTATACTAACTTGTGTATATATATACTTAAATATTTCATGTGTAACTATATTTGTCTAGATTAGGCAGAAAATGAGACCATACAGATGCCTACAACTCCAGTCCATTACCACATGGATCATTCTACGTTCCTGCCCTTCCCTATCTCTAACCTCAGACTCGAATATTGACAAACTTGGCTCCCACTGCTCACCATCCATTTTACTGAACTGTTCAATTCACGTATACTTATATAGAGGTTTCAGATTTATTACTCATACCCCCAAGAAAAACGACTTTATCAACTCACTTTATCAACTACAGCACAGTGCTTGCGTTGAGGTCTGTTAACCTTATTCTTGCACATCTTATTTCCAAGGTTAATTAGGTCAGCACTTTACCCCGACTCCTTTCAACAAGGCTGTTTCACACATTTGTAATACAGTTAGATTCTTCTGTCATAATCTTCATTTGATCATGTGATCCCACAACTATTTAAGTGATTTAAAAAAATACATATATTTAATGGTGAGTTTTTTTCTGCTATAAAGTTCTGTGGGTACAGTGTCATAGAGCCATCATTTTAGTTCCATATATGATGGTTTATCCACCCCCAAAACTCCTGTTTCACCTATGTAACCACTCTTTAGTCCCTAGCACCACTGATCTATTATCTTTATAATTTTTCTTCCATAATATCATATGAATGGAATTATATAATATGTAGCATTTTCAGACTGGTTGCTTTCACTTAACAGTACGTATTTAAGATTTCCATGCCTCTGCATAGCTTGATAGCTCATTTCTTAAAATCATTGAATAGTATCCTATTGAGTGGGTGTACCACTTCTGGTTTATCCATTTACATTTACTTATTGAAGGACATTTGTATTGTTTCCCATTGTTTTGCAATTACAAATAAAGCTGCAGTAGAAATTCATGTGCAAGTATTTGTGTGGACATAAATCTTCAGATAAGTTAGGGAAATAGTAGGAACTTGATTGTTGGATTGTATGGTGAAACCATGTTAAACTTTGTAAGAAACTTCAAAACTGTCTTGCAAATTGGCCATATTATTTTGTGTATCTGCCAGCAATGATTGAGAGTTCTTGTCGCTTTGCATCTTTGCCAGCAATTGGTATTGTCAGGACATCATAATTTTAGTTCAGGGAGACTTATATAATACTTCTCATGTAAAGAACCATAAGATAATAAATTTGCATTGTCTTAAACACAATATGTATACTCATTTGTTATAGAAGCAATGGAAATCCAATACATGTACACAGAGTTTCTTTTAAAGAATATGGAAATGTTTGTGTTTATCTTCTGGTCCACATCCAATTATGTCTTCCTTAGGGGCTGAATGCCATAATTTCATCAATAACTTACAAACCTATTTGTGAGCAGAAGAGATAATAATATTATTGTATTTCTTCTCTCACTTTGTAAGAAAGCACCAGCTAGTAATATGCCATTATGAGACATTAGTTTCCAAATTCCCCAGCTACCTACCTATAATATAAATAAATCTTAATAACTACTGATTTTAAAAATCTACTTTGAAGCTCAAGAAAATATTATCAAAAATGTTTATGTAGCAAGTTAAATGTAACTTTGTTTTTTCTTTTCCAATTTCTTTTTAAAATGTCTCTTCGCTTAGTCTCATTTATAGGACTTCCTTGACACTTTCAGTTCTTTGAACTACACCTTTTGTTAATTTTTTAGATTTATTAAGATTTTAGGGAAAAATAAAGAAAATTCAAGAGTGAAAAACTCAGTTATTTTGAGAAATATTTTTTATGACTAATATAACAGTGCAGAACTAAAAATGTCATCTATAAACATTGGTTTCCGTAGATCTGTTCCTCTAAGCAATTTCTTACTGCTTTTTGCTTTTCTTTTAATACATTTCCTGTTTCTAGTCTATAATTTCTGCTTAATTCTTTCCTATATTGGGCCGTCAACTCATTCTGTCATCTGCTTTATTTCCCTCTACATTAAACAATCACTTCCAGAGTACTTTCATTCAATATTTATACAAAAGGGGGGTTTTAATTGAAATTCATTAGAAAAAAAGCTAATTACTAACTTTTTAAAGAATAGATTCTTTTTCACCCTCCATTGAGAGATATGTTACAAGCAATGTGCTAAAACTATATTAGCATGATTTTAACACATGAATTCCCTGATTCCCAATCCTTTCACAGTTCTCCTTTATATCAAGATTTCATAAGCATTATACATTAAAAAAACAGTGAGAAGTACGTAATAGAGTATACCTACCAATATTTAGTATATTGGAGAAAAGCAGGAATACAAACATCCTATAAATGGCAACATATCTGATCATGAGATGACTGGAATAAATAAAAGCACAATTTATACTTAATTTATACTCACCTGAGATGTAGAACAGTTAATGCTTAGTCTTTGATCGCAGCAGAACATACAGATGATTTCTGCTAACATCAAAGATGAAAAGAGCATTAATTGTTCTACTTTTCAGTTGAACATATTATCAACTACAGCAAGACATGATATTCTTTACTTTAGAACTTTACAGTCTAAAGGGAGAATGACAAATATAAATGTAACTATAAGGTAAAATATGATCACTATCATAAAATAAAGGGTTTGATGACCTCAAAGGAAAGAGAAAGTGTGTCTCCTTGAGGGAACCAGGCTAAGTCTCAAGGAGGAGAGACCATTTGGGTTGGACTGATTAAAAAGTTGACAAGAAGAAGGGAACATGCTGAGCAAAGCTAGAGCGGGGAGGTAATAGTGATAGTTAAGAAACATGAACTAATCCAGCACAGGTTTGGGGTAGGTCAGGAGTAAGCAATAAGTAAAAAATTTGGCTAGATCTATATTTATTGAAGTCCTTAAAAATAGCCACCAAAGACTTTTGATTATTTTAACAAAGCTATCTAAGGCAAATTGGATGAAATATTAACATGATTGGGTTAAGAGGTCATCTCAGTTGTCTCTCTAGGTCTAGATTTCAAACGATAGTGTGCATACTTGTCTCTGGAGCAAATAAAAAAGCCAATGACTGTGACTAGGCCCAACCCTTGATTATGATTCACTTCATAAGCTATGGGGCCCAGAAATCCATATTTTTTATCAGGTGACTCTGTGCACATTAGTTTGAAGTTTGAGTGTCTAAGTGAAAGGAGAAAGCCTGACCTTGAGTGTGTCAGAAGAAATGGCTAATAGGTTATAGGTGAGATCAACCTGGCACTCTGACTGTAAAACCTGAATTTTTATACATGACTCAGTTTCAGTTCTGAGGCTTATTTTACTGAAGCATCAAAAACAATCAACGTTTCTTAAACTATACAGTGCTAATTCTCAGAATTGCTTCCTGAAGGTGACTGTAAAACTGAGCACTACCTTAACATACATGGTTTGTGGTTGGATCTAACAGGTTGGGACTAAATTGAGACTGCTTCTTATCCTCCTAATGTCTTAAAAGCCTGGTTGGGCTGCTAAGAGAGATTACAGGAAAAGAATACAGATGAGTTTGAATTCTCCCAGGGCAGGGATATTAACTAATTTGTCTCTTGTAACAGGGTCAATGTTTGTGGAATGAATAAATGAGTGAGTGAATGAATAAACAGGAAATGTGGTTGACTTTTGATGAAAGTTTATAGGACAGTCGTTCAAACACTATCAGAAAATCTAATGTCACCAATGTCCTATAAAATATTGTTCCAGGAAGGCGCTATGACTTTCTACCACAACTGGAAGCAAATGTAACACAAAAAGCAAAAACCTCCTTATTCTTTGTTGGCCTATATCTCCTATCCCAAAAAATACTTCCTTTTTCCTTGGAAAATTCTGGCAAAGATGTCATGAAGCTCCCCCTTAGAAGAGAGCCTCAAGGCAATACAGTTTGCTACAAGGCAAACTTTATTTGCTCCTAAGAATTGTAGCTGCAATAAACTCTGCATGAACAGTATTTACAAATATTCCATCACTTAGTGGAAAAAAATCTTGGGTGCTGCTAAGAATGTGTCTGGCTGGACAATGTTAAATTTTGGAAAACAACTATTTTCTAGGCTGTTTACTAGAATATAACTATCATCAAAATATATTCATGGAGCATTTTTTTTAAAACAGTGAGAATGCCTGTAGTTCAGTAGCTACTGAAGTAATCTCTCCTGTGAAAAGGAGGAGGCCAGCAATAAAGAACAGCATCTCTACATTTATACCCATACAGTATTATTTCTAATATGTTCGACTTGAATTCTCACTTAGATAAATAGATTCCATATGAACCTAATTAACTGGCGTTTCAGTTTCCAAAATGTTATGTAAAATGTAGTGTTTTAAATTGAAAAAATGCAGATGGGAATCTTGAAGGTGTTTGATTTATAGCTGATGCAACAGTTCCTTTTTCTGTTACAGCAGAATACTAACATTATGCTTAGATGATTTAAAGTAGATGCTGTTTATTTTATTTGACTTTCACTAGGATTATAAAGATGACAGTGCTCTACTACAGAAGAGATTTTCTTATTCTAACAGACAAATGCATTTCTAGCCATTATATCACGGCATACATTTTCACAATGTAAATAGCTATTTAATGGAAATGATGAGGCCACTAATGTAGACAAAGTAGCTATTGTCTGAGAGCCCCTGAGTCATCTTGTGTCACAGAAAATATAGTTATTAGTTTTAATCATAACCCTATGGCATTTTAGAAACCTTAGTATCTAACTTCAATATATAGAGATATATAATTAGGAAAATACTTAGACTTAAATTCCACATTGACTGGCATTATAAACTTTGCTTTCTAGTAATAATTAGATGGCTGATCAGAAACTATGTATTACATGGCCTTCCTTATGAAATGAGGCAGCTTTTAAAATTATGTATCATAGGCCAGCTGCAGTGGCTTATGCCTGTAATCCCAGCACTTTGGGAGGACGAGGCTGGTGGATCACCTGAGGTCAGGAGTTTGAGACCAGCCTCGCCAATAGGATGACACCCTGTCTCTACTAAAAATACAAAAATTAGCTGCGTGTGGTGGCATGCAGCTGTAGTCCCAGCTACTCTGGAGGCTGAAGCAGGAGAATTGCTTGAACCTGGGAGGCAGAGGTTGCAGTGAGCCGAAATTGTGCCATTGCACTCCAGCCTAGGTGACAGAGTGAGACTCCATCTCAAAAAAAAAAAAAAAAATGCATCATATACTATTTTAACAATGGTCAATTATCACAGTCAATTCCATTTAAAAGTAATTTTTGATGCAAAAATATGTCATATCGAACTATTTTCCTAATGGGTTACAATATTGACATTATATTCTTAGGCTCTTGCAAATTATAATTAAAGGTATATTCTATCTGGAAAATGAATGTGTCAGTGATTTCTTTCTTTTTTTTTTTTAGATAACTGTGTTTGCCATATGTTTATCATCTAGGCATATGCTGAACTGTTGTGTATGTTCAATAAATAATAAGAATATGAATGTATTTTAGATTTGCTTAGAAATATAATCAACATAGGCTGGGTGCAGTGGCTCACACCTGTGATCCTAGCACTTTGGGAGGCTGAGGCAGGCAGATCACCTGAGGACAGGAGTTCGAGACCAGCCTGGCCAACACGGTGACACCACGTCTCTACTAAAAATACAAAAATTAGCCAGGTGTGGTGGCATGCATCTTAGTCCCAGCTACTCAGGAGGCTGAGGCAGGAGAACTGCTTGAACCTGGGAGGTGGAGGTTACATTGAGCCGAGATTGTGCCATTGCACTCCAGCCTGGGCGAGAGAATGACAGTCTGTCTCAAAAAAATTATGCATCATATACCATTTTAACAGTGGTCAATTACCACAGTCAATTCCATTTAAAAGAAATTTCTGATGCAAACATATTTCATAAAATTAACCATATGGCATTTTAGAAACCTTAGTATCAATTTTTTTACTGCCTGATGGGTTACAATATTGACATTATATTCTTAGGTTCTTGCAAATTATAATTAAAGGTATATTCTATCTGGAAAATGAATGTGTTAGTGATTTCTTTCTTTCTTTCTTTCTTTCTTTCTTTCTTTCTTTTAGAACCATGTTTGCCATATGTTTATCATCTAGGCATATGTTGAACTATTGTGTATGTTTAATAAATACTTAATAAGAATATGAATGTATTTATTAGATTTGTTTAGAACTGTACTCAGAATAGGCTGGGTACAGTGGCTCATGCCTGTGATCCTAGCACTTTGGGAGGCCGAAGCAGGCAGATCACCTGAGGTCAGGAGTTTGAGGCCAGCCTGGCCAACATGGTAAAACCCCCACCTCTAGTGAAAATACAAAAATTAGCCTGGCTTCATGGTGGGCACCTGTAATCCCAGATACTAGGGAGGCTGGGGCAGGAGAATTGCTTGAATCCAGGAGGTGAAGGTTGCAGTGAGCTGAGATCGCGCCACTGCATTCCAGCCTGGGTGACAGAGTGAGACTCTGTCTCAAAAAAAAAAAAAAAAAAAAAAAAAAAGGAAATGTTTTCAGAATACACTGGAATTTTGGAAGACAGACAAAATGAATATAAGCATAAAATTAGATTAAATACTGGCAGCTAACTGCAGGCCCCAGTCCTGTAACTAAAGCTAAGAAGACCCCTCCTTGCCCCAACAAAAAAGAAGTGTGTTTTCACTTTCACTTTCACATTCTTCACAATGTTCAATATAAACACTGAAGTTATATTGAGTAGCAACTTTTATTTGACATTTAATTTTTTGTTTTATCATGAATTTTCTAATTTCAGTTGAGTTTTTTGCTATTTATTGGCTTAGAAGTGTTTTGGCTTTCATATGCTAGACAATACTTTGAGTAAATACAGTGAAGGACTGTGAGAAAGTTAAATTTGTGGCACTTTTCATCTAAAACAAGAAAAAATGGAAATTCCCAAAGAAAGATGAGTAACTCTTTAAGCCATTTCTGCTGAATGGATGTTTCATACTAATGTTATGGGGAAGTATTAAAATACTGTAAAAGGAACTAATCCAAGTATTAGTGTCTTAGAAGAAAAGCCACTGGGTGCTTAAAACATGGGTGGAGATTTCTTAGTGTGTATTGATTGTTTATGAAATGTCAAAATACTACTAAAGTGTATGAGAAGAAAATAAAAGCTACTAGCATTTGAGGACACATTTACATGACAGATCTTACGAGCGTATTTCCTGGAAATGTTTCACTGATTGATTTCATCACTCATTTATTTATTGCAACACTTATTCAATACTTTACATAAGTTAAATTGAGGAGATTCAAAGAGGAGCTTTGTTCTTTGGCCTAATGGAACCAATACAGTGCTTCCTTGTGCCCCAGTGCTTCAGAGTTATTAGTGAACATAGTTCCTTCCATTTGTACTTTAGCCCCTCTCTTAATTTTCAGAAATGAATCCAGGCAGTAAACAAGGCTGACTAACAGATAGCAGGATGCACTCACAATTGAGATACTGTTATTGAGCCAATTTCCCTGTCTGACACACCCTTCTCTTAGAAGGATGTCTTTCTGTGGCTCCTACATGAAACAAGTAAAATGATTCCCAACAGGCTCTTCTACCAGGGTACAAATCACACCCAAACATGATGGCATTGGGCAAAGCTTAGGCTCCAACAGAGATTTTCTATTAAAGTTAGATTGAGTTCAGGTTGGGAAGCATATCCTCTGTCAAGCCAAGGAGTGGCTTGGATTTTATCTCGTAGGAAATAGGAATAGGTTCTTTGGAAAAACTGAAGGATGAATAGGACTTGGGTGGATAATTGAATGGGTTCTTGGGTGAATGAACTGATTGAAACGTGATTATGGAAAAATGTAGCATTAAATATGTGCTTTTCCTGAGAAATTTTAAATTGGTTTAAAATTAGCTAAGCAATGACCTTGGAATAATGGAGCTTAGTTCAAAGCTACAATTCACAATTGTTGTCAACTCTTCACTTTAAAAAGTGAATATTGTTCAGATGTGCAAAAGGGTTACACAAGAGTCCCAAAGAAGTCACAGGCCAGAAGTGTAGCTGATGGGTGATAGGAAAACCAGGTCTGTAGAAAAATCTCCCTGTTCATTACCATCCTCCTGAGTTTCTCCTTCCAACATCCTTATGTTCTACTTGCGTATTCTTATCATTTTGCAACCTCTTTACTTCTGGGCAAATAGGAAAACAGGCAGCTTTATCTTTGGAGTTGACTCTGAGGAAAATTCTTCTGGTGTCAAAGGAATGATTTGGATTAAAAATCTGAGGCTGAAACAATTTTAATGTTTATTTAAAATGAACTTTTCCACTAAACCTGTCTCATCAGATAACAACACTAAATATCATAGCTTACACACACAAATTTTATTTGGCCACAGGAAGAAAATAGGGAATAGAATTCAGTAATCAGAATATACCACACTGATGATACTATCTTATTACCATCAGTAATAAAATCAAAATATTACTCATTCTTCTTCCTCAGAATTCACTCACAGGGTTTGCATAGATCCTATGAGTCATGGTAGCATCTTCAGCCCTGGGAAACTGCCCTCTCTTTTTTGGCTCCACCTCCACCACCCCAAAAACCACACGGAGAGATGGAGAAGGGCTTGATTAAGAAGCTGCGAAGTTGCCTTAACATTGTTGTTTTCAAACTCACACTGCAGACACAATGCTTTGCGAACTTAAGATAATCATATTTCAGATAGAGATACCAGAGGCCGTTTCTCCAGCAGGTTCCTGCAGTGGTTTTTATGTCTTGAAATTCCAATTCAAGATTGGTTTGAGCCCTGGAAACTGAGATATTAGAACAATCAGATTATCTCATCAAAACAGATTGAGCATACTTTTATAACTCACACTGATCTTGGCTACAAAAGGATTTTGGTAGATGATTAAACTTTAGAAAGTGAAAGTAATATTTAGTTTGATCTTTATATGAGGCAATAATTCTATCAATTATAAGGATATTTCTTCTGAAATTTTCACTTTATCTTTAGTACCTATTTTTCCCCAGTATTTTTACCCATATTTCCCTAAAATTGAGATACCTGGGCTAAAACTGTTTTTTTTCCTTTATATGTTTCTATGCTTCGCTGTCAAATTAGGTTCAACTGATAAGAAAAAGCAAGTATAAGAGCGAGCTTTTGTTTCCTTAGCTGTACTCCTTGAACCCACTTCTCCATCACCTTCCCACCACCCACCCCATTGACAAAGATATTTCAGAAAAACTTTGAAGACTGTAGATCTGATATGAAGTAGTCCACCATTTAAAGCATTCTCCAGGGTGCAATATCGCCCCTAACAATGGGTCAGTCTTTAGGGGTGGGGGGAGCATCGGTTCTCAGCAGGCAAAATCTTAGCTATTAAATTGGCTGTGGCCCTCCAGAAAATTTATGTACTACATATCTGTACATATACAAATATGTGATGTATCTAGGGTAATAAAATTTCATAGGAGCTTTGGATAAGGGAGAAATAGCCTAAAAAGATGCTGTAAGGAAGCAGTAGTAAAACTTAAAAAGGTTAACAAACACTGCTTTAAAGACTATAGCCTCCTATTCTCTTCTAAAAGAATTGCATAGAAACAGTCCCTTTCCTAGTGCCCGCTCATGAGCTCCTTTATTTTGTCCTTCTCTGTTTTCCTAATACTGTGTTTCTATATGGTTTGAATATCATGTATTCAGATTTGACAATTTTCTTCTGCCTGCAAGCATTTTTAGTAGTACTTCTGTCTTTGCTAAACTAATTTGTAATTAGGAAAGAACCCATCTAGAGTGTATGCTTGTTAAACATCCTGTTGATTCATCTTTTTGATAACTGAATCTTTCTTTATCATTACTATTATATCACTTTGCCTTAAAACTGTTAATTTCCACAGCATCTCTGGCTAGGAAATCAGGGTTGCCTTGAGTTATTTCACGGGTGACAATTTCCTTTTTTGTTCAAATCTCTTTTTGTGGCATATATGCCATTTCTCATTTATTTAAAATATGATTTGACAACATATTTTCATCCTTATTTTATATGTACAGTTGACATTTTGCACAATGCAGGAGTTGGGGAAATCAACCCCCCTCTGTGTCTAACTTTTGACTCCCCAGAAACTTAACTACTAATAGCCTACCCTTGACTGAAAGCCCTGACAATAACATACACACATAAACAGTCGATTAGCACATATTTTGTATGTTACATGTGTGATATACTATACTCTTAAAATAAGCTAGAGAGAAGAAAGTGTTATTAAGAATCATACAGAAGGGGAGGTAGGTGCACTCAGTGTCACTTTTATTTTAAAAATCTGCACATAAGTGGGCCCGAGTAGCTCAAATGTCTGTTGTTCAAGGGTCAAGTATAAATATATACACATATGTATATGTGTATGCTAAATTGTGTCTATAGATTGGCTAAGCTGAAAAGCACAGCCTTCCTTAAATATCCAATTATATGTGCATATTGCAAGCTGACCAAATATTACATGTTTTCCACATGTATATTTAGTGATCAGTTGTGTTCTTTTTTAAAAAAATTGTCCTCATTCAGATGTTTTTAAAACATGAAATTGGCTTTTTAATAGTTTGTTGTAGGCTTCTTTTTAAGGAAAACTGATATATAGTTAAGAAAATGCAATTACTATTCACAAGGGGAAAAGCACAAATATTAAATGCATAAGTTATTACAGCAAATTAACATGGCCTTACAAATATTTCATACTGATAACTTCCAAATGTACTTCTCCAACGCAGATTTCTCCCCCAAACTCTAGATCAGGAGTTAGCAAACTGCAGCCCTCAGGCCAAATTCAGCCACAGCCTGTTTTCTAAAATAAAGCTTTACTGGAACACAGCCGTGTCATTCTCCCACGTAGTGTCTGGGGCTACACAAAGGCAGAGTAGTTGTGACAGAGAACATCTGGTCCACAAAGCCTAAAATATTTACTATCTGGTCCTTTATGAAAATATCTGCGGACACCTGCTTCTATTCATATATCCAACTCCCTCTTTCTATCTTCACTTAGATGTCTAAAAGTGTACCGAATCTAAAATGCTCAAAACCAAATTCTCATCTTTCCTCTAAGTCTGCTCCAACCAGAGTCCTATCCATCCCAGTTCATGTTAATCACCTTTCAGGTTAAGTGAGAAATTTTAGAGTCACGTCTTTACTCCTTACTTTCTCTCATACTCTATTTTCAGTCCATCAGATATTAAGCCTCCTATTGGATTTATTTTCAACATACTCAGAATTCAGTCTTTCATCAGCCACTCTGCTGCTAACATTCTGGCTTGAACCAGTGCCATAGTTTAGGTTACTACCATCTTTACAACATACATCCAGAGTAATCCTGATAACATGGAAGTCAGAGTATGTCCCTTCTCTACTTCAAACCTTATAGTAGCTCCTGATTTCCCTTAAAGTTATAGCCAAAATGCCTGTAATAGCCCAGAAGCCCTACATGGTCTGGCTCTCCCCTAGTACCTCCCTGACCTGCTCTTCACCACGCTCCCCATCACTTGCTCTCATCCAGCCTCTTGAGCCTCCTTGCTGTTCTCAGAAACGCCACACGTGCTTCAAGCCTTTGCCTGAGCTGTCTTCGGCCTGGAATTTGCATCATTTTCATATCCACGTAACTCACCCTCTCAGCTTTTTCGAAGTCTTTTCTCAGTGAGGCATAGCCTGGTCATCTTATTTACGACTGCAAACTGTCATCCTTCCAGCACCTCCTCCAAAGTCTTTATCCCTTCCCTTCCTCTATTTTCTCCACAGTACTTACTATCCTTATTGTATATAATTTACTTATTATATCTATTTTTTATTTCTTGCTTCCCCCCCGTTAGAATATAAACTCTGTTAAACAGGGTTCAGGAGACGTTTTATTTACATTTACCTATCTTTATCCTGAGCACATAGGGTGCCAGCCCATAAAAGGCCCAAGGAAATATTTTGTAAATGAAAAATGAACATTGATTTAACATTTTTCAGTGAAAAGCATAACAAACATTTTTCAGCTAACCTTTTTAAAGGCCTTGTATGTGTGACTGCATATGTATGTTCTTTTGGATATTTTTTCTTCTCTCATGATACTATAATTGTAAATATATTCAAACTATGATAGCACTTTCTTATGTAAGACCACTTCAACTTAGTATCTCTGAGATTACTGCTTTTTCAGCCTTTCTTCTAAATAGTCAGTACAGTATTTCCATGTCACATTGAGAATTGCTGATGTTCGATGGTGATCTATTAGCCATCTTATCCTTCCAAATCTGTTACTTCTATCTAAATAAACTTAAATTCTATTAATAGAATTCTTATATTTGACCCTATCCACATTTAAGAAAATACTTCCCCATCAAAACTTTGCCTTAACCTACCCTCTTTAGAAACCAGAGCCTGAAGCAAAGATTATAATAGTTACCCTTTACTGAGGAAGTGCAAGCTTGGGGCAGGGATGGTAGAAAATTGATAGTAAGACAAGGAAAGATGCAAAGCAATGCAACACAATGGGCTATTGCACTAGCTGGCCTTCTCAACAAATTGCAAAAAGAAGCAGTAAGTGCCCTGAGTAGGCATGTTCTGGTAGGCAGGAATTTCTTTGCAAGGATTGCAAGGAAAGGCCGTAGTTCAAAGTAGCCAACCAAAGAGACAAAGGGAGATGTGTCTGCCTGGAACCTTCTGACTCCTACTTCCTGGTGGTCGAAGTTTGCCTCAGAGAATTCCCTTTCCTGCTATCATACCATCTTACCCTCCAGGGTGCAGGTGAGGTGACTTGGCAAGGATGAGCATGGCATGTGAGAAATTAGACCACCTGGGCCCAGTATTTAAATCTGACCCAAGCCAGCTCTGAAAACTATGCAAGGGTACTGGTAAAGTCACTGATGGTCTGCAAGGAGGGTAGATTCTTCAGAAATAGGACATTGAGGGAATCTGAGAAGGTGTACAAAGTTTATATATTAATACAAAGCCACCAGCTCCAGTTATCAGCTTTACTTAACCTCAAGCCATGCTCAGAAAAAAAACACTCCCTTTACCTTTATTCATTCAATTCCTCCAAGTTTTCTAACTCTTCTTGGTCACAACCTAAATATTTGGCACATTTTTTTTTTTTTTTGGAGATGTAGTCTCGCTCTGTCACCCAGGCTGGAGTGCCATGGCACGGTCTCAGCTCACTGCAACCTCCACCTCCCAGGTTCCAGCAATTCTCCTGCCTCAGACTCCCAAGTAGCTAGGATCACAGGAGTGTGCTACCACGTCTGGCTAATTTTTTGTATTTTTAGTAGAGACAGGGTTTCACCATGTTGGCCAGGCTGGTCTTGAACTCCTGACCTCAGGTGATTTGCCAGTCTCAGCCTCCCAAAGTGCTGGGATTACAGGTGTGAGCCACCATGCCCAGCCCATAGTTGCTCTCTCACTTCTAATCAAAACACTCCAAACCCCACTCCTGGTCTTACACCCCATTAGTTTTTTTTTGGTCTTCCTTGCTTTATTATCCAGAGTCAGCCAATTCAGGGTTGTGTTTGCTTGGAGGCCTAGCCCATACTCAGGAAAGTCTCCAACACTTATCTGCTTTGTCTGTTCCTACTTCTGGGTTGCCAAGCATACTAGAAAAACTCACATAAATGTTATGCAAATTTATACATTCATACTATTTAAACTATCTACACTGCTGTCCTGTAATCCTTCTGTTCATCTGGAATGAACTCTGCAATATTTTCACCATCCAACTGCAAACATTGTTTTTCTGAAGCCACAAATTCCAATTTGTTATCTCATTTATTTTTTAAAATTTTATTCTGGTAACAGCACTTAACATGAGGTTTACCTGCTTGACAAATTTTTAACTGTACAATACAGTATTGCTAACTATTAGTAACATTGTACAGTAGATCTTTTGAACTTACTCATCTTGTATTAATTGAAACTTTATGCTTATTGATTATCAACTCCCTATTTCCTCCTCCCCTCCCATCTCACTTCCTACAGATTATTAAATTTACTGATTTATTATTTCACAAACATTCAGAATGGGCCATCCCAATACAGAAATCTTTTCTAAGTTCTTTTATCGGAGTATTGTTTTTACTGGTGCCATGATTCCATCCTGAATTACCTCCTATAGAAATTTACCTCAACAATTAGTCACTCTTATATGTTTTCTCTCTCCCATTTTTATGTATCCATCATCTGAAGCTGCTAACCAGGGCCTCTTCTATCCTAAAATTGAAACATACAAGAAGGAAGTGAAACAAGGCAATTAGTCACTATTTCATTTCTTTGTGTGTGTGTGTGTCAGTTAAAACCTAATACAGATTTAATTATATGGCAAAGACAGTATTTCATCAGTATATATTGTTAGAGATATTTAGATAAGACATAGCTTGGGAATGGAAAAATATAAAAGTACAAACTTCAGCTTTTACTATGTGAATTATTTCATATGGTTAAACCCAAAGTGGCATATTCAGGTGCTAGCAGTAAAAGTGATTTGAGTAAGTGCCTAGAATTTGACCAGGAAGCATAATTCAACAAGCAAGTAAGCTCATGTTCCTTTAGGAGACAAAAACTGAGTTGAGATGCAACCTGACTAGTGTGTAATTGTAAATTTTTTTCTCTTCACTTCATCAATTAGTATTCAACCTCAATCATTAAAAAATGCACCCATTTCCTGGTTAATAATTATTTATATAAAAATAATAGAAGCACTTCAGGAACAGTGGTATGAGGGACTCCGTGAACTCACTCCCCATAGAATCAATCATAACTAGTGAAAATTATAAAAATCAACCATTTACAGTATCTGTATATTGTCCTAAGGGCACAGACCAAGTGGAGAAACATTTATTCAAGAAAACCTAAATCTCAGAAGAGTGAGCGTCTATAGTTTTGAGCTACAACCTCATTTCCAGCTCCACGTGTTGGAAGCTGGAAGCTCTCTCTGGGTAGCTGTAACCTAGAAAACTGGGCTCTTTTTTTCCCCATGTTCTTGTCCAGGAGAGTGGTCTCTCCCTGACAAGCCACTTGCATTTCTCACTGCCCCAACTCCCAGGCTCTCAGCTGTAGAATCTCTATTTAGGCCAGCATGGCCGATAGATCTTGGGCTCCCTGTACCCATTTCCCACTCACAAGGTGGAAGTGCTGGCCCAGCCATGGAAGACTGAGAATACCAAACCCTAATCATTCCTGCTCCAGCTCATTAGTGAGAGCAGAGATTTCATGTCAGAAGAAGCTAGCAGAGAAGACCAGAGACTCAAGTCCCAGGCCTGTGAACTGTCAGAGGGGTATTGTTTTGGTGTTTTTGATTGTTTGTTTGTTTGTTTTGAGATGGAGTCTCACTCTGTCGCCCAGGCTGGAGTGCAGTGGAATGATTTCGGCTCACTGCAACCTTTGCCTCCTGGGCTTAAGCGATTCTCCTGCCTCAGCCTCCTGAGTAGCTGGGATTACAGGCACCCACCAACATGCCCAGCTAATTTTTGTATTTTTAGTAGAGATGGGGTTTCACCATGTTAGTCAGGCTGGTCTCGAACTCCTGACCTCGTGATCCACCCGCCTCGGCCTCCCAAAGTGCTGGGATTACAGGCATAAGTCACCTGCGCCTGGCCGGGGGTATCATTATAAGAGAAGCTAGCCACTGTCCCCACCCCCAGCTCAGGAGAAGTGGTGCAGAGTTTCCTCCCGAAGGCAAACAGCAGCATGTAGGAAGAGGGAACTCCATAGCTCTCTCTAGGGGAACTGACTTTATTTGGAACAGAACATGGGAAGCTTTACTCTTAAATGTGTTCTCAAAAACACTGGAAATTTCAGTGGTTAACATTAAGAGGATGAGAAGACTATAGATCAACTTATAGGCAAGATACACAAAAATATATAAACTCCTAAAACTCAATAAGAAAATAAACAACTCAATTTAAAAATGGGGAAAAGACCTAAACAACCACCTCACAAAAGAAGATAAAAAGGTATATCTCAAATAAATATATGAAAAGTTGTTCAAAATTATTTCATGAAATTTCAAATAAAAACAAGATATGGCTATATATGTATTAGAATGGCTAAAATCCAAAAATCTGATAACACCAGGTAATGCTGGTGAGGATATATAGTAAACAGGGACTGTAATTCCTATTACTGGTAGGAATGCAAAATGGCATAGACAGGCAGTTTTTTTTAATCAAGGTAAACAGTCCCACCATTTGATCCAGCAACCACACTCCTGTGTATCTACTCAAATGAGTTGAAGCCTGGGCACAGTGGTTCATGCCTGTAATCCCAGCACTTTGGGAAGCCTAGGCAGGAGGACTGCTGGAGTCCAAGAGTTTGAGCCCAGCATAGGCAATATGGCAAGATTCAGTCTCTACAAAAAAAATAAAAAAAGTTAGACAGGCTTGCTGTCATGTGTCTGCAGTCCTAGCTACTCAGGAGGCTGAAGTGGGAGGATTGTTAAGGCCAGGGAGGTCGAGGCTGCAGTGAACGGTGATCACGCTGCTGCACTCCAGCCTGGGTGACAGAGCAAGACCCTGTCTCAAAAAAATAAATAAATAAACCAATGAATGAGTTGAAGTTATGTCTACACAAAAATCTGCATGTGAATGTTCATAGCAGCTTCATTTACAATTGCCAAAAACTGGAAGCAGCCAACATGTCATTCAATAGGTGAGCAGATAAATGTGGCCTATCTATACAACGAAATATTGTTATAACTTGAATGTTTGTCCCCTCCCAAACTCATGTTGAAATTTAATTGCCATTGTAACAATATTAAGAGATGGGACTTGTAAGAGGTGATACGGCCATGAGAGCTCTGCCGGCATGCATGGATTCCTTGTAAAAGGATGAGTTCAACCCCCTTGCGTCTCTCTCTTGCCCTCTCTCTGCCCTCTGCTTTCTGCCATGGGATGACTTGGCAACAAGGCCACCAGATGTCAGCCCCTTAATCTAGGACTTTCCAGTCTCTGAAATTGTGAGGAAATAAGTTTCAGTTCTCTATAAATTACCCAGTCTGTGGTATTTTGTTACAAGAGCACAAGATGAACTAAGATAAGTATTATCTAGAGATAAAAAGAAATGAGCTATTAAGCTATGAAAGACATGAAGGAAACTTAAATGCATATCGTTAAGTGAAAAAAGCCAGTATAAAAAGGCTATATACTGTATCTTCCCAACTACATGACATTGTAAGAAATGCAAAACTATATATAGAGACAGAGAAAAGATTAGTGTTTTTCAGAAATTCAGGGGGAGGGATGACAGTTATAGCACAGGAGATTTCTTAGGGCATTGGAACTATTCTATGTGATATTATAATGGTAGATACGTGGCATTTCACATTAGTCAAAACACATACAACTGTACAGCACAAAGAATGAACCCTAAAGCAAACTATGGACTTCAAATCCTCACCAGTATTGGTATTACTGAGTCTTTGGATTTTAGCCATAGTTAATAATGTATCAATATTGTTCCACTGATTGTAACATCAGTTGTAACAAATGTGCTACACTAATGCAAGATGTTAATAATAGGAGAAACTGGGGAGGTAAGAAGTGATGGAATATATAGGAGCTCTCTGTACTATCTGTTCAACAAAATCTTAATAAATGAAAAACAGCTGATGGAATGTAATAAGAAAGGTTTCTCAAAAGGCGCCCCCCACCCCCGCCATTTTTTGCCATGTGGACCATGCCATGTTTTGGCATGATTACTTTCAACATCTTTGTAATTTTACCACGTTTACTTTCAACATCTTTGTAATTGTCTATAGTCAGCTCTGAGAGATGACACATAAGATTTTGACCTGATGTCAGACTCCTCAATGATGAATCAACTACAGTGTTTCCCATTTCTTATAAGAGCTAACTTAGCTCTAGAAACCAAATTACCAAAATCAAGAAGAAAAGATAGGATGTCACTACCACCTTAAAGCAATTTTTAAAAATAATTATAAGGGAATACTCTGAGCAATTGAATGCTAACAAATGAGTTAACATAGATGAAATGGACAAGTTCCTAGAAGGACACAAACTACTGAATCTAACTCAAGAAACTGAAAATCTGAATCTACCTATAATAAGAAATAGATTGAATTAGTAATTGAAAACCTGTCCACAAAGAAAAGTACAGGCAAAAATGACTTCACTGGTGAATTTTACCAAACGTTTAAAAGTGAATTAATGCCAATCCCCAACAAACTCTCCAAGAAACAGAAGATGTTTTCCAATTTTGTCTATGAGGCCAATATTACCCTAATACAAAACCTGAAAAGGCATCATGAGAAAAGAAAGTGAAAGTGACAAATCAATATCTCCTAAAATATAGGTGCAAAATCATTAACAAAACACTATCAAAATGAATGTAGCAACACATACACAAAAGGATTACACATCAAGACCAAGTGAGATTTATTCAGGAGTCCATGGTTCGTTTAACACCCCAAAATAAATCAATGTAATAGAATATATTACAAAAATCACATGTCAATTGATCAATAAGAAGCATTTGACAAACAAAATATCCTTTCATGTACAAGTGTGCAACAAACTAAGAGAAAGGACCTTTCTTAATCATAAAATCTATGAAAAAGTCCATAGCTGTCATCATATTTGATGGTGAAAAATAGAGAGCTTTTCACCTAAGATCAGGAACGAGACAAGGATGCCTATTCTTTCCACTTCTATCCATGACAGTACTAGGTGTTCTATCCAAGGAAATTAGGCAAGAAAAAGTAATAAAAGGAATCTAGATAGGAAAGGAAAAAATTAAACTATCTCTAATCGAAGATGACATGACCTTGTATATAAATAATCCTAAGGAATAAAACAAACTCTAACAACTAACAAACAAGTTCAACAAGGTTTTAGGATACATCAATATGCAAAAATCAGTGGTATTTCTCATATAAATGTGTTCAGCCCCTGTCCCACATCCATGGATTTAACCAACTGCAGACTGAAAATATTTGAAAAAAAATTGTACTGAACATGTACAGAATTTTTCTTGGTCCCTAAATAGTATAACAACAATTTATATAATATTTACATTGTATTAGGTATCATAAGTAATCTAGAGATGACTTAAGATATAGAAAAGATGTGCATAGGTTATATGAAAATACTATCCCATTTTATATTAGGATTTGAGTGTCCACTGATTTCGGTATTTACATGAGGTCTTAGAAACAATTCCTCATAGATAACAAGGGACAACTCTACATTAACAATCAGGAAATGAAATTAAGAAAGCAATTCCATTTACAATAGCACACAAAAGAATAAAATAACTATAATTAAATTTCACAAAAGAAATGCAATACTTGTCAACTGAAAACTACCATAAAACATTGTCAAAAGAAATTAAAGAAGACATAAATAAATGGAAAGACATCCTATGTTTACAGGTAAGAAAACTTAACATTGTTAAAATGCTAATACAATCCTCCCTTGATATTTGTGGGAAGATTGGTTTCAGGAGCCCCTGTGGATAGCACATGCATATCTGTGCAATAGAATGTTATTTGGACATAAGGAATGAAGTATTGATATATACTATAATTTGAATGAACTTTGTCCATTATGTTGACTGAAACCACTATAGTAAGAGAAAAGTTACACAAGACTGCATATTGTGTGATTCTATTTATATGAAATGTCAAGAGTAGGCAAACCTAAAGAGATAGAGCATAGATTAGTGGTTACCTAGGACTGTGGTTGTGACTGCTAATGGATATAGGGTTTCTTGCTAGGGTGATGAAAATGGGCTAAAATTAGATTGTTGTGATGGTTGAATAACTCTGTGACTATAATAAAAGTCATTGAGTTGTAAACTTCAAGTGGTTAATTTTTATGGTATGTGAATTAAATCTCAATAAAAATATTATAAAAAACAGTAGGGTAACCACTTAAATAATGAGTATATGACTTCCAAACTAGTACAGGGAACAAAAGGCTCAATTGATCCAACAGAAAACAAAGGAGAAGAAAAATAAACTGGGATATGAATTGTATAGGAGAGGATAATAGAAATAAATGTAAACATACTAGTAATTACAGTTCAAGTAAATGGAATAAGCTCAGTAATAGGTAGTGTCATACCAATTTTTACATGATATTTACTGGAGATACATAAAGCCTAAAGGCATAGAAAGATTGAAAGTAAGATAGCAAACTAAATAACATGTATATATTAAGCTAGAGGAAAGAAAATGCTGTTATGATATCAGGAAAAAAATACAATTTAAGGTATTTTTTAAGAACACAATAATTATTAGTGATAAAGTGTATCTCTACACAATAATAGACTTATTTTTATTATTATTATTTCTTTAGACCAATTCTTGCTCTGTCACCCAGGTTGGAGTGCAATGGCAGGATTTTGGCTCACTGCAGCCTCCACCTCCCGGGTTCAAGCGATTCTTCTGCCTCAGCCTCCTGAGTAGCTGAGATTACAGACGCCCACTACCACACCCGGCTATATTTTGTATTTTTAGTAGATATGAGGTTTCACCATGTTGGCCAGGCTAGCCTCAAACTCCTGACCTCAGGTGATCCGCCCACCTCAGTCTCCCAAAGTGCTGGGACGTGAGCCACCACGCCCAGCAATAGACATCATTTTACAAAGAAAATGTAATTATTCTAAATGAAGTGACCAAATATATGAAGCAAAAGTTGACAGGATTACTAAAAGAAATAGACATTCTGTAATCATGGCGGAGATATTAGCAAATCTTTCCCAGTACCTTCATAGATCAAGTAAACAAAGATAGCAGAAATTACTAGACGATTAAGCACATCCCTAAAGAGTTTAAAGAAACCCAAAGAGTTTAAAGAGTTTAAAACTGCATGTTTAACTGATTTGTACATAATAGACAATAACCAAAACAGAAAGAAGTTATGTTTAAAGTACATTTCTATCAGGTGGTGGATCTTAGTTTGCTTGTTTGATGTTTTTATGGTTTATTTTTATAAGTCGATCAATGTGGAAAGTTGACCTAGCATTTATCAAATGCCTAGTGTGTACCAGATGTTTTACTTCTAATCCTCAGACAACCTCATGAGAATAATTACCTTCATTTAACAAAGAGGAAACAAAGACTTGGGAAAGCTAAGTGATTTCCTAAATTCTCGTAACTGGTAGAGTTCAGGTTTGGACTTAAATTTGTCTCATAGAGTCCTCTCCTGAGTATATTTTAGAAGTGAGATATTGTTTCTTGATTAAGTGCTTAACTGCTCCCTTGAAACAAGATACTAAATTTTGAGCATGGGTAAATGTATGTAATTCTACCCTAAAGGGAAATTCATATGAAGTCCCTTTTTTTGTCTCCCTTTTCCTTTCTTCCTTTTTCTTCCTACAAGCCCAAATCCCTATAAAAAATGAAGAGTTAACACTACCCATCATTACAAATTAGTTGCTGCAGGCTTTAGTGCAGAAGAACATGAAAGCCCACCTTACCAATATTAGGTGAATAAGATGCTAGTGCTTATAAAGTGGAGTTAAATTAACCTGATTTAACTAAGAGATGTTATGCCAAAGAGTATAAAAATTGAAGAGAAAAGACAAGTCTAACTTTCTTAGAATATGTGTATATTAGATGAGGTATAATAGGTGACACTTAGTTAGCCAGCCCTTGTGTTTTAAATATATAATCTTATTTGCGTATTCCATCAATCTTATGAAAAAGGTACTACTATATTTGACATGTCATAAATGAGAAAAATGAGGCTCAGCGCAGTTAGATAACTCTACCTAAAGTTTTACTGATAAATAAGTAGTAGAGCAAGAATAGACCCCAAGAATCCACGATGGTAACCACATAAACCATATTTTCCTCAAAGGTATGTGAAGGTCTCCTAAGAGCAGAAACTTTTTTTTTTCTGGTAGAAGCAGACTTTCAGTCTATATTTTCTTCCATTCATTTTTGCACTTCTGATCCAGATCACACCTTTATTTCACTCATCCAATCTACTGGACAACTTTGAGCTTTTCTAGATTTCTTTTTGGGGGACCGACTGTGACTAGATGTGTGTTAAAATGGACAATTGTTCTGTTTCCTGAAGAGATTCCAGTCTCTTACTCTTATAGGTGTTCTACAGATGTAGAATTAGGAAAAGCATTGTCTACATGAAGAAATTTAGAAAACACAAGGAAAACCAATCAGAAGGCCAAAGTTGAGGAAGACTCATGTCTAAGAAAATGAAGGTGTACATCAGGCTTAGGTAAGAGAAGTCTAGGATACAGGAAAGAGGGGATTCAAATCCAATCCAAAAGCTGAACATTGACCAGCACCATACTAAAATAAACGTACCATATAGAATTAATGGGAAGATTTTTAATCTCACATGTAGTCTAATGCTTCCTGCTTCTCTTCAAGTTCTAAGAACTAACAGGCAAGTACTTTTAGTTGTAGGTGAAGTTTAAGAGAGATCAGGACTAACAGAAGTATGCTGTGTGTTTGGAATGTGTGTTCTTCCGCCATCTGTAGGACATGAGTGTCTCCTATTGGGTGCCTGTAGCCTAGCTTGTTTCTTTCTGGAATCTTTAGCCATGCACTACATCAATTATAGGAATAATAGCTATGAAAGACTCCACGTTTTCCCTTCTTCCCGTATCTGAGGTGAGAACGATATAGATTAGGTAAAATGCTGTTCCCATTTCAAATATTCAGCCTGACAAAGCAACACTGCTTTCTCAAGCAGTTGCAGTGTACTACAATCCAGTCTTTGGGATTAGAAATCCAAAGGACTCAGACTAATACTACGCAAATCACAAGTTTCCTTTTACTGGTTTAATCGTTGCTGATAAAAGGTACAAATGAAATTACTGTATTTGTTTAGCATTAATTGTAATTTTTGAAATGTACTCACCACTTACTAAAGATTATAAAGCATGACACTATGTTAAATGAAGAATCTAATGAATAATTTTTTTTTTTTTTTTTGAGACGGAGTCTCGCTCTGTCACCCAGGCTGGAGTGCAGTGGCGCAATCTCGGCTCACTGCAAGCTCCGCCTCCCGGGTTCACGCCATTCTCCTGCCTCAGCCTCCAGAGTAGCTGGGACTACAGGTGCCCGCCACCACGCCTGGCTAATTTTTTGTATTTTTAGTAGAGACGGGGTTTCACCATGTTAGCCAGGATGGTCTCGATCTCCTGACCTCATGATCCACCCGCCTCGGCCTCCCAAAGTGCTGGGATTACAGGCATGAGCCACGGCGCCCAGCCTAGTGAATAACTTTTAAAAACATTCTGCCAGTGACAAGTAAAAAAAAAAAAAAATACTGAAGCTCCCGTATTGCTTCATATGTGTTTATTGATATTTTCCACAATGTCCAAAATAATGTATTTTACATAGCTTCTGCTCATGAAATATTAGTTGATTTTTTTTTTTCCATGGAGGATTCATTTCAAGTTATTTCCCAAACCTTGGTGAGCCAAAATTCAATCTGTCTCTCAGAGGTGGAAACACCTACTTGTAACTAAAAAGTCACTGGGGCTTGTGTATTGATGCCAGTAAGACTCATTCATCATTGTTGATGATGTTGGTGCACCTGTTTATAAGTTACAGGTATAGAAAAGCCTGAAATAGTAATGTTTTACCCAGACAGATATGGGGACATTTTCTGTTTTCTTCTAGAGAGAACACTTTTTCTCATTTTGTTTCAAAATGACTTTGCAGACAGTGAGAGTGAAAGGTGTTTTATTCTTACTATTGACTCTCAAATTTGCAGTAAACCACGTGGTTTCTTTCTTAGAAACATAGAAATTATGAGCTGGAAAGAACCTTAGAAAACAGCCCCATTATTTTACAGATGAGGAAACAGGAACCCAGAAAATGATGAGCACCTTTCCAAGGTACCAGATTTAGTTAGCGGCTGAGCCAGAACTGGAGTCTATATTTGCCTTATTCTACCTCCAGTGTTGTTTCCCCACCACACACAATCCTGTTCTGCATATCTCAAGCCAAAATAACCAGTCAGTTCACCAAAGAAAGTCCAGTTGATTGTCTGACCTGTTAGCCAGTACTGAGCTCTGCAAAATTCCCCATTCTTTGTACTACATAGGTGACGCTATTATTCATTGTATTAGACGGTGTCTACTTCATGTAGACAATAAAGAGAACATTACTTTTCTGAACTTTGTACCACAATATGTTGTATTTTATTCTAAGAAACTTAATCCTATTTTAGGAACACTGAATTCTGTAACTGATTAGGTTTCCCTTTTCTAATTGGCTGCTAGACAGCTAAGAACAAATGTGTGGCCTAATTTTATTAGTGGAAAGGGCACTGTGTAATCTAGTGTTCTGTTATCCTTAGTCCTGCCTTTATTTTACATCGTTATCTTTGATTCTTTTTCTTTTGCTTTTACACTTACTTTGTACCATCTTGCTTTATTTGATCATTGAAATTTAATTCTTTCTTGTGACAACATAAATATAAATAAATGCAGATGGGATTGGTTTTAATATGCAACTATTTTATTATGATAGATTGCTTCAATATTCCAGTTTATTTTGAATATATCTAGAAGTCTTTCTAACTCAACTTGATTAGTTTACCCTCTTCAACCTTGGGCTACTCTCATTTTGATAAGTTTACATCATGAAGATGACATGAGGAAATTAAATTATTTTGTAACTTGTTTACATAATTTGATTTGCCTGAACTACATCTGAACCTGAGTTCAAACTTACAGAAGATAAATAACAAGTTTGCTATAAAAAGTGTCTCATAAATATGGAGAGAAGTTAACTATCATGAGTTTTAAAATTCTTTTTACCAGGTAAAATGTTTGCTTTATTGGGCATTTCCTTGGAGTTGAAAAAGCTGTCTGTTTAGCAGATAAATTTCTGAGAGATCAATAATATTGACTTAAATTTCAAAGGGTGCTTTTTTCCGAATATTTTACATATTAGCATTGAAGAATCCCTTAAAAAGATAAAGACACATGGTGGATTATGGAGTAGCTCAGAATTTGTCTAACAATCCTTACTCATGTTTGCAATTTGTTAAGGGCCTAGTAATGATCTGATTTTGTTTGAAAGTTAATTTACTTTATGAAGTAAGATTTGCTATTCCTAATTATTCTATTCACAAGACAACAAGAATTCAAAAGTAAAATATTTCATTAGTTCTTTCTTCCTGATTGTCTTCCCTCACTTTTTCTAAGGATTCAGTTATTCACATCCTTGTCTGTTATGTGTGTGCTGATACTATTACTTGTAGGTAACTCCAAAGACTTGAGAAGAATCAACATGTTGTTGAGATTCTATGAATTTAAAGCATCCTGAGAGCCACAAGAAAGTGTGTTTCTTTTTTTTGTTGTTATTATACTTTAAGTTTTAGGATACATGTGCACAACGTGCAGGTTTGTTACATATGTATACATGTGCCATGTTGGTGTGCTGCACCCATTAACTCGTCATTTAATATTAGGTATATCTCCTAATGCTATCCCTCCCCCCTCCCCCCACCCCACAACAGGCCCCAGTGTGTGATGTTCCCCTTCCTGTGTCCATGTGTTCTCATTGTTCAATTCCCACCTATGAGTGAGAACATGCGGTGTTTGGTTTTTTGTCCTTGAGATAGTTTGCTGAGAATGATGGCTTCCAGTTTCATCCATGTCCCTGCAAAGGACATGAACTCATCATTTTTTATGGCTGCATAGTATTCCATGGTGTATATGTGCCACATTTTCTTAATCCAGTCTATCATTGTTGGACATTTGGCTTGGTTCCAAGTCTTTGCTATTGTGAATAGTGCAGCAATAAACATACGTCTGCACGTGTCTTTATAGCAGCATGATTTATAATCCTTTGGGTATATACCCAGTAATGGGATGGGTGTGTCAAATGGTATTTCCAGTTCTAGATCCTTGAGGAATCGCCACACTGACTTCCACAATGGTTGAATTAGTTAACAGTCCCACCAACAGTGTGAAAGTGTTCCTATTTCTCCACATCCTCTCCAGCACCTGTTGTTTCCTGACTTTTTAATGATCATCATTCTAACTGGTGTGAGATGGTATCTCATTGTGGTTTTGATTTGCATTTCTCTGGCTGGTGATGATGAGCATTTTTTCGTGTCTGTTGGCTGCATCAATGTCTTCTTCTGAGAAGTGTCTGTTCATGTCCTTCGCCCACTTTTTGATGGGGTTGTTTGTTTTTTTCTTGTAAATTTGTTTGAGTTCATTATAGATTCTGGATATTAGCCCTTTGTCAGATGAGTAGATTGCAAAAATTTTCTCCCATTCTGTAGGTTGCCTGTTCACTCTGATGGTAGTTTCTTTTACTGTGAAGAAGCTCTTTAGTTTAATTAGATCTCATTTGTCAATTTTGGCTTTTGTTGCCATTATTTTTGGTGTTTTAGTCATGAAGTCCTTGCCCATGCCTATGTCCTGAATGGTATTGCCTAGGTTTTCTTCTAGGGTTTTCATGGTTTTAGGTCTAACATGTAAGTCTTTAATGCATCTTGAATTAATTTTTGTATAAGGTGTAAGGAAGGGATGCAGTTTCAGCTTTCTACATATGGCTAGCCAGTTTTCCCAGCACCATTTATTAAATAGGGAATCCTTTCCCCATTTCTTGTTTTTGTCAGGTTTGTCAAAGATCAGATAGGTGTAGATATGTGGCATTATTTCTGAGGGCTCTGTTCTGTTCCATTGGTCTATATCTCTGTTTTGGTACCAGTACCATGCTGTTTTGGTTACTGTAGTCTTGTAGTACAGTTTGAAGTCAGGTGGCGTGATGCCTGCAGCTTTGTTCTTTTGGCTTAGGAGTGACTTGGCAATGCAGGCTCTTTTTGGTTCCATATGAACTTTAAAGTAGTTTTTTCCAATTCTGTGAAGAAAGTCATTGGTAGCTTGATGGGGATGACATTGAATCTATAAATTACCTTGGGCAGTATGGCCATTTTCATGATATTGATTCTTCCTACCCATGAGCATGGAATGTTCTTCCATTTGTTTGTGTCCTCTTTTATTTCATTGAGCAGTGGTTTGTAGTTAGCAAGAGCAAATACGTTCAAAAGCTAGCAAAAGGCAAGAAATAGCTGAATCAGAGCAGAACTGAAGGAAATAGAGACACAAAAAACCCTTCAAAAAATCAATGAATCCAGGATGTGGTTTTTTTGAAAAGATCAACAAAATTGATAGACCGCTAGCAAGACTAATAAAGAAGACAAGAGAGAAGAATCAAATAGACGCAATAAAAAATGCTAAAGGGGATATCACCACCGATCCCACAGAAATACAAACTACCATCAGAGAATACTATAAATACCTCTATGCAAATAAACTAGAAAATCTAGAACAAATGGATAAATTTCTTGACACATACACCCTCCCAAGACTAAACCAGGAAGAAGTTGAATCTCTGAATAGACCAATAATAGGCTCTGAAATTGAGGCAATAATCAATATCTTACCAACCAAAGAAAGTCCAGGACCAGAAGGATTCATAGCTGAATTCTACCAGAGTTACAAGGAGGAGCTGGTACCATTCCTTCTGAAACTATTCCAATCAATAGAAAAAGAGGGAATCCTCCCTAACTCATTTTATGAGGCCAGCATCATCCTGATACCAAAGCCTGGCAGAGACACAACAACAAAAAAAAGAATTTTAAACCAATATCCTTGATGAACATTGATGCAAAAATCCTCAATAAAATACTGGCAAACCGAATCCAGCAGCACATCAAAAAGCTTATCCACCATGATCAAGTGGGCTTCATCCCTGGGATGCAAGGCTGGTTCAACATATGCAAATCAGTAAACGTAATCCAGCATATAAACAGAACCAGTGACAAAAACCACATGATTATGTCGATAGATGCAGAAAAGGCCTTTGACAAAATTCAATAACCCTTCACACTAAAAACTCTCAATAAATTAGGTATTGATTGGATGTATCTCAAAATAATAAGAGCTATCTATGACAAACCCACAGCCAATATGATACCGAATGGGCAAAAACTGGAAGCATTCCCTTTGAAAACTGGCACAAGACAGGGATGCCCTCTCTGACCACTCCTATTCAACATAGTGTTGGAAGTTCTGTCCAGGGCAATCAGGCAGGAGAAGGAAATAAAAGGTATTCAATTAGGAAAAGAGGAAATCAAATTGTCCCTGTTTGCAGAAGACATGTTTGTATATCTAGAAAACCCCATCGTCTCAGCCCAAAATCTCCTTCAGCTGATAGGCAGCTTCAGCAAAGTCTCAGGATACAAAATCAATGTGCAAAAATCACAAGTATTCTTATACACCAATAACAGACAGACAGCCAAATCATGAATGAACTCCCATTCACAAATGCTTCAAAGAGAATAAAATACCTAGGAATCCAACTTACAAGGGACGTGAAGAAAGTGTGTTTCTGAGAAATAAACCTTATCAAATTAAGCATATTATAAAATAAACCATGAGAATATTGCATCTGTTGGGTCAGTAAGTTCTCACTGAGAAAATTAGAGAACACAACATCACATGGTATGTTGCTTAAGTTATACTCACCAGATCAAACAAAATTTAATAAATGATGGAATAAACACACTGTTATTTCAAAAAATAGGCAAGTTAGATCTAGGGCTGCATTATCCTATAGAGTAGCCACTACCTACATGTGGCTATTTGAGTACTTAAAGTGTGTCTAGCATAAACTGAGATGTGTTGTAAGTACAAAATACATGCTGAGTTTCAAAGATGTAGTACAAATCAAAAATATAAAATATCTCACTAATAATTGATTTCCTATAGGAAATATCTCACTATATTGATTTCCTATAGGAATAATATTTTAGATATACTTATTGAATAAAATATAGTAATAAAAGTAATTTTACCAGTAAAAACTTGAGGATTGGTAGAAAATGATACAGAAAATTTCAACAAGAAACAAAATTAGTTTTAATGCTCTTATTGGTCTCCCAGTAATTTTATTCCTGGAAATTTATTTTTTAGAGACAGAGTCTCACTATGTTTTCCAGGCTGGTCTCAAACTCCTGGGCTCAAGTGATGTTCCCACTGTGGTCTCCCAAAGTGCTGGGATTACAGGTGTGAGCTGTCATGCCTGGCCTCTTATTCCTGGAAGTTTAACAAGCAACAGTAGTAAAATCTATACGTACATCACATATAATGACCACAAGTATACAGTGATAGCATGCGCATGTGAATGCACACACACTGAGTCCATTAGGAAATATTTCTTTTTTTTTTTTTTTTTTTTTTTTTGAGACGGAGTCTCGTTCTGTCGCCCAGGCTGGAGTGCAGTGGCGGGATCTCGGCTCACTGCAAGCTCCGCCTCCCGGGTTCACGCCATTCTCCTGCCTCAGCCTCCCAAGTAGCTGGGACTACAGGCGCCCACCACTACGCCCGGCTAATTTTTTGTATTTTTAGTAGACACGGGGTTTCACCATTTTAGCCGGGATGGTCTCGATCTCCTGACCTCGTGATCCGCCCGCCTCGGCCTCCCAAAGTGCTGGGATTACAGGCGTGAGCCACCGCGCCCGGCCAGGAAATATTTCTTAACAATAAAAGCATTAACAAATTTCAGACAGAAAATTTGAAGTTTGTATATGTAAATTAAATATGATATATGGAGAAATCGGAAACAAGGTGATATGCAATATAATTGTACTGTGCATGCAAATCAAAAGGGACCAGAAATAAATATTCAAAATAACATTGGTGTGCTGAGACAATAAAAGTATAAGTGATTTTAATCTTCCAGTTTTTGAAGTGTTACTGATATACTATCTTTTACATTTTTAAAGAGATAAAAGGGAAAAAATAATGTATTACAAAGAAACTAGCATACCTTGTGTATTAGGCTGCTTGGGCTGGCATAACAAAATACCATATACTGGGTGGCTTAAACAACAGAATCTATTTTCTCACAGTTCCAGAGGCTGGGAAGCCCAAGATGAAGGTGCTAGCAGTTCATTTCCTGGTGGAGACTCTCTTACAGGCTTTCAGAGAGCTGGCTTTCTTGCTATGTAGGGGGTGGGCAGGAGATCTTCTTAAAAGACCACCAATTCTGTTAGATTAGGGCCCCACCTTTATGATCTTTTTAAACCATAATTACCTCCTAAAAGCCCTGTTTCCAAATATAGTCACACTGGGAGTTAGGGCTTCAATATATGAATTTTGGGGGAAACACAATTCAGGCCATAGCATTTTACAATGTGACCTCATGCTGTAATACAAAGAACATAAACATTTTATTTAAAGAAGCTTGAAATTGAACTCAAATTCCATTACAAAGAAGCTAGTTATTTTAACTCCTCCAAGTTTCCATTTTCTTAACTGTAAAATGGGGAATGAACATTTATTTCATAGGATTGTTTTCTTTTTGTCCCAGTTTTTTCTTTACTCCTGTTTTTCTTTATTGCCTTCTTTGGGAATAATCAAGTTATTTTTTGATTTTTCTCTATTTTTTCAGTTACAAGCTTTTGTATTCTTATGATTTTCTTAGAGATTACCATATGCATCTTTGATCTATTGGAATCTCTATAAATTAATAGTATTACTACTTTTTGGAAAATAAAATAATCTTACAATATGCAAACTGTTCTTATCCTCCTCCTATATTTTGTGCTATTGCTATCATGTGTTGGCTGCTATCAACAAATTGACATTTCAGCTCCAATTTTACTCTTTGATGTCTGTTCTGTGAAAATGAGAATGGGCCTAGGTCTGCCTTAGTTTTAGTGCTGCTATAACAAAATGCCACAGACTAGGTAATTTATAAAACATGGCAATTTATTTGGCTCATAGTTCTTGAGGCTGGAAGTGGCTGCTTCTTGTGAGGACCTTCTGGCTGCTTCATCCTGTGGCTGAAGGCATCACATAACAAGAGAGTACAGGAGATACAGCAAGAGGACCCAACTTTTTTTCCTAACAATCCCACTCTCAGAATAACGAACCTACTCCTGCAGTAACATCACTGATCTATTCATGATTGCAGAGCCGTCATGACCTTGTAAAGGTCCCACCTATCAGCACTGTTACACTGGGGATTAAGTTTCTACCACATGAACTTTAGGGGACACATTCAAATTGTAGCAGGGCCTATAAACTGTTTTCTTTGCCAGTTGTGGATGTTAAACTTTGATAGAAGTGCTGAGAAAAGTCATTACTGGAGGAGAGAGTATTCTTTCTCGGTTCTGCTATGGCTGTCTCACCAGGTTTTTCCAGGGTGTGCTTTTTTCTACACTGCACAGCCCACGTGGTTTTCTTCAGGGCTAGGCACCTCCAGGGTGCACCCTTCTGCAGCATTTAACTGTTGAGTGTTTTCTGTAAGTATCCACTTGGGTAGCAGTGACCTTGGCCCAAGTCATACAAAGAAGTGGGCTATATTCCTGAAGAGGGAGACCTGTCAAGCTCCTGAATCTAGCAGTGCCTACAACAGCTCCCAAATTCCCTCTGTAAGCCCAATTTCCTCTGTCTACCTGCTCATCAGCCTTAGCTCACCTGTGTCCTGCAAGTTTGTTTCCTGTGATCCTCTTATTGCAGATACCATGAGTTTATTAGTCAGGGTTCTCTAGAGGGTCAGAGCTAATAGGAGATATATATATATATATATATATGTATCAGACTTGGAGTCTGATGTTTGAGGGCAGAAAGCATCTAGCATGGGAGAAACATGTAGGCAGAGAGGTTAGGTCAGTCTAGCCTTTTCACATTTTTCTGCCTGCTTTATATTTGCTGGCAGCTGATTAGATGGTACCCACCCAGATTAAGGGTGGGCCTGCCTTGCCCAGCCCACTGACTCAAATGTTAATCTCCTTTGGCAACACCTTTACAGACACACCCAGGATCAATACTTTGCATTCTTCAATCCAGTCAAGTTGACACTCAGTGTTAACCATCACAATGAGCCACAGACCTCATGTCTACAATCCCCCTATATCTTTACACCTGCCTACAACCATCAGCTTGCCTGAATGAACAGAAGTTCTTTCCTTTTTTGTTTGGCTCCTATGGGTTATCTCTGGCCTGGAATACCCAGATAATTTCTCCAGCATCTACTGGGCTACAACCAATCTTCAATAAAGTCTGATTTCCCTCCAAAGTTTGTCCTTCCTTGAGTATTCTACTTCCCCAGAATACCTGTTAGAGTTCTCGTTATATCTTTATGGTTACTCTGTTTCTGCCTCCTGCTAGGGCTTGGGGTGATACATCTGATAATTTTACTGTGCACTAAAACTTGTAAAGGCAACTTCTATTTTCAGCCTAGATGAAGTACCTGGGACTGAATATAACCACCTGCCGGAAGCAAATAAAAATTGGACAAAATATAAGAAACACTTATTTTCAAACATTGTCTATGACAGAACACAGTAATTTTGAGAGCTGGGAACTCACCAGGAGAACTCTATGATTTCCCTCACTTACTGATGTGAAAGACTTTCCAGATCAGTGCACAAGGAAGGAAAATCCAGCTGGAGCCTGACGGTGTTCCTCAGTTATAGAGAAACTGAGAGATGGAAGGGAGTTTAGGCAGCTGGAATTTGCAGGGAAGAGTTCCAGAATGGGGGAGTCTGGAGACCCATAGAGGATTTCAGTTGAATCTTCAGTTGAGTATTTATCAGTGTACATTTGAGAAGAAACTCTGAGTCTGAGTAAAAAGAAAACCACATGAAAGGATTAGAGAAAGCAATCCTCAAAACATGAACAGAATCAGCAATAATGTTTGTTCCCATCAGCCAGAATGGAAAATAACTCATAATTCGAGGATTTGGGTGGAGTATTGCATCAATAGTGAGTAAAATTAGCTCTAGAATAAAGGCTCCTCCAATTATGTGTAACAAATTTAAAAGCAAGACTCCAAAAGACCAAACTCTTCCCATGTAACTTAACTGCTTCTTAGAGTAAAGTTCAAGGATATTAATAGGATTACAAAAATATCTAGCCTTCAACAAGGTAATATTCACAATTTAAAAATTGTCAGGCATGCAATGAAGGAGGAAAATGCAACTCGTATGAACAGAAAAATCAATCAAAACAAACTGGAAAGTGATGCAGATGAAAGCGCAGACAAGGACTTTAAAAATATATAACTAAGCCGGGCGCGGTGGCTCACGCCTGTAATCCCAGCACTTTGGGAGGCCGAGGCGGGCAGATCGAGACCATCCTGGCTAACACAGTGAAACCCCGTCTCTACTAAAAATACAAAAAATTAGCCGGGCGTGGTGGCGGGCGCCTGTAGTCCCAGCTACTCGGGAGGCTGAGGCAGGAGAATGGCGTGAACCCGGGAGGCGGAGCTTGCAGTGAGCTGAGATCGCGCCACTGGACTCCAGCCTGGGTGACAGAGCGAGACTCCGTCTCAAAAAAAAAAAAAAAAAAATCTATATCTACATCTATATCTATCTATCTATCTAAACTATGTTTTGTATGTTCAATAAGATGGAGAAAAATTTAGCATGTTAAGGGATGTGTAATATATCAAAAAACCTAAAATCAGCTTCTGGAGATAAAATCTGCAAAGTCTGGGATGAAAAGTTTACTGGAAGGGATTAACAGAAGACTAGGTACTGTAGAAAGATTAGTAAACTTGAAGGCATAGCAAATGATGGGGTTCAAAACACACTACCCCAAAATATGACACCTTGGCATATGGAGTATTGTAAGCTGAAGGAGGCTGAGAAAACCTCAGAAGCAGGAAGTTCTCTCTGACCTTCTCCTACCTTTCTCCCCTGAAGCACGTAATAAAGGCTAGAAAGAATCCTCTGACCTTCTGTCCCAATGCAGGTCATAAAACTTAGAAATAATATTCTCACCTTTCCTTGGAGGATATTATAAGACCCTCATATGAGAGGTACCCTCCCTGTACCCAAAGGCAAGGAAGGCCCTTCTCTTTGAAGACATAGGGACATAGAGAATAATCAAAACAAATAAGCCTCGCTAAATTTCCCCCAGTTCATCATCATTAGATCATACCCTCTTTGTCTAATTCTGCTTCTCAATGGCTATCCATTTCTTCATCAAACTTAGCATAAAAATACGTTTCCCTGTTTCTTTGGGTCTTCATTACTGAAGGCTCTCATGTCACATAAAATTTATTAAATTTGTATGCTTTTGTCTTATTAATATGTCTTTATCGGTTTTATTGTTAAAGCTGGTCAGGGACTCTAAGAAGGTCAAGGAAAATCTGCTTCCCCTACACAATTAAAATATCCAAAATGACAGAATGCAGAAGAGAAATGACTGACAAAAAGGCGCATCAATAAGCTTTGGAACAACTTCAAGTTACTCAATACATGTATAATTTGAGTCTATAAACTATAGAAGTGAAAAGGACATAAAAATATTTAAGGAAATGACTTAAAAATTTCCAAAATTCATAAAAATTATAAACCTACAGATGCAAGAAGTGAAATGAACTCAAAGAACAAGAAACAAGACCAGGAAAACTACATCAGGACATATAATAAACAAATTGTTTAAAACAAGTAATGAATTGAGCACATTAAAAGCAGTCAAAGGAAAAAAGATATGTTACAAATGGAGGAACAAAGACAAGGATGACAACCCATTTCTCATCTGAAACAATGCAAGCAAGAAGACAAGTAAGCAGTATCTTTAAGTACTTAAAGAACAAATCGGGTCAACATATAAACTTTCTGCAACAAAGAAAACCTGAAACAATTCAATAGCAGTGGACCTGCACTAAAAGAAATAGTAAAAAAAAATCCTTCAGACAGAAGCAGAGTGATAACAAATGAGATCTGTACCTAGAAAGAGGAATGAAGAATATAGTCATCTTTCAGTATTCATGAGGGACTGGTTCTAGGATCCCTGTTGGATACCAAAGTCCACAGATGCTCAAGTCCCTTGTATAAAATGGCATACTATTTGCATATAACCTACGAAAATTTTCTGTATACTTTAAATTATCTCTAGATTACTTATAATACCTAATGTAATAGAAATGCTGTGTAAATAGTTGTTATACTCTATTTTTTAGGGAATAATGACAAAAAAGTCTGTAAGTGCTCAGTATAGATACAGCCATTGTAGGCCTAACTACATAGTACAGGTCAGCAACAGTGTTAACATTTTCTGAAATTTTTAAAAAGTATGTTTGGACTACAGTTAGTTAAATCTATAGACACAGAATCTGCAAATACAGAGGGCTGACTAGAAATAAAATATATGCATATAAATATAAATTAATTTTAACTTATATTTTATCTCTTTAAAAGTAAATCAAGTATCTCAAGTAAAAATATAACAACATATTCAGGGGTTTGTAATATATGTAGAAATCAAATATATGACAACAATAGAACAAAATCTAGTGAGGGGGAAGTATACTGTTTTAAGGTTTGTATCTGTACATTAAGTGGTATAATATTACTCAAATGTAGATTGTGGTAAGTTAAACAAGTATACTATGAGCCTTAAAGCAACATTAATAACAAAATAGAACAAAACAAATAACTTTAGCTAAAATTCTTACAAAGGAGATAAAATGGAACCTTAAAAAAATAATTTATACAACGAGTTAGAAAAAAGAATGGAATAAGGAACATGGGGGAAATTAAGAACTAACGAGCGAGATGATACATTTATATTCAGTTCAATAATTACATCAAATGTAAATTATGTAAACATTCTAGTTTAAAGGCAAATATTGCTGATTTAGATAAAAAAGCAAGCAAGAAAATATGGTGCTTATATGAAATACACTTACATATGAAGACATAAATAGGTTAAAAGTAAAAGGATAGGAAAAAATACCATAAAAGTAGTCAGCAGAAAGCTGGATTGGCTATATTAATATCAAAGTAGGTGTCAGGGCAGAGGATGTTACCAGGGATAAGAAAGTTGTTTCATAATAATAAAGGGGTGAATTTATCAAGTGGCATTAACAATCCTAAATATTTATGCACTTAATGATAGGCCCTTAAAAATAGATGAAGCAAAAACAGAATTGAAAGAACTATGCAAACCCACAATTGTAGTTGGAAATTAACACCTACTTTAAGTAATGTATTGAATAAATAGATACAAATAGAATAAAAAGACACTATCAATCAGCTTTATCTAATTGATATTGATAGAACACCGCACCCAACAGCAGAATACACATTCTTTTCAAGAGCACATGGACATTTTACAAAGATATATATTATTGTTTGCTGTAAAATAAAATGCCAATAAATTAAAAAGAATCAACAAGTATGTCCACTGAACATAATGAAATTGAATTAGAAATCAATACCATAAAAATCACTCTAATATTTGGGAACTACAAATCATACTTCTTAATATCCCATAGGTCAGAAAAGAAAGAAGGGAAATTAGAAAAATATTTTAAACCAAATCAAAATGAAAAAGCAACATGGTAAAATTTCAAGGATGCAGCAGACACAGTGCGTAGAAGTAAACCTGTAGCAGAGAAAGCCTATATTAGAAAAAGAAGAAACTTCTGAAGTCAGAGTTTCATATTTAAGGAAGGAAGAAAAGCAACTCAAACTCAAATGTAGGCAGAAGAAAGGAAATAATAAAAATAATTGCAGAAATCCATAGAACACAAAACAAATATAATGGAGAAAATTAATAAAATCAAAAGCTGGTTCTTTGAGAAGGACAATAAAAGCAATAGAGTCAGACTGATGAGAAAAAAAAGGAAAAAACAGAAATTACCACTATTTGGAGGAGAAGTGACACCACTAGAGTTTCTATACACATTTAAAAAACATAGCAAGAGAAAATATTATTTTGGTAACTATGTTATTAATTTAGATGACTTAAATGAACTAGACAAAAACCTTGAAAGATGCAACCAAGAAAGCTCATTCAAGGAGAAACAGATAGCCTAAATAGTCTTATATCTATTAAAAAATTAAATTTTATTTTTACTTTCAAAAGTTTCCTTGAGCCCCACCTCCTTCTTTGTGGTAACAACACTTAGCATAAGATCTACATTCTTAGCAAATTTTTAAGTACTGTAGTCTCCCTTTATCTGCAGTTTCAGTTATCTATGGGTTAACATTGGTTCAAAAATATTAAATGGAAAATTTCAGAAGCAAACAAAAATTAATACCTTTTAACTGTATGCCATTCTTAGCATGATGAAATTCATATGCAAATAAACCAATAAACTCCAGAATACAGTATTCCACTGCCCTAATCACCCCAGGGCCAGGTACTAGGTAACTAAGGACAGCCCTAAACCCTAGAGCCCACTGAAATTATTCAAACTAGCCAAGCCTCACTCACCTTGCCATGCCTATCCCAGGGAAACCACACAAAAAAAGCATCATCCATGCTTTTCCCTCATTCCTTCTGCCTCCAGACTGACCCGGGTACCTCCCCAAGTGACCCAGCATGGCATGCCCCTTCCTTGGGAACTGTATGTAAGTTACTATCTATCTTTCCAATGGCAGTTCTCACCTGATCTGTTGGCCTCACTACACCTAATAAAAACAAAATCACAGCCACATTTTAAAATAGCACCATTTACTATGTGTAAGTTATATCTCAATACATTTATGAAAAGAAAAATACAGTAATTTAAAAACTGAAAGGCCCCTTTAAGAATCTTTATAATTTTTGTTTCCGTTTTCTTCTTCCCTCAGAGAGAATCCTTGTTTCTTCTTCAGGCTTTAGAGCAGAGTTCCTGATAGAACTTTCTGCAATTGTGGAAAAATTTTATATCTGTGCTTTTCAATATGCTAGCGACTTGCTACTTGTGACTGATGAGCAGTTGAAATGTGGTCATTTGAGGAACTCAATTGTTAGTTTAATTCAATTTCTACCAGTTTTAATTCAAATTTAGTCACATGTGACCAGTAGCTACTGTATTGGACTGTGTAGCTCTAGAGGTTGTTGATGTGATCTCCCCCAGAGCAAATATTCTCTTATTTTAGTAGATAGGAAATGGATTTGATCCAGTAAGGAATTAAATTGATTAATTGATTTGAGGCTGCATTTCTGTTTTGTAAGGCTCTATTTTGATTTGCTCTTACTCCTGGAGTATAGATCCTCACAGATCTCAGTTAAATTGTTAGTGGGACCAAACTCTATTTTTGTCTTAGTAGCCTATAATACTACTTTTGTTTGTTTCTTGCCCCATGCAATTTAAGAGTCAACAAATGCTTTGAGGGAAACAGTGGCACAAGGTTTCAAGCTCACTTTTCTGTGATTTTTCTTGGCTCCTTGATCTTGGCCCCTCAAGTTCTGGCTGTCATAATTATTCTCCAAAAACTTCAAAGAGCTGATGTTTGTAGCTTATCCAGTTTACATAGTTATTCTCAGCATGAAGATTAATTGATGCAAGCTCCATTACCATAGCAAGATGTGGAGATCCTCATAGGATTCGTCTGTAAAATATTACATATAAAGTGGCTATTTCGCTGACAATATATGTTTCCTCTTCTCTTTTCTTAACTTAGAATTAGCAGTAGGTCCTAATGTAATAGTAAAATTTGATTTTTGTAAACTTAGGAAGTCTAAGTAGTAAAATTTAAATTTCAGTAACTTCTCAGTGCCCTTTTTCCTGCTCAAGTTGTCTTTTAGTCGATTTATTAGGTGCTTGTAGTTTATCAAATCACCTCTCAGGATTTACTCCTTGCTCGTGATGTCTCTAGAGCTACCCTTCCCTCGCTTCAAAACTCAGTAGTGTCTGTCCCATATTCTCAATTCCAGTTCCTTTACTCTATGCTCTGAAAGCTTACCAAGCCCCTCCATTAAAGCAGAGTTAGCCATTAAGTGTCCTCCAGTCTCTACATGCTAGTGCCTTTCTGCATCTTCATTTTCCATGCTCCGTGTGAAGTGACTTTCTGAAATCCAGGCCTTGTGCTGTCACTTTACTGCTTTATACCTCTCAGTCATTCCCCATTACCCATAGGAAAAAGCTCAAACTCCTTGACATGGTGCATAAGACCTTTCATGTGCCAGTCACAGGTGACCTTTCCGGCTGCATTTTTAGCTTGACTTTCACATGCATCAAAAAGTTCAGTTTTTCCAGATGTTTTCAAGGAAATGGAGTTTTAATTTTTTTTCCCAGAACATATTATATCTGTCACATTCTTCTATTTTTGTCATTTGCTACTCTTTCTCTTAAATGCTCTTTCTTCCTCCTTTCCCAGAAGAAATTCCACTCACCCTTCACGGTCCGTGGAAGCATCATCTGCGTTGTGAGACCTTCCTTCTGATGTTTTTCTGCAGCTGGTCTGTTAGCTCCTGAGGCTTACGCTGTTTTCTTGTTCATTGTGTGTAATTTTCTTATATCCCCTTAGCACAGCCTTGACAAGTAGTAATTGCTTTACAAGTGTTTGTTTTATATAACTGAATTGCAGTGAATAGCGGGGCTTAGCCTGAGCTTCAGCTGATTCTTTAGACAGAAAACTAAGTATTTCAAGCCCTGCGTGTAAATCCCAGGTGAGGCTATTTTGGTCAGGTGAATGTTTTAGCACTTGTCAGCTCATAGCGTGGAGGTAGCGGCCAGCTTTCCCTCACATCTTGCGCCAATCCTGGATATCATAAATGATATTGTCATTTTTAAGCCCAACAAAGTTTTTTTTATACTCCCTTCAAAGGAACTAAGTTTTATACAGTTACATGTGGGAAAAGGCTGTATGTAAATACTAATGTCTTATAATTTGAGCCATAAGCTACATATGTACCTTGAAATTTACTTCTGAATTGTTATCACAGTATGTTACAGAGTAGCTCCATGATTCCTTAATAAATTAGCTGACTCTCAGCTTAGGGGAGTAAATTTTCTTGAATAATTGAGGTCAGAGGTATTTGGGTTACTTCTTAGATGAAGGTTATTTTCTAGCTTATGCTCTGAAGGTCTAAACTACAATGTAACTTTGCAAAACAGGCACTGCTTGTGCGTGAAGCAGTGGAAAGATGAGGTCTTAGTACACATCATGTAAGGTTTTTTAAATATACACTGTGCTATAAAATAAGAAAAAATAAGTGAAAACACTTTTAGGGTACACCCTAGGACATCTAAATAATGTTGGAATGGAAAAAAATAAAATACATTCAGTTATACTTGGGAGAGTTATAGAAAGAAAATAGACCGTCTCCTAGTTGAAAATTTGATGTCCCCTTGAAAAACTGCAGGTATTTATGTTGCTGTCTGCAGTTGGAACAGGACTAGTGTTTCCACTGTAGGAATGGATGGATGCAGCAACATGGACAGAGGCTCCGTTAAGTCATAGAAATTTGAGGGGAGTATAATCCCACGAGGAAAGCCACTGAGAACAATTCAGCTCCAAATCAGGAGGTAAACCAGGGCCAGGTAGGGGGAGTGACAGTGGATCTCTGAGGCATAGGCAAGGTGTTCTCTTCCTAGCTCCTAATACTGGAGAAAGCAACAGAGAATTTTTTCCAATGGATACCTTACTCCATAAAGACAATCTCAAAAAGGAAGCTGCTCAGATCTGTTCTATACTAGACTCAAGCAGAGAATTTCTGGAGCTGGTGATACCAATGGGCTGGGGTAGGTCCCCCAATGCTGTTGGTGGGAACTCCACCCCCAGCCAGTATCCAGGCTCTTGACACCATTGTGAGAAGGAATTTAAAGATGAGTCAGAACATAGTGAAAGCATGGAGATTTATTGCAAAGTGGAAAGTACACACTCAAGAAAGGGGAGCGTGGGCGTACTTGAGAGAGTTGAGCGAGAGGGTTTGGGGGTGCTACCTTTATGAATTTCTTCAACCAAGGGGTGGAATAATTCCTGAAAAAAGGTAGAGAGTTCTTGGAACTTTGGTGCCACCCATTTTTACACCTAATATGGATGTTCCCGGAACTGTCATGGTGCTGTTGGGTGTGTGATTTAGCGTGTTGAGCATATGACGAGGTCCTAAGTGAGACCTAGGTCAAATCCAGCGCCATATTAGGTGCAGTTGTTCTTACTGGTCTTGGTCGGCACCCTGTTTTTCAGGATCTTATCAGCCCATGGCCTTTAGTCACGTGAAACTGCCTGGAATGTTTTATTCTCCTGCGAACACCCTGTATTATTTCTGTCTTACTGGGATGCTCCCTTCCTCCCTAACTCAGTACCTCTGCTCACCCAGGAGCACGTACAGCTAGTGTCTTCCTGTGTAAGAAGTGGGAATTTGGATGGATAAATTCTGTGTTCCCAAAACTAGGTAGAAGGAACAAAATAAAATATAGGGCTGTATACTAAATGGGAAAGGCTTTATATTTACTGCAAAAACAGCATTTGTACATTGTAACATATAAGCCACTGATCAGCAAATGTATAATATCAAGGTGAAAAGGAGAGGCTCAATGAAATCTTAATTTGGATAGGAATTAGGTGATTGGGAGCATTCAGAGGATCCCAAAGAGTTTTTTTTTTTTTTTTTTTTTTTTTTTTAAAACAATTAGCACCTAAACTCTCACTTCCACACCAAGAAACTGCGATAATTCTTCTTGGGAAGTGAGAATCTCTATTACCCACCTCCCATTGAGACTCACTAGTGTTGTTTTCGATGATTTCTTAATTTAGTGGAGAGTTAATATATATGACTCTCTGTTGAGACATACCACGTGATAAACAATCATGTAAAATAGTCTCATGCACAGAATCATATTATATTCTCGTGATGTCTTCACAACATTGCACAGATGATGCTAAACGTACCAGTTTGGACTTTGTACTTTGAATTTGGCACTGGAAGGTGAAACACTATCTCTTTCAGCCTTTTTGACTTCCTTTGAGCTTCTTTTCTCTGAGATTCACTGAACTCAAGTATCTGATAAAATGGCACCATCGTCCCAATTTTCAGTTTTAGAAAGAGGACACATTTCACTATCAGTGCCAGCCTGTGCCACATTCCATCCATCAGGACTCAGATAGCCAGGGCTATAGGAAAATGCTTTAAGATTTTCCATCCAGGACTTGCACAGCTTTAGAGGAAAGAAAAAAGAAATTAGCTCCTGACCTGTGCCTTGAGTGGTAATAGATATTTCTCCAATTCATCATATATTTTGGATTTGTTCCCATATATTATTTAATTTTTAAAATGTATGTTAGATGGCAAAAACTGTTAGAGCCCTAATATGTGTCAATATTGACAGTTGTCAGATGAGAAATTTTCTCATGGAAATAGACTTAGTCATTTAACATAAACCATCACAGAGGAAAAATAAAAGTCAACAAGCTTTAAAACCTCCACCCCTAACAAATGTTATCCCAACAAATAATTTATTTTTCAGAGGACTAACATGACTTAAATTTATTTCATTATTTATTATATTAAGAAATACCTACTAAAAGATATAAAAAGACTGTCTAAGCTTCTCTAAGCCTTTGTAGAGAGCTGACTTTTTGAGGTGCCAACATTCCATACTTGCTGATCAAATGAAAAGCAACATGAAATGACACTCTATCTATAGCACATTTTTCATTCATTGCACAGAGCTGGGCTGAGGCTTGTTTTAAAAAGTAGCAGATTTTTTTTTTAAGAAGTGTATTTGTCTTTATGTGGTGACAGATAGTCTTTGAAATTATAAAGTATGGAATAGCAGAATTGGCCATTTGAAATCAGGAAATATAAATTTCCCCAAGTCAAATCTGAGAGACAGAGCTCACTCGAAGGTTCTTTAACATCATCACAGTACAGGCCTGCCACTTTGAATTCTGTAGCTCAGCTAGGAGGGCTAATCAATTCCTAAAGGCAGAGGGTCCATCCAATCAGCATTTCTTACTTTGATTGGGGTGTCAGGTGTATTAACATACGCAATTGATCTATACCACAGTGTAAGGGCTATGCCACATTCATGTACTTTGCACCTCATAAACAAGGATTATACTCAGGTGAATGAGACAAATTTTTCACTTTATAGCTGGGAGAAAAAGTTCGTAAAAGGAACTTTGTGCTGTGGAAGTAGTCAGTCATTGCACTCCTGAGAGGATATCATTAATTACAGTTATGATAAAGGTGAATAAATAGAGCCATGCAGTTATAAAATATATTTTACTGGTTGACAAGGTAAAGAAAAATTGATAGATAATACAATGTGTTGACAAGTCTATGTGGAAACTAGCATTCTTATACAGATACCTGGTTACTAGGCACATAAAATGGTGACACATTTTTAGGGAGTCAATGTCAAAATAAAGTTATGAAGAGTAGATTGGAGTCAGCAATTCTACTTTTAGAAATTTATTATGCACGTATATTTGCAAGGACATGAGGACATGATATTCCTTGCAATACTGTTGAAGCAGAAAAGGCAAACTAGATGTTTAATCAATGTGGGACTGGCAAAATTAACTGTGATTTATCCAAACAATGGAATACCATCTACCGGTAAGATTATATAGCAGTATAAATGCTATGTTCCCTTTTGGGTAAAAATAGGAATATATATTTATACATCCCCCCACCCCCCACACACACCATTCATGTAAAGTCCCTTATAAGCTTTTCTATGTATTATATCCAGGAAATATTTCTGGAAGGGTACATAGGAAACTGCTATACTGCTGCTTCTAGGAAGGGAAACTGAGGCCTGGAATGGGAAAGTGATACACTTTTTATTGTATTTATTATTTTATACAGTCAGAAAGTTTCTCTATGTCCATGAATTGTTTTTTATAGTTAGAAATATATATATTTCAGAAGTCAATTTTAAAATCCTATTTTTTTTGTCTTACATGTTACTGAAGATAAAATCTCCCAATAGGCTAATTGGACAAAAATTCCGGTTGTGGCCACCTCTTACTGTGTGAGAGGTTATGGCATTAAGAATGTTCAGGCCCTGGCCGGACGCGGTGGCTCACGCCTGAAATCTCAGCACTTTGGGAGGCTGAGGCGGGCAGATCATGAGGTCAAGAGATCGAGATCATCCTGGCCAACATGGTGAAACCCTGTCTCTACTAAAAATACAAAAATTAGGTGGGCGTGGTGGCACGTGCCTGTAGTCCCAGCTACTCTGGAGGCTGAGGCAGGAAAATTGCTTGAACCTGGGAGGCAGAGGTTGCAGTGAGCCAAGATTGTGCCACTACACACCAGCCTGGCGACAGAACGAGACTCCGTCTCAACAACAATAACAACAAAAAACAAGAATATTCAGGTCTCACCTGTGCCTTTCCTTCCTGGTCTTCTAGACAAATAATAATAACAATGTGGTTTGGCAGAAATGCATTTAGTTGTCATATACTTTCTGCCTAGAATTCTTCTTTTCTTTTGGAAATATCATCGTCTTTCTTTGGGAACCCCTCTTAACTCCCTCAACCACATGTGTCCAGCAACAGTTGGCAGTTTTTACCTGATTAGGCTTCCTTGGCCAGGATTCCCAGTAAGGACAATAGAAAAGCCCACCCTTCACTGAGCTTGTAATTAGGTTGATATTAAGTTGACACACACACACACACACACACACACACACGCACACGCACACATCAAGAACATTATTTTTCAAATTAGAAATAAGAATATTTTGAAAATGATTTAGGAATATACTTTTGTGTATGTTTGCACTGTAAATAGCACAAGATGCCAAACTCTGAGAATCGTATTTAGTGAGATTAAAAATTTAACATTTCTGTTTGAAATTTTGTTTAATTGTTTGGGTTTCTTTGAAAAGAAATTTTTCCATTAAAGATTCCAGAGATGCCAAGATGAAAAATATTGCTTTAACCACATTGGAGTAATACCAACAAGAATAAAAACAACAAAAAAGCTATGGGAATTATGTTACATATTTGCTTTTCTTTTTCATCAAAGCAAATATATTTTGTATTATACTGTGACCTCATCCTGGGACAACCTCTGAGAACTCATTGATTCCTATTCGACAGTTTATTATTTGCTTTCATGTTGCCTGTAATATAAATGCACCCAGCATAAAAAGTTTTTAGGTACCCATTTAATATGATGGGTATAAACATTTTACTGACCAGAACTACTGATATTTTCACCCATAAGAAGTCTCCTTTTCAGTCTGAAAAGTTTTCACTGAAGTATTTTGATATGTTCTAAATTAGCATTTTTTACAATAGCATTGATTAAAATAACAACATGAAAACACCATGAATATCCAACAGTAGGAGACTGGTTTAAAAGTAGAGGAAAGGTCAAGTAGAGTTGGAATGTTTCTTTTGAGAAAAGGGCAAAACCTAGAAATGTTGGTAGGATCCGATTAGTTGTGGTAGAGGGCGAGTTCAAATGCATGATGATCGAAACCTAGGGTCTGATGTCTTGTCCAACACGGAGAGATTGGAGGGTAAGTAAATAGACATACCAGCCAAGCTGGAATAGATATTCCCACCTGCAAAGTCCTGAATGATACTTTTGGAACTGTATGGTGGACCAAATTATAAGAAGCCATAAATGACATGATGATGATAGCAGTGCTGAAGCAAAAGAAATCTGGTGGCTCAGTGAAAAATAAACTGAACTGGGGAGAAAGCTATTTATATAATGCAACCTGAGGGGTGACAGAAACAATGACAGAAACTCATGACCAATCAGTTATTGCAATCGTTAACAATTACTAATATTTATTTATTTAGTACTTAGTATGGGAACAATCCTTGGTGTTTCAGAGAAAAAGTATCATTTCATTTCATTCTCATAATAACCATGAGGAAACTCTTATTACCCCTGTTTATGCAGGGAAGAAAAGAGAGGTTCAAAGAATTTAAGCAGCTTGTCCAAAGTACCCAGGTGGTAAGCAGTGGAGTCAGCATTTTACACTAGACTTTATAGCGCCACCATGCTGTGCTGCTTAACGGGGTTTGACGTCTTGACTCCTTCCTTATCCTGTGTCTCTGACCCACCCTTACCACTTTTGTCCTTCTCAACTCTCCTCTAACCAGGCTGCCCTCTTTGCTGTTCCTAAACAAGCCCCTTCCCACCCCAGCCTTCATTGCTCTTCTTCTTCCTGAGTCCCAATTCCTGAGTGAGCCAGCTGGCTTTTCCCTCACTTTCTTTGAGAACTTGCTCAAGCACCTTGTCAGTGAGGAATCCTGTGCCCTTCCTTTGTAAGTCAGTTTCCCAACTGTCCTAATATCTTTATCATTCTCTATTTTTCACCATAGAATGTATCTAACATGACGAACTATGTATTTACTCAATACTTGTTGACTGTCTTCCACGTCCCCCATTAGAATATAATATCCTCGAGGGTAGGAGATTGCCTGATATTGTCTGTTTTTTTCACCCCTTTACTTATTTCAACAGCAGGCACAAAGTGGACATTTAGAAAATATTCGTTGAATAGATGAATGAAGGGAACACACAAAACATTGTTAGAAATTTGGTTTAAGGACTTGTCCCTAAGCCAGCAAACCTATATCCTTTGCTAGACAGTCAGTCAGCCCATGATGGTGTAGATCGTATCTCTTCAGCTTTATATTCTCAATGTCTAGCACAGTGCAAAATAGAATTATGTACTCTATTAAAACTCGTGTCTCAAGCATGGTAGGTATCCACGCTAGACATGGATGGAAACTTTGCCTCCACCCACCTCAGATGGTGGCCCACTTGGAGTTTTCATTTTTCTGCCTGCTCACTCCTTTCTATTTGATGGCCAAAACTTGGATCTATGGGCTCCTGAGTCACTCATTTATTTACTGAATGCATCTCTACTTCTCTCCTTTCTCAGGGCTGTTTTTGTCTGCACCGTTTATTTGACATTTCTTATTTACTATTTTATCTTTAATTTTGTGTGCATTCATATCTTTTCTGTCCAACTTGATGTTTTAGTGATTTGTATCTCTCTGATATTACTTTGTATCATTTATAGAAGGATGTGCCTGAATTAGTAAATGAATGAATGAATTTGATGGTGAAAAACATTTTATGACAGGGAGTGAGAAAGAAGATAAAACAACCATGCCTAATGATTAGGTAGACAGAGTTAGCCACCTGAAGATTTAATTAACTTAAATAGAACTTACTTAATAGACTACTTACTGCAATCCCCCAAATACCTCTGGAACAGAGGCAGAGGTGAAATTTATAGCATCCTCTGAAAGCAGAATGTGAACGAGAAAACTCTCATAAGATTTTTTTTCTAAGTTTGAGTTAGTTCGTTCCTTTTTTAATTTGACTAGTTTTCATTGAGAAAGAAATTTTAAACAAAAAAAAACCCCTCAAATATAAAAATCACACAGAATATTTTAAGTACATTACTTATTAATGTGTGTTTTAGGCAGTGTTCCCTTTTTATGTTTATGAAATTTTATGCTTGCTTTTCTGTTTCAGTATACATAATACTAAGGGGTAGGAACGCTATTTGCAATGACTGGTTGCCTGAAGCAATGCTAACCTCATTTCTGTATATTCTATAGAAGGGAATGACTGTGGATGTTAAGAAGCTCAGAAAAGGAGGGTTCTTGGAGAAATGAGGTATGTGGCTGGGTGCGGTGGCTTATGCCTGTAATCCCAACACTTTGGGAGGCCAAGGCAGGTGGATCACAAGGTCAGGAGTTCAAGACTAGCCCGGCCAATATGGTGAAACCCCGTCTCTACAAAAAATGTACAAAAAAACAAAAAACAACTAGTTGGACATGGTGACATGTGCCTGTAGTCCCAGCTACTAGGAAGGCTGAGGCAGGAGAAGCGCTTGAACCCAGGAGGTAGAGGTTGCAGTGAGCCAAGATTGAGCCACTACACTCCAGCCTGGGCAATAGAGGGATACTCCGTCTAAAAAAAAAAAAAAAAAAAAAAAAATGAAGTATGTACTTTTGCTGAAAAAAAAAATGCAGTCAGAGTCCAATTTGGGGATATGCTAAAAGCACATAATTGGGGAAGCTTGTGCTAGTGCTCATGAAGTATAATTCTTTTGAGAAATGACACAGTGCCTCTTAAAAACTATCGAGCTCTTACCAAAAAAATGCTCAATAAATCACAAACAGAATGCATGTGACAAACTAAATGAATACAAGCAGTTCCAAAGATGTATGATTCAGAAGGTTGACCCAGTTGCTAATGGTCTGATTAGCTGGAACAATTTCTATCTAGAGTGTGCCAGAAACAATCTGAAAGTGATCAGAATAGGCATTTAAAGTCAAAACCAAAGCGTTTGCCATACATTCAAAAACTACTTTCTGACTTGTATAAATTAATTTCACTGTCTCCTGATAGGTTTTGGCTCACCATGTCAAATTCTGGCAACTTAGGGTTATTATCTATTTTATTTGCCTCTAGAGAGAAAAGCTCTCACCCAGATACAGACATCTGTTTGCTCTTAGCACTATTGTTTCTTTCTGGGCTTGCCAACTTTGTCACTTTAAATGTGGCATTTAAAATATTCTTTCAATATGACAGCCTAAGTATAGCTTGTGATAAAAAGCAATCCTCTAAGCAAAGTTGGGCAAAAACAATTTTTGAGAACAAGAAAGCAGGTCAATATGAAATGAATATGTTATACTCAGAAATGGGATCTGTGAGTTCTTGTAGTCTCATTTAACAAATGTCTTTTTGATAGGCTTAATTATAAATCAATAAAAGTGTTAAAGAGGAAATCCCTGATGCTTAAAAAAATTATTTGTTGATTTAATGTAATTTGTCGTTAAAATAATTGCCTCTAAAGATAGTATATCAAGCACACTAATGAATTAAAAATGAACTTAGCAGTTAAACAAATTTTCATGTAAAACATTAAATCTATTTTGAAAATTCACACATTGCTAGATTCAATTTAAAAATTAACCTCAAGCCAGTTTAGAGATGTATGTACTGTAATTTATGTATTATAAAAGTTATAATGTATATTTGCAACAATTCATTTGGGACTATAAATAACCATAATGGCACCAAGAAAAAAGGTGACATCTGAAATTTATTTATCTAAATGATACAGATTTCTAACAATGTAAGATCATTTAGGTTGTCTCCAAAGACAGAAGTAATACGCAACTATATTGGATTGGATGTGCTAAAGACAGCTGAGAACTAAATATCTGCCATTAAGTCCCCAGAGCTCATATCAGAAATGGCATGTTGTCCTCATAGAGATGTGGACTCAACGGTTTGGTAAATATTTTTATGTACATGTAGACTCAGAGGGGACATTTGGCAGTCATGCTGGCAGCTTATTTTCAAATAGTCCAAAGAGTAAAGGAATGTTTATTTTGAAATTACTTTTCGGTTTAAGTACTTTAAAGCCTAGTGTTACCCAATCAGAAGTATGTGTGTGTGTTGAATTTAAAGCAATACATTAAACCTTCTTTTCTTTCTAGAGTAACAGAACTAACAAACATTAAAGGTGTCTTTTGCTGCCACTTTAAGGCTGTTTAATTAAAATTAGAAAGACAATTAATGGGGAAATAAACCAGCATTCACAGAGAGAGTGCAGGCCTGCCAAAGTGAAAAGGTTTTATTTAATAAGGAAATAGGGAAACACCTAAAATCGGTTGTTTATTTCCATTGTTCCTGGAAAAGAATTAAGATTTGGGATTCCAAATACCATCAGAAATGACTGCCTTTGGGGTATTGTTGCATAAGGAAAAGGCTTAAATATCTAAAAATTAAATCCCATTGTCAGATGCATAACAATAAACAATGAGAAGGTTAAAAATGACTATGCTTTTTCAAAGAGCTGAATCTCTGCCATGGCCAATAAATTAGATTACTCATTTCTAAACTACAATTATCTAATGTTGCAGGAACTGACATTTACTTATAAAAGGAATACTTAGTAATGATGACAAAGTAATGATGCTCTCTGGACTAGATTATTGTATGATTTTTATGCTTCCTGATAATAGATATATGATTGTTTTATCATTACTATGTATTTTTGGAGTTCTTTAGTACTTTCATTTAAAAAAAAACTTTCAAGTTCCAACAAAATAAAAAATAGGTCATGGCTTTCTCCGTGCTTTCTTCAGTTTCCAAGAGTGTATGTCTAACATGTGATTTGGTCGGACTGGCCTCCTGTGGACTATCTTTGACTGACTCATATGGTTCATTCCACTTCCCCTTCTTAAGGGTAAGGTTCATATCTTTAAGCAATTAGAAAAAAAAAGCCTACCCTGTTGAAAATAAAACTTACGTTTGAGGTAACACATTAAGACTACACTGCAGTAGATTATAGCCACTTATTCAATCAAAAGCATACAGTATGGCTTTTAACTCCTACTCTGTTTTGAGGCGGGGAGGTGAAGCAACCAGGATATATTAAATAACTATACCAGAGAGAAGAAAATGCTGCAAAAATGAGAGAATAAGACAGAAGGCAAACTTTCTAAACTTCTCAGCTTCGCTGTGAATTGGCTTTGCTTGGATTGTAACTGGGAGGAAAACTGAAAAGGTTAATGGTAGTAGGTTTCTTCCTTGAAGCTGACAAGATTTACACTTTTTAAGAAAAGGATTTATACTTTTAAAGAAAAGCAAAATCTATAAAAAGGGGCCTCATTTCTCAGATGTGGTCTTTGAGATTATCCCTCTACACTTGGCCTGTCTCTATCTTTGTCTCCTAATTTTCTAAACGCAGAAGTCATCCCTATTAAGCCCTCACATGTCTGCTCAGCCCTGGCCTGCATGTCCTGTCTCAGGGTGACAGGTTACTAAGGGCTAGAGAAAATATTGGGAGTATATCCAGTAGTTCAGACACACAGCCTTACAAGCATTCTTTTTGTGGGTTCAGCCCTGGCCCTGTTGACCCTCAAGTGTCCAGCCCTGGATCCTGGTTTTGAGTCCCAGCTCTGTCACAGATTCTTAGCACTGTCCTGGCCCCACCACTTACACGGCTCTGCAGCAGTACCCTGAAAACTGCTGGCTTTTCTCTCTGACACTAGTGCCTTCTCATTTAGACTTGCTTTTATCTCATGTTCCAATCATGACTGGCTTGATAATATGAAACTTACAGATCCTCAGATCATCTCCTTATCCTGGCTCTGCTTTCTGGACACTTGGCTCCATGGTTCCCTCTACTTGGCTTCTCCTTTGTCCATCCATTTTTCAACTTCCACCAGCTTCAGGGGTCTGCCCAGATTCCCGACCTCTATCCCCATCCTGATATCTCCTGGCCAGGACATGTGGGACCACACTGCCATCACCTGGGACCTTTACACCTTGTTTTATCCAAGTAAAATAGAAGTAAATAGGTTTTTTGTTACTGTTGTTGTTGTTGATTATTAAAGTTTCATATTTTATTGACATACTAAGATTGGCTTTAAGTCATTAAATCATAAATCTTTAACAAAGATGATAGAAAATTCAAGTTATAATGATACATCAGGATCAAACGGAATTTGCCCCAAATGGTTCATACATGTTTAATATGTTTTTCACTTAGCTCTAAGCCATCAGTTTCAGTCATGTTTTCTGGTAGGAGAAAAGGAATCAGCTTTATTACATGACAGGCTCACAGAGTCATCAAATAAGTCATCTGATTGGCTCTTACTAGATATATACTGTAAGGTCTGATTAGGAGCACCCTGCCTGCCATCAAGTGGGTGGGGGAGAAGGAAACTGAGCTGACCACTGCATATGTCTCAATAATTTCTTGCTCTTTAGCAAAACTCTATGAGCTTCAGGGGGGTTATGAGGGGGGTGTTCTTAATAATTTCTAGAAGTTAATCCATGATACTAAAGGAATTTGTCAATTATTTTTTGTCAGAAAAAAATTATGGTCTCAAATGGCTCATATATCCCTCTAAAAAATCAGATTGTAGAATGTAGAACCATCTAAATATAAGCATATTAATTCACCCCAATGCTGAGGTGAGTAAAGCTGGAGATTTTCACATCTTCACAGCAAGAGAGCAATTAGTCAAAATTACAATGAATCAAAACTTGGAAAATTTTCCTATCAATTTCCTCATGAAACTGAATGTCTAATAAACCTTTTCTAAAAAACCAGGATAGCATATTTCTATGCTTTTTAAAAAATTGTTGAACATGAATATCAACAAATAGGTTGTAGTAAAATTACTTTAGTTATAAAACTACATTATATTGTGATTTCATTTTTATTCAGCTAAGTTAATACTGATCAATTCTCTAAACTACATTTATTAACAAAGGCTAGAATACAAAATATTAAGTCAAAAATAACATTGATTTGTAGTCCAGCTGATTTGTGTCTGAAGAACACATTTCAAAGTTTGGTCATTTAAAAAGCAGTTCTCTTTAGTACTACTCCTTCATATTTAGGATACAAGAGAATATAGGAAATAATAGAATTGAATACTAAGAATTTTTATATCCAAATTTCTTATTTCTTTCTACAATAAATAAGTTTCACCAATCTTTTCCATCAGAAATATCTTAAACTTTTTTCTTTGGAGGGGAGATTTCTTAATGGGAAAATAAAATCTATTTTATTGAAGAGTTGGCTTTTAACAAACTGGTGAATCTGAAATTGGTACCAGGAAACCCTCACTGTGAAGGTAACCAATACTTACGAAGGACTACTGGATAAAATAATTTGGTGATTGGTACTCCTTATCTTCACCAGGAGAGAAAAAAAGGCAAATATAGGACAAGCAGGATATACTTTTGTCCTACAATGAGTCCATGTAGAATTTGAAATTAGATCTATCCTCCTAACTTTAAATCCCTTGCAAACTTAGTGAGTGTCACCGAGTCTGAAGTGTTTTAAAAAAACTTACCGTATATATTTAGGGTTTAATACATGATGTTTAGATATACATGCAGATAATGAAAAGGTTACCATAGTGAAGCAAATTGACATAGCTATCATCTCGCAGTTACCCTTTTTTGTTTTTGTGACATGATCACCTAAAATTTCCTTTTAGCAAAAATCCTGAGCACAGTACAGTATTTAAGTATAGTCCTCATGTTTTACATTAGGTCTCTAGATGTGTTCATCCTACCTATCTGGTACTTTATAACCTTTGACTTACATTTTCCCACTCACCTCCTAATGCTACAACAAACATGAGTATACAATTTTTCCCTTGAGATCTTATTTTCAAGTCTTTTGGAAATATACACAAATGTGGGCTTGTAGGATCATATTGTAATTATATTTTTAATTTTAAAAGGAATTTCCATATTGCTTTTTATAGAGGCTATGCTATTTTGTATTCCCACCAACAGTATGGAGTCTTAGGTTCTCCATATCCTCACCAACACTTATTTCCTCTTTTGACTTAAAAATAAAAATAAAAAACAATGTAAGGTAATATCTCATTATGGTTTCAATTCTCATTTCTCTAATGATCATAAGGATGCAGAATATTTCTCATATGTTTCCTGGCCATTTGTATATCTTTGTAGAAATATCTAGTCCTGTGTCCATTTTAAAATTAGATTGTTTGTTTTTGTTGTTATTGAGTGGTAGGAGCTCTTGATATATTTTGGGTATTAACCCCATATCAGACACATGGCTCACAAATATTTTCTCATTACATATGCTGTCTTTTTACTGTTGATTGTTTCCTTTGCTGTGTACAATTTTGAAAGTTTAATGTAGTCTATTTTGCTTTTTTTTTTTTTTGTCTGTGCTTTTGGTGTCATATTGAAGAAATCATTGCCAACACCAGTATTATGAAGCTTTCCCCCTATGTTTTCCTTTAGGAGTTTATGGTTTCAAGTCTAATCCATTTTGAGTTAATTTTTGTGTATTGTCTAAGGTAAGGTGCTAACTTTATTATTTCGCTGGTGGATGTTCAGTTTTCCCAACATTATTTGTTGAAGAAACTACCTTTTCCCTATTGTGTAACCTTCACACCTTTGTGACCATATATGTGAGGGTTATCTCTGGGTTCTCTATTTTGCTCTATTGCTCTATATGTCTGTTTTTATGCCAATAACACTGTTTGGATTACCGTAGCTGAGTAATATGTTTTGAAATCAAGATGTGTGAAGTCTCCAGCTCTGCTTTTCTCTTTCAAGATGGTTTTGGCTGTTCAGAGTCCCATGAGATTCCATACAAATTTTAGAATTAAAAAAAAATTAATGCCATTGGAATTTTGATAGGGAATTCATTGAATCTGTAGATCACTGGGTAGTGTGGATGTTTTAATAAGATTAAGACTTTGAATCCATAAACGCAGGGTTTCTTTGCGTTTTTGTATGTCTTCTTTAATTTCTGTCAGCAATGTTTTGTAGTTTTCTGTATACAAGTCTTTCACCTCCTTGGCGAAGTTCCTTTTTTTTTTTTTTGATGCTATTGATACTATTGTAAGTGGAATTGTTTTCTTTCACTTTTCATAATCTACTTTTCAGATTGTTCATTGTTAGTATATAGAAACACAACTGATTTTTTGTGTGCTAATTTTATATACTGTAACTTTGCTAAATCGTTTATTAGTTCTAGCAGTTTTTTGTGGAGTCTTTAGGGTTTTCTACATACAAGAGATTTTTTTGTAATTTTTTTTTTTTTTTAGCTCATCAACTATTGTTAGTGTATTTTATTTGTGGCTCGAGATAATTATTCCAGTGTTTCCCAGGGAAGCCAAAGGACCTGTCAAAGAGACAGATATGTAGTAAATAGTCACAAAATTTTTGAATGCATGCTTGCATGCATGAACAAATGAGTGAATAATCTGATGATGTTTATAAGCATAAAAATTTACTCTTAATATAAGTTTTAAGCACCTCTTTAGCTTGAGATTCTGGAGCTCTCTCCATTTTGCTTTATCACCTAGAAATAGGAAACTACTTTTATGTCCCTAAACATGGTATATTGTTTCATGCCTGTATGAGTGTGCTCCTGCTGCTCCTTCTGCTTAGGATGGTTCTTCTCCACTTGGTACAAATGGCAAGGTTCTATGTATCCATTAGTACACAGCTGGAAGGCCAACTTTCCTGTAAAGCCCTCACTGCAACTCCTCTTCAGAGAGGAAAACATCCCCGACTCTGAGCTATATGCATGCTTTTGACCTTGCGTATGCTTCTGAGATTCACTGTACCACACACTTTTTTGCATATATCTTGATTATATTGTACAAATCTTTAGGGAAGGATCAAAGGCCCTCTATTCTTTGTTTTACATAACTTACACTGTCGCTGGTATTCATCAGTATTTCAAGAAGAAAAAGTTGAATATTATAGAAGCTAATAGAGGTGAGGATTAAGAAGGAGGGGCTACTAGTTGGTACCATATGTAGGAAATGATTCAGAGATACGATAATTAATTTGGAGAGTAGTATTAATAGAAAAAATAATAATGCTAGCCTTAGACACAAGGGGATTTAGAGACAAGAGACTATATGATAAGCAAGAGGATGATATAGTCATTTTTGTTAAGCATATAAGATATGCCTATAATAAGAATTGCTTTATTGATAATACGTCTAATATTGAATATCTAATATGAAATATATGTGGAGGGCATTTTCCCTCCTTCCAGGTTCCCATCCATATATATGAAAACTCCCTTTAGCATTGTTTTAAAATTTGATATGCAACAATTGTGAACCACGATTTTAATTGGCCCTCAATTGATCACTATGATATTTAATTTTTTTTATCAAATATTGTAAATTTGATCCTATAGTGTGGCTTTTATGGAAGGCAGTCTTCACCACAGACCTTGATGAAAGACTATGCTTATCACATGAAAGATTGGCATTAGGCAAGCAGTTTGAAGTGTCAGGTATTTGTAATTCAAAAGATTAAGCACGAAGCTTTAGGAAAATACAAATGAAATTAAATGTGAACTGTTTAACCTCAAGTACCCTTTTTCACACAACCAATTTACACATGTTTGGCAAGTATGTCCAGGCTCAAAACCTTGAAACCAAGCATGCTGCAAAACCATATGTATATGATTTATTAAAAAACAGTTACAGATGTATTGGACAAGTTCTAAAGTTGATTCTGTAAGCAGAACTAGTGGAAGAGCAACATAGTGTGTAGAGACATGGTTAAGATCATGAGTTCTGCAGTCAAACTCTTAGTTCAAAGCTCATTCCACCCCTTAATCCTATAAGATGAGCAAAATTACTTAATTTCAGTTTTATCATCTATAGACCTTGAGATCTCAATAACACCAAGCTCGGTGAGTAATTGTGAAGTTGAAATAAGATAACGTTTTGAATAATGTCTAACACATTTTAAAGACTCAATAAACATTTGCTGTTATTATTCTACACAAAGGAACATTAATGACAATATAACCAAATTAGAACAGAGAGCCATTTGTTAAGATTGTTAATAAAACCTATTGTATTTATTTCCTACTCCATGCCAGGTGCTGAGCAAGGTGCTCTAGGTAAATAATTTTGCTTACCTTCACATTATGTTATGAGTATTATTAACCCTATTTTATAAAAGAGGAGATTAACACTCAGAGATGTTACACAATTTGCTCAAGATCATGGAACTAGTCAGTGCAGATACAGGTTTTAAACCCAGGTATGTTAGACTCCTAATCCTGTACTCTTTGCATACTTTTTTAAATAATGGAGTTTAGAGTCTGACAAATGGAAAAGTTGAAGAAATGGTCCTTCATTGAGTACTTGTTAATTGTACTATTGTACGCTTTCACATCAGCCTATGCTACATCTCAAAGTTTAATCAAATCAATTTCCGAACCCAGGAAAAGATATATGAAAAAAAAGAGTACACCAAATATGGTTTCTCTAAAATAGCCCTGGGTTCTCAAAAGGAATAACTGACCTTGGTGCAAAAGTTGAAACAATGCCCCTAATTCTGTTAGGCCACTTTATGAAATCTGGGGATTAAGAGCTTTGTATAGCAAAATGCTATGGGGCCAGAAAGCTTCTCCCTCTATTCCATGGGGCAGTGAGGTGAATGGTGTACAATTAGGGAAGGAAAGGGAGGCACCTAAACTACAATCAAAAGAGACAAGGCAATGTCTGGAAGATAAAACGGTAAGATGAAAGAAATTTCTGGATGGCCAGGGGTCAAGGTAGAGCTATTAGAAGCTAATAAATTGATATTACCTTCAAGGAAACATGGAGCTAAACCCTCAAAAGAAGTTCTTCGAACATACTCTTTTCCTAAAAATAAATCAATATACCAAGGCCCACCAAAGTTCCTGTGCCCTTACTCCCCATCTGTCCCCATTCAGTATCAGAACTTTCACAACTGTGGTTTCCATGGCCGCTCAACTTGAATTCAATGTCTCTGATTTTGGAAACCTAACATTTGACCCTCTGCTCCCACTTCTTACTAGCAAGACTCCTTTGTTCCCACTCAATTCCTCTTCTATTTACTGCCAATCAAAATTATTAGAATCAACAAGAAGAAAACCAAATAACGCTGTTAAAAAGTGGGCAAAGGACATGAACAGACACTTCTCCAAAGAAGACATACAAGCAGCCAACAAACATTTTAAAAAATGCTCAACATCACTAATGATCAGAGAAATGCAAATGAAAACCACAGTGAGACACTGTCTCACATTCATCAGAATGGCTATTATTAAAAAGCCAAAAAATAACAGATGTTGGGGGGGTTGCAGAGAAAAGGGAATACTCATAAATTGTTGGCAAGAATGTAAATAAGTTCAGTCCCTATGAAAGCAGTGTGGAGATTTCTCAAATACATCAAACTAGAACTACCATTCAATCCCATTAGTGGGTATATACTCAAAGGAAAATCAATTGTTCTACCAAAAATACACCTGTACTTGGTTTATCACAGCATTATTCACAATAGCAAAGACATGGAGTCTACTCAGCCCAATAGTGGAATGGATAAAGAAAATGTGGTACATATAATCATGGAACACTACACTGTTATAAAAAAATGAAATAATGTCCTTTGTAGCAACATGGATATAGCTGCAGGCTGTTATCCTAAGTGAATTAACACAGAAACAAAAAAAATCAAATACCACATGTTTTTTCTTACAAGTGAGAGGTAAACAGGGGGTACACATGCACATGAAGATGGGAACAATAGGCACTGGGAACTCCAAAAGAAGAGAGGGGAAGCAGATAAGGGTTGAAAAACTACCTATTGGGTACTATATTCACTATTTGAGTGATGGGTTCAATAGAAGCCCAAACTTCAGCATCCATGTAACAAACCTGCACATGTATCCCTTAAATCTAAAGTAAAAATAAAGTTGTCTTAGAGAAACTAAATTTCCAATGTTTCTCTGAGATGTACCCCCACTCTGTTTGTGTATCTGTTCACTTTTTTTTTTTCTCCACAGGTTGCCACAACCCTAACTTTCCTGGCCAAATTCAAAATCTAAAATATTGCATACACACACAAAAAATAGGTTTCAGTCCTTGGAAAGAGATGGTGCTTGCTTCGTGGGTTAGGCTAGCAGGTGATAGACCAATCCGAAATAAGCAGGCGAATAATAAAATAAATTATAAGAACGCTATTTAAGAGTTTATTAAAATAATATGGTGCAAAGCACGTTATATTGGCTATCTCGTTTAATTATTACATTCTTTGAAATTGGTATTATTTTCCTGATTTTACATGTGAAGAACTGAGGCTTATGAAGGTCAAATACAGTGTCAAAAAATCTAAGGCATCTGACATTGGGATAATGTGGAGTCCTGACCCCCTCCCTGCCCAGGGTAGTTACTGGAGGTAGTGGCGCCAGGAGACCTGCTGGGCGGCTGACTATGTCCTCTTTCTTGATCTGGGTGCTGGTTACATAGGAGTGTTTACTCTGTAAAATTTCAAAAAGTTTTATATGCCTTATATGTATGTTATAATTCAATAAATCTTTAAATTTTTAAAACTCTAATAATGTTAAAAATACTTGTTCAAGGTCGCCGTGGAAGAGCTGAAATATAGTGGAGATCTGCCTGCCTGCAGAGCCCAAATATTTAAACTGAGCACACTGCCTTCTATTTTACAGCCTCACCAGATAATGTAAAGAGTGTGACACTGAATCTCCTTAAAATCTGGGGTTATTACTGTCTGAATAATCGCCTCAGGGAACCAGACTGGTTCCTTATATAGTGGAAAAACGGGCAAACAATCATTGCAGAAGGAAACACTTATTATGGATTTGGGAAAAGAGGATGTTGAAACTGAGTCTCAGCCGCTGCTGCAGCAGGAACCAAGGCTTGGTTTCCAGGGGCCTCAAAGGCTGTCAAAGAGAAATTACTTGACACTCAACGTTGAGTTTAGGTTTTTCTTCCATCCTAAACCTGGGTCGAGCACAATAAATTGGACTAAAATTCCATGACCCTGGACTGGACAACAGAGTGGAAATGAGGCTAACCTTCATTTAGACTCATTATTAGGAACTTCACTCAAAAAGAAAGGAAAAAGATCCCCCCAAAAGCATCTAAGCCAAAAATGAAGTAGAAAAAGAAAAAGAGGAAAAGCTTCAAACCAAAAGGGCTAGTCAGAGAGGTGAAAACCTATAGGGCACAGTAGACCTGAAACCACAGGAAGCTAAACAGAGTGAGAAGGCTCTGGTTTTTTATTGGGGGCAAGATTTGGAAAGATTTCTGAAGTGCTATGTTTTTATCCCCAGGTAGGAGCAAACTATGCAGGGCACCAGCTGGTTTGGGCCCCTCTGCGGTGGCATCCCAAATGGAGCTCCTTTTCTCTAAGCATTTAGTGACTACATGCTGCTTGTCCCACAGGGAAAAAAGTGGGTCATAAAACTTGTTTTCTGTTTCCTAAAATGCCTAATAAAATGCTTTCACAAATTCTGCATGTCCAGAGTCAGTGACATAAGGCACACTGGTTCCAATAAAGCCTTTTACGAAGTATTTGACACCTGTCCACAGCTCTATTTTGACCTGGGACAAATCCAGAAAAATATGGAAACTTCACCAGTGCCTTTCCAATAGGTGTTTCCCAAGCTTCATAGACAAGTAATCGCCATGCTTTTTCCACTGAAATATTTACTTCAATGTCACTTTGAGCATGGCAGGTCTTAGCTTAACCAGGCCATGGTTTTCATTCCCTTCTGCAGAATTTGCATAAAACTTAGTCAGAGCAGGGCAACACACTGGTGGATCTCAGCAGCGCTTCCTTCTTTAGTTGTCTGAAATACTTTATGGCAGGCTGCACACAGCTCATCTTATTTCCATTGCTTTAGACACATATGAGGTGTTAACATCATTTAATTTTTCTACCATAAGGGAGAGGCTCTGTCCCTCAGGAGATAACATATTTGGACTCAGTCTAGGAAGTTAACACAAACCACATTTTAGTACCTGAAACTTTCAAATCCATGCTGGCAAAAAGGAAAGTCAAAAGTCAAAATTATTGTTGGTTACAAAATGAAATCAGAACAGGGAGAAACAGTAATTGCCAAAAAAAAAAATTAACCAAATCTAAAACTTTTTTGTGTCTGACACTGAAAGGCATGATGAATGATTATGATAAAATGGCGATAAGGACCTTTCCCTTAAAGGGTTGTCATAAGATGAGAAAGATTGTATATAAAGCTCCCAGTGAGTGTTAGTATGTGCTAGACAAGGTTCTAAACATTTTACTTGTATTATTTACTTGTATTATCTTTATTCCTCACATCTACCTAGGAGGTAGGTTCTCAACTGCATTTTACAGGTGTAGAAATCCAGGTACAGAGAAGTTTATATTTCTTGATTCATAAGTCAGGATTGGCACCAAGATATTCTAGCTCCAGAGACCACAGAATTAACCACTGCTTTTCAGAACTGGCCTTAGTATAGAGAGGAGTTCTGAGCAAGATCTTGACTGATGGAGTTTGACCAGGTAGGGGCAGCAGGAGATGTTCCCTGCTTCAGCCAGAGGGATCTATCTATCTATCTATCTATCTATCTATCTATCTATCTATCTATCCATCCATCCATATTTTCTTTCTTTCTTTCTTTCTTTCTTTCTTTCTTTCTTTCTTTCTTTTTCTTTCTTTTTAACCTTTAAATTCAGAGGTACATGTGCAGGTTTGTTACATATGCAAACTTGTATCATGGAGGTTTGTGGTACAGATTATTTCATCACCCAGGTATTAAGCCTAGTACCCAGTAGCTAGTTTTTCTTGATCCTCTCCCTCCTCCTACCTTCCACTCTCTGAAATGCTCCAGTGTGTGTTGTTGCCCTCTATGTGTCCATGTGTTCTCATCATTTAGCTCTCACTTATACGTGAGAACATGTGGTATTTGGTTTTGTGTTCCTGTGTTAGTTTACTGAGAAAAATGGCCTCCAGCTCCATCCATGTCCCTGCAAAGGACATGATCTCGCTGAAAGCATTCCCCTTGAAAACTGGCACAAGACGAGGATGCCCTCTCTCACCTCTTCTATTCAACATAAGTTCTGGGCAGGGCAATCAGGCAAGAGAAAGAAACAAAGGGCACCAAATAGGAAGAGAGGAAGTCAAACTGTCCATGCTTGAAGATGACTTGATTCTATACCTAGAAAATCCCATAGGCTCAGCCCAAAAGCTTCTTCAGCTGATAAACAACTTCAGCAAAGTCTCAGGATATGAAATCAATGTGCAAAAATCACCAGCATTCCTATACATCAACAGCCAGTCAACCCAAGAACCAAATCAGGAACGAACTCTCATTCACAATTGTTGCAAAAAGAGGGATTTTTGTAACTGGTATCCTTCTAACACAACTTATTTTATGTTCCTGCTTAAAATCCATTAAGGGTCAAGTGCAAACTCTGCCTCTCTCTCTAACTCATACTGGGTTTTTGGTTGTTTTCTTGCTGTTTTATTTTTTGTTTCCTTAATGCATTATATTTGATTTTGCCATACTCTATTGGAGTTGCTTGAATATGTCTGTCTGTGAAAGACTAGAAGCTTGTGCAGGAATGGTCCATGTTCGTTGTCTCTCTGTTCTACTCCCAGCGGTAGGTAGTAATATTTAAAATATTAAATTAATAGTAAGGCATAGACACCAATCAATCAGAATAGACATTGAAGTAAACAGCCAGTGGGATTCTGTCACTGTATAGCCATCGAACTGGGTGCCAGACCAATAGTGGGTACTTATTATTTATGAGTGAATGAATGAATAGATTTAAGAATCATAGCACTTGACATTTTTTGACTTCTGTTTGTCTCACCCTTGGCTCCAGTTATATCCTTTTTCTTCTAAATCACATATTTAAATTATATTTTATGAATCTTTAAAAGTGAACTTAAATCCCTTCCATAAGGATGGAAATAAATAAGTACATAAAACTGTTGGTGAACACTAAATATTATTTATAATGATCATCTAAGGATTGCCAAAGTCTAAGCTGGAATGAAGACTAGGCTGTGAGTTATAATTCCTCCTTCTTCCAACTATCCAGCCTTCCACCTGTTGTAAAATTAGGTTCCTTCTGGTACCTAAAATTCTATCTAAGAGCTTTATTTCTTGGAATTAAAAGTTTTACCTTTCATAGATTAACTGCTAAATTGAAAATTATCCTAGAATGGGTAAATATTAAAGAATGTAATTACTATTAGAATCCTAGCCTTCATTAGTTTTATTGAATTTCTCTCCAACTGATACCTTGAGAATAAAAAATAAAATTAATTAAAAAGGCACACATTAAATAATGCTGCATATTCTGTATATTCATTGGAGTAAAGAGGGCGAGATTAATCTAAAGCCGTTTTCTAAATGCTAAATACAATACCTGACTACATTACAAGGAATGGGCCATGTATTTTACACATGAATTCTGATGCCCAGATATTTAGGTTTTAAAAAGCTTCCACTTGATTTAAATGCATAGCAGCTAAATTTGGGAAGCACTGGGAGTATGGGTTCCTGTGGCAAAGTTACCTCTAGATAGGGAATCCCACGGCCTTATCTGTGCATTGAGTTCCCGAGATGAGAAGGCAGACACAAGGTAAGGAAAAGTACTAAAAGGGCATGGCAGCACACAATATAGTTTCTAGCTTCAGACATAAGAAAATGATTTGTTTGAATACAACATATACTTTTGAAGGCCAGAAAGTGCCCTGGCCTCTGGAAGAAAATCTTTTCAGCATGAAGGATTGAAGCAAAAGGTATTTTTGGTCAAATACTTAGTCAACCAGAACATTTAATTAACCAAAACACTCTAATGTCACAGCATTCCAACTGAGATTTTGAAGCACAAATAAATAAGACATTGAAGCCTGAATAGTCCCTGTTCTTTATTCTCTCCCTTTCAAGGTACTATAATGACTTTTATGTTTTTAATTAGTGCCTAAGTAATACTTATTTCTACATTAAAAATTTCCCCTATACCAAGTCAGTGCTAACTCATGACAAGGCCTTAGCAAGTTATTTAGCTTTCTTGGCCTTCGTTTTATTTATCTGTTGGGGGTGGGGACGAGATGTTTTTGAAGTTCTTTTTTTGTCCTAATAGTCTAAGATTCTTTGATAAATCAGCTATAGGCACAAAGTCTAGGAAAGCTGAATTTGTGGTTATGGGCCAGTGGAAAATAATTCTCTTCAGAGTTATAGACAAACATTTGTGACCTTAAAGACACTTATACCAGGTTGGTGAATTCCATCATAACTCCCCTCCAGGACTCATAGCTAGTCGTGTCAATGTTGATTTGTAGCTATAAGGTTGGCATTTGTACAACTATTTTTCCAAACAAGTTTTCCAATTATGTAACGTATGGTTTAGTTGATATTAATCAAGGATGACTGAAGAAGCAGTTCTTCCATTTTTATAGTGCGTATGTGAGTATTTGTGGGTGTGGACAAGGAGAAGGCGTAACTTCCTGTATGAACGTACCCTTAGAATTCCAGTTTCATTCTGAATGCTTTTATGATAGGTTTTCTACCATGTAGGTGGGAAATTTTCAAAGTGTGCTCTCCTAAGATAATCAGAGTGGCCGTAGGGGAAAAAATAACCATAGAGTTTATACCTTCTGCCACATTAATTTATTTAGTCTTCTAAACTGGCAGGGAGTTCTGTCTTCTTGCTTCAAATTCCCATGTGCTCATTTAAGTATTCACCAGCCCTTTATGATGGTGTGTTAACAGATTCTAACTGTTCAACAGTCATGTAACGGTGAGTTGCTTCCTTGACATAATAGTTAATTCAGGCTTTTATCCTTTCGTCTATTTTTTAGTTTACCACTGAGAAGCATTATCCATAGTTGAACTTTCTTAAATGGACTGGTCATTTTAATAACAGAATTTTTGGGGTACATAATGGTTAATTCCCGAATATTTTATTTTGAGCCTTATCTTTGAAAGTCATTTTAAAACTAGTCTTTGTCCACTTTTCTAGGTTAGCAAGTACTATGTGGGTACTCAGCCTCTGATGCGTTAATGTTTGTTAAGAGAACGTTATTCAATCTTTCTTCAATTCCTGAGAATTTTCTGTAGGTTTAGGGTATCATTGTAAATATCGTTCCTAATTTTTCATGGCTATAGATATAAAAGGTAGAAGACATTGGAGGGAGTCTCCAATCACTGTGAAGAACTTCTTCATTTCTGATCCTTCCAATATGGAAGCAATGCTGCTTCCAACCACAGCAGGTCATTGGAGTATTCTAGAACCTGGGGGTCCTGCTTCACTACTGATGTCATCTCACCCCTAAAATCATATCATGAGGCACTTGGAACAAGATGTCTCCTAGAGTCTGTCTTCTCGGATGCTCGGCATATTGTTTTGTACTCCCTCCCCTGGGATTACCTTCTCATTGCCAACATCCCTCCCTTCCATGATGTTTTAAGCCTTTTTTGCATTGGAAATAGACCTCTATATGCCATCCACCTCTTAGAAGATTGCTCTGTCCTGCTAATTGCCTTCTCTGAAGTGTGATTCTTTCCAGAAGCAGTACATAACCATTCCCTTTTTTCCATAACCTCATTAGCATCTGATGTTCTTTTGCTTTTTAGTAATAGTCATTCTGACTGTTGTGAGATGGTATCTCACTGTGGTTTTGATTTGCATTGCTCTAATGATTAGTTATGATAAGCATTTTTTCATATATTTGTTGGCCAGGTATATGTCTTCTTTTGAAAAGTGTCTATTCATGTCCTTTGTCCATTTTTAATGGGGTTGTTTTTTGCTTGCTGATTTAAGTTCCTTGTAGATTCTGGATATTAGACCTTTGTCAGATGCACAGTTTGCAAATATTTTATCCTATTCTGTAGGTTGTCTAGTCTGTTGATAGTTTCTTTTGCTGTGCAGAAGCTCTTTAATTAGGCCCCAGTTGTCAATTTTTGTTTTTTTGTAATTGCTTTTGGGGACAGTCATTAATTATTTGCCAAGGCTGATGTCTAGAATAGTATTCCCTAGGTTTTCTTGTAAGGCTTTTATTGTGTTAGGTCTTAGAGTTAAGTCTTTAATCCATTTTTAGTTAATTTTTATATATCGTAAGAGGAAGGTGTCCAATTTTAATCTTCTACATATGGCTAGCCAGTTATCCCAGCACCATTTATTAAACAGGGAGTCCTTTCCTCATTGTTTGCTATTGTCGACTTTCGTGAACATCAGGTGGTTTAGATGTGTGTCTTTATTTCTGGGCTCTCTATCCTGTTCCATTGGTTGATGTGCCTTTGTACCAATATCATGCTATTTTGGTTACTGTGGCCTTTTAGTATAGATTGAAGTCAGGTAATGTAATGTCTCGAGCTCTGTTCTTTTTCCTTAGGATTGCTTTGGCAATTTCGGATCTTATTTGGTTCCATATACATTTTGGAATTTTTTTTCTAATTCTGTGATAAATGACATTGGTAGTTTGATAGGAATAGTAATTGCTTTGGGCAGTATAGTCATTTTAACAATATTGATTCTTCCTATCCATGAGCTTGGAATGTTTTTCTATTTGTTTGTGTTGTCTCTGATTTCTTTCAGCAGTGTTTCGTAATTCTCCTTGTAGAGATCTTCCTTGGTAAGCTACATTCCTAGATATCATTCTTTTTTTTGGCTATTGTAAATGGGATTGTGTTCTTAATTTGGCTTTAGTTTGGACATTATTGGTGGATACAAGTGCTACTGATGTTTATACATTGATTTGCATCCTGAAACTTTATTGAAGTTATTTATTGATTCTATCATCTGTTAAGAGACATTAGGTTGCTTCTGTATCTTAACTATTGTGAATTGTGCTACAGGGAACATGGGAGTGCAGATATCTATTAGACATACTGATTTCAATTCCTTTGGCTTTCAATTCCTTTAGATCCAGAAGTGTGATTGCAAGATCATATGGTAATGTTTAAGGAACCTACATAGTGGTTCCATAATGGGAGTGCTAATTTACATTCCTATCAACAGCGTACCTGTATCAAGGTTCCCCTTTCTTCATACCCTTGCTGTCACTTATCTTTCATCTTTTTGATAACAGCCATTCTAACAGCTATGAAGTAATATCACATTATTGTTTAAATTTGTGATTAGTTGTCCTTGATGATTAGAGATGTTGAGCTTTTTTTTTTCATATATCTGTTGGCCGTTTGTATGTTTTCCTTTGAGAAGTGTCTGTTCAGGTCCTTTGCCTGTTTTTTAATCAAGTTTTTTGTTTTCTTGCTATTGAGTTGAATTCCTTATATATTTCGGATAATTAGTCCCTTATTAGATGTGTGTTCTGCAAATATTTTCTTCCGTTCTGTGGATTATCTGTTTACTCTGTTAATTGTTTCCTTTGCTGTGCAGAAGCTTTTTTGTTTGATGCAATCCCATTTTTCTATTTTTGTTTTGTTGCCTATGCTTTGGGGATCATATCGAACAAATAATTGCCCAGACCAATGTCATGGAGAGTTTCCCCTATGTTTTCTTCTGATAGTTTTACAGGGTCTTATGTTTAAGTCTTTTATACATTTTGAGTTAATTTTGTTGATGGTGTGAGATAAGAGTCCAATTTTATTCTTCTGCCTGGGGGGATGAACAACTGGAGTCATAAATTCATGGTTTTATTCAGCAAATATGTGTTTGCTTGTTGGGCTTGTTGGATGTTCCAGGTATTGTGCTACGTGCTAGGGTAGCATAGTTAAGCTAATAATGAGCAAGACATAGTTAAGAAACGTTCCGTTTCTTCACTCTAGAAATCTACACAGATAAGAAAATGAACAATTATAGAGAAAGCAATAAGCAAAGGTAATAAGGGAGCAGAGATAAGGGATCACTTAACTCAGAGACACACATCAGAGGAGGTAATGTCTGACCCAAGCCTTGAGTGTTCTGACGCATGAAGGGAAGACAAAGGGTGATAAGATGATAGTAGGAGATGAGGACATTCCAGTTCTCAGCATGACATTGGGAGGGCCTTTGGTGTGCTGAGAAAACTAAACATTACGTTGAGAGCAACGACTTCTTCTGGCTATTTGAGGTGATATAAGTGTATAAGGGTTACTAGATTCCTTACCAAGAAATTCAAAAGCAAAGGGGAGTTATGAAAGAGACATGTTGGCCGGGCACAGTAGGTCACACCTGTAATCCCAGCACTTTGGGAGGCAGAGGTGGGTGGATCATGAGGTCAGGAGTTTGAGACCAGCCTGACCAACATGGTGAAACTCCATCTCTACTAAAAATATAAAAATTAGCCAGGCGTGGTGGTGTGCACCTGTAATCCCAGCTACTCGGGAGGTTGAGGCAGGAGAATCGCTTGAACCCAGGAGGCGGAGGTTGCAGTAAGCTGAGATTGCACCACTGCACTCCAGCCTAGGTGACAGAGTAAGACTCCATCTCAAAAAAAAAAAAAAAAAAAAAGAAAGAAACATGTTAAGACTTATACTTCCAAGTTCACCGAGGTATACCATGTTCATGCTGGTAAAGATGTGGAGAATGTACTAGAGAGTGAAGACTGGAGGCTGGGAAAGAGTTAGGAAGATGCCTTGAATAGTTCAGGGAAGAAATTTTAAGGCTTAGAAACAGGGAATTTTTGTCCCGGGATGAAGTTGAACAGGCGGATAGAGAACCCAGTGATTGATACATAGCAGGTAAGGTGAAGGGGAGGTTTCTAGCTTGGATGAATAGGCAAAGAGTGTGCTCCTAAACTGACCAGGTTAATTGGGATTAAAAGGAAATATATCACCCTGAAACCAAGGATGGCAGACAAGGAGGAGCCATGGATAAAACTTTACAGAATTAAGTTTCAGAAAAGATGATCGGGTTGGTCTGGCCAAGCTGCGTTGCCACCACGTCAGAGGGTGCAGCTGCCTATGGGGACTCCCATCTGGCAACCTTGACTTATACCCATTCTTCTTTTAAACTTCCCTGGCTCTTGGGAAATCAGTATGCATCACAGTTCCTGACAAATTAAGAGTCCAGAGAATACAGCAATTATATGATCTAATCATACTAATGTTTCAAGTTGTCATAAAGTTACTAAATTTGTATCTAATATCATTTAAGTAGTAACTAATATAAAAGTATTTCAGCATCAGAATTTAAAATGTGAATCTGTCATTATGCATAGAGTTTTCTATTCACAGCAGTTCTACTTATATCCATATACACGATGGGCTTTGCCACTTACACATATTGAAGCTAGGATGTCAATTGGATAGGGCTCACAATCTCAAACTCATGGAAAATTTGGTAAATTTATCTCTAATGCCTATTCTTGTAAATGACAGATTTTTCACTGAAAACAGGGAATCGAGACAAACATCCTATGTAGACTTCTTAAAGATCATGAAATGATTCTAAGTTGGTGCAAAAAAAAGTCTCAAGATGCCTGTCATGAATCTCTGCAGAACTCTGTCTGAATTCCATGTTACAAATGCTTCCCAATTATGGTAGTAAGATATGGAAGAAAATATGAAGAAGTAACAACTTTTTATAGCACACTAGTATATCATAAACACATATAGTATTCATTTTATTACTATATTATTCTTCCTTTAATACACATAATACTTAAAAAAATTTTTTAGCTTAGAAAGATTATAATTTTTTAAAAACTCAGTCAGTTCCATAAGCCTTTATTAATATTTTCTATGGAGATATGAGATTCAACTGATGTCATTTTTTCTTTTTCTTACTGCAGAGTGCCTTTTCAGGAATTAATTCTGCTGTTAGAGAAGTACCTATGTCTTCAGAGAATGTAAAGGTATGGAATATGTTCACTCTGCTTAAATCTTCCTTGGGAACTCATATTCTTTTTCTCTAGCAATGGTTGGAGCATGTGTTTTGGAGCACCCCTGGGAATAAAAAGAAACAAAACCTATTCTGCCATTGGCATTTGGCTTCCCCAATGTTTTCACTTGGTAGGTAGCTAGTAGAATGAGAAGCTGGGAAATTATAGCTACAGTCAGTCATTCCTTGGTATATGTGGGGGATTGGTTCTAGGGCACCTGGAGTATACCCAAATCTGTGTACACTCAAGCCCTGCAGCTGGCCCTTTGGAACCCACATATAAGAAAAGGCAGCCCTTGATATATGCAAGTTTTGCATCCCAAGAATACCAAATTTTTGATCCCCATTTAGTTGAAAATATGTGCGTATAAGTAGACCCTCGCAGTTCAAACCCATATTTTTCAAGGGTCAACTGTACTTTAATCTCCATGTTCATCAGCCAAATATACCATGCAATTGCAAAATTCCAAAATCAGTATTTCCTCCTGGGGAATTTCCTTAACATTTACTCTCATTCTTGTTGCCTAGATAAAACAAAACTATGAAGAATCTTAGAGAATCCTGTCTGGATAAAACACAATTAGATAATTTCAGATTGCATTTGAGTAATGATTAGACATTCTTTTCATTGCATAGTATTTTAATGTCTTTTATTGCTTCCATGGAAAATGTTATTTATATATGATTTTCCATATAGGCATATTCAGTGCTTTCTTAAATCAGCCATAAAAGTGAAACAGCCAGATAATTAAACACAAAGAACGATAGATGTTTGGATGGTTCTTAAATATCATATTTTAAATTTCATACATTTGTGATCAGTGTGATGATACTTTAAGGTCAATAAGAAACCATTTTCTGCTGGGTTTGGTGGTGCGTGCCTATAGTCTCAACCACTCAGTAGGCTGAAGTGGGAGGATTGCTCGAGACTATTTCTGGGCTGCAGTGATCTATGCCAATTGGGTGTCTGCATTAAGTTTTGCCTCTATATGATGACCTTCTGAGAGCTGGGTACTGGCCCAGTTTGGAGACGGAACTGGTCTAAACTCCTGTGCTGATTCATTGGTGCCATAGTGGCTGTGAATACTGAATTGCCACTGCCCCCCAGCCTGGGTAACATAGCAAGATGCCATCTCTGAAAATTATTTTTTTCTCAGAAAGAGAATACATTTCCCAGCCTTATCTGCTGCCTACCTCGTGCTGATCAGTAGTGCCATGGTCGCTGTGAAGAGTGAATTGCCACTGATCCGCAGACTGGGTAACATAGAAAGATGCCATCTCTGAAAATTATTTTTTTCTCAGAAAGAGAATATATTTCCCAGCCTTATCTGCTGTCTACTTCCTCAATTCTTCCCCCTCTCATGACAGCTGACAGCAAAGGCCCATGATTTAGGATCCTCTAAAATCCCACCTGGGAAATGACTTCTTGCTGACAGGAAATTTTCAGAGCTAAAATCATGTACAAAAAGCAATGGTTACTTTTTAGAATAATAGCTAAAATATAAAATACAGTAGAATCACTTTCATTGATTAATTTTTTGTTTGTTAGTTATTCACTCAACCTACAGCAATGACATAGCCAGAAACTCCCTGTTCTTAATGACGTAGTGGGTTCTCTGCCTGACAAAGGGCACCACTGTGCTTCAGGGCGCGGCTGCTGAATTCCTCTGGCTTTGGGTTCAAATTTCTGCTCTATTGTTTACTAGGTACATAACCTTGGGCAATTCACTTCACTTTTCTGTCTCCATTTTCTCTTTTGTAAACAGTGAATAATTCAGTAACTACTCAGGTTGCTGAAGCATTGAATGATATAGGCACATCAAGTGTTAGCATGGTGCCTCATATATGGTGGTTAATTATTACAAGTAAGATAATAACACTTGGTTACTGTACTTACTAGTGCTACTCTTTGACCACCTTGGGGGGAAAGAAAACCACTAAGATAATCCCCCTTATCATGAGCACTTCCTCTGTTGAAAAACTCAGTAGAATTCATCACAAAGAGGCCAGGATCAGATAAGAGGCCAGTCATAGTCTAGTCTTTGGCCACCTCTGAACTCCTCTGAACTCCCTTGAGCATGATATTTGCTGTACAGCCCTACACAGCAACCCTGGTAAACTGCGAATTTGTGGCAAAAAAAAAACCCAAAAAACAAAAAACATAGCATAACATTGTTGGCACAAATGTTTACATGTTGCCTTATCAAAATGTTGCCACCTGTAGGTCTTTAACGTTATTTTGAAAAATAACACTTTTAAATTTTTAGAGAAAATATCTGAAATGGCAGATTCAGCGTCATTCATGATCAATTTTAGTATTAGTGCATAGGGGAGCCCTGAGACTATTTTCCTCAATAGTTGAGTTTCCTCCATCATAGGTATGACTAAGGGAATAGAAAGATGAGAATTACTAGAAATTTAAAGGAGCGTTGTCAGTGAAAGTTATATAAATTGAATAAAAAATAGAGTGATATTAGTGATTCACCATTTAGATGGACTTTTTCTGCCAATTTAGGTCTTCCTTGCTATCCTGCCTCCACATTCCCTAATCCTAATACATGTTTGCTCATGCCTTTTGTGCTGTTGCCATAATAAGCAGCCCAACCCCAGCCCTTATCTGCAGGAAGGAAACTGGGGGTAGCAATAGCTGAACAAGAACCAAGTTGAACACAGCTATGAGCAACACAGATAAGCACAGGGACATGTCCCATATGCAGGATGGACTACATAATATGTGGGGCCCAGTGTAACATAAAAATGTGAGGCCCCTTATTAAAAAATGTTTTAGAACTTCGAGATGGTGACAGCCAATCATTAAATGAAGGATCAGGCTCTTTTAAGTATGGAACCCTGTGAAGATGCACAGGTTGGATGCCCATGCAGCTGGTCCTAGACATTTTTCCTTCCCTGTTACTGCTAGTCTTATCTGTACAGGAATGGCCTCTGGTGGTCCAGCCTTTTACCATGTCCATGGAAGTTTACCTTATTGTAAAACCAAGTAAGTATTCAGGTTTTAATGCCAGATACATGATCTAGCTAATGGTTTAGGATTAAATGATTCTTCTTTTCTAAAGCCTCAGAGACACACCTTTTAATCAACTGTCACCCCCGCATTGTCTGAAAACTAGACGTAGTGTATAACATATGAATGTATACAAAAGAAGAACCCTCAGGAGTTAATTCTCAGCATGCAATGGAAAATATAAATGGAAATACCATTGTAAGGCAAAAAAATTCAACAAGGGAACCATGAACTTCAGGTATATTATTTTAATTTGAATCAGTTATCTTAAAGACCCTATGAATATTTAAGCATTGTTTTTTTAAAGGCTACCGTACAGTGAGTTATACAAGTAAAACTGGAAAACTCTTGACATTCTTAATATTTGTGAGTTGCATGCCCCTCTGACAACCTGATGAAAGTCATAAAACTCATCCAGGTAAATATATGTTCCCATAAACACACACACACACACACACACACACACACACACGTGCTTCCCAAGCACCTTGAGATCTGTTCAGGAACTTGAGGCTAAACAAATCCTTGCTCTGAAACAAAGCTTCTGTTGCTGATCCTGAAGGACTCAAAGGGAGCTATTTTAAAACAGAAATAAAGATATAGATTTTATCTTATGGCTAAATGAAGTTAAATAAACAAGTTGGGGTCAGGTCATAAAGGATCATGCTAATGCTTTCTTTTCTTTTTTAGACGGAGTCTCACTCTGTCGCCCAGGCTGGAGTGCAGTGGCGCGATCTCGGCTCACTGCAAGCTCCGCCTCCTGGGTTCACGCCATTCTCCTGACTCAGCCTCCCGAGTAGCTGGGACTACAGGCGCCCGCCACCACGCCCGGCTAATTTTTTGTATTTTTAGTAGAGACGGGGTTTCACCGTGTTAGCCAGGATGGTCTCGATCTCCTGACCTCGTGATCTGCCCGTCTCGGCCTCCCAAATGCTGGGATTACAGGCGTGAGCCACCGCGACTGGCCAATGCTTTCTTAAAACATGTTTTGTGCAGAAGAATTTTAAATACAGACATCTCATTACACACCTAACTACGTCAGTATTCAGCTCTTAAAAATAAATGTATTTTCCTGCATAGCCAAAAGAATGATTTTTAATATCTAGCAAAATAAATAATTTCTTAATTTCATTTTAGACCCAGCCAAAATAAAATTTCTCCATTTTTTTCCTGTTTTGTCCAAAATCAAGATGCAATCTAGGATCATGCATTGCATCTAGCTATTATACCCCTTAAGCTGCATTTAGTCTAGAACAATCAAGATTGGTTTCACATAATTTATTGGAGAGAGCAGATCTCTGAATTTATCTGATGGCTTCTAAGTGTGTTTTAAATCTAACTCTCTCTTTTTTTTAATTAATTGGAAGTTCAATCTAACAGCTTGAACAAATTAGCTATTTGTCTAAGTATACTCATAGCTATTTGGGGCTAGAATGCATCGCACCTGATGCTGTGGTTAACTGCACTACAATAAGGACAGAGTCTGTCCCCTGTCCCACCACTACAACTGCTGACACTGGACACCGAAACTACAGAGCCACAGTCTGAGCCCTCCACTATGCTGTTCTATTTTTCCCTTATGATCAAAAAGTAAACTGTGTAGTACAACTATAGCATTGTATAGAGCTTCAATTCTCCTTCAACCATTTACCATGTCGTTTTAATTCTAAATGAGAATCTATGAATGAATCAATTACTGCAAAAGTGTGATTTTTTTCTAATTCTACATTCCTTCTATGTTAACTAGATGTTCTCTCATTACTTGGGGATACTGGGATAATCAATTTCCTACTGAAAAAAACAGGATAGTTTTTAAATCATTGATTTTATAAGAAAAGATTTGGTTTAATACCTAACCCAAATGATAATATATACACTTTTGGCCTTATAAAAAGAGTTTAATTGTGCATTGAGGGATTTTTATAAAATCACTTTTAAGCCAACTACAAAAAATTATTCTTTTTGATGTTCAATATATCAAAACACTGGCTTGTGGGAGCCCTTTCAAGCTGTGTCTACTTTTAAGATAACAGCATTCAATTTTGAAAATTATCTTGAGCTCAAATTATACAAGGATTGGTCTGTATCTTTTGTGTCTCCAGTCAATAATCAACCATTTCTTCAAGAAACTGATGCCTTTACTGGGGAATGATATCAGAGACCAAAATGTCTCTAAGTATACTCATTGATATTGGGGGTAAAATTACATCTAAGCCATATCAATGGACGTAGCAAGAAAATATATTTTTAAATCATAAATTCATTTGTAGATTTTGAATTCAATACTAACAATAAAATACTTTTATATAACTTCTTTGGTTTTGTAATTGTACCTCTTTTCTCTTGAATATTGAAAATCTTGTTATCTAATAGTTAATAACATTTGTTGGCGTCTGTACTTGTCCTGAGCCTGTTTTCCCTCACATCAAATAGGGGAAGATACCCTTCCTTTAGTGTATCACCTTTGCAGGCTCCCATGTCAGCCAATAGCAGTCACTGGTGGGATTGGGAAGTAGGACAAAGGAAGAAGCCAGAGTATTTCTACCTTTTCTGTCTGTCATGGAAGATGCTTCTGGATATGACTGCTTCTCATCTGGGGTTTCAGTGCTCCAGGATAGGCTGACCTGAGCTCCAGCTGCAAACAGGTGATCTGGTCCTCTGGGCTCTGAAACCCATCTTTACGTTTCTTGCTCCTCTAACCTAAGATTGGAGAGGCTTCCTGTGTCTCTAAGATCTGGGTGGCCTCGTTATCTCCTCCTGGCTTCTTAGTTATTCCATTACCTATGTAGCTTATTCTCTAAATTACATACCCTTTTGAAAAAGAGAGTTTTATTGTCCTGGTTGGACCTTGATGACAGAGCTTTATAATATTCTTCAAATAAAATAGTTATTAAATAAATACTCCTAACAGTAAAACTACTAAAGAAAGTTTAAAATGCCTTTGTCATTTTTTTCCCTATAGAATGCATCCCTAAAGATGTAGTCAAAGATCTATGCTCCAAAGTCACTTTAAATATTCTTTCTCTTTGTGATTACATTAACAATTTATATACAGTAATGTACATTTGCTTTAGTGTGTTTCTAATTTGTAGGGATTCCTTTTTCTTTTTTATCTTTTTTAAAAAAATTAGAGCCATGCATTTACATGGTATGAAAGTCAAAACTAAAATGTATACATTGGTGCCTCTCCTGATTTTTAAATGTATACATAGATGCCTCTCCTGATCTTTCTCACTTAATTTCCCCTCCCTGCTCTTCATAATTAACCATTTTTTTAGCTTTTTGTTCATCCTTCTAATACTGTTCTTTTTGCAATATATACATTTCCTTTATTTCTTGTATAAAAGATAGTATGACAAATACACTATTTTGTAAATACTATTTCATTAAATAATATTATCCCAAAAAATCTCCCCAGAGCAGTACATAGAGATGGTCCTCATTCTTTTATGCTGCTGCATATTACTCTGTCATATGAATGTGGCACAATTAATTCAGGCTATTCTATATTGTTAAATTCTTGTGTTGTTTCCCATTTTTGCTACAAAATAATAGCAAAATGAACAGCTTTGTTCATATGCCATTTTAGATTTCTATGGGTGTATTTATAAGATAGATTCCTAGAAACAGGATTGCTGGTTCAAAGTGTAAATGCATGTGGACTCTGGTTAGATTTGGCAAATTCTCCTCCACAGGGCTTGTACCTTACTGGAATCCTACCAACAATGCATGCAAGTGGCTATTTTTCTAGTCTCACCAACAAGGCCTACTGCTGTTTTTTGTTTGTTTGTTTGTTTGTTTGTTTGCCAGTCTGCTGGGTGATAAATGATACCTCAGCGTATTTCTTTTGTTATGTTTGAAGTTGAACATATTATCACATGTATAAAGGCCATCTGTTATTTTTCTATAACTTATCTGTTCATATGCTTTAACATTCTTGAAAAAAAAATAATGGGAAAAAACATTGGCCTAGAAGTTAGAAGATCAGGCTCTATCATAATTTTTCAATTCACTAGTCATGGTTTTCAAGCAGATCAGAAACTTTCTCTGAGCCTTAGTTTCTATCAGTCAAGTGGTTCTGACAATAAAATAAATACAGTATATTAATATTATTTTGGAATTTGCAATATATATTCACTTCTTCTTTATCACTCAAAAATTTATATTTCACATTTGATTCAATATTTTTTTCCTCTCCTCTCTCTTAACCTTTGGAGTCTATGTCCTGTAGCTTATAATCATCATAAAATTTGGAGAGAAAGCTTTCATGATTTTCAGATGTCCCACTTCTACTGATGATAGTGAGGTAGAAAGGGTGTCTCCTACATAAAAATTCAACAACCAGAAATTCATTTTAATTTCTACTATTATGCTTTTTTATTTATTTGGAATAAAACAGAGAGATTTCACAGACTGGAACATATTTACTATGCTAAAACCTGAAGACTGGTGCAAAAATGCCAGAGGAAGATGATAAATAAGAGTCCTAATCTTGATTAGACAACTACCAGAAGCACTAAACTGCCTCTTCCTGAAGTTTCCATGGGTCTGGGCAGTGGCTAGAGTGCTTTGCCATTGCTGGATGTGTCCTCAGTCAGAGTCCAAAGTTCCTTTTGATTGTTGTTTCAGGAATCTTCCTTAAAAAATGAGAATTATAAGGGAAATGGTAAAAATTCACTCCTCTTAGAATATTAGCTTTTTTGACACTGTTAATTGGCAAAATTTGTTGAAGGAGAAATGACAGCTGTTTAAATAACTAGACTGCATTCATTTTAATTATTGCTTTTGGCAGGGTTCAAAGAGTTTAATCTTTCCTAAATCCCTCGGTAATGTCTGCTCTCTAAAAGGTTCAGTTACCCTGGACAAGATCTTCATCAGCTACTTGCTATGCACTGGCAATGTTACTTGATATAGATAAGCTAGTTGAAAGGGTAATTACTAGACAAAGAAATGTAAGATATATGCTAATCTAAGTTCTCAAACAGCTTCTTAACAAATATTTAGATCATTTACCTTATTTATATTTATATTTGCTGATACACATCAAATATCTCATCATAATTTCCTCATTTGCCCTCTGTAGATCTAGATTCTCTTAAAGCAAAATGTAACAAACAAAAGTAAACTGACTAAATAAGTAGACCGATATCTTTCAGTCTGAATCTATAAATATGTAGTATTGTCCTGTACTAATGTGTTTTTAAGTTTTTTAACCTATAGAATTTTGCAGAACTGTACTTTTGTATACTTTCAACTTAAAAATACTACATAAAAGGAAAGCCAAAGTTTTAAATTTGACAATCATTTGGTAAAAATAACCAGAGAAGCCTTAATTTCTCAAACTTCCATCCAAATTATTTTCATAACAATTGTGTTAAATGCTTATGTGATGTTTTGATTTCTTTGCTCAGGAACATCTCCACTTAAATTCAATGTTCTGAAAGACATATATGATGTTTCTTATAAGATTAATAAGATGAAGGAAAAGGACAGGAAAAACTCAAGAGTCAATTATGTAATTTGCATTTTTAGAGACTTGATTGCAAACCTTAACTAAAAAAACAAGTCTTAGATTAGATTAACTGAATATTCATTTAATGGCAGAAAACCAGAACTTTTTTAAAAAAAGGTTTCATGTTTGCAGGTCAGGCGGAAGCCTGTGTTTTTATTTTTATACTCAAATTCTCTGACTTTGTCAACATGAATATAATATCTAAAAGAGAGATGTGCCCTTATGATGAGTCAAGAGGCACAATAGTTTACAGTTAGTTCCTTTTTATTTGGACTAATGGCTATAGGTGGTTTATTTGGCTAAACATGATACTGAATCATTGGTAAAAACATTCCATTAGGTATATAATTAGTGGGCACATGAGAGAGTAGCATAGGAAATATATAATTAACTGTATACATTATACTAAAATAAGAATGTGTATAAAAGAAGTTGACTCCATATCTTGAAAGAATTTTAGAGATTAAAGGAACTCCCACAACAGCAAATGTTACTAACATAGTAGTATATTTGAATATTGTGATTTAGAAATGACTTTGTTTACCTATTTTTTTTAAGATGGAGTATCATTCTGTCACCCAGGCTGGACTATAGTGGTGTGATCATAGCTCACTGCAGCCTTGAATTCCAGGGCTCAAGCCATCCTCCTGCCTCAGCCTTCCAAGTGGCTAGGACTACAGGCACCTGCCACCGTGCCCAGCTAATGTTTTGTTTGTTTGTTTTTAGAGATGGGGTCTTGTTTCATTGCCCAGTCTGGTCTTGAACTCCTGGACTCAAGCAATGCTCCTGCCTCTGCTGATATTACAGACATTAGTAACTGTGCCCTGCCAGAAATGACTTTTAATAGAGTGATAATTTGAATTATTTTTCAAATATTCATTATTTCAGCATTTTCCAAACTATTAGCTGTGATACATGGATGCATGATGAAATTTACAATCTTTATCTTTATTAAAACTCCTGGATTTTTCCATTAGCCCTTTGGTACTTTCAATTCTACTGCTCAACCAAACAATTGATCAAGTATTTACTAGTACCTACTATAAATAGACTCAGTACTTTGCCACATGCTAAGGATGGTACATACATATGTATAACACATAGTTGCCAAATTTAAGGAATTTACAAGTGTTTAAGAAACAAAGAAAATAAATTGATATGAAAAATTAGAGATCAAAACAAGGTAGGCACCATGAATTCTAAGATGTTTCAAAGGAGAAAACAGTTTGCCTTACATTTGCCTACAGTTTGCAAAATCATCTAGCAACACAGTACACTGTTGAGTTTCAGTTGTTTACCCTCATGATCCCATGGCTGACTGGGAGCTGTGGGCCACTACGGCTTCCCAGCACCTTGAGAGAGTATCGTACTGCATGTGGCTAGCCTTGGAAGAGATCAAAATTCAAAGTACAGTTTCTACTTAATGCATATCACTTTTGCACCATTGCATAGTCAAAAAATCTTAAGTTGAGACATCATAAGTTGGGGACCATCTGTTATCTACATACAAAAGAGTGAAGTTGAATTTCTACCTGATACCAAATATGCAAATCAACTCAAAATGGAGCAAATACCTAGATGTAAAAGCTAAAACTACGAAACACTTAAAAGAAAATAAACGGGTAAATCTTTGTAACCTGGGATTAGGCGATGGTTACTGTGATATAATACCAAAAGCATGAGAAACAAAAAATAGATAGACTGGAATTCATCAAAGGTAAAAACTTCTGTTTCAAAGGACACTGTCAAGAACGTGAAGGACAACCCACAGAAGTGGAGAAAATTTTTGCAAATTATATTTTATAAGAGATTTGTCTCCAGAATATATCAAGAACACTTCCTATTCAATAATTTAATAAAAAGACGAGCCAACTTTAAAAAATACACAAAGCGGGGGTGGAGCCAAGATGGCCGAATAGGAACAGCTCCAGTCTACAGCTCCCAGCGTGAGTGATGCAGAAGACAGGTGATTTCTCCATTTCCAACTGAGGTACTGGTTCATCTCACTGGGGAGTGTTGGAAAGTGGGTGCAGGACAGTGGGTGCAGCGCACCGAGCGTGAGCCGAAGCAGGGCAAGGCATCGCCTCACCTGGGAAGTGCAAGGGGTCAGGGAATTCCCTTTCCTAGTCAAAGAAAGGGGTGACAGATGGCACCTGGAAAATCGGTTCACACCCACCCTAATACTGTGCTTTTCCAACAGTCTTAGCAAACGGCACACCAGGAGATTATATCCTGTGCCTGGCTCGGAGGGTACTACCCCCACGGACCCTCACTTATTGCTAGCACAGCAGTCTGAGATCAAACTGCAAGGTGGCAGTGAGGCTGGGGGAGGGGCGCCCGCCATTGCCGAGGCTTGAGTAGGTAAACAAAGTGGCTAGGAAGCTCGAACTGGGTGGAACCTACCACAGCTCAAGGAGGCCTGCCTGCCTCTGTAGACTCCACCTCTGGGGGCAGGGCATAGACAAACAAAAGGCAGCAGAAACCTCTGCAGACTTAAATGTGCCTGCCTGACAGCTTTGAAGAGAGTAGTGGTTCTTCCAGCACACAGCTTGAGATCTGAGAACAGACAGACCGCCTCAAGTGGGTCCCTGACCCCCGAGTAGCCTAACTGGGAGGCACCCCCAAGTAGGGGCCAGACTGACACCTCACACGGCCGGGTACTCCTCTGAGACAAAACTTCCAGAGGAACGATCAGGCAGCAACATTTGCTGTTCACCAATATCCGCTGTTCTCAGCCTCCGTTGCTGATACCCAGGCAAACAGGGTCTGGAGTGGACCTCTGGCAAACTCCAACAGACCTGCAGCTGAGGGTCCTGACTGTTAGAAGGAAAACTAACAAACAGAAAGGACATCCACATCTGTACGTCACCATCATCAAAGACCAAAGGTAGATAAAACCACAAAGATGGGGAAAAAACAGAGCAGAAAAAATGAAAATTCTAAAAATCAGAGCACCTCTCCTCCTCCAAAGGAACGCAGCTCCTCACCAGCAACAGAATAAAGCTGGATGGAGAATGACTTTGACAAGTTGAGAGAAGAAGGCTTCAGAGGATCAAACTCCTCCGAGCTAAAGGAGGAAGTTCGAACCCATCGCAAAGAAGTTAAAAACCTTGAAAAAAAATTAGACGAATGGCTAACTAGAATAACCAATGCAGAGATGTCCTTAAAGGACCTGATGGAGCTGAAAACCACCGCATGAGAACTATGTGACAAATGCACAGGCCTCAGTAGCCGATTCGATCAACTGGAAGAAAGGGTATCAGTGATGGAAGATCAAATGAATGAAATGAAGCAAGAAGAGAAGTTGAGAGAGAAAAGAATACAAAGAAATGAACAAAGCCTCCAAGAACTATGGGACTATGTGAAAAGACCAAATCTACGTCTGATTGGTGTACCTGAAAGTGACAGCGAGAATGGAACCAAGTTGGAAAACACTCTGTAGGATATTATCCAGGAGAACTTCCCCGATCTAGCAAGGCAGGCCAACATTCAGATTCAGGAAACACAGAGAACGCCACAAAGATACTCCTCAAGAAGAGCAACTCCAAGACACATAATTGTCAGATTCACCAAAGTTGAAATGAAGGAAAAAATGTTAAGGGCAGCCAGAGAGAAAGGTCAGGTTACCCACAAAGGGAAGCCCATCAGACTAACAGCTGATCTCTTGGCAGAAACTCTACAAGCCAGAAGAGAGTGGGGGCCAATATTCAACATTCTTAAAGAACAGAATTTTCAACCCAGAGTTTCATATCCAGCCAAACTAAGCTTCATAAGTGAAGGAGAATTAAAATCCTTCACAGACAAGCAAATGCTGAGAGATTTTTGTCACCACCAGGCCTGCCCTAAAAGAGCTCCTGAAGGAAGCACTAAACATGGAAAGGAACAACTGGTATCAGCCACTGCAAAAACATGCCAAATTGTAAAGACCATTGAGGCTAGGAAGAAACTGCATCAACTAATGAGCAAAATAATCAGCTAACATCATAAGGACAGGATCAAATTCACACATAACAATAGTAACCTTAAATGTAAATAGGCTAAATGCTCCAATTAAAATACACAGACTGGCAAATTGGATAAAGAGTCAAGACCCATCAGTGTGCTGTATTCAGGAAACCCATCTCACATGCAGAGACACACATAGGCTCAAAATAAAGGGATGGAGGAAGATCTACCAAGCAAATGGAAAACAAAAAAAAAGGCAGGGGTTGCAATCCTAGTCTTGGATAAAACAGACTTTAAACCAACAAAGATCAGAAGAGACAAAGAAGGCCATTACATAATGGTAGAGGGATCAATTCAAAAAGAAGAGCTACCTATCCTAAATATATATGCACCCAATACAGGAGCACCCAGATTCATAAAGCAAGTCCTTAGAGACCTACAAAAAGACTTAGACTCCTACACAATAATAATGGGAGACTTTAACACCCCACTGTCAACATTAGACAGATCAATGAGACAGAAAGTTAACAAGGATATCCAGGAATTGAACTCAGCTCTGCACCAAGCAGACCTAACAGACACCTACAGAACTCTCTACCCCAAATCAACAGAATATACATTCTTTTCAGCACCACACCACACCTATCCCAAAATTGACCACATAGTTGGAAGTAAAGCACTCCTCAGCAAATGTAAAAGAACAGAAATTATAACAAACTATCTCTCAGACCACAGTGCAATCAAACTAGAACTCAGGATTAAGAAACTCACTCAAAACTGCTCAACTGCATGGAAACTGAACAACCTGCTCCTGAATGACTGTTGGGTACATAATGAAATGAAGGCAGAAATAAAGATGTTCTTTGAAACCAACAAGAACAAAGACACAACATACCAGAATCTCTGGGACACATTCAAAGCAGTGTGTAGAGGGAAATTTATAGCACTAAATATCCATAAAAGAAAGCAGGAAAGATCTAAAATTGACACCCTAACATCACAATTAAAAGAACTAGAGAAGCAAGAGCAAACACATTCAAAAGTTAGCAGAAGGCAAGAAATAACTAAGATCAGAGCAGAACTGAAGGAAATAGAGACACAAAACACCCTTCAAAAAATCAATGAAGCCAGGAGCTGGTTTTTTGAAACGATCAACAAAATTGATAGACCACTAGCAAGACTAATAAAGAAGAAGAGAGAGAAGAATCAAATAGATGAAATAAGAAATGACAAAGGGGATATCACCACCAATCCCACAGAAATAGAAACTACCATCAGAGAATACTATAAACACCTCTATGCAAATAAACTAGAAAATCTAGAAGAAATGGATAAATTCCTCGACACATAGACCCTCCCAAGATTAAACCAGGAAGAAGTTGAATCTCTGAATAGACCAATAACAGGAGCTGAAATTAAGGCAATAATTAATAGCTTACCAACCAAAAAAAGTCCAGGACCAGATGGATTCACAGCCGAATTCTACAAGGAGGTACAAGGAGGAGCTGGTACCATTCCTTCTGAAACTATTCCAATCAATAGAAAAAGAGGGAATCCTCCCTAACTCATTTTATGAGGCCAGCATCATCCTGATTACCAAAGCCTGGCAGAGACACAACGAAAAAAGAGAATTTTAGATCAATATTCCTGATGAACATTGATGCAAAAATCCTCAATAAAATACTGCCAAACTGAATCCAGCAGCACATCAAAAAGCTTATCCACCATGACCAAGTGGGCTTCATCCCTGGGATGCAAGGCTGGCTCAACATATTCAAATCAATAAACGTAATCCATCATATAAACAGAACCAACGACAAAAACCACACAATTATCTCAATAGATGCAGAAAAGGCCTTTGACAAAATTCAACATCCCTTCATGCTAAAAACTCTCAATAAATTAGGTATTGATGGGACGTATCTCAAAATAACAAGAGCTATCTATGACAAACCCACAGCCAATATCATACTGAATGGACAAAAACTGGAAGCATTCCCTTTGAAAACTGGCACAAGACAGGGATGCCCTCTCTCACCACTCCTATTCAATGTAGTGTTGGAAGTTCTGGCCAGGGCAATTAGGCAGGAGAAGGAAATAAAGGGTATTCAATTAGGAAAAGAGGAAGTCAAATTGTCCCTGTTTGCAGATGACATGATTGTATATCTAGAAAACCCCATTGTCTCAGCCCAAAATCTCCTTAAGCTGATAAGCAACTTCAGCAAAGTCTCAGGATATAAAATCAATGTGCAAAAATCACAAGCATCCTTATACACCAATAACAGACAAACAGAGAGCCAAATCATGAGTGAACTCCCATTCACAATTGCTTCAAAGAGAATAAAATACCTAGGAATCCAACTTACAAGGGATGTGAAGGACCTCTTCAAGGAGAACTACAAACCACTGCTCAATGAAATAAAAGAGGATACAAACAAATGGAAGAACATTCCATGCTCATGGGTAGGAAGAATCAATATCGTGAAAATGGCCATACTGCCCAAGGTAATTTATAGATTCAATGCCATCCCCATCAAGTTACCAATGACTTCCTTCACAGAATTGGAAAAAACTACTTTAAAGTTCATATGGAATCAAAAAAGAGCCCACATCACCAAGTCAATCCTAAGCCAAAAGAACAAAGCTGGAGGCATCACGCTACCTGAGTTCAAACTACACTACAAGGCTGCAGTAACCAAAACAGCATGGTACTGGTATCAAAACAGAGATATAGACCAATGGAACAGAACAGAGCCCTCAGAAATAATGCTGCATATCTACAACCATCTGATCTTTGACAAACCTGAGAAAAACAAGAAATGGGGAAACAATTCCCTGTTTAGTAGATGGTGCTGGGAAGACTGGCTAGCCATATGTAGAAAGCTGAAACTGGATCCCTTCCTTACACCTTATACGAAAATTAATTCAAGATGGATTAAAGACTTAAATGTTAGACCTAAAACCATAAAAACCCTAGAAGAAAACCTAGGCAGTACCATTCAGGACATAGGCATGGGCAAGGACTTCATGAGTAAAACTCCAAAAACAATGGCAACAAAAGCCAAAATTGACAAATGGGATCTAATTAAACTAAAGAGCTTCTGCACAGCAGAAGAAACTACCATCAGAGTGAACAGGCAACCTACAGAATGGGAGAAAATTTTTGCAATCTACTCATCTGACAAAGGGCTAATATCCAGAATCTATAATGAACTCCAACAAATTTACAAGAAAAGAACAAACAACCCCATCAAAAAGTGGGCAAAACATATGAACAGACATTTCTCAAAAGAAGACATTTATGCAGCCAACAGACACATGAAAAAATGCTCATCATCACTGGCCATCAGAGAAATGCAAATCAAAACCACAATGAGATACCATCTCACACCAGTTAGAATGGCAATCATTAAAAAGTCAGGAAACGACAGGTGCTGGAGAGGATGTGGAGAAATAGGAACACTTTTACACTGTTGGTGGGACTGTAAACTAGTTCAACCATTGTGGAAGTCAGTGTGGTGATTCCTCAGGGATCTAGAACTAGAAATACCATTTGACCCAGCCATCCCATTACTGGGTATATACCCAAAGGACTATAAATCATGCTGCTATAAAGATACATGCATATGTATGTTTATTGTGGCACTATTCACAATAGCAAAGACTTGGAACCAACCCAAATGTCCAACAATGATAGACTGGATTAAGAAAATGTGGCACATACACACCATGGAATACTACGCAGCCATAAAAAATGATGAGTTCATGTCCTTTGTAGGGACATGGATGGAGCTGGAAGCCATCATTCTCAGCAAACTATCGCAAGGACAAAAAACCAAACACCGCCTGTTCTCACTCACAGGTGGGAATTGAACAATGAGAACACATGGACACAGGAAGGGGAACATCACACACTGGGGCGTGTTGTGGGGTGGGGGGTGGGGGGAGGGATATCATTAGGAGATATACCTAATGTTAAATGACGAGTTAATGGGTGCAGCACACCAACATGGCACACGTATACATATGTAACTAACCTGCATGTTGTGCACATGTACCCTAAAACTTAAAGTATAATTAAAAAATTACATTTATAGAAGATGAAAATAATATTAAATCCATAGATTAAATTCAGTTTTACTCAAAAAAAAGAAGAAAAGGAAATGAATGGACTGTAAACACCCAAGTTCCTGAACAAGAAATATAAATATTCACATTATTCAAGTTAACAAATAAATGTAATAAAAGCTCATAATAAATATTTTCCAATAGAAAAAAATGTACAAAGGATCTGAATAAGCATTTATATATCTAAATGCTTATTTATCTTCTAAATAAGATATATGTGTGGTAAATACATGAAAAGTTACTCAACATCATTAGCTATCAGGAAATGCAAATCAAAACCACAATGAGCTACCAGTTCATACCCACTAAGATGCTATAATATGAAAGATAATTACAAGTGTTGATAAGGAAGCAGAGAAACTGGATCTCTCATAAACTATTGGTGAGAATGTAAAATGGTACAGACACTTTGGAAAACAGTTTGGCAGTTCCTCAAAATGTTAAACATAGACCCAGCATACATATGTTTCAAGATAACTGAAAACATATGTCCATACACCAGTATGTTCATGAATATTCTTAGCAACATTATTCATAATAATTCAAAAGTATAAACAACTGAATTATCCATCACCTGACAAATGGATGAAGAAAGCATGGTATATGCAAACAATGAAATATTATTCAGCCATTAAAAAAGAGTACTGATATACGCTATGGCATGGATAAACCTTGAAAATATTACGCTAAGTGAAAGAAGGCAGTCACAAGACTATATATTGATATGAAATGTCCAAAATAGGCAAATCCATAGAGATAAAAAGTAGATAATAATTGCTTAGGACTGGGACTTGGATTGGGGGTTGATGGGAAATGTGTAGCCATACCCTGTATGTATTAGCAAATAGATACAAGGGTTCTTCTTTGAGTGATAAAAACGTTCCAAAGTTGATGGTGTTAACAGTTGCACAAGTCTGTGAATATTTAAAAAACCAAGGAATTCTATGCTTTATATGAGTTATATTTTAATGCTGATTTTAAAAATTAGTATGATTATAACTGGGAAGTTTAAATAGTACCTTCAGCCCATATGGATTCCATAAATACAAAAATAATACCATTTTATTATAAACAAAGTAGGAAGTCCTAAGAAAGAGAATTTTAGACTTTGAGAGAAATTTAGAAAATATCTAGTCTTATTTCCTAAGTGCCCCATTTTTTAGAAAAGCAACTTTAACAACAGGGTGGTGGTTAAGTCTATGGATTCTTGGGATGACAGACAATGGGTCTCCATCACTTGATGAGTCTCCATCACTGATGACTGAGTCATTCTGGGAAAGGCATATGAACTCGCAGCCTCAATGTTCCTATTTACAAGAAGGGGGAGAAGGCAGAATATCGCTTATAGTGTAGTTATTATAGGATTACATGAGATACACATACACACACATGCTAGCACAAGGCCTGAAATATAAAGAGTGCTCAATGAAATTTAGCTAATGTTATAAAAGTGTCTTCCTCTACCTCAAGTTACGTATGTAGTGGAGCTGGGATAGAAAAAAATTTGGTTTTCTTCTCTTCTATTCTCTTTCCATTGTATCGTTATACCAAAGATTGAAAAATACTAAATTATTCTACCCAGAAAGAATGTGAACAGCTCTGATGCCAAATCACTTTAGAGTAATTGATGTTCTATGATTTTCAGAGTCAACAGACAGAATGAAGGTGGTCTTAAGATTTTAAAATGGTCTTGTGGTACTTCTGTCACATCTAGAAGTATAGTTTCGCTAAGACAGTACTTACACCCTAGCCCTGGGGATCATTTTTCTTTCCTCTGAATTCTCACTCTTGTTTGACATTCTATCTATTACATGTGCTAATCTGATAAGATGACGTAACATGACATCTGCATGTCTTAGGTAATCAAATCTGAAAAACAACTTTAGGAAGCAACTAGCTTTCGGTATTTATCCACAGCTTATCCTCTGAGAGAAACAGAGAATAATAGCTGCAAATATTTCTTAGAGTTTTGATGGCATTCTGCATGGTTATAAGGAATTGGCTCCTCTCATACATATGTTTTTGAGGTTACATGATTAATTTGATTATTTACCTTGGCAAATGTTATCATAGTAGCATTTTGATTAGCAGCAAATAAGTTATTTCTACAGAGGTGCCATGTGAGATTATCTAGGTGATATTACACAGTAGGTAGGTATTAGGAACACTTTATAAGTGTGCACTTATGCACTGCTGATTAGATTACCTTTTGATGCAACTGTTCTGAGGGGGATTTTGGCAAAAGATCTCAAAAGCCTTCAACCTTTCACTCATCATTTCCACTGCCAAGGATCTGTCTAACAAAAATCACGAAATATATTCCCAAATATTTGTTTATTAAAAGTTGACCAAAAGATTATATAAAATCATGACATCTTGAAAACAACTCAAATGTTCCATCATGATGACTTAGGAAATAAAATTAAACATGTCCATGGTTTGTATTTAAAAGATTGTTTATAATACCTTATGTGAAGATTTTACATAATATGTAAAATACTGTAATGGGTTTCAGAATAATATTCATAATAGGGTTGCAATAATTTTAAAATAACTCTGAATACATTCTATGTGTGCATATATGTGAATACATATATGCATTAAACTTTATCATTTGGACTTGATTTGCAAAGCATCATTAGTTTTTTTACTTAACCTCAATAATTCCTTTAGACATGTGAGCTCTGCAAATCTATGGACTTTGCAGCAGAATGCCTTTCTTTTTTTTTTTTTTTTATTATACTTTAAGTTCTAGGGTACATGTGCACATTGTGCAGGTTAGTTACATATGTATACATGTGCCATGCTGGTGTGCTGCACCCACTAACTCGTCATCTAGCATTAGGTATATCTCCCAATGCTACCCCTCCCCCTCCCCCCACCCCACCACAGTCCCCAGAGTGTGATATTCCCCTTCCTGTGACCATGTGATCAGTTCATGTCCTTTGTAGGGACATGGATGAAATTGGAAACCATCATTCTCAGTAAACTATCGCAAGAACAAAAAACCAAACACCGCATATTCTCACTCATAGGTGGGAATTGAACAGAATGCCTTTCTTTAGAAACCACTGCTATCAGAATAGGAACTGTGAAAACAAATGAGAATGCTCTCATACAGTTATTTTATGGTCTATCAGTATTAATGAATTGTACTCAATTCACCCTCAGTTTTTAGAGTCTGAAAATGTAGATACCATGAATGTTTATGCAAGAGTTTTTTAATGAGTATTTTCAGTGAGACCTATTATTGTGTTAATTGAATATAGAAATCCTTTATATTAATCCTTGTAAAATATAATGATTTTTAAAACACAGTAGAAAAAGTGGAAGGTCTTGTCTGCCTGATGTGCTCCCAATGTGATGTGGTATATTTGAAAGAGATCCAGTTGTTATCAAGGTACTTTTCTTGGTATTCTTCTACCTGTCATCCACTGCTAGGCCTTAAGGCTTGGCAATCTTTTAACGTCTTACAGAATTATAGGACATATATCAGACTGCATATGTACTAGATATGACAGACAGTGGTCATTCTCTAAGTCTTGTATATATTTCCTGTTTCTGTTTTGAGTAAAATGTCCAATACCACTGGGAATGCCTATTTAACATTGCTAAGAGAACAAGAAAATTTATCTTCTTTGGATCTAACCATCTGAGCCAACTCTATTTTTTCCTAACCACTTTATTGAGGTGCAGTTGACATATGAAAAGCTGTGTATATTTAAGGTATACAACTTGGTGAGTTTGGGAATAAGTATACAGCCATAAAACCATTACCATATTCTATGCCATCAACATATCCATCACTTCCAAAGGTTTCCTCTCATTTTACTTATTATTATTTTTGTGATAAGAATGCTTAGTATAAGAGTTAACATTTTAGCAAATTTTCAGCATACAATACAGTATTGTTAACTATAAGTGCTGTGGTGTATGGTAGCTCTCCAGTACTTACTCATCTTGTAAAACTAGAGCTTTGTACCTTTTGACTAACATCTCCTTGTTCCCTACCCCCAACCATCCCCTGACAACCACCATTCTATTCTCTGCTTCCATGAGACTATTTTAAATTTGCCATAAAATTGGTATCATATAACATTTGTCCTGTTCCTGGCTTGTTTCACTTAGCACAATGTCCACCACATTCATCTGTGTTGTCACAAATGGCACAATTTGCTTCCTTTTCAAGGCTGAATAATATTCCATTGTATAGGTACATATATATGTATATACCACATTTTCTTTATCTATTTCTGTAAATGGACATTTAGGTCACTTCTGTGCCTTGTCTATTGTGGACAGTAGAATTAAAATCAGAATCTTGAAGAGATTATTACCACTCCCATGTTCATTGTAGAACTATTTGTAATAGCCAGCTCTATTCTTTTTCCAAAAGAAAGCTGAACTCATGTGAATACATAATGCAAAAACTGGAAAGTATAATAATTATACAAAGAAATAGAGAAGCTAAAAAATCGGCATTCAGTCATTGCTTTTATCATCTCATTGGTAAATTCCTTCAGTATGATGGTGAGGTGCCTTATGTTACCATGTTCTTGCACAAGCAAAACAGTGACAGTGGTCAACAATGCCCACATACACTGAACTGATGGTATGCATTCCACTATCAGGTAGCTCTTCCTGTAAGTATTACTCTAACACTACCCATGGCTTCTCCCCATAACCTCTGCCACTCTGAGGTCAAAGTAATTCCTAGTAGGCTGCTTCACAGAAACTATTTTGACAACTGCTTAAAAAAAACCATATATATATATATATATATATATATATATATATATATATATACACACACACATGTATCTCCTGATACACATATATATATCTCCTGATATATATGTATATCTCCTGATATATATATATATGTATATCTCCTGATATATATATATATATGTATATCTCCTGATATATATATATATATATATATATCTCCTGATACATACATATACGAATATATATATATGGAGAGATATATATATATATATAGAGAGAGATATATATATATATGGAGAAATATATATGGAGATAAATATATATCCCTTTCCATATATATATATCTCCATATATATGTATATCTCCATATATATCCACATATATATATATATATATATATATATATCAGGAACACTATGCCAGCAAATTAGTAAACTGAATGTTTCTTGATTTTTTAAAAAAAAATTTTCCTTCCCCAGAAAGAGAGTTGTATCAAACAGTAAAATGGCTATTTTCTTTTCAAATAATTTACATTGATTTTTTGAAACATCTTTAAAATTCACATTAAATATCCTAAGAGTCGATGGTGTTTTTATTTTAACAGAAAGATTAATGATTCACCCGAAGTTCGACATTATGTATAACTCAGAACTCTTCACAGCAACTTTCAAATAAGATTATCAGAACTTCTTGCATGGATTGGCACAGGACTCTGGGATAAATTATCCTGGTAAGAATTTTGAGACTTACTACTCTGGACAAGAAAGATAAACTACAGAGGATGCTGGCTTCCTCCCCAAACTGAACACTATAGATGCTACATAAGAGAGAGAGGAGAAAGATGGGTCCACTGAACTAACATGATAACTGGATTTCTGCAGGGAGGAAAGGCAGACGTGGTTTGTTGTGAAGGAGACAAGCAGCCTGCAGGAGAGACAGGAATCAGGTAACACTGTTGGAGCGAGGCTGGCAGAGGAGGTTTTAATTCTTTAGTTTCATTTTTTGGTGAGAGAGAATAGAAGCATCCTACATGGCCACCTATTGTCCAAGGAATAACCTCAGTACAGTCCCAACAAGAGTAACGAGATGACGGAAACAAGTCCGACAAGGGAATACTAAATTATCCCTACTTCTCCTGTTCTTGTCCCCACAATTGCTCCAGGAACTAGTAGGTTATCTCCACCATCTTCTAAGATGATTATTTTAGAATTACCCGATGAATTTAATGGCAATTCCTAAGGGACGTCATTTTCCTGGTAGCATGTAGTAGCAATGTCTGAGGCATTCACGAAAACTGTAGTAAGCCTCAAAGGAAGCTTTAATACCTTCCCAAAAGCGCAATATCACATTGTCTGTATTTTCTATGGTAGAGGAAAACTTGAAATTAATAAAAAGTAGCCAGAAAAAGAAACTTTTTGTTCTTAAAACTAATACGCTTTCCTCTGTCTGATATGTTTATTTTTATTGAGTATAATTTGTTCATATCCATCCATTAATTTTCATGACTGTATGATACCTGGATAATATTGCATAAGGATATACTAATATACGTGAGAATGAAGTGGTTTAAGAAACCCTCTTCCAAAGAGCCTCAAGTAACCAGCAGCCTGGGCGACAGAGCGAGACTCCGTCTCAAAAAAAAAAAAAAAAAATAGAAGTTTTTATTCATAACAATAATGCAATCATTTATTAAACAGCTATTATGCTTAATTTGTTTCTTATGTATTTGTGTCTAATTCTTAAAAACAACTTCTCACATTCAGAGTTAAGTAACTTGCCCAATGTCACATGGTTAGTAGAGGTTGAGTCAGGATTTGAGCTAAGTTTTGCAAGATCATGAAGTTCACTCTGTTTATAGCAATAACCATTCAAGCTGAAGATAAATGTTGTCTAGAAGTGGATTTGTAAAGAATTATGTATGTCTGGTTGAAAATCATGTTAAGAACGTTAGTATACTTGTATTTTTAGAACTATACAATTCATTCATGAAACAATTTTTATTGAATGTTTACCATATGGAAGACATCACAGAAAATATTTACTGATAAAAAAGGAAAAGCTGTAATCTCTAAGATTTCAAATTTAACAAACAGCTGTCTACAAATAACAGAAATGAATCTCCTCAGGAGTCATCTTGAAATTACGCTAAAATGCAATTTTCCTTTGAAACTGGAAAATCCACTAAATGAGACAACATTTGGTAATTGGTATTCTTCAGCAACTAGTAGGCTGCATAGTGGGGAAATGAAAATAGTAAAACCATGAAAGAATAGAGGGAAAAAAGGCTTATAAACTAAACCATCAACATAAATGGCTCTTCTACCTTTTTACTGTTGGCATGTAATGTACTAGGCATGGTGCAATTTGCACTCTTTAAAAGTCATTTCTAAACAAAAACCTTAGAGACTTTATCTTTCCTAGTAAACACTTATGATTATAGGTGGGGATAAGAGACAAAATTGTTTATCAAAGAATAGTCCTTTTATACAGACAGATGAATAAGAAGTTTCCTCTCATTGAACTTTGAATCAAACAAGTAGCTTAAATGTAAAGAGTTTAATTACAAACATTAATTCCAATACAGTCTCGGACATTTTAGCATATACAGTTTCAAAGAAAAAAAACTTCTAATTCAAAACTATTATATATAAAATAAAGCAAATATTTTCTCATTCATTTCAAATATGGATGTTTGCTTAAGTCTTTGGTCTAAGTAATATGAAACGGTATACTAACTCATCTACCGCAGACACTAAATATTTTAAACTATTTGATCTTGAAATAATATAAAACAATATTTATAGTTGGAGATTTTATTTTCCTCATAACATGAGAACAAGTAATTCTTTTGATCATTATATGCCATGTTTTCTTTACTAATTTAGAGATTTCTTCATTTATCTTTAGATTTATGTCTCTATTTCACAATTGTTTAATTGTAATACAGACTAGTTTATGCGTATATACTCTTGATTATGTTGTCAATTGTATTTATCATTTATCAAAGATTATTTTTCATTGGTCATGTGTCAAAATATTTCTGACAAGAGACAGAGAATGGAAATATAAGGGTGTAATGAAGTGAATTTTTATGACCAGAAATACAAATCCATGAACCAAAAATGATTCATATGTGTCTGTGATCTTTGAGAATTAGGCTTCTCTTATTCGAAGATAAAACCTATACCAATAAAATATTCTTACAGAAAATGTAGATTTAAAGCACTTTACTTTGAACTCTGCACAAAGAATATGCTTTAAAATGTTGAGCAACTGACTGAGATGTAATTACATTTGACGTATTAAACCTCTCTAGGAATTTTCATTATGATCTTTCCTTTGGGCAAATTGAGCAAGTCTGACCTTTGGCACATTCAAGTTTGAATCTTATGTCATAACACATTATTTGAAAACAAACTAAAAATACAATAGAAACATCTCATCTCATGATGTCTACATGAAATGACATAAAATAGTTAAAACTCAATTATCCATAAATAAGCATTTCAGCTTTCCACCACCAAAACTAGAATACAAAAACTGGTTTTGAATAATTATTTGTTGTGATGGCCTCTCAACTGCCTTCCCACTTTTGGGCCTATAAGGCAGGTCATACTCCTTAACATTGCATCATAAAAGTCAGCTTCAGATAGCGACAACATTGAAGGACATTGTTTGAGACCCCTCAGCCACCAGTCCATTTGATCTTAAGCTGTTTTCACCCTCTGGTTCTGCTTTCTTGACTTGACATCCAGCGCGTATCCCTCTGTTTTGTCTTTCTCTTACGGATTTGTTGCTTTTTTTCCACTCTTTTGGCATTTGGGCATTATGGGCTCTGTCTTAACCCACCCCTTTAGTCTTAGCTTCTCTTACTGTTTTTAGGGGGTTATGCTCCTCTACTTCTAAGCCCTGCAGAATAGCATCCCTTCTTTGGTTTCCAGAAAAGTCATCACCATGACCATCATCATTATAACTAATGTGCTGTCTCATGTAATACTCATAACAACCTGATGAAGCAGGTACTATTATTTCCCCATTTTGCCTTGGTCAGTTGTAACTACATTTGAATGGCTGAAAATGTCTCATCGCAAGGATCTTTCTGGGCATAATGCCTTTGCCAGTGCTTGGAGACCTTGATAACATTCTTGGGTGTCTGGCTGTTACTTTCCACTGCTTGCTACATGACAGATATGAACTTAAAGTGTTCTAATAATAAAATCAACTTGGCTAGTGCAGGCTAAAATTTGGGGCTTAGGATAAGCCCAATTCAAGGCAGTGTTTCTAAACTCTAAAGGCAATCTTGGTCATCAGCTGCTACTCTGTTTCCATTAGTATATGTGACCTCACTAAAACCATCTATCTTCAAACTAGGTATAGACTTAGAGACAGTAAAACCAGGAACTTTTAACAAAAGGGTACCCTCCCCACCCCAATCAGTATTGTAGGTACCTGCCAATTTTGACAGCAACAAGTCAGGTCGGGTTGGGTAGTCCCTGAACAGAGCATGAATACATGTTATTTTTAGTTCTTAGAATACTATAATCATGTCCAGGAGCTGAGTGAACCACTGACCTTTCCTAAAGAGTTAAATTTACTGAGGAAAATTAGGAAAAGAGGGAAGAGGGGTGAAATTTGAAGTACAGATAAGGAAACTTAAGAGTCACTACATATCCTTGTTTGTCCCAGGGGGTATTCCAATCCAGAACTGTTCCTAACATGTCTAATAGTTATGATTAGTTGAAAAGCAGCCAGGGTCATAGAAGTTGGCCTGGAAATGGTGCTATGCAAGCTATCCCAAGTATTTTCCATCATTTTATTTCTTTGCTCAGATTTTCTATATTTTTATTTGTTTTAAGAGGATTTGTAATTGATTTTTGGTGTGTTTTATGACAGCTGCTTTAAAATCTTTGTCAGATATTCCAACATCTAATTTATCTTGTTATTATTGGCACCAGTGGATTGTCTTTCCTCATTCAGATTGTAGCTTGCCTGGTTCTTGATGAATGATTTTCTGTTACATCCTGGACATTTTAGTTCTTATGTTAGGAGACACTTGATCCTATTTACACCTTCTGTTTTAGCAGGCAGTTGTCCTGTTTAGGTTCTGCTTGTCAGGTCTGTCCTACTTTTATTGGCTTTAGTTCCAATGAAAGTTTAGTTTTCTGAGCTCTTGCAATGTTATTCTGGTTGAATGGTTCTTCATTTTTCGCATGCTGTTGGGCTTACTGCTCAATCAATGTTCTGGTGTCATCTGTGGAAGTGGAAGGTACTTCCTTGGGCTACCTACTGTCATTGGGCAACCTGGAGAGGGCCACTGAGGAACAGAGAAAAGCGAGGATATGCCATCTTGTTCCAGAATTGGGATCCAGCCCAGGTCATCAATCATCCCTCTAAGCGTTCTTGAGAGACTTGACTGCCAAATGAACAAGGATGTTGTCCAGAAAACACTCAGGTAGAAGAACATCTAGATGACAACTTTCAATAGAGTATTGTACTCCTTTTCTTAAAGTCAGCCTTCTATTTCTCAGTCTTACCTTGTGCTTTCTGTAAGGCTCCAGCTTTGTGAAAACCCAGGCTCCATGGAGTTGGCCAGGAGGCCTGCTACCAGGGGATTGGGTAGAAATTCCAAGCAGTAACTCCACTGAGGCCTTAGAATTCCTGGCACAGATAAGCTCTCTACTTTCTTCTCTTTGAAGAAAATGTTTATCCCATAGAGGAAATAGAGGGTGTTTTTTATTATTTACAAAACATTTTATTCCAAGATTACCTGTCTACACACCACTCAAAAACTACTTAGTATTCCCGATGCTTGTTCAAAGATCCTTCTATTCCCCAATTATATCTCAGCGTGATTTTTCTTCATTTTCTGGCCCTAATCCAGCACTTGACTCAATTGTGCTATTTCTGCCTTAGCTTTCTCAGTATGTCCTGGCATCTTTTTAGTGAGCGTGACTCCTTCTGTAGCTCCAGGTGTCTCAACATACTGCTCTAACAGCTTTGGCCAGGCAAGGTCCAAGTTGCTGATATAAGTTTACAGGTCCTCACACTAGTTCTGATTTCCTCTGCAGCAAGTCAAATAGTGCTGATACTTCAGATCTTACAGAAGTGGGGTAGTATAAATCTTGCTTCAAAATAAAATTTCTCGTATACTTCTGTCCCTGTTAATTCATGCTTATCCTTTATTCCTAGTGATAGGGCTTCTCAAAGACTTGGGTCCATAGCTTTGCGAGTACCCTGACAAAGAAACAGTAGGTGGAATGAGCAATTTATCTCATACGTCTTGGTTGATAGGCCTGTTGCAGAACTTCAGTAGTGATTGGCTAAGAAGCAGGCTAATTTTTTTTAAAATTTCAATAGCTTCTGTGATACTAGCGGTTTTTGGTTACATGAATGAATTGTATAGTGGTGAAGTCTGGGCTTTTAGTCTACCCATCAACTTGAATAGTGTACATGGTGCCCAACAGGTAATTTTTAAGAAACAGACATTGCAGCAGATATTTGTTGGTTCCATTGAGAGGTATTGGGACAATGAGAGAAAAAAAAAACACATCTTAATCTTTTCACCAGCTAATCCTGACATCAGATTTTGGGAGACTTTGTTATTGCTGTTCTTTGTTGAACAAATAACTCTTTAATTTACGTGCATCAGACTTATGTCACGATGACCTTTTGCTTCTTTATCCAATAAGGAATTTTGAGCACACTCTTTTCTACATGGCATTATAAGGCACACATATGCAATGTTTATTTACTATGTTACATTTTCTAGTGATGCATTATTTTAGATTTTTATCTAACAATTATCATAAGGTGCAAAATGGAAGATCTTTAACAAAAAGTTATAAACAACTACCATATGCCAGGGACTGTGTAAAATGCTGGAAATACAATGATGTTTTTTTGGAAATATGAATCTGGATCCCAGGAATTATGCAGTATAAAAAAAGAAAAAATACAGGCACACAGGATGAAACAGACAAAATATAGCATTATAAAGGCAACATCATAAATATGAACAGGAGTAGAGGTCCTACATAAGAACTGCTTTTAAGTCAGTGAAGACTCAAGACAGCAGGCGATATCTGAATTTTGTGTTGAGGATAAATAGGAATCAATCACATAGGAAGAGAGGGAAGACATTTCAGGCTTATTAAAGCCTATGCACCAAGTCACAGAGGTGTGGAAAAATAATACGAATTCAAAGCTACAAGTAACTAACTCTATGATGCTCAAGTACAAAGAAGAACAATGAGATGAGGCCACCAAGTGCTTTGCATCCCATAAGAAGCTTGGATTTTAATGTTCTAAAAAATAGGAGACCTATAATAAATTTTAAGGTAGAAAGAGATGACAAGATCAGACTTGCATTTTAGAAAAATCAGTGTGTATTACACATAATACTTAATACTTTTTAATAGTAAATTTAAATTTATGATCTTATTCAACCATATTGCCTCTTCAAAGAGAAGAAGAGCTATAATGTTATATAAATCTAAGCATAAAAAATATCAGGCATCCCATACCTCTCAGACAAGGCTTTATGTAAGAACAGCTGAGAGCTTCCTTCTGCCCTCATGAAACCATAAAGAGAAAATGTGTTATCTTAACAGGGAAAACTTTCTTTTACATTTTCTAGGAAGACTCACAGCCAAATGAAAACAGTATATTCCTGGAATGCCTTTAACTGTCTTGTCGTACCAGGACTTCTTGCTGAGAGAGTTCCTGCCCCCTGTAAACACAGAACATGCTTGTCTGTGCTTTTAACTTATATCCTGTATATGTCTTCCTGACAACTATCCATACAAGCGGCTTTCATTCCCTGTTTCCAGATGAGAATTGAACTCAATGCACATATTGAAAGGAAAGAAACCTAGGTTTTATATATGGAAATATCCACTCATGATTGGTGCCTTCTTATGGATACTTAATAGTACTGATATTTTTATGTTGCTTGATAAAAGATGATTGTCAAAAGAGATCCACACAGACAGTGGCTATAAGAGTGAAGCTGCACAGGTCCCTTTGTAGCAGTCAGTCTCTCTCCTACTCCCTGTCTCATCTCCTTCCCCTGCCACAAGGACCCAGAGAAGCAGGCAGGCTGGCAGTGTGATGACGGTATCTTACCCTGGCTCTGAGGTTGACACAGATTTCACAGGTCACTTCTATCACTGCAAAAGCACATTGGTCTGGAGTTTATGAAGAACATACAATTTCTGTTGGCATGTTAGGTACATTATATAAAATGCCCCGCATAAAGAAAGCAGTGTAGTTAAAAGCAAATGAAAGATAAAAAGAGTAACAACGTGGTTTCTCAGTATTTCATGGTACCGGTAGATATGACCTTCACAGACAAACCTAAATCTTTCTTATGTAACTGACATTTAGTCCGTTAGCCATTTTTAATAAAAGAGTAGAGAAGTTACTCTACTGCGGCTTTTGCTGGTACTTTTTATAGCCGTCGTGTGGTAGGAAGTAGGCCCCAAGTTCCCTTGGCAACAAGTAGAGTAGAAGCGATACACAGAAAACTGAGTCATCGGTGAATCATCTGAGGATTTCTGTTTCCAATCCTTGGAAATAATTTACCGATTGTTTTTTATTTGTGCAGTGTTTGCTGACTCTGAGTGGACACCTCAGAAACTGTAACATCTTTGGTCAATTTGGTCAATCGTTTAAGAAACATTCTGGATGCTCCAAGTAGACCTTAAGATTGATATCCAAACAAAACAAACCTCTGCTTGCTTTAAGATGACACTCACTCCCCATCTGAGGAGGAACAGATAAGTGAGTCAAGGTATTGGCAATGGGGAAGTCCCCTTTCTACAAAGAAATCTGATGTCCCCAGAAAAATGTTTCATGACATTGTCACATTTAAAATGTTAGTCACAACAAATTTTCAGACACCTAAAAAGAGAACAAATATGGTCTCATACATTTTCTCTCTCTCACTCTGTCTGAGACTTATGTTCATCAGTTACTCAATTCCCCCATTTTTTTTTTTACAAATACATCTCTTATATAATCCCTTTATCTCCACAATTGTTGCTTCTACCTTATATCAAGGTTTACCATTTCATTTATCTAGGCTCAGATTGTCCTTTACTTCATTGCGTGTACAAGGAGAAAGAAAAAACCTCCCCTAAAAATGCTTTTTGGCCAGGTGCGGTAGCTCAAACATGTAATCCCAGCACTTTGGGAGGCTGAGGTGGGTGGATCACCTGAGGTCAGAAGCTTGAGACCAGCATGGCCAACACGGCGAAACCCCATCTGTACTAAAAATGCAAAAATTAGCTGGGTGTAGTGTTGCACTCCTGTAATCCCAGCTACTCAGGAGGCTGAGACAGGAGAATCGCTTGAACCAGGATGTGGAGGTTGCAGTGAGCAGAGATCATGCCACTGCACTCCAGCCAAGGCAACAGAGTAAGACTCAGTCTTCAAATAAATAATTAAATAAATAAATAAATAAATAAATAAATAAAATAATGCTTTTCATCTGCCACCAGGGACCTAATCAAAACTCTTTAATAGTTCAATGGCTTCTTGAGGACCATGACTTATTTATTATTGTATCTGCAGCACCCATCATGGTGCCTGACCTACAGAATATGTTCAATATGTGTTTATTGAATGAATTATAATAATTGTGGTATTTTTGCTTATATGCACCCCCCCACCACACACACACACACACACACACACACACACGTTAAATCTAAAGCTTCTTGTGAGCAGAAGGCTTATCTTGTAAATTGTTGTATCCCTAGCTCCTCGAAGGGTGTCTGGTATGATACAAACATTCAATCATCATTTACTGAAATGGTGAATGAAATTCAAATGCTGGGCTTATACAAGTATATGGTATCCTCCCATACCTAGGTGAACTCGTTTCTCACCACTGCCTTCCTTCCTGTGAGGTGAGCCTTTGTACCATTCGAACTCCATGCAACTATTCCTACCAATTGCCTCATATGAACTACCTCACACAAACCACTGCCTACTTAAATTCTATCCTCCTTTAAGGCCCAACTGAAGTCACATTCTGTTCACAAATGAGACTTCTTGACTCCTTCAGCCCTCACAGATCTTCATGTCATCCAGACTCAGAGTACCTATGGCCTTTACTCAGATTTGTCCCTACAGACTCATTCTTCCATTGTTTGCCTCCTTTTAAATTCCTGGGTGATGTTATCTATTTCCTTCACTTTGGCATCTCTCACATGTTAATGCCACCACACTCCTTCATCTCGGGCCCTGATCTCAGAGCATCAAAACTCATTGTTTCGCAAGTCCTCAGGCTCAAAAATGTTAAGTGAGTTCATGTTTTTCGATTCTGAAGGTATGTTCATTGTATTGTTTTTGTCATAATGAGTCTTTTTGCCTTTAGCGTATATATGAAAATACTTGTGGATGAAACGATATGCTATCTCAAATTTATTTCAAAATAACGTGGGAGGAGATAAAATAAAGTGGGTATATTATTCTATCTCTTATTATATGTGCTTGAACTTTTTCATAAGTTTTTAAAAACTTTTGTTTTCCTCAATCATCACCTTCCATCACTTTGAACCTGCTCTTCTTTTGCTTAAATGCATCACTGTCCCCTGCATCCCAACTTTCTGGGACACTCACCAGGGGAAAACAGAGATTGACATGTGAAGCTGAGTCAATTCAGTTGCTCATGACATAAGTGGTTGAGTAGAAGATACTGGTGCCAAGCCAAACATTTTTTTTTATTTTTTTGAAACAAAGGGACCATCTATATTTTTTAAAGAAAAATAAGAGAGCTGAGTTATCCTGCCACCCCACAATGTTTCCAACTTTGTGACTCTCTAAAAAGAAGACAAGAGAACATCCCAAATCCACGGTTCTGTTGTTTCCTTTTGTGAACCACCTTTCCCTTTTCTCATCTACTTAGAAACCATCTACTGAAGCTTTGAGATTCTGCTCAACCATCATCCTGTCTGTTGTATTCCTGAATCTCTGTCTCCCATAGGCAGAATCAAATACTTTTTCATTGAAATTCCTACAGGACATTATACCCACTTGCTTTTTTAGTACTCACTGTGGAATATAAGTTATTAGTTTACATGTGTTCGGCATTGTGCTGATGTGGATGGAGAACTAACTTAGGTCATCTCCCCAAAACTCTAACCTCTGAGTTTTCCTCTCCCTCCTTTCCTCTCCTTCATACCCCAATTAGCATAGTGTATTGGAAAAAGTGGATGTTCAATGAAAGTTTGAAATGAATCAGACAGAATCTAATTTCTTCATATTTGTTGCTCCTTTTTTCTCCTAATATTCATACATCAAGTCTTCTTTCCTAATCTCCCCAACCCAAAAGGGCTCCTTCTTCTGAACTCACAATTTTTTTTTTTTTTTGAGATAATGTCTTGCTCTCTTGCCCAGTGGGGAGTGCAGAGGCACAATCTCGGCTCACTGCGACATCCGCCTCCCAGTTCAAGCGATTCTTGTGCCTCAGACTCCTGAGTAGCTGGGATTACAGGCATGTGCTCTCAGACCCGGCTAATTTTTGTAATTTTAGTTGAAACAGGGTTTTGCCATGTTGATTAGGTTGGTCTCGAACTCCCGCCTCAAGTGATCCGCCCACCTTGGCCTCCCAAAGTTCTGTGATTACAGCATGAGCCACTGCGCCCAGCCCACAATTTTTTTTTCCCTTCATAGCACAAATGTCATAATCTGCTTTGATTTTGGTGTGATGTATCCCATCTCCTTTCTTGTCCAAGACTTTTGAGAACAGTGATCATGCCTTTTCCTCCTGCTACTTTCTATACTTCTTGAGTGCACTTGATAAATTTGTTGAATTGAATATTTGAGTGTAAAAGAAATGAGGAGAATCTCTCTTTCTTATATGAGATCAGCAGTACCAAAGACTTGAAATCCAAGATCTCTCTAAATGATTTCATGAGCTCCATTATTCACTGAGGGAATAAAGAGGTCTGTGTAGGCTACCACACTTGACAACATGAGTACTCATGCAGTTCTTTAAGGTTTTCAGAATTATGCAACAGACTTGAACCATTTCATTACTTAATTCTCACAAAAACACAATAATTAAGGACTTGTATCTCCATTTTAGAGTTGAAGAAACAAGTTACATTAGTAGCAGTTTCAGAGACAGAGTTAAGAATTTTATCCCAAGCCTTTTTGTGAATCCAACTCCATTGTCTCCTCACTCCTAGATGCCTGTGTATAAATGAGAATGGGCTTAGCCCGTCTAATACTTCTCACCCATTACAGGTAATTTAAAGAAGCATTATAGCAAAGGGAGTTAGGAAAAATCTTCTGAAACCAGATTGTGTTCAAATTCTGGTTCTGCCTAGCTGTACGACCCAGGACAAGCCAATAATCACTCTAAAGAGGGGGCAAAAAATTACTTCAATCGCCAGTACTCTGCACTATATGTAATGGTTTGCTTTTATTACTACTTTGAATATTTTTTTAAAGAGTAGAGCATATGCAATATATTTTGTATAATGGGAAAGGAAGAAGTATTTAGTAGCTTTTTGAGATCAATTTTTGAGACTAGTTCTAAGATATTTATGGCATTCACATCTAAAATCCCTTTCATATTCTCTACAACCTTTCCAAACATACTTAGTTTGCAAAATCAGATTGGAAATTATACAGGAATAGTTTTTCTCATAGTATTTCAGTACTTTCAGTTCCATTCCAGCTGGAGTCTAAAATATCATAGGATGCAGAAATGTAAAATTATGTGAAAACAAAATAATCCAAATGTATTTTTTATCCATTTTCAAAAAACATGTTTTTAGTTCACATGTGGAATAAACATAAATTATGCTATTTATTTGATATTATTGGAATATGAATTAATCATCTCAATAACTGGGCAACACACTGAGCACTATGCTGATGTCTGGTTGTGAAATAAAACTAGCAAAGTTATAAACATGGATATAGAATTTATTTAATCATTGAGTCTATAAATATCTATCTCATATGAGAGGTGGTGCTATAGAAAAAGCACACCTTTTAAAAGTACTCCACATGGGGCTTATACCTCCTGGTATAAGGAGAAATAAAATAAGTGAGTAATCACATCCTTTATGATGGATGCTGTGGAAGGAATGCACAGAGTGATATGAGCTGCTAGACTGGGAAGCAGAAGGGTGACTTTACATAGGGCTAATTTGGAAAGCAGCAAGAGGGAGTGGAAAAGACGAGGCAGAGACAGAGGTCTTATGATGGTGACCCTTGAGGCCATTTCACAGAATTTGGTGACACTGTATTATGAAAAAATAAAGAAATATCAACCATAGAGAGATGAATTACCAACAGTATTGGGTTTTCTTTTTTCATTTTCATGCTCACTCTACGTATATTTTTGTTCCTATCAGTAAAATTCTTCGTTTGGTTCAAATGTAGTTAAAATAGCTTAGACAAAGGTCAACATTGTCCAAGATTCACGTGGTTGTATGTCCCTTTTTTTCCTTTTGGCATAAAAGTGCTACTCATATTAAAAATTTTTGAATAAATAACAGAAATTAAAAATAAAATAAAGGTCACCCACAATCCCAAAACCTAAAAGTGAATGTTATTAATATGTTGGTCTATTCCTGAAGCAGGTTTGTTTCCAAAGTCCTGTTTGCGGTTATCTCACCTTTGTGAAATGAGGTTAAATAAAGCAGGCAGCAGATTCAGTTTAGAAAAAAGACAAGTGGCAGCAGAGGTCATACTGATACTCAGAGTTCAGATAGTAACAGGCATGCTTTGGCTTAAAAGTTACAATTCATCAGCAAAAAATGTTGTGGTCAGAACAGTATTGCCAGAGAAGTGTTTTGATTTCAAATATTGCTAAATCTTATCTCTCTGAGTAGTTGTGTCAATAAGAGATAAGGTCCTGCCTCACTTTGGAAGTAATAGCTTTAAGAGAAAGAGACCCTCAAGGAATGAGCCTTGTTCTGATGGGCAGAGGCTCCCGTGATGGGTGGTGATGCTTTTGGCCCTGACAGGGTCCCAGCTGGGCCCCAGTCCATAACAAGGCCATGGCAGGGAATATTATTCATTCATATCATTTGAGACCCAGTTTTTCATAACGATCAACATCATATTTCCTCTACCTTCTCTCTCTCCAACTCTCAGACTTAGAAGCCTATAGGTTATAACCTGCTTTTTGAGGCAGTACTGAACTTACAGACCTTAGAACCACCCTCCACTAGACAGTGTGAGACTTGTGCTTCAGGGGCTCAGAACACACAACATGTTCGTCACTTCAACCCTAAGAACAAGCAAAGACATTGAAAACAAAGTACCAGCAGACGCCAAGTCTTTTAACAAGAGGAGTCTATCCATAGCCACTCAAATAAGAATACGCTGATTTGAAGAATCTTCTGCTGGGAACCGGGGATGGGAAATTAGAGGTAGAGATGATTAGACCACTCTTAACTGTTCTCTCATTTTTTCATTTTACACAATAATGAGACTTTTCCCTTTTGCAGCTCCTAGTGTCAAAGAACTGATTAGACTGAATGATGAACATAGGCTAGGGGAAATTAAAGTACATTGATTTTATCTCAGGAATCACTTGGAAATTATTTCTTCCAAGTATGTATGTATGTGTGTGTATATATATATCTTCAAAATTATATATAGTATATAATATATAATCCAAGTATATATATGCATATATATGTACATATATATTCTATATATTTATCTATTAGTGTGGGTGTGCATTCATTATTGTAAATAACAATTCTGTATCTTTTTCATTAAACATAAGCATCTCTCCATGTCATAAATTAATCCCCAAAAACACCTTATTGAATGACTAATAATCTATCATCCAGATATATCATAGTTTGTTTAATAAAAAGTACCCTATTGCCGAACTTTCAGTTGGCTTTCAATGTTATAAATGATACTATAATGAACATCCTAGAATATTTATCTTTTTCTAGTCACTATTGGTTTTTTAGATTAAAATCCTAAGATACAGATCCAGTATGATCAATCATTTGTAGATTTGTTAAGTTTCTTGACCTGTATTGTCAAATTGCTCTTCTCACTAAACCCAGCAGCATTAACGATCTTTTAAAAAATATTTACTGGCGTTACTTTTAATAAAATTTAAGGTATCAGTCAGAGTCACTTTTTATTTTCCTATTTCTCTTTATTTCTATCTTCTTAGGAGGTAGGGAGACCAAAATAAGACTTGCAAAAAATTATTAACCACAGCTAAAACACACACACACACACACACACACACACACACACACACGCACACGCACACACACACACACATGAGCACGTAGTTAAAAAAAGGCACACAAGGTTGGTCTATGTGTTTATTTTTCAGAAACATTGTTTTCTTAGGACCATTCCAGTGACCTTGGTTAATACGGCTTTTGAATCCCGCATGGCCAACTTTGACTATTTTCAAGTAGAGAAATTCCTAGAACTTATTTGGATACTAATACACTTGAAACAATATGAACCATGGGTTAACATTATGCATTTAAACTACGCAGAAGAGGTCAGGCATGGTGGCTCACACCTGTAATCCCAGCACTTTGGGAGGCTGAGGCAGGAGGATCACCTAAGGTTAGGAGTTTGAGACCAGCCTGGCCAACATGGCAAAACCCCATTTCTAGTGAAAAAATAAAAATAAAAAAAGCAAAAATTAGCCGGGCGTGGTGGCGGGCACCTGTAATCCCAGCTACTCGGTAGGCTGAGTCAGGAGAATTGCCTGAACCTGGGAGGCGGAGGTTACAGTGAGCTGAGATCATGCCATTGCACTCCAGCCTAGGTGACAGAGCAAGAGACACCGTCTCATAAATAAATAAATAATAAATTACAAAGCAGAATGTCAGAATAGTTTGACTCAGGGAATAATGTAGAAATAGCATGGTTTAAACATTTAGATTTACAATCTACATTGTGCTTGTTTCATTTAACTATTTCTAAGTGAAAATAATTTATCCTTTGAAATATTTTAGAAACATTTCGTTTTACTAAAATATGTAATAAATTAAAACTTCATTTTGTGGGATTCAGCTGAACTGGTAAAACAAGTTCTTTTCTATAGCGGTCAAATCAGGCGCTGTTTTACTTCTAACAACATGTTATCTTTTTCATATTTGTCATTTCCTTTGTGGAAATTGTAAAAGAGATTGACCAACTTTTCCCCATAATGCTCATTTTCCTCACTACCTACCTATAATTTATCTATTTTTATACATCCTTCTTATTTAAAATTTAAATATTACAAACAAGGCCACCGTACCTTTGACAATAATCCTAAATTCCAATCCCCCTTCACAGAGCCAATAATTGCTACCAGGTTAATGTGGATACTTCTACACTTTTTGTTCTATGAATTTGTAACAATCAATAGTTAACAATGAAAATATATAGTGTTGTTTTGTGTTCCTCTTTTATATAAATGGTATAATAATACACTTACCGTGAGACCAGAAATCTAATTGTTTTTCCTTAACAGTGCCTTCTTTCTTTTAACTGCTGCATTATATCCTATATTGCATCATCTAGCAATCTCTCTATACATAGACATTTAATTCTCTTCCAGTTCTTGGCTGTTAGAAATAAGACGGTGCAATGAACAAGCTTGTACATGCCTCTTTTTGCACCTAAGCAAGTAGCTCTAAGCAAAAATAATGCAAATTAGAAATTCTGGGCCATAAGTTATGAATATTTGTATTTTAATAAATATTCTACAAAATTAATTTCAAAATGGTTGTACCATTTTAGTTCGCGTCAGTTGATTATGAGAGTACCCATTTTCCAATACTTTAGAATAAACTCGATTTTGTTAAGTCTTTTATTTTTTTCTAATTTAAACAGTTGAAAACAAGTGATGCTGGACATCTTTGAATACGTTTATTGGTCAATTATATTTACTCTTTTGTAAATGGCTGTTTTATTTTCTTTGCTTTTTTTTATCTCATTGTATGTGTATTTTTATTTCTCTCTGGAAGGTCACGTGTATTCTGGCTACTAATCCTTTGTCTATTATATATGTTGTAAAATTTTCTTCTACTGGTTTAAAAAATTTTGTTATGTTTTACTATCATGAGTTTTAAATTTTGATGAACTTGAACTGCTTAATTTATTATTCTGTGTCTTTCTATTTTTTTAATTAAAATACCTTCTTAAACTTAACATCAAAAAGACATTGCAATATAGTATAATACTTTTATGGCATTATATTTATGCTTAGATGATAACTATCTGAAATTTGTTTTTATGAATAAGAACTATGTATTTCTAAATAAGTAGATAATTCTTCCAAGAACTTACATTAAGTAATATACTTTACCCATTTAAAATGCCACTTTTATCATTGAGTAAATAATCATATATATTTTAGTTCATTCTTAGATTCCTAGCCCACTCCTTTGATCTAGTTTTCAATTCCTGTCCCAGCACTACATTATTTTGATTAGTATAATTCTATAACATGTTTGATACATATTAGGCATATTTTTAGTTTTCTCCTATAGATTTATTTTTATTATTTTTACATATTCTCTCTTCTTTATGGATTTTAGAATAAGTTTTACATTTCCATAACACATCCTCTTAGTTCGTGTTAGTACTGTACTAAGTTCATAGACTATTTTGTAGAGAACAGACATCTTTTTTTTAAATTTTATTATTATTATACTTTAAGTTTTAGGGTACATGTGCACAATGTGCAGGTTAGTTACATATGTATACATGTGCCATGCTGGTGTGCTGCACCCATTAACTCGTCATTTAACATTAGGTATATCTCCTAATGCTATCCATCCCCCCTCCCCCCACCCGACAACAGTCCCCAGAGTGTGATGTTCCCCTTCCTGTGTCCATGTGTTCTCATTGTTCAATTCCCACCTATGAGTGAGAACAGGCGGTGTTTGGTTTTTTGTCCTTGTGATAGTTTACTGAGAATGATGATTTCCAGTTTCATCCATGTCCCTACAAAGGACATGAACTCATCATTTTTTACGGCCGCATAGTATTCCATGGTGTATATGTGCCACATTTTCTTAATCCAGTCTATCATTGTTGGACATTTGGGTTGGTTCCAAGTCTTTGCTATTGTGAATAATGCCGCAATAAACATACGTGTGCATGTGTCTTTATAGCAGCATGATTTATAATCCTTTGGGTATATACCCAGTAATGGGATGGCTGGGTCAAATGGTATTTCTAGTTCTAGATCCCTGAGGAATCGCCACACTGACTTCCACAATGGTTGAACTACTTTACAGTCCCACCAACAGTGTAAAAGTGTTACTATTTCTCCACGTCCTCTCCAGCACCTGTTGTTTCCTGACTTTTTAATGATCGCCATTCTAACTGGTGTGAGATGGTATCTCATTGTGGTTTTGATTTGCATTTCTCTGATGGCCAGTGATGGTGAGCATTTTTTCATGTGTTTTTTGGCTGCATAAATGTCTTCTTTTGAGAAGTGTCTGAGAACAGACATCTTAAAAGTATTGAAACTTCCCATTCACGAACAAAATTGTTTTCCTCACTTATTTAGGTTTTCTTTTATGCCCTTCAGTAAAGTCTTGTCAGGATTGTTCCTAAGTATTTGATATGATGATTATAAATAAACCTCTTGTTCTTATTTTATTTTCTAACTGACTCCTATTGTTGTGAATAAAAGCTATAGTTTATTTTATGTTGAGCATATACTTAGCTATTTTGATTAAACTTTCTTACTGGCTTTAAAATTTGTCACTTTGGGGTTATCAGGTAAATTCTTATCTGCAAATTGTGAAAATGTTGTAACTCCCTTTCCAATATTTGAAATGTTTTCCTTATTTTATTACATTAGCAGGGACCTTGAGTTAAAAGTTAAACAGTTGTCTTCTAGTCAACAATGGGCCTGCTTCTAATATCTCACTATTAAGGATAGTGCTTATTCTCGGTAGATTCTTTTATGAAGACAAAGAAGTTACCTTATATTTCTTTATTTTACAAAAGTTTTTTAATTATTATAAACATATTTCCTTCAGAATGCTTTTCCGAAATCAAGTGAGATGATTGGATTTCCCTCCCTAAATATATTAATGTAGTGAATTCCATAAAAAGATTTCTAATGTTGAGCCATCTTTATGTTCCCAAGATAAATCCATACTTCATTATGCTATTATTTTTAATTGCTGTTTTCAATGTGTTACCATTTTATTATACATTTTGTATCCATAGTAATCCTGTTTAAGATAGAAACTTTTATGCAGTGGCTTATGCCTGTAATCCCAGCACTTTGGGATTGAGCCCAGGAGTTGGAGACCAGCCTGGGCAACATGGCAAAACCCCATCTTTACAAAAAATATACAAAAATTAGCCAGGCATGGTGGCGCATGCCTATGGTCCCAGCTACTTGAAAGGCGGAGGTGGGAGGATTCCTTGAGCCTGGGAGGCCGAGGCTGCAGGGAGCTCTGATTGTGCCACTGCACTCTCCATCCTGGGTGACGGAGTGAGACACTGTCTCACACCAAAACAATAACAACAAAAAAATACTTGCTCATAAAAAAATCTGAGTCTGGAACCTTAGTGGGGGCTGAGAGGTAGGGAAAATCATTACTTTATGACCACTTCAATGTCTATTATTTTTTCTCTATTTAGATTTTCCTGTTCTTTTGGAAGTTTAATCAAATTAGCCAAATATAGGCTCAACATATAATAAACTGTGGCTTTTATTCACATCAATAACAGCCAGTTAGAAAATAAAATATATACCTCTGTGTCTGTTACTACTTTTTCATTATTTAGGTTTTTCAGTTCTTCTTTTGCCAATTTTAGTAGTTTTGAAATATATAGAGATATTCCTCTTATTTATTAATTTTTAAGATCCATACTTTATTTTGTCTTAATCCTAATTTTCAAAGGTTGATTTATTTTATATGACCTATTAATGAATTCATTTTTTCCAAATTATTTCAATGAATAGTTTCATTTATTCATTAATTGTTATATTTACCTTTCTTCATTCCTTTCTTGGATTTATTTTTGTTCTTTTTTTTAGATTGTTAGAATGATTGCTTAGTTCTTTTGTTTTTAACCTAAGTTTTTTTTTTTTCTTTTTTTGAGACAGAGTCTCGCTCTGTTACCCAGACTACAGTGCAGTGGCGCGATCTCAGCTCACTGCAGACTTTGCCTCCCGGGTTCAAGCAATTCTCTGCCTCAGCCTCTTGAGTAGCTGGGATTACAGGCGCCCGCCATCACGCCCGGCTAATTTTTGTATTTTAGTAGAGACGGCCAGGCTGGTCTTGGACTCCTGATCTCGTGATCCACCCACCTCAGCCTCCCAAAGTGCTGCGATTACAGGCGTGAACCACCGCACACAGCCCTAAGTTTTTAATAAATGCATTTAAGATGACAAAATTTCCTAAGTATTCCTTTGGCTACATATCACAGGTTTTGAGAAATGTATTATGATATATATATACAGATAGATATATAGATACAGATAGATATAAGCTTTCATCCACAGTTCCTGGCTTATAATTCCCATAGCCCTTGTTTTTTCCTAACTGATTAAACAATGAGCATATATTTTATTAAAGTATTTGGCCTTTGTTCTTGGTTCCTGAAGCAGCTTCAGAATAGTTTCAGAGCAATAACGGTAAAAGATAGTATCTTGTTGTAATGTTGGGGCACTTTAGGCCTCAGAAACAGGCCTCAGAAAACAGAATATCTCTCTCTGACCCTCTCACTCCCTCCTTTCACCTTCTCCTTTTTCTCCCCAAGACAAGCCGCAGAAACTAAAATCTACTCTAATTTCCCCCAACCTTTCTGTCTTAGAGCTGGCCATAAAGAAATTCTCTGACCTACCTTGTCTGATTGTAGGTCATAAGACCCTCATTTCAGAAGAGGTCCTGCCCATACCTGGAAGGGATGCTACACAGTGAGACCAAGAAGACTGAACAGAGAGGCCTTTCTGGGTTTCCCCTCTGAGTCTATTAGCATCAGCTGTATCCCTTTTGTTCCATCACATTTCTACATGGTTGCTCAGTCTTCAATCGTGCCCATTCAGTGAAATCTCCATAAGACGCCCAAAGAGGATGGGGTACAGAGAGCTTGGACAGCTGAACACAAAGAGACTTACAGGAAAGTGAACAAGACTCATCTACAGTAGGGTGGGAGCACCCTAACTCCATGCGAATGGAAGCTCCTGCACTTGGTACCTTTTCAAACCTCGCACTATGAATTTCTTTATCTGGCTTTTTATTTATATCCTTTAAAATATCTTTTATAATAAATGGATAAATGTGTTTCCCTGAGTTTTGTGAGCTGCTCTAGCAAATTGACTACGCTTAAAGAGGGGGTTGTGGGAACCCCAACCGGAAGCTGGTAGATCAGAAGTTCAGAGGCCTGGACTTGCGACTGGTGTCTGACGCGGGGCAGTCTTGTGGGAACTGACACTATCTCCTGGAAGATGACATAAGAATTGAATTGGATTAGAAGACGCCCAGCTGGTGTCCACTACAGAACTGATTGCTTGCTTGTTGGTTGGGAGAAATCTCCACACATTGGGTAAAAGAAGTTTGCTGTGTTGATTGCTGTGGTGTAAGAGCAGAAGAAAAAGTTATTTTCTACACAGTATGTAATGGTCTTATTTTGAATCTATTCTAAACATACTTTTTGCAATCTTTGCTAACATAAAAATTTACATTTTCTTTACTTATTTAATTTGCTATATAGCCTTATTATCCTTTGTATTCCTTGGATACTCAGTGGAGATGAAATGTTTATTCTCTGAAAATAGAAAAGCCATGTAGACTACAGAGATCATACTGGGTGACTAGAGATTGAATAGTGCACAATATTTCAATCCTATAAACATGGATCCTTAACGTGTGACCTGGAGAAAATATTATCCATGTAATGTCCTCTAGTCTTCCAAAAAGACTTAACACTCCCTTGAGAAGGAGAACAACAATAATCAGTTGAGACTGGAACTCAACAAGCAGGCTCACATTATTAATATTTTTATTTCTAGGCTCTAGAAAAAAGGCTGCTTCTAATTATACTCAAGGTCCAATCCATTGTAATTTTTTTAAAAAATATTAACAGTTCCCCCTTGTAGCCTTGGTCAAACATTAAGCCCTAAATTGGTAAGGATGTCTATTGGACTGAAAAAGATATTTCTCAGTGTCTGGGAAAGGAAGAATTGGTCAGATGGTGTGAAGTTCAACTGTGGAACTCATAATCTCTGGCAAATTATGCTGCTTCTAACAAAAACATTCATGCACACTCATATCCTTTCTTACACCAACTTAATACAGAATTCTGCTAATTTAACTAAGGTAAATGTTTCACACAAAACCCAATTTTGCAGACATTTTATTTTTCTTTTATGTTTTGATTGTCACCTTTCAGCTCAAAGGGTTTTAGGGAGCTAGAAACTCTATTTTTGCAGTGTACAGACTTTCCGTTTCTCCTTTTCATTCACATTTCTAAAGATGATTGGTTATGAATTTAATCTTGTTAACACCATGACCTTTTCACCACCAAGTTTTAAGAATTACCTGTTAGACCACTGTATGATACCACTAGCAAGTAAAGTACTGGGGATATATGAAGTTATCAGGCAGAGCAGTATTTGTTCCCTATCAATGTGTATCTAACAAAACATTACACAGAATACTTTCTGCCTGCTTTAAAACATTTCGATTAATTTTCTTTTTTGTTCTAAGATGAATAATATTTACATTTCAATTAAAATTTAACTAAATTTGGCAAGCCATGGGGAGTTCAAAAGTTTGTGAAGGTCCAGAAACCTTAATATTTTATTTGAATTGAATACTCACTTTTTAACCTTAGCCATAAAGCTATATTGGTCTGTTTCCCACTTAGAACTCATCAATTCTTGTACATTATTCAGTAATTGGTCAAGTACCTGTGACCCAGGAGTTGCTGATGTGACATTGTCCTTAAAGAAATAATATTTTGCAAATAATTCATGATACCTGTAAAGAACTTTTGGGGTCCTAAGTGGTGGAGACAGATTGTGACTGTATTTACTGATTTTTACTAGAAAGTTGCTCAACTCACTACTTAACCCTTGCCTAAATGGTTGTGTGTTAGCATATACAAATTAAGTGTACATATCAGATCTAATTTGTAAGTTTTATTGGTTATTATAAAAAAAAAAAAAACCTTTCATTTTGGCCGGGTGTGGTGGCTCATGCCTGTAATCCCAGCACTTTGGGAGGCCGAGGTGGGCAGATCACGAGGGCAAGAGATCGAGACCATCCTGGCCAACATGGTGAAACCTTGTCTCTACTAAAAATACAAAAAACATTAGCTGGGCATGGTGGCAAGGGCCTGTAGTCCCAGCTACTGGAGAGGCTGAGGCAGGAGAATCGCTTGAACCTGGGAGTCGGAGGTTGCAGTGAGCCGAGATCACTCCACTGCACTCTAGCCTGGGCAACAGAGCGAGACTCCATCTCAAAAAAAAAAAAAAGAAAAAAAAAACCTTTCGTTTTAAGAGTAAATCTTAGAACTAATAGCAATCAACTGCCAAATAATAAAACCTTGTTAATAAAATATTAACAAATCGAAGGAAAAACTCTGAGGTTTTTATTAAAAATTGTATACTTGTATCTACCTTTATTCTTTTAAAGAGAAACAGAAAGCCTTGTCTTTGATTTTTAATTAGTAAATATGATGAATTTGTATTAAGTGAAAGAGGTTTTTAATTTCTACTTGTGTAAAACATTTACCTCCCTTAAATTATAGTCATGAAAATGAAGACAAAAATCAAAATACAGTCTCTGCCATCAAAGTCAAAGAACATGATCTTTTTTTATCTCCAGGTTAATTTTTAGTGTGAAAGCAAACTATCGTAAGCACAATCACATCCTCTTATAATGGTGAAATTCACCTTGTTTTGAGGAGAAAGGTTGCTGTGGAACTTCTTTTGAGAATTGTCTATTCATGTCGTTAGCCCACTTCTTTATGGGATTGTTTTTTTCTTGTTAATTGGTTTGAGTTCCTTGTAGATTCTGAATATTAATCCTTTGTCTAATGCATAGTTTGTGAAAATTCTCTCCCACTCTGTGGGTTGTCTGTTTACTTTGCTGATTATTTCTTTTGCCATGCAGAAGCTTTTTAGTTTAATTAAGTCCCATCCATTTATCTTTGTTTTTGTTGTGTTTGCTTTTGGGTTCTTGGTCATGAACTCTTTGCCTAAGCCAATTGTCTAGAAGAGTTTTTCGATGTTATCTTCTAGAATCTTTATGGTTTCAGGTCTTAGATTTAAGTCTTTGATCCACCTTGAGTTGATTTTTGTATAAAGTGAGAGATAAGGATCCAGTTTCTTTCTTCTACATATGGCTTGCCAATTAATCCACACCATTTGAACATTTGAATCGGGTGTCCTTTCCCCACTTTACTTTTTTTTTTTTTTTTTTTGCTTTGTCGAAGATCAGTTGGCTGTAAGTATTTGGCTTTATTTCTGGGTTCTCTATTCTCTTCCATTGGTCTATGTGCCTAGTTTTATACCTTTCCATGTTCTTTACACAGTAGATTGTATTTTGATTCTTATGGTTATTAAACACAGAGCCTATAGCTACTTGGCTGTTGTTTGTTTGTCTAGACACAGGGTCTTGCTGTATTGTCCAGACTGGAGTGCAGTGGCACAGTCATAGCTCACTACAGCCTTAACCTCCCAGGCTCAAGTGATCCTCCCACCTCAGTTTCCCAAGTGAGTAGCTGGGACTACAGGTGCACGCCACCACACCCAGCTAATTAAAATAATTTTTTAGTAGACATGGGGGTCTTCCCTTATTGCCCAGACTGGTCTCAAACTCCTGGCTTAAAGTGGCCTTCCTGCCTTGGCCTCCCAAAGTGCTGGGACTACAGGTGTGAGCCACCATGCCTGACCAAGCCTGCAGCTACTTGTAACCCAGTCCTGTAAATGCTCAATGGTCCTGGTCTTTGCTCTTTGGCTATGGCTGCTTGCCAGCTAGTTTATAAGCTGCATTGGCTTCTCGGCTCAATACATTTATCTTACAAACTCATTCTAGAGCATAAAAAAGGTATATATTTTTTCTACCTACATACTTATGGCTATCAGCTCACTAATCCAGCTCAATTATCTAGATATCTTGTTGGTATGCATTTATTACCCATGGCCACCTGATCCAAAGTGCTGATGTATTTAGTATCTCTTCAATGATAAATTAATTTTATGTATAGCAAAGACTAGTTTATCCCCTAATTTGATTAAGCGATAGAAAATCAATTAATGACAAGCCATTCACTTACTCTGGTAACCTTAAAAGTCAGTCAACATGCATGTTCTATGTTCTTATTGAATTTAAGGTATTATCTCCGGGAAATTATCTGAATTGCCAAATTCACCTAGAATTGCTAGAATTAGGCAAACTTATGTTATTACATGTTTCCTTCCTGTGTATTTTTCCTTCCTGCCCCCTCTCTTTTATTCTTTTTCTCATTTCATCTTTTGAATACAAAGTAAATAATGATTACATTCCATTTACATGGTCACAAGAAAAATATCTAAATTTCATCTATATACTTGGAAACACATCACTACCAGTCATAAAATGGGAGCTAATATTCATTGTATGTGCTAATTGCTCTACATGTGCTATTTCATGGCCATTCTAGGAGGAATGAATACTATCATTATGAGTCCTGTTTTGCAAATTGGCATAGAGAGGTTAATTAGAGTACCCAAGGTCATACAGATAGTAATAGTGACATCAGGATTCACTCAAATTATCTAACTCCAGAGCCTAGAGCCTAGGAGTGCTCATTCATGTACACACAAACACACTCTCTCTCTCACACACACACACACACACACACACACACATATATACTATGTATATTAACATTTAAACTTCATAATAACCTTTAAAGTAAGCACAAAAGTGTATTCTATACAAATAGAAAAACCGAGGCACAGAGAGATTAAATAATTTGCTCAAGTTAACACAATTGATAGGTAGACAAACTGGGAGCCCAAGCATTTTAGCTTCAGAATCTGTGCTTTTAACTGTTATAGTCTTTCTCTGTGAAAAATGATCATAGCAAAAACATGCCATTTCTAGCAATAAATATGTGTCTATATGGAGACACATTTGCAGAAATAGAATGTACCACAAATACACTTATTTTTGTTCTGAAGCATCTTTATTTTCCATCTCTATTGCCAATGTTTTTTTTATTTTTGTAGTACCTTTTTTATATATATACTTAAAGGTCTAGGGTACATGTGCACAACGTGCAGGTTTGATACCTAGGTATATGTATGCTATGTTGGTTTGCTGCACCCATCAACTCATCATTTACATTAGGTATTTCTCCTAATGCTATCCCTCCCCCAGTCCCCCACCCCCCAACAGGCCCCAGTGTGTGATGTTCCCTGCCCTGTGTCCAAGTGATCTCATTGTTCAATTCCCACCTATCAGTGAGAACATGCAGTGTTTGGTTTTCTGCACTTGTGATAGTTTGCTGAGAATGATGGTTTCCAGCTTCATCCATGTCCCTGCAAAGTACACGAACTTATCCTTTTTTATGGCTGCATAGTATTCCATGGTGTATATGTGCCACATTTTCTTAATCCAGTCTATCAGGCAGTTTCCCAGTGCTGGCAAAACCTGTACACATTTGTATTACACAAATTCCACATATGTTTCTGATTCATCCCAGTTATTAGTAATTAATATTTTTGCTGGTCTTTACATTTACATTTGGCTTATTTATTCTAAATGAGAATCAAATACAAAGGGAAGATATATTTGGGGTCTGAGAATGGAATTAAGGTGGATGGCAACTTCAATTTGTGAAATGATATTTAAAGAAATCTGAGTTAGAAAGATATATTAAAACACAGTCTATTCACACTCAGATCACATTCACAGTATGAGGTGCTAATTGATAAAAACATGACATTGATGACAACAGATTAATTCCAGATACAGTCTCCATAATATTATGACTAGAGGAGCAGTAATGAACTTTTCATTGTTATTATGCAGTAGAGAGAACCATAATTGTTTCACCCAGTGTGACTATTTGATTAATGTTTGTCATAGTCTCCATTCCCTACGTTCCATATTCACTCAGATACTAGGCCTGTTTTAAATCACTAGTGTATGCTCAATGTTGGGCCCAGAGAAGGCCCTCAATAAATAATGAATGAATGAATGAATGAATGGATGGATGAATGAATGGAGGTATAATAGTGACTGAAATTTAAGTGCATAGAAGCCTAAATTCAATCCCCCATATACCACATATGAAGCCAATGGCACCAAGTTTAAGTTTATTTCACCAGATGGAGGGCCAAACTGGTACAGTAGCTCCTACCTTGATGGAATGGCTGAGTTATGACTAGGAAGACAACTGTGACCAGAGCTGGCAGCACCTGGAGACATTCGTCTCTATTTATTCCCTGATTCAAAATAAAAGAATTACTCCTCAACTGAAGCTATGACCCTGTGGATTACTCCTTCCTCCTTGACACTATTTCTTTAGCTGGCTCCCAAGACGCCACATTCTCCTTGGTTTCTCCTATCACACTCTTCGCTCATTTGGGTTCTTTTGCTGGTTTCCCTTCTTCTTCCCCACTTCTTGTCTTTTCATTCTTTTAATAGTGTCTTTAGAAGTGTAGACTTTTTAAGTTTTAGGAAGTCCTATTTATTATATTTTTATTTTATGGAGTATGTTTTTGGTGCTACAACTAATAAACCTCTGCCTAACCCAAGATCACAAAGATTTTCTCCCGTGTTGTCTTCAAGAAGTTTTACAATTTTCAATTTAACATTTAGGTCTATGATCTATTTAGAGTTAATTTTCATGTATGGTGGAAGATATGAATTGAAGTTCATATGAATTAGCCATTGAGGAAATATAAATTAAAACCAAGATAACTTATCACCACATATTAAAATGGCTAAAATAAAAATTGCTGATTATGTCAAATAAAAAAATAAAAATTGCTGACTATATCAAGTGCTGGTGAGGATGTGGAGCAGCCCATACATTGCTGGTGTGAGTGCAAAGTGATGCTGCCACTTTGGAAAATAATTTGTAAGTTTCTTGCCAAGTTAAACGTGCATTGCCATACGACTCAGCAATCTCACTCATAGTATTTACCCTCAAGAACTGAAAACTTATAGTCACATGAAAACATGTATATGAATATTTATAGGAACTGTTTTTATAATTGCCAAAACTGGAATCAGCCAATATGTCCTTCACTGGGTGAATGGACAAACAGTTGTTCACACATACAATGGAATACTATTCACCAATAAAAAGGAATGGACATTCAACAACATGGTTAACTCTCAAGGCATTATACTGAGTGGAAAAAGCCAGTTCAAAAGTTTACATAATATATGATTATATTATATGACATTCTCAATTATAAAATAGGGTGATGGAGAACAGATCAATGGTTTTCAGGGAAGGAAGAAGGGAGAAACATGACTCTAAGGGGATAGCATGAGAAGGATTTTTGGGGTGGCAGAACTTTTCTGTATCCTATTTTATATGAACCTATACATTTGCCAAAATTCATATAATGATACTGAAAAAATAATGAAAAACTGCAAATCTAATAGAATTCTTATGCTCATAAATATGTTCAGTTGTGCCTTGCTACCTTCTTTTCTCTGGCAATCTACTCATATCTGAAAGTAAATGGAAAACTAGGAATTGACTGATCAAAATTGACGTTACTAATGAAGTATCAGAGATATATATTAACTTGATAAGATTAATTTTAGTAGAAACCGGTTCTTCTACAGATAATTTTAGCTTCATTCTCATTCTTGTATTTATTCATCTCAGAAATATATATTGAGCGCCTACTATGGGCCAGGAAGTATTTTAGGTACTGCGATAGAAGAGTAAAAAGCAAAGTCCCTGTACTCACATATCTTACTTTCTACTGGAGAGAAATGGACCAAAACCAAAACAAATAAAAAACACACAAATAAGTATAGGGAACATCAGGGGTAAGAATTCCTGTGAAGGAAAAAGCAGAATGGAGGGATGGAGAATGAAGACGGTTGGGAGAAAGAGAGAGTTGCTATTTTAGATGCACTGGTCCTGGAAGGGGCACCAAGAAAGTGATATTTATCTTGGCAAAAACGTGACAGAAGATATGGCTATCTAGATGTTCCAGAAGAGGGTAGAATAAGGACTAAGACCCTGAGGGGATTCTGGATCTGAGGGGTTCACAGAACAGCAAGGAAATGAGAGCAGCTAAAGCAGCATTAGGAGGGTAGCTGTGGCAGTGTGGTGGCCACGGGTCAGGTCTCACAGTGTAGTCCATTTAAAGAGTGAGTGAGTGAGATGCAAAACCACTCGCAGTTTTAAAGAACAGATTCATGATCTGAAATGTGTTTTAAAAATAATTGCTCTGGTCTGGGTAAAGATCAGATCTTAGGGTGGCAGACAGATCAATTATGGTGCTATTGAAATTGCCAGAGTAAGAGATAATGATGACTTGAACTAGGTGGGGATAGAGATGATCAATAGGTTATCAAATTACAAAGCACATTAGCATAAAGACTTACATTACATAAATATCTCAGTGTAATAAAAATATTAAAATGCTAATTTTTGTTCCTCGATAGCCTAGTTAGCATTCTGTAACAAGGCATTGATTTTTCTCAGTTTGATTTTATTATGAAATTATTATATATTTTTCTTATTTGCAGTATTAGGTTAAAGGATAATCTATTTTAAGTGGAAAGATACAGCATATATCAAGATCTCTATAAAAATCCAAGGCCATATTTTGGAAGTTATATTAAACATAATAATGACATAAGGAGATATTTGGAAAAAATGAGATTGATGATTTTCTCCTTGTATCTTACTGGAATTATTTGAGGATAAATAGTTTTTTAGAACAAGCAAGACAAACAAGATCCTCCTCACTGCCAAATCAGTGAACTTCTCAATTTCAAAAGAACTCTTTGGCTACTGCCTAGAGCCATTTCCTCATTTTTGATGACAGCAAATGAGTGGTTCATTTTCTGTTTTACAGTGTTATGCCCTTCAGCAAATTCTGAATAAAACTGCTGCACTTGTTTGGTGAGAACTTTTTCAACATTTCATGCTGAACATATCCACTGTTCATAACCAGAGCAGATAAGTTCAAAGACTAAAGGCAACTTTCGAAACACAAATGCAAAATAAAATGAAAATATAATAATATGAAATCTTAACATTGATTTGCCAATGATCTGTCTTGAGTTGTTTATAAATCTGACCATACCTTTGCAGTGCCAACCCAGGCTGGCAATAAGACATTTAGGACCAAGATTCCGAACAATTCATGCATGTTTCACAGGCCAAAGTTCAACTCATCATTTAAAACTTTTACTCAAGACCTTATAGAATCAAGTCATGCTTTCTACAAGTCAAAACATCTGCTGGTGCGCTGTTCACCTCCTTGTAAACATTGCCTAATGTATGGAGAAAAAAAGTCATATAAAACAAGGTAGTCATGATAAATGTTCAACACTGTCAGCATAGTCAAGAGTCACCATTTCTCCTGAATATATTTGGTGCTGCTTCTATTAAGCAAAATACCTTCCAAACATAAAACTCTGCTATTTAAAATTCAGGCATAAAAACATTTTCCTGGGGCTAATTTATATTTAAAATCTCTACCAATGTCTATGTGTCAGCACTCAACCATGCCCTCAGTTTACTGTCAACACACAGATAGACAAAGATCATGCATAGACCATATTGATCAAATTATTTCTTATCAGAGTCTCATTGAAATGCAAAATGGTTAGTACTTAGAAAACCATATAAATCAATTATCCTAATCTGGAACTTGCAGACAGAATGTCAAATGAAATTTTAAGGTCTTATTTTATCTGCATGTGAAATTGAGAGCTGAGAAATATGAGTTTGCTAAGAATATTTTTGGTTTGTTAATGACAATAACAATGCATGCTCATAAAAAATTATTTTGTCAGGTATGAGTAACTTCTATGGACTTTCTCATTTTTAGCTCATTTATAATAACTTCTAATTCCTGACTTAAACTATAAGGTAGAAAAGATGACGTGGGAAAAGAGAAGAGTAGTTCAGATTCAGTGTTTGAATGTGAGGTGTTTGTGGGACTTTCAAGGAGAGATGTCCAGGAAGCACTGAACTTGTGCATGTCATGGTTTAGGAGAGAAATCTGGGCTAAAGATGCAGGTTTGTGTCAAAGGATATTGGTGCTAGATGCAGCTATGTATGTGGAAAAATAAGGACATATGAGGAAGAAAAGCCCTGGGCACACCAATGTTTATGGGATAGTAGAAGGGAAGTCCCTGAAGAGAAGGGAAAATAGAGGACAAAAACAGGGCATGGTATTAAGGCTAGGGAGGAAAGCATTCAAGGAAGGGAGAATGGCCAACAGCATTATCAGAGGATGCTGAGACATCTGTCTCATGAATTTGACTAGTCTAGGTACTTCATATAAGTGGAATCAGACAATATTTTTCCTTTTGTGGCTGTCTTATTTCACTTAGCATATCATCCTCAAGTTTCATCCATGTTGTAGCCATATGTCAGAATTTCCTTTCTTTTTGAGGCTGAATAATATTCCATTGTACCAGTATGCCATGGATAAGAATTTTAATGTGCATCTGGTAACCTAAACTTTATGGAAATACTGTCTAAAAAAGTTATTAAAAACTGAAAATTGAATTTTGATTGAATTGGTTGAAACAATTGGAAGGTATAGAGTCCTGAAACTACAAACTAATTTAGACAGTTTCTGATAAATAACATTTGTACGTTCTCTAGCATAGAACAATTAATACTGGGAGAAACAAAACAATAATAAGAGTTTAAATTGTATGAGTATATGATTATTCAGATAATTTTGGTCTGTCTTCTTAAATGCTGTAACAGTTTTTTTTTTCCTTTTATACCTTTATTCACATACTTATCTGGTTCTTTTTTTTAGAAGAAATTCCTAGACATAGTATTCCCAGGTCCAAAGTTGGGTGTGTGTGTGTGTGTGTAGTTTTTCTTCGCTTGTTTCTAATTTTATGGAGTTTTCTTTTTTTTTTGAGAAAGACGGGTAGTGGTTGCACAACATTGTGAATATACTGATGCCATTGAATTGTATACTTTAAAATGATTAATTGTATGTGAATTTCACCTCAATGAAGAAAAATGCTGTAATAGTGGGAATTTTCTTTAAGCTTGGAATTGAGGTTGTATTTTTACTACAAATGTCATATCACATGTGTTGGTATACAATGCTGATACATTTATAATTAAATGGATTGATTTAATATTATAGTTCATTATTCATAAAAACAGAAGGAAATGAGCCTTTTAGAGATACATTTGCACACATGGTTCTCTCTGCTCAGTATCTTTTCCAAAGTTTGTTCATCCTGCAAGGCGCAACTTATTGCCATTTTCTTATAAGAGTCTTCCTCATCACATAAAAATAAGTGTTTCCTTCTTTTTATACTCTATTATAGCACTTAGCCTCTGCCTGGTTGGGTCTGTTCCCTCTGCTGAACTGAAGGTTTCTTGAGAACAGGATCATGCTCTCTTCCCCTTTGTATTTATCAATCATATAGTATATATACAGTCAATACTAGTTATGTTAAAACTTACTGTATATAAAGCATTGAGCAATGTCCTTTGGTTGACAGTCACTGTTCTTGAAACACTTAGATATAGTCAGTATAGATCGACCATTCACACATGAACTCACTTAAGGACAAAGGCAAAACACTTATCCAATGCAAAATTATAAGCAATAGAATAAGTTGGTTATAAGACAATTATCTGTAAAATACCATGGGTGTGTATCAAATTATTTCTCATGTAACAAAACACCAAACAGAAAGAATTAATGTGTGCGACCAAATATTGAGCCTTAGATGTGGCTAGTTTTAAAGATCTGAGGATAAAAACATGCAAAACAAGACATTCTGGAGAGATAGAAAAACGACAAAGGGAAGTGTGTCATGGGATCCTGGAAAAGAGATTCTTATTAGGGAAGTGGGCAAAGATAATCTGGGTCTCTAGAAAAAGATTAGAAATCTCTGAAGATGTGAATAATGACAAAATGCCTGTAATAGAGTTACAAATTTACTCACATCTCCACTCAGATTTGGAAAGAAAATGTTGTCTCTTCATTTCTCTGTACCAGTCAGATTGTCTCCATGATGTGCACCTACAGGGTAAGGAGAACAAAAAAGGAAAAATCTAAAATATAGTCCCATTTGAAAAACTAAATCCATTAGAGTATTAGTCCCTGGTAAAATGAGCAGTATCTTAGAGGCCCTCTTCTTCAGCCATTATCTAAATGGTATTTGCAGTTTGGGAGCATACAGCTTATTTGACATCACAGGGGCTGTAGGAAGGGGTTACCTCCTAGGGCCTCACTGGTTTGTGCTGTGGGGCAGCACAAGCCAGTGAGGCCCTGATCTGCTGTATGGGCCAAGTGGCGGTGGAGCATCTGTGCAGTGTTCTCGCATCTGCTGAGAAAGTGTAAGCTGGGGGAACTCAGGGTGTGGACATTCTGGACTTGGTCAGGGCACAGTTTTCTTCCTGTTGACTTAGCCCCTCCTTAAGCCTCACAACCATTTGGCTACACAGCCCCTGAGCCCTGACTTGAGAGTTCTCTAGACCAACCTGACTCTCAATTTACTTCCACCTGTCTCCCTCAGGGCACACAGGTACTTGTGAGTCCTATCTCTGACACACAGGAGGCAGATTAAAGGAGGAAGCCACACTCAGGCCTTCTTTTGGTCTACTCTCCACCACCAAGTGATCTGCTCTATTGGGCCAGCCAAATATGAGAGCCTTTGGGGGCATCTCATTCCATGTCACACATCTTCTCCCATGAGGACTTCAGCCTGGAAAGAGGAGATCTAGACACAAGGGTCTCTCTGGCTTCCTCAATCTGCCATTCCCTTTCTCTTCCATTCAACTCTTCGGACCAACCAGACAAGATTTTCCTTCTTCCTTTTTGACTAGAACCTCTTTTTCACAAAACTCTGTGATTAATCTTGCTAGGCCAGCTTCTAGAAGTTTTAAATGGGAAAAAAGGGAATTTAGAAAATCCTCTCAGATATGTAGTTTTCAAGGCTACTGTCTGTCAGCACACTGCCTTTTAGAATATCTTTCCTTCTCTGCGTTTTTGTTGAAATTCGCCTAATTTCCACTAAATTCCCAAGTCCGACTATGGGAAAAAAACATTCACAAGGAAATATAAAAAACATAAGCACATCACATTTCTGAAAATACTATGTCCATATATTATACCTATCCCCCTAGAACTCTATTCTTTCTCTAACTGGAAAAATATATAGATTATACTCCTGTGCTCTCTGAGATTTTCCTTAAGAGAAAACTGAAGTTTGATTTCTGAACTTCTAATGCACTTTCTTTTCATTAATTTTTCCATGTTTATAGATTCTTTCTGGGTAATTAATGTTACATTCCTTAGTTTTCTAATGTTATAAAAATGTTTACTTTTAATTATTAAGCAATTCATATTAATTTCTGAATCTTAAAGATAAAAGCTAACTGAGTTTGTAAAAGCATTTAAATACCCTCTTTGAACTCCATTGGGTTTATTTATTTTCTTTATGACCAGTTCAGTTCACAATGCTGATTTTAATCCAAATATTTGCCTTCCAAGATGCTGGTTGTACCATTTATAATCCATACTGTACCTCTTTGTAGATTACTGCTTGGCATTGCTGCAAAGTGAAAGAGAATTTAATTTTCCTGATGCTGTTTGATTATATTTACCTACTGAAGTTTTCATTGTGAAACAAGCCCTATGAACATTTACAGAATGCATGTTTCCTTTTTTTCTAAACTCTTTCTAGTTGAATTGGTTCTACACCAGTTGTTTTTAAACAGTGGAAATATAAATATATTTTTGTCAAAAGGAAAAATTTGAGAGTGTACATGGATAGCTTCTGAGAAGGTGGATCAAAAATTCAATTACGTGATTTCATCAAATAAAAAAGTAGTAGACACAGTTTTTTCTCTAAGTACCAGTCATATCAATGGGAAAGGATATTTAAACTAGAAGTTATAGACATAAATTCATTTTAATTATTGTGCATTTTCCCTTACTGTTCTATCAGATTACCATGTATAGCAACTTGCCATTCAGCAGTTACTCATTTCTAAGGTTGTAAATGTCGAGAAATACCAGACTATCACCCTGGACTCTGTAGTGTGATTGTTTAATGTGTATGTGGTTTCATACCCAAATGAGTCATTCTGCCAAGAACCTTGAGAATATCGGTCTAGTCTAGAAATTTCAATCTTAATGATTGATACTCAGCTTTGGCATAAGATTATGCATCATTAGAAAGAGGATGTAGGTGTAAAATGGTTCTGTGCAAATACAAACATTATTTACTTAAGCCCACAAAATCTTGACTAGTCATTTCCTCTGCTAAACCTTTCCATTCCCACTATTTTTTAAAATCATCACTTGTATCACCAACTGCTCATCAGTAAACCTCATATCTCTAGAATAATCTCTGCTGTCGTATTTGTATTTCTAGCATATACTATGATGTCTGACTTAGTAGCTTCATAAAAATCTATTGAATGGGCCAGGTGTGGTGGCTCATGCCTGTAATCCCAGCACTTTGGGAGGCCGAGGTGGGCAGATCACCTGAGGTCAGGAGTTTGACAGCAGCCTGGCCAACATAGTGAAACCCCATCTCTACTAAAAATAAAAAATTAGCCAGGCATGGTGGTGGGCTCCTGTAATCCCAGCTACTCAGGAGGCTGAGGCAGGAGAATCGCTTGAACCCGGGAGAAGAGGTTGCAGTGAGATGAGACCATGCCATTGCACTCCAGTCTGGGTGACAGAATGAGACTCTGTCTCAGAAAAAAAAACAAAAACAACAACAAAACAAAACAACCCGAAAACCAAAACCAAACCAAAACAAAAATGTATTGAATGAATACTGACTTCAAGGTACTCAGGAGAAAGCCATCTTGTATGTACCTCTGATATTTTCATCCAACACTTCTTTTCCTCAATCTTTTTCCTAGGTATTTCTACAGCTTCTAGGGTTTTGTCACTGTTCCTCACAATGTTCTCCTATTTTGTCAACCAGTAGATATAATAGCTCTGAATGGTCATATATATGTTACTGTTATCAGCGCTTTTGTTTTACAGGAAAATTGAAGAGAATTGGAGATTTTAAATTTGGGAGAGTGTCTTTGGGAATATCAGTCAATTGAGGATGAATAAATCTGCTAGTGATCATCATACCAATTCATATGAAAGTTTTAAAAAACTGGATATCAATTTCACTGCATGCTACTCTTTGGGGGCTCCAATCTTTAGAAGAGTTTGGACTCAACTTGGTAAACACATTTTGAACCCAGTACACCTCTCAAGAAACATCTTGATGAGCATGATATAGAGGGCATACCTTGCCAAAGAGTAAAGATATATATTTTATCTTTAATGAGAAAAATGCTGATTTTTCATGGGATAAGAACAGGAAATCCTTTTAGAATCATCAAGGGCAGCATCAAAATGGGAGATATAAGATGGAAAGTTTGATTTGCCTAGGAAGAGGAGAGTAAAAATGCTCTTTGAGTTTCGGGATTTGGAAAGAAAAAATGCCCACTGCTTTGCTTGAGCCAAAATCAAGGCTGTAAGACAGCTGATATGTTCAGTTGTTAAATTATAAGCAATTCTATACTGGTTGGTATAATAGCTGCTATATTTACCCTATTCCTTTTGCTGGAAATAGAAGAACTTCCAGTTAAGTAACTAACTGGTGAATGCTCAGGAACTTCCAGGACCCTTTTCCAGCACTACAGCTTGCTTTAGTCCTGTTTCATCTATACCCAGATTGTGTTAGCCCAGCTGGAACATTCTGAGTTTAGGCCTGCCAAACATGAGGTGGTAGAGTTCCTTTCATGGCAAACCAGCACCCAAGATAACAAGCAGGGCTTCAGAGGACCCAGCCCCAGCCACTCTGCCAATGTCCAAGCCTGAGGTCAGCTTCACCCCTTACAAGTCTAGTGCTCCACCAGAGGGATTCTACAGCCCCCCACTTCCTCAGGCATAACTGCCATCATATTTTGAAACCATCTGCCTGCAGAAAACAGCAATCCATGTCCATAGAATTGGTCCACCACAGCCAAGTCCTCATAGCCTGTGCTCTACACTTCACACCCGTGAAGCAACAAGGAGTAGGAAGATCTTCAACCTAAACAGCTGAGGTGACTTTGGGGAACAGCCTACCATGCATAACCCTGGGAGAGGCCTGTATCCACCCAAGCCTAAGTATTACTGGTAACTTGGCCCACAACTTTCCAAGGCTAAACTTTATTCTCTTTGACAGGCAGGGCATTGAGACAGGAACAACGCAGTCTGGACTGAGACATCAAACATGCAAAAGCACCTGTGAACTGTGGAGAGTTAAGATATATTACTTCTTCCTGAAGTGTACTTAGACAAAATATTGAAAAATAAATAATCATGCTCTCATTTGGAAGAAAATTCTTTGCTGTCTCTTTTTTTTTTTTTAACATTGATCAACTTTCCTCTTGATCTCAATAATCTATTGCCGTTTTTGTCTAGCTTTTCACTATAACACCTATTTCTTCATGGTTATTGACCTCCCAAAGATGTCCATGACCTAATCCCAGGAACTTGTCACTATATGACTATATTATGTTACATGGCAAGAGGTTATTAAGGTTGCAAGTAGAATTAAAGTTGTTAATCATCTGACTTGAAAACACGGAGATTATCTTGGATTATTTGCATAAGCCCAATCTTTAAAAGCAGAGAAACTTCCCTGACTTTCTGGCCAGATAGAGAGACTTGACAACAGAAGAATGGCCAGAAAGATGCAACTTGAGAAGGATTCAACCCACCTGTTATGGGTTATATGTTTGTGTCCCTTCAAAATTCATTTCGAAACTTAATCCCTATTGTGATGGTCTTAAGATGTAGGGCCTTTGGGGAAGTGATTACAACATCAGGGCTCCGTCTCCGAGATAAATGGGATTAGTGCCCTTATAAAAGAGGCTTCAGAGAGCCGCACAGTTCTTCAATCTCTTCTGTCAGGTGAGAATACAGGAAGAAGGTGCCATCTTGGAAGCAGAAGATGCAAGTCCTCACCAGATGCTAAATCTGCTGGCACCTTAATTTAGGACTTTCCAACCTCCAGAAATGTGAGAAAAAAATTCAATTATTTATAAATTACCCAGTGTATGGTATTTTGCTATAATAGCAACAATGGACTAGGACACGACTATTGCTGACTTTAATGATGGATGAAGGGGACCATGAACCAAAGAATGTGAGCAGCTTTAAAAGCTTGAAAAGGCAAGAAAATGCATCTTCCCCTAGAGCCTCCAAAAAGGAATGCAGCTCTGCTGACACTTTAATTTTAGCCCAGTGAAACTTGTGTTGGACTTCTAACCTATGGAATTATAAGATAATAAATATGTTTTGTTTAAGCCATTACATTTTTGGAATTTGATACTACAGCAATAGAAAACTAGTATACCAACTATCCCTGCCCCAACCCCACCAATACCAAACGAAATAAGTTTATAATACTAATGACACTACTCTCTTAGGCCTCATTCTCTGAAGCAAAGAAAGATGAAAGCTGTCCCTCTGAATTATCTTTCATTTGGGAGACATTTGTTTTGTTGTTGGTCTCTGGTCACAATAGCCAAGATTTGGAAAAAGCCAAACTGAATAATGCTGTGGTGAATGGGCTTGCAGATATTTCTTAAATATAGTGATTTTATTTCCCTTGGATATATACCCACAGTGGGATTGCTGGATTACCCAGCAATTCTTTCCTAATTTTTTGAGGAACCTCCATACTGTTTCCTATAATGGCTGTACCAATTTACATTCCTATTAACAGTATACCAGGGTTCCCTTTTCCCATATCCTTATCAACACTTATCAGGGATGAGGTGATATCTCATTGTGGTTTTGATTTGTATTTGTATTTTATGATTTTGATTTGTATTTGTATTTTATGATTTTCTTGATGATTAGTGATGTTGAGAACACTTGCATATATAGTATCTATTGGCCATTTATATGTCTTCTTTGGAAAAAAAATGTCTGTTGAGGTCCTTTGCTCATTTTTATGTCTCTTATGGTCCTTTGGCCATTTGTATGTCTTCTTTGGAAAAAATGTCTATTGAGGTCATTTGCCCATTTTGGGTCATTTGGGCTTTTGCTACTGAGTTCTATTAGTTGCCAATATATTTTGGATATTAACCCCTAATTGCATATATGGATAGCAAATATTTCCAATGATTCTGTTGGTTGTCTTTTTATTTGGTTGATTGTTTGCTTGGCTATGCAGAAACTTTTTATTTTGATGTAGTCCCAGTTGGTTATTTTTGCTTTTGTTGCCTGTGTTTTTGTTGTCAAATCCGAAAAATAATTGCCAAGACCAATGTCAAGGAGCTGTTCCCTTCAATTTTCTTCTAGGAGTTTTATGGTTTCAAGTATTATATTTAAGTCTTTAGTCCAATTTGAGGTTATTTTTGTGCATGGTATAAGATAAGGGTCCAATTTATTTTTTTTGCACGTGGAAATCCAGTTTCCCTGTTTCCCCAACATTTATTGAAAATTAATTGACCATATATGTAAGGGTTTATTTCTGAGCTCACTATTCCATTCCATTGGTTTGTGTCTTTTTATATCAGTATCATACTATTTTGGTTACTATAGGTTTGTCATGTAATGTGGAATCAGGAAATGTGATGCTTCCAACCTTCTTCTTACTCAAGATTACTTTACCTCCTCAGAGATATTTGTGGTTCCATGTGACTTCCAGAATTGTTTTTTCTATTTCTGTGAAAAATGCCATTGGGTTTTAATACATATTACAGTGGATCTGTAGATACTTTTGCGTAGTATGGACATTTTAACAATATTAATTCTTCCAACCCAGGAATGCAGAATATATTCCCATTTTGTGTCTTCTTCAATATCTGTCATCAATATTTTATAATTTTCAGCACACAGAACTTTCACATCCTAGGTTAAATATATTCCTAAGTATTTTATTTTTTGATGCTATTGTAAATGTTCTGTTATTTTCACATAGTTCATTTTTAGCATATAGAAACGTAACTAATTTTGTATGTTGATTTTGTATCCTGCAACTTCACTGAATTAATTTATTAGTTTTAAATTTGGGGGGTAGAGTCTTAAAGGTTTTCTCTATATAAGGTCATGTAATTTTCAAACAGAGATAATTTTGTTTTTTCATTTTCTCTTTGAATATCTTTTATTTGTTTTTCTTGCTCGATTGCTGTAGTAGGACTTCCAGTACTATATTGAACAGAAAGTAGTGAGAGTAGGCACCCTTGTCTCAGGTTCCTGATCTTAGGAGAAATGCTTTCAGCTTTTTACCTTTAAGTATGATGTTAGCTGTGGACTTGTCATGTATGGCCTTGTTATATTCCTTTTATACCTCATTTGTTGAGCATTTTTACCATGAAAAAATGAATTCTGTAAAATGCTTTTTCTGCATCTATAAATGTAATTACATGATTTTTATCCTTCATTTTGTTAATGTCATGTGTTGCACTTATTAATCTGCATATATTGAACCATCCTTGCATCCCAGGGGTAAATTCCACTGGTCATGCTGTATGATCCTTTCAATGTGCTGTTAAATTCAGTTCACTAGTATTTTTCTAAGGATTTGTGCTTCAAAGTTCATAAAGAATATTGAACTAATCATTTCTGATAGTGTCTTGTTATTAGGGTAAGGCTGGCCTCATAAAATGAGTTTGAAAGTGTTCATTCCTCTGCAATTTTTTGTAATAGCTTCATAAGAATTGGTATGAATTCTTCTTTAAATATTTGGTAGATGTAAAAAACCTGCACATGTACTGCCTGAATCTAATACAGAAGTTGAAATTATTTTTTAAATTTTTTTTTCTTATATGTTTGGTAGAATTCTACAGTGAAACCATCTGTTTCTAGACTTTCCTTTTTGGGTCATAGTGCTTACTGATTCAGTGTCCTTACTTGTTTTTGGTATGTTCAGATTTTCTATTTTGTCATGATTCAATCTTCATAGGTAGTACATTTCTAAATATCCATTTCATCTAGGTTATAGAATTGGTTGACATAACTGTTCATAGTAGTCACTTACAATCCTTTGTATTTCTGTGGTATCAGTTGTCTGTCTTCTTTTTCATTTTCGATTTCATTTCTTTGATTCTTTTCTCTTTTTTAATCCATCTAGCTAAAGGTTTTTGAATTTTGTTTTTCTTTTCAAAAAACCAACTGTTTTCTTGATCTCTGTATTGTTTTTCTAGTCTCTATTTCATTTACTTCTGTTCTGATCTTCATTATATCCTTCCTTCTGCTAACTTTGGGTATAGTTTGTTCTTCTTTTTCTAGTTCCATGGGGTGTAAAATTAGAATATTTGAGATATTTATTTGTCTTCATGTAGGTATTTATTGCCACAAATATCATCTTAGAAATGCTTTCGATGCATACCATAGCTTTGGTATGTTGTATCTCCATTTTCGTTCATTCAGAAATTTTTTGATATTTTCCATTTTGATCTTCTTTGACAAATTGATTGTTCAGTAGTGTGTTATTTAAATTCCACATAATTTTACCTTTTCCATTTTTTCTCCTATTATTGATTTCTACTTTCAAACCACTGCGGTCAGGAAAGATACTTGATATAATTCCATTTTCTTAAATTTGTTGAGGCTTGTTTTGTAGCCCAACATATAATTTATCCTGGAGAATGTTCTGTGGGCACTTGAGAAGAATGTGTATTTGCTACTGTTAGATAGAATGTTCTGTTTATGTCTATTAGGTCCATTTTGTCTAAAGTACAGTTCAAAGCCCAATGTTTCCTTATTGATTTTCTATCTAGTTGATGCATCCATTGTTGAAAATGAGGTACTGAAGTCCTCTACTATTATTATATTGCTGTTTATTTCTCCCTTCAGATCTGCTAATATATGTGATATATTTGCATATATCACATATTGCATATATCATGGGTGGGCTACGTCCCCACCCAAATCTCATCTTGAATTCCCATGTATTGTGGGATGGACCTGGTGGGAGGTAATTGAATCATGGAGGCAATTCTTTCCTGGGCTGTACTCGTGATAGTGAATAAGTCTCACAAGATCTGATGGTTTTATAAAGAGGAGTTCCCCTGTACAAGCGCTCTCTCTTTGCCTGCTGCCATCCATATAAGACATGACTTGCTCCTCCTTGCCTTCTGCCATGATTGTGAGGCCTCTCCGGCCATATGGAACTGTAAGTCAATTAAACCTCTTTATTTTGTAAATTGCCCAGTCTCAGGTATATCTTTATCAGCAGCATGAGAACAAATACAATGTGCTTTATATATTTAGATGCTCCAATGTTAGATGCATATATATTTACAATTGTTATATTCTCTTAAAGAATTGACTTATCATTACATAAAGATACTCATTGTCTCTTATAACAGTTTTTGACTTAAATTCTATTTTGCCTGAATAAATATAGCTTCCCTCTTCTCCTTTGGTTTCCATTTGCAAGGAATCTTTTTCCGTCTCTTCACTTTCAGCCTATTTGTGTCTTTAAAGGTGAGGTAAGTCTCCTTAATCAGTACATAAATGGGTCTTATTTGTTAAAATTCATTAGACCACTCTGCTATTGATTAACTTAATCTGTTTATATTTAAAGTAATTTTTGATAGGTAAGAGCTATTTAAATCTATTGGCATTTTGTTGTTTTTGGATTGTTTTGCAGATTTTGTTCTATTCCTCTTCTCTGTGTTCCTTTGTGATTTTATAATGTTGTCTAATGGTATGCTTTGATTCTTTTTTCTTTATCCTTTGTGTATCTACCATAGATATTTTTCTTTGTGATTATCATGAGACTTATATAACACTTTTTATTGTAGTATAGTATCAGTCTATTGTAAGGTGACAATAACTTTGATTGCATGAAACAACCCTACCCTTTATTCCCCACCCTACCTACATTTTATGTTTTTTGATGTCACAGTTTACATCTTTTTATATTGTGTATCCATTAACAAATTATTGTGTCATTATTACTTTTAATGCTTTTGTCTTTTAACCTTTATACTTAAAAGTGATTTACTCACCATCTTTACAGTATAAGAATTTTCTGAATGTGACTATATATGTATCTTTGCCAGTAATTTTTATGCCTTCATATGACTTCATGTTACTAATTAGCAGCATTTTATTTCAGTATGAAGAACTCCCTATAGCAATTTTTTTGTAAGGCAGTTCTAGTGGTGATAAACTCCCTCACTTTTGTTTGTCTGGGAGAGTCTTTATCTTTCATTCATTTCCATGGGACAGCTTTGCTGGATAAAGTATTCTAGGTTGGCAGTGTTTCTTTTTGTTTTCGTTTTTGTTTCTGTTTCCTTTTAGTACTTTGAATATATCATCCCACACTCTTATGGCCTGCTAGGTTTCTGCTGAGAAATTTGCTGATACCGTTAGATTCCTAGATTCCTTGGTATGTCACAAGGTTGTTTTTTCTCTTTCTGCTTTCGAATTCTCTTTTATTTTTTTACAGATTATGTGTCATTGAAGACCTCTTTGGTTTGAAGCTGCTTATAAACTTTATATAACTTGAGCTTTATATTCCTGGATATCCATATTTCTTAGCAAATATGGGATGTTTTGAGCCATTATTTCTTTAAAGAAGGTTTCTGCCCCTTTCACATTCTCTCTTCTCCTTCTGTTACTCTCATAATGTGCATATCATGCCACTTGCTGGTGTCCTACAAATCACTGAGGCTTTTGTCACATTTTACTTTTTATTCCTTCAATTGGATAATTTCAAGTGACTGTCTTTGAGCTCACAGATTCTTTCCTCTGCTTGATCAAGTTTGCTGTTGACACTTTCTATTGCATTTTTCATTTCATTCATTGTATTCTTCATTTCCAGAATTTCTGTTTGGTTCTTTTTCATGATTTCCATGTCTTTATTGACCATTTAGTTTTGTTCATGTATTGTTTTTCTGATTTGTTCAGTTTTCTATGTGTTCTCTTGTAGCCCACCAAACTTTCTTAAAATAATTATTTTGAATTATTTGGCAATTCATAGACATCCATTTCTTTGGAATCAGTTATTAGAAAATTATTTATACCTTTGTTGATATTGTGCTTCCTTGATTGTTTCATGTTTCTTGTTCCTTGCATTGATGTCTGCCCATTTGATGGAGCAGTCACCTCTTCTAGACTTTACAGACTGGTTTTGGTGAAAAAGACCTTCACATGGAGGTGGGTGCAAGAATGCCATGTAGGTGGGGTGTGACAATTCCAGGTTTGCTGAAGGCACAGTCTCTGTGCAGGTCTGTCAGCTACGGTCAGCATCAGCAAAGGTTGCAGTGGTCCTCAACAGCCAAAGCTCTGGGTGTCTGCAGTGGTGGCAAGGACCATTGGGATCCTTGATGATAAAGGCTTTTGGGGTCCACTTGATCTCTTTTTCTCCCACAGAGGAAGTTGTGGCCAAGGGGATCACTCTGGGTGCCAAGGCTGGCTCATGGACGCTCATGGGGCAGTGGTATCAGTATCTGATGCATGGCATCTATGGAGTGTCACAGAGTTGGGGTCTAGAATGTAGGCATGCATGGAGGAACTACAGCTCCAGAGTCTGTGATAGTTGGTGGCATGGGTTTCCAGGGCTACTGCAGCAGCATTGGTAATACTGCATGAGGCTTGGGTGCTTATGGAGCAGCTAGGGAGCTAGAACAAGAAAACAGGCATGTGCAGAACTACAGCAGCTCTGGAGTTCAGAATGTGGATGCTCCTGCTGTGGCAGTGACTTGCTGTCCTGGGCACATGTGCTCACAAAGCTGTCACAGAGCTGGGATCCAAAGAGTGGGCATGCATAGAGCAACCACAGCTCAAGGATCTTGGGTGCAAATAAACCTATTGTGGCAGTGGCTCTGGTGTCCTAGGAATAGGTGCTCAGTGTGGCCATGGAGCTGGGATCTGGAGCATGGGCATATGCAAGCAGACTGCAGACTGTTGTTGCAAGGTATGGAACAATATGCCTATGCACATACCTGCTCTAGCAATGGCTCTGGTGTCTATGATGCAGGAACTCAGAGAGAAGCCATTGAGCCAGGGTTAGAGCAACAGTAGCTCTAAGGTCTGGGGTGTCAGCTGGCCCATAGCAGCAGTGGCTTTGGTGTATGAAGCATGTACATGTGTGATGCAGCCATAGAGTCAGGGTCTGGAATGAAGGTATGCACACAATGGCCACAGCTCTAGGGTTCCGGGTATGCATAGGGTTGGTGGGGCAGTGATAGCCCCAATCCTAGAGTAGCAGGAAAGTGGCTCCTTCTTGGCTAGAGGGTTGGGGAAGCAGCTTCCTCTCCCAGGAGGTGCACAGTGTCAGTTGTTGCTGGTTACCTTAGTGGCAAAAGCTGAGGCATCCTCTGTGTAGCAGGCCACTGTGATCCATGCAGATGAACACTAAGGGAACCTCCATTGCCAAAGCTATGGGGAATCCATGGCTGTGGCAGGGGCTACTGAGGTCTTTAATGGCAAAAGCTTCCAGGTCCTCTGAAGAGCAGGCCACTGGGGAATGTAGTGGCACCTGATGCATGGCTGACATTGGTAGTCCCTGCTTTTCTTTGTTACTAGCCATCTTCAGATGTCTCAAGTATACTGCTCTCTCCAGCAATCCTTTCTGTGCTGTTATTATCTGTTTTTTACTTCACTATGTTCCCATAGGTTTTTATTTGTACTATTAAGCCCTTCCAGGGCTATTTTCATTTGTGAATAGCTGTCTGTTGTTTCTGTGGGGGAGCAAAGGCTGGTATCTCCTACTCTACCATCTTCCTGATATCACTCTTATTACTTCTGTTTTGAAGGAAGCAGCAAAGTATGATGCGACAGAAATTAAAGAAATCAAACTAACGGGCTGATTTCATATCCTGACCTGGTGCAGAGAGAGAGCTTAAAAATATTGTCAGAGGCCGGGCGCGGTGGCTCACGCCTGTAATCCCAGCACTTTGGGAGGCCGAGGCGGGCGGATCACGAGGTCAGGAGATCGAGACCATCCCGGCTAAAACGGTGAAACCCCGTCTCTACTAAAAATACAAAAAATTAGCCGGGCGTAGTGGCGGGCGCCTGTAGTCCCAGCTACTTGGGAGGCTGAGGCAGGAGAATGGCGTGAACCCGGGAGGCGGAGCTTGCAGTGAGCCGAGATCGCGCCACTGCACTCCAGCCTGGGCGACAGAGCGAGACTCCGTCTCAAAAAAAAAAAAAAAAAAAAAAAAAAATATTGTCAGAAAGAAAAATCAGGAATGTGGTATCACTAAAGTTTGCTGAACAAGTTAATTACTTGGAATTACCGAGTAGATTTATAACCAGAAGTGATTTTTTTGAAAGATTAGATATTTTCTTTACAGACTGAGAAGTAGGCACTATGACATGTGGCCTGAATCTAGGCCTCATAACAACCCAATAAATCCAAAACTGGGCATGCCTCCTGTTAAAGAAACCACATCTAACATTATCCCCTTCCTTTCCAAGCCTTCTGCCTCTGTGCTGCTCATGCTTGTCACCCTCTTAGATCAGACAGTTAAGAGCTATACCCTGGCTCCCAGTCTCTTACTCTTCTCACCAGCCCACTTCTAGCCATCAGTACTCTTTTCAGAAAACACAAATGTGATCTGATCTTTCCCCTGCTCAACATCCTTCAATTAGCAACTCGTCCATAAATAACAGCATGTAAACTCTTGTGGTTGGGATTTAACTTCTCTAGTGTGTGGTTCCTACTTTGCTTTCCAGCCTTACCTCCTGTTTGTAATGTGCCCTCCACTACCACTAACAACTTCACCTCCAATATACTCTAACTGCAAGTGTCCAAACATTTCTTGCATCCTGCTGCCTCTGTACAGAATAGAACAAACTTGATATTTTTAATGGGAAATTCAGGGTTTAGTCCATCATTCACCAACTTTGACTTGGTACAAGTCACTTTCCCTCTCTCTTCCTTGATTTCATCGTCTATAAATAGGAAACTAGGAAGCATATATACTTTACAGCGTAGTAGTCAGAGTCAAAGGAGAACGATGGTGAAAGCGCATTTTAAGTTGTAAATTCACTTCTGGATGATAGTTATTATAAATATGCCATTCCCCTTCCCAATTAGATACTTAGCTCCTGTAGGTAACTGCCTTGTCTTCATTTTGATATCCCAAATCTCGCAATAATATCTCCTCAAAACATGTGTGCTGAATTGAATGAAAACATTCTGTATTTTAGGTCCTAACAATTACAACATGCATCATTAAAGGTTTACAAGATACAGGACTATGGAGGACAGAATTCTCACACCCTGACAAATAAATTTTAAAGAAGCCTACAGATGAAAGAATCCATCTCAATAATATGCATTCTGTTTTCAAAAAGTAATTAGGTCAAAGGAATTAGCACTATTATGATAGGTCTTATTATTACTACTTTTTTATGCTATTTCTAATAATAATACTATTTACAAGGATCCTGGGAGCTACATAATAGGTAAAGTACAGAAAAAGTCAATGACTATTTTGTAGAAATTTTCACACCTTTAGCATTCATAAGATCCATGAAGTATTAGCTTCATAATTCATAAGATCCATGAAAAAGTTTTCAAGATCAATTATTTTTAAACTAAAGGGTAAAAAAATGAAGGAAAATTGAGAGGAAAAGAAGACAAAAAGAAGAAAGAAGCTGCCTTTGTTCATTCTTAATTGTATAATTGCATTTTATATTACAATTACCCTTTCTTTCTTTACAAATGGTACTGTCTGAGAAGGAAAGAATCGGAGAACATAGATTTTGAAAGCTAAAAGTTTCCTTGTGGGTTATCAATTCTGCTGTAGTTTGGATATGGTTTGTCTCCCCAAAAATCTCTTGTTGAAATTTGATCTCCAGTGTGGTGGTGTTGGGAGATGGGGCCTGGTGGGAGGTGTTTGAGTCTTGGAGGTGAATCCCTCATGAATAGATTAATGCCCTCCCTCAGGGGTGAATACATTCTCACTTTCTTAGTTTGTACAGAGTTCTTAGTTCTTAGTTCTCACTTCTTAGTTCTTAGAGAGTTGGTTGTTAAAAAAGAGCATGGTACCTCCCTTCTTCTCTTGTTGTCTCTCTCACCATGTGATTTCTTGCACTCAGGCTCCCCTTCACCTTCCACAATGAGTGGACGGAATCTGAGGTCTGTACCAGATGCAGATGCCAGTGCCATGCTTCTAATACAGTTTGTAGAACTATAAGGAAAATAATCTTCTTTCCTTTATAAATTAGCCTCAGGTAGTCCATTATAGCAACACAGAATAGACTAAGATAAACTCCTTATTTTTCAAATGAAGAAACTGAGGCATAACGACGATACAGGAATGGCCCAGTGGCTTAAAATCTAACAGCAGATTAACTTTCTGCAAATTGATTTGACAGTTATCTTTAAATATATATTCCTTCTAGAAAAGCAGACACTGCTGCTTCTGTCTCATATAATGGTCTCTTTATTTCCTATCGAGTCTCTCCAATGTGACAGGAAGTGGTTTTCCTAAAGCTATGATTAATAGCCTCTATGGTTTGTGAGGCACCGCAACTACACTGCAGGGAACAATACTCTAGTGCCCTCACAGAGTTTCTGAGCCTCCCACAGCTACTAATTTACTATGAGGGAGTAGTTTCTAACTCAAGAAGATTAGATTCTTCTTTATTATATCAGTATCCTTTTATTTTGTTAACCTAATGCCCTTAACATTTCCCACCATTATACTTCTTTCCTTTCTTTTATACCCAAAGTCCTTAAAATAAGTAGTGTATGCTTACCACCTCCTTTAACTTTCTCACTGTTTAATCTGCTTTTTGGCTGCTTTCCATATGCCAATATTCTGCACGTCAGGGACTTTCCTTTTAGACGAATTCAAATGTCTTTCCTTAATCTTCTCCCTCTTGATTCCTTGGTCATATTACACAAGTTTAACTCTTGCCCTTCTTGAAACTCTTCCATAATTTGGCTTCCATCATCCTGAACAACAAACTTTCCGACCAACACTGACCACTCCTCTAATTATAACTTATCCTCTTGTCTCTTTTCTGTGGGTATTTCTAAAGCTTACTGGTCTTGTTGCTCTCTTCTCTTGGCAAATTTATCTATGCTGATGGCTTCAGTGACCATGTCAATGTTAATGATCCCCAAATCTTGGTCTTTATTCCTGATCACTCATGAACCTTCTAATCTTATAACTCCACCTGTTCTCTTAGATCTTTGCTATATGCTAACTTATGTCTAAAGCCAAAGTCATTGTCATACTGACTAAATTGTGCTCCTCTCCAATATACCATTTTAAAAAACACTAGAAATTTCTTTTTTTATATGTCAAACATATAGTCATCTTTACTCCTACTTTAAAATGTATTTGAAGAAAGGATTATTCAATTGTATTATTTATTCTTTGTTTTCTTGGTAAATGCCTTCCTTTCTATTATCTGTTGTCATTACCTGCATCCATTCACCCACCCATCCATCCATCCACTCACCATCATGCCCTGGTTAATCTTCCTCCAGATAAACCTACTTATAAGTGATCTGTACAAAAAACCCGCAGTGCCAATTTTCACTTGATTAAGTATATTAAGTGTTCCTGAATATATTAAGCAGTTCCATCTGATATAACTGTTAGTTCTCATCTGCTTCTAACTTGAATTCTCTCTAAATTAAGCATCATGTGCCCTAGGCTGTGCTCTGTTACAAAAGGGTGGGATCGGTACAGTTGATAGCAGCTGTACTACGTCCTTTGTTTGTTCTTATTTGGGTTGGGAGCAGTTCCATGGGGAATAAAGAAGGTGGAGAGAAACATCCCACTACAATGATAGTTTATTTAATAATGTCCTCATGCCAAGGTCATCCTCACTCTTATGAAGTATTAATTCAAAATCTCTAGTTGTCATTTCTAGATTTTGCCAAAGAGTTACTTCCCTTCATGAGGCACAGCTTCCAACAATGTAGAGCCCTTGGCTGCTTTACTTGGAGAGTCTGGCTTCTGTGCCAAATATATGTATCATTCTGTGTACTTTCTAGCTGCAGTCTCTTTAAAAGCCAACTGTGGGTAATCATCTCAGGGAATAGGCATCTATGTTGTAACCCTTGAAGAATGTTAGCAATCTTTTATTTTTCTCCATAATTTTAAAGTCTTGTTTCATAAGCTTATTTATTCTCTGACTTCATTTGGCAAATATTGTTTGACAAATATTCTTGAGCTACTACCATTGGATACCAGGTATTTTGTTTGGTTCTGAGAATAAAATGTGAAATCTAATAGGCCCACACTGTGCCTTCATAGAGTGGGGAGGACAGATACCGGACAAACAATTACAAAGAAGTTTGAGGAGTATAATGAGGGAAGTACAGAGTTCTGTGGAAGCACTTGGTATTAGCATAGCTATCTCAGTTCCACTACTTGCTGGCAGAGAGATCATAATAAAGTTGCTTAACCACTCAAAGGTTCATTTCCTCGTATGTAAAACTGTGGCCAATAATAGCACCTGCTTCATAGATTATTTTTATTAGGATTAAATTTTTAAAAACACATTTAGCGCAGTATTTGGCACATAGTAAGTACCCAATAAATGTTAACTGCAATAATAAAATAACATTAATTTTACATTCCAAATCATTTTATTGCATTAATTTATACTTCTAAAACTTTAAAGTCGTTTTTTTTAATTCTCGGCAGCTATATTTTTTCACTTCTGACTCAAGGCTTTTAAAACTTCTTTATGTTTGTCTATTAATTCAGTTCCTCAGGCATTATTTTATTCAACAAATATTTATTGGGTGCCCACTATATACCAGACTCTGTGTCAGGCACTGATAATAAAATGCTGAGCACAACAAATAGGATCCTTTCCCTGAGGAGCTTACAGTCTACTGAAACGGATGGGCATTAAATAAACCATCACAGGAAGAAGTACAGGATCACAAATGGTCTCAACATAGGTGTAAGTACATTTAAAGAAAAAAAGATAATGATCTTTAACAGGGCAAAGGCAAATGAGATTCAAGCTATAAAATTAGAACTAGTCCTAATGTCATGAAAATATTATACTTTCTTCTAAAGCCCCAATCCTAAAATAATACGGATTAATCTTAAAGGCTAGAATATGTGTTTCCAATAAGCTACTTCTTTGCTCTATAAGGTAGCTGAAAAAAACATACTATTTATTACAATTTTGCAATGGGCTACATTATTCAAATAAGGACAGTTTAAACATGGTCACATCATTTAAAATGATAGCTACACGAAAACTCTGTTAACATTAGAAATATACTATTCTATTTCAATCCAACAATGCCAGCTGCAACATACATGTTTGTTTTGCCAGTGAAAACAAGCAGACACATTAATGAATACACTGATGTTTTATTTAATTTGTTTCCAGGCCCCAGCTCAAAGTGCTTTAAAATGTGGATTCTGGAATCTACCCTAACTGTGAAAACTGTGGCCAGTTACTTAGAATCTCAGTGCTCAGTTTCTTTATTTAGTAAAGTGGGGTTAACAATAGTATCTACCTGAAGTGTTAGAAGAGAATGTGACATGTGCCAGGTGTGGTGGCTCATGCCTGTAATCTTAGCTCTTATGGAGGGAGGGGTAGGAAGATAGCTGGAGCCCAGGAGTTTGAGACTTGCCTGGACAATATAGCAAGATCCTGTTCTCCAAAATAAGGAAAAAAAAGAGACAAAGAAGAGAATGTGACATGTATTGAGAACCCAGTAATACTATGAATGAAATGGTAGCTATTGACGCTAAGCTTAATTTTTTTTCTTTTTCTTTTTCTGTTTTTTTGTTTTGTTTCTTTTTGTTGTTGTTATTTTGTTTTGTGTGTGTGTGTGTGTGTGACAGAGTTTCGCTCTTGTTGCCCAAGCTGGAGTGCAATGCCGCGATCTGGGCTCACCGCAACCTCCGCTTGCTGGGTTCAAGTGAGTCTTCTGAGTCAGCCTCCCAAGCAGCTGAAATTACAGGCATATGCCACCACACCTGGCTAATGTTGTATTTTTAGTAGAGATAGGGTTTCTCCATGTTGGTCAGGCTGGTCTCGAACTCCCGACCTCAGGTGATCACCCCCACTTTGACCTCCCAAAGTGCTGGGATTACAGGCGTGAGCCCCCACACCCAGCCTCTAAGGTTAAATTTTTAAAAATGAAGGATATGACTTAGGGTGACCAGACTCCCTAAGTTGCTGGGGACTGTAGGGTTTCACCTGAGGAAGAACTTCCAGTGAGTCTCGTGAACCAATGATGAAATGTATGATGAATCAAGAATCATGATAAATCTAATTTGGAATACTTGAGGGTCATGAATTTTAGTCCTTGAATTTTGATTGGTTAACAATATTTTAGTGTTTGCCATATCCCAGAAGCAGAAAGCCAGGGAATAATAAATGCCGCCTCAAGCACACCTAGACCAGTCTACTCCTTCCTAAAATAGGCAGAATTTACCACCTATGCTTTAACAAAGGCTTGAATAAGCAGAGCATTTAGAGAGGAGAGTTCAAGGTAACAGAGAGACCACTGGTCTTTAGATATGTCCTAAGAGCATCCCAATAGGTATAGAATGGAGAATAATGCTAAATTAAATTCTGGCATTCTTGCTTTTTTCTTATTCTTCTCATGGAAGGTATATATATTATCTGATGTATTGCTTCCTTTATAAACCTTGAACCTTAATATGGTGTCTAGCAAATGTTTGGTTTTTAGCAACAAATTGTAGAGTTGAATATTTCTTAAGGCTGAAGAGATAAACTTTTTATATTCATTTTTTTCACTTTACAGATCAGTGCCTATTGCAAATTTATAGATCAATTTAAAGAGAATTAGAAAGTTCCAAAGTTTGTTGTCACACAATTGACTTTGCAGGTTGGTATTTATTTTATCAAACATCACTTACATGCCCTTTACAAATCTAGCTTTGGGAAATTACCGTGGTTAGTTTTCTTAGCTCATGCTTCACAATGTATGCAGTTTTGCCAATTGTTGTAATGTCAATATGGGAAATATAATATGCTAAATACAGCTACTGTATTTAGCAACTGTTCCAGTAAAGCATTCTCCAGCTGTCTGGGAGTCACAATCCGTAGTCTTAAATAGATGTATCTGTCATCAGTTTCATTAGCTTCGGATTATATGTATCATCTGTTGGTTTTGGGTGTAAACTGGCGTGTGCAAATGTTTTTCTCATAATATATTTTTTTAAAAGGCACACAATTCCATAGATATTCATTTTATTCCACAAATTCAGAATCCACAAATAATTTTGTATTTTAATTATATGTTATATTCTCATTTATTTGATATATTATTAATTATTATCATCTATTTCATTTATTATATCCATTATATTTTCATTTCTGATGCCAGAATCCACCTGTGACTATTAAAGATGTAGAGAGGTCTGTTTGCCTTACATCATTCCCTAGTTCTTGCTGAGCATGTACTTAATGGGAAGCTGCAGCAGAGGACTGGGACAGCCTTAAATTGTTGGGGAAATGGTAACGGAGAGTCTATTTTCATCAAATTGAGAGGCTGAGTGATTAATGTACATGCAATAAACTTAATAGATTTGAGGCAGTTTGCACGGTAAGTACAGATGGGCTAATGACATACAAAAGTAAAAGGAGAAAATCTTTATTAAAAGATCCTACAACACAGAAATGTATAAGTAAAGACATAGACTTTAACCCTGAGCTTCCTCGTTCACAAGGGTAAAAGAGAAAAACAGGACAGTTACTTCACTTTAATTGTTTAGAACAATGACTCCCAAATTAGTACTCCCTAAGGAAAGTTAAAGACAAGTAATTAGGACCTGGGTATCTCTCATCCCTGAGTCAAACAAAGCAGCTCCATGTTCACCTGTTTTCCATATTAGACCAGTTTCCGTATTAACAGCACTGGGGAATGAGAGAAGGGAAGGTTTAGTTTGTAGTACCTGAGATTTCTGGGGTGTAAATGTACATACTATGTCCAATTTCAAGCTATCAACATGACATAACCAATCACAATGTTGGGAAGAGATGCGCACAGTTGACTCTCATGAGGTAAATTCTTGTCTGGATGACTGATTGGCCTCTTTAGTGCATCTGCTGTGCAAATGACAATTAATTACCAGTGATATGTTGATCACTCCAAGTATATCTCTGGCTTCTCTTTCTCTCCTTAGCCTTTAGAATCATTTTCTAATTACCTATTGGATATCTTTATTTTCAGGTTCAGCAGACAATTTGTACTCAGTATGTCCAAAACCAAATTCACTCCCCCATATACACACATATACTCCTGAATTCCCTCTCTCTTAATGGCATCATTATCTGCCCAATCATTGACAAGGAAACATGGGAGGTATCCTAGAAAACTTTACCTTCCACATCAGTTGAGCATCAAAGACTATTTTTTTTCCCAAAAAATACTTGTCAAATCAATCCTATTCTCTCCTTCTTTATCTGTACTCCTTTAGTTCAGACCTTCATTTTTTGTATTATAATAACCTCTCTACTGGTTTGACCTTTTCCCATTCATTTCCAAATTTTTATGAGTTATTTTACCAAATATGGTTTGTATAACAAAACACTCATTGAAAACTACTCAATGAAAATCCGTGGACCTCACAGACACTAAAATGTTTTGCTACAGTTTGCTTCCAGCCTATTTTTTCATTTTCATCTGCTAATGAATCTTCTATAATAAAGATGTTAAAAAATAATTTCTGCTCCTTCTCAACCACAAGCTTAAGACAGATATCACAAATTAATCACAGCCAAGCTTTCACATGGAATAAGGATATAGCTTCAGAAATCTCATCATTCAACCGTGGCTTTCAAGCAGCTACCTACACACTCACAGGAATTTGTTCGTGAAAGGCAGCATACTTGGCACCCATTTATCCTCTCTTCCAGTTTTTATACCATAGCAATACTTGTCATTCAAAGGACACACCATGTGGAATTATGCCATCATGCCTTTGAACATGCTATTCCCTTTACCTGAATTATCTTCCCCATTCATGTTTTTCATATATTTACCTTTCATCTTTCAAATTTTCTCTCAGGTGTCACTTTTTCTTTGACATTTCCATGACACCGTCCAATCCCCTGGCTCAAAGAGATGAGGAGAATCCAATAAGTCAATAAGAAAAACCTTACTTCATCAATAGAAACTAGATAGAAATATAACTCTAAAGCTCTATATCCTTTCTTTCTATGTCTTTTAAAAAGAAGCAAAAACATTGAGGCTATAAAATATAGAAAACATTTTTAAATCAGAAAGAAAGAAATATATACATTTCAGGAAGATTTTTCTACCACTATATATAACGCTATGTCTAAATAGGATTTTCTTACAAACTTCTGAGAATTAGAAAAAAATCATTTCTTGAGTATTCTTTGGAATTGTCATTTCAATGGTGATGAGAAACATGCATTTGAAAGACAATATGAATAACAATATGCTTTGTCTAATGTCTGCTCTCAGTATTTGACTGGTATACTTGGAGGAAATCCATGAAATATTTGACCATAAAATTGTCAACACTGCAAGAGGATTTTCCTTGCCTGATGTAAGGTTGCCAGATATTTAGTTTGAACTCAACTATATGGATAAATAAGAATCTCCATCTAAGTTATGAACAATTATTGTCCTTGATTTCCTATTCCACATCACCAGCAATGATCCTAGGTTCTTAAATATTCACCACAGAAACAACCTAAGTTTATATATTTTGCAGTATAGACTTTTTTTCCCTTCTCCTTCCAAGGCTCATTTTTTAAATTCATTATTTTCTCATTTCTTAAATCAGAGATTCTTAGGATGAGTTTATGGTGTCCATAAACCCTTAACACTACATATAAAACATGCAAAATATATGTATATTTTTCTTGGGAATAGTATAGTTTTAATATTTTTTACAAAGGTATGTGCCACAAAAAACCCATGAAAGACTGATCCATTAAAAGTTGCTTTCTGTTCAATATTCCCTCTTGAACAATATTTTCCTTTTATTATTTGCTATGTGCTCAATCTTCTACAACTGTGAGAGCTTCATTTCCCATTTATATTTAGATGATATCCTGATTATGGACAACAGCTACTACACTCAGACTCGCTCTTAAGCTCCAGATCTGTATTTCTAAATGCTACTGGACTGACCCCTTAACCTCATTATGTCATTCCAAAATAATGACTGAAGGCCAATTCATTGGATTTGGCACTGGAAAGACAAGGCGGCCTGCCTTCAAAGACATTTTTATACAACTATCCTTTACTGAGCACATAATGTGTTCTAGGAATTGTGCTACATATTTTACCTTAAAAATTGCATCCCATTTAATTCTCACAACAAATCTGTGAGGTTTACAGATAAGGAAATTGAGGTTTCAGAGAAATTACATAACCTACTTAAAATTATGTAATAACTTAGTTGGGAAGACCAAATTTGAATTGATTTTGTCTGTCTCTAGGGTCCAAGTTTTTATCACTATGTACTTCTTTTAATAGTTCATGGTTGGAAGGAGGTCATTGCGATAGCATTTACACTATGGCAAGCACAGGATCACCTACTACTTAAAAATCCTCTGCAATTACCAGTGGCCTCAATAACCAAGTCCATACTCTTTAGCTCAGTTTATAATTTGGCCTCAACCTACATCTCAGTCCTCAATTGCCAGCATATTCTCCATCTACAGTCTAGCACCCAGTTACACCAGACTATTGATCCTTTCTTCAATACATCATGTTCTCCTCTCATGCTTCTCTGCCTTGTATATGTCATCCAGTAGGCTGGAAATTCACTTGTCCCTCTTGTCTTCTTAGGAGAATTATTTTATTTTCATAACCTATTCAAATGAGTGTCACCTTCTAAGTAATTCACTGAGGCAAAATTAGTGAATTTGCCTCCCTGTTCTCTTATAACACTTATGCCCTTACCATAGGGCTTGGATGTAATCATTTGTTTACTGATCTTTCTCCATTCCTAGATAAATCCCTTGGGGAGAGGAGCTATGTTAGGTTTCTCTTGCGCCAGTGATGGTAGTGCATTACCTAGAACATATGGCAGGTTATTCAGTAAGTGTTTGTATAATGAATAGTATTCAATCTTTATCTGCCTTTGATGTTGAGCATCTTTATAGAGACAGAAAACCTCAATATAATGTTATCTTTGATATGGCCATTTTCTGTATACATAAATATCATTTAAGTAATATTACATAAATGCTCCACAAAATATGGATAGCTTTTACATTTTTATGTATACTTTTGACATTGTTTTCTAGAAGTTTGACTTTAACTCTTCAACTGTTTGACCAGCTGACACATATATGGAGGGGAAACTATTATATGGGGCTATGAATAAGGTGATATTTTCTAACTTGCTTGCTTGGTAAAAGAATTTTTTGTGTAAGAAATGAGATTTCAGAAAAGTCACAATTAAAAAAAGAAAAAAAAATAAGAAAAGACTTGGAAGAGGTATGAGAAAACCCATGACAGTCTGTTCAAGAAGAAGATGGCAATGATTAATGTTGGAGAGGGGTGCCAACGTAATACAATGGGAGAAACAATAGTCTTTTCAGCAGAAGTGCTGGGACAACTGGATATCCAGATGCAAAAGAATGAAGTTGTACCCTTAACTCACAAAATTTACAAAAATTAACACAAAGTGGATCAAATATCTAAATGTAATAACCAGAACTACAAAACTCTTAAAAGACAATATAGAGACAAATTTTTATGATTTCAGTTTTGACAATGGTTTCTTAAATACGACATAAAATTGATGAAATAAGCAATGATTTTAAAAAATTAGACAAATTGGACAATGATAAAAGTACAAGCAGTGATAAGCATAAGCAATTATAGAAATTACATAAATTGGACTTTATCAAAATTAAAAACTTTTGTGCATCAAAGAACACTGTCGAGATATAAAGAATTACACTGTCGAGTATAAAGAAAACCCACAGAATGGGAGAAAATATTTGCAAATCACATATCTAAGAGTCTAGTATCCAGAACGTATAAGTAACTCCTACAACTCAATAATAAAATAACCGAATTTAAAAATGAGCCAAGAGTTTGAATAAACATACCTCCAAAGACAATAAAAAATGGCCAATAAACACAGGAAAACATGCTCATATTATGGAAATCAAAACCACAATGAAATATCACTTTATCCCTACTACAATAAAAAGGACAACAATAACAAATGCTGGGAAAGATGTAGAAAAATTTGGACTTTCATATGTTGCTGATGGGAATGTAAAAAGGTATAGCCACTTGGAAAACAGTTTGGCAGTTCCTCAAAAAGTTAAACATATAGTTATCATATAACACAGTAATTTTATTCCTAGATATATACTTAAGAGAAATGAAAATACATGTTCTCACCAAAACTTGTATATAAATATACATAGCAGCATTACTCAAAATAGCCAAAAATAGAAACAACCCAATTGCCCATCAACTGATGAAGGGAATAGACAAATGCGGTATATCTACACAATGAAATAATATTCAGGCATAAAAAATGAAGTATTAATACATGCTACAACATAGACGAACCTTGAAAACATTATGGTAAGTGAATGAAGCTAATAAAAAAAGACCATATATTGTATAAGCCACCCCCACCCCGGCCTTTTTTCTGAGATGGAGTCTCCCTCTGTCACTCAGGCTGGAGTGCAGTGGTGCGATCTTGGCTCACTGCAACCTCTGCCTCCCAGGTTCAAGCGATTCTCCTGCTTCAGCTTCCTGAGTAGCTGGGATTACAGGCGCCCGCCACCATGCCTGGCCAATTTTTGTGTTTTCAGTAGAGACAGGGTTTCACCATACTGGCCAGCCTGGTCTTGAATTTCTGACCTCAAGTGATCTGCTCACCGTGGCCTCCCAAAGTGCTGGGATTACAGGCATGAGCCACCCCATCCAGCCTTTTATGAGCCTATTTATATGAAATTTCCACAATATGCCAATCCACAGAAGCAGAAAATAGATCAGCGTTTTCTAATAGCTGGCAGAAGGAGGAATGGGTAGTGACTGCTAGTGAGTATGGAGCTGCTTTTTGGGATGATGAAAATGTTCTGGAATTAGTACCGATAGCTTCGTAATCTTGTGAATATACTAAAAACCACTGAACTGAACACTAAAGTGATAAATGTTATGGTACATAAATTTTATTTCATTTTTTCAAAAAGTACTTTTTACATAGCATTGTTGTAAGACTAAATTAAAGAAAGTATGTAAAGTGCACAGGACCTGTAATCGATAAATACTAATTCTTATTTTTTTTTTAAAGAATCGAATGGTAAAGATGGCTTTCATTCATTTGGGGGAATTAAAAATAATTACAGTTTATATGAGATATGGAAAGAGGATACAAATCTGTTAAAATATTTTTTTCAAAATACTTCGTATAGGGCTAATGAATCAAAGGGACCACTTTATCCACATTTTCCTGACTAGTGAAATTTGCGCTAATGTAGGTACACCAAGCTGTACTTCTTATAAGTATCACTACAATAACAAACACCTAGGGATGGACACAGCACTCCATCCAATAACTGTGTGAACTCATTACCTAATTATTATTATAACTAATATGTTGGTTGCTATATCACATAACAGATATGAAAAAATACAATGTAATCACAACAACGTCAGAGTTTCATATCATCGTTAATAGAGCTACTGGCTGTAGCAAAAATATTTTAAATTATCAAAGCTAACCTATAATCTTTTCACAGGTACAATATGTAGTGGTGAACATTTAACTTTAAATAGCACAGCACATTGTAAAAGTCACCCTATGTCATAAGAAGTGTATAAAAATAATTGTTTATGATTCTACATCCCTGAAAAATGTGCATGCTGCACGAAATGTTTAATGTGTCCTTGACCAAAAGGGAATACAACATTAATTTTGTTTTGAGGACAAGTGGACTCCAGACAAAAGACAAAAATAGGTAACTTAGGTAGATACAACAGTTTTAGAAAATTCTGTTCCTGAGGTGGTGGGATTTTTAGGGAACTTACCTTTCTCAAGAACATAATTTCAAAAGACACTCTGTAAATTCATCAAAGTTTAATGATGAAGAGACACAATAAATGTTATGAAGTTTAGTGGTGGATACTTTGGAAGTGAATGCCAAAGATTACAATTTAGAGAAGACCACAACCAAGAAACAGTTAACAAAGTTTTAGTTGAATGAAAAATTTTAAAAAAGTACATCCAATTTCTTCAAAAAATTTGTTTCTTCTGCGATTCCAGGTTTAATTTTGGTTATCCCATGACAAGTGGTTCACAACACTGGGAAAAGAAAGGAAAAAAAAGAAAAAATATATTTTATTTGCATAGTTCATATTTTTAATATTAATGTACATATCTAAGAATGTTTTCTTCATAGAGCTTTCATTCTACTTTTGTTTTATATGTAATTAAAATTGAAGAGGATTTGACATCCCAAATCCTTTTTAAATGTTTTTCTGTATATGGTCAGCAGAAAACACAAAATATAGTGATCCTTCCACCTCAGTCTCCTAAGTAGCTGGGACTATAGGAACGTGCCACCACACCCAGCTATTTGTTTATTTTTCATAGAGATAGGGTCTCACTATGTTGCACATGCTCCAGCTATCATTTATTGACTAATTCTAACCTTAATGAAATAGTTCCTGATTTTTAGATTTACTTCCAATTTCCCCATCCCATCTTAAATACTACCACAAACTGTTCTGAAAACTCTTTCCTAAATACACATAAGTTTCCTTCTCAAGAACCCATAATTTCTCCTTGTTCATCAAATCAATTTTAAGTATCAATCCTAAGATACCCCATCAACTAATCTAACTTTGCTTTCTTATCTAACGGCATTTTCCCCATTCCCTAACGCATACCTTCCACTTCAATCACACTAATTTTCTTCATTTCCTCAATATGTCAGATTCATACTTCTCACTTTATCATGTTTAATTAGAAAACCTACTTGCCACTTACTTAAATTGTACCCATTCTACAAGATCCATCTCATGCAGTACTTGCTTGTGCCATATGTTCTTCACAATAACTTAAATTTTATCTTGTATTGTTTAAGACGTTTAATCAATAAGCCACATTTCTCATGTAATTGAAGAATAGGCTGGTGAAATCTTAAGTGCTTAATCAATGTGCATTGAATTGAGCTAAATTTATATACTTAACTTGAATTTATATGCTTCAATATTGTACTGTTGAGGTTAAACATCTTTAAAATTACTTTCATATTATTTTATATTATTTGGTCACTCCCAAGTTTTCTCAGCTACAGAGCTCATGAGGTTGAGACCACAGTGAGCTGTAGTTGTGCCACTGCACTCAGCCCAGGTGACAGAGCAAGATCTTGTCTTAAAAATAAATAAAAATAAATGACAGATGAAAACTTTATTCCATCATATGATGTAATTTTATACACGTGGAAGTAAATGAATAAGCTTTCATGCACAGAGCACTGGAAATTTTGATGTAGTTTATTCTGTCCAATATATAAAATTACTATATAAAATTACCTAGGAAAGTAATGAGCACTTAGTGTAATTCTCCTGTTTTCTGAGTTCACCTATTGAGGAAAACTGAAGAGTGTTTTCATAGTCAAGTTTCAACTGAATTTAAGTCCTGAGGGATGAAAACTAAAGTATATACACACATGTATATTTTAGGAAACTTTCTTAGGAGATACACACACACACACACACACACACACACACACACCTCCTAAGAAAGTCTCAAGGGAAAAAATGTCAGTGGGATGAGCCCTTTTAGGAGAAGCAGAATAAAAGACTGACTACAAATCAAAAAGCCAAAGAAGAAGCCACAGACAGAAATGGAGACAAGATCCAGAAGCCAGGCTGAAACAGGAGGGCAACAAATCAAGTCAGGAAATAACTGATATGAAGCACATCGGTGCCTTAATAGTGGCTGAATATGTGGGCTAGTTTAAAGGTGAAAAAGTCTCTTGACGCCATAAATATAACACATATTTCTAAAAAGAAATTCATTGAAAAGGGGGAGGAGAATTATTTTATTCCTTTAGAAAGTATAAGATCAAAGCACAGAGCAATATTTTTCCAAATCTGCTCAAAATCTTGCCAGACATGGTGTTATGTCAGTCCACTTCCACTTACAGAATTAGCCATAGTGCTTCTAATTATGACCACTGCAAAAAAAGTAAAAATACTAGTAAAATGTAAATTGAAGTGAAAGCTATTCATTTATAGGAAAGGTATCATACAAACTCACAGACATTCTTAGAACTGGAGATTTATAAAATTTAGGTACCAATTGAATATGCAATTGTTTCTTCTGCATTATTTGCCCAGAAGAACCAATACTTCACAAACTGTGTTTAGACTTTATTAGCTGAGCAAAATTAATGACAAGAGAATGCCACGAGACAATTTTGATAGTTGCTTTTCATATCATGAATACTTATCTTTCAAAAGAGGAAGCAATGTTAAATATGCTTAATATGGTTTAATCCTCTCAAAGACTTTGTAAGGTATCAATGAAACTTGCACATGTGTGTCAGTTAGGTTTTAGTACAGGAAACAGATAAGTTTCAGGTATTTCAAGTAAATAGGGATTTAAAACAGGGAATAAAATGCTTACTAAATCTTTGGGAAGGCTAGAGAGAGAGGCTCTAGGCTGGGAATTCAGAAATGTTTCCATAACACTGTAGAACTGACTTATTAGAGAAAGATGACCTTTGCTTCAATCAGAAAAGTGGGGACTTCAGAAGTCACTATAAAATTTATTGACTTCAAAAACACACCATTGTAGCCACAATTAAGAGATCAGGGAGCCACTACTGCTCACACCCCTACAGCCTCTCAAACCCTAGAACTTGGATGCTGGAACCCATCACAGAAAACTCATATTTCCACAATCTCACTTATTAGCAGAAAACAATGGAAGCAGCAGGAAGATGACCTCCACTTGACTTTTGCTTCCAAATCTCAACAAGTGCACCTAATTGGATGAAACTTATTTACATTTGGAAGTTTAATGGCACAGGAATCTGGGAAAATTTAGTTTTTAGCTTTCCAGCTGCTGTAGTATAGAAATACACAGAATGGAAAAGTGCAAATGGTTGCCAGTTGGCCATATCCACCATACTGAGATTCAAAGGTTTTAGAAATTTCTTATCCAAGGTCACAGAACTTGTGAGTGCTAGAGCAACAAACTTGAATTCAAAGATTTTGGCCACTTGCCCAGTGCTCTTTCCACTACATCAGTCTACAGCACTGATTACTCTCTGAAGACATTTGCCAAAGGAGACATATTTTCAAATCTTGTGCTAATTATATTTTTCACTGAAGCATTAATTCAGGCATCTGTGAACATTGTTACCTTTTAGTCTTATGTCAAACCTAGTTCTTCTTCCAAACTCAGACTTAATCTTATTTTACAGTAATTACAGTTAAACCAACACTGCTAGGGTTTAATACCTTTGAGTATTTTTCTCAGCAGGCTTGCTGCTTAATCCATTTAATGTCAGAACAACACAAACCTTCTTATTAAAATGGGGGAAAGGACGTTATTAGAGACTGCATTAGTGGTCTTTTCTTCTTTGGGGTAAAACCTACCAATATGGCAATATTTGCACCTTATCTTTATTTTGTTTTCTGCTGACCACATACAGAAAAACATTAAAAAAGGAAAGATTTCAGATGTTAAATCCCCTTGAATTCTAATTACACATAAAAGTAGAATGAAAGCTCTCTGAAGCAAATATTCCTAGATTTGTACTTTAATATTAAAATAAAAAATATGAACTATGCAAATATTTGGACAAAATGAAAAAATATAATGCCTCAGTAATATTCATATTCAATTAAATCATCACTTTCATTTCAAATGCACTTTAAAGTAATTTGGGGAACATATTTTAAAATGTACATACAATGACCTAAGTACAAAGATTCCTAACATATACCTTAAGAGAAAAATAGAAATTACTACCTAACACTTCTGATTAGACTTAAGCAACAATACTATGTTAAAATTAAAGAGGTGATTAAATTCATATAAATAAAAGGTACATATCATGATTGTAGTTAGAAGAGATTTGATTGCACTCTTTAAACAAGGAGATAATTATTGTTCAAAAGTTGTTAGATCAAGTGGATCTAGTAGTTTTGTGCTAAGAGCATATAGAAAAGAATATAATAAAGAAACAATGTATGTGGTTGTTAAGGATCAAATAAAGACGTTATGTGAGTCTTGTGTAGGTTAGATTACATCAGTATCACAGATTATTTATCTCCACATATTCATTAGATACAGAATGTTAACTTTATAAGAGTTGGCAAATTTTTAAATCAAAAGGAACTATTGTATTCAGCACACAAAGCAGTGAAGGCTGTGATTAACCTCAAGAGAAGTTTGGGGTGCTTACTAGAGAAAACAATTGATCCTGAGATTTTTCTGAACATTTCTATTTGTCATTGGAATCCGTCTTTTGTAAAAGACTGTTTTCACTCCTGAAAGTCATTATGTACTCTCTCTGTGTACACACACACACACACACACACACACACATACACACACCCCTCTATATATAATATACACACATATAAATGTTGAGGGGTATATTAGAGAGATCACACAATAAGGCTTTTTCCTTTGCTTTTTACATAGGAAACTAAAATAATAAGTTCAATTTAACTTCTAAATTCATTCAGATTAGAAAGAAAAATAATTAAAAATTGTGATAGTATTTTTTTTGTTGAAGGATCTTTTACATTAAAGTCAGCAGTATTATTTGGTAAGTGGGCTACAGAGTAGAACTTAAAAAATATATCCCTATCTCAGTTATCCCACATTTTTAGTATCTTATAAGAAATGACCAGGCCGGGCATGGTGGCTCATGCCTGTAATCCCTGTGCTTTGCGGGGCCAAGGCAGGTGGATCACCTGAGGTCAGGAGTTCGAGACCAGCCTGACCAATATGGTGAAACTCCAATTCTACTAAAATTACAAAAATTACCTGGGTGTGGTGGCATGCACCTGTAGTCCCAGCTACGTGGAAGGCTGAGGCTGGAGAATCGCGTGAACCCGGGAGGTGGAGGTTGCAGTGAGCCGAGATCGCGCCACTGCACTCCAGCCTTAGTGACAGACTGAGACTCCATCTCAAAAAACAAAACAAAACAGAAAAACAAACAAACAAAAAGAAATGACCAAAGACCATAAGTTGTAAACTACAGAAGTTGAAGTTACCTTTATAATGATTTTATATATATGTAATTATATATATTATTTAATATATGTATGTTTGTGTGTGTGTACTTGCTTTTTAAACAGACTTATGTTGGACATATATTTCAATGTCAAAGACAGTGCTTTTCATTATTCTTTAGGTAAAATAATGAGGTGTACATGACTCTAGTAAGAGCTAATTGGAAAATTATAATGTTTGACACTCCTTTACTGTTTTGTTTTCTTATTTTTTGACTATTAATTAAAAGGATGTGTAGAAAACATGAAAAATTAAGTATTAATTTCATGGTGACAGATATTTACCATCTATTTTTTCTGAGCATAACATATAGTAATATAGAACTCAGAAATTACTGGCTTAAATCAATGCTATTGTTTATTACCAAATTAACCATTATTATTCTAGTCATCTACTGAGGAGTATAGTTTCCAAATAAAACTTAAATTGCCACTTAGAGACTTGACCCTAAAGATGTAATGACATAAAGTGCTCAGTTTTGAGAAGTATATTTCACTTTGTGTACTGATGGATTTTCCTCATCTTGTTGAGCAGATACTAAAAGGTAAGAAAAGGGCTATTAAGTTACAGCTATTAAGTACTATTTATTATTATTGAAAAAAATATCATCTTTAGGTTGACTGATAATGACATTTCTTTTAGAAGGATTGAGTGTTTGTGTGCCTAAAAACCACGACCTACTTCATAACTGGCTAATACCTTCAGTATGAACAAACTTTTTAAGAATAAACTGCTGTATGTGAGGCTACTTCTTTTATTAATATTTCATGTAGGGCATGTTTATAAATATTTGAGAAAATTCTATCAGAATGTCAACCTTTTTTATATCCTAAAATAGGCAAATACTAATTAAAACAAAATGGTCTGGGGGATTGAATTACCCTCTACTGACCTCCATTTTTCTCATCTTGTTAATGCAGTTCTTACTGAAATTAACATTTGTCTGAACTGTTCAAGAGTAACTAAAAAAAACCAAAGTTTGCATTTTATATCATTCATTTACTTTACATATACAATCAAAGCACTCTAACAGGTTACAGATTGGTGTTTTTACTCATATAGGTGTATGTCAACTTTCTTTTATAGGGGAGATTTGCTTCAAAGAATTATACAAAAAACTGGCATAAATATGACCACTCACAAAATGTGTTTAAATAAGTAAATAATATGGAAAAATACAACACAAATATGTAATGAATATTTGAAAACCCTGGTTTCTGAAGAGTTTAGATAGGGATTGTTTACATTATAATCTACTTGGTATTTCTTTAAATACCAATGTATCCCAAAATAATTATTCGATTCACATGCTTTTCTCTGAAACATATTTGCTTTATGTAATTTATTTAAAGGCTCAGATAACCAGAATGAATTCAACCTAACGCAAGGATTAAAAGAATGTAAGAGATCTGTCCAAGATCTGGGAATACATCGAATCCTTCCTACTCATTTTCATCAGAAGCCCTCGCCTCTGTGAAGACAGATGGGAGCTCCATCTACATTCAGGCAGGAAGGCCACTCAACTAAAGTTTAAAGTTTTACAAGGAAAATTCCTACAGCTTGCTTTAGGAGGGAAGGGTGGAGAACATTCTGTTTTACAGGACACTCCACCCTCAGCTATATCCCCTTGATTAATTATGTAACCAGATCTCCTTCATCAACTTACCGATTAGGTAATGGCAGGTATTTCTGATGCTTGGTATGGGGTCTGAGTGAGGAGGGTCCTAAAAATATTACTTATGCAGCTGTTTTGCATAGCATTAAAGTGAAAAGCTTTAACTTGCAGTACAAGTTAACATTTGTTCCAGACTTTTTTTTTTAAACTATTATTTTAGCATGTAAGCCTTATAGACATAAATCCTGTCTACTGATACATTATAAAGTCTCAGAAAAGTCAGTGATTATATACAGGAAAGTAGATAAAGGAGAAATTTCAAATGCATAAGAACAAGCAAAAAGGTATTCGTAAGGTATTAGAAACTATTAGCATTTTAGTATAAATAACTGGTGAATACAGCAAAATGAATAATTTGTGGTTAGTATAAATCAGCTAAATTCTTGTAATGCACAACTAACTACACATATTCTTCAGCCCACGGAGGCCATACAATGGAGATTTGGGATTCTAACTTTGTTTTCAAAATGGAGAAGTGCAGAAACTTTGAATCTTTTAAAATTTATCTTCCATCTGTTTCCTGTAATATCAAGATTTAGAGCAAGGTCTAAAGCTTTATCTTACGTAAAAGCTGGGTGCCTAATATGTATCTGTCCTGACCTCCCATGGAAACAATTATCAGGCTTCAGATATTTTGTCTCTCAATTTTTTAACTTGAAAGTACATGGCTATTTATTTTTGCACTTATTTTTTGTTTTTATTGTGCAATTTTTCAACATATGGCAAAGTTGAAAGAATACCACAAATGTTTGTATACCTTTCATAATTGTGTATATGTGTATGTGTGTGTATATATATATGTATATATGTATATATATATATGTATATATGTGTATATATATATATGTGTGTATATATATATATATATATATACATATATATATATGAATGTTGCAGCATGCATTTCCTGAGAATAAGGATCTTCTCTTTATTCTAGAGGTATATACCTCTACAGGTGATAGAGGTATATAACCACAATACCTCTATCACCTGTAAAATCCCGATTCCAGGACACAACATAGATAAATTAAATAAAAATTTTTGTAGTGGAGCCAAGGATCCGTAATTTTTACAGTTCTCAAGTGACTACAATATGCAACAAATGTTGAGAACCACTGTCCACACATTAATTAAATTTGTTAAATATTTTCAGTAAAGAATACATTTTGTTTCTTAATATGAATAAGAATGATAGCCTTTTAAAGTTTAGCAAATCTAAATTATATATTTTAGGTCAGCATTTTACAATAATTTACATTTCCTTAAGCTGTTCTTATCAAGTTAATAATTTTCTTTGTTAAATAAATGTATTTTATCTTAATTTCAGTTTCTTCTATATCATGATTTAAAATGCAGAAAGTATGTATTATGTAGTTTTCAAATATATTTATCTCCAAAGTTAAATGGATTTTAGTAAAAATGATATTTATACATATATATTTTAATAAAATGTTTAATAAATTAGACATGAATCTTAGCATGTGAAACATAAAACTTTTTTATAACTTTCCCCATAATCAAACTTCAAATTCGTAAGAATTAAAAGTCCGGAAAGAAAGAAATCGAAATCCAAACTTACTGCATGTTAACATTTTAATAATGTACTTTCATGTGTTAAAAACCTAAATGTTTCTTGCAACAAAGCATTATCCATAAGTGAATAAAAATAATTTTGACTAATAACAAATTATTCCTATCTTGTAGTTTCTTTGTCAGAATTAAGATTAGCATTATCTATTAATTACTTCTCTGTGGCTTCTATGACATTGTTGTATCCAAGCAAGTAAAGAAGACATTAAGCATTTAGAAACAGCCCTTAGATGTCTATGTCTGTTCTTCAGTGTTAGGAGTAAAAGCAAGCAATGTGTAAACTGATTATTTTTAATAAATGAATCAGAACAGTTCAAAGTCAGATAAGTTATACATTTTAGACTGGGGCAGAAGTCACAAGACCCAGATTCTAGGCTATGATTAGCAGGGCACTTGATCTCTCTGGGCCTGAAGTTTCTCACCTGTTAAATGAAGGATTTAGTTATGCCAAAGGTCCCAAACTTTCTCAGTTCACAGCATTCCTAGTGTCTCAGTAATTTTTTCATGGTGTTGCAAGCTAAAAGAAACACCTAACAGTTCCATTTATTAAACAGTTAAACCCAAACTTATGTTTGTCTATCCTAACAACTTAGTAGCTATTTAAAAAATAATATACATTAACATTTTTTATTCTTAATGGGATGTGCACATCTGTTGGGCACTTCATAACTTCTCAAACTTAGGAATAAACTTGGAAACCGCTACCCTCATTCCTGTTCTACAGTAATTTTCCCATAGTCCTTGTGTTTTATTACAGCAATTTACAAAAACACAGCCTCACAAAGATACGATGTCAAAAGGAATGAAGTACAATTTAATGTGTAGAAGTTCTGAACTACCTCAAGATAGTGGTTTGCACGGTGTCCAACTGATGTCACTGTGTTGGCCTTGAAAATTTAAAATATCCCATGATAGTGCCCCTGTGAGTTTGTTGTGGTGCTCCTGGGGTGCCTCAGTACATAGTTTAGGAAGCATGGACTACCCTCTGTAAAATACTTCATATAGCTACAATGTGTGTTGTAAACTGTAAAAGACAATTCTGAGGGCCTGAAGTAAGGAGCTGCAGAATTGAAGAGGAGATTAAAAAGTGATACATGTTCAGTCTGCATGAAATTCCCCTTCCTCCCCAGGTCACCTATAAAATGCCTACCTATGCCTACCTATAAAATGCCTACCTATGCCTCAAAACTCAGCTCAAGCTCCCTCAGGGAGGTTACCAAGTTACCCTTACCAAGTTAAATCCACCTATTATACATTCTCACAGTATTCATTTCACAGTACTTGTCCCAGTTGTAATTATACATTCATTTGTGTAACTATCTGGTTAATTCTTGTCTCTCTCATTAGAATGTAAGCTCTAAGAGGAAAGAACATGTCTGATATCACTACTGTAACCCACAGTGTCTGGTATATTATAGGGGCTAAAATCTTGCTTAGTGAAATGAACTGTGATAGAATAGGTTTAGCATTCATTTTGATTATTTTCCTTTATTCAAGAACAGCTGATATTTATAATAGCATTCCTAAAACATTTTTCTCATACTATTTCGCAGGAGAAAGAAACCCATACACATACAGCTGCATCTGAAACCTCAGAAACTAAGCTCAACCCAATTGATTAAAAGGATGTTCTTTGGATAAGGTAATCAAATGTTCACCGACTCTTATAGCCAAATTAATTATTATGAGATAAAAATCACGTAACTACAAAAAAAAAAACTGCTCACAAAAAAGTTTTTAAATCTTAGCAGATGGACACAAACCATACTTTGAGAACCATGTTCCACAGTGCCAATACAGGAAGTTTCTAGATAATGGCAGCTCATTTTTTAAAAATGGCACTACACTATACTGTATTCACATGCCAGCAAAACTGTTAAGGTAAGTTCATGTCACTATTAAAATAAAATGAATTCTGGGAATTTTGTTGATATTCAATTTTAATCTTAATTATGCAAAGATCTGTTACTTAACTAAGACTATGTAACATAATATAGCATATGACTTCTGGATAATGAAAATAATCCTAAACTTAACCATAAAAAAATAAGGGTATGAAAGTCAAAATAAGGTAGAAAATGACTGCACCAAATAGCCAACAACCTTAAAAAGGGTAGGATTTTTTTAAATCACTAAATTAAGATTGGTTCATTGCATTTAGTACATCTCTTTTATGAAGAGGAGTTATAAGCTACAGAATCAATAAATTATGTTTTGATATAAATTTTTCACCCTTAAAGTTCCTAGCTAGGAGGAAATTATTCTTTTACACTTACACGTTTTAGATAGAATGGCTATAAGTAAGCACAGATAAATGAAGAAATGAAAGAGAAGGGAAAAATAGAGATGGTTGATTCTGCCTCTGCAATTGCTAATTCATAAACATCAAACTTTCCCAGTGTACACTGTCTTCTTTGGGAATTTGCTCCATCTTTTTCCTTAAACTGAAAGGTGGCTTACTGAGGCTATCACTTTCCTAAAGGTCTCCCCAATACTGCCTAATTATTTTCTCTTATCACAGGATACAGGGTGGATGTCCATCTACTTCCTTGTTGTCACTTCCCAGATCACTTTCACTTTATGCTCTTCTAAAATTAAAACAAAGATCATCGACCACAAAACACAATTGTTCTTTTGTAGCTCATGCTAGAATACCCTCTTTGTTACATCTCCTTCATTTTTCTGATCCAAAATTTAGTAGCCTACTATATCTCACCCACTGTCCTTCTTTCCTCCAGCTATGGTAGAGAACTGCTCCTCCAACTTTATGTACATTTGAATCACCTGGGAGTTCCTGTGAACTTCGGGTTCTGATTTAATAAGGACACCCAAAGAGTCTGCATTTCCTGTAACTCTCAAAAGAAGCTGTGGAGTACTCTGAATAGCAAAGCACTGTAAGTGCTGTTTCTGTTAGTATCTAATCTATTAGTCCTAATCTCCCATTTATGCTTTGGCACTCATTCCCTCCTGCTTTCGGTATCTTAATATCTATCATTCCTTCACTCTTCCCTCAGGTTCCCTACATAGTTTATCTCTACCCCCTCTAAGCCGCTCAGTATCGCCCATTAAAGAACTAAACCAAAACTAGAAAACCCTCATTTAACCCTTCACTCCCCCTACATACAATCTGATGTGTCTCTCATCCACAGCTAAACTTGGAAGAAAAATTGCCTGCTTGAGGATGCCATTTTGTTATCTTCAGCTCAATCCTGTACCCACTTCAATGTTATTTGCAGGCCCATTACCCCAACACTGCATTCACGAAAGTCATCAGTGACTACACATTGAGAAAACAAGAATGACATTTTCAGTTCTCAACTAATTTGAATTTCTCAACAGTATTCAATATTGTTAATTACTCCCAATATTTTTCCACATGGTCCTCCATGACACAATACATAATAGTCCCCTTATTATCTATATTCCTGTCTATTGTAAAGACTTCCCCCGCACACCAAAAAAGGTCAAGGAAACTCCTAGCCTTCAAGTCTCAACTCAAATCTGGCCTTCTGAAGCCTTCCCAACTAGGAAAATATACAGTCCCATTGGTTGTCTACCAGTTGTCTACCAGTTAATTGTAATTCTTAGCCACAAGTTAGCTGACCCACCGTCTCTCAAACAGGTGAAGTTAAGCTCAATATTTGGCATATCTTGATATACTTTGTACAGTCTAGCTACAATAAGTTTGCCTATGCACGAAGATGGCTACCGGCGGGGGGGGGCGTCCTTACGTCCTACGTCATCACGTGCCGGGATGAGGGTGGGGCCCTCAAGGAAGACGGAATGGAATCCAGATGGGCGGGGGCAAGCAGGACGGGGCGGGGCTACGCGGGATCTGGGCGGGGCGGGGCCGGTGAGGGGTCGGGGGTGCTCCTGCTATTCAGCCGGTGCGCGCGGCGGCGGGAGGCAGTGGCTGGGGAGTCCCGTCGACGCTCTGTTCCGAGAGCGTGCCCCGGACCGCCAGCTCAGAACAGGGGCAGCCGTGTAGCCGAACGGAAGCTGGGAGCAGCCGGGACTGGTGGCCCGCGCCCGAGCTCCGCAGGCGGGAAGCACCCTGGATTTAGGAAGTCCCGGGAGCAGCGCGGCGGCACCTCCCTCACCCAAGGGGCCGCGGCGACGGTCACGGGGCGCGGCGCCACCGTGAGCGACCCAGGCCAGGATTCTAAATAGACGGCCCAGGCTCCTCCTCCGCCCGGGCCGCCTCACCTGCGGGCATTGCCGCGCCGCCTCCGCCGGTGTAGACGGCACCTGCGCCGCCTTGCTCGCGGGTCTCCGCCCCTCGCCCACCCTCACTGCGCCAGGCCCAGGCAGCTCACCTGTACTGGCGCGGGCTGCGGAAGCCTGCGTGAGCCGAGGCGTTGAGGCGCGGCGCCCACGCCACTGTCCCGAGAGGACGCAGGTGGAGCGGGCGCGGCTTCGCGGAACCCGGCGCCGGCCGCCGCAGTGGTCCCAGCCTACACCGGGTTCCGGGGACCCGGCCGCCAGTGCCCGGGGAGTAGCCGCCGCCGTCGGCTGGGCACCATGAACAGCAGCAGCGCCAACATCACCTACGCCAGTCGCAAGCGGCGGAAGCCGGTGCAGAAAACGTGAGTGTCCCGAGCGCGTCCTCATCGCGGGGGCTGGGCGCTCAGGCACGCGGGTGCGGGAGGCAGCCCCACCCCGCCCCCAAATCCCTGCGATCCTGGGATTAGGTCCATTCCCGGCACTGCCCGTGGAATCGAGGTTTGGAGGCCGGCTGGGAGACAGAGGACTTGGATTCTCCCGTTTTCAATGATTGCATTTTAAAAATTGTCCTCCCACCCATCCTCTTCCCCCGCACCAGTGCATACACACCCTCTCACATTTGCAACTTTGTTCTTTCTGATTTGGTCCTGATTTGTTGACAGCTCTGATCTGCCTTGGGCTAATGGATTAGTTAGTATAAACCTGTCTTGAAATCTCCTTCCACTTTTCATATCCGCATGGGTTAGGTTAGAGGACGGTCTTAATTCTCATTCTTCGTAGAGTTTGGTAAGGCGAGATGTTTTAAAGAGCTAAACACATGCTGACTTTTACGAAGGGGCTGAGTGCCTCTAAAGGTACTTTTTGGTCCCCACCAACTGGCTTTGTGTTGCGCTCATATTTACTTATTTGGCAGCAATTTTGTAGCGCTCATCGTGACCATATCGGTAAAGTGGATAGAAGTGGTAGCAGGTGGGAGTGGATGCAACGGACAGGATACGGTGGAGGATTTGTATTCTTCAGACATCTTTTTCGGAAGCTTGCTTATCACTTTTGGGGTGGCTTTAGGGTCTGTAAAATAAAAGATTTAGAACTGCATTTGAGAGAGGTTTTCATTCTTAACATCTACCTCTAATTCTTTTCCCCTTCAAAGTTTTCTTCTAGTTGAGTGAGTACAAACTTGCTTTTGTCGTTGTCGGTTGATTTTGGTGGAATATTTGTGTGAGATGGCCAATTTTTTGTGTGTGTCAGAAAAAACTATCCGTGCTCAAAACATTTCCTGTTGTGAGGTGGTTGTATTCATGTGTTTATTCCAATTTTTTTATTTCTAGATCTCTGAGTTACTTTACCTACATGTGTTTCAAGTTTTCGTAAACAATTTTAAGAACTCTTAAACGTCTTCTCAGACCAAATCAGAAGTGTGCATTTTGCTTAGACTCCAACTATCACTAATGGGAACCAGAAAAATAACACTTTAAGATTTACATTTAAAACCAGTTATTGGTTTAAAGTTTCATTCTAAAATTTTAGTTTCCTTTCAGAATTTCAGTTATCATAGTTCTTCAGAAGTATACTTATGAATTGGCATTAACAGAGGATAATAATCTATAAATAGACTGATGAAAATTTGGAAGTTTTATGGTACAGTGTGTCTTAAGGGAATATTGTCAAACCAGCAGTTTTCTACCTTGGCAGTTTGAGACATCGGTTATTAATACTTTTAATTTTGTAGAATGGTTTCTTATATTAAAGTATGTTTGTCTTATTTGACATTGTCATTGATGGTTAAAGTTGGGAGGCATCCCAAATGTCTGTTCTATGTGTTTATTAATATAATAATACACTTAGCATCATATATAATAGGGGTGTCATGGGTTTTATGTGTATGGTGAGAAAACATGAAGATCTCCCTGATGTGTTTTTAAGATACTGGGTTTCAGTTAGGGTGTTATCAAAGGACCTGGATGGCTTTGTAAACAAAAACAAATGCCATAATTTTGTATTCATTACACAGTTTAACATTTATGGATTTTGGTTATTTTGCGTAAAATGTACTTTTTATTAGATTATCCTAATATTATACTTACTTAGTTTTTAATATACTTGTATTAATTTCTTATAATATAACAAAAGTATTTTTTCCATTCACCCACATTTTGTTAGCATAGATGTTTATCAGATCTCTGCTGAGCACCGTATATTGCTTCTAATCATACAGATGCCTTAAATATTACCAGCTTGCTCTGTAAGAATAGGCTAGTGCTGGCATTTTCATTATCAAGTGAAAGTGTTTATATAAATTATTTTTACCTGAATGAAAAATTGTTAACTTTATAATGCAGTTAATCAAAGTTTATTTTAGAAATGAAGTCATTAAACCTAGTATTAAATTTGAGTTTTAAAATTAAACTACCAGTTTGTGGCCTAATGAGCCCCAAAACATGCCAACATTGGGGAAAATAGATCTTGTTTTGAGCTGAAAATGCTATCCAGACCTACTTAACTTTGACCTCTTAAATGAGAGCCATTTTATTTTATTTACAGATAAAATATGCTGTAGCATTATTATAGGACTGTTTAAAAAGACAGCCAATTAAATATAAATTTTATGGAATATAAGTATTCCATAAAATTTTGGAGTAAAGTAGGTGACAATTGTAACCTGAAGCTCTTTCAATCTTGAGTTGAATTTATTAAGAAAAATCAACCCCCCCTAGTGGCGGCTCTCACATTGAAAATTATCTTTATTAGTAGGAAATACATTTTAAATGTGTTCAATTTAATCCCACTGAAGTATCTCCAACATAGTAGACTCTCAATAAATATTTCCTTTCTTTTTGGAGTAATGAAGGTTGGGAAATTAAAGGCTCTGAAGCAACTTTACGTCCAATTCATGTTCCTACCTTCAAGAAGAAAATATCAAAGATAACTTTCATTATAGAATCTACTATAACTTTGCTTAGACTGTTGCCCCATACTTAGTGACCCTACTCAGAAAAAGAGAACAAATCCTGTGTTTATTTTATTCTCTTTGGAAATGAAAGTGTTTATTTATTTTGTCTCATGAAGATAGTCAAAAAGGCCATTATATAATTAAATAGAATGTTTTTCCCTAGTGATAATTTTGTATATATTTTTGTATTTTTAAGGTTTTAATCATAAAGAAAAAGTTGTAATGGATTTCAGCTTACCTGTACATAGAAAGTTAGCACTGAATGTTGGCAAATAATAGGTGTTGAGAAAAGGGGATCTACACTTTAAAATGATACCAGCTGTAGTGGTGATTAAGCCATTATGAAGTGTCAGAACTGGAAGTCACTTCTGAGCCTTAGCTGATCTTTCTTTAAAATGCATACTGATAAAAACTTTTACTTTTATTAACATATTAATAATATAAAAGCATTGTCTTGCTATTCTTTTTAAATGTCATGAATTTCATATATGTAATACTGAATTGTATTACTTACATAATACTCATTAAATGTTTTCTATAAATTTATGGTGCCATTTTTAAAATAGCATCTAAAATAAAAGAATGGGTCTTTTCATTTACACAATTATTTCTCCATCATTTTTCTTTCCAATAGCTTTAGATAGCATATACATAGTAGTTATGGACACTTGCTTATTAGAACTATGAAATGAAGTAAGTGAAAGTGTTTAGTTATAGGTAACATTAAATGGCAAAAAGAGGAAACAGGTATAAATTGAAAGCACTGGATCTAAACTAAAAAATGAGGTCTAGTTTCTTCACTGTTACAGATCTGGGCAAGTTTCTTGACCAATAAAGCACGACAGTCAGCACCTGTACTGCTACTCTCACAACTAAAACAGAACAAAAAAAAAATATATATATATATATAAACTGTGAAGACTGCTAAAGATACAAATGAAACAGAAACGTAAATTCTATTCTTTTAGCTTACATTATCACAGAACAATCAATTCGCCCGTGAAACAGTAAGAGGCAGTATACGATTATGTTCTCAATTACGGCTACGGCTGAAATGTGCTACTTCACTGGTGAATAAATTTACATAGTACGTGCTTACTCATGTATTTAATTAAGACAGTTACTTAGAAATAAATACCATACAAATCTTTTACAACAGTACCTTTCTACTTTTATGCTTCTTTTAAAATTGATATTTTGCTAGTGGCTTAATATGACAAAAGATGACTGTTTATTAGCACTTATTCTGATACAAGCTTGCCCAGTTCTTTACATCATTTTCTTCATTTTTATAATAGTACTAAAGAAAGGTAGTATTATTTAAGTTTATAGATAGGGAACTGAGATTCAAATTCAGAGTTGCTCAGATAATGAGAAAGAGTTTGGATATTGGATCCCAGGTCTTTTTGCTTCAAAGCTTGTGTTCTTACTGACTTGTGTTCGTACTGTCCAGGTGAACAGATTCAGTGATGCATACAGTACAGCCATATCCTAGGGATTTTCACTGTTTCTTCTCAGATAGTGTTATGGCTGAAATAAATTATTTGTCATTTCCCATACATAATTTGTACTTGCTCATCCCCATACTTGTGTTTTTACGTCCTTTCCTCTTAGAGTCTTTTCTCCTGTCTTATTGATTTGCTACCCACCTCCCTTCCTCTTTAAAACATTGTTTTTAAAGGCTGCATAATACTCTGTTGTACTAATATTCTATAATTTTTTTAACTGTTTTTCTTTTGGGAGGAAATTTTATTCCCAACCATTTAATACTTTAATATTTCAGAGAATACCCTTGGGACGTGTAAATTTTAATGCAAATTTATTTTTTTAGGAAAAAATTCCTGTAAGGGAATTTTGGGATAGAAAAGTATGTGTTGTTTTAAGGTTGAACCAAATCGTACACTCCAAGAGATAGTATCAAATTAAGAAAAATTTACTAATTACATTCCATCATCAATCTGGGGATGTGACTATATCTTTGCATTTTTGCTTAAAAAATATTATTGTCAATTTCATAGGCAAAAGTGTGGTTGGTAATTAAAGTTATATGTTGGGATCATGGTTATGTATAGGAGAAGCACTTGTATTTGCAGATTTTCTACTTAGGGTGTCCTTTACGTATTCATTTGTTTTGTCTTACATTTTTCAGTCATCTTTTAGTTTGTTCTTTTTACTTCTTTCTATTGAAATATTGTTTTAAAATGTATTCCTATTAAATAATACTGGCAGATTTTAAAAGTCAATTATATATGTGGCACATCTTAAGTATAGCATGTGAGGCCTTATCTTTTGATGTCTTACTGTGGTAGTTAGGGATTTTAGTGCTGTCTTGTCTCACTTTAACCTTTTTCACCTTCCTGCATCCTCCCAATATATTTTATCACAATTTTGGATTATATACACATTAGTGTTGTATTATTTTTGACTGTATATTGTTTACTGTTTAGCTAAGTAATATACTGTGATTATATTTGCCTTCCTGTTCTATGCTATTATTGATTTCTTTTCTACCATCTTCCTGTTTATTAGCATCTGGGTTTAGCTGTCACTTAGGTTCATCGGAGACAGAGTTTGTGTTTCTGGCTCCTGCTTTTCTTGTTTTGGTGTGGTTTTCTGGAAGAGAAGGGTAGTTGCAGAAAGCTAGATATTCTGCCGTCACAGAAACAGAAGTGTCTTGCCTGTATTTAAGACCCGATTTAGATGCCACATCTCCATGAACTCTTTTGCAGCACCTGTGTTACTGAGCAATATATTATGCTTGATTTTGCCATGTTATAAAATATATTTCCTCCTAGTAGGAAAAAGAATGTCTTTAAAGATAGGACTATTATTTGTCTTTGAAACTACCAGAGCTTCCCAGTACAGTACCATGCACTTAGTACATATTTGAGATGTACTAATTTAACAATTAACTACCACTTAAAATTTTTTTGGTAATGTTTTAGTGATTCTGGTAAGGCAGATACATTTTATGCGGGTTCGAGGGGGAATAAAAATGTGTGTTTGCGTAGAAGAAGGGGGAGGGGAAACAATGAGTTTTCCAGGATTATGGAACTAGTAGTGGTTTCTAGGCCATATTTCATTTTCCTGATCTTCCCTGCTAATGTCTTGTGCTAGAAACTATGCTGTTTATATCTCATCATCTCTCCTCAGGTATAGCAAACAAAAGGGAAAGGAAAGAACTCATCACAATTATAGGGCAGCAGCAGGAGGGTGGCAGAAGACTTCTGACTCATTAAAAGTGGCTTCCAGCCAGAATTCTCAGAAGTTTTTGTAGATGTTTTTGACTCATATAGGGAAATAAAATATCCAGCTGTGTTCAGCCTGACAATGAAGTTGGGGTCTATTTGTGCTATGTGTCACCTCCATTACATTAAGCACATAGTTTATGATTGTAAATATTTGAAATTTATATTCAGAGATAAATACGGATGCACTGAAGCTGGGGGAAGGAAATGAAGAATGAATGGGGTTAAGAGTTGGGCTTTATTGGGTGTAGGTAGTATGGTAGGGGGATTTTATTGAGGAATACTTCAGATTTCCTAGCTGTTAGATGGAGAGTAGCACCATAGTGCTGAGAAGCGGGTGCCCAACTCCAGGGGAATGTTGAATGGAAGGGCACAGGGTCAGGTACAGGGACTGGAAATAAAGATAAACAAGTTATGGGTAAGTAGACCAACGCAGTAAGAGTAGATTAAATCACCCCGAGGAAAAATCCGATAGAGCAAACTCAGTACTGTGAGAGGCAATCTCTTGTTAAAAAACGTCACTTTGATCTCATAGGATTACTGAAACCATATCTTTGCATGTCATTTTGAGGTTTTATAATGAATATTATATAAAACAGTTATATTTATGAGTAAACTTGGTTAATTTTTTCAGCTTTGCTTCAAACACTGGCTACAAATGATGAACCTCATAGACTTTTTTGATGGAGATGTTAAAAAGGCTTTCAAGATAGCATTCAGACTGGCATTGGGCATACTGTTGGGCCTGTTACCACCAGCAGTTAAAGCTTGCAGGGCTTCTAAACAGAAGCATGGCATGCAGTCAGCTGGAGTCTTGATTTCATAACAATTTTACAGATTGGGACAAGATTTTTGAGGTAAAGGTTTCAAAAAATAATAAGTTACTCCTTTGCCTGACCAACATCATACGGTCTATTTCAGGAGATGTTTGAACTCCAGAGCTCCCAAATCCAATCTTACAGGGATGTTTATTTATATTTCAAACAGGCTTTTCCTTAAATAATGGTTAGCAGTGTCCTTTCTTAAAGATTCGAAGACAATACAAAAGTAAAAATATTAGCGTAATCCAAGTCAAGTGCAGTTAATGTAAGATTACTCTATTTTTAATTGTTCTGTATATCTTCAAGATGTATGGATAGATATTAAATATTTTAACAAAATCTGTACATTTCTCACAAAATCAGTGAAAAAGTGGGTCAAATGCATTACCTTTGTTAGCTTTAACAATCTGACATTTTAAAAGCTTCAAATCCAGTACATCTGAATTGTTAAGTTCTGAGGGTACTTCTTAGCCCTGACCTTAATTCCTCTGTGTATTTGACTTTCTTCCTCTGTGTATTTGACTTTCTTCTATGACCTCCAAAATATTCTACCCTGGTTTTTTTCCGTCTATCATTTCTTCTCTGTGTCTATGCCTCTTCCATAGCCCTATACCTAAATGTTGGTATTACTGAGGTCTATCCTCAAGCCACTTTTTTCCTTTTCTGGTACAGCTCTCATTAGGAAATGTAGTTGTTCTTCTGAGCTACAAATCGCAGAACCATTTGCAACCTCTCCTCACTCAATGGTTTCCTCTTCCTTACTTCCTATAGTGAGTTAGTTTAGTTCAGTGAACATTTGAGTCTGGCTTAAATCTCTCTTCAAGCCAGTCCTTTCTTAACCTCACTGTCACTGCCTTTGGTCAGGTTGTGATCATTCCTTTTCTTGGCACTTTTGGTCAGCAAACATTAATTGAGAATCCACTCTATTATGCTGGGCATTAAGGATACAAAAATGATTTAAGCTTACATAGAAATAAGGGTGTTAGGCAAACAAGTATAAGCAATTATGTTACTTGACAATGGAAATTTGCTCTCATGTTAAATATTTTGTAAGACACATAGTAATGCATTAGAAATGTAGACAATTTTGCATTATGAAAAGCAAGCCTCAGAATCTAGTGTGAGGCTGAATATTGCAAAGAGCCAGCACAAGACAGGCAGCAGTACCACATGGAGGGATACCTTTATGTTACTATTAGTTCTCCCTGTGTCATAGCATGTTGCCTTGTTTCAGCGTTTGTGTCACTCTCTTCTCTCCAGTGTTTCATAATCATTACTGGAAAGCCACCAAGAGTGCAGGACTGGATTGTGTACACACTTTCTATTTCTGTGAAGTTGTTTGTATGGAATATTCCTTAATGGAATCATTATATTAGACATTTGTATAAGAAGTCAAATGGGGCAGAGTTGCTAATCCATTGTGAGGTAGGTCAGGGAGGACTTCATGAAAGTGATCTACTTGAGCGGGGACTTGAAACCAATGGGACATAACAAGGAGGTTGTATGAAAGCACTAAACCACATGTTGTAACTGTAAGTAATTTCTTAGCTCTGGGGTAGAATAGACAAAAGCGGCTTCAATAGAAGAAATGAAGCCAGAGGGGTAAATGAAGCTAGAAAGATCATGAAGGATTTTGTGTGCTAAGCTAAGGAACATGGACAGTTCAGAGCTACTGAAGGAGTTTAATCAGAGGAGTGACACAGTCAGATTTATGTTTTAGAAAGAAGTTCCTGGCATCCCGGAATCCTAACTTCAGCGAACCCTGCCCTGCTTTCTGTATACTCTATCACCAGAGTCAGCTTGGTGAAACACAGGCTGATCTTGTAAATCTCAGCTCAACACTTAAGAACAGATGCCTAAGTCCGATTTCTATCGTTACTTTGCTGTCTCCTCTATCTTGAACATTTTTGCATCAGACACCCACATAGCTCACTTCATTTTACTCATGTCTGTCCTGAAACATCACATCAGAGAGACCTTCCTAGGCTGTCCAAACCAGCATCACGTCTGTCACCCCTTAGTTTCTTACCTTGCTTTATTTTTCTTCTTAGCACTCACCGCCCTAAAAGTTATATGTTTATTTGTTTATTTCTCCATCCTCCACCTAGGATGTAAGCTCCATGACAACAGGAGCTTTTGTATATTTTGTTTACCTGTAAGTGTTCTGTGCTGGGCACTTGATAGGTGTTCAGCATTTGTTGAAAGAATGTGGCCCCAACCATCCTTCTTCTTTTCTCTCTTTCACCCTGTGCCTCTCCCTTCATGTGGGGGAATTCTTACAGTTCACTAATCCTTAGTTATGCCTCTTCATGAAATCCTGTCCCTCACTCAAGATCCATCTCAGATACCACCTTTTCTGTAAAATCTTTTTTCAAGCAGTTGCTGCTTCTGCTTAGCTCCCATAACACTTTTTGAATAGTTAGGAGAAAAGTGTTTACCTGGGCTGTACAGGATGTGATGGATATAAATAAATACTTGTCAGCAAGTTATTAATTAACCAGTAGAGAATTACACAATGAGGTAGACAAGCATTATAGGTAAAGTTTGAAATTCAGTTGGTTAAGTGGAGAAGTGAAGTAATTAGGTGTGACTTGAAATTTGTTTATAAATGCAATATGATTAGGGGAAAATAGCTAGGGGAACCATCACCAATTTCTATTATATACACAGTTGTACAGACAACCTGGAGAAGGTATCTGTTGATACATACATAAACACACACACACACACACACACACACACACATCATTTTACCGATGTATTACCTTTTTTGTAGAAGTATTTACTTTTCATCTTCTTTCTGCCTAAAGTATTACTTCTCCACATACATCACTGAAAAGAAATTATCTAGAAATGTTTTGATTGGGTCATATTAATAGCACTATGCCCAGGCCAATTTCTACTTTACAAAAGCTGATATAATTCCATTTGAATTGTCAAAAATGTCTTTGTTGTAAGAAAACGCTAGATAATTACTCTTCTGGCTAACAGGAAGGTATAGAGGTATAAGGTATAAATTACTTTAGTTTCCCAGTTCAGCGTGGGTATCTGATGATTTTTAAATTCACTTTAAGTGATTAATGTCTGCTGTGAAATCCTGGCTGGGGTCTTTGTGTGAAGTTATTCAACTTTTCTTTTCTGAACTCATGTTCCTCTTTGACCCATAAGTGTCTTTATTCTCAGGTGAAAATCATGCTAAATTGTTTAGGGTTCCGTTGAACTTTCTAATTGAGACACAAGCTACGAAAGCTAATAATTAAGTATAATTATTGTCTACATGTAAAAGCAAAAGTTGCTGGTAATCACCATTAACCTCTAATATTTGCCAACAAGAAATGTAAATAGCAAAAGTCAAATTTATTCTTCTTTTAATATTTGAGGACCACATTAGATGGCTGGAGGACCATCTGCAGGTGTCAGAGGGGCTTTGGGACATTATCTCTAATGAGTTGAAAGTAAATAAATACAGAAAGCTGGTGATATGAAGATAAATACTTTATTTAGGGTTGTCCTTGTTTATTGACAACGTCAATGATGCTGAGATGCTTCCTGTGGAAGATAGCAAAGGAAGTATGATTTTCATATAATTTATCACAAATTTCTCTTTTTAATTTTCCACCAAACAATGGCTAATGCATTTGAGAGGGGAAAAAAATCCCAGTAGATCTGTTAATTGGGAATCACTGTGCTACAAATGCTTGAAGTATAAGCAAACATTTTCCTATGATGAGTTCATAAGCTTTTTAATGAAATATTCGGAAGAATTTAACCCATTCCCTGTTTTTCTTAAGATGTGAAAGGAAGATTTTAGAAAGACTTACGTAAACTTTAAGTAGACTTTAAAAGTTTGTTGTGTTAGAGAAATATTTGAGGAGATGTTATAATGCAATAGAAATTTTTGCTTTATATTTTTTAAAGGATTTTTTATGGTATTTTGTTTGTTTTTCAGAGTAAAGCCAATCCCAGCTGAAGGAATCAAGTCAAATCCTTCCAAGCGGCATAGAGACCGACTTAATACAGAGTTGGACCGTTTGGCTAGCCTGCTGCCTTTCCCACAAGATGTTATTAATAAGTTGGACAAACTTTCAGTTCTTAGGCTCAGCGTCAGTTACCTGAGAGCCAAGAGCTTCTTTGATGGTAAGACAGAAGGGTTTAATTTGTCTACAATAACGTATAAAAAATACTTGTACTAGATATAGCTGTTTCTGTGTTAATAACTACAAAAATTAGCCGTATTTGGAAAATTTATTGCTGTATAGTAAAATTTCAGTGGCAAAGCCAGATTTATAAGTCTTAAAATCAATTTTCCAGTTTTATTCACCCAACAGATGCAGCCACTGAAATGATGCATGGTATCATTCTTTGAAAATCATATATTTAGAAGTTACACTCAAATTGATTATGTCAAATTCCAGTTTCCCTTCTACTTCAATATTTAAAAGTCTTTTTTAAAAAAAAAGAAAAGATAAAACACCATCTTGCTGGATTTTCTGTGTTTTCATAGACATGTCATTTTATTTATCCCTCCAAACTTACGTATATTTCTAATCTTTTTTTTTTTTTTTGAGGCAGACTTTTGCTCTTGTTGCCCAGGCTCGAGTGCAATGACACGATCTTGGCTCACTGCAACCTCTGACTCCCGGGTTCAAGCGATTCTCCTGCTTCAGCCTCCCAAGTAGCTGGGATTATAGGCGCCCACCACCACGCCCAGCTAATTTTTTGTATTTTTATTAGAGATGGGGTTTCACTATATTGGCCAGGCTGCTCTCAAACTCCTGACCTCAGGTGATCTGCCCGTCTCAGCCTCCCAAAGTGCTGGGATTACAGGCATGAGCCACTGCGCCTGGCCTATTTCTAATATTTTACATTAATTGTATACCGACTGCAAGAAATATAATTAAAACATGTTTTTCACTAGAAAGAACATTTGATTGTAAGAGTCAATAGAATTTGATTTCATTCTCTATTGTGTCACTGAAAACTGTTTGTCATTAACCAAACCAGGTAGCATCCCCGTATCTCAGTTTTCTCAGCAGTAAAGGTTGGGGTTTTGAGCTAGGCAGCTGGATGATATTTGTTACCTTTAAATTGCAATGGAAGTTTTTGTTTGCAAATGATGTTTCAGTGTATTTTCTCATGTAAAATTAATTTTTGATTTATCTTTTATCTGTCTATAAGGCAGAAATAGATTTTTTAAGGAAATGGTCTTTTTAAAATATCATATAATTTTACTAACCATAGCAAGTTAATGATAAAATCTCAGTGGGCTATGTCAGTCAATGCTTCTCATACATTAATGTGCTTACAAATCACATAGGGATCTTGTTAAGATGCAGATTCTTGTTCAGTAGCTTTAGGTGTGTCCCTAGATTTTGCATGTCTAACAAGCTCCGAGATGATGCTGATCCTGCTGGTCTAGGTCACTAGGAAGTGCCTAGACAACACGTTTATGGATATTTGACTGGTAATTTGTGTTTAGAATATTGCAACAGTTAATTTCCCTTTAGATTTATGTTTACATAATCTGATGTGTTTCGTCTGAGCATCTTTTTATTGATTTGCTTGCTTGCTCTCCCGTCTTTCTTTTGGACAAAAGCTATTTAGTTTAACAGTTGTGGTCTGGGCAATATACAGATTTGAGGATAGTGATTTCAGGAAAGATTATATATTTCAAAGTTTCATAGTACACAAATTTTCTCTGACCTATATAAAAAGTGTTTGAATTTTCAGTTGCCTCTATACCAAACCCTTCATCTTGGGAGAAGAGTTACGCAGTATTCAGTGATGGTCTGTAAGTATGTGTGTATTAGCTATAGTCATTTAGCTGACATAGTTGGAACTAGAACTCAGGTTTCTAGATTCCTTATATTGTTTTTCCTGACCAAATAATACCTACTTTTTTCTGGGAACCTTCGCATAGGAAAGCACTGAGGATTTTTTCCTAGACCTGTGGTTCTTAAAAGTGTAGTATCCAGACAGGCAGCATCAGCATCACCTGGGAACTTGCTAGAAATGCAAATTATTGGGTCCAACCCTAGACCTGTGGAATCTAAGGTGGTGGGACCTTTGGTGATAGGGCTAGATGCATATTGAAGTTTAGGAGCCACTGCTGTAGATTGTAACTTCAGGCCTCCTCCCAGCGTCACGGAATGCTGTCCTGATCCCTAGCATTTACTCACATGCTGTGCTTAGTGCTTGACCATGTGGTGGCAGATTCTGTGATGTGTAAGACGTGGTTGCCACCCTTAGAGATTCTGGAGTCTAGAAGCCAAGGAGGCATTATTCTCTGACTCTGATAAAGCTTTATTGACTTGAGTCATTTTACCTTTCCATTTCTTGTTCCTTTGTAATGGGGAATCAAATTATATATGTTAAAAAGAAAAAAAAAGTATAGGTTTTTCCTCTGTTTAGAAGTAGTACATATGTGTGTATCTAGACAGATACATATAAATGTGTGTGAAACACACATATATAAACAGATATATTTCTATATTTAATGTCTACATTATGTGTGTATGTGTGTTCATGTATGTATACACACAGACACATACATGATTAGATAAGTGTCCTATTATTCAGTGCTTCAAGTAAAGGAGATCTCACAGTCTATCTTATAAAGCATGTCATAGTTTAACACAGGGTTCATCACGGAATTGTTAAAAACTTTTTTCTCAGCTCTTCATTAATGAGTTTGTCTGTTTTTTATTCTGGTTCAGTGTATTTGACAGTAGGATCTTATTACCTATTTGCATGATTCCTTCATCAACTACATTATCATTATCTTTAACGTTAGATTCTTTTCAAACTGCATTGTGCATAAGAATTACCTAGAAAGCTTTTTAAAATGCAAATTTGGAGGCATGCCCCTGCTGATAACAAGGAAGTTCTGTGTAAAACCCAAGAATCAGTATTTTAACAAGCATGTTACGGAGTCTGAGGCAGTGATTTAGCCTAGCCTTGATTATGCCCTGAACAAGTTAATTTTTGTTTCTTTGCCTTCAGAATGACAAATGCAAACATACAAAATTTAAAGAAGTCTATGAATATTTTTGCTTGTGTTATAGTGGTGTACATTCAGCCTAAGCAGTTTCTTAGATTGTTTGATACAGAAACATACAGTTAGATGGAAAATGAAAATAATAAGGTTTTTTTTTTAATCCCCAAATTTCCTCCAGACTACCAGTGGTCTGGAAAGGCAATGCAACATTTCAGAGCACACAGAGAATGAAATTATAAGGGTGACCCTTATGAACTGAAAAAATGGTAGATGCAAACGAAGAGATTTGAAACATGCTAACAATGATTAGGATTTTTGTGTGCAGTTGGACCCACTCTTCCACTATTAGGGAAACAGTATAGCGAAGCGAAGGGAAGCTCAAAGTGAATAACAGGATGCAAACAGGGGGTGTGTAAATTCCTGCGGAAAGAACAATATAAACGAGTAATCATACAATCTTGTTAGAAAGGAAACTCAAGTTTTACTGTAACAATAGATATTTTTCCAAGAAAATACATCTATTTATTGCAAGTTTAAATAATCCAACTTGGATGGATCTTCTTAAAGTTTGGAACCATGACTATACTGCTGCTGCTGTCTGAAAAGCAACACTATAAAGTTTTAAGTACTACATTAATATTTATCCATTTCTAATTAATTAAAACATATTGAAATATAACTTTAAAATACTTGAACAAGGCTTAGCAATTTTTCAGTTATAAAGTCGAAAATAGTTTCTTTGACATGATTTAAGCATTACATTTAAATATATTATCTCTGAGATGGAGGGTATTTTAAAAATTTAAATAACAATGGTTACAATCAATAATAGTTTATTAATAGAGACTAGGATTTGGGTGGTTACAATCTAATCTTTGAAACTGGTTGATGTGAAGAGAAAGGATTGTTTCCTCCTATATCATGTCTCTCAAAATTGTTAAACAGTGTACACTGGGCTTGTTGATCAATCTAATCAGCATTGTAATGTTTCATTCCTAATTTCAGCATATCTTTAATACAATTTTTAATGAGATTTCCTTACTATTTTTTGAAATGCCCATTATTATGTAAATATTTTGTTCAAATTATTCTGTTTTTATACAGCTGCCCCAAAATTGAGAATTCGGGAATGACTACTTTTGTTTTCTGTTTACATACAAACACCTAATGAGCCTGACAAAATGGAGCTTAGGGATCCGAGTTTCTGATTTCAAAGTCTTGCATTTGCAGCTGTCATAGGGAATAGTAGTATTCTAGTTATTTTTAAAACAAGGTAATGTTAGGGAAAATCTAAGTCTTGAATCATTATACATGCTTAAAATAATCACCATTTTATAAAATGTAGAATTATTTACATGTTAAAATATTTTCATTCATTAAGCCTAAAAATGCTGTGGGAAGAGAGGATAATAGTTATATTATGTGATGATCTAACATTTATTTGACCCCATTGTTTATCATGGATCTTTCTTGACTTTATTTTAAATTAAAAATTACAAGTGCTCTGTTCTTGGTCTTCCTTTTGCAGATGCTTTAACAGTTCATTCCCAGTTCATTAGGTTTTCCAAAGAGAGCTATTGTGTTTATTCATCTTCAGCTTGTGCATTTCTCTGAATTTCAGTTGTTTTGGTATCTCTCTAGATCAGAACATTATTCTTGAAAAACAAGTATACGTACATGTGTATATGCAAAGAACAAGCTTGAACAAGCAGTAAAAATGAAGTAATGCACTTCTAAGTGTTGATGTTTTATAAAATCTAATAGATTTGTATGTCTGCTTTTTCATTCATGAGAATTCTATAATTTCATCTGCTTTGTTGTAATTTTAAAATTTCTGTGTGTCAAGTAATTTACCAAAGTTTCAGTATGATAGTATCATAGCAAATGTTATTTCTTAATTCTAGGACTATCCAAAGTAGGTTTGTTTGCATAACAGTTTAGCACATTTGAAATCACCAAATAAAGTATTTGTTGAATTTGATTTACCCATGGCATTATCCATCTTAAATGGTGATTTAACTGTTATCTTTTTTCCTAATTCACATTTTAAAACATGAAACTCTAATTACAATATTCATGATAACTTTCATAGCTAAAACTATATAAACCTAGGTTCTTTTAAAATTTTAATTTATGGAACCCCTGCAGATTTAAACATGAATAAATACAAAGAATAGTAGCGCATTCTTATTGAATGAATATACAAATCCTGGCTCTCATATTTAATATTGTGACCTCTTTGGTTCAGGAATTTAATCTCTCTTTTCCTCAGATATCCCAATTTACAGTATAAGATTTATTAGATTATATGAATAAATTAATATGATAGAACTTTATATAGGATACTTTTATCTCTGCTTTTGTTTGCTTTGACAACTATTTTGAAGAACACAGTGACAAATATCTGAGATTCAAACAATCTAAACTCATTGTATCATATATTATGTATTTTGCTGCTTTCCTGTCTCTTTTAAATTTACTGATTTAATGGATTTCTCTTTGATCATTACCTAGTCTTGCATGGTTCTAGAATCCTTGCTTATTTGGCCATGAACAGGTCATTAGTCATCATTTTTTTTCTTTTTAGGGAGACTACCGTGGGCTAACATTAAAATCACCAACTTTCAGCAATTTTCCTTTTTTAGAAAATTTTCAAATACAGACATTTAAAAATCTGTAGTTAAGTCTTAAGATATTTCGTGAGGGTTTGTGATCTGGTTAATGGAAATGTACACCTTCATGTTATAGTGTTTTATAAAACATATTCATATATAATATTAATTATATTAAAATCTGAAGAAATTTTTATTTGGTAATATTTGTATATTATTTTTAAATCTTGCTCTTACAGCCTTTTGACTTTTCAATCAATGAATTTTAATGAGTAACTCAAATTCGTTTATTTGCTTATGGCTGGAGATTTAGATTTTAGAGTCATTTTATCGTCAGAATAACATTTTAAGCCATTAAAGTGAATAAAATATTCCAGGGGGAGAACATGTAGAATAAGAGGAAAAGTACCAAAGATAAGATGTTTTAAGGATGAGCAGGGGTAGTAAAAAGTGAAATCTGTGGAGTATGAAAGTATGCTAAGGTGATAGAGTTGACTTAAGATACTTTCATTTGATGTGTTCTTAAATTGGAGAGCCAGAGAGAAAACTGTACATGAAAGTGAAAACTGAAATGAAATGAAAGTGTAAACTGAAATGAAATGAAAGTGTAAACTGAAATGCAATGAAAGTGTGTACAGAAAAATAATAACACTAGAGAAGGTGATTTCTGTTCCTTGTTTGTCCATAGAGGCCAAAAAGCCATTCAGTTGTTAGCAGTGGGAGATTAAGAGGGAGACAAATGTCTGGGCTCTGTGGCTCATGCCTGTAATCCCAGCATTTTGAGAAGCCAAAGCAGGAGGACTGCTTGAAAGCAGGAGTTCGAGACCAGCCAGGACAACGTAGTGAGACCTCGTCTCCATACAAAATAAAAAATTAGCTGGGCTTGGTGGTGTACTTCTGTATCCCAGTTATTCGTGACACTGAGGTGGGAAGATATCTTGAGCCCAGGATGTCAAGGCTGCATTGAGCCATGATCGTGCCACTGAACTTCAGGAGTGAGACTGTTTCACACACACACAAAAGACGGAGACAAGTAGTCTGATGGGATTGGTTGACATAAAGAACCTTAATGAATTGTACCTACTGAATTCTTCATGTATTTTCTAGCCTGAAATTTTCTCATACAATTGTCATATTTACAGAGCATTCTGTTGTCAGCTGGATTTTTTTTTATCGTGTCTAATTTCTGTGTTATGGAGACATTTCATCTCTTTATCTCAGCATGGTAGAGGGAGGTTGTGTTTTGTGATTAAAGCACTGACAGCAGGAGCTGTGGATGCTAGTTCAGTTAACGAATCTTGTGTTTTTTGATAGACTTTAACCTCACTGTTCCACAGGGTCTTCATCTTCTCAGCATGTTTGATAAAGATGCTTGCTTGCCCTGATATATTAGGTTTGTAGTAAATTCTAAAAATGAGAGATCTGTGAAAAATTTTTATAATTAAAATTGTTACTGTTATGGAAATCATAGTTATTTCCTGCAGAATCCTGATATTTCACTTGTTTTAGTGGAGAATTTTGTTTTTTTTTTTTTTTTTGAATATGCATAAGGGCCTTTACGGACCTGGTATTAATATCAATTGAGAATCCCTTTGTTTAATTAATTTCATATTTTTTATTTAGAGATGGAAATTTGTTAATAAACTGTTTTTCCCCTTTTGATATAATACATAATAATTTACTTACATATACTGTTTTCTTTTATCGAAAGTGGCACATATTCCAAATCTGGACACTTGGAAAAGTGTGATAGCTTGCTTTGGTGAGGATAGAAATTTTGGGCATTGTATGCTACTTGCTTTATTGGGATACATGTCAAATTTTCTGTTATTGCGCTATGTCTTAAGATAGGTGCTTCAGCTTTTGTGTTTGTAAAATTGTTATTATTTCCCGAAGAAGTTCACAATAATAACTGTGCTGAACAGCATGGAATGATAATTTTAAGAAGTATGAGGGAATTCAATCCAGAACATACGTGAGTTATTTCCTAAATCCTGAGGTTCTAAGTCTCTGTTTCTCAAAGAATGGCACCTCATTCTCAGCATCACTGGGGAACTTGTTACCTATGCAAACTGTAAAGCCCTATCCTAGACCTACTGAATCAGAAATTCTAGAGGTGTGGCTAAGCATTGTATTTTAAGCCTTCCAGGTGATTCTAATGTCTGTGAAAGCTTAAGGATCACTGCCCTCATTGAGTATTTACATTATGTTACTTAAAATGCAATTTAAATACTACTCTTGTATATATGAAAAGCTAAGTGCAACTCATTCCCCACTGAAAAGGTCAATTAACTGCTCTTGTTCCATTAATGCAGAGATTTGTCATATAGTTATAGAGGAATTGTATAAAACTGAGTGCGTACCAATGAGTAACTGGAAGAATGTTAAACATCTTTGGAAGTCAGTTTTTATGTAAGAGTTTGGATAGAACAAACTTTTAAGGACTACCCTGCCAAAGTAGTAAAGGGGATGGTAAATATTATGAAATTAATTGAATTTATAGCAGCAGTTAGGGACTAAAAGGGGATATGCTTTCCCTGGCAAGATCATCTTTCTGTTTAAATGCAAACTATAGTAACAAAATACAAAATATAGTTTACCACTATTCGGTATTCCTCATGAATTTTTTTTTCCTTGACCAATTCAAAGCATGTGATATGAAGAGATGTGGCATTTAGGGAGTAGGGGAAATCTGAGCTTAGATGTCTAAGGAAGGAAAGTACCGTATTAGGAAACATGGATATGGTTAAATGCATGTGGGAATAAAACTTGAGTCATCTGTGGTATGACCATTTGATAATGCTGTGATGTATTTGCACTCTAAATTCCATCATTTGTTAGATTAAATTCTTATTTGTATTGTACGACTCCTTCATAGATCTTTCAATGAGGAAATAGTGGAAATATTTTGGTGGTTTACTATCTTAACATTCTACTGAATGTTCAGAGTCTGATTCTCACACTTTGGAAAGTGGTACATATCCTCACTGATGGGGAAGATTTTAACAAATGCCCATTACGGTACAGCAGATACTTCCCAGCTGGTGACCTATTTTCAGATACTACATTTTGTTTCTGTGGACTGTCATAAATTTAATTCCAGTGGTGTAATATTTAAAGTGTCGTTATGCATATAATTTATGTAACAATTTACAGTTTTGAAGTATAGTTGACCCTTGAACAATGCATTAATAACATGAACAGCCGATTAATGTGTCTTTTGTATATGTATTATATACTGTATTCTTAAAGTAGGCCAGAGAAAAGAAAATGTTATTAAGAAAATCATAAGGAAGAGAAAATATATTTACTGTTCATTAAGTGGAGTGGATCATCATACAGGTCTTCATCCTCATTGTCTTCATGTTGAGTAGGCTGAGGAAGGGTTGGTCTTGCTGGCTTGGGAGTGGCAGAGGCATGTAAGTGGACTTGCATAGTTCAAACCCATGTTGTTCAAGGGTCAGCTGTACTTTCAAATGTGTCATATAGTTACCATAGTAATCCTATTAGATACTAATTACTGCTTTCCACTTAAAGATGATAAAAATACTCAGTTACCTCCTTAGGGGCACTTTAATTGTAAGTTTCTCATCATGGTTTGAGGGTGTATAAAGTCAGCATAGACTTCGTTACCTCTGTCCTTGATTGTCAGTGATTGATTCCAGGCATTACCCTGGTATTGTACATGTTATTTTAATCCTCACAAGAATTTGTCTCAAGAGGTAGCATTGTCCTCATTTAAAGATGAGGAAACTAAAGGTCAAAGGTAGTTAGCAAAGTGGGCGGTGGCTAATAATAGCTCACACACTGAGGTCTGGCTACCTGAGTTTTTGTCTAAGCTCTGCCACTTAAATCTCTATGACTCTGAACATTTTCTCAATCTCCTTAAGTCTCACCTTTCTAATATATTGAAATAACAGTGTCAGTCTCATAGAACTATTATGAAGATTAAATAGGATATAATACGTGGAAAGTGCTAGGTGTACAGTGTGTGCCCAATATCACATATGAGTACTAAGTAAGGTCACTCCAATGGTAGGAAGCAGCTCTTGTGACAGTGTCTCATGTCACTTTCTTACTCATTGTTTTCTTTCTAATCAGCACAAGCAATATATACATGAAAATGAGTAGTATTGATAGAGCCTCTAGTAATTTACTAAGTTAGAGGTAGTAGGCATGAGAGCAAGAAATAGAAGAAAAACTTCATGCAGGGGTAGACATTACATAGTTTAGGCTGAAAGGCCATGACATAAAATGTTTCCTGAAAAAGCACAGCAGTGTTTTTTTAAATGATTTTAAAAGTCCACCCTTCTCAGACTCATCTTTGCACAATATTTACTTCAATTATTTACCAGTGATTAACCTTAAACACAAGAGCAACAGAAATATTTGCATATTTGTTTTTGGTAGAAACCTCCAGTGATCATTCCGCCAAATGAACTTGTCACTTTTCCTACTTATGTAGTAGTTACACATATTATCTATCATCCTTCCAACATTTGGAATTATAAGCATTGTTGTTTAGAAAGAATTTGTTCTTTTTATTTTTTCTCTACTTCAAGTTCCTGTAATACTTTAATTAAACCCTATTCTGGTACTTAGTATTTTTGACATTGTTTTCTAGTTATTTCCATAGCTTATATCCCCTACTTAAAGACAGGGTCTGACTCAAGTGTCTAATTACATTGGCTAATACTCCCAGTACAAGCCCAAGAACAAATTATAAATTACTCTAAGATGAATGGTCTCTTTCATTGCTTAGTCATCTTCTCAGTGATCAAGTAGTTATCTCTTAATATTTATGTTTTTCTACTGCCAGTGACTCTAGGTGGAACTAATATCAATTGTGTTGATTAAATATTAATTTTAAGAGATTCCAAACAATAATTTAGATATATAAAGTCTGACACTGTTATTGTCCGTTTTTAGGCTTATTTCATAATGTAAGGGTTTGGCTTTGTTGTTTTCTTTTTAAAAGCAAGTGTTACTGATGCTTCATACCAGAGCTTTTAGAAAAGTAACAGAATATAGTTGACTCTGACGTTGTATGGTTTTAGTGCATTCAAGCAAATGTGGCCATTAGTAAGCAAGCAACAACATAACTTACCGAATAGAAAGGGAGAAAAGGCCATTCTCTCTTCTGCCATTCTCTCTGTGTACAGATTAAACATTTCCTTTGGTCTTGATGAACTGTTAGGTCAGTTTACCTCAAACTGTTTTTTGGCCTAAGGAAATCTGTTCTCTGGCCTTTTGAAGTTACATTCAGAGACCGTGCTTTTGGCTGTTTCTTGCAAAGAGATATGTTTTAACTTCTGCAAAGGCCAGAATGGCATGAGATTCTGGTGTGACACATTCACTGATGATTTACCAGAAAATACACTGCAAATATGAAAGACTGCAGACAGGTTTTATATGTGGAACTCTGCTCAGACTGAGAGAAAGTCTAGTTATTAGTAAATCTCTAGTTTTTTCAGAGCTGGATTATTTTGTCACATAAAAATATAGTGAGATAAATGTTAAGAGGACTGCCAGAGTCAGTTTTATTTAATGGTTTCTCTTATTCAAATATCACAGGTTAAAAGAAGGTCAGAAAGTGGCAAGTATCTAAAAGATTATGCTTTATAACCAAGCAATCCATAAGCTCTGAGAAATATTTCTACTAATTACAGCTACTGTTTGTTGAACAGTATTGATCCACTATGTGTCAGAAACTTTACATATATTCTCATTACTCTTCACAACAGCCCTGCAAGATGTGCTTTAAAATTTTTTTTTTTAATTACCACCTCACATATTAGGAGACAGGCTCAAATAACTCCCACTTTTAGTAAATGTCAGAGGTAAGGTTTGAGCCCAATTCTGTCAGTTACCAATATCCACATGCTTTTAAGTGAGATAATATTTGAAAGTGCTTGGCAAAATGTTTAAGTGGTAGCTGTTATTATTTCTATTCAGCTGCGCTTCCTCCCAGACTATAAATACATACATACCACACACATACACACACACACACACACACACACAGTGAGGAAAAAAAAGAAGAGATAGCATTATAACATGACACCTCCAATAGTAAGCATCCTATCATGCCATCAGACTTTCCTTCACATATATAATCCACAAGCAGTTAAAAGCTATACCGGAAAAGCCACTTTACAAGATGTAATACCTAGGAGTAAATATAAAGATACCTGTGCACATCTTTTTTGTAGACAACTTTAAAACATTCTAGCAGGACAAAATATAGACTTGAACAAATGGAAAGAAATGTATGTTCTTGGATAGAATGATTCAAGATTATAAAGACATTAATTCTCCATGAGTTAATTTATAAATTTAACATGAACCTATTAAATAGTCACAGTAATTAACAGTTTTTACCCAAATGCTGGACAAGAAGATTCCAAACATCAGAAATCCATCTCTCAATAAGGTGTATAGTTGCTTTTTTTCTCCTCACCACCACCAGTTCCCTAATATTTCAATAAATACATAAAAATGTTGGATTCATTTTTATAGGTTACATTATGGAGAACTTTAGTCTCCTAAGAAAGGAGGTAGGAGTGGAGAGGAGTGTTTGTAACAGTGTTGTGCAGTTCTTTGAAACTCCTAAGTTTTGTGACAAAATTATATCGTGAACTCATCAAAAATTATTTTTAACAATCTGTCAGCTGACAACTTGACTAAACCCTTCAGTTTTGTTACTAGCATAGAATAAGGAGCTACCCACTGGCAACAGGATTACTTACCTAGTATTTATTATTTACCTTGTTTTAGCCAAATACTAAAAATACCAGTGGATGCCAGTATTTCAAATTGTCTTTGTTTGGTGTTCAGAAGTTTTCTATTATAGCTCTTTACTCTTGCTTACTTTTAAAATCATTGTTTTTCCTTTTTTTCCATAGTTGCATTAAAATCCTCCCCTACTGAAAGAAACGGAGGCCAGGATAACTGTAGAGCAGCAAATTTCAGAGAAGGCCTGAACTTACAAGAAGGAGAATTCTTATTACAGGTAAATTTTAGTAAATATAGTTTCTTACACTAAGGACAGTTGTAAATGGAAAATGAATTAATAAGTCTTTTAGTAATTCCCTGTTTACTTAGGATTTGCTCAATGTTTTTTGCCACTTTCATCTGAACTGCGATAGTGAATGATGCTTAATACATGAAAAACTGGAATTATAGTCATGCACCATATAATGATGTTTCAGTTAACAACAGACCACATATGCGACAGTGGTCCCGTAAGATTATACCATATTTTTTACTGTAATTTTTCTAGTTTAGATACAAAAATGCTTACCATGTGTTAAAATTGCCTACAGTATTCAGTATAGTAACATGCTGTACAGGTCTGTAGCCTTGGAGCAATAAGTTATACTGTATAGCGTAAGTGTATGGTAGACTATACCATCTAGGTTTGTGTAAGTACACTCTATGATGTTTGCATGATGATGAAAATCACCTAACCACATATTTCTTTGAATGTGTCCCTGTTAAGTAATGCATGACTGTATATGAAGTAGATTAGTTAGAAGACCGGTCAACCCCTTCTGTTGTATTAATATTTCTTCAAACAGCAAGAACTCCTAGAGTATTTTAGAGGTTCTAATTTAAGATGTTGAATTTATATATATTTTTATGGAATGTATCTCTATTAAAATTGTTAAATGCATTTCTTAAATAGTTTAAAATAGTTCTTAACCCAAATTTCATTTTGCCAATATGTTATAACTTACATTTTATTTTAGCAACTGTTTGTGACTTATTAACATACTAAAGATTTTCTCAACAACTCCAATCCCTATTTTTATGCTTCAGAATTTAGTTTCTAATTTGTCTATGAAAGCATTTTGCATCTTTTTTTACTCTTTTTTTTAGAATTGATGCCATGATTGATTCTCACTTAAAATTCTCAGATACTTATTTTGTTGAAAAAAGATAGAATAAAGATGTGTGCCATGTGTGCTGTCACCGCTATGTGATCATTATCAGTTTCACCCACTGAACTGACTAGAAAAACTTCACCATTGTTACAAAAAGTAACCCTAAGTTTCGGTAACTCCACTAGTTCATTCAGTGGATGGTGATGTGCCTAATAATATAACATTTTTATTACAATTGTGTAATCACATTCAAAGTCCTGTTAGCAAAAATTAACTTATGTTAAACAAAGTAAATCTATTAAAGCATGAGTCCTCCCCTAGCCCCAACTGAGGATCTTCATGTATATGTAAACCCAAACATAAAGACTCCTTATTCAGGTCATAGGAAAGCATTTTAATAATTGCTATTTAAGATGATTAAACACACCTCTTGGGTTTTCTACTAAGGGCCTAATGAAATCCCGTATTTCAGGTGAAATAGACAGATATGTACTGATTGACGTAACACTTGGCAAGTTGGTTTAAATTATGGGCCATTTTTATTTTTTTCCCAAAACATTTAGGCAAATTGTGTACATACCCTATGTCAGGGAAACAGAATAACAATAATATGAATGCAAAGCTGTAAAGCTATAATTATATGGAATATATATATTTTAAATTATCTGCAAATTGGTAACCCTTAAGAAGTTAAAATAAACTTACCTGTTTATATTGAATACCATTTGTAGATTGCTCTTTTAATAGGAAGACTCACATTCTCTATGATTTTCTTAGGATTGTGCTTATATGTTATCTTTTTATGAAGAAGATGACTAAAAACATTATAGATATGTGGAAATGGCTGTTTGATTATAACAATTGCATAATGACATCTGACTTTATATTGCAACCGACGGTTATCAGCCAATTACCACTACAGTGTGAAAGGTGTTACCAGAGGTTCTGTATACCATATGGCCTAAAACTTTTGAGGAGAAATATTTTCCTTTGCTTAACAAAGGCATATGAAGAAAATGTTACAAAAATTTTTATTAAAGGCCAGGTGCGGTGGCTCACGCCTGTGATCCCAGCACTTTGGGAGGCCAAGGCGGGCAGATCACGAGGTCAGGAGTTCAAGACCAGCCTGGCCAACATAGGGAAACCCCATCTCTACTAAAAATACAAAAAATTAGCTGGGTGTGGTGGCGGGTGCCTGTAATCCTAGATACCCAGGAGGCTGAGGCCCGAGAATCGCTTGAAGCCAGGAGGCAGTAGTTGCAGTGAGCAGAGATCACACCACTGCACTCCAGCCCGGGTGACAATGCGAGACTCCATCTGAAAAAAAAAAAAAATTTATTAAAAGTTTAAGACATCTTTCTAGGTTAGCTTCAATTTATTACTATTTTACAAGGAATAAAAATGAAACAATGTGAATAACTGTGTCTTTATTTACTTCACATGTTTATTTCATAAGTTTAAAATATATCTCTTGCTATTTAATACTGTATTGTTAAAATCTTGCAGCTTTGTTTTTCAGTGACAGGAGTTGAAATTTTATATAACAGTATTGCAGTTTCTCTGAAATAATAAGTGAGCTTAACAAAATTTTCAGATAGGTTGAGTGAATCTTTGTGACTAAAAGAATGATGATCTCTTTTATTTAATTAGCATATTAATTCCTTCTGTTAATTTATTGAGAGAAATCAATACAAGTAATAACCTTGGGTCTCCTGGTACTTGAGATCATTTGAGATATATAAAAATTGATGTGCATCTATCGTTTCTAGATTTTTATTTCTGATAATAACATTTGTCTAAAGAGATTTGATAACTGTACTTAAATTATCCTTCTGTCTTCTGGCATGTACACCAATGAGTTTATTGGAATGTGACTAAATTTGTTTCACTGTTTGAAAAAGTATGATGTTCTACAAAATAATATGAATGTGATCAATGGATAATCTTCCCTAGAAGCAGATATTTTCAGGATGAATCAGTGCAATGACGGATATATAGTGTTACTGCCAAGAGAATTTAAGAATATCCAATTTTGAATGTGTTAGTCATTAACTATTCAAGTTCTTATGGGTAGAATCACCATTGTTTATCCTAAGAGAATTGCCAGGTATTACATATCATATTTGCAGTCAAAAACCTGAGAGCCTGCTTGTGGTTAAAGGGACATGGATGGAGCCGGAGGCCATTATCCTTAGCAAGCTACCACAGGAACAGAAAAACCAAATACCACATGTTCTCCCTTATAAGTGAGAGCTAAATGATGAGAACACATGGACACACAGAGGGGAACAACACACACTGGGGCCGTTTAGAGGCTGCAGGGTGGGAGGAGGGAGAGAGGATCAGGAAAAATAACTGATAAGTACTAGGCTTAATACCTGGGTGATGAAATAATCTGTACAACAAACCCTCATGACACAAGTTTACCTATGTAACAAACCTGCACTTGTACCACTGAACTTAAAAGTAAAAAAATAGAACAAAACAGTCAGAACCATGCACCAATTTGGGATCGATAACACATAAAGGCAGCATATCATGTTATTTAAGTGAGTACGCTTTGGAGCCAGACTGAATTTATCTCCTGGATCAGCCATTTTCTGGCTATGTGACCTTGGGCAAGTTACTTTTAAAGGTATAGTCCTTGACCTCAGTTTCTTCTATTGTAAAACTGGAACATGGCACTTACCTCATTGGGTTTTTGGGAGAAGAAACCACTCAAATACATAAAAACATTTAGAAAAAGGAATACTAAATAATAGTTGTTATCTTTGTAGTCAAGTTCTTAGAAGTATAATATAGATCAAGAATCTTGAAGGTGGAAAGTAATTGGAGTGGAAAGAGAGACAGTCACTGTATTTCATTTATTTCATCTGATAATGAAGATATCGACTGGACTATATGTGAGCAGCATAAGCACTAGGGCAAAGACTTGTTAACTCTTAAATCCCAGTACTTAGCATACATATCTCCTCTTGGGTATGTAATAGTTTATTACGTGTTGAATAAATGAATCACTATTATTTATATAGCTCTTTATAGTTCTCAAAGCATGGTGATATAAATCTTTATTTGCTCATTTCTACAACCATATAACATTGTACCTTATTACACTGAGTGCTGGCTCTGTGCCAAGCATTGAGTTAGGTGGGATATCGTCATTATATCTACCTGATGAAGTGCCAGTTTTTGAAATAACACTGAAGCCTAAAAAGCAGTAAATAGCTTAACCAAAGCCACACAGCTAGTAATAGACAGAGACAGGAGTCCAGACCAAATCTGTCTGACTACACAGTACAATTCTTAAACTAAACCATACTGTGTTTCTCCTTACATGAAAAACAGGGTGTTAGAAGACATTAGCTGTGATCACATAGTAAAGAATAGATCAAGTACCAAATTGAACTCAAGGAGAAAATAGTGAGGGCTTGTAGAATTAAAATATATGATAATAATAAAGTGATCTATGATACTATTGTTATCCAAGAGGAGAATAAAGGTATTAGTTGATATTGGACTTGAATTATCCAGTAATAGGAAAAGAAACTATAACATCCAAACTAAAGAGTATGGGCTAATAAAAAATAATGGACCCAAAGTAGGCAAAACAGAGAGAAAAAGAAACATTATACATGTGAATGTGCTGTGAACAAATAGAAATAACACATATAAAATGATAAATTTAGGTATGTGTTCATAATGACATTAAATTTTAGTGGACTAAATTCACTGTATGCTTGCTTTACATGTGTATTATAGTTTAATTACATGTATATTTTATATATATAGTGTTTTCCTGTAAAAGTCTTAAAATGTTCTGTGACTTAAAATGTTAGCATCAGTGCTTGAAATGTCTTTGTACAAGAAGAGTTTTCTATTAATGTTCCCAGTTTAAGAATCTAATCAACATCTTTGCCTCCTGTTTCCCTCTAAAAAAAAGCAGTGTGATAGACTATAGTGAATGATGTCTAGTTTGTTTTTTAAAAAATATATACAATATATTTAAAAGAGAAAATCTGAAACATGAAGAAGATGAATTCCATATTCTACCAAAGTTATTCTGATTGAGCATTAAATTTAGCCATTTTTCCATAGACAAATCAAAAGGTATGAATAGATATTTCTTAGTCCAGGAGTGTATGTTTTGGCTGTGTTTGTGAAATGTGACAATTTTAACTATTTTGAAGAGAAGAATTTTCAGAGATAAAAGTAATAACCTTTATCTGATGGTCAATATTAAGTCATATTACTAATTTTAGAACTTCCTTTCCTTGTAGGCTCTGAATGGCTTTGTATTAGTTGTCACTACAGATGCTTTGGTCTTTTATGCTTCTTCTACTATACAAGATTATCTAGGGTTTCAGCAGGTAAGTATATATTATTTATATCATTTATATTATTATATCATTTACTTTTTATATATATTTAGGACACAGTTGGCCATTTGTATGTATAAAGTATCAATATATGCTGTAGAATACAGTATGTATTTGTAGCTAATAATTTTTTCTAATATTAATAATTTACTGCACTATAATTCCTTTAAACCTTTATGTGATTCATGGTTACTGTGTTTCTTCTTTCGCTTATCAAGAATCTTATATATAAGAAACTTTCAGGCACGTAGGGTCTAGGGGAGAAGATACAAAATTATTTGCTATCAAATAACTTATGGATAGCAGAGGATATATGACAACTATGAAATGAATGAGATGCTGTTAAAAAGTACAAGTAAAATCCTATGATTTATACCTTTAATTCTGATTTATTTGGATTATGGAAGTTACCCTAAATCAAATGGTATGTAAGCTGACCTAAATAATGTGTAACAGGTGGGTGGTCAAGAAAACATAGGAATATTGAAGTACTGTAAGCATTAGACTGGAAGTCATTGAAGGAAACAGACGTGTCTGACTTGTTTGATGTTATTGAATGAACAGTGAATAGATGGAATTATAAATATTTGATATATTGGAAGGGCAAGAACATCTTTTATGGTTTGAGAACAGATTGTAACATTTGAATGCTTGCTATTCTCATATATCTGGTTCTCAAATTGTACTGTGCACAAGAATCACCTGAAGACCTTGATAAAACTTGGTCATCCCTGTGAGCCCCATTGTCAGATATTCTGAATCAGTAGTTCACAGTGGGGCCCATGAATTTGCATTTCTATTAAGCTCACAAGGCTGCTGGTCTTAATAACAGTTATATAGACTAGAGCTTCAACTATATTATATACCCAGTGGAAACCACTGAAGGGTTTTGTTACAGGGGGTGTGTATATTTCAACTTGTGTTTCAGATGCAACTTTTGGAAATTGTGTAATGGTTGGCATCAAGATGATTTAATACTAGAAGATTAGGTTCCTAGGAAGATTTAAGTGTAGATGACTAAAGTAGTGGTATCTAGCTACTACTGCTACCACAAAGTCTAAACTCCTGATTTCTTGCATTCTAAAGAAAATACATTAATGTCCATAGAAAAGCCTGTTTGAAGCCTAATGTATTATATAACTGTCTTAATCAGGATTTGATATTGTGATTTATATTAGTAAGAAAATCAGAGAGATTAGCCATTTTCCAATCCATTTTTTTCTCGCATATACACATGGATTTTTTTCCTAAAAGAATATTCATATCTGACGCAAGTGGTAGATTAAGACACCATTTTTAAAACTGCAAGTTATGACTCGCTCATGGGTATGCAGTCGAGACAGTGGATCACTATCAAACTGTTTTTTAGTTGTTTAGGATAGAATAAAATAATATAGAATACACAGTGTTATCTCATGTAATAATGGTAAGTGTTTTGTGAAACTTTTCCATGTGTTTATGTCTGTGCACACACCTGTGACAGATGGAAATGTATTTTTTATCATAACTTGCAGTTAAAAAAAAAGGAAAACTCTGGTTTAAGCACTAAGGACTCAGCACCGTAGTAAATGGTGAGAGGCAAGAGAAGGAAAGTGGGTTTAATATGGTAAAGGCACAATCCCTTGCTCTTGTGGAGTCTACTTGGAGTGAAAATTTTATATGAAGAAAATTTTAGAGAACAGTGAAGGAAATACATAAAGAATACCATTAAGCTTAGAGAAGTCAAAGAGGCCTGGGGTGGTTAGGAAAAGCTGCATGGAAGAGATAAGAATCTAAAAACTAACAAATGAATATGGAACATAAACAGATTTTAATATGTTGCATTTAAGGAATGGGGATGTGACTTATTTGAGCAAGAGCATTCATGTTGGGAACTGATGACAAGTAACTTTTGGCTTATCTGTTGTAGTGCCAGTCTCTTTAGCTTTTTCTACCTTAGGTTCTATCTTAGGTGACTAGGGAATTTTAGGAATCATTCAATTCGTATTCATCACCACTAGCAAGCACCCACTAATCTAAATAGGCTTTAAAATTAATTTAGCCATATTTTTTAATCAGTCCTTTTGTTGTATTCCTTGTATCTTTTTTCTTTAGTCTGATGTCATACATCAGAGTGTATATGAACTTATCCATACCGAAGACCGAGCTGAATTTCAGCGTCAGCTACACTGGGCATTAAATCCTTCTCAGTGTACAGAGTCTGGACAAGGAATTGAAGGTAAGAATTGATGGTACAAAAAATAGTGTTGGTAGTTTTTAAATATGAGTCTGTGAAAGGAGGCTGGGAACCTGTAGGGTCATAGAACTCCATGATAGGGAAGTAGTGGAAAGATGTAAAGTCTGCAATCATAGGCCACAGCTAGGTCACAAAGAGCCTGATGAGCTAAGGAATATTTTGGCAAATGAGAGCCATTTAATGAGTTTCAGGCAACAGAGTATTGCCATAGTCAGTAATGTATTTTATAAAAATAAGTAGTACCTTCATGAAAGATGGAAGGAAGGTACAAGGTTGATACCTGAGTGCATGTAAATTATTGTGTTTAAAATGCACCAAAGAAAAAAGTAAGCTAGCATATGCAAGTATAAAAATGCTTTTCTCAATGCAAAAAATGTTTTTGGAAATTTGTTAAAGTGTTAAGAAAACAAAAATGCATTAGAAAATATGAAAATTGTTGACAGTGATAGCTCAATAAAAATTTAAAAAATTATGCAAGTTCTATCTGATAAAAGTGATATTTAATAAACTTTTAGTTTCTTGTCATTAGCTCTTTTGAAAATGATTTTTTTGTATTCAGAACACAGACTCCAGTTTAGAAACTAATACAAATTTTACCTATTCAAGTGCTTAATTTTACAGCAAAATGGAAAGTAAATTTTGTTTTGCCTTTATTTCTACAGAAGCCACTGGTCTCCCCCAGACAGTAGTCTGTTATAACCCAGACCAGATTCCTCCAGAAAACTCTCCTTTAATGGAGAGGTGCTTCATATGTCGTCTAAGGTGTCTGCTGGATAATTCATCTGGTTTTCTGGTAAGGTACAAAATTTTATGATACTGGCTTTTACTATTGTTACAATAAAAGCTTGAGGCAAATTTAATTTAGCAAAATATAATTCAGCAGAGAACTATTCCCAAATCAGGCAACCCTCAGAACCAGAGAGCTTCAGAGAGCTCACTTAAAAACATGGGCTGGAGCATTTATGAACAGAAAATGCAAGTGAGGTACAGAAATGGCTTGATTGATTACAGCTTGGGATTTGCCTTATTTGAAGATGATCTGATTAGTTGGCCACCTGTGACTGACTGAGACTCAGCTATTTGGTTACAAAAGTTTAATTCTACTGTTAGGCTTTCCGTTAGCTTATATAGTAAATGAAGTTGCAATTCCTTGGTAAGGACTTAAGGAGCAGAGGCATCTTCAGCCCAAATTTAGTTTAACATTAAGTTATAGAAAAAACAAGCCAATTTTCTTTGGTTATCTTTGATTTCAGCTTTAAAAATCTGCTACCAAATAATTTGATAAAGGAAAGTAACATTTTAAAGTAATTATTTCTGATTTTGACTATCTTCTATAACTCAGAAAACTGTTCTTTAGGATATAGTAACAAAAATTGAGTGAAATAACACGAAGCCTTGTATTTTGACTATTTTAGGATTTTTAAGGTATGAGAGAATTATGTAGCCCTTTTTTAATAGGAGGATGCTTACCATCTTGGGATTGAATGCCTGCTAGACAGAGAAATTATGGCCTTTCCATATGTCTCAAATAACTGCCACATAGAAAAACGATTGTATATTCATGATTGTGGAATCATCATTTGATAGGAGATGCTGTTTTCTTGTTACAAAGTCTGAACACCTGCATAGGAGTTGACTGTAGGGAACAGCTTAGGATTCCTCAGAGTGGACTTGTCTGTTATCTCATTGTATCCTTAGCTCATGTTACCAAGTACAGGAGAAGAAAATACAAAGTATATTGTATATTCTTTTTGTGAATAACAAGGAATTTGAAACAGATAATCAAATCTTAAATTAACATTACCAAGCAATGATTTTTGTTTATGTGTTTATTTCTGAAGAGGATTTTGCTGACCCAGAATTAGAATTATGCTTTGAGACAGTTTTCCCAGTGTTATTGCTCATGAACAATTAGTATGTAGAGTCATGTCCTGCATAATGATGCTTTGGTCAATAACAGACCATGTATATGATGGTAGTCCCATGAGATCATAATGGAGCCGAAAAATCCCTATCACTTAATGATGTCATAGCATTGCTCACATGTTGATGGTGATGCTGATGGAAGCAAACCTGTGTTGCCAGTCATATAAAAAGTATAGCACATACAATTATATATGATACATAATACTTGAAAATAAAACAATAATAAATCACTATGTATTTACTATTAATCATTATTTTACTTTATTTTTAAATGTATTATACTTTTAATTATTTTATTTTAATCATTATTTTAGAATAAGGTTAACTGTAAAACAGGCTCAGGCAGGTCCTTCAGGAAATATTCCAAAAGAAGGCATTGTTATCACAGGAGATGACAGCTCCATGCATGTTATTGCCCCCGCAGACCTTCCAGTGGGACAAGATGTAGAGGTGGAAGATAGGATCATTAATGATCCTCACCCTGTACAGACCTAAGCTAATGTGTGGGTTTGTGTCTTAGTTTTTAACAAAAAAAGTTTAAAAAGTAAAAAAATTAAAAATTAAAAAATAGAAGAAAGCTTATAGAATAAGGATATAAAGAAAGAAAATGTTTTTGTATGGCTGTACACTGTGTTTAAGTGTTATTACAGAAGAGTCAAAAGTTAAAAATGCAAAAGTTTATGAAGTAAAAATGTTACAGTAAACTGTGCTGGGATTACAGGCATAAGCCACTGCACCTGGCCAAAAGGAAAATATTTTTTATAAATTCAGCGTAGCCTAAGTGTATAGTGTTTATAAACTCTATAGTAGTGTACGGTAATGTCTCAGGCCTTCACATTCACTCACCACTCACTCACTGACTAAACCAAAGCAACTTTCAGTCCTGCCTACCTTGTTTACAATAAGTGCTCTTATACAGGTATACCATTTTTTGTCTTTTATACTGTATTTTTACTGTATATTTTCTATGTTTAGATACACAAATACTTACCATCATGTTACAATTGCTTTAAGTATTCAGTACGATAGCATGCTGTACAGGTTTGTAGCCTAGGAACAAAAGGCTATACTGTATAGCTTAGATGCGTAGTAAGCTATACCATCTAGGTTTGTGAACCTACCCTCTGATGTTCACAGGATAATGAAATTGCCTAAGGACACATTTCACAGAACATGCCCCTTTTGTTAAATGACATGTGAGTGTATGTCTGAGGTGGAATATCTGTGTGCAGGAGGGCCTTTTCCTCCTTGTGCTGCTATTATTTTGATGTCAGAACCATCCCTTGGACTGGTTGATATTGTTTTAAGCAATTAAATATATCATGTTCATGTTTAAGTGCCTTTGTTTTCCCTGTCTTCTAAATTTCTTCCATATCTTTACTCAGTAGGGCTCTGCATTCTTTATATGTTTTCATGATGATTCATTTTAGTGTCTTAATAAAATTATATTTTGCCTCTATAGAAAAGATTATGAACTATGCAGTATGCTATGAGCTGTGATATAGTTCATGTATGCTTGAAAATGAATGTTTACTTTAGGACTTTATCACCATTCAGGATATATTGATTGCCTGGTGTGCAAGGAGCTGTGTGAGGTGAAAATGATAGGGTAATGGCAAGCTTGGAAAATGATATAGGTTTTCATGTTATGACCATTAGGAACAAGGAGTGGTTCACTTATCCCTTTAGAATATTTTTCATATTACTCTTTGAGATAGATTTAATGGGCGTCCCATGGAGAGAGGAGTGAAGGAAACTAACAGTTCTCAGCTTCAGGAATATTTATGGAATTATCAAGAACCCTAGAGGCAGCCATAATGGAGCCTTTTAAAAAGGCACTATTTTATATTGTTAATTTTAATGAACTTTTTTGTTGTTGTTGCTTTTTTAAGGCAATGAATTTCCAAGGGAAGTTAAAGTATCTTCATGGACAGAAAAAGAAAGGGAAAGATGGATCAATACTTCCACCTCAGTTGGCTTTGTTTGCGATAGCTACTCCACTTCAGCCACCATCCATACTTGAAATCCGGACCAAAAATTTTATCTTTAGAACCAAACACAAACTAGACTTCACACCTATTGGTTGTGATGCCAAGTAAGTGAGACTTTTTCACTTTTATTTTATTGGATGTACATTATGTTTCAGTAAGTCTCTCTTAGCATGTAAAACATACAGTGTATGTAATATTGTTTATTATTAGATTGGCTATTATCGTACATTCTTCCAGTGTAGCCTTTTACAGTAAAATAATTTAATCAGGCTCACAAATCATCTTTTTAATTTTTGCAATACTTGTCTCAAATGATGATGTTCTTATATATTAGTAAGGTTTATTCTTCTGATGACATTTATGTTGGTTTGTTTTACATTTTTAAATGGCACAAATGTTATTTGATTTCTAGCCCCAGAAGTTTTAGTAACTTTCAGAAAATTGTGAGCAGGAGTCTGATATTAAACATTTATATCATATCAAACATATCAGTGCTTTTCTCCTTTCTAATGTGGGAATGCAGAGAGGTAATTAGAAAAACCTTCTTCCCTAAAAATAGATTATAAAAACATTCCAGATTTTTATTAAAGATGTTCTGTTACCCATACATCTGCTCTATTAGATTCATTTTTAGCATACTAATTTCCATGGATTTATTCAGGAAAAGAAAATAGGCTGAAACTGAAATTTGCAATCATAAGCAAAGAAGATCAGTTTACATGGATGTGTTTAATTTCACATCTACTTATGTGAAATTCTAAATGTGAACTAAAACATATTGCAGAAACTAGCGTAAAACCAATGAATTTATCTTGGTTATTTCATTTATGTTAAATCTTAATCCATTCTTATTTTACCTTTTTTTATTTTAAACAGAGGAAGAATTGTTTTAGGATATACTGAAGCAGAGCTGTGCACGAGAGGCTCAGGTTATCAGTTTATTCATGCAGCTGATATGCTTTATTGTGCCGAGTCCCATATCCGAAGTAAGTTGTAGTTCCTTATGAACATGTCAGAAGAAAACGGCATATACTGTTGTACATGTTTCAAATTCTTACGTAATGTAAAGTGTTTAAGTAAAGTATATGGATAAACTTCTACTTAGTAACATATCATTATGATTAACCAGGGTTACACTCTTTGTTCATTAACTTGTCTACACCTGCCATGTAGAAATATTGTTGTTTAGTTATTAAAAAATGACCATTTTGGCCCATGAAGTTTTGCTTGGGAATTTTTTAATTACATCGTTATCAATTCATAAATCTATGTTAATATTGTAACAATAATAGTGTTAATAATTCTAGTTTAAAATTATAAAGTATTAGGCTGTAGGAAAATATTCCCTATTTAAAATGAAAATAATTTTTTCCCCAACTTATGTTCTCTCTATACTTTCCTGTGTTACTAGAATTGTTTGGTACATAATCTTCCCTTTAACATTTAAAATAATAAATTTAAAACAACTCTGAAAAACTATTTCCATGCCTTTTATTATTTTTTGTTTAAAATTTATTGTCTTTGGGGATAAAGGAAATACATCCAGAACTATGTCACAAGAGCTTTGTTTTAGGAATAATCTTTACTATATTGATTTGGGGGTTTGATAATTTAATTTTTTAATTTTATTTTAGTGATTAAGACTGGAGAAAGTGGCATGATAGTTTTCCGGCTTCTTACAAAAAACAACCGATGGACTTGGGTCCAGTCTAATGCACGCCTGCTTTATAAAAATGGAAGACCAGATTATATCATTGTAACTCAGAGACCACTAACGTAAGCACAAATAATGTTTCCTGTTTTAACAGTTTTGTTTTCATAAGTCCTCTTATGTGAAAGCATAAAAATAATTCAAGCAGACTTTAGTCTGTAAATAAAAATTGAAAAGTTTAATTCATCTAGAAAGAAGAGCACAGGTGAGAGACATTGAGAAGATAGAATTGACGAACTTGATTGAGAGCTACATGTGCAGAGCTATAGAAAGAATAATAAAACTCTAGGGTTTTATCTTGGGCATATGAAAGACACATGAAAAGCTAGTGTCATTGGTAAAAAAGAAGAAAAATATAACAATGCTTTATTTAGAATATATTCTCTAAACCCAGCAGTGATTTTAAGAGTTTCTTACACATGCTGCAGATGAGTCCTTTATCAAATATTTGTATTGCAAATGTTTCCTCCCACTCTGGAGAATTGATTTTTGTCTGTAGCTTGAGGTAAGGATTGATTCCCCCCAGCCATTATACGTATACCCAATTGACCAGTAACATTGAAAAGATGATTTACCGAGAAGGTCATTGTTTCCCGGCTGCGCTGTATTTTGATCAGGGGATTTTGTCTGTGGTTCTCTGTCTGGATTGTGTTGTTCTATTAATAGCTCCATTAGTGCAGTTGTCTATTTTGTCTAGCATTACACTGTCTTAGTTATTCTATCTTTATTATATATTTCTATGTCAGAGTGTGTCATTTTGTTTGTTTTGCCTTTTTTGTTCTCCTTCAAGATTGCCTTGGTTCTTCTTTGCCCTCTATAATTCCATATACATTTTAGAAAGCAGTTGTCTGAAAATCTGTTGAGATTTTGAGTGCAATTACCTTGAAACTGTAGATCATTTGGGGAGAATTAACATCTTTTTAATACTGAATCTTTGAGCCCATGAACATGATGAATGTATGTATGTGTATAAGTACCCATGGAAGTACATGAGTATGTGTGTACCATATGTATATGAGTGCATGGGTATGTGTGTACCTCTACAAATTTGTCACTTCTCCCTTGATCAATGTTTCTAGAAGGCACTTTTTTTAATTAGATTTTATTAGTCTTTATTAGGATCCAACTTTTGGTTTATTGATTTTTTTCTATTTTATACATTTGTTTTCAATTTTAATTATGTCTGCTCATTATTATTTTCTTCCTTCTACTTTCTTTGGGTATAATTTATCATTTTTTGCAACTTTTAAAAAATATATACTTAAACATATATATCAGTTTCCCTTTAAGTACAGCATTACAACCCTCATCTTTTGCTATCTTATTTTTATTATTTAATTGAAAATACTGGCTAATTTGTTTTTATTTTTATTCATGAATTATTTAGAAATACAGTGTTACTGTACTTTTTGGTGTTTGGGGATTTTTCTAGTTGCCTTTTTATGATTGACTTTTAGCTTAATTCCATTGTAGTCAGAAAATATTCTCTGGATGGATTTCAGTTTTTTTGAAATTTGTGGTGACTTATTTTATGATCTAATACATGGTCTATGTTGGTAAAATATCCCATGTAATCCTATGAAGAATACATGTTCTGTAGTTTGGGAGTATCTTATTTTTATATATCAGAAGTCTAGTTTGTTAATTGTGTTCATATTTGTATACATTTGTTGATATTTTATGTGCTTCTGTTAGTTACTAAGACATTTTGTTTTCATTTATTACTGAAGGGGGGCATCTTTTTACATCTTTCTGTTTTTTTTTTTTTTTTGAGATGGAGTCTCGCTCTGTCGCCCAGGCTGGAGTGCAGTGGCGGGATCTCGGCTCACTGCAAGCTCCGCCACCCGGGTTCACGCCATTCTCCTGCCTCAGCCTCCCAAGTAGCTGGGACTACAGGCGCCCGCCACTACGCCCGGCTAATTTTTTTGTATTTTTAGTAGAGATGGGGTTTCACCGTTTTAGCCAGGATGGTCTCAATCTCCTGACCTCGTGATCCGCCCGCCTCAGCCTCCCAAAGTGCTGGGATTACAGGCGTGAGCCACCGCGCCCGGCCCTTTTTACGTTTTTCTATGACATTTTTCTTTTATAAATTACATTTGTATCATTTACCTGTTTTTCTGTTGAGTTGTTTGCCTCTCTCTCAGACTCTATTGGAGCTCTTTATTATGGATATGAAATTTTATAAGTATATTAAATTATAAATACATTATGTTACAAATATTTTCTTTAAAAATTCTATTGCCCGAGGCGGGCGGATCACGAGGTCAGGAGATCGAGACCATCCTGGCTAACACGGTGAAACCCCGTCTCTACTAAAAATACAAAAAATTAGCCGGGCGTTGTAGCGGGCGCCTGTAGTCCCAGCTACTCGGGAGGCTGAGGCAGGAGAATGGCGTGAACCCGGGAGGCGGAGCTTGCAGTGAGCCGAGATCGCGCCACTGCACTCCAGCCTGGGCGACAGAGCGAGACTCCGTCTCAAAAAAAAAAAAAAAAATCTATTGCAAAAATACAAATACTTTAATATTAAGTAATTTTCATATTATTATGCCAATCTGTCTTTATAGCTGCTGGGTTTTATTATAGAGGTTAGTTGTTTCAGATTCTTAACTTTCTAATTCCTAATTTTTTTATTTTTTTATTATTATTATTTTTGAGACAGGATCTTACTCTGTCACCTATGCTGGAATGCAGTGGCACAAATGTGGCTCACTGAAGCCTTAACCTCCAGGCTCAGGCAGTCCTCCTGCCTCAGACTCCAGAGTAGCTGAAGACTGTAGGCATGTGCCACCATGCCCAGCTAGTTTTTATTTTTTTGTAGAGGTGAGGGTCTTGCCATGTTGCCCAGGTTTGTCTCAAAATCCTGGGCTCAAGCAATTCACACACATCAGCCTCCCAAAGTGCTGCAATTACAGGCATGCACCACCATGCCTGGCCCCTAAATTCTCGTAGTCTGTTTTTATGTGTAGATATTTATTCCACACAAATTTATTATTTTTTTCTTTTTTTGCAGGGTGTCAGGTAGGGATGTAACCTGACCATGGAATTAACTAAGTTATTTTTTAAAAATTAAATCATTTAAATATGCTTGTCTGAAAAACAATTTTATAGCACCAGTCATGAGAATAATTGAGGTGAAAATAAAATATGTCCCTTTCTGAATTCAATTACAATGTATTTTGCTTTATGTTTTTCTTTTTTAAATTATTTTTATTTTAAAATGTTTGATAGAATTTTTTTCTAAGACTTTTTTGTACACAATTTTAGAGATGAGGAAGGAACAGAGCATTTACGAAAACGAAATACGAAGTTGCCTTTTATGTTTACCACTGGAGAAGCTGTGTTGTATGAGGCAACCAACCCTTTTCCTGCCATAATGGATCCCTTACCACTAAGGACTAAAAATGGCACTAGTGGAAAAGACTCTGCTACCACATCCACTCTAAGCAAGGACTCTCTCAATCCTAGTTCCCTCCTGGCTGCCATGATGCAACAAGATGAGTCTATTTATCTCTATCCTGCTTCAAGTACTTCAAGTACTGCACCTTTTGAAAACAACTTTTTCAACGAATCTATGAATGAATGCAGAAATTGGCAAGATAATACTGCACCGATGGGAAATGATACTATCCTGAAACATGAGCAAATTGACCAGCCTCAGGATGTGAACTCATTTGCTGGAGGTCACCCAGGGCTCTTTCAAGATAGTAAAAACAGTGACTTGTACAGCATAATGAAAAACCTAGGCATTGATTTTGAAGACATCAGACACATGCAGAATGAAAAATTTTTCAGAAATGATTTTTCTGGTGAGGTTGACTTCAGAGACATTGACTTAACGGATGAAATCCTGACGTATGTCCAAGATTCTTTAAGTAAGTCTCCCTTCATACCTTCAGATTATCAACAGCAACAGTCCTTGGCTCTGAACTCAAGCTGTATGGTACAGGAACACCTACATCTAGAACAGCAACAGCAACATCACCAAAAGCAAGTAGTAGTGGAGCCACAGCAACAGCTGTGTCAGAAGATGAAGCACATGCAAGTTAATGGCATGTTTGAAAATTGGAACTCTAACCAATTCGTGCCTTTCAATTGTCCACAGCAAGACCCACAACAATATAATGTCTTTACAGACTTACATGGGATCAGTCAAGAGTTCCCCTACAAATCTGAAATGGATTCTATGCCTTATACACAGAACTTTATTTCCTGTAATCAGCCTGTATTACCACAACATTCCAAATGTACAGAGCTGGACTACCCTATGGGGAGTTTTGAACCATCCCCATACCCCACTACTTCTAGTTTAGAAGATTTTGTCACTTGTTTACAACTTCCTGAAAACCAAAAGCATGGATTAAATCCACAGTCAGCCATAATAACTCCTCAGACATGTTATGCTGGGGCCGTGTCGATGTATCAGTGCCAGCCAGAACCTCAGCACACCCACGTGGGTCAGATGCAGTACAATCCAGTACTGCCAGGCCAACAGGCATTTTTAAACAAGGTAAGGGTGTTATCAAACTGAATTAAATCTTTCAGTGATTCTTTTTACCTTATAGACATGTTACACATTTTTTATGTCAGCTGATTTTAATCGGTTATCTACAGCATTCATGGAGACAGCATTTTTTATTATATCTGTGACTACCTTTTTTTTTTTTACAAGCCTGTACTTTTTCCAGTATGTTACTAATATATCATTCACCTGATTCATGAGGGAGAAAGATATCAAGGAATGAAGCAACATGAATGTGTCCTTAATATAAGATGACCTAAATTACCAGGTGAAATTAGTTTTTAGAAGTATTTTGTTTAAAATAGATAATTTGGTTTATTCTTTCTGGATTCTTTAAAAATTATATGGCTATTTAAAAATTCAAGCTTTAAAAAACGTATTGCAATTTTTAAGAATAATTTCTTCAAAGCTCTATTTTTTTATATATGTTTGAAATTGAGTTAAACTCAAATTTAAGTGTGCTTTCTTACAATGCCTCTGAAACCCTAGATTAATTATATCCCTGGAATTCAGTCCTAGGCACCTCCATGTTCTCTAGCTATTCCTCCACATTACCTCCCCTATCCTCATCTCATCCTTTAAGGTAGAATGGCTTTCTTTTCTGGCTTTCTTAAAAGAGGTAACTCAGCTGGCTTTCTGTCATGGAAATCAAGCTTGATAGTGCATTTTTGTTGTTTAAATGTGTCATCAGAATCCGTCTGGCAGTGAGCACACTTTAAATCTAAAAATGATCACTTAAAAAAAAAAAGTTAACATAATGTCAGTAACTGCTGTCTCTGGCCACTCAGGAATACATCATGTTTGCATTTATGCTTTTTCCATTAGAAAATATTTAGTTCATTTTAAAGTATATTTAAGTTTAGTTTTAAAGAATATCTTGACTAAAATTAAGCTCCTTGACCCCTGTTTACTCTGTATTAGAGTATAATAATTAAAAGTATGACCTGAAGCTTTATCTTTAATTGTATTTTCTGGCTTTTTCATACATTTTGCTTGTCTAATCGTATATGAGCTTTTTAATAGAAAAGGACAGTGAAAATTTTTCTTATTCCTTACATCCTTCAATTATATTAAAATTGAATAATATTCAGTTATAGTCCGTCTCACAAAATTGCTATGAAAGTATATTTTACTCTTGAGTAAAGCAAATTGTACAGAAGTTAATTCTGTAAAATTACATTTTGAATAAGGAGTTGCATGAGTACCACATAAGTTCTTTGCAGTGTTTTCCCCTCACTACTTTTCACTGCTTCTTTGTAAATAACCAAATAATTCTATAGACCTACATATGTTCCAGAGTACATGTTATTGAGCTAAGACACTCAATATTGAGCCACTGAGTAGCTGTTCAGCACTTGAAATGTGGCTAGTCCAAATTGAGATGTGCTGTGTGAAGTACACATTGGATTTTTGGATTTTGAAGACTTGGCTTGAAAAAAGAATGTAAAATATCTCATCTTTTATTATTGATTTCATGTTGAAATGATTAGTTTTTTCAGTAGCCGCATTACAAAAGTAAAAAGAAACAGGTAAAATTAACTTTAGAAATGTATTTTATTTAATCTACTGTAGCCAAAAATTTAAGTTCTGTATGTGGCTCACATTATATTTCTATTGGATTACACTGCTGTGTACAGTATGTTTAAAGAGAATGGTGACATGAATTGTGTTATGAGTAATGAGAAAAAATCATTTTAAACTCACCATTATCTGGCCAGGTAATACTAACTTTTTATTTAAAGAATTTACAGTGTTGCCATTCATTGAAGATACAGGTTATATGATTTTTACTATAGATTTTATATATGTTTTGGAGGATCTGTGAAGTAATTAACATTTTGATTACTGAAGCCAGTTATGTAGGCTTTACAAAGGTAGATTTTATTTGAAGCAATTAAGGATATGATTTTAATCTGTTTTAAAGTTTCCAGAACGTCCACTAACTAAAATATAAAGGCTCTGTAATCTATAAAACTCTACAGAGCTATACATCTTCATGTCCTTCCTTTTTATTTTTCTTTTTTCTACTAGCAGTTATAGAAACCAGATTCATTGCAGTGTAAGAAAACAAGACAGAGCATTTTCTTTTGGTAACTTGATTCTGTAATTAGAACTATGCTTTCAGTAGTATTCATTAATTAAAAGTATATTATGAATAAGAAATCGGTTAAGAAAATCATACCTGTGGTGTAATATTTTAGGAATATTTAGAAACATTTAGAAAATCAGAAGCTGCCTTTTTTGGAAAAGTTTTGCATTCCAGTGTAAGATTCCTGAATATAATCAATTCATTGATACCTATAACTTCAAACCTGGTCAAAGCAAACCTACTTATGATAGAGAATATTTAACTGTAATTTGTGACTTGTGCTGTTTGACCCATCAATTCCTACCTGACCCAAAGGCAATCTGAAATGAGACAGCTGCATCACTCATCTGTACCATGTTCAAAATTTCCTGTCAAATTAATGGAAAAACAGGTTATAAATGCAACTAATACATAATATGTCCTCAGTATGTCTTCACTGTGTGAAAGATTTAAAATTTAGCAACAGTAAAGGAACTTGAAGTTTACAACTCTCAGGGGTAAGATTTTAAAAATACATGTTAATGTTATTTACTGGCTTAAGATACTTGGAAGATCTATTCCAATAAGTTGCATCACCATTTTTGTTTTCAGTTTCAGAATGGAGTTTTAAATGAAACATATCCAGCTGAATTAAATAACATAAATAACACTCAGACTACCACACATCTTCAGCCACTTCATCATCCGTCAGAAGCCAGACCTTTTCCTGATTTGACATCCAGTGGATTCCTGTAATTCCAAGCCCAATTTTGACCCTGGTTTTTGGATTAAATTAGTTTGTGAAGGATTATGGAAAAATAAAACTGTCACTGTTGGACGTCAGCAAGTTCACATGGAGGCATTGATGCATGCTATTCACAATTATTCCAAACCAAATTTTAATTTTTGCTTTTAGAAAAGGGAGTTTAAAAATGGTATCAAAATTACATATACTACAGTCAAGATAGAAAGGGTGCTGCCACGGAGTGGTGAGGTACCGTCTACATTTCACATTATTCTGGGCACCACAAAATATACAAAACTTTATCAGGGAAACTAAGATTCTTTTAAATTAGAAAATATTCTCTATTTGAATTATTTCTGTCACAGTAAAAATAAAATACTTTGAGTTTTGAGCTACTGGATTCTTATTAGTTCCCCAAATACAAAGTTAGAGAACTAAACTAGTTTTTCCTATCATGTTAACCTCTGCTTTTATCTCAGATGTTAAAATAAATGGTTTGGTGCTTTTTATAAAAAGATAATCTCAGTGCTTTCCTCCTTCACTGTTTCATCTAAGTGCCTCACATTTTTTTCTACCTATAACACTCTAGGATGTATATTTTATATAAAGTATTCTTTTTCTTTTTTAAATTAATATCTTTCTGCACACAAATATTATTTGTGTTTCCTAAATCCAACCATTTTCATTAATTCAGGCATATTTTAACTCCACTGCTTACCTACTTTCTTCAGGTAAAGGGCAAATAATGATCGAAAAAATAATTATTTATTACATAATTTAGTTGTTTCTAGACTATAAATGTTGCTATGTGCCTTATGTTGAAAAAATTTAAAAGTAAAATGTCTTTCCAAATTATTTCTTAATTATTATAAAAATATTAAGACAATAGCACTTAAATTCCTCAACAGTGTTTTCAGAAGAAATAAATATACCACTCTTTACCTTTATTGATATCTCCATGATGATAGTTGAATGTTGCAATGTGAAAAATCTGCTGTTAACTGCAACCTTGTTTATTAAATTGCAAGAAGCTTTATTTCTAGCTTTTTAATTAAGCAAAGCACCCATTTCAATGTGTATAAATTGTCTTTAAAAACTGTTTTAGACCTATAATCCTTGATAATATATTGTGTTGACTTTATAAATTTCGCTTCTTAGAACAGTGGAAACTATGTGTTTTTCTCATATTTGAGGAGTGTTAAGATTGCAGATAGCAAGGTTTGGTGCAAAGTATTGTAATGAGTGAATTGAATGGTGCATTGTATAGATATAATGAACAAAATTATTTGTAAGATATTTGCAGTTTTTCATTTTAAAAAGTCCATACCTTATATATGCACTTAATTTGTTGGGGCTTTACATACTTTATCAATGTGTCTTTCTAAGAAATCAAGTAATGAATCCAACTGCTTAAAGTTGGTATTAATAAAAAGACAACCACATAGTTCGTTTACCTTCAAACTTTAGGTTTTTTTAATGATATACTGATCTTCATTACCAATAGGCAAATTAATCACCCTACCAACTTTACTGTCCTAACATGGTTTAAAAGAAAAAATGACACCATCTTTTATTCTTTTTTTTTTTTTTTTTTGAGAGAGAGTCTTACTCTGCCGCCCAAACTGGAGTGCAGTGGCACAATCTTGGCTCACTGCAACCTCTACCTCCTGGGTTCAAGTGATTCTCTTGCCTCAGCCTCCCGAGTTGCTGGGATTACAGGCATGTGCCACCATGCCCAGCTAATTTTTGTATTTTTAGTAGAAACGGGTTTCACCATGTTGGCCAGACTGGTCTCAAACTCCTGACCTCAGGTGAGCCTCCCACCTTGGCCTCCCAAAGTGCTGGGATTACAGGCGTGAGCCACTGCATTCAGCTCTTCTTTTCTTTAGATATGAGAGCTGAAGAGCTTAGACACATTTTGCATGTATTATTTGAAAATCTGATGGAATCCCAAACTGAGATGTATTAAAATACAATTTTTGGCCGGGTGCAGTGGCTCACGCCTGTAATCCCAGCACTTGGGGAGGGCGAGGAGGGTGGATCACGAGGTCAAGAGATGGAGACCATCCTGACCAACATGGTGAAACCCTGTCTCTACTAAAAATACAGAAATTAGCTGGGCATGGTGGCGTGAGCCTGTAGTCCTAGCTACTCAGGAGGCTGAGGCAGGAGAATAGCCTGAACCTGGGAATCGGAGGTTGCAGAGCCAAGATCGCCCCACTGCACTCCAGCCTGGCAATAGACCGAGACTCCGTCTCCAAAAAAAAAAAAAATACAATTTTTATTTCTTTTACTTTTTTTAGTAAGTTAATGTATATAAAAATGGCTTCGGACAAAATATCTCTGAGTTCTGTGTATTTTCAGTCAAAACTTTAAACCTGTAGAATCAATTTAAGTGTTGGAAAAAATTTGTCTGAAACATTTCATAATTTGTTTCCAGCATGAGGTATCTAAGGATTTAGACCAGAGGTCTAGATTAATACTCTATTTTTACATTTAAACCTTTTATTATAAGTCTTACATAAACCATTTTTGTTACTCTCTTCCACATGTTACTGGATAAATTGTTTAGTGGAAAATAGGCTTTTTAATCATGAATATGATGACAATCAGTTATACAGTTATAAAATTAAAAGTTTGAAAAGCAATATTGTATATTTTTATCTATATAAAATAACTAAAATGTATCTAAGAATAATAAAATCACGTTAAACCAAATACACGTTTGTCTGTATTGTTAAGTGCCAAACAAAGGATACTTAGTGCACTGCTACATTGTGGGATTTATTTCTAGATGATGTGCACATCTAAGGATATGGATGTGTCTAATTTAGTCTTTTCCTGTACCAGGTTTTTCTTACAATACCTGAAGACTTACCAGTATTCTAGTGTATTATGAAGCTTTCAACATTACTATGCACAAACTAGTGTTTTTCGATGTTACTAAATTTTAGGTAAATGCTTTCATGGCTTTTTTCTTCAAAATGTTACTGCTTACATATATCATGCATAGATTTTTGCTTAAAGTATGATTTATAATATCCTCATTATCAAAGTTGTATACAATAATATATAATAAAATAACAAATATGAATAATATGTTTTAATGTAAATTCTTTCTGGTCCACGTAAAGGAAATTATTTATTCTGTAGTATTATAACTATGTTAGATGAGGGCAATCTACAATACTTAGGGATATGTTAAGTCAGTAATTCATAAACTTCTTATACAATTTTGCCCCCCAATGTCTGACCTTTATCTGGATATAAAAAACACTCTCAGTAGCTTCATAAATTAAAATGCTTCTGAAATGAACTTTTTTAAAGCCCTGTGTTATCAGTGTAGTAGTGTGTCTTAGATTAAAATCCAAAATCCTATTTTAATATTTTAAGAATATTTCTGAAGAAATTCGAAATAACCCTTGTTAGCTGTATTTTGTGCTTAGTTTAGAAAAACCATTGCCCAAACTTAGTATTTCTGTTTAATAAGTATAAATGATACAGAAGCCTTTGGCCTTAAATTCATAACTGTTGAACATTCATGGAAAACCCTGCAATTAGAATTGATTGAAGAAGAATTCCTGAGAAAATGTTTTCATTCTTGTGACAGTTATTTTTCTATTAGTTTTATATTTGTTCTTTACAATTAGGCATTTTTCTCAACTAGCATATCATAAGTTAGCATCATACTTAATTCTGAACATTTTAGACTAATCCTGAGTCTTTAAGAATTACATAAAATATTTAGTTTTAACTATTTGATCTGAAAAAAATCAAGTAAAAATCCTGATAACCTGAGTGCATCTCTGCTTGCGCTTAGGTGATTTCTGTCACCATGAATGACTCTAGCTTGTCCAATTTCACCAGCTCTACCAAACACCGACCCAGGGATGTTGGCCACTGACAGGGCTGGATGACATCTCTCATTTCTTTCACTGTCTGCAGATGACCTTGCTTCCGTTTTTACTAATAAAATCAAGGATATCATCCTAAGTTTGTACCTTCACCTCAGCAATTCCTCTATCCTTGGACTTACCTCCAGTATGTGAGGAGGAGAGTTTCCTGAACTCCAGGGTTAGCCCCCGTCCTCTCTCGTTCTCATGCACACAGCTTCGACACCTGCTTTCTGAGAGGCTCTCCTTCTCTGTAGGATTTCCTGTGAATAGGTCCTCCTCCATCCTGGAAAAAAATTACTTGAACCTGCACTTTCTTCTCTATTAAATTACTTCTTTACCTTCTTCCTTTGTAACAACAGTTTTGATCTCCTGAGATCTGGTTTTGTTTTCCATCCTTCCATTATATTGCAGTGTTGCGGTTCACTAAACTTCTTACCATAGGCTCATTTTCTATGGCCCTGCAACCAAACTGATTACACTTTCAATGAACTTTTTTCTTCCCTTCCATGACATTAGTTGTCCTGTAAGCTCCTATTATCCCTTTTCTTTCCTTTGTTAACCACTCTTTCCTCCTCCCACCTGGCAGCAGGCTTAGTTTTGACCATTTGTGGCTCTTTCTGTACATACTGTCTAAGAAGAAGTGATTCAATGCCTTACCTCTGATTGACATTTGTGAAGCAATTCTTTCCCTGAGAGAGCAGCATAGCATAGCCAAACTAAACACACAGACTCTGGAGTCAGACTACTAGGTATAAATCCTGGCTTTGCCACAAATAAGATGTCATTGAGAAGGTTTCTTACTTTCTCTTAGCCTAAGATGCCTTTTCTGTAAACTAAGGCTAACAGTACCTGCCTCACTGGATTGCTGGAGGATTCAGTGATTTATATAAAATCACTTAGCTGCCAGTAGCCAAAACTGGAATAATTTGAGCAACTAAATAAGTGATGATAGCATTAGATTACAGCACAAAGAATAAAGTAAATATCCATGAATCCATACTAATATAAATAAAATGGTTGAAAAATAAATGGGGGAGAAGGAGCACATCTTTCCTATAGAAGAATCCCAAATAATATTGGTAGCTACTATGCCCTCTGATGCATGAGCTTAGTTCTCCTCCCCTGGAAGGATGAGTTAGACTTAATGACTTGCTTTCAAGGAATAGAGTACAGACAGAGAAGAAAATAACTTTACATTGTTGAAATCTGGCAAGCACTACTTTAACCAAGTAATCAAGGTTAACATCACCAGTGAAAAGTCATGTTGATATAACATGTATTATCTGATATGATACTTTGAGAAGTGTACATCTCAAAGCTCCCTGATTTTCTTAAAAACACATAGTCTAATTATGACAAAACATCAAACGCAAATTCAGGGACATTCCACAAAATTTCTGAGAGGATTTTTTAAAGTGTCACTGTCACAGAAAGAGACTGAATAATTATCACAGAGCAGAGGAGGCTAAGGAGGCATGATGACTGAACTTAATGTGATATCTCCGATTGCATCCTTCATAGAAAAAGGGCATTACTGAGAATCTGCAGAACTCTAAGTCTAGTTAATAGTACCACATCATTGTTAATTTTTTGGTTTTGACCAATGTACCATGGCTATACTACGTTAGAGGTACCTGGCTGAAGAGAGTAAAGGAACTCTATATCCTTTTGACTTTTCTGTAAATCTAAAATTATTCCACAGTAGATTTTACTTTTTAATAAAAGTACAGTTTTTATTGCCACATAGCAAGTATCTTTATGTCTCTCATTACTATTTTCCTGTATCTTCACAACCTCCTCTTAGTTGGAGGTAAAGCTATACATTGACATCAGTCCCCATTAACTACTGATTTGACGAATATCTTTTTTTTTTTAATTTAAGTTCTGGGGTACATGTACAGAATGTGCAGGTTTGTTACATAGGTATACACGTGCCATGGTGGTGTGCTGCGCCCATCAACCCGTGATCTACATTAGATATTTCTCCTAATGGTATCCCTCCCCTAGCCCCCCACTGGTGTGTGATGTTCCCCTCCCTGTGTCCATGTGTTCTCATTGTTCAACTCCCACTTATGAGTGAGAACATGCGGTGTTTAGTTTTCTGTTCTTGTGTTAGTCTGCTGAGAATGATGGTTTCCAGCTTCATCCATGTCCCTGCAAAGGACAGGAACTCATCCTTTTTTATGGCTGCATAGTATTCCATGCTGCCAGTTTTCCCAACACCATTTATTAAGTAGGGAATCCTTTCCCCATTGCTTATTTTTGTCAGGTTTGTCAAAGATTGGATGGTTGTAGATGTGTGGTGTTACTTCTGAGGCCTCTGTTCTGTTCCATTGGTGTATATATCTGTTTTGGTACCAGTACCATGCTGTTTTGGTGACTGTAGCCTTGTAGTATACCACATTCTCTTTATCCAGTCTGTCATTGATGGGCATTTGGGTTGGTTCCAAGTCTTTGCTATTGTGAACAGTGCTGCAGTAAACATACGTGTTCATATGTCTTTATAGTAGAATGATTTATAATCCTTTGGGTATATACCCTGGAATGGGATTGCTGGGTCAAATGGTATTTCTAGTTCTAGATCCTCGAGGAATCACCACGCTGTCTTCCACAATGGTTGAACTAATTTACTCTCCCACCAACAGTGTAAAAGCATTCTGATTTCTCCATATCCTCTCCAGCATCTGTTGCTTCCTGACTTTTTAATGATTGCCATTCTAACTGGCATGAGATGGTATCTCATTGTGGTTTTGATTTGCATTTCTCTAATGACCAGTGATGATGAGCTTTTTTTCATATGTTTGTTGGCAGCATAAATGTCTTCTTTTCAGAAGTGTCTGTTCATATCCTTCTCCCACTTTTTGATGGGGTTGTTTGTTTTTTTTTTCTTATACATTTGTTTAAGTTCTTTGTAGATTCTGGATATTAGCCCTTTGTCAAATGTATAGGTTGCAAAAATTTTCTCCCATTCTGTAGGCTGCCTGTTCACGCTGATGATAGTTTCTTTTGCTGCGTAGACGCTCTTTAGTTTAATTAGATCCCATTTGTCAATTTTGGCTTTTGTTACCATTGCTTTTGGTGTTTTAGTCATGAAATCTTTGCCCATGCCTATGTTCTGAATGGTATTGCCTAGGTTTTCTTCTAGGGTTTTTATGGTTTTAGGTCTTACATTTAAGTCTTTAATCCATCTTGAGTTAATTTTTAAATAAGGTATAAGGAAGGGGTCCACTTTCAGTTTTCTGTACCATTGGTGTATATATCTGTTTTGGTACCAGTACCATGCTGTTTTAGTTACTGTAGCCTTGTAGTATGGTTTGAAGCCAGGTAGCATGATGCCTCCAGCTTTGTTCTTTTTGCTTAGGACTGTCTTGGCTATGCGGGCTCTTTTTTGGTTCCATACGAAATTTAAAGTAGTTTTTTCTAATTCTGTAAAGAAAATCACTGGTAGCTTGATGGGGATAGCAGTGAATCTATAAATTACTTTCAGCAGTATGGCCATTTTCACAATCTTTACTCTTCCTATCCATGAGCATGGAATGTTTTTCCATTTGTTTGTGTCCTCTCATTTCCTTGTGCAGTGGTTTGCAGTTCTCCTTGAAAAGGTCCTTCACATCGCTTGTAAGTTGTATTCCTAGGTATTTTATTCTCTTTGAAGCAGTTGTGAATGGGAGTTCACTCATGATTTCACTCTCTATTATTGGTGTGTAGGAATGCTTGTGATTTTTGCACATTGATTTTGTATCCTGAGACTCTGCTGAAGTTGCTTATCAGCTTAAGGAGATTTTGGGTGAGATGATGGGGTTTTCTAAATATATGATCATGTTATCTGCAAACAGAGACAGTTTTACTTCCTCTTTTCCTATTTGAACACACTTTATTTATTTATCTTGCCTGATTGCCCTGGCCAGAACTTCCAATACTATGTTGAATAGGAGTGGTGAGAGAGGGCATCTTTGTCTCGGCCTGAAATTTTCTTTTTTTGTTGTGTCTCAGCCAGCTTTTGATATCAGGATGATGCTGGCCTCATAAAATGAGTTAGGGAGGAGTCTCTCTTTTTCTATTGCTTGGAATCGTTTCAAAAGGAATGGTACCAGCTCCTCTTTGTACCTCTGGTAGAATTCAGCTGTGAATCTGTCTGGTCCTGGACTTTTTTTGGTTGGTAGGCTATTAATTACTGCCTCAATTTCAGAACTTGTTATTGTTCTATTCAGGGATTCAACTTATTACTGGTTTAGTCATGGGAGGGTGTATGTGTCCAGGAATTTATCCATTTCTTCTAGATTTTCTGTTTTATTTGTGTAGAGGTGTTTATAATATTCTCTGATGGTAGTTTGTATTTCTGTGGGATCAGTGGTGATATCCCCTTTATCATTTTTTATTGCGTCTATTTGATTCTTTTCTCTTTTCTTCTGTATTAGTCTGGCTAGCGGTCTATTTTGTTGATCTTTTCAGAAAACCAGCTCCTGGCTTCATTGATTTTTAGAAAGGTTTTTTGTGTCTCTATCTCTTTCAGTTCCGCTCTGATCTTAGTTATTTCTTGTCTTCTGCTGGCTTTTGAATTTATTTGCTCTTGCTTCTCTAGTTCTTTTAATTGTGATGTTAGGGTGTCAATTTTAGATCTTTTCTGCTTTCTCTTGTGGGAGCTTAGTGCTATAAATTTCCCTCTACACACTGCTTTAGCTGTGTCCCAGATATTCTGGTACGTTGTGTCTTTGTTCTCATTGGTTTCAAAGAACATCTTTATTTCTGCCTTCATTTTGTTATTTACCCAGTAGTCATTCAAGAGCAGGTTGTTCAGTTTCCATGTAGTTGTGCTGTTTTTAGTGAGTTTCTTAATCCTGAGTTCTAATTTGATTGCACTGTGGTCTGAAAGACTGTTTGTTATGATTTCCGTTCTTTTGCATTTGCTGAGGAGTGTTTTACTTCCAATTATGTGGTCAATTTTAGAATAAGTGTGATGTAGTGCTGAGAAGAATGTATACTCTGTTGATTTGGGGTGGAGAGTTTGTCTTGCAGATGTCTATTAGGTTCGCTTGGTCTAGAGCTGAGTTCAAGTCCTGAATATCCTTGTTAATTTTCTGTCTTGTTTATCTGTCTAATATTGACACTGGGGTGTTAAAGTCTCCCAGTATTATTGTGTGGGAATCTAAGTCTCTTTGTAGGTCTCTTGCTTTATTAATCTGGGTGCTCCTGTATTGGGCGCATATATATTTAGGATAGTTAGCTCTTCTTGTTGCATTGATCCCTTTACCATTATGTAAATGCCCTTGTCTCTTTTGATCACTGGTGGTTTAAAGTCTGTTTTATCAGACTAGGATTGCAACTCCTGCTTTTTTTGCTTTCCATTTGCTTGGTAAATATTACTCCATCCCTTTATTTTGAGCCTATGTGTGTCTTTACATGTGAGATGGATCTCCTGAATATAGCACACGGATGGGTCTTGACTCTTTATCCAATTTGCTAGCCTACGTCTTTTAATTGGGGCATTTAGCCCATTTACATTTAAGGTTAATATTGTTATGTGTGAATTTGATCCTGTCATTATGCTGCTAGCTGGTTATTTTGCCCATTACTTGATGCAGTTTCTTCACAGTGTCAATGGTCTTTACAATTTGGTACATTTTTGCAGTGGCTGGTACCAGCTGTTCCTTTCCATTTTTAGTGCTTCCTTCAGGACTTCTTGTAAGGCAGGCCTGGTGGTGACAAAATCAGCATTTCCTTGTTTGTAAAGGATTTTATTTCTCCTTCATTTATGAAGCTTAGTTTGGCTGGATATGAAATTCTGTGTTGAAAATTATTTTCTTTAAGAATGTTGAGTATTGGCCCCCACTATCTTCTGGCTTGTAGGATTTCTGCTGAGAGATCCGCTGTTAGTCTGATGAGCTTCCCTTTGTGGGTATCCCAGCCTTTCTCTCTGGCTGCCCTTAACAATTTCTCCTTCATTTCAATCTTGATGAATCTGATGATTATGTGTCTTGGGGTTGCTCTTCTTGGGGAGTATCTTCATGGTGTTCTCTGTATTTCCTGAATTTGAATGTTGGCCTGTCTTGCTAGTTTGGGGAAGTTCTCCTGGATAATATACTGAAGAGTGGTTTCCAACTTGGTTCCATTCTCCATGTCACTTTCAGGTACACCAATCAAATGTAGATTTGGTCTTTTCATATAGTCCCATATTTCTTGGAGGCTTTGTTGATTCCTTTTCATTCTTTTTTCTCTAATCCTGTCTTCATGCTTTATTTCATTAAGTTGATCTTCAATCTCTGATATCCTTTCTTCCGCTTGATCAATTCAGCTATTGATACTTGTGTATGCTTCACAAAGTTCTCATGCTGTGTTTTTCAGCTCCATCAGGTCATTTATGTTCTTCTCTAAACTGGTTATTCTAGTTAGCAATTTGTCTAACCTTTTTTCAAGGTTCTTAGCTTCCTTGCATTGGGTTAGAACATGCTCCTTTAGCTCAGAGGAGTTTGTTATTACCCACCTTCTGAAGCTTACTTCTGTCAATTCATCAAACTCATTCTCCATCCAGTTTTGTTCCCTTTCTGGCGAGGAGTTGTGATCCTTTGGAGTAGAAGAGGTATTCTGGTTTTTGGAATTTTCAGCCTTTTTGCACTGGTTTCTCCCCATCTTCATGGATTTATCTACGTTTGGTCTTTGATGTTGGTGGCCTTCGGATGGGGTTTCTGTGTGGACATCCTTTTCAATGATGTTGATGCTCTTCCTCTTTGTTAGTTTTCCTTCCAACAGTCAGGCCCTTCTGCTGCAGATCTGTTGGAGTTTGCTGGAGGTCCACTCCAGACCATTTGCCTGGGTATCACCAGCTGAGTCCGCAGAACAGCAAAGATTGTTGCCTGTTCCTTCCTCTGGAAGCTTCACCCCAGGGGGGCATTCACCAGATGCCAGCCAGAGCTCTCCTGTGTGAAGTGTCTGTTGGCCCCTCCTGGAAGGTGTCTCCCCCTCAGGAGGCACAGGGGTCAGGGACCCACTTGAGAAGGCAATTTGTCCCTTACCAGAGCTCGAACACTATGCTCAGAGAACTGCTCTCTTCAGAGCTGGCAGGCAGGAACGTTTAAGTCTGCTGAAGCTGCACCCACAGCCACCCCTTCCCCCAGGTGCTCTGTCCCAGGAGATGGGGGTTTTATCTATAAGCCCCTGACTGGGGCTGCTGCCTTTCTTTCAGAGATGCCCTGCCCAGAGAGGAGGGATCTAGAGAGGCAGTCTGGCTACAGTGGCTTTGCTGAGCTGAGGAGGGCTCCACCCAGTTGGAACTTCCCCATGGCTTGCTTTACATTGTGAGGGGAAAACCACCTACTCAAGCCTCAGTAATGGTGGGCACCCCTTCCCCAACCAAGCTCAAGCATCCTGGGTCGACTTCAGACTGCTATGCTGGCAGTGAGAATTTCAAGCCAGTGGATCTTAGCTTGCTGGGCTCCGTGGGGGTGGGATCCGCTGAGCTAGACCACTTGGCTCCCTGGCTTCAGCCTCCTTTCCAGGGGAGTGAATGGTTCTGTCTCGCTGGTGTTCCAGGTGCCACTGGGGTATGAAAAACAAACAAACAAAAAACCTCCTGCAGCTAGCTCAGTGTCTGCCCTAAAGGCTGCTCAGTTTTATGCTTGAAACCCAGGGCCCTGGTAGCGTAGACACCCAGGGGAATCTCCGGATCTGTGGGTTGTGAAGGCCATGGGAAACGCATAGTCTCTGGGCGGGAGTGCAGTGTTCCTCATGGCACAGTCCCACATGGCTTCCTTTGGCTTGGGGAGGGAGTTCCCCGACCCCTTGCATTTTCCAGGTGAAGTGATGCCCCACCCTGTTTCAGCTTGCCCTCCATGGACTGCACCCACTTTTTAACCTCCTAAAACGTTCCTTTCTTCTTTGATCTGCTAACATCATCCTTATCAATGGCCCTTCTTGGTTTGTTCTCATAGCTTCTACACATCAACTATAATAACCTATTTTTCTGTTCCAACTAAGTACAGCCACACCTCAGAGTTTGAGCATTTGTAACTGCCTTACCTCTATCAACTTAGTATCTCCTTTTCCAATCTTTTCTTCCTTGTTCAACTAGCTCTGCACCCTCCTTGTGCTCCTTGAGTATACATTGTTTTTTCATAGTCCAGCAGCCTGGACCTCAGTTTCAGGATTTCAGAAATATTTTTGCTTATATCCTGGATGTTCTCACTTATTAGTAACTGCTGATCCAGTCCATGGCCCTGGCCAAAAAGACTCTGTTTTCCTGATATGCAGTCTTGCTAGAGAAAGTCACAAAACAGAAATAATTGGCTTCACCACAGTCTTATCATGTCAGTGGCAGAGACTGACAGTTGCCTACAGAGATATCTTCCCTTCCTTAGTAAGAGAACCCTGACTTTTCACTGGTTACATTGAGGAAATAAAAGACTACATTTTCCAGCCTCCTTTGTAGATACACATAACTAACATAACTTCTGCCCAAATATATGAAAGCAAAAATTTTGTATAATACTTCCAGGAAGGCTGCTTAAAGGGACTTAATACAACTAAAATGAGCAATTTTTGCCTTTCTGCTTTTCCTCTTTGTAACCAACACATATGTATCTAGAGAGCCACCAGCCACTTTGAACCATGATGACAGAAGCCATGAACTAGGATGGTGAAGAAAAAATAGAATGAGCCTGGTTTCTCTTGACTTGGAACTACCAAACAGTCAATCCCTAGTCTGCCTACTACCTCTGGGCTTCCTGTACATAAGAGATAAACAGAGTCTCTGCCCCACCACCACCCCTAGGTATTTTCATCTCACTCTAGAATGACATTATCTCCAACTTGACTGAAAACAATCTGAAATAATCTTCAGTTTTCTACTTTATGCCTTTGTATTCCTTTCTATCAACTATCTCCTCAGATTTTCCTTACCTCTTTTTGTTGCAACTTCTGCCATTAAATACATGAGTTTCTTCCCTTTTTTTTTCTAAAATATGTTCTTATTATGGTTTTCTTCTTCTATAATGGCAGAATATCTCCAGTTTTTATATTTTTATTTTTACTGTTTTTTAATTGATATATAATAGATGCAGACATTTTCAAGGTCCATGTAATAATTTGATGTATTTATATAATCAAATCAGGATAATTGGGGCATCCATCATCTCAAATATTTATCTGCTCTTTATGCTAGGAACATTCAAATTGTTCTAGCTATTTTGAAATGTATAATAGTGTTAACTATATTCACCCTACTGATCTATCAAACACCAGGTCTTCCAACCCTCTTCTAAAAGTGAAATACAACTACCACTAGATTTTTCTTTCTTTTTTAACTTGCTATACATTTGAAAGAGCAGCTGGCTAAGACACTTTCTTTACTTCTTTACCAACCTCTGTTTCTTAAACCTTCCCAGTCTGAATTTATTCCCAATTTTCTAGGTACAAATGGTCTATTAAGTCAAGAAATCTTCATTCCTTGAGACTTTCTTACTTTGGCTTCTGTAACATTGTACTCTCCTTTTTCCTGATTTCTGATTTACTTTAGCCCTCTTTCTGTAATTCTTGCAAATCATTAGTATAATCTCAAAATGCAATTATTAGACTAAGGAGGCCTGCCCCAGACTACACTGTGACCCTGACTGCACTTCTGACTCTCACCTGAAAAGCAAAACTGCCTCCATTAGGCGAACTGCCCTTCTCTCCTAGTCTCCTAGTAGACCTTTAAGATATCAAAACTTTCTGAATAAAGTTGGCCCCAATAACTCTCCTGTGCTGTTGAGTTTAGACTTAAAACCCTATCCTAGGCACAGCCAGTCCTGCCTCCAGTTCTCACCCCCACCCACAGCCCCACCACCACCATCTTGGGCAGATCCAGACCCTGGGGGGTCAGTTTCTGATACTAGTCTCTCCATCTCCAGCAAAATTTCTCAAGAGGTAAGATGGGCCACACTCTATGTGTGATGTCTAAAGTATACAGTCAAGCATGAAACAACTCATATATTAAAAAGAACAACCAGAATTGTGAAGAAACAAATTCATACGTATAAGAATCTTATAATTCATACATTATAAGAACCGGTGATTAATATATTGAAAAAGAGAAGAGTGATCTGTGATATGATTACATCCCTCAAATAACTGATATTCTAGCATGGAAAGTGAAGATTCCCATTTGGGGCCCAGAAATTAAGCCAGGATCATTGATAAAAGTTAACAGACCTTTACCTTAATTTGAAGAAGACTACCCTTTGAAAGATGACTGGAGATAAAACAACCTGCTTTATAATGTAATGATCTTGTTTCTAGAAATGATCACTTAGAATTCATAAGAAAATAATTCAAAATTCTAATGTGTGTTATAGTTTATCACTGCTAAGTATCCTTCTACTTCTGAGACTATACAGTTGCATAAACTTCCATGTTAGATGTGATCTTTGAGATAATGTATTTTACACCCGCAACATTATGTTTGAAAAATATAAAGGCCTAGAGACTGTTTTGTGCAAGTATCATTGTCTGTGATAAAATTATTTCATGAATTCTCAGCTTGGATCTGAGTATTCATTCTACAGCACAAGAAGTCAGCTTTATTCTTAGGGAAAACAACATATTCACACAATTTTATTTTTAGCTTTGATAAATAAAATTTTTGTTTTCCTTTTATTCAGAATTATGGTTTCACCCTCCTTTCAGGTAAAGCTGAGCATCCCAATGCTTACGGAATGTCTACAAATTTATCTTCAACTCTATTTTCCCAGAGTCCTGTATGGTTACTTAATATTTTTTACTAAAAGGTTAATGTCCTTTAAACATTTTTAAACTACATATTTCCTGACATCTGACAGTATCACTATCTAACCTGGGGGCTTCAGCATAAAGATTAGACACTGTGACTAAAACTTGTGTTTCAGAATTAGGTTAGCTTAAATTCTTTTTTCAAGTGTATTAATTTCTACTGTCTTTGAAGGTATTTGTCTTCCTCCTTATGGAATCAACTGATATGTAGAAAATTCAGACTATCTTTGAATAGGAAGATCCACTGCATGTAGAAGAGAATAGAAAATCTTACCTTATTGTGAAGAGCTGTGGAGATTTTACCCTACTTTGAAGATAGCAAGTTAGCCAGTCACAGTTTGATGGATGCTGGCAAAATGACATGAGACTCTGGTATCAGAGGCAAAGGAAGTTTATTACTCACAGCAATAGCATTTGTGTTGATTCCCCACAAGGCAACACAAAGACAGCCAGGTGGCATCTACACATGCAATTCCAGGAGAGGAACCCCGAGGTTAGGGTTTTGTAATGGGCGGAATGCATACCTGATCCTTTGCTCTGAAGAGGGATACTACCTCTGTCTTTTAAGGCTGCTTACTATACAGACATCCTTGAAAAGTTTGCTCAGATAAAAACCAGTCCCTCTGCTCACAGGATGTGCAGAAACACGAGATTCATGGGGAATTGTCTCCATCTTTTATCATGACTGGCTCTGCCTGCTCTTTCAACTAAAATTGCCAACCTATCCTGCTCTCTTGACTGCATCCCAGTCTAGACTGCAGAGGCAACTTTTATTTGAGATAAATAGCATGGCGAATCTGATAAAATTCTCTGTTCTCAAATTACACCATTCTTGCTCCCCATGGAAAAACCTTTGAAACCCTGACTTGAACACTTTGCTCCAAGTCTTTATAAAAGGCAATATGCCGTGATATTTAAGATTCAGGGAAGTGTATGCTAGGTTTGAATTCAGGCTCTGCTCCCTTGCTAGATATATGATTGGGGAGTTTATTTAACTGTTCTGTGCCTTTGTTTCTTCTTCTGTAAAAAGAAGATAATAAAATGGCCCTACTTCATAGGATCTTTATAGGAACCAAATGAGATACTGTATTCAACTTGCTCAGCACAATGACTGGTACGTGATAATTGGTGCTAAAGAATTGTGAGCTCCTGTTATTCGGTGAGTCTGTATTAGAGTAAAGCCAATCTGGTATAATGAAATACCAAAAAAAGCATTCTTTAAACATTAGGTGTGTATTTGTCTAATGTAGGTGGCCTCTGCTCCACAAAGCAAACCCACGTGGTGAGGCAACTCTTTTTCATTGTCAATATGCTCCCAACACTGCCTTTTCTAACCAGGAGGAAGGAATGGGAGGGATGTGTGCAGGCCAAGGAGCTGTGAGAGAACAAGTAAGAGCTTGGTACATATCACTTCTGCTCACATTCTGTACCCATGAACATAGTCCCATGGTCACACCTAGCTACAACTATAGGCCTGACTACCATCTGTCTGTGGAAAAAGAAGAAACAGACTTTGGTGGAGGATTTAAAGGGCCCTCAAAACTAAGTAGCACCTCTCTTTTTTATTTGAATTTTGAAGCTTTTCAGAAATAACTTGACAAAGCATAAACAGATAAAGAAGGGGGAGAAAAAAGTCATCATTATGTTAAAATCACATCATCATTATTAAACATGTCACCATAACTTAGCCCGAGAGCCAAAGGAGGATGGCCCACCCCATTCCCCCAGCTCCAATCTAAACCTAAGAACATACTATTCTGGGATACTCTGACTGGAAAGAGCCAACCTACTTTCTGTGTCACTGACTCCTACAATTCTAGATAGACAAAAGCGGAGAAAGAGATCAAGTTCTTCATACCCAGTACCATTGATAGATTTGCTTCACATATTTGAGGAATGTGGACAGTGGCTGCCACCCACTTTGGCCTTCTACCACGGGGAGAATTAAGTGATGATGAGAAGGGCTATTTCCCTACACCCCTTCACAGGACACGTGAAGGGTAGGCTCGTTTACTCAGCCCACAGCTCTGAACCTCTCCTGGAAGGGGGAGCACGCAGGTCAGCAGGTGCAGGAGCAGGAGTGAACAAATGCTGGAACCAGCCAGTTGCTCCTCTCAGGCGGAGGCAGGTTCTGTGCAGGCCCTGCAGCAGCATCTAAGTGTGTTACAATGCTCTTTTAGCTCTGCCATCCAGGAGGGGGTATCTGTGCCCCTGGGACCCCAGAGGGTATGTGTTACAATCAGTGCTCTTTCAGCATTTGCCATCTGTGGGAAGCTACGCATTAACCAGCTCAGTGGAGGATCAGGGTGGCAGCCTTTTACACCCTGCCCTCTTGGTGCCCATGTTCTTCTCTGACATCCAGGAAGAATCAGGTCACACAAATGAATTGAAGGGTGGTGTATGTGGAGGATTGTATTGGGTGGGAGAAGTGGCTTGCAGTGGGCACAGGAGCTGGAATGGGAATGGAGTGGAAAGATAATCTTCCCCCGGAGTTCCACCACCCCCGGCCAAACTCTTCTCTAAAGTCCCGCCATCAGGTCATTTATCTGACATCCAGCTGCTGCTTCTCTTCTTTCCTTCTCTGCCGCTCCTCTCTGCTCTCCTGCCAGTGGTGCTTGGGGTTTTTATGGGTACAGGGTAGGAAGTGGGGTAGGCCAGGGTGGTTTTGGAAAAGGCAACATTCAGGTGGGAAAGCAAGGATGTGAAGTTCTCATTTAGGGCTGCGGGTTCAGGCATGAGGGTGGAACCCTTGTTGGGGACCCCACCCTTTTCTACTTAGTATTTCTCTGCCTCCTGTCCTTTTTAATGAGTCAAGAGCCTAAGAAAACTTATCCTTCTTCATGGAAACCTCATAATAGGAAAAATACTTTTCTATCAAAAACATCACCTCCACCACCACCACCATCATCATCATAATTATAAGGCAAATTTACCGTTTTACCCGTTGAGTAAAAACTTTTCCTAAGGGTTCTTTACATTGCCCATTATTCTATGAGGTGCAGAAGTCAGAGTTCAGACTTAAAATATACTTGTCCTTTCTGGAAAAATTCTGTATAATTTGCTTACTTCTTGTACACTTCCAGGAAGCATAGAATTCAGTTTTTTACTTATATGCAACAGCTTCCTTCTGCCTTTATTTCAGGCAAAAGTATATGTGTTTCTGCCTTACTGGTATTCCTACTTCATTTGTTACATCCCTCTTGATAACACATCCTTTTTTTAAAGTTTTAATGTAAGCTGCCACATATTCTTTTATGGTAGGATTTAAATTATCCAAATAAGGATGCAGAAAGTAAACACAATGATGTAGAGAGAATATTGGAAGTGAACTATGCTATCCATGAGTGCTGTTAGATAAAATGTTGGCAAATAAAGCTTTGCAGCCTTTACAGGAGATGAATTGGCTCAGTGTAGAAGTAGTGCCTCAGTAATGGGATGATGGCTATGAATAATGGTTTCAATCCTGTCTTTCCAGAGGCTGTCATTTAACTTATGGTTATTTGCAGTGTCCATGAAATTCTTTGCTTTTTGGCCTCTTTAATGTTCCCAGTCACAGTTGTCTTAAATCATCTGTTATTTCCTATTCCTATTATCTGTTTTCCTCGCTGGACCAGAGTAAACCAAAGTGGCCCCAATTGGAAAGACTTGAGAGAGAGAGTTCACCGGGTGAATCCATGTGAAGCATCCTCTAAATATCTTTATAAAAATAAATGGGTGAGACTGTGGGGAGGTTGTAAGTCCTTCCTTTCATAGGTGGGGTCATATTAAAACTTGAGTCATTATTACCAATTCTCACAGGGTGATGAGAAAACTCAAGTTACACACTTAAAGCTGAGGAAACAAAGGCCAAAAAAAGCAAAGTAGCCTGTTCATGTCACACAGGTAGTGGTGGAGAGAGATCTAGGCTTTGCACCTGCTAATTAAGAGCTCTTTCAGAGAGTAGACCTAAGAGCATCATGTATGTGCTTTGCTCTGTTTTTCTGCCAGTTGCTTAATTCAGGTTATTTCATTTACTCACTACATCCACATTAGGTTAATACAAGTACCCTAGTCTTACACATGATTAAGTTAGAAATACTTTTTTAAAAAAGAAATCTTATGTTTAAAAGGCAGTTTTTCAAAAAAGCCATAAAGATGACTAAGATAGCTGAGGTAGACAGAAGAGGTACTAAGCATGTGTGATTAAGTTAAGGACATTGAGATGGGGAGGTGCTAATATAATCATAAGGGTCCTTATAAAAGGAGGGTAGAAGAGGGGATGTGATAACAGAAGAAGAGGTCAGAGAGAGAGAGAGTTGAAGATGAAATGATGATGGCCTTGAAGATAAAGGGTCACAAGCCAAGGAATGCAGGCTGCCCCTAAAAGGTAGAAAAGGCAAGGAAACTAATTCTCCCTTAGTGCCACCGGAACACAGCTCTATCAGCACCTTGATTTTAGTACTGTTAAGATAATACATTTGGGTTTTTTAAGCCACTAAGTTGTGGTAAGTTGTTACAGCACCAATGGGACACTAATACAATAGTTACAGATCTTAACGAAGCCAAGAGATGCATTTTCTCCTCCATCGCTAGAGAAAAATAGGAGAGCTGTTTTCTGTACCTCTCCCTGGCTTTGATAACTTCTGCAGGGGAAGACCAGGAAGGTCTGGCAGCACTTCCTGTCCCTCCTCTCTGAAAGGCAATGGAAGGGCACCGTGGATCAACAAGGCCGAGAGGAGAGACAAAGAGGGCAAAAATCTTCTTTATTGAGCTCTCGGGCGAGGTTCACTGGTCCGCAGGGGGAGGGCCAGGGAAGTCGCGCTGTGCCAAAGGGGCAGCACGCTTTTATGGATGCTGGGTGAGGAGTGGGCGGGGTAGGGGCGGGGTCGGTTGAGTTTCGCACTTCTCTGTGTGACACGCCCTAGTGGGCATGCGCGTTAGTCGGGTTGGCGGGAACAGGAAAGGTGAACCCGGAAATGCTGAGTCAGGGTATCCGAGGTGGCGATCGCCATCTTGGAGTCTTCACCCGAGTCCAATCACTCTCCACTCTCAGATGCCTTGGGACCTACAAAAGAACCTCCACTTGACGAGGCTGACAGTTGTGCCTTCTGGGCTCCAGCCTTGCCTTGGTATTGCAAAGAAATGTGGAAGAATAGCCAACTCACAGTTTCATTACAGCCTTGCCTTGAACAGATGTTTAGCTCATGTCAGAAGCCAGGAAATGCATCGCTTACAGCCCCACATGTGTTTCTGCAAAAGGGTCCTGATAAATGTCTGGTCTTTGCAATAATCCTACTAATTGGCCCGATTCCTGGAAGAAAAATGGCTGTATTAAAGTGGGTTAGACATTACATAAACAATGTCAGTTACACATCTTTAAGTGTTACTTCTGCATTTAAAATTAACAAAGCTATTTTGGGGACACTTTTTACAGCTATACATCTTAAGATGTTTGTATATGAAAAAAAAAACCAAGTTTGTACCGGTATCATCATATTATCATCCAGTAAGCTCTAAGAAAAGACAATTAAAAGAGAAAAGTGACCCAAAACTGTCACAAAAGCTCTTCTTTTCTGGACATAGTGCAGCATATATTTGTTCATAACTTTATTTGCACAGAAATTTTACATCCATTATCAGAATTGATTCTGACTACTACACTAGAAGGTGAGTTCTCATGAAAAAGGGTGAATCCAACATTATTAAGTACCACACAGCTAGTAACTGATGATATCTTTTTTTTTTTTTTTATGGAGTTTTGCTCTTGTTGCCCAGGCTGGGGTGCAATGGCACGAACTCGGCTCACCACAACCTCTGCCTCCTGGGTTCAAGCAATTCTCCTGCCTTAGCCTCCTGAGTAGCTAGGATTACTCAAGTCATCTGACTTCCAAGTTCAAACTTTTAAAAATATCTCATGGTGGTCTTTGACAGGATACCATAAGTGTTGAACCATTGGTTTAACTACATGCATCAAGGATATACAATTTCCCTTAGTTTCTATGTTCAACTATGGGCTAATCCCAAGGAATAAGGCAGGATTACTGTTGTAGAATCTATTGAGGAGTTATTATTCCCATGGTTGAGGAAATTGAGAATAGAATGTGAGATAATTAATGCTTATTCTGTCTGAAGTGCCTCTCATTTGTATAGTAAATTAATATAACAAAATTTTAGAATGATTTAGCTATTTAGCTGACCAATCTTTCAGGGGGTTTCTCTCCTTGATTCAAGTGAGATATGAAATTAAATGTCTCTCATTGGACATCAGTGCCATCTATTATAGGACATTCAAGATGACTCTCTTTGTTCTTTCCAGAATTCCATCTTTTCTGGAAAATTATGTGTGCCTCTGCCACTTACAAAATTTACTCTTACATTTGTGTACGTGTCGAAGGAAAAGCTTAAATTGCAAATTGGATATTTAAAAAGTTATGAGAATATTTCAGTTTAAAATGAAAACACAATACTTGGATAATAGACTCCCATATTTTCCTTCCATTTGCAAACTACAGCATTTAAAAATTCATTTCAAAAGTCAAATTACCCAATGTACTTTATAGTATAGAAAGGAAGTTTCACTTCTGAGTATCACCCATGTGCCAGACATTTAATAGATAATAAATTTTTACCAGCTGTTTGGGGTTTTGAGGAGGCCATTCTTCCATTGTAAACTTGTTTGAAGTGTAGATATACCAGAATTCTATTCTGGCCCTGGGTGTGCAAGAACACTGAGTTAATGTCCACTGTTCCTGTAACATTTTTCACTATGACATTTTCTTGGTGATTTTAATCTCAATAATACATTGAGTCAATATCTTCAGAAACATTCTACAAAATGTTTTTCAATATGTGTTTTACAGAATATCAATCACACAAGATGTTAACATGCAGATTTCATTATCAAATAAGTTTGGGAAACACTGGGCAAATAAAAGTTAACCAGATTCCTTTTCTGCAGGTCTCTAATGTATTAATATATGTTGTAATTTTCCAAAAAGTGGAATTTGGTATGCAATATTTTTCAAACTCATTTGACACTGAAACCATTTTCAGAGCTTATCACATGGTGCTAGCATTCCAAGGAAAATACTTAAATAAAACCTGATTTATGATAAAAGATCCCAGGCTCTTTTCTTGTATGATCCCTGTGGCCCAGAGTTCTTATTTAAGATAGTCTTTGGAATACAAATGATGCATCTGTCCACGTTAAACTTATCTGACATTTCTCTGCCTAAGCACAGAGATTTATAAGAATTTCCTATACTCTTCTACCCCATCCCCTAATCTAGCTTTTCACCGTGTGGAAGAGTTTAATGTTATCTCCACACCTAAAGTATATAATCTTTATAAGTGATATGGTCATTTCTCCACATCACTTATAAAGATATTCTTAAAATTTCTTCCGCTCAAAGTTGACTATCAGATAACTCTTTGTGGTTCAGCTCTATCATTTGGGCCATCTGCAGAAAGTGTTTCACTGAGGTTTGTTGTGTTGTTTTTGTCTTAGTTTCCTTATGAGACATATTACTCTATTTACTCTAGGGTACGTAGTTAAACCTCTTAGAAAAGATCCATAGGCCTTTTATTTAAGTGTTAGAACTAAGAAAACAGCCTGTTTTCTCCCTAACAAACTGTAAATGATTCCCTTTTTATTTCAAACACCAGGAAGCTCAAAACCAAATCAGGACACCACTAGAGTAATGAATTATGTCCTTACATGTCTGCACAATTGTGTTATCATTTCACCTCTCACTAGCTTGTGTTAACCTGCTACTCTCCACTTTCTCTGCTGTTATTTTGCATTTAGATCTTCCGTTCATGCTACATACAATTTTATTTAATGTATTCTTGTTCTAATCAAATTCAAGTCCTTCTCCATCCCTTCTGCCCCCAACACACACACACACTCTTTGAGAATGATTTAGAAAAAAGAACAAACCAAAAAATGTAAAGAAAGGAAGAAAAATTATTCTGGTCACAACCCTGTCTAGCTAGAAGCTGTGGTACTAGATATAACTGATGCTGAGAGAGCATTTAACATTCATAGTCAATTTGGAATTCACGTCAATAAAGTTCATAGTAGCTGATTCTTTTTCTGATTTTATGATGGTGGCAATATACCCATTAAAGGATCTAGAACCTCCAGTTCTCCTTAATTGCTTTAGTTAAAAATCCATGAGAATTTAAAAAGTTTGACACAAACCATCAATACAGTTATGAATGGTACAAGCTGACTTTTTGAGGCAAGCATAGCATTTCCTCACCACTTAAAAGGAATGCCCCTTTCATCTCTATGTAGAGCAAGGTTCTCTTCCTCAGCACTATTTGTGCTAGAGAAGTCTTCTGTGTAGAAAAGGCTGTCCTGTGCATTGTAGGACATTCAGCAGCATTCCTGACTTCTACACCTATAGATATCAGTAACACGCCCACCTCCAGGTGTAATAACCAAAAAATGTCTCCAGACATTGTTGAATGCTCCCTTGGAATTGAGAGGAAATCACCCTTAGTTGAGAGCCACTAATAGAAGAAGGAGCACTTTCAAAAGGACAGAGTTTGCTGTGTTGAAGAAAGTCCAGGAAATGGACTTAAGTGGTAGTTTTCTGAGAAGTCCTGTGTCACATCTGTGTCTTTCTCTTTTCCAACTGCCCCCATGAAATTAGTAAATGGCTGCTTACTCTGTAGAGTCGATCACCTGGCACAATGTGGCAGTTAGAAGGAAGCCACTTATTCATGCAGAGTCCAGAGAAAAAAGGCCTTTGATACAATAAATTATATGCAGTGAATAACAGTTTGTAGTATGTTGATGACCAAACAGTGGTAGGATTGGTAATATTATATAATCAAAAATTGTTCATCTGTATTGTTGTTTCAGCTTACAGAAATAATATATGTCCACTGTACAAAGTCAAGCATTAATAAACATTCAAAAAAATCTACAAAAGTAGCTCTTGCTATTGCAAAAATTTCAGAGTAAAGGAATGTGTGAAACAAAAAGCAAGGCCAGGCATAGCAGCTCACACGTGTAATCCTAGCACTTGGGAGGCCGAGGCAGATGGATCACTTGAGGTCAGGAGTTTGAGACCAGCCTAGCCAACATGGTGAAACCCCGTCTCTACTAAAAATACAAAAAATTAGCACAGTGTGGTGGCACATGCTTGTAATCCCAGCTACTTGGGAGGCTGAGGCGGGCGGTTGGTTGAACCCAAGAGGTGGATGTTGCAGTGAGCCGAGATCGTGCCACTGCACCAGAGTGAGACTCCATCTCAAAAATAAATAAATAAATAGATAAATAAATAAAGCGAAATTACCATCTCCCTAAGCCAGTCTTCAAAGGTAGCCATTTTGAATGACCTGTGAATATGAAGATATTAATACATACCTTCATATTCTATTTCTAAGCAATCATTTCAATGTAGTGTGTGTGTGTGCGTGTGTGTGTGTGTGTAGCTTTTTCACTGTTAAGGTGTTGATTGCATGATTGTATATGTAAGTCAATTTTTTTTACAAGAATATGGATAGTGATTTAATGTATTCCTGCAACACAAATTATCTAATCTATTCCCTATTAATGAGAATTTAGGCTGTTTACTTTTTTTACTATTTGACAATGCAGAAATAATTATCTTTGTATGTGCATCTTTGTGCACTTTTGGAGACATTTTGGTTCATTAAATTCTTAGTATTGACATATCAGCAACAAAGGATACGTACATTTAAAATATCTAAAAATAACTGCCAATTGCTCTCCAAACAGTTTAGATTGTAACAAAGCAAATTCCCAATACAGTGCTTAAAAATTCATCAAGTAGTAATGACTGCTTTATAATTTTTACCGTTGTGATAGAAGAAAGACTGAGATTCTTTTTTTAAACATATTTTACAAATTAAATAATAATAATTACAGTTTCAGAGAGGTGATTTTTTGCCCAAGTTCACAGGAACAGTGAGTGGCAGAGCTGAATCACAATCCTGGGCTATTTGACTCCTAAGTATGTGCTTTTCTTTTCTCCAGTGATTCCCAAGCCAGCAGATCACTGGAAACACACACAGAGCTTTAAAAAACACAGCTTTGCTCCAGCAGAGATCCATCTGCATTTTTTAAGTTCCTTGGTTGACTCAAATATCAGTTCTATCTCTAATTAGATATAAGAAAGTGTTATAAAGTTAACATACTCAGTAAAGCAGGCTGACCGGCTGGAAACTTAACCTGTATGTGTCTCTTCTGTGGGTGCCCTTCATGGAGGGGCAGGAGGAGTGAACCCTGTGGCTCTTTAGCCAGGTATGGAAGAGAAACATTCTCCTTCTAGGAGGTGGAAGGGCTAGTCTTTTCTATGTCTAAGGTCCAAACTCTTCCTAATGGGACAGTGGGAATGGAGTAACCTCACCATGGAGTGAATCCATCAGTGGAGGGCTGCCCTGGCCAGGCAGGAAGCTGAACTTATGTGGGACTGCAATGGCAGTGAACCAGTGTGAGCAGAGCCTGACATGAGGAGCAGCACGGGGTCTGCAGTAGCCACCAGTTTGGACACCAACCCCAGGCCTCCAACCTCACCATCTGCCAGAGGCAAGGCTCAAGCCTTCCAAATTATTGAATGACCAGAGAGAGAAAGTAATCCGGAGTTTCTGCCACTTGATGGTTGGCAGCTGGGCCTAGTTCTAATTTGACTTGGTAAACAAAGAAATGTGGCATTATTCACAACTTTAGATCATAGAGCAGTTTACACTGGCAACCTATACAATAGTAAACATATTTTTCCTATACCCTAGTATAGGAAAATATAATAAGTTCAGTAAGTTTATAGTAAGTAAATATAGTAAGTTTAGTAAATATAGTAAGTTTATAGTAAAAATAACTTTTATTTTTCTACTTTAATTACTCCATCTTTTTCAAAGGAAAAGTAACTTTCAAGGTCCCTCCATTATTTTATAGGAACAGAGGTGTGGTGGAGTCTGTGATTTGGCTTGCAAGTGTGATCTTGCAGTCTCTTGCTCTTTTCTATTTTGCATGTGTTTGTAAATTTTGGGCAACCAAATATTTTATTTAAAATATTAGGTTATATATAATGAAGCATTTTTGTATCCTCACATGTAGTCTAATATCCAAATATGTATGTTTTTCCAGCTTGGAGGTATAATTATTGAGGTATAATTAACAAGCAAAAATTATATATATTTAAAGTGTACAATGTGAGGTTTTGATATATGTGTGCAGTGGGAAATAATTACAGCATTCAAACTAAGGCAGTCTCTTGAATGCACCAAAAAAAGCAAAAGTACTATCTCCCGAAATCACTTGCCAGAGGTAGTTTTTGAAACAAGTTGAACTGTAGATCACATTTTATCTTTGTGAGCTGTCCTATAAGATCCTCCCACACCCAGCCTGTCTATATTCAGACAGTGTTTGCTAGAATGTAGCTGGACAACCTCTACTTCAACACTCGAGTGAGGTGGCCAGGGGCCAGGAGCAGTGGGCATGGCCCAGTACCCCTTGGCACTCCCAGGCAGAGCCCACTTCTGCAGACTGTGCTGGTTCTGAGTAATGGGTTAATTTATACACAATGTTCAGCCAAACATTGAGGCAGAGAATGCCAATGCAAAGAATTGGCCCAAGTGCCAACCAAGGGGCACACCCCTTCAGTAGGCTCAGTTTCGAGGTTGGAGGTGGAATTGCATAAGAATTCAGTTACTGTTTATTAACATAGCTCTGTGCACCTCTGGCATCTACTGGCCAGAGACCCTCTGGTTTTCACATTTACCCTCAGCAGGACAACCCAGACTGTATGGATTGTGTTTACACTGGAAAAAAAAAAAACATGATATTCCCTACAATGTGAGAAAAGAAGTTAGAGATCTTCTCATCTTCGCTCCTTCTTTATAGAAATGACAGTACTGAAGCTTAAGAGGTAAACCAACTTTCCCAATCCAGCATTGCTCGTCATAAACAAATCCCCACATATTTTGATAAGAATAAAATCCATTTTATTTGCAATCTCAAATATTAGGGCTTTATTACCATGGAATGAAGATCATTCCGGTACTTCTTGATCTTGAACATGTGTGGGAATCCCTGAAGAATCTTGTTACAATGCAGACTCTGATTCTGTAGGTCCGGGTAGGGCCTGAGATTCTGCACTGTTAACAAGCTCCCAGGTGGTGACCCAACTACTGGCCTACGCTTTTGAATATTGAGCATTTATAGGCAATGCCTTGCCTAGTGTGGGTGGACTTGAGCCTCCACAAGAAAGTATGTAGGGCTTTCCACTGTGAATACATTTCCTGGTATGGTGAGGAGTTCCCATCAAAGAATTCTTTTGCTATGCCTAAGAATAGCAAAAGAATAGAATTTCATGCAAGTGCTTTCTTCAGAAATAAAGTAAAACTGAGAAGATGGATCATTTAAATGTTTTGTATTTCTGTAAATGCACAAATCATATTTCTAAGTGTCCTTGGCAGAGGAACCTTATCATAGTTAAGAAAGTTTACATCTGCATCTCCCACTCAGTCTGAGCATGCTTTACTTCCTCTTAAGTAATAATCGACATTGCGAAATTGCAGCTAGGCAACTAGCAAAATGTTCACAGGGAACACAACTGCTAGCTTTCGCTCATAACAAGCTCCCTTCCCTAACCCATGTCATTCCCTACATGAGCTTATTCGTGGGTTTCGCAGCCTTGGCACTACTGATGTTTGGGGTCATTGTTGCAGGGGCTGTCCTGTGCACAGAAGGTTGTTTAGCAGCATCTCTGGACTCACCGCACTAGATGCTGGTAGCACTCCACCCCCAGTTGTGACAAACATAAATGTCTCCAAACATTGTCAAATGTCCCCTAGGAGACAAAATTTCCCTTGGTTGAGAATCACTCCTCTACAAAAATAATTTATACTATGTTGGAAAGGACAACTAGCTTAAAACATTGATTTATATAGTTTCAGATTGGAAAGAGAGCTTTACTGCATTTGGGGGTCACACACTGAGACAGAGTCTCACAGTCACCCAGGCAGTGGCACGATCATGGCTCACTGCAGCCTCGACCTTGTTTCTACAAAAAATAAACAGTTAGCTGGATGTGGTGGGGTACTCCTGTAGTCCCAGTTACTCAGGAGGCTGAGGTGGAAAGATCCCTTGGGCCCAGGAGGTCAAGGCTGCAGTGGAGTTGTGATCGTGCCACTGCACTCCTCCAGCCTGGGTGACAGAGGGATACCTAGTCTCAAAAAAAAAAAAAAAAAAAAAGTGTTTCCTATTCTTTACTCATGGCTTCTCAGCCATGTAGCTAAATTCTGGAACAGCTCATGTGTACAGTCAATGACAGTAAGTCCGCTTACAATACACTCCACATCACTTTGAGAGAGAATGTTTTACTAACATTTAACTGACAAAAAGAAGAGAGAAAGAGCAATTAATCAATCAGGTATTTGCCTAAATGCTGAACAAAAGTGATCTACTAAAATAACCACTTGTTCTTAGATCTGTTGTCTTGCTGTTAAGGGAACTCTGAAGTAAAACACATATTAAGTACTTCAAAATTCACTTCTTGTTCACAGATTCTCTAACATTGTTAAGATGTGACAGCCTGAAAACATGTCATGCAGACACTAGTTATTTACTGTACTAATATTAATAACTGGAGGCCCTGGCACAGGGCCAGAGTGAAGGGACCTTTTCTATCCTCTTTTTTACTGAAAGGGAGGAAAAGGCATTCTCTCAGTTCTAAGCTGGAGGTGGCATCCATCACCTGCCAATGAACAAGATCTGCTGCTACGCAGCTGCCAACACCCCTTCCATTCACACTCAGCTGATATTTATTGTACACCTACCATGTGCCAGATACTAATCTAGGCACCGCCACATAATTTATCTATTTTATTTTTACAATAACTCGGTACATTTGGGCACAAATGGAGAATCTAAGGAAAAGGGTTTGGCTAATAATGCCAAGCCTATTTTACAGCCCTTTGCGCTTAAAAAAATTTTTTAAGAGAATTTGAATGGATTTTAAGTATTCATTATGTTCATTACATTCATTACTTACTTCCTTGCTTGATTTCTTTATGCAATAGATGTCCTTGAAGAGTTTGGAAGCAAATTGCAGTTTTGTAAGTTGACTCACTTTTGAAATGTTTTAGTGTGGCTCCATGATATTTATGACTCATGCAGCAAATTTGCCTAAACAAAACAACCTTTAGTAAGATGACTAGCCACTCTATCTGATTTTTAATTCTGAATTTTAACTTAGTGGTTTCCTTATAGATGAACATATATAACATTTTCTCAAGTCATCAATAAAATCTAAGCCAACAGTAGTTTGCATTTTGACAGCAATGAAGTAAACTTAGATACTTGGTGTAGGAATAAATATTAACCCCAATAGTTCAACCAATCAAATGAAATGTACAGCTGTATGTCTTGAATGACGTCAATGTTTGTATTAGTTTCCTATGGCTACTGTGACAAATTACCATAAACTGAATGGTTTAAAACAATGAGAATTTTTTCTCTTATAGTTCTGGAAGTCAGAAATCCAAAATCAGTCTCCCTGGGCTACTGTCAAGGTGCTGGCAGGGCTGGTTCCTTCTGGGACGTGGGAAGAATCTCTTTTCTTGCCTCCATCAGCTTCTCAGGCCATCTGCATTCTGTGGCTCTTGACCTCATTCTCATGTCATCCCAACCTCTTGCCTCTATCTGCTGTGAGTCACTCTGATCTCCTGCCTCCCTCCTATAAAGACTCTTGTGATTACATTGGCCCAACCCAACAACCCAGGATAATCTCTCACCTCAAGATCTGTAACTTAATCACACGTGCAAAGTCTCTTTTACAAAGCAAGGTACCCATATTCACTGGTTCTGAGAATTAGGACTTGGCTGTCTTTAAGAGGCCATTATTCATCCTATGACAACACTGAAACAAAACTCAAACTAAACTTAGTAAAGGATTGGTACAGAGCCAACTAATTACCTAAATCAGTTTAAGTAATTAAGAAATAGACCTGGAAAAAATGCAGCGAGTGATGAATTTTAATCCAATCTGCCAATACAAATCTGGGACTTTCCATTTTTATAAGAAACGCAGCAGTGAGATGAAAATAATCCTTAAAACATCACTGAAAGGCCCTGTAATTATAACCTGCTCCCTGGAAATTAAAGGAAAACTAAAAGAAGTATCCAGAAAACCCCAAACTTGGCTGTACTTATCACAGACATTGGTAAGTAATAATACTATACAACATTCACTTTGGATTATTATCTAGAAAAATTGATTAGCTTGACTGAGGCCATTATTTTTTCCCAGACCCCATTTATAAGCAATGCTATCTATTGATGAAAAGCTGTTTGAAAGCAGAGTGTGGCGTGGATCTCTTCTCCATAAGCAACCTGCTCTGACCACCCTGAATGAGCCTGATTAGATGCATTCTTTGCTAAGCAAAGGGCACTTTGTTTATTTTTTATTTATTTATTTATTTATTTATTTATTTTATTATGTTTTAGCACAACTTGCACAGTAATATTCAAGGAAAAATGTTTGAAACCAAGTGTCTCTGTCTCACTATGGAATGAAGTTAAACAGACATAGTTATGCATCTATACTGCTTTAAGCAGGGGTAACAATAAAATACTTCAGTTAGATTGTAACAGTACATGCACTGCAAAATGCACTACTTATTTATTTATTTATTTGACAGGGTCTCACTCTGTCACCCAGGCTGGAGTGCAGTGGCACCATCTCGGCTCACTGCAACCTCCACCTCCCGGGTTCAAGCGATTCTGATGCCTCAGTCTCCCAGGTAGCGAGGATTACGGGTGCGTGGCAACACGCCTGGCTCATTTTTGTATTTTCAGTAGAGACGGGGTTTTGCCATGTTCCCAGGCTGGTCTTGAACTCCTGGTCTCATGGGATCCGCCCGCCTTGGCCTCCCAAAGTGCTGGGATTACAGGTGTGAGCCGCCGCGCCCAACCGCAAAGTGCACTTTAAATACAGTTGTATTTATCTTCCAACAGGTATAAAAACCATTATAAACTATATAATGAATTGGCTCTACCAGTTTATTCAATAAATATTTAAACAGTTATTAAGATGGTAATTATATACTTTGAAGGAAACGTAATAATGGATTTTATCCTTGAGGCTAAAAAGCACTTGTGGGGCTTTTGGTCTCCTCCTCTTGAGGAAATTTGTGACTGTTTTTAACCACTACAGTTCAGCAGAAATTATGCAAAATAATTGTCCAAAGTAGGGACAGAAAAAACCAAGAAGCTGAAAAGACCATGGATGTCAGGTGGAATAAACATTCACTCCCAGAGCCCCAAGCTGCCAGGTGAAAAGCCTAACTATCCTGAGGCTCAGAAGGTATGAGGAAGAGGCCATGCCGTGTGGAGAGCCCAGGTGTAAGGTGTTAAAGTTGACAGTCTCAGCTGCAGCCAGCCTTCAAGTCATTCCAGCCCAGGCAAGATCTATAAATGAAGAAGCCTCCAGATAATTCCTGCCCAGTACAATCAAGTCAGCTGGAGCTGCTACACTGTGGAGCACAGATAAACCACACCTGCCTTGCGATGTCCAAGTTTCTGACCCATAGAATCTGTGAGCATGATGAAATGGTGGTGTTACCTGCCGCTAGGTTTTGAGATGATTTGTTACATAGCAAAAATAATCAGAAGAGTCTTTCAAGGCTGACCACAAATTAATGTAATGTAATGTCAACGAAACTTTTTGTGTTAACACGGAATTGTGACTGAAGCCACAAAGCTGACAAAGTGAGGTGTTATAAGTGTATCAACTCTCATTAGAGCTGCCCAAAATAGGGCCAGCCAAGAGCAGCAGCACAATGGACCATTGTGCAATCACACCAGCCCCCAATGTATTTGACAGGACACTTATTTTGCAAATCTTCATTTATCGTTAAGTATAAACAGGTGTTTACCTCACCTTCAATGGTCAACAACCTAAGGTGACTTAAAAAAAAATACTGATACCAAGTCCCTCCCCAGATGGATTGAATCAGAGCTACTTAGGGTGGAGCCAAAAGGCTTGTTTTTTAAAGCTTCCCAGGTAATTCTAATATGTGTGTAGTCGGGTATGAGAACGATTGCAAGCAAAAGCAGCTGAGGGACGCTGTCCAAGGAGTAGGCTCAGTAGCACGAACTGCAAATACTTGAGAAGGGAAAAGTTCAGCCTTGTGCTGGAAAGTGGTTTAGCATGCTGGAGCTGGTTTTCTGCTTGGTAGCCCTACAACTTTGGCCCAACTACTTGGCCTCTGGGACTCAGATTCCTCCTCTTTAAAATGGTGCTAATAATAGCACCCACCCTCTGTGAGGAGGATGCTGTGAGGACAAAATGAGATCATCCACATAAGCCGTGAACCCTGTTCCTGGTAAGGTAAGTGCTCAGTAAATGAGCTGCTATTAGTACAAGGTTATGTTGGAAATTTATGATGAAGTACTGCCATATAATGAAGTTCTTTTTAGTTTTTCAAACATTTCATGAATGTACCTTATTTCAGCTATAGTTAGTATCCAAACAACTTTGCTAGATTGATCCACTTTTTATCAGATTTTTCTTGATATCAGGAAAAGCTGTGCTTTGCCTGAGCAACCACTTTTTCATTTTTTATTTTTTCTTAATTTGGATGCAATGAATCTTGCGGTCAATTTGTCTCTTTGCTTTGGCATTAGAAAACTAAACTGACCCAAATCTCATAACTGAATAAAACTGGCTATATTGGTCTCTCCTTGTTTTTTCCGTTCCTCCTTAAAACCTCAGCTTTGATTTTATACTTTCATGCAACATGTACATCTTTTTAGAAGGTGACTCAAGCACTTGGTAGGATGGGACCAAGGTAAGTTATCTGTATTAGGAGAGTTTTTCTATGATGAGGTCCAGACTAATAGGCAACTGGTTAATTGAAAAATGTGGTTAAAGCAGGGAGTCCTTAAAACATGTATACACACCTTAAATTTTTTTAACTTAAAACATACAAATGTGCATCTTTTAATTGATCTTTTGGTATACAGGTTGTTACAAGTCCTTGTCTTTAGAAAAGGATCTACTGCTAGAACTTGTCACTGTGTTTCTTGTATCTCCCACACCTGAAATTCATCAACTACTATAACCACTTTTTAAAATAGAATGAGAACTGAGACACTTTTAAAGAGTGTAGAATCTTCCTAGAATGTTAATATATTCCTCCCGAATCTTTAACAATTTTCTTGCCCACATCGAATTCAAAAACATTTTTAATTACTTCCATTGTCAAAATATTTTAATACTTTTAACCAAATTTTCATAGGAGCAGTAAATTTCTTGTTGCATTTCATTTGTAATATTTTTATTCTCAGGTTTGGGACAAATAAATTGAATCTCAGGACACAACTCAACTGGTGGAAACAAAAGAGCTTGAGGCTGTCCATTAGCCTATTTGTTGTGAATGTCCATGTTCTGTCACTTTGGTCTGTATGTTTTGGACAGAGTGGGGAGTTTTGTATAAGTGGTTGATATAGAAAAATAGCGACATGAATAGGCCCATGTAAAAATACATAGCTAAACTTAGCAATGAGAACATTCAGAGGTATCCAAATATACAAGTATGTAGAGGAACACGAGTGGATGACCATGGGTTAGTACATCTGTGTAGATGGCTGTGTGCACATGTGCCCATGCTTTCCCATAAATGATTGTTTTTATTCTCTTCCTCTCATAATATTGCTCTTGGAAAGATCTGACAGTACCTTTCATTTGGTTGCCATTTTCAGAATGAATGTAACTTTAGTTTTTACATTGGTTCCATGTAGTTCAAAAGTTGTTTCCTAAACTGATGTTTACTGTTCTTTAATATTTCTGGGAATATTTTAGATGTTTGTCCAAATCTAAAAAAATTATAACACAGCATGCTTGGGAGAGCACACACATTTTATTGGTAAGAAACATTCTTTCCCTTCATGACTGTCTTTTAAAATTTCCTGATTATTGTGCCTCAATTATAGAGGAAACATTCTTGACTTGGGGGATTAGCTTCATAAACTCATGAATCTCCTGAATATGGTAGGTAGATTTAACACTGAGCAATGAAAACTACTAAATATTAAAGGAAAAGTGAAAGTTGTACCTCGTCTGCAGCCAACTGTGATAGGTAGCAACTTTGTCACCTGAGGCTCTCTAGAACACTCAGAAAAGGAGATTTGTTCTTCCCAGGGTGATAAGGAAGGGTCCTAGTGATGGGTGTAAAATTCTTTTCAGGTGCACAATAAAAAGCATTAAGGCAAAAGCTTTTATCTGATTACCATTAAGTAAATCAGGGATTTCTGTAGAAACTTACATTTCAGGTGTATCTTAAATATGATAATTGGGCCGGGCATGGTGGCTCACTCCTGTAATCCCAGCACTTTGGGAGGCCGAGGTGGGCGGATCACGAGGTCAGGAGATAGAGACCATCCTGGCTAACACGGTGAAAACCCATCTCTACTAAAAAATAAATAAATAAATATATATGTGTATATATATATATATATACACATATATATATACGTATATATATATACACACATATATATATACATATATATATACACATATATATATACACTTATATATATATATACGTGTATATATATATGTATACAGAAAATTATCTGGGCATGGTGGTGGGTGCCTGTAGTCCCAGCTATTCGGCAGTCTGAGGCAGGAGAATGGCGTGAACCTGGGAGGCGGAGATTACAGTGAGCCGAGATTGTGCCACTGCACTCCAGCCTGGGCGACAGAGCGAGACTCCATCTCAAAAAAAAAGGAGTACAAATTGTCCAGTTTAAATAAGGTAATTTAAAAGAAAGTAACTTTCCCAAGATTACCAAATAATGAAGCACAGAGAAACCTGCTTGGGTCCTTCCCTTCTCTTTATCTTTATTTTATCTTTATTCTTTAGGTCCCTTTATGGGTCCACCTCTGCCTATCTTAATGATTAACTATACAAGCTGAAAAAAATTATAGAAATATATTAATAACTGATTTAACCATATTAAGTTCAATTACAAAGTTCAGCTGGTCTCTCAGCTCTGGGTGTGACCACAGATCACAAAGTTCTGAGAACGGCTGGGAAGCATGTCTAATAGATTGTGCTTTTCTATTAATCACACAGCTCTTAGTTCTGGGGTTTTATGATAAATCCTAAGGTTTATCCCAAACTACTTTCTTCCAATGCAGCTTTTGGTATATGAATATTCTATGGGTAGTATATTTTCATTAATAATGTCTATTAAGTATAAGTTAGAATACATGTCCCTAAATACTTTAAACATGTGGAGAAATGTTAAATCTTTAGGCAAATTACATACAGAATAGTCAATCATCTTTATTGTTCTTCCCCAGAGACCAAGGGATTAATAAGATATTAAATGGCCAATTTTAAGTATTGTGTTAAGGCAAAGTTGATTATAGTTCACAGAAGGAATGTTAGCAAGATGCGTAATTAAACATTATTTGGGTCACAGCCTAATAGTCATGGATTGAAGAGTGATAGTGACCTAATCTTGAAGTCTTAGAATTTAAAGCATGAAAACACTTAACAGCATTACTCTCTCAAGTGTGGTTATTGCCTCCCAAGAAGTGCACAGGAGAATCTACTGGAGTACACGAGTTAATACCAGAACTTAGAAATGTAAGTTTACATTGTATATGAAGAGGAAACAAGACAAACTTTACTTGATCCACTCTTCAACACCAATGCTATGGTTCATAGTGCATCCCTGAAGTCACAAGACATAGACTGCTTGTGAGGTGCTCCAAGGACAGGAAGGGAGCTCTACAGCCCAGAGTAGAGCGATAGAAGCATCTGTAGTCATTCATTACCTTCTAAAATTTAGAGACCCATTGCAGTTTACCTATGAAAAATTTTTGTTTCAATATTCTTCTAGATGTCAGGATAATTTTTTCTTGATTTTACTAATAAACTTCATTGCTTTTGTTTATATTCTAAGAATTTTATTCACTTAGTTCTGTAATAAGTCTGAAGACAAAATAGTTTAAGAGTCTGTACTTTATGTTTTATTGAAATGTTCCAAAATGTCATTACAACTTGCAGTTTAAAATGGTATATTTGAGCTTCATCAACCTTTAAAATAAATGTCATATCTTGAGTTTGAGCTTCTCTTCTGCATCTCTAAAATATATTTTAGAGAATTTAAAATATCATTGTCCCATCTTCCAAAGTCTGAAAAACTTTGCAATGGATAGACCATCTCATTAAATTAGATCATTTAAAGAAAAATCCAATTTGATGTGTGTATTTAAAATACTGCGCCTTTGAGACAAACCTGGAAAATATATATATAAATATAGAACTGTTGAAAAGGTATGCGAATAGTCCACAACTTCAGGGTGTCCTGGAGGTGAGTCCTCATCTCATGAGACTTAGATAATGAGCTGCTCACAGACATATTCCGTGTACTTACTAAAAAAGAATGCTGTCTATATCTTTCATTACAGCTCTACTGTCAAAAGACTATGAATGTTGTCAGTTGTTCATTGTCAAGGTACAATGTCCAGAACTTCTTTGTTGAGTAAAGTCAAGTAAAGTCATAGCCTTCAGTTGGCAAAAAATGGTAAAAATTACTCCTAGGTTGTCTATTTTACTACTTGCACACAATAATCAATTGACTGGTGTTTGTCATATCCAAGGCAGAATCTGCAATAATGGACTCATATTCGATGTTTGTTTATATCACTTAATGAGACAGCCAAGTGTGAAGGGGTTCCTGGAAAAATTCCAACCAGCCCGTGCAGTGGAAAGTGTGCACGTTGGGGTGGAGCCACAGAAGTTTGTGCCATTTGCAGCAGGGAGGAGCTTGGCCCTTCCTCTCTCCTGGGAGGAACCTGGGATTCAATCTGCGAGGCAGGAAGGATATACTAGCAGGACTCACTCTGCTGAGGGTACCTGTTTCCCCTTTTCTTCCTTTTTGCCCAATAAATTGCATTTTCTCAACCTTGAAAGTATCTGCAAGCCTCATACTTTATGGCAATGTGACAAGTACCCCATTTTTAGCTGAACTAGGTAGAAAATCCTACAACATTTTGTTCATGTTTTCCAATTTTCTTGATTAATTCCCATAAGTAGTTGTGTGTATAAGTTACCACTGTTTTTTGAATCCTGACTTTTTACTAGCAATCTTGCAAAAATAGATCCAAATCAGCAATTCATTTAATGATTATGTGATTTCCATGAGATTTCCTTTGAGGAAAACCATATTTTTATCATGCCTTTTGAAGAGCAACCATTTTTATATAAAAATAACTACAAAGATCATTTTTTAGCACTTGAAGATAATACCAAATGCTCTATTTATTATTCAAGATGCTTGTCTGATGGATTTTTATTTTATTTATGTGTAATCCAAGCAAACATGGTGTTCTTTATCATCTGTCCTACCAAGACTTCAGAGGTCCTTTTGTCTATAGAAAGCCCATATCTGTCTGTTTTATTAACTACTTTAACCCGTAAACTTGTAACAGCTTCAGAGAGGTTAAGAACTTTTGTTTTTTGTTTTTGTTTTTGTTTTACAATAGAAGTATCTAAAAGAAAACTGAGTAGATAAAAATATTTAATATAAATATTCTTGTAAACTTTCCATTTTAATTAGTTTCCACACAGTGAGCCCCTTTTAACACTGAACATATTCTGCTTTTCATTAAATGGTAAAGTCGAATAGAACTTCAGAGATCAGATAAATCCTAAAAATCCCTTAGGCAGAGCCAAATTAAAGCAAAATTTTACAGAAAGTGATTCCTCCCCACCCCACCGAAACATCCATTCCTCCTGCTCCTATATCCCCCAAGGTATACTTAATCCAAATCCCACACATATTTAATTTCAATTTTGTGGTGTAATTGCTCATAAAAATTTAGCTCAGTAGAGGTCAAAGCCTCTCCCTTCTTTTGTCAAAGTGTGTTAACTTTGTATTACTTACAACAGAATAGCTCCCTTTTCCATAGACCTTCTATATCTTTAGTGAATTAACCTGCCGTGTAGTTCAAATCATGTATCTCTATATTGCCACAGCAAAGAATCAGTGTTTAGAGATCAAGTCAAATCAATTTAAATACAAATAAATGAGAATAACGATACAGCACGATTACAAATGAATGTTTTCCTTTGGATCATTTATTACCATCTTATCAGAAAATAGACCAAAGACCAAAGTGCTTATTTCAGTGGGAAGAAATGTGATGATTCAGTGAGTTGCTCCCTACAGAATCAATAGAAAGCAGATGTCTTATTCACATACCCCTGACAATCTTGCAGTAAGTGCTGGTGCCTAGAAACTCTGTTTGTAAGATCATGTATAGCATGTCTGCATCTAAATGAGGATTTGTGTTACTGGAAATCATACATGAGGGATTGCTGCCCCACCCCCATTTCAACACTAGGTAAGCGGGATACATTTTGTCTATCATAACTCATTAGAGACAGAGTCTTGTTATGTTGCCCAAGCCGGCTCAAGCAATACTCCTGCTTTAGCCTCCCAAGAGGCTGTGACTACAGGCAAATGCCACTGTGCCCAACTTGTTTATTGTAACTTTGAGTCCAAATAAACTTGCCCTGATTTATGCACTGCTTTAATGTTACTACACCTAGCTTCTGTAATAAATATGCAACTCTAAGCTATTCTTATGCTTCCATGGAATATCTTACCTTGGTCAAATTAATTGCTTCCCAACTTAATCACTGAGAAAACAGAAAAAATAGAGGGCCAAGATAAGAATGACATATGAAATAGACTGTTTTAATCATGAAGTTGACAGAATGAGCCCTACTGGTTTTCTAAATTAAGGCCTTATCTTTGTTACTGTGAGCAATCATTTTGGGAAACTGCCATCTAAAGTACATGGATGAAAGCAATATTTTATTACTTATATTAACTTTTATTTCCTATTAAAAATTAATCCATGTCAATTATAGAAAAATAAGAATATTACAGTTAAGCAAATACAAGAAAATACACAGTAATCTGTAATCCCACCAGTAGGAAATAACCATGATTAGTTAGCATTCTGATACACAGGCTTCTAGACATTACAAACTCCTTAACCTAAGGGCTTTGTGCTACTGTTTCCTCTGCTTAAGATGTTCCACAGATCTGCATGTGGCTTCTTAATTCAGGCCTCAATTCAAATGTCACCTCTGAGGATACGCCTTCCCTGACAAGCCCAGACAAAGCAAGCCCCAGCCCATCTTCCCAGTCATTTTCTAGCACATTACCCTATTTTATCTTCTCTATATCCCTTAGCGGTACCTGCGATTCATTTGTTAGTGTTCATAGTATGTTTCTCTCCACTTCTGTCACCTCTTGTCTCCAGAACCTATAACAACATCAGGCACATTTTTGTTTTTTAGGAAATATTTGTTAGCCTGTTGACTGAAACTGACATACCCATGAGCATTTTTTTTCTGTCAGTAAATATTTTCCCAGAACATCTATTGGTGGCTATATCCAGTTGCTACATGTGTATAGGTATATGATGTCATAAATTATTCTTATGAGTCTACAATTATAGGACATTTTGGTGGTTTCCAGTTTTTACTATGCTAATTGTATAGTGATAAGCGTTTTAATAGCTACATGGGTACGCACATCCAGGATTATTTCCTTAGAAAAACTCCTAGAAGTAGGATGGCTGTATTATAGGGTATATACTTCTTAAGGCCTCTGACAATATGCATTAAATTATGCTGCAAAAATTTGAAACCCATTAATACTCCTATTGATGTAGGACAGTGATCAGGTATCACACCTTTGCTAATCCTTGAGTATTGTCATTTAAAATTCCTTGCCAGTGTTACTTTTAGTGTGAAAACTGAGTTGAAATGACAAATATTGCATGTGCCTGCTTGTGTCAGGCTAGCATGGAGGGAAAGTGATTAAAAGTATGTCTCTGTAGCAGGGTGAGCCGCAGACAAAACCTCTCAGACACTGAATTGTAGAAGGAAGGGCTTTATTCAGCTGGCAGCATCGGCAAGCTACTGCCTTAAAATCTGAGCTCCCCGAATGCACAATTTCTGTCCCTTTTAAGGGCTCACAACACTAAAGATTTCACATGAAAGGGTCGTGATTGATTTGAGCAAGCAAGGGGTACATGACAGGTGCTGCATGCACCAGTGGTCAGAGAGAAACAGAACAGGGCAGGGAGTTTCACAGTGTTCTTCTACACAATGTCTGGAATCTATGAATAACATTGGTTTCTGGAGTCATGAGTTGATTTTTAACTACTAGGTTTAGGCCAGGCAGGCCCAGGTCCGGTTTTGGGCCTGCCGTGAGGCTGCCTGTCTTTGATTTTACTTCCCTGTTGTTTTTTCTTAAAACAGGTACTGAGTATAAAACAATATAACACAATATGAGAGGGTCTCTCTTTTCTCTCATCTCAAGATTGTTCTTCAGGGCCTTCATCATGACATGACTTTAACTGAGCACCGTCTCACTGGCAACTAGACCTCATCTTGTTATACATCTTTCTTTGTTCTAACACTGAAGCTGATTTGGCTCCAAATGAGCTGCCTTAAACTGTAAATATTATGCAATTCATTTAAGTCCAGTAATGTTCTAAACTTGGATCTCATTATTTTTTGTTAACATCTAAAAATTTTGCGAGCAGAAATACATCTTAGGCCAGAAAGTAATTTGATTTGGCTAGGGTACAATCAGCTCTCTTTATCTGTGGGTTCTGTGTTCATGGATTCAACTAACCACAGATACAAAATATTTGGAAAATAAAGTGGATGATGGTGTCTGTCCTGAATATGTGCAGATATTTGTCCTTGTCATTATGCCTTAAACAATGTGGCATAACAATTATTTACATAGAATTTACATTGTATTCAGTATTATAAGTAATCTAGAGATGACTTAAAGAATACAGGAGGGGATGTGTAGGTTATATGCAGACATCATGCTGTTTATTTGAAAGATTTGAGCATCCTGGATTTTGGTATCCTTGGAGGGTGGGGTTTTAGGACCAATCCCCCAGAGAAACTGAGGGAATTATTGTTAAATATCTAAAACTCTTCATAAGAAATGCAAAAACAGTTCATAAGAATTGCAAAAACAAAATGGGATAGATTGAGAGCCCTTCCTGTGTATATAGGGTGTTCACACATTCTTTTGCTCAGTAATTCATTGACTTGGTGAAAAAAAAAGCCAGCTGGTGCAATGGCTCACACCTGTAATCCCAGCACTTTGGGAGGCCAAGGCGGGCAGATCACCTGAGGTCAGGAGTTCTAGACCAGCCTGGCCAATATGGTGAAACCCCCTCTCTACAAAAATAGAAAAATTAGCTGGGCGTGATAGTGGGTGCCTGTTATTCCAGCTACTCGGGAGGCTGAGGCAGGAGAATTGCTTGAACCTGGGAGGCAGAGGTTGCAGTGAGCCGAGATCGGGCCATTGCCCTCCAGCCTGCATGACAGAGCAAGACTCTGTCTCAAAAAAAATAAGAGCCTAGCATTGACTCATGGTAAAATGAATTATGATGTGAAGAACACCAAGAAATATCACAATTGATTCCTGAACCCAAATATACTCTTTAACTCTGAAAAATAAATCCCAGGCAGAAAAAAAAGTTTCACGGTAAGAATACTGGGCGATCTCAAGGTAGTTAATGACAGACTGAATGTTTGTTTCTTGGAACAAAGTAAGCGCAGAGGGTTTGGAGGATGTCGTGGTACCCGGCAGAAGCGGAGCTAGAATCTGAGCTGGGTGGCAATATTTCAATAAGAGTTAAAACCTCATCTATTCTTTTTTAGATAATTGGTGGGCAATCAAAATCTGAACAGACCCAATTGGCTTCAGAAATAGTCAACATTTATTTAGATTTAGACCTTCCCTCATGGATTCCAAACAGGCTTTTCTGGTTTTGTCCCTTCAAGTATCCTGTGTTCCAACCAATCCAGGTGACTTAGTGGTTGTTCCTTTCCCACTGTTACCTTTGTGTTCATTGGTTTTCAGTCTTAAAAGTGTAAATCTTACCAAGTACTTAATGCCACCTTCAAAATACAATTCAGTCACGCTTTAGCCAAATGCTGCCTTCCCTGTTAAGTGTCTTTTCTGTCCTCTGCTAGATCAATTCCCTCCTTTCTTTGTGGTAATACTTAACACATTCTGCCCTAAACAATAGTTACTGCTGTTCTTAACTTCAGTCCTCATTTGAATTTGAAACTTCCTAAGGACAGATAACATGACCTACATTTTAAAAATAATTGTTCCAATAATTTCCCCTCTTTTAAACTATCATATACTTGTTACAAAATGTTATAAGTATAAAGTCGATTGTCCATTTTTCCACCAAGTAAAGACAGCTATTTCTTTGTGAAATGTTTAATTTCAACCTTTTTCATGCATATTTTTGTCATTGTGCTCTTGCCAAATATAAGCTTCTGTACAATAAGAGCTAATATTAAATGCTGATATGAACCAGATACTGCTTTAAGTTCATTCATATGTTAATTAAATGTCTTCACTGGAACCATATGAGGTGGTTAGCATTTTTATCCCCCTTTACAGATGTAAGAAATGGCCCAGAGAGGTTATGTCATTTGTCCAAGGACATACAGCTAATATATGGGGATTTGCAAAATGGCAAGCTGGCCCCAAAGGTACCACTGCTTTCTAAAAGATTCAGATATCTTTTTCAGTGGAAACCAAATGTTCCATCATGTTGGTGTATGGTAATTTACTTAACCATTTTCTGATCTTAACATTTAATTTGTCATTTAAAATGACACTGTCATTATCATTTTAATGTCCCAAACTTTCTAAAAGGTAAAGTAACAATCCAAGTGAATTATTCGGTCAAAAGATATTATTTGAAGGTCTATGATGCATATCACCAAATTGTTTTCCAAAAGAGTTTTAAAAATCGTGGTTCCTAGAGTAGTTCATGAGAGAGTATTGTAGTGACCACATATTACTAACACTGAAAATTTTTTAAATTTTTTTATGGTTAATTTCATAGGTAAACTTCTTGTCATAATATGAATTGATAAAAAACTTAGACAAATTGCATTGAACAGAGTTTAATGTAGCAAAGAATTATTCATGAATTGGGCAGCCCCCAACCAGAATAGGTTCAGAGAGGCTCCAGCATAGCTATGTGATGGAAGATTTATGGACAGAAAAAGGAACATGACACACAGAAAGTGGAAGTGAGATATAGAAATAGACAACTGGTTAAAACCCAGTGTTTGCCTTATTTGATTGAACACAGTTTGAATAGTTGCCACCTTTGATTGGCCACTTTGATTCACTTAGTTAGTGGATTATAACTAAGTTATAGCTCACTGTGTATGGAGAAACTTTAGGCTGAACTAAGAATATGTGAAGATGCAGCTTTAGGCTAAACTTAACAGTATCTCTTCCATTTCTAGTGGAGATAGATAATTTTATGCAAATTGCCTTTTTGTGTCTTTCTTTTGCAACAGTTCATTTCGACTCTTTGCCCATTAATTTATTGAACATGTTAGTGTTTTTTTCTATCAGCTTGAATAAACAGCTCTGTAATAGAGGTAATAAAATATGCCTGTTGGAATTACTACAGATTATATCTGTGTTTGGTAATTTGGCTACCTATTTCAGTTATTTCCAGAAATATAAATGTTTAATAATTTTATCTTTTGATTATTCAATTATAATTTATTCTACCTCTTTTAAATCTATGAAGCCCTTCTTCAAAGAGTTACCAAATATTCATTTCTAGTTTCTTTTAATTCTAAAGTAGATACAGCTGTTTTTTAACAACAAATTCTTATTCTACCTGTAACTGATATACGGATTTGGCAGTATAATTAGGAGAAAAATCAAAATTTTCAAAACATACATGTTTTCTCCAAATACATAATCAGTTAACACCAGTGGTTCTTAGTCACGTATGTGCATTTTGGAAGGTTCAATGCAGAGCCTTACAAAATCCAGGCACAGCATGAAAGATCATTACACTTTGCCTGAGACTTTGGTTTTATGCTATTGGCTGTGATTTGAGGAAACTAAAGTCATTGGCACAAAAAGTTGTTGGTGCTGGTGCATGGATTTTTATTCATCTCAAATAAAGTGAAGGGACTTTGAAATCTGGCTTTTCCATGTCTTCCAAGACTGTTTAATGAAATATTTCTCTTTAAGAAGTGATGTAAAATGCCTAAGGAAAGATTTAGATGTTTCTACAAGAAAAAAAGTATATGGTATCATGGGCAGGGGATTTGTTGTTCTCCTTTTGTTGTTATGCTGCAGCAAATAAGTATTTAAATGACAACACAGCTCAGTCATGGTGGCCTCAACATTGATGGAAAACAAGGAAAAACTTACAAAAGCTATGTAACTTACAAACCAAAACATCAAACGATTTTGTGCGTATTAAATTGTCAGAGATATATTTCTGTAATCTTGAGGCCATTTTTTTTTTTAATTTTACTTCTGGTATACATGTGCAGAATGTGCAGGTTTCTAACATAGGTATACATGTGCCATGGTGGTTTGCTGCACCTATCAACCCATCATCTAGGTTTTAAGCCCTGCATGCATTAGGTATTTGTCCTAATGCTCTCCCTCTCCTTGCCCCCCACCCCCCGACAGGCCCCGGTATGTGATGTTCCCCTCCTGTGTCCATGTGTTCTCGTTGTTCAACTCCCACTTATGAGTGACAACATGCAGTTTTTGGTTTCTGTTCCTGGGTTAGTTTGCTGAGGATGATGGTTTCCAGCTTCATCCATGTCCCTGCAAAGTACACGAATTCATTCTTTTTTATGGTTTCACAGCATTCCATGGTGTGTATGTGCCACATTTTCTTTATCTAGTCTATCATTGGTGAGCATTTGGGTTGTTTCCAAGTCTTTGCCATTGTAAATAGTGCTGCAATAAACATATATGTGCATGTGTCTTTACAGTAGAATGATTTATAATTCTTTTGGTATATACCCAGGAATGGGATTGCTGGGTCAAATGGTATTTCTGGTTCTAGATCCTTGAGTAATCACTACACTGTCTTCCACAATGGTTGAACTAATTTACACTCCCACCAAGAGTGTAAAAGCATTCCTATTTCTCCACAGGCTCACCAGCATGTGTTGTTTGCTGACTTTTTGATGATCGCCATTCTAATTTGCGTGAGATGGTATCTCACTGTGGTTTTGATTTGCATTTCTTTAGCGGCCAGTGATGAGATTTTTTTTTTCATATGTTTGTTGGCTACATAAATGTCTTCTTTTGAGAAGTGTCTGTTCATATCTTTCTCCCACTTTTTGATGGAGTTGTTTTTTTTCTTGTAAATTTAAGTTCCTTGTAGATGCTGGATGTTAGACCTTTGTCAGATGGGTAGCTTGCAAAAATTTTCTCCCATTCTGTAGGTTGCCTGTTCACTCTGACAGTTTCTTTTGCTGTGCAGAAGCTCTTTAGTTTAATTAGATTTCATTTGTCAATTTGGCTTTTGTTGCAATTGCTTTTGGTGTTTTAGTCATGAAATCTTTGCCCATGCCTATGTCCTAAATGGTATTACCTAGGTTTTCTTCTAGGGTTTTTATGATTTTAGAAAACATCAAACATTTTAAATTATTTATATTAAAGTTGAACAATACTTTATTTGGAATATAGTAGAAATTTTAAATCTGCTAATATGGCTAGTTTACATGTAAGCATTATGAATGTTTGTGGAAATGTATGTAATACATACTTGTATGGCATATTTGTTATATGTGACTATTAAGCAATGAGACCATATTTAAATACTCTGAGAAATAATTGCATCAGCTCATAGTGACTACTTTGAAGGCAAAACATTCATTTGTATATATAAGTTCTAAAATCTTTAATAAAATATCATTTTATATAAATGTCATATATGCATAAAAACTACTGATCAATAATGTTAGCCCTTAAGTATTTCTATCAGATCTCCCACATATATTCTGCCCAAATTCTTTTATTGTAAATAATAATATAAGGCAAAACATTTGTCAGCCATGGATTAATATTTCTGGGTAAACAAATGAAGGAAAACCTCACTCCTCATAAGACAAAAACGAAAAAATAACACCCAAACAAACTAAGTCTGAAGTTGAAATTGTACGTAAAATCCTATGAATAGAGAATAGATTTATGGTGACTCTCTAAATGAAAATTTTAAACTGAATACCCTGACATAGCTGATTACTTTTAATATTAGAGAATATTGCAAATCCTTTTGGAAACACTGCCATATAAAACATACTCTAAAATGCACACATCTAACACCTACACAAATACACAGGGACTGTGTACTCAGAAGTACAACAGATGAAGACTAACTTAGGTGTGAAATTTGCTGAATGACTTCCAATCTGAAGTCTCTGTCAAAGAAAGTTCTCAGTGGTAGAAAAATCAAGGCATTTAATTTCTTGGTAGAACTTTTCATTTGGAACACAAGTGTATCATTCTCATAGCAAATATGATTGACTGTGGCTCATCCTCTGTATGTGCCCTTGCTTCCCTTATCTATAATCAGGGTTGATTTTTGAGGAAATCTGTAACTTAAAATGGTCCAAACTTTATTTCCTCTAAAGACTTGCTCTGACTTAGAGTTGATTTAGGACTGGAAGTGCATAATTGGGCTCATTGTTTCCTGCTGCCATGCTGTATTAAGAAAAAATTTAATGTATCCTGCAAGGATTAGCATAATTTTTTGAAAGCTGGACCTTTGCTTCTGAAGCTTAAATTCTATTGTCTATTTTTCTATTCAGATTTTATGCAAGTTGCTTTTTATTTTGGAGGTCTTGCGATTCTCAAGTCAACTTGTTTCTTTGTTTACTGTAGTGTCTGCTGTATAAAGTAGAATACACATTCCATGTGACCAAAGTCTCTGTCTTAGCTACTTCCGTATTTCCAGTGCTTGTCATGTAAATATTTAATGAAGAAAAACATACTTTTATTTCAGTGATGTAATACTTTGCAGAATATTTTTTGTGGGTTGTCCCATCCCTGTCACCCAGCCTTCTCATGATCACTATCTGAATTTTTTACTTGAGAGTACTGAACACAATTCTTCTTTCCTAGACCTCAGTTCGTCCTCACCCTTGACAAGTGAGCCTCAAAGTATGGTTGGGTGAACCCTGGGGAGGAGGGGTGTTCTGAGATCCCATCAGGAAGTTAATGATGTCAAAATTATTTTCATAACAATACCAACATGCTCTGTGCCTTTTTCACTTGTTCTCTCACAAGTGTGTAGTGGAGCTTTCCAGAGGCTAACAGGTGATATCAGTGCTCTAACCGCTAAAAGAACCAGGTGCTTGTGTACTTTTGTGTTTAAAAAATTTCTCTGTTTTAATATGGTCAGTGTCAATAACTGTGATCCACATAAGCCTTTGAGATCCTCTCTGGATCTCACACATGACAATTACGGATGGTTTTTATGGGACACAAGCTCAGTGTTCCAAAGAAATAACTTACAGGTGGACTTTTAGAAATGCCATTCATAAACAGTGGATCTGTTGTTTGCGTACAAAATAAGATGTTAAATTAAAACTATTCTCTTGCCAAATTTCAGCAGAGGCCCCTAAAACCAATAAGTGCCAAGAAACCTGAGATTCGAAATGGGAGAATAATACTATCTATTCAGGACATCCTAAATTGTGCAACTGATAGTCCATATCCAGATGATATAACATATTCTTGCATGAAAATCAAGGTAATAGGTATTCATTTGAAGCAAGTAGTAAATGTATTATGTATTTCTCCAAGGGGGATGGGAAAGGAGTCTTTTTATTCATCTCAAATCAAGTGAGGGAACTTTGAAAGAAGAGTTGGAGAACTTGTCATGTTTCTGCTGGCATGTGGAATTAGGGGACAGTCTAAAAATAGTCCAGCGTTTTGAGAAGGCAAACTGAAGAGAAAAAGGGCAGTCCTTCAACAACAGCAAATACAAGATGCATGCTTTTCATCGGCTGGATAGGGAGCTGGCTACAAACACTCTTGAAAAGGAAAAGGGCTTCTGGCTGTGAGCACAGCAAACATTCGTTACTGAAGCTGAGGGGGCTCTCTAGGCAAATGCGGTGGGAGGTCTGGGAGGTAAAGTAGGTATAGAATCTAAGGAACTGTCAGAAGTGTCCTGCAAGAGAGAGTCAGCTTTGTCATCTGCCATGACTAGCGGGTACCAGTGCCCTGTTAACTGTGCCAATCAAATAAGACTCCCCTTCATTTACTGCTTCTTCCTGTCCTCCTTTGTCCACCAGAAAATGCAGCTAGGACGTAAGAGAGGAGGTGGTCCCAGGGAGAGAAGGAGCTAACCCCTCCTCCTTTCCCCACTGCAAGATCCCCAGCCTGAGGAAAAATATAAGTTGTAAGTTGGATGACAGCTTTGAGTTTTGATATTATGCTGGACAAAGCTTTTTAATACCTGGAAAAGGAGACTCCTTATTTAATACCCGCATAAGCTGTGAGATCTACCCCAAGATTCTCTCTAAAAGTGGGAGGATGGAGTTTACAGTATAGATTAAAAGAGATAGAAGTAAAATGAAAAAAAAAATTTCATCTTCCTCTAGGACATAGGGAAGGCATCTTGGTCATATATTCAAGTAGAATTGCTGAAGACATGTTAACTCCTGCTAAATGTATTTCAGCTTTCTTGTCCAGATTTTCAATATGACCCCAAACCTCTTTTCAGCATTGCTTCTCTTGAAACACGTGCTTATCTCTTTTTTCAACCAAATAAAACTCTTTGCTACCCCTACCCCCAACCTCTCCCACTCTTCTGTACACCTGTGTATATATATGATTTCCTCTTTCTCAGATTTTCCTATTTCTGCTAGTTGAAATCCCTTGTGACTTTCAAGTTCACTTCAAAAGCTCTTTTATAAAGCTTGTAAGAGAGAAACAGCTGGGATGGCAAATCCTAAAATCCTTTATGAGCTGCCAGTGGCAGATGACACCTCCTCTGCGGGAATTATTTTTGTGGGATTCACTGAAAAAAAAAGAAAAGATAGGCTCCTGATTTCTAGATAGAGATTAGTAACAAATCCTAAGCTCCCTCCTGCTCTAGCACACAGAGATGTGGCCATTGGTACTTTACGCACTAAACCTACCCCTTTATTACAATACCAGGTTTAAGAAGTGCCCCATTTCCAAAGGGCCCCAAATGGATGCTGCTTCAGAACACGGGACACTCCCATAAAAACTCCATCAGCCAAATGATATGGAAGAGAGCACCACAAAGAGGAAATTTTTAACTCCTCCATCTTCCCATGGAAAGAATCTCCATTCATTGTTATAGCATCTTAAATATGCATATTTGAGGATTTAATTTTCTCCATTCTATACTCATTATATTCTTCTGTCTTTGGATAGGTGGTTTTATTCAGATTTCGATATTGGTTGTGATCATGGGAATAGCTCTCTTGTAGAGATTAAAAAGTGACACTAGCAAAGCCTTCCCTGACCCACTACAGTGTTAGCCCATTTTGCATTACTATAAAAGAACATTGAGACTGGGTAATTTATAAAGAAAAGAGGTTTATTTGGTTCGTGATTCTGCAGGGCAAGCAGAGGCATGACCCCGGCATCTGCTTGGCTTCTGGTGCAGCCTCAGGAAGCTTTCAGTCACAGCAGAAGGTGAAGGGGTAGCAGATGTGTCACAGGTGAGACAGGAAGCAAGACAAAGGGAGAGAGAGCCAGATTCTTTTTAACAACCAGCTCTCCTATGAACTAACAGAGTGAGCAACTCTCATTACCATGGAGAGGGCACCAAGCCATTCATTAGGGATTTGCCCCCATGACCCAAACACCTCATGCGAGGCCCCACCTCCAACATGGGGGATTACATTTCAACATGAGATTTGGAGGGGACAAACATCCAAACTATACTAACTACCTGGAGCACAGAAATTTTTTATCTCTGATAGCACTTATATTATTTTTCCTTATAGAATTGTTATGGCTATATGCCTACATGGGAAGACCATGAGGACATAAATTCTACAAAGACAGGGTCTCTCTTGTCTGTCTTACTAATATTTGTATCCTCTGTAGAAGGCAGCACATAGGAGATATTCACTAAGTATCAATGCTCATATAATTAAAATGCTGCTATATTACAATTCATCTTGAATATAACTTGGGATAAAATATGACTTTCTTAAACTACATTCCAGAGGTTCATTTATTGGTGTCTCAGGGACCCTTCTCTATAAAATAATCTCCTTTTAAGACTCTTAATATATGGACCCTAAAAAAGTTACAGTAGGACTCAATGCATCAAGTTGCTTATCACTTCATTATACATACTTCTTAGAAAGTCTGTTATCCATTGTGCAAGTTCTTGTGAAAGTACATGGGCCAACTTTGTTCTACAACTCTTATGCCAAGTTCAAAACCACAATATCTCAGCAGCTTTATTTTTCTTCCAAAACACCATAAGTATTACACTATATTATGCATTGCATACTTGCCAAAGCATTTCAGCCAGACTTTTTTGTTACATAAGCACAAAAGCATCCAACACTAATAAACTCCTATTTTTCTTTCTACTTTTATGTAAATTCAAAGAACCAATGCATGTTTCTTATGCCTTTCGGGTAAGAATTAAACAATCACTAACACTTAAAAAGTATTGTTCTAAACCCAAATTGTGAGATATACTCCTCAACTGACTAAACTTTTTTCTTACAGGTATAGTTTACTTGGTATTACAGAAGTTTTGTAACAATTTTTCTTGGTAATACATCTGAAATGGTTGGCTTTATGGATCCTCTGCAATGACCATTGGTTTTTCTTTTTGCTTGCTTGTTTTCCTAAATGCAGGATATTTGAGTGAGTGTCTTGCTTTTTATTTTGTTTGCCCAGTGTATTTATTTCCATGTTGCTGCTGCTGATAAAGATATACCCAAAACTGGGCAATTTACAAAAGAGAGGTTTAATGGACTCATAGTTCCATGTGGCTGGGGAGGCCTCACAATCATGGCAGACCAGAGAAGAGAACTTGTGCAGGGAAACTCCCCTTTATAAAACCAACAGATCTTGTGAGACTTATTCACTATCACAAGAACAGCACAGGAAAGAAGTACCCCCATGATTCAATTACGTCCCACCAGGTCCCTCCTACAACGTGTGGGAATTGTGGGAGTTAAAATTCAAGGTGAGATTTGGGTGGGGACACAGACAAACCATATCATTCCTCCCCTGGCCCCTCCCAAATCTCACGTCCTCACATTTCAAAACCAATCATGCCTTCCCAACAGTCCCCCAAAGTCTTAGCTCATTTCAACATTAACTCAAAAGTCCAAGTCCAAAATCTCATTGGAGACAAGGCAAGTCCCTTCTGCCTATGAGCCAGTAAAGTCAAAAGCAAGTTAGTTACTTGCTAGATGAAATGGGGGTACAGGCATTGGATAAATACATCCATTCCAAATGGGAGAAATTGACCAAAATGAAGGGGCTGAAAACCCCATGCAAGTCTGAAATCCAGCAGGGCAGTCAAATTTTAAAGCTCCAAAATGATTTCCTTTGACTCCATGTCTCACATCTAGGTCATGCTGATGCAAGAAGTAGGTTCCCATGGTCTTGGGCAGCTCTACCCCTGTGGCTTTGCAGGGTACAGTCTCCCTCCTGGCTGCTTTCATGGGCTGGCATTGAGTGTCTGTGGCTTTTCCAGGTGCACAGGACAAGCTGTCCATGGATCCACCATTCTGGGGTCTGAAGGATAGTGGCCCTCTTCTCACAGCTCCACTAGGTAGGGATACACACACTCCAGTGGGGACTGTGTATAGGGGCACCCCCCAACATTTCCCTTCTGCACTGCCCTAGAATAGGTTGTTCATGAGGGCCTGCCCCTGCAGCAAACTTCTTCTGCCTGGACATCCAGGCATTTCCACACATTTTCTGAAATCTAGACGGAAGTTCCCAAACCTCAATTCTTGACTTCTGTGCACCTGCAGGCTCAACACCACATGGAAGCTGCCAAGGCTTGGGGCTTGCACCCTCTGAAGCCATGACCCGAGCTATGCTTTGGCCCCTTGTCGTCATGGCTGGAGTGGCTGGGATGCAGGGCACCAAGTCCCCAGGCTGCACACAGCATGAGGACCTTAGCCTGGCCCAGGAAACCATTTTTTCCTCCTAGGCCTCTGGGCCTGTGATGTGAGGGGCTACCACAAAGGTTTCTGACATGCCCTGGAGACATTTTCCCTATTGTCTTGGCGATTAACGTTCAACTTCTTGTTACTTATGCAAATTTCTGCAGCCAGCTTGAATTTCTCCTCAGAAAATGGGATTTTCTTTTCTGTCACATTGTCAGGCTTTATATTTTCCAAACTTTGTGCTCTGTTTACCTTTTAAAACTGAATGCCTTTTACAGCACCCAAGTCACCTCTTGAATGCTTTGCTGCTTAGAAATTTCTTCTGCCAGATACCCTAAATCATCTCTCTCAAAGTTCCACAGATCTCTAGGGCAGGGGCAAAATGCCCCTAAAACATAACAAGAGTCACCTTTGTTGCAGTTCCCAATGAGTTCCTCATCTCCATCTGAAACCACCTCAGCCTGGATACCTTTGTCCGTAACATTATTAGCATTTTGGTCAAAGCCATTCAACAAGTCTCTAGGGAGTTTCAAACATTCCCACATTTTCCTGTCTTCTTGTGAGCCCTCCACACTGTTCCAACCTCTGCCTGTTACCCAGTTCCAAAGTCACTTCCACATTTTCTGGTATCTTTTCAGCAGCATCTCACTCTACTGGTACCAATTTACTGTATTAGTACATTTTCACACTGCTGATAAAGACATACCCAAGGCTGGGCAATTTACAAAAGAAAGTTTTAATTGACTCACAGTTCCACATGGCTTGGGAGGCCTCACAATCATGGCAGAAGGTGAATGGCATGTCTCACATGGCAGCAGACAAGAGAAGATAACTTGTGCAGGGGAACTCCTCTTTATAAAACCATCAGATCTTGTGAGACTTGTTCAGTATCATGAGAATAGCATGAGAAAGACTTGCTCCCATGATTCAATTAGTTCCCACTGGGTCCCTCCCACAACATGTGGTAATTGTGGGAGCTACAATTCAAGATGAGATTTGGGTGAGGACACAGCCAAACCATATCACCCAGCTACAAGTTTAAACCTATGTGTTTGAATTTTAAAAGTTGAAATGTATATACATATACATATTGAAAATAATAATTCAGGAATTTTTCTGAAGCATCTAAAGAAAGATAATGAAAGTTTTCTATCAATAAATGTAGCTTTATAAGCAGTGGTCCAAATCGTGCTTAAAGATTCTTTACAAATTTCTCTAAGGTTTATATAGTTTATAAGTCCATTGTATCCACATCTTTATAATTAAGCACTAATTTCTTCTTTAAGATTTACATATCAGTCTGAAAATTAGGCTTACCACAAGAAAATAACCAAGGGCTAAGGAACTACTAACAGCAAGAGAGTTAACAATACAGAAGCTACTTAGTGAGAGACAAGAAGACAGTATTAAGGAAAGAAAAGCCATTCAGAGGAATGCATCTGCAGCACTTCAAGAGTTATTTTTCATTTCCCCAAATCTCAAAAACATTTGCAGTCTTGCAAAAAAAATGTAATTTCTGTGAATAAATATGGCAATTGAAATATGTAAAGTGATCTGACTCAAAGTTTTCCATGAAATGATGGAAACATTCTCCAAGATTCTTCAGAGCCATATTAAGTGACAGATGTTCTTTTCTGTGCCCTAGTAAGTAGCAGCCATCACCATCATGACCATTTTGAAATATGACATTTTAAAAGTGACTACTTTGCAGAGTGTCTAAAGCTAATGGCAAGGTCAATATGACACCAAAAGAACTAGTGAGAAATGAAGAATTTGTCTAATCTGCTCCTTCCTCTGTAGGACACAAACCTCCAATTTGACTGGTATGTTTTCTACTTGCACACGATCAGAAAGAGTTGAGGAGCCAACCTGGGAGCCCAAGTGGTCATTATGGAATAATAAGGTCTGAGTTTTAATATTTGGGCTGACCGTGCCCATGCCCATCGTATCTCATATAATCACCATGATGAGACTGACCAAAATTTAGGGTTGGAATTCTTCTGGAAAAATCGCATTGCTGAAGGTACCTCCTTAGTTAACTGGCTGTTTTTCTATGTTATGGGTATACCTACAGATTAGCTGGGAGTGTCCTATTGCCTCACTTCATTGCAAAATTCACTATGGCTTCCAAGTTTTGTTTCCTCCTCACTGGAGGAAATAGGTGAAAACAGTGGAGAGTTTAAAGTCTCACACACACCCTAGTGCCAAATGATGGGCCGGAGTCTAAATAAACATAAGAAAATAAGTCAGATACTGTTCCTGCATTATTTTAACTTATATTCTAGCATACAAGACTGGATTTAAGCAAGTAAATACATAAACACATACTTATAAGTTAGAACAAGTGTTTTAAATGAGAACAAGGTGTCATGAGGATAGTATTGAGAGATTCACTTTAATTTTTTTATTTTTATTAATTTTTTTTTGAGATAGAGTCTCACTCTGTCACCCAGGCTGGAGTGCAGTGGCGTGATCTCGGCTCACTGCAACCTCCACCTCCTGGGTTCAAGTGATTCTCCTGCCTCAGCTTTCTAAGTAGCTGGGACTACAGGCACGTGCCACCACACCCAGATAATTTTTGTATTTTTGGTAGAGATGGGGTTTTGCCATGTTGGCCAGGCTGGTCTAGAACTCCTGGCCTCAAGAGACCCACCCCCTCAGCCTCCCAAAGTGCTGAGATTACAGGCATGAGCCACCATGTCTGGCCAAGAGACTCATTTTAAATTGGATAGTCAGGAATGGCATTTCTGAGGAAAAAAGGAAAACTAGAAAAATGAGAAAAACTAAAAAAAAAAAAAGCCAGCCATAAAAACATGTCAGGTTAACAAAAGGTCTGGAAGCAGAAACAAGCTTAGCTTATGGAGGAAACACAAGGAAACATAGTCGCAGGAGATGGTGGGCAAACGGTCGGGTAGAATAACATGAACTAATGAGGTGAATAGGGCAAATCATGACAGACCTTGAAGGCCACAGTAAAGAATTTCTTTTTTCCTGCATAAAACTGCAAACCAAGGAAAGCATGGGATAGGCAAGATACAATTTATATTTTTTAAGAAAATACTCTGGCTGTTGAGTGGTATAGAGTGGAGGCAGGGAGATGGAGTAAAAGCTGGAAGATATCTGTGCATGTGAATGTGTGTGCACGCATATGTGGATGTGACATGTATTTTCTGTATTCAGGATGTTAAAACACTCCCCAAGCCCTTAAACCAAATGTTTTTGTGTTTGAGCATTATAAATGTCAAATAATCATGTCAAAAGGTACTTAGAAGAGAGGAAAGTGGGACAAAAGAACTTTAGGGGTTAGGCTCCAGGGACTTCTCCATTCACCAAGAACTGTAATTTCCTCATTACCAGAGTAAGCCGACTTTCACACATTATGTGAACTTGTCTGTCATATCCTTAATATACTTAGATATCCAATTCTATTTTTGTTTTTCTGTTTTTTTGAGACGGAGTTTTGCCCTTGTTGTCCACTCTGGAGTGCAACGGTGCAATCTCGGCTCACTGCAACCTCTGCCTCCTGAGCTCAAGCAATTCTCCTGCCTCAGCCTCCCAAGTAGCTGGGATTACAGGTGTGTGCCAACATGCCCAGCTAATTTTGTATTTTTAGTAGAGATGAGGTTTCACTGGGTTGGTCAGGCTGGTCTTGAACTCCTGACCTCAAGTGATCCACCTGCCTCAGCCTCCCAAAGTGTTGGGATTACAGGCATGAGCCACCACGTCCAGCCTAGATATCCAATTCTTCATTTCCTCTCAATATGTTTTCCAAAGGGGAATGCACATGGCATGTAGGTCAGTCATATTTTCCTCTATATTGGTTTGTTTCTTGGGTCAACGTTTGGCATTCTTGCTTTTCCTGGGTAAAACAGGTTGCATCACCATTTCATCCCCTTACTTGCTGCCAGGTAATCCTGTCAATAATATGTGTAGGAATATTTTTGGAAAGGCAGTTGTTCAAAGTAGAGTTTTTATCCCTGTTGTGGCATCCACTGAGAGACTTTCCAGAACTTCACATTCTTGGGCAGCCAGAACTGCTAGAAGTAGTTTATAATTTGGAAGTTATCTCTAGTGTTGTTTAAGGCTTTAGAGTATTAAGAAGAATACTGACAAAAGAAAAAATGTTTCATAATATCTGACTGTGTATGTAACTGAGTGTGTATGTATATATTTATAATGATATACAGTTGACCCTTGAACAACAGCGGTGGGGGAACGAGGGGGACCAACCCTCTAAGCAGTCAAAAATCCATATATAACTGGTTTTTGTTTTTTTAAGGACAGTGTCTTGCTCTGTCGCCCAGGCTGGAGTGCATTGGTGCCATCTCGGCTCCCTGCAACCTCGGTTCCCGGGCTCAAGCCATCCTCCCACTTTAGCCCCTCAAGTAGCTGGGACCAGACGTGTACCAACACACCTGGCTAATTTTTGTTTTTTGTAGAGAGGGGGCTTCACCATGTTGCCCAGGCTGGTCTTGAACTCCTGAGCTCAAGTGATCCTTCCAACTCAGCCTCCCAAAGTGCTGAGATTACAGGAATGAGCCACCATGCCTGGCCCCACATATAAATTTTGACTCCTCAAAACCTTAACTACCAATAGCCTACTGTTGACTCCTTACCAATAATGTAAATAGTCAATTAACACATATTTTGTCTGTTATATGTATTATAAACTGTATTCTTACAATAAAGTAAGCTAGAGAAAAGAAAACATTAAGAATATAAGGAGGAGAAAATATATTTACCATTCACTAAATGGAAGTGGATCATCATAAAGGTCTTCATGCTCTTCATCTTCATGTTGAGTAGGCTGAGGAGGAGGAAGAGGAGGGGTTGGTCTTATTGTCTCCAGAGTGGCAAAGATGGAAGAAAACCTACTTATAAGTGGACTCAAACAGTTCCAACCATGTTGGTTAAGGGTCAACTGTGTGTGTGTGTGTGTGTGTGTGTGTATTTGTGTATGCATTTATATATCATTGTGGGGAGGGCAGAGTAGAAGTTGGAGAGTGTGTGTGTGTGCACATGTGTGTATGTATATATGTATGCATTCACGAATGGAAAGAAAACTAGTTACTTTGAAATCTAAAAAAAAAAGGAAACACCCTTTTTTTTCCCCACATATTCGTTCATTTTCTTAGCCCCCTGGAAGAACATATTGTTTTCAAAATCTACCTGCAGGAATCCAAAAGCCAAATTTTGAAGCTGCAAAAAGAGAAACTGAAAAATAGAACTCCTTCTGTCTCTTTGAACCATTTCCTTGTATCTTGAGGGTAACTGATACACATTTCACAACACGTGACTTTCAAAGATGATGAATGACAGGGAGGCTCGGTGTCAGACTCCAGATTGTCTTCTGGATCTCTTAGATTTGGGAAGAGATGAGAATAAGCAAACCTTTTAACATAAAATCATCCTATTTAATTAGAAGGGTGTATGGAATAGTCTTAAGGTAAAAGGAAACATTTTCAACTTCTAATTCCTTTCTGGACATATCCTTTTAGGAGGAAGTTCTAGTGATGAGATCAAAGTATCACTTTTCCCCCAGAGGACAGTAATATCACTTTCCCTGTGAAAAACTAGTCCAGTCCATTTAAAGACAGGATTTTAGGATATATTATTCATGACTGTGCTTTTAAAAACCTAAGTGTGAGTTTTATAACTCTAAATTCAAAATTGTCTCTATGGTTTCATTTTTAGGAGTTCTGCACATAAGCTGAGCAGATCCTTTGAGTCAAAGCCTAAAATCTTAGACTTAGAGGTCAGGCATCTTCCATTTGAACCCTGGCATAGGCACGTATTTGCTGTAGGACTGGCCAGACTGTCAAATCTGTGTCTCAGTGTCCTCAGTCTTTAAATGGGGATAAAAATAGCACCAGCCTCAGATTGTAGAAGGATTAATCAAATTACCTCATGCATAACACTTAGCACAATTCCTTCTACATTATAATCACTTAATAATAAATACGAGTATAATAACAACGAAAGTAACAAATTATGTTGAAATAAATTATTTAACTCAGTACAGGCAGGGCCTAAAATGTTGACGTGACTTTCAAGTGTCTTGAGTTCTTAAGGAGAATGTAATCCCACTGCGATGGGACTGAGCCATAAACAGGCAGAGCTTTTGCTACTCCTTTAGAGCCCACCTCAGTATCCTACAGCAATCGAAGAGACAGTACAATACCCACAAACAGCAACTGAAAGCAATTTAAATCTCTAATGAGGTGTCCTGAAAAATTCTAGAGGAACATTCTACTTCTGATGCAGAGAAATACTTCCTAAAATCTTCTTTCCCTGAGACTCCTATAATTGTCTCACCAGAAAAGGAGTTGCCTTCCCTTTGCTCAGTTTGACTCAAGCTCACTCTTAGTGCAGCCCACATTGGCTTCTGTCCTCTTTCTCTTTGCACAGAAGCAGCTCTTCTGTTTATTTACTGACCCTCTGCCCTTTCCAGTCCAAAGCAATCAAGTCACAGTGGACTAATTTGAAGTCTTTTTCTCCCTTTCATCTATTATGTAACATCTACACAACAAAATTTGAGAAACATAGAAATCAGAGCTTGAACCTGGATGCCTAAACCAACATCCATCTCAGCAGGTAGAGTAGATGGTGAGATTGTGATGACCATATGTTTTTTCCTGAAGCATACGTACTACTATTTAAAGCATGGGTCATTTTCTCCTAAGACAGAACTTAACAAAACATGAGCCTTTAAATAAAGTATCAATGTATGTATAAATGAAGTCATCTCACTAGCATCATTCAGTTTGAAGAATACATTCAATGATCCAGAGCCAATATTAAATCTATAATATGAAATGGGCAGAAAAAAAATAAGACTCCAAATTATCACCTTCCCAGAAACCAACCTCTCTCTCACCAACTGCTCAGAAAAGAAGAAAGCAAATATAAAAGAAATATGACCATTTTGTTATTTTGCTCTTACATGGAATTGAAATTAAGCTATATGGAAAATTCACTAAATTCTACCGATCTATCTTTTTAAAAGGGAAATGTTAAGCAGTTCTGAAAGAGTGCACCCAGCTTCCTTTCCAAAGGATACTGCTAATGGAGTTGAACACACCCTTCCTGTCACCCCAGGTGCTAAATATGTGGAAGTTGGGAATATCTAAATGCTTGGAGATCCTGAAGATACTCCCTGAGGTGGCTATAAAAAGACTACGCTTGGCTTCTGAGAATGTAGTGGCAGACACTTTCACTTTATTTTATTTTACTTTATTTTATCATGGGAGGAAGTTTTATTGAGTCACCATCCCCCTACACCTCAACTTCTCTTTTTTAAAAATATGTGTAAGTTTTTTCTACTTCTGTCTCTCAGGAACAGGTTTTTGGTGGTTCAGAAATTTCTCCCACTTTTACCTGACTGTGGGCAACCTCAGCAACAGAGGCTCCTGGAAATATCCTCCACCTATTTTTCTCAGATGTGAGAACGGTTGACTGGAGTTATGAGGGGGAAGTGGCTGGTGCAGAAAGTTGCCAAAAGGGTGATGGAAAGTTCTTTACTGATGAAAAAAGAAAAGAATAATAATTCATATTTATCTTTTGACCAAGACAAGATAGGAACAGAGGTGCCTTTGCTTGCTTTCACCTCAAGCAGGAAGTGAGAGTCCTATTAGCCTCTGGGTTCTGGGAAGTCAACGATTTGGGGTTATTTTTCTTCCCGCCCATTTCTTTACCTTACTCATAGGTTTAATATTGACCTCTGTCTTTATCACTGAATCTGTTTTTCAAATTGAGCAATTCTCAATTTGTCAGATGATTTATTTTTTACATATACATGAATGTTTTGTTGAAACAAGACTTTCAGCGGTATCAGTCATGGGGGAGCTTAGCTGTGAACCCGGAGGTGAGAGTAAAGTCTTAGAACAAAGAGGAATTCGAAATTACGGAACATTTTTAACTTCTTTACTCAGTGGTAAAGAATGGAACATCTTTTACGTCAAACTACTGAAGTTGTGGGCAAAATTACAAGCGATGATTATGCAGGATAGGTTAGTTTTTGGCCATTTTAGGCTTTTCTTGATTTTATGGAGTAGTCTGAAAGGAGTGAGCTGGTGAGAGAATTTACTAGGTGCTGAAGCAATGAGAACTGACAGCTGATATACAGGGGAAGAGCTCCGTTTCAGTCACATTGAATTTGAGGTGCCTTTAAGAGGAGGTAATCAGGAAGAATTTGCAACAGTTCTTTAAACCCCGGTGGATATCAGAGCTAATCATGTATCCGTGGGAGTTGTCAGGGTAAATCTGATGACTGATGCCAAGAACCTCACATAAGGAGGTCAGGTGGCATGAGAAGAGATGATGAGTGAGAACACAAGCTGAGAAAGAACAGTATTTAGAGGATGGACTGAAGGACAAGTGGGGGAGTTTGAAAATGCGGAGCTGTAGAGGTAAAGGACACTGAGTATATCTGCTCTGGTCCTTTGGGGACTTTCCACAGCACTAGCTTCACCTTGGTTGCTTGCCAACTGCTGAGACAGTAAGTCCAGATTTTAGTATTTGACCCACGCTGCCTTCTCCAGATCATGCTCCTTGATATTACCTCTGAATTTGCTGAAAGAAAAACATTTCCACTCAAATATCACTTGAACATGATTTATGAGTAAAATGAATAATATTTTACTATAAAACATACAGAGGTGAGTCTCATAACGATATTCAGGGTGGCCCCAAGCTATCTTCTTTTTTTTTATTTTTAAAGTTTTCAAAATATTTTCAGGCCAAGTGTGGTGGCTCATGCCTGTAATCCCAACACTTTGGGAGACTGAGGCAAGAAGATCACTTCAACTCAGGAATTTGAGACCAGTCTGGGCAACATAGCGAGACTTCATCTCCACTTAAAAAAAAAAAAAAAAAAAAAAAACTCAAATGTGGTGGCGCACGCCTTTGGTCCCAGCTACTTGGGAGCGCTGAGGTGGGAAATCTCTTGAGCCTGGGAAATAACGGCTACAGTGAGCTTTGATCGTGCCATTGCACTCTAGCCTGGGTGGCACAGTGAGACCCTGTTTCAAAAAAAGTGAATATATTTAAGGTATACAGCAGGATGTTTTAATATAGAGAGTTAAATGACTGCTATCGTTAGCTAATTAACATACCCATCTTCTCAGGTAGTTACCTTGTGTATGTGTGTGGTGAGAATACTTGAGATATACTCTCCTATCAAATTTCATGTATATAATATAGTATTACTAACTATGGTCACTATGCTATACATTAGATCTCTAGAATGTATTCACCCTACATACCTAAAATTTTATACACTTTGACCAGCACCTTCCCTTTCTTCTCTCCCAGCCCCTTCCCCTAATAACCACCATTCTACTCTCTGCTACTGTGAATTCAGCTGTTTGAGATTCCACATCTAAGCTATCTTCTTTATTAGCCATTGCTAAAGAGTCACTGATAAGCCTGCTTCCTGTCTGTTGGGTGCAACTAAAAAGCAGACCCTTGATCTGGCATTCTGGTGGTGAAGTGACTTATAGCTCTAGAACCTCCCAACCCAAGCCATCCTACGGCAGCTGTTCTGAAGTTGACTTTTATAGCTTCTACAGAACTGTAAGCTTGCCGTTGAAAGTGGCACCTAGCCATTTATTCGCCAGTAATTATAAGCAAATGAATCAAATTTGAAGCAGGAGTGTAATAAAATCAGTAATGGATAGGATTTTAAGCAACAGGCAAACTTCTAAGAGGGGCTGGCACCCCTTTTTAAAAATAGATTAATGTCATCTGCAAACAGAGACAATTTGACTTCCTCTCTTCCTACTTGAATACCCTTTATTTCTTTCCCTTGGCTGATTGCCCCGGCCAGAACTTCCAATACTATGTTGACTAGGAGTGGTGAGAGAGGGCATCCTTTTCTTGTGCCAGTTTTCAAAGGGAATGCTTCCAGTTTTTGCCCATTCAGTATGATACTGGCTGCGGGTTTGTCATAAACAGCTCTTATTTTGAGATATGTTCTATCAATACCTAGTTTATTGAGAGTTTTTACCATGAAGGGGTGTTGAATTTTATTGAAGGCCTTTTCTGCATCTATTGGGATAATCATGTGGCTTTTGTCATTGGTTCTGTTTATGTGATGGATTACGTTTATTGATGTGCATATGTTGAGCCAGCCTTGCATCCCAGGGATGAAGCTGACTTGATTGTGGTGGATACGCTTTTTGGTGTGCTGCTGGATTCATGTCCTTTGCAAGGACACGGATGAAGCTGGAAACCATCGTTCTCAGCAAACTAAAACAAGAACAGAAAACTAAACACCGCATGTTCTCACTTATAAGTGGGAGCTGAACAATGAGAATACATGGACACAGGGAGGGGAACATCACACACCGGGGCCTGTCGGGGGCTGGGGGCTAGGGGAGGGATAGCATTAGAGAAATACCTAATGTAGATGACATAGGTATTAGGGTAGATGGGTGCAGCAAATCACCATGGCACGTGTATACCTATGTATACCTATGTAACCTGCACATTCTGCACATGTACCCCAGAACTTAAAGTATAATTTAAAAAAAGGTAGTAAGATGATAGATTTAAACCCAAATATATTTGTAATTACATGAAATGTCAGCAAAGTAAGTACTCTAATTAAAAGCTAAAGATCGCCAGATTGGAAAAAAAAAAAATATGCTACTTTCAAGAGATTTTCCTTATATAGAAGAATATAGAAAAGTAAAAGAATGGAAAATGTATAACATGCAACCAATATGAAACAAAATAGAATTTAAGGCAAGGAATATTATTCAAGATAAAAAGGGAAGGCTGGGTGAAGTGGCTCACACCTATAGTCACAGCACTTTGGGAGGCCAAGGCAGAAGGATTGCTTGAGTCCAGGAGTTTGAGGCAAGCCTGGGCAACACAGTGGGACCCCATATCTAAAAATAAAAAATAAAAATAAATTTTAATGAAAAAATAGATTAATGGCAGAGCAGACTTGAGAGACAAATGGTTCTTGCAATAAGCGACAGCGGTATTAAGATGTATGTTCAGGATCTCATTGGATAGAGGATTAGGAAAATTTCTTTGTTTTAATGTTTCTTAGTAGACCTTTTTAGAAAGAAGGGCAGTGTGAAAATAATATCCTAAGAGCTCATAACGGCAAATGCCAAGGTTTGTGTGGTGTGTGTGTGCGCGCACGTGTGTGTGTGTATGCATGCCTGTGTAATATTATGAGATAATACAAGGGAGAAGGGTGATTCATGGAAAGAGTGGACGAAGGTTTCGAAAGCTACCGAGTGAGAAAAGGTCTGATGAGTATTTATTTAGGAATTATGATGTCACTGGTGACCTTAGCAGGAATAGAATCTGTAAAATGCTAGGGGCAAAACGGGGTTACAGGAAGGTGAAGAGTAGACAGAGACTTCCTTTTCCAACAGTATTGGCAGAGTAAATATCCTGAAAATCTATCCTGCTACAAAGCACCTAAAAGTAGTAGATACAAAATGAAAAACACATTTAAATGCATGCCTGTGTTGGAAAGAGTAAGGGAAACCATTGGAGTTATCAGAGGCTAAATGTTCTGGGAAGGACCAATTCAGAGAATTGTAAGCAGTGAAATCATCTATGAATTCCAGGGGCCTGGGGCTTCAGTTGTGACACAGATCAACTCAGGTCGGCACAATGGGAGAGTTAGATTCAAATTCTGGAACCCATAATGAATTACATCTTCAGTGAAACTGCAAATTAGGAAAAAAATAAAAATTAAAAACAACCTGCCCTGAATGAAGAAACAAATAAAACTGGTGAATTTTTTGAGCATCTTGTGAGAATTTATAAGTCGGAGCTAGTCCTCAAATGGCCCTAGGTTAGGGTCTGTGATGGTTAATTTTGTGTGTTAATTTGACTGGATTGAGGGATACTTAGATAGCTGGTAAAGCATTATTTCTGGGTGCATCTGTGAGGGTTTTCTGGAAGAAATCGGCATTTGAATCAGTGGACTGAGTAAGGAAAATCTGCCTTCAGTGTGGATGGGCACCATCCCATCAGCTGAGGACTAGAATAGAATGAAAATGCAAAGGAAAAGCAAATTTGTTCTCCTCCTTCAAGCTGAGATACCCTTCTTCTCCTGCTCTTGGACATTAGAACTCCAGGTTCTCCAGCCATTGGACTCAGGCACTTGCACCAGCAGTTCCTGGGTTCTCAGGCTTTTGACCTTGTGCTGAGAGTCATACCATCAGCTTTTCCGGTTCTCCGTCTTGCAGATGACCTTCTCAGATTTCATAATTGTGTAAGCCAATTCTCCTAATAAATCTCTCTTATATATCTATCCATCCATCCACCCATCCATCCTATTAATCTCTGTACAATTCTGACTAATACAGGATTCCCTATCTCACCGACTGCATTGTCTGAAAAAGACTCCTGCCACCCTAGATTTGAAGCTTCCTTAACTGCCTGACAGAAGCAAATAATTTTCTCTAGATGAATCAACTGTCAACCTCAAAGAACTTCCATTTATAAAGTCCCAACATTATCCCAGAATCTAAAATTACAAAATGAAAGAAGAAATAGGAGTCAATTTCAGTAGAAACAATAAACAAGAGAATCAGCCCTAGATAATGAACTAGTTACATTTATACTACAAAACTGGTATTTAAAGTTAAAGAAAAAGAATAAAGTTGGAAAAGAAAGTCACATACATGAATGAGGAAGAAGTGACTATAAAGATGACTAGGCAGTTCTAATAAAAACTAAAAATAGGACATTCAGAAATGAAAATTACAGTACTTAAAATTAAAAATTCAATAGGTATACTGCTTAGCCTATTAGACATGACTGAAGATAGAATGACAAACCTAGACTATAAAGCTGAAGTAGTTGGCTCTAACAGAACACAGAGAAACAGAGGGAGTATAAAAGCAGTAGAGAGACATAAAAAATATTTGTAAGATACAACATATATCCAAATCAGAATTCCACAAAGAAATATCAGAGAAATGAAAGAGAGATAATTTCAGAGGGAAAATGTCTGAGCAATTCCAGAATTCCAGATGACATGAATCTTCAGATTTAGAAAGCAAAACAAATCCCAGTCTTCACTGAACTGTAGAACACCAGTGAAAAAGAACTTTTAAAAATCCAGAGAGAAAAACATTGCCTCCAAAGAAATATTTACAGTGATAGCTGAATTCTAAACAACAACAATGGAAACCAGTAAACTGTGAGATCATATTAAATCCATGAAAAAATGCTTATAGCTACATATCTAGAATTGTAAAATTGTATGTCATTTTTAGATTAAAAAAGATCAAGAGAGTCCTCACAAACATCTTTTCCCTACAGGAGCTTCTAAAATATATATTTCAGAAATAAGGAAAATGCTTTCAGAAAAACTGAGTTCAAGAAGAAAGGGTGAGCGAAAATAAAGTGGTAAATGTGAGTAAATCTAAACAAATGTTAAATATAATACTCAATAATAATGTCTAATTTTAGAGTATATTAATTTTTTATTGCTGTGTAACAAAGTACCACAAATTTAGTGGCTTAAAACAATACAAATTTATTGACCTTAAGTTTCCATGTGTCATGAGTCTGGGCACAGTTTAATTGGGTTCCCTGATCTGGTCTCACAGCCTGTGTTCTCACCTGGATGGCCACTGAGGAAGAATCCACTTCCAAGCTCATTCAGGTTGTTAGCAGAATTAATTTCCTTTAAGCTCTACACTGAGGGCCCAGACTTTTTGCTAGCTGTCAGCTGCAGGCAGGCCACCCCATCCCATAGACCTTCTCACAGTATGACAGCTATTTTCTTCAAGCCACCAAAAGGATTTCTCTCCAGGATGTATATGATAAGTAATTATTAAAGTGGCATCCTATCACTTCTATCATATAAAATAACTTAAGGGAGTGATGTCCCATTGTCTTTGCCGTATTTCATTGGTTAGAAGCAGGGCACAGGTTCTGTCCGCACTTAAGCAGAGAAAATTGTGCAAGGGCGTGACTCATAGGAGGTCACTTTAGGGCGTGCTCACCGCAGAGAAATTGGAGAAACAAAAACAAGACTAAGTCAGAAAGGTCATGCTCAGAGTTAAAGCATGCTAAAGTCCTTGTAGGAAGTGCAAATAGACACAGATTAATTATAAACTGTATTAAGCTGGAAAGGAAAGTACAAAATAAGATGGTAGGAATTAATCAAAATACATCAGCAATCTTAAAGACACAAAACATTTTTAAATAAAAGGGTAAAAAAATATATTGTGGCTATATTATTATCAGATAAAATAGACCTTCAAGTAAAAAAGCATAATTCGAGTTAGAGGATGACTACATAATGACAGAGTAACTCTCTAAATTACCATCTACCAAATTTCACAATTCAAAATTGTATATAGTAAATATTAGCAGAGATTCCTGAATCATCGTGTGTGCTTTTGAGACACAGTGCTTGGCAATTCAGAAGTTAAATAGACAAAATCAAAAACGTATCTTCTCACAAAAAAACAGTAATACATAAAAAATGTTAAGACCACAACATACTTGAACTAATTGCTGTACGTAGAATAAAGCATGAAACAATTAGAGACAACAGAATTAAGCACATGTGACACTGACCATATAAGTATATAAGAGCCACATAATAAACTATAAAACTAGTGTTAACCAATATGAAAGAAATATTTCATAATATGTGGGCCACGTTCTCTAATCACAATAAAGTTTAAAACCAGTGATGAAAACATTATGAAAAAGCTCATATATTTAGAAATTTAAAAACAAACTTCTAAATAATACATCAAAATAGCATTCAAATGGATATTAGAAAACGTTAGAACTAAACAATTATGAAAAATTCTATATATCAAAACATGGAATACAGATAAAATAGTGCAGAGAGAAGTTTATAGACTTTCAGAAGGGATGAAAATTAATAAAGTAATCATCAATGATTTAGAATAATATTGAAAAAATAAATCCAGAAAGCAGAAAAAGAAGATAACAAAAATAAAAGCAAAAATTAACAAAACATAAGAATATGGAAAATTAATGAAACTACCTCTGTTCTTTGAAGCAGTTAAAATCTAGATGTCTCTGACAAATTAAGAAAAAAGGGATAGATACAATATCGGCAAATCACAAGAAAACAACTTCAGAAGGACTAGAATGATAGCAGAATGTTATAGACAACTTTTAATTATAATGACAACTTGGATAAAATGGGCACATTTCTAGAAAGTTATATTTTGCAAAAATTGACTTATGAAAGAATTAGAAAACCTGTGCAGTCCTGAATCATTGAAATTAGTTAAACATTGAAGTTAAACTATCTTTTCACATAAAACTGAAGTCCACAGTTTTATAATAAATTCTGCTAAATATATTTAATGAGCAAATATTCCAATTTAACATAAACTCTTCCAGAAAATAAAAAAAAAAAAGACACGTTCCTCTTTAAGTTGTTTAATGAGGCCATGATTGTTATCTTGATTCCAAAATCCAATACAAAATATTAGCAATCTAAATGTAGCAATGCATTAAACACACACACAAATTACTAAATTGACTTTATCCAAAAAATAAAAGGCTAATTAGCATCAAAACTATTAACATAAATTAACAAAATAATGACAACTTATAAAATCATCTCTTTTTGCAGATGAAAGTCAATATTCATTCACATTAGAAACTCTCAGTGAACGTGGAATAGAAGGAAATTCTCATAACTGGCAAAAGAGTAAATACAAAATTCTCAAAGGAGATATCATATTCATTGGAGAGGTGGTAAAATCATTTTCTTTAAAGGAAGGAACAAAAGAAGGATGCCCACTATTACCATGCATATTCAACATTGAACTAAGGATGGCAGAAACCACATAAAAAAAGAAAGAATAAGAAAAGAATAAACAAAATTCTCATTATTCGTAGAAGATATTATTGTTTACATAGAAAAACCAAAGAAGGCTACAGACAGATTACTCAAATGTATAAAAGAGCTTAGCTAAGTGACTAAGTGATGATATAAGATCAATACACAAAAGTTAACAAACAGAAAATGTCATTTGTAGAACCAAACATAGATAATTAGGGATTAATTTAACAAGAGATGATCAATCATTTCATGGAGAAATTTTTACATTTTGAAATATATTTTAAAAGATCTAAATTGAGAGATACACAATGTAATATTTTAAATATGCCAATTATCCCCAAATTAATATATAGGGTCAATGAAATTTCTTCCAGAAACCTAAACTGAATTTTCCTTGAAATTTGAGAGTGATTTAAAGATTTGGGTAGAAGTGGTAATGAGTCAAGACATAAAAAATGAAGTGTAACAACTTACCCTAGCAGATATCATGGCTTCTTTAGTGCAGAAATACACAAATAGACCAGTAGAAGTGAAGAGAGAGCCCAGAAATAGACAATGCTTATGGAGAAACAATATATGACAGATGCAGTATTGCATCTCATACAAAAATCTGTTCTAAATGAATTAAACAATTCAATGTAAAAGTCAAATTTCAAAAAGTTTAGATGGCAAAGTAGGAAAATATCTTTATGACTATCAAGTAGGAAAGGATTTAACAAGCAAAAAAAGAAAAAAAAATGAGTTGATGAATTTGACTCCATTAATATTAAGAACTTCTAGTCAAAACACACTAAAAATTGAGGGGGTAGGGAGGGAGAGCATTAGGACAAATATCTAATGCATGCAGGGCTTAAAACCTAGATGATGGGTTGATGAGTGCAATAAACCACCATGGCACGTGTATACCTATGTAACAAACCTGCATGTTCTGCACATGTATCCCAGAAATTAAAATAATTTTTTTAAATGAGGGGGTAAATACACGCCACAAGTGAAAAGATGTACTTACAATCTGTATCACTGAAAAAATTTACTATTCAGAACTTGTCAATAACTCCTACTAAACAATTTTTAAACAGAAAATGGCACAAATATGAATGGAAGAGAAAATACAAGTGGCCAATTAAAATGTGAAAACACAGTTAACCTCATCACGAAACAGGGAAACTAAAATTAAAAATATAACCAAGAATAACTTTATATCTCTCAGTTTTGCAATTTTTTCAGAGGGAAAAATACCATGTGTTGAAAGTGTAAAACAGTGGGATCATTTATACTTTAATGGTGGGGATATAGATTTGTATAATAGTTTTTGAAAAGAATTTGACACGATGCAGTAAATATGGAGATGCCCATCCTGTTGGAACTATGAATTTCACCCCTAGCCTAGAAAAACGTTCACACATGGCATAAAGAGACACAGACAAGAATGTTTGCAGCGTATTGTTTGTAAAGATTAAACCATATTAAACTGCTGTGAAACTACAAAAACTGCAGTTTCATGTGGTTCAATGTAATAATAGCAACTGAGAACAACAAAGTTCATTTATAATCTATTCAGATAATATAAGTCATAAGCCACAGCTGCTCTGTTTATCATTAGAAAGCTCACAGAGCTATTGTGAGCAAAAGCAACAAACAAAACAAGCCACAGAAACAAACTAACAAGATGATAGAATTTACAGAAAATCAAAACATGCAAAACTGAACCGTATATTGTTTAGTTATGTATAAATTATAAAGAAACAAGAGAAAAGCAAAAATTTGATTGCCCTTATGTGAAGGAGGAGTTGGGAAGAGGAATACAAATTTATTTTAAAGGCATTGCTAATCTTAAGCTAAGCAGCACATATATTTTAAATATCATTTATATCTTATATACACATATTTTATGTGGATTATCTATTTTAAAATCAATAATTGATTAAATATAGAAGAAGGTGAGGAAGTGGAGGCTAACAGTGCATGCTACTTTCTTTGTGGACACTTTGTATGAAAGGAAGAGACCAGAGAGAAGTAGCTGGAGTAGAAAACAGAATCGGAAAAGGTCTCTGTTTTCTGTCTGAGAGGAGTTTGAATGTGTTAACACACTGAAAAGGTGAGGCTGACCGCAGAGGAGAAGAGGGTCCTTGATGGGTCAGGTGACTCAGTATATACAAGTGTGATGGTTAATTTTAGGTGTCAACTTGATCGAGTTAGGGGAGGCCCAGATAGCCGGTAAAATACTATTTTTGGGTGTATCTGTGATGGCCTTTCCAGAAGAGATTAGCATTGAAATCAGTGGAGTGAGTAAAGAAGACCCACCCTCACTCAACATGGGCGGTCATAATCCAATCCAATGAGGGCCTGAAGAGAACAGAAAGGCAGAGGAGGGGCAAATTTGCTCCCTCTGCTTGAACCCGGCACCCACCTTGTCCCACCCTTGGGCACTGGTGGGAGCTCCTGGCTCTTGGACCTTCAGACTGCAGGACTTACACCAGCATCCCTGCCCCCACTCAGTTTTCAGGCCTTTGACTTTGGCCTGGGAGTTACACTATGGGCTCTCCTAGTTCTCTGGCCTTGAACTCAGACTGAATGATACCATTAGCTACACTGTGGGACTTCTCAGCCTCTAAAATCTTGTGAGCTAATAAATTCCCATAATAAATCTCCTCTCCTCTCTCTCAATAGGAGAATATACATATTTAATTCATAAGGAAACATATATATATGTTTCCTTGTGAATTAAAATTTCAATCATCTGTTGAAACTAATCAGTAACAAAGCAAGTCAGGACAGTTGAGAGTGGTAGAAGTTTCAAGTAATTACAGTGAGGCTGGAGAAGAGAACGATTACAGAGCAGCAATAAGGGTTTGGATCGAGTTGGAGACCATGGGTATGCCATCACACCCATTTGTTCCTTCTTGCCAGGTATGCCAAGCTTCTCAGGTGTAAGAGTATAGGAAAGGTCTGGATTGAGCTAAGCTTTGCATTTTTCTCGGCGGGTGCTACAACAGGTGCACCCAGGCTCAAGTAAATGGATTCACAAGCCATGCGGTTTAGGCATTCTCAGGTCAAGGAAAGAAGACAAGAATGGGCAGAAGGACAGAATGTAAACAGTAAAAATGTTGGTGGCCTTGATGTGGTCAAATAACTGGAGTGCTGGAAATAAGACAGTGGGAGAAATGTGGGGAGGATAAGGAAGGCACTACCAAAAGTTTAAGAATCCAGGAAAGAAAACTAAGGCACTGATAAAGTCCAGGGTGAGGCCCTGATGCATATGGTGAGAGAGACCTGGTGTGCTGGTGCTGGAAGTGAAGCGATCAGGGAACTGTGAAGCAAGTTTGTTGGATGTCTGCATTGATATTGAAATTGGCCTGGAAAATGGTGGTGAGAAAGAAAATGATCTGAGGGCTAAGGTTCTTGATAAATGTGGAGTGACTGGGGTGTTGGTGAACAACAGCAAGGGAGGATGGTGGAAGGTGGTAACCAGATGGCAAGAGCCCCAAAAGAAGAGAAGCTTTTGTCAGGCCTCTGAGCCCAAGCTAAGCCATCGTATCCCCTGTGACCTGCACATATACATCCAGATGACCTGAAGCAAGTGAAGAATCACAAAAGAAGTGAAAATGGCCGGTTCCTGCCTTAACTCATGACATTCCACCATTGTGATTTGTTCCTGCCACACCGTAACTGAGCCATTAACCTTGGGAAATTCCTTCTCCCGGCTCAGAAGCTCCCCCACTGAGCACCTTGTCACCCCCACCCCTGCCCACCAGAGAACAACCCCCTTTGACTGTGATTTTCCACCACCTACCCAAATCCTATAAAACAGCCCCACCCCTATCTCCGTTTGCTGACTCTCTTTTCAGACTCAGCCTGCCTGCACCCAGGTGAAATAAACAGCCTTGTTGCTCACACAAAGTCTGTTTGGTGGTCTCTTCACATGGACGCACGTGACATTTGGGCAGGGGACCTCCCTTGAGAGATCGATCCCCTGTCCTCCCACTCTTTGCTCCATGAGAAAGATCCACCTACAACCTTGGGTCCTCAGACCAACCAGCCCAAGAAACATCTCACCAATGTTAAATCGGGTAAGCGGCCTCTTTTTACTCTCTTCTCCAGCCTCTCTCACTATCCCTCAAACCTCTTTCTACTTTCAATCTTGGCACCATCCTTCAATCTCTCTCTTCTCTTAATTTCAATTCCTTTCCTTTTCTGGTAGAGACAGAGGAGACACGTTTTATCCGTGAACCCAAAACTCTGGCGCCAGTCACGGACTCAGGAAAACAGTCTTCCCTTGGAGTTTAATCACTGCGGGAACACCTGCTTGATTACTCACCCATGTTTCAGAGGTGTCTGATCACCATGGGGAAGCCTGCCTTGATCCTTCACCTTTAGTGGCAAGCACCACTTTCCTGGGGGTCAATCACCCCCTACCCCTTCTCTCCGTGTCTCTATCCTCTCTTTTCTCTGGGCTTGCCTCCTTCCCTATAGGAAAACTTCCACCCTCCATTCCTCCTCCTTCTCCCTTAGCCTGTGTTCTCGAGAACTTAAAACCTCTTCAACTCACATCTGACCTAAAACCTAAACCCCTTATTTTCTTCTGCAATACCACTTAACCCCAATACAAACTCCACAATGGTTCCAAATAGCCAGAAAATGGCACTTTCGATTTTTCCATCCTACAAGATCTATATAATTCTTTTTGTAAAATGGGCAAATGCCTGACGTCCAGGCATTCTTTTACACGTGGGTCCCTCCCTAGTCTCTATTTCCAATGTGACTTGTCTCAAATCCTCCTTCTTTCCCTCCTGCCTGTCCCCTCAGTCCCAACCCCAAGCGTCACTGAGTCTTTTCAATCTTCCTTTTCTACTGACCCATCTGACCTCTCCCCTCCTCCCCAGACTGTTCCTCCTCAGGTCACTCCCTGCCAGGCCGAATCAGGCTCCAATTCCTCCTCAGCCTCTGCTCCCCAACCCTATAATCCTTCTATCACCTCCCCTCCTCACACCCAGTCCAGCTTACGTCTTATAGTTTCATTCCGCGACTAGCTTTCCCCAACCTGCCCAACAATTTCCTCTTAAAAAGGTGGCTGGAGCTAAAGGCATAGTCAAGGTTAATGCCCCTTTTTATTTATCCAACCTCTCCCAAATCAGTTAGCATTTAGGCTCTTTTTCATCAAATATAAAAACCCAGCCCAGTTCATGGCTTGTTTGGCAGCAACCCCGAGACGCTTTACAGCCCTAGATCCTGAAGGGTCAGAAAGCTGTCTTATTCTCAATATGCATTTTATTACCTAATCTTCTCCTGACATTAAATAAAGCTCCAAAAATTAGATTTTGGCCCTCAAACCCCACAACAGGACTTAATTAACCTCGCCTTCAAGGTGTACAATAATAGAGTAGAGACAGCCAAGTAGCAACATATTTCTGAGACTGCAATTCCTTGCCTCCACTGTGAGAGAAACCCCAGCCACATCTCCAGCACACAAGAATTTTAAAATGCCTAAGCCACACATGCCTAAGCCACAATGGTCAAGCATTCCTACAGGACCTCCTCCATTAGGACCTTGCTTCAAGTGCCAGAAATCTGGCCACTGGGCCAAGGAATGTCTGCAGCCCGGGATTCCTCCTGTGCCATGTCCCACCCATGCAGAGACCCACTGGAAATCAGACTGTCCAGCTTGCCTAGCAGCCACTCCTAGAGCCCCTAAAGCTCCAGCCCAAGGTTCTCTAACTGACTCCTTCCCACATCTTCTCAGCTTAGCGGCTGATGACTGACCCTGCCTGATCTCCTTGGAAGCCTCCTGGACCATAACAGATGCTTTGGGTAAATCTTAACAGTGGAGGGTAAGTCCACCCCCTTCTTGATCAGTATGGAGGCTACCCACTCTACATTGCATTCTTTTCAAGGGCCTATTTCCCTTGCCTCCATAACTGTTGTGGGTATTGATGGCCAGGCTTCAAAACCCCTTAAAACTCCCCCACTCTGGTGCCAACTTGGACAACATTCTTTTATGCACTCCTTTTTAGTTATCCCCACCTTCCCAGCTCCCTTATTAGGTCAAGACATTTTAACTAAATTATCTACTTCCCTGACTATGCCTAGGCTACAGCCTCATCTCATTGCTGCCCTTTTCCCCAGTTCAAAGCCTCCTTTGCATCCTCCCCTTGTATCTCCCCACCTTAATCCACAAGTATAAGACACTCTACTCCCTCCTTGGTGACCAATCATGCACCCCTTAGTATCCCATTAAAACCAAATCACCCTTACCCCACTCAATGCCAACATCCCATCCCACAGCACGCTTTAAAAGGATTAAAGCCCATTACCACTTGCCTGTTACAACATGGCTTTTTAAAGCCTATAAACTCTCCTTACAATACCCAATTTTACCTGTCCAAAAACCGGACAAGCCTTACAAGTTAGTTCGGGATCTGCACCTTATCAACCAAATTGTCTTGCCTATCCACCCTGTGGTGCCAAACCCATATACTCTCCTATCCTCAATACCTCCCTCTACAACCCCTCTATAACCCATTATTCTGTTCTGGATCTCAAACATGCTTTCTTTACTATTCCTTTGCACCCTTCATCCCAGCCTCTCTCTGCTTTCACTTGGACTGACCCTGACACCCATCAGGCTCAGCAAATTACCTGGGCTGTACTGCCGCAAGGCTTCACAGACAGCCCCCATTATTTCAGTCAAACCCAAATTTCTTCCTCATCTGTTACCTATCTTGGCATAATTCTTCATGAAAACACACGTTCTCTCCCTGCTGATTGTGTCCGGCTAATCTCCCAAACCCCAACCCTTTCTACAGAACAACAACTCCTTTCCTTCCTAGGCATGGTTAGGTACTTCTGCCTTTAGATACCTAGTTTTACCATCCTGACTAAACCATTATATAAACTCACAAAAAAAAAAAAAAAAAAAAAAAAAAAAAAAAACTAGCTAACCCCATAGATCCTAAATCCTTTCCCCACTCCCCTTTCCATTCCTTAAAAACAGCCCTAGAAGCTGCTCCCATGCTAGTTCTCACTAACTCATCCCAACCCTTTTTATTACACATAGCCAGCGTACAGGGCTGTGTGGTCAAAATTCTTACACAAGAGCCCGGGACTGCGCCCTGTAGCCTTTCTGTCCAAACAACTTGACCTTACTGTTTTAGGCTGGCCATCGTGTCTCTGTGTGGCGGCTGCCACTGCCCTAATACTTTTAGAGGCCCTCAAAATCACAAACTATGCTCAACTCACTCTCTACAGTTCTCATAACTTCCAAAATCTATTTTCTTCCTCACACCTGATGCATATATTTTCTGCTCCCTGGCTCCTTCAGCTATACTCACTCTTTGTTGAGTCTCCCACAATTACCATTGTTCCTGGCCTGGACTTCAATCTGGCCTCCCACATTATTCCTGATACCACACCTGACCCCCATGAATGTATCTCTCTGATCCACCTGACATTCACTCCATTTCCCCATATTTCCTTCTTTCCTGTTCCTCACCCTGATCACATTTGGTTTATTGACGGCAGTTCCACCAGGCCTAATCACCACTCACCAGCAAAGGCAGGCTATGCTATAGTATCTTCCACATCTATCATTGACGCTACCACTCTGTCCCCCTCCACTACCTCTCAGCAAGCCAAACTCATTGCCTTAACTCAAGCCCTCACTCTTGCAAAAGGACTACACATCAATACTTATACTGACTCTAAATGTGCCTTCCATATCCTGCACCACCATGCTGCTATATAGGCTGATGGGGTTTCCTCACTAAGCAAGGGTCCTTCATCATTAACATCTCTTTGATAAAAACTCTTCTCAAGGTCGCTTTACTTCCAAAGGAGGCTGGAGTCATTCACTGCAAGGGCCATCAAAAGGCATCAGATCCCATCACTCGGGGCAAAGCTTATGCAGATAAGGTAGCTAAAAAAGCAGCTAGTGTTCCAACTTCTGTCCACGGCCAGTTTTCCTCCTTCTCGTGGGTCACTCCCACCTACTCCCCCAGTGAAGCTTCCACTTGTCAATCTCCTCCCACACAAGGCAAATAGTTCTTGGACCAAGGAAAATATCTCTTTCCATCCTCACAGGCCCATTCTATTCTGTCGTCATTTCATAACCTCTTCCATGTAAGTTACAAGCCACTAGCCCACCTCTTAAAACCTCTCTTTTCCTTTCCATCGTAAACATCTATCCTCAAGGAAATCACTTCTCAGTGTTCCATCTGCTATTCTACTACTCCTCAGGAATTTCTCAGGGCCCCTCCCTTCCCTACACATCAAGCTCAGGGTTTTGCCCCTGCCCAGGACTGACAAATTGACTTTACTCACATGCCCCGAGTCAGGAAACTAAAATACCTCTTGGTCTGGGTAGACACTTTCACTGGATGGGTAGAGGCCTTTCCCACAGGGTCTGAGAAGTCCACTGCAATCATTTCTTCCCTTCTGTCAGACATAATTCCTTGGTTTGGCCTTCCCACGTCTATACAGTCCAATAACAGACCAGCTTTTATTAGTCAAATCACCCAAGCAGTTTCTCAGGCTCTTGGTATTCAGTGGAACCGTCATAACCCTTACCGTTCTCAATCTTCAGGAAAGGTAAAATGGACTATTGGTCTTTTAAAAACACACCTCACCAAGCTCAGCCTCCAACTTAAAAAGGACTGGACAATACTTTTACCACTTGCCCTTCTCAGAATTCAGGCCTGTCCTCAGGATGCTACAGGGTACAGCCCATTTGAGCTCCTGTATGGACGTTCCATTTTATTAGGCCCCAGTATCATTCCAGACACCAGCCCAACTTGAACTGCACCCCAAAAACTTGTCATCCCTACTATCTTCTCTCTAGTCATACTCCTATTCACCATTCTCGACTACTCGTAAATACCCTGCCCTTGTTTACACTGCCGGTTTACACTTTTCCTCCAAACCATCATAACTGATATCTCCTAGTTTTACCTCAAACCACTACCCTTAAGTCTGTCTTAAAGTGGATAATCTTTGTTGACAGGGTACACTCCAATACTTTCACCCTGATGAAGTCCTATTCTTTACTTGTATACTCACTCTTATTCCTGTTCCCATTCTTATGCCATCCTCTGCCTCTCCCCAGCTATCTCCACCACACTATCAATCACACTCACTCTCTCCTAGCCATTTCTAATCCTTCTTTAACAATTGCTGGCTTTGCAGTTGCTGGCTTTGCATTTCCCTTTCCTCCAAAATCGCGGAGGCCTTGACTTACTGCCAAATAAAAATAAAAAATAAAAAAATAAAAAACTCCATGTATTTTTAAATAAAGAGTGTTGCTTTTACCTAAATCAATCTGGCCTTGTATATGACAAGATAAAAAAACTCAAGGATAGAGCCCCAAAACTTGCCAACCAAGCAAGTAATTATGCTGAACCCCCATGGACACTCTCTAATTGGATGTCTTGGGTCCTCCCAATTCTTAGTCCTTTAATACCTGTTTTCCTCCTTCTCTTATTCGGACCTTGTGTCTTCCGTTTAGTTTCTCAATTCATACAAAACCGCATCCAGGCCATCACCAATCATTCCATATGACAAATGTTCCTTCCAACAACCCCACAATATCACACCTTACCACAAAATCTTCCTTCAGCTTAATCTCCCCCAGTGTAGGTTCCCACACCGCCCCTAATCTGGCTTAAAGCAGCCCTGAGAAACACTGTCCATTATCTCTCCATACCACCCCCCTAAAATTTTTGCTGCCCCAACACTTCAATACTATTTCATGTTACTTTTCTTATTAACATAAGAAGACAGGAATGTCAGGCCTCTGAGCCCAAGCTAAGCCATCGTATCCCTTGTGACCTGCACATATACATCCAGATGGCCTGAAGCAAGTGAAGAATCAGGAAAGAAGAGAAAATGGCCAGTTCCTGCCTTAACTGATGACATTCCACCATTGTGATTTGTTCCTGCCACAACTTAACTGAGCCATTAACCTTGGGAAATTCCTTCTTCTGGCTCAGAAGCTCCCACACTGAGCACCTTGTGACCCCCGCCCCTGCCCGCCAGAGAACAACCCGCTTTGTAATTTTCCACCACCTACCCAAATCCTATAAAATGGCCCCACCCCTATCTCCCTTTGCTGACTTTCTTTTTGGACTCAGCCCACCTGCACCCAGGTGAAATAAACAGCTTTGTTGCTCACACAAAGCCTGTTTGGTGGTCTCTTCACACAGAGGGCATGACAGCTTTTATCTGAGGAATGAAAATTCCTCATGTGGGAGTCATGCTGTGAAGCTAGTTTATAGGGTACACGTAGTGTGGGAGAATAACCTGACTTCCCTTGAGGATAAAAAGAGCGTTAGGTTCTAGCTTCGATGCCATAATGTTTTAAAATAGCTCAAGCCCCTTGTCTTCACTCTTATTTTTAATCTTCAAACTTTTTCTAGCTATGAGTTCTACTGATTTCTTTTCACTTGCTAACCTCACAGCACCTAATCACCATGCATAGTAAAACTTGGAAATATGTCTAAGACACTGGATTGCACTCTGCTGAAGACAAAAAAAATCTAATATTTGCATTTATGTCCACAGTACCTAGCGTAGTGCCCAGAAAATAAAAGGTGCTCTATATGTTTATTGAATGAATGAATAGAGCAATATTAACAAATGGAAAGGATTGTGAAAGCAATGAATGAATACTAATACAAATCTGGGTTTGTATTTGTGGAGGAGCATGTGTGTGCTTCTTGCATGAAGTCATTAGAGAAGCAATTAAGATACCCTCGAGGACAGTTATAAAGTCTGATCGCTGGAGAGAGTTTTGGGCAAGGAATATCATTTTAATCCAAAATATAGGAAAAGTCACTAGAAAAATAACAAAGCATTATGGAAAATACCATCACAATCACTTAGTGAATAGCCATGAAGAGAAAAATGTCAATACAGTCCCCACTGGTACATTCTGAAACTAAGATCCATCTAAATACCTACTAATGAAGTTTTTTTAATTGAAAACATATTTTCATAATTTAAGTACTATAGAGTACACATTCAACAAAGAAAGCCTGTTTCATAGTGTTGGAAATAAGAGTCCTGTGAAATCAAGTTTATTGTTAGAAGTGGGTTTTAAGAAACCTGAAAAGATTGGTAATACTAAAAGAAATATGGAACAGATGTTGTCTCAAGCAGAGTCCTGGACAAATAATATCAAAATATTGATATGAAGTTAATGACAAAGGGTGATAGCATTGGTATGTTTTTTTGTTTTTGTTTTTTCTTTTTGCAAAATGTGTACATGCTCTAATCAGCAGTGTACAACTTCTTTTTAATCTGAGAAATAGCTAAACAATTTTAGTATTAGGTATGCTTTGAATTTAGATTTTAATAGGTCATATATTTATAGAAACCACTAGATGAGGTTTCAGAAGTGTAAATCTTGCTCTTTGCTCAATGGAAGTGTTTCTCATTAAACAGTCTGTTCTGGTCCTCGTAAATAAGTCCGCCTAGAAGTTATGCCTAAAGAGATAATAAACATCAATCTAATAGTGTATGTGATGCGTGAGTAAGTTTGTAAACTGTAGGGTACTCAGTGATGTAACAACATTGGTGTGCCGGATATCCTGAAAAGATTTAAAGATATATAAACAGTAAATAGAATACACACTTTCCTCTACTACTTAGGAGATACATGGAATTCTAGAAATAAACAAATCCTGATATTTTGCCTCAATGTGTTAGCTTTATTTAAAATGAAAAACAAAAGGAATTTAAGGGAGATTAACCACTGACTGATGACAGAATTTGGACAAAGGGTCAGATCTCCTGTGCTCTGGGCCTCCCCTTCTCTTTTGCCTTGTATTTGAAAACTGTATTTATGTTACTAACACTTGGTATCTACAAAAAATGCCTTGACTTTTACATATGAGCAAAACAAATTAAAAATTTTAAGTTTAAATTTTATTTAAACTTTATTTATTTAAACTTTAAAAATTAAGTTTAAATTTTATTATAGAGGTGTGGACTTTAATACATCTAACAAAGAATGAATGAAATAAAGTTTCAGGTGGAAAAGTAATTACTCCATTAGAGTGACAGGATGCAGAATCAGGAATCATATTAGCCTAGACTTAAAACTATATGTAGAATTTATTCATAAATATTTTCCAATAAACTGTATAACTGATCTTCCCCTTTTCCAAAAAACCCCACAAGATTTTCATAATAAAGAGGTTAGTTTGTGCAGTGATGTTCCAATATTATAACTTGTTTAAGGGGCTGGATTCCACTGAACATGCTTTCAATTCTTTTAGGTATATACCCAGAAATGGAAGTGCTGGATCATATAATAATTCTATTTTTAATTTTTTGAGGAACTGCCATACTGTTTTCCACAATTCCACATTCTGGATTCCAAAATGTTAAGTTCAAAGTTATACAGAACCAGAACTGACTAACCCGAACTGAGAGGCTCTTTGGGTTGAATAGGGCTGGTTATTTACAGAAGGCATGGCTGAAGCAGATCTATTGTTCTGACTGGCCCTTACAGCCACATAAATTCTGAAATTCTTTCTTTCCTTCCTGCCCAAATTAAAGATTTGGAAGTAGAGTTGAAAGCAAAACTTCAGAATGTCAAACCCACAAAAATGTTATGGTTTTGGGGTATTTAATCTTCTTAGACTATTAAAAAGATCTGAGTGGGTATTTGTTTTTATTTGGGACTAACGTCAGCTTCCAAACCAGAAAAATGCATCAAGAAGTTTCACAGCTGCTTCAAATAAATTTTGGCTTAAAGAACAAAAGTTTTAAATCAGGTATTAAAAAAAAGTGATAAAGCATTATATACAATTATTTCCTACCACAGAAATTTTGGAAAGCTGCATAAAGAATCCAATTTTGATCCTTAAAAATTATTTTTATCAATTCCTGTCTTTCAAGAAAGATGATAAAATGTAGTCACTTCCTGCACAATCTTGGCTCACTGCAACTTCCACCTCCCAGGTTCAAGCGATTTTCCTGCCTCAGCCTCCCGAGTAGCTGCGATTTATGGGCGTGTGCCACCAAACTTGGCTTTTTTTTGTATTTTTATTAGAGACAGGGTTTCACCATGTTGGCCAGGCTGTTCTCGAACTCCGGATCTCAGGTGATCTGCCTGCCTCAGCCTCCCAAAGTGCCGGGATTACAGGCGTGAATCACCACGCTTGGCCAAATTTAGTCACTTGTTTCAGCTGAGAGAAACTTCCAGTCTAATCTTTCTTCTGCCTCCACCTCCCTCCCCAGTTCACCCTTCTGTGCATGCATAGCTATATGCTCTCTTCTCTTCCTCCTACTTTAAAATAATTCCAAAGAATTTGGCTTCAAGAAAATTATGTCCCGGCTAGTCTCCAGTAAGAGTCACAGAATCATTTATTATGCACTAGATGCCCTAATTATAGAACAAATGATTTTACAGTTTAAGTGTATAAAATAGAGATATATCTTGATGTTAGAACCATTTTGTATACTGTTTTACATCAATTGGCTCACCAAACCTCCTGTAAATATAGACAAAAATGAAGAGCAAACTTCATTGGGATGTTAAAATTTTTGAAATGAGAATTCTTTGTTTTATCTCGAGAGTACAGGGTCACACACATAGTTAATAAACAATAAATAAGGAAGGAATGAAACCCCCCGTACTGATGATGGATATGTGACATCTTCACATGACTTACTCGTGAGGATTAGCTACAAACACTGGGTCTTCCCTTTTTTAATTTCCTTACAGATTGTGGACCACACAAATGAAAGAGGTTGGCAACTGCTAAGTTTGCTATTCTGTAATTAGGTTATTAATCCTAAAGTTTTTTCTCTATGAGGAAAATTAAAGGCTGACTGTTTTTTTTTGTTTTTAAAAATATAACTAAGTTCTAGCCAGGCATGGTGGCTCACATCTATAATCTCAGCACTATGGGAGGCCGAGGCAGAAGGATTGCTTGAGTTCAGGGGTTTAAGACCAGCCTGGGTAACATAGCAAGACCTCATCTCTATTAAAAAAGAAATACACACACAGTTCTATATTTACTCTCCACCTCTCAACAGGGTATGTTTTACAGTTAGTATCACATTTGGCCACCCTGTCAATGCTGTTGCTATTCACTCAGGAGAAAGTATATGCCTACGTCAATTTTTCCTGGGGCTGATACATTTCTGTTATTTTTCCTTCCACTGAAAAAAGCCATTATTAGTGTTACTTCTTTGCCCACTGAATATGGCAGACACTTGGACTGGTTGATCAACCTGTATTTCCAAATCCATTCCTCCCCCGTCTGCCTCTACCACAGTGTAATAAAACTCACTTTTCCAGACTATCTTTAAGCTTTGAGCGATTATGTGACACAGTCCTGGCTAGTGAGATGCAAAGCTGACTGGCAGCTGCTAATGCTTTCTGTTCCCTCTCCTCCTCCTTCCTGCCTAGCTCATGGATGGTGAAGCAGCCATCTTGCAAATACGGAGATTAAAACTACATGCTAAGGATGGCAGCATAGAAAGATGTAACAAGCCTAAGATATTAGCCACATTGTAGAATCACTGCACCAGAATGGAGGACCTATCTGAACTTTTTCCAATTTTTAAAATAGTGGTAATATACACATAACATAAAATTTACCATTTTGACCATTTTAAGTGTACATGGTATTAACTACATTCATATTGTTGTACAACCATCACCACCATCCATCACATCTCTATAAGTCTCTTCATCTTGTAATACTGAACCTCTGTACCCATTGAACAACAACTCTGCATTCCCCTTTCCTCCAGCCCCTGGGAACCACCATTCTACTTTCTGTCTCTGATTTCTGACTGCTCTAACTACCTCAGCTAAATGGAGTCATACAGTATTTACCTTTTTGTGATTAGCCTATTCATTTAGCATAATGTCTCCAAGGTTCATCCATGTTGTTGCATATGTCAGAATTTTTTTCTTTTTATGGCTAGATGATATCCCGTTGTATTTATGTGCCACATTTTGTATATTTATTCACCTACTCATGGACACTTGGATTGCTTCCACATTTCAGCTGTTGTGAATAATGCTGCTATGAATATAGATATACAAATATCTCTTTGAGAGCATGCTTTCTATTCTTTTAGGTATATACCCAGAAATGGAAGTACTGGATCATATAATAATTCTATTTTTAATTTTTTGAGGAACTGCCATATTGTTTTCCACAATAGCGGTATCATTTTATATTCCTACCAATACTAACAAGGGTTTCAGTTTATCTACATCCTAGCCAATATTTGTTACTTTCTGCTTGTTTGGTGTTTTTAAAGTAAATCTTAGTTATTCTAATGCATGTGAGGTATCTCATTGTGGTTTTGACTTGCATTTCCCTAGTTATTGGTGATAGTCAGCATCTTTTCATGTGCTTACTGGCCATTTGTCTTGTATTTTGACAAATGTCTGTTGAGGTCTTTGCTCATTTTTGAATTGGGTTGTTTTTTGTTGTTGAGTTTAGGAGTTACGGATATTAATACCTTATCAGATATGTGATTTGCAAACAAACATTTTCCAGCATTCTATATGCCATGGTCTAAATGTGTCCTCCCCAAAATTCATTTGTTGAAACTTAATAGCCAATGTGATAGTATTAAGAGGTGGGCCTTTTGAACAGTGATTAAGTCATGAGGACTCTTCCCTTGTGGATGAGATTAAGTCCTTTATGAAAATGCTGGAGGGAGCAATCCCATTACTAGGTATATACCCAAAGGATTATAAATCATTCTACTATAAAAACACATGCACACATATGTTTATTGCAGCACTATTTACAATAGCAAAGACTTGAAACCAACCCAAATGCTCATCAATGATAGACTGGATAAAGAAAATGTGGCACATATACCCCATGGAATACTATGCAGCCATAAAAAAGGATGAGTTCATGTCCTTTTCAGGGACATGGATGAAGCTGGAAACTGTCATACTCAGCAAACTAACACAGGAAGAGAAAACCAAACACTGCATGTTCTCACTCATAAGTGGGAGTTACACAATGAAAACACATGGACACAGGGAGGGGACATCACACACTGGGGTTTGTCGGGGGGGTAGGGAGCTAGTGAAGGGATAGCATTAGGAGAAATACCTAATGTAGATGACAGGTTGATGGGTGCAACAAACCACCATGGCACGTGTATACCTATGTAACAAACCTGCACATTCTGCACATGTATCCCAGAACTTAAAAGTATGAAAAAAAAGAACAGAATAATCTCTACCTATAAGATGTATTTGCCTTTTGAATCTTGTAATCTTATGAATCCATTATGAATCTTGCATTATTAATCTTGTAATCTTGTAAGATTCATAATGGAAATCCAACTTATACATCTAAGATTAGTATTCATTGGAACAATGTGGAAGTATGTATGGGATGTGATCACAAAGCAACATTAGTAGTTCAGATTTGTATCAATCAACTAGTCAACACTATGGATATAGTCCACCTACCGCTTTTGAACCCATCCATTCTCTATTACTATTCATTTTTATCCTTCATTCTTTCTCACATGCTTTGGCCAGTGACTTGCTAAAATCCAAACACTGTGTCTATAGAATTTTTCTATCTACGAATTTAGTCACCCTAAACAACAGCAATGTGTTGTCTCTTATGGGTTGTTTTCAGTGCTTTAACCATGCTGTTTCTCAGTTAACTGCTTGCTGAAAGTGTGTTTGTTTGTATATTCTGGAATCTGCTGGCCACTGATAAAATGGGCTTAAGTCTGACAGTGTGAATGGGTTTCATCTTTTTTATGCAGTGTTTCACCATTAACATAATACATTCCTATATGTTATAAATGAAATTCATTGAATTTGAATCATATAATTTTTACAGGAGATTACTAATTGCTATGTAATCTGAGTACGTTATGATTCCAAGGTGGAAACAGGGTTTGGATGGCTTAGGTGCCTTCCTTTTACTGGTTGTCACACACTCTTACCACGAATGAGTGGGAAGAGAATAGCTTCAGAGCCACAGGTCAGTTGAACTTGCCTGTTACTACCTGAATGACTTTAAGCTATTACTTAATACTATGAGTATTCCTTTCTTACTTTTGTTCAGATACGAATATAGTGTGTATCTTGAAGGACTTGAGATATCTATATCTATATATCAAGGTTATATATAATATATATATATATCTTATGAAGTCCTTCAAGATACACACTATTTGAACAAAATACACACACACACACACACACACAAACACATACCTCTTATATATCAAAAATATAATGAATGGCAGTTTACTTCTACGACATTCTTTCCAAAGTTTCTTTCAGTCCAGTTTCAATAGTTTCTTATTGTTAACAAAGGAAAAAAAGAAAAAAGGAGCTACTCGCTTTGCAATCCCCCCCTTTCCACTGCCTTACAAATGAAAAATGGAAAGTACCTCTGACTGGTTCCCTCCCACAACCAATCAGACTGGTTGTTGGCCAGGTTTTCATTTACATAGGGTGTAACCAAGTAACCAATGGGAAACCTCTAAAGGGTATTTAAACCCTAGAAAATTCTGTAACCAGGGCTCTTGAGCTGTTTGCTCAAGCCCACTTCCACTCTGTGGAGTGTACTTTTGTTTCAATAAATCTGTGCTTTTGTTTTGCTTCAAAAATAAAAAATGCTGGAGAGAAATTGCTAGCCCCTTTTTGCCCCTTCATCTCTTCTGCCATGTGAAAACACTAACATGGCACCATCTAGGGGAAACATGCCCTTACCAGACACCAAACCTGTCAGCACCTTGATCTTGGACTTCTCAGCCTCCAGAACCATAAGAAGTAAATTTCTATTGTTACTCAGGCTCAGGTATTTTTGTTATAGCAGCACAAATGACCTGAGACACCATAGGTTGCCTTTTCACTCTGTTGATAGTGGCCTTCCATGCACAAGGTTTTTAAGTTGGCTGGGCGTGGTGGCTCATGCCTGTAATCCCAGCACTTAGGAAGCTGAGGTGGGCAGATTATTTGAGCCCAGGAGCTGAAATCCAGACTGGGCCACATGGCAAAACTACTTCTCTACAAAAGATACAGAAAAGTTAGCCAGGCTTGGTGGCATGCACGTATAGTCCCAGCTACTCTGGAGGCAAAGGTAGGAGATCACTTGAGCCTAGGAGGTTGAGGCTACAGTAAGCTGAGATCACACAACTGTACCCCAGCCTGGGTGACAGAGTGAGACTCTGATTTGAAAAAAAAAAACCAAGTTTTTAAGTTTCATGAAGTTCAATTTGTCTATTCTTTTTTTTGTTGTCTGTGCCTTTGGTGCCATATCACATCTTGCCAAATCCAGTGTCGTAAAGCTTTTGCCCTATGTTTTAACTAAGAATCATACTTTTAGCCTTTATTTTTAGGTCTTTAATTCATTTTAATTTTTTATATGGTGCTAGGTAAGGGTTCAACTTTATTTTCTTGCATGTTGATATCCAGTTTTCCTAGTACCATTTGTTGAAAAGATTGTCCTTTTCCCACTGAGTGTTCTTAGCATCCCTTTGAAAATTATTTGGTCATATGTGTGAGGGATTATTTCTGGGCTCTCTATTCTGTTCCATTGGTGTATATGTGTGTCTTTATGCCAGTGCCACACTGTTTGGATTACTGTAGCTTTGTATTAAATTTTAAATTCAAAAAGTTCAAGTCTCCCACATTTGTTCTTTTTCAAGATTTTGTCTGAACATTTAAGAAAAAAAAAAAGTCCTTCCTTATAGTTTTGGTTTTATATTATCTGCTGCTGAACACAATCCTGACACATTGGTATGATGTATTTTTGGTATTGAGCTCAACAATATGAGAAATTCCAAAAAACAAAGTTACAATTGAGTTCTGCCTCTCTAATATGTAAGACAATAATTTATCAAGATTAATTTGAGATCATTTTGTGAGAAAGGGAATTTTTCCTTTTTTGTTAAATGTAGGTACCAGAAAATTGATGATAATTTATATTCAATACCTGAGGGACTTCTAACCTCAGAGCTTTATTGAGAATGACTGAATTAGATTTTCATATCTGCTTCTGCATTTAATATGCTGTGATATGTTATTTTGGTTGACGTATACATAGAAAATCTCACCTCATACACAAAAGAGGTGGAAAAGAGCTTCTCAAAAGTTAGTTGCAGCGTGGAATCTGAAACTGTATCAGTGAACTTTTCATACTCTGCAACATTAAAAACAATCAGTCTCTCTTTCCACTTCAAATGGATCTTTTACCTCTGAATGATTTTGTAACATCACAGACTGGTCATTTGGAAAAGATTGGCTCAATAAGTTAGGTAGTTCTTCCAAACATTGATCCATCCCATCATGTAATGTTGAAAGAAAATCATAGGGTTTTTCATTTTGTTTTTGTTTTTGGAGATAGGGTCTTGCTCTGTCACCCAGGCTGAAGTGTGGTGGCACGATCTTGGCTCAATGCAGCGTTAACCACCCAGGCTTAAATGATCCTCCCACCCCAGCCTCCCGAGTAACTGGGACTAAAGACAAACACCACCATGCTCGGCTATTTTTTTAGAGATGAGATCTTGCTATGTTGCCCAGACTGGAAAAATCATGTTAATAATAACAAAATTGATTTTATCGGAAAAGCCTTTAAATATTAGGAAACTATTAAGCTCATGGCAATGGATACCAGTTTCCCAAAATCCTAATTGTTACCAGAAAGCTCAGATTTTTATCACCAACAACAGAGACTGCCAGTTGACCCCCTTGGAGTAACAGGCTCACTTTGATCATTTTCAAGAAAATTTCTGTCAAATATTAGATCTGAAGAACGATAGCTTCCTGTCATTCATCATTTCAAGGAAGAGTGGTGCTCAAGTAACAATGGTTACCCATGCTCTAAAAAAGTGACAGTTCAGCCCACATTAATCAACAGCACAGGTGCTTGTCCTTAAGACAACCATGGTACTTGGTATGCTTTAGCTTCATTTCCTATTGTGGCATAGAGAATTTTTAAAACACATATATTCAAGGGCAGAGATTCAATGGTAATTTTTCACTGTTTCATAAGGACATTCTGAAGTAATTATTTTAATTTTTAAATTTTTTATTTATTTTAACAGTGAGTATGTGATAGCAAAGAATACAGTGATAACTAGTCAAGTTTGGTGCCACTATCTTGATTCATGCTAAGGCACCAACAGTCTTACCCTCTATTGCTTTGGCACCATCACTGCAAACGTCAACACAATGAAAAAGGCAAATAATGTTTTAGCATTATTATGAAAATAGTTTTGACTCTATGGGCCACCAAGGGTTCACAACACATTTTGAGTAGCACTACCATATGGAATACCAAACTGACCAACAATTAAACCAAAAATACACAATATATCAAGTAAAGCTATTACCTAAGAAATCCAAGTCATTGAACAATCAGCATTAAGTGTCACTGGTTCATGAAACATGAACTCCTTTGCTGAGGTAATTGTACTTGTATTCCAAAAACAAGTCATCACATTAATATTTGTTATTTGCTTTTTCCTCTGATATAAGTAATGCATACTGACACTTGGAAAACTATGTAGGCAAAAAATTAGCTCTCTCTCACCACCCCCCCAGAATTAACTGTTTTTGATAATTGACATGCTTTGTTAATACTGTAAGCTTTCAACCTATCATTTAAAATTCTATCAAAACATAACGTTTGGTGGCTGTAAAATAGTCTGCTTTGAAGTTAAACAATTTTCCAACTACTTCTCTAGGGTCAGGTTATTTCCAATGTTTTGTTATAGGCATTGCTGTGAACATTTAATATAGATACATATTCTGGTCATTATTAGGTGTTGTCAGACCTTTTAATTTTAGTTATGTTCTGGTTTGTGTAGTAATAGTTGATTGTGGCTTAAATTACATTTCCTTGATAAATAATCTTTGGCAATTTTTCATGTGCTTATTTGCCACTCTTATATCTTCTTTTATGAATACTGTTAATAATTATTGTATCCTTTCCTCATATCTTTTTAACAGTTGCTTTCTGAAAAATTTGATTTTGTTGTATATGCCATTTTGCGTATGCTGACTCACTATAGAACTAATAAATGTAGCTCATGGGAAATAGAGAAAAATATGAAGAAAACATAATAGTCCCTCATAATCTTACCACTAAGAGGTTACCACTGCCAACCCTTTAGTTTATTTTTTTTTCAGTCTTTGCCAAATGCAATTTTCCATAATCAATATTATAGATTCATTTAGTGAACTACTTTTGTTTCAATACCACTGATGAGCATTTCTGTGCATTGTTAAATACTCTTTCCATATCACCCTTTCTTCTTCCTACACCATCCACAGGAAACTAAAGTTTAGATTGGGGAAAATCAATACAAGATAATAAATAATACAATACTATGATATATAAGGTAGTAAATATATAAATATATAAGTAAATATATAAATTTACTGCAGAACTGTAGTAAATTTAGAGGGCACTATAGAAGGTCAATTGGAGCTAGAGTTAAGAAAGAGCAATGAGAGGAAAAGACAGCAGGTGTGAGCCAGTGACCCATGTGAGCAGCCGCACCAAGGCAGAAGTGAGCAGGGCTATGGTGGGACCATTTGGGTTTGCACGAATATTTGGCAAGGAGAGCAGTGTGTTTGGTTCAGATTAAAAGTGGGAGTCGACAGATATTAGAGGTCCTTAAAGGTTGGCAAATGAGCTGCTGCTCTCTGCAGAACTGAAATATATTTAGAATTACATAGAACTTAATGGTGTACAGGAGAAACGCCTGCTTAACTACAAAACTCTTATTTATGATGGAAAAATAAAAACACCATATGCATACTGCCATTCCCAGAAAATACTGTGAAAATATTGCCTTGTTGTGGCTACAAATTGTGTAACCCCACCTTTGGTGAATGACATATATTTTCTAATTTTATGCTAATAATATGATAGAGACACAATTATCTCAGATTTTAAAACTGATAAAGTCTAGGTGGGTTGAGCCATCTGCCTGCAATCACCTCATGTCCCATAAATCATAGGAAGGAGTTCAAACTCAGACCTGATTTCATGCTTGTTCTTTATCTAAAGGATGGTTCTCAACCCTGGATACACATTAAAATCAGCCGCAGAGCTTTTAAAACTTTCAATGCCCACATTTCCATCCACTATTCTGAATTTCTGATTAATTAATCTGAAGCGGGGGTCTAATCTCGATGTTTTTAAATGTTCTCCCCCAGTAATTATCATGTGCATTCATATTTAAAAACCGCTGTTAGAGACCACACTGCTCAGCCAGCATGGACCTTGGTGTTCCTCAGATTGTTATGAAAACTGTCAGGGCTTTTTCTCCAGAACTTACCTAGTTTTGAATTAATAATTTGGTTAATTTCTTGAGCACAGGTTAAACTTCCCATTGAAATGTATTTTCAAGAAATGTACACGTGATATGTTTTCTGGTTCTTTCATATGTGAGAATGTCTTTTTCACTTCTTTACACAAGGAAAACCGAGTAAATATGTACTTTGGAGGAGCAATATTTACTCAAATGTTATAGATATTTTCTACTCTCTTCTGGAATTTATTGTTGCAGAAGGCAAATCTTATGCAAACCTTTTTTTCCTTTTTAAATTAACTCGTGTACTTTATTTTTTTTTTTTTTTTTTTACCATTTTAGAGCTATCATCTCTTTATCATTGATTTTTCTTATGAGTTCTGAGACAGCATCTGATATTTAAACTCTAATTCGATGATAGACATTGTCAATTCCTTCACTGATTTCAATAAAGACTCTAATACTCCTATATTTTCAATTTCTTGAAATGTCTTTAACTCGCCTAACAAGCTTCTTAATTCATCCTTGTACCTTCTGGCTCTTGTTTCATGTAATTCATATTCTTTTGGTTATGTCAGATAGTATAAAAATACTTTTTTATATTCTTGGGATAGTAATCACGTTCCCATATTCTGAAATATAGTTTCCTTTGTTGTTTTCCTCCTCCTTTATTCTTAATCAAACAAGTTCTGTTTAGATTGTCAATGATGGGCATGTGGATTTCCATTCATGACATTTGGTATCTGTGGGACTCCAGCTATAAATAGCTAAAAGGCCAATGAGCATACATTCTAAATTCTAGTCCAATTCTTAGTTTGTAAGAATTCATATTGTTTTGATTGAATATGTCAAGTAGTATCCTTGTACGGATATTGTCTGTATTGAGATGATTTGGGATATTTTCCTTCAAGATTATGATTTCTGAAAAGAGTTAATAAATATAAACTTATAATGCCCAATTAGCACTGCTGCAAAGGCTTCTGTGTCTTGGCCTCAGCCTACAACATTTTTATTTTTAAGGTCTGTATCTCCATGATGCAATGTAATAATGTATTCTCTTTTTTCACCCTTCCTCAAATTGCCAAGTTAAGTATAGAATGCCCAGTTAAGTTTGAATCTCAGATAAATGACAAATAATTTGTTAGTGTGAGTATGTCCCAAATACTTACGGGCACACTCACACTAACAAATTATTTGTAGTCCTCTTTTAAGACTTGGGACATACTTATATTAAAAATTACTTGTAGTTTGTATGAAATTCAAGTTCAACTGGGCATCCTTGTATTTTTATTTGCTAAATCTGACAATCATAAGTTTCTCTACATTCCTTTCAAGTTGTTTTCTGGGAGCCTCAGTTTCTAATTTGTATAGAAGGAGATGTTTTAGTGGGAGTGAGTGTATGTGAGGAGGGTTTGGTAACACAGAAGTCTCCCGGATCACTTCACAAGGCGGTACACCTGTGCAGAACAGTGATAGCTGCACAGTTTTGTCTTGGTATAATTCTGGTGTTCTTGAGTCAGAGGACAAATGGTTTGGGGATTCCTCTAGTTTCTTCCAGCTGGACAGCTTGTTCTGTGGCAAGGACTTGGCATTTGTGGGTCTTGGCTGCATTTTTCAATCCAAGTGTATCCATCTTGCTCTTGGATATAAGAGTTCCCAGATTCTGAAAATTGTAGTTTGAGGTGGCTTTTGTTAATTTTAAACGTTTTGCATGAGAAACTGGGAAAGGCTGACTGACTCTGAGGCTTTTAGCCAGAAGTTATTGGAAACTCGACTCCTGGCACTATTTGTGTGTGCTTGGACTACAACTTCTGAAGCATTGTCAGAGGCCCAAAATGAAAGGGGCAATCGTTATTTTTGGCCAAATGAATCCTGCCAAAACGGGATCAACTGAGATGTCTAAATCTACTTTTACAACAGCAAGGCATATTCTTTGGGAAAAGGCCATGGAGTTGCTGGATGCAGGATTGTCACCTAAGGATGTATTTCAAGTGATGCTGTAGCTTTTGAGCTTTTGCGTGTCTACAGATGTATGTTGGAATGCCTCAGGGTTGTTGGACCCAGTGTTGGTTTTTCCCAGTAAGGGACAGATTGTTGAAGGTCTACTCACCTCTTGCCTGTTTTACAGCCACTTGATACAACAGAGGCATTTTTAACAAGAATTCCTTCTTTTATGCTCCTCTGAGTAAATGGTCAATCATGCCATCCCTCACACCACTTAGCATTGCACTTAGATACAGGACCATCTGCTGCTGGTTGTTTGGCAATCTTCAGAGCATGTAAAAACAGGCAAAGTACAAGAAAACATCATCAGAATTGGTCTTGACACTCTTAGTTCAACCAGTTCCCAGCTACCAGCTCTTCTTAAATAAGTCATGCATTTAGCTCAGTTCAAAGCATAAGGTTATAGATCTTGCTTTTGTGTAAATGTGCAAATGCTTCATGCTGTGTTTTATCTTCCCAAACACAAGCCACCCCACCTGCTTTGCCTGTTTGATTTCTTCCAGCTGGTTTCCCATTTGTCTTAATTTACTCCCAAGGTTTTTGCCTTATTGACTTATCAAGGAAGCCTAGTCATTTATTTTACAAAGATTATCTCTTTATGGCTGTACAATTTGATGAGCAGAACACACATTTGGTGTTAATTATATTTACTTGGGTTTAGTAGAACAAGATGATGGATTTTTTTATAAACTCCCTAAGAGACGGGGACCGCCGAGGAACTCATGTGGAAAGAGTCCTTTCTTCCGCTACTGTTCATCAGAGGTGTTGAGACAAGCTGGGATGATGCCACACAACCTGCAACGTGCAACCCCAAAAGTTCTTTTTGAACTTCTTACACTGTTGACAAGCTGTTGTGGGAAAGCAAACCTCTGGAGGAGAACTGCTAGACAAAAAGGTGTTCATTTGAAATCCAGAAATGGGAGGATTAAAGAGTTTTGACCTGGATCCTGTGTAGCTGAACTTTCTCTTGTTCCAGGCCCACCCCATTTTGTTTTGTCCCATTCCAAATGGGTTCATTGTGTTTGAGTGGAAATATACTCTGCTGGGCAAGGAGGGAGAGCTGGAAAATTTCTAATACATTAGTGACTTGTACCCCAGAACTTCATTTTTCTTGACCTGTAAGATAAGGTCAGTAAGTGTTTAGCTGGGGACTAAACAGCTGAAAGAAAGAGATCTCAAACTACAATGCTCTTAAAAAGACAGTGGCTTAAATTAGAGGTTTGTTTCTTCTCATGTCATTGTTTTGAGGTGGGCGTTTCAAGCTGGTTGGGGGGCTCTGAATCTCTAAGCTATTCAAGAGCACAGTTTCTTTCCATCTTGCCATGGGGTCATACTTGAGGCCATTTTTCACACATGCAAGGGCAAAGCCGGGTCTTGGCAAATTCAGCCAGCCTGCAAGAAGGATGAAAAGAAGTCCAGGATGAGCAGTTGTTTTTCAATAAGTTTCACACACAGGAGCTTTTGTTCTTTCCCTCAGATCCCATTAGTGAGAACTTAGTCACGTGACTGTCACCACATGGGAAGCTGAGAAACATAGTCTTGAATAGGGAAGACATGCCCAGGAAAAAAGGGAGAATGGAATTTTGAGGACAAATAGCTATTAACCAGAAATATCAATATCAATAGTTGTAAAAGTCAAATAAGATAATAAGTGCTAAGCACCTGCTGATGTAGAGTATTACTGAGGACGTAATACTCAATAAAAAGCTTTTACCTGCCCTCATTTATATTCTTCTTTAGAGATTGAAAATTATTAGAAGAAGAGGAGGGGCAATTAGAAACATGATGCACAGCTCTAAATACAGACAGGAGAGGAATGGGAAGAACTGAGCTGGGTCTGATATCATTTGAAATTTAAATAACTTTCATTCCTGAATGATTTAATTAACTGGTTACACAGTGGAGGCTGAGTACAAAACAATTCTCCTAAAGAGCCTCTCTAAAAACATAACAGGAGTCATCCATTTTTAGTTATAGGACCATGAATTGTCTTATAAATAAACTTTCCAACATAGTTCTTTGGAAATTATAGGTGTTACATAATTGCTAGCTCAATATTTATTGTTCAACCATATTCAACATTGAAAGTCCTAAGATAAAAAGCTTAAGTGTGGATTAGACTCTGGCTGGAGCTTTGTCCATTGAAAAAATTCATATGTGAATTTCTGAGTAAGGCACTATCCCAAGTACTTTGATTTCTTTTTCTGTAACTTTGGAACAATCCAAGGATTTGGATGGTACAAGCTCAATAATACATGTGAAATGTCTAAGTCATACAAAGTCCATTTAAAACTTTTAAAGTATTACTATGCTTTAAGGTCAGAAAAAATAAAAATTAGGGTGTTTGGCAAAAACAAAGTTTTGTGGAAAGTAAAATACATAATAGACTTCTATTTTAATAACTGTGCTTAAATAAACTAATCCCCTTTGTTATAACACAAAACTCTTTAATTCTTTGACAAAATATATACATACTTATATGACTTGAAGGATATATATTGAGATTATTTCTGGTTGATGTATTTATGAAGGGCTATTATTTTCTTATTTGTTTTTCTAATATTCTCTTTCCCCAAGAAAATTAATGTGGGGAATTGGAGGGCAGAAGGAACAAGACTTGATATAATCATGCATTTTAATAGATCTTCTAACTACAAATGTTCCAAAAGGCTTTTCATATTGTCTGGAATCACAACAATCCAATATCCCCACTAGGTGACCAAGGAAAGGAGGGTTGGGATGATGTTGGGTGTTTTTTCAAATGTAAATCTATTATGTATGGCTCCCCAAGATAGTTGTGGGAACAAAATTGGAACATGTAACGCATCCATTAAAGGCCTCAAAACTCATGAAATTCATTGTTCATAGAAACATAATGAGTGCAAAAGACTGACATTTCCTTTGCCATTGTTTCTTTCTTTAATGCTCCCTAGTGCCCCATATTCCTACAGGAAACAGCTCCCCATTCCTTCCTCTTAATGGACATCAAAAGGCTTAGAAGCTATTTGTACATACACCATATGTGCATTGTAGAGACTGAAATCAAATCTTATTTCAAGTTCCCAAGTGGGAATTATGGAGGGGACTTGTCAGGGTTACTCCAGGAAATGAAGGTGAAGGTTATCACATTTATTTTCCATATCCAGAAAAATCTCATGTAGCCTATCTCCAATAAGAGATTTGTCTTTCAAAGTTAACTCTATATTTCCCAGAGAGAGTTCATTATGTTTCTTCAAATGCCTTCACACTACAGGAACTTGAGGGTGGAAGAGGAGGATGGAAATTAGCAGGTATAAATGAAAAACATTTATTCATGTAGTCCTACTTCAAATAGTGTTGCTATTCTAATCTGGGATTCTGGCCTCACTCTTTACCATAGCATTTGTTCTTTTCTAAATCTCATTTTCTCATTTTCCCTAAGTTGGTAGCAAAAACAAATTTGGCCATACAAAGCTCAATAGTAATACTGGCTCACAAGTAGAAAAATGTGTATCTTCTTGTCCTTTATATGGTTTCATTTACCTATGTGGGGGGTGTGTGGAAAGAGTGGGGTAGAGGGATTCTAATAAGTCTACAACTTTATTTATTCTACCTTGTTTGAGAAGTCGTTCTTTAAGACTTTAGGTGAAAAGTGTTTGATATCCTCTTTCTGCTTACTTGTCTATGACTCAAAAATATAGTAAGGGAAGAGAAATGTGTATTCCTGGTAATTCTGTCTGTGAGGTCCATTTGAATCCATATTTATGGGGGTTCACTGGTGACAAGAAAGTTTGATCCTGATGAAATCAAATCTAACTAAGAAATCTCAATGTTTTTGGTCAATGTAAGTAAATTTATGTCATTGTTTTCCAAAGTGTATTTCATAAAACACTAGTTCAGAGGCATTATTAATAGGTATCACACAAAAACTAGCTAGTCTCATTTTTTCAGATGTCCAAGAATTACTTGTGAACATACTCCAGTAAGTAAAATATGAATCCAGATAAGAGAGATAAAAACAAGAAAAAATGTTGAGTGAGAAACCAGTAAAACTAATAACCTTCTTAATTGTTAAGAGGCCATGCAGCCTAATGCCTGAGTTTAAGAAAGGATCTTTTAGAAAGGAGGGTGTATTAGTCTGGACTCATGTTGATAATAAAGACATACCCAAGACTGGGTAACTTATAAAGGAAAGAGGTTTAATTGACTCACAATTCCACATGGCTGAGGGGGCCCCACAATCATGGCAGAAGGCAAATGAGGAGCAAAGTCATATCTTACATGGCTGCAGGCAAGAGAGCATGGGCAGGGGAACTCCCTTTTACAAAACCATCAGCTCTAGCAAGACTTATTCACTATCATGAGAACAGCACAGGAAAACCCCACCCCTGTGATTCAATTACCTCCTGCTGGGTTCCTCCCATGACATGGGGGGATTATTACAATTCAAGGTGAGATTTTGGTGGGGACACAAAGCCAAATCATATCATTCCACCCCTGGCCCCTTCCAAATCTCATGTCCTCACATTTCAAAACCAATAGTGCCTTACCAACAGTCCCCCAAATTCTTAATTCATTTCAGCATTAACTCAAAGGTCCATAGTCCAAAATCTTATCTAAGACAAGGCAAGTTCCTTCCGCCTATGAGCCTATAAAATCAAAAGCAAGTTAGTTATTTGCTAGATACAATGGGGGTAAAGGCATTAGATAAATATAGCTGTTCCAAATAGGAGAAATTGGCCAAAACAAAGGGGTTACAGGCCCCATGCAGGTCTGAAATTCCTGCAGGGCAGTCAAATCTTAAACCTCCAAAATGATCTCCTTTGACTCCATGTCTCACATCCAGGTCACAATGATGCAAGAGGTGGGTTCCGACGGCCTTGGGCAGCTCCGCCCCTATGGATTTGCAAGGTACAGTTCCCTTCCCAGGTGTTTTCACAGGCTGGTGTTGCCTGAGGCTTTTCCAGACACACAGCACAAGCTGTCAGTTGATCTACCATTTTGGTGTCTGGAGGACAGTGGCCCCTCTTCTCACAGCTCCACTGGGCAGTACCCCAGTGGGGACTCTGTGTAGGGGCTCCAACCCCACATTTCCCTTTTGTACCGCCCTAGCAGAGGATCTCCATGAGGGCTCCGTGCCTGCAGTAAACTTTTTCCTGGATATCCAGGTGTTTTCATATATCTTCTGAAATCTAGGCAGAGGTTCCCAAACCTCAATTATTGACTTCTGTGTACTCATAGGCTCAATACCATGTGGAAGCTGCCAAGACTTGGGGCTTGCACCCTCCAAAAGCATGGCCTGAACTGTACCTTGGCCCCTTTTAGCCACAGCTGGAGCAGCTGGGAGGCAGGGCACTAAGTCCCTATGCTCACACAGCAGGGAGGCCATGGGCCTGGTGCAGGAAACCATCCCCCACCCCCACCCCCTGCCCGTGGGCCTGTGATGGGAGGGGCTGCCACAAAGGTCTCTGACATACCCTGGAAACATTTTCCCCATTGTCTTGGTGATTAACATTCAGCTCCTTGTTACTTATGCAAAGTTCTGCAGCAGGCTTGAATTTCTCCCCAGAAAATGGGTTTTTCTTTTCTATCGCATTGTCAGGCTGCAAATTTTCCAAGCTTTTATGCTCTGTTTCCGCTTGAATGCTTTGCCACTTAGAAATTTCTTGTGCCAGATACCCTAAATCATCTCTCTCAAGTTCAAAGTTCCACAGATCTCCAGGGCAGGGGCAAAATGCCTCCAATCTCTTTGGATAGGGAAGAATGACCTTTGCTCTAGTTCCCAACAAGTTCCTCATTTCCATCTGAGAGCACTTCAGCCTGAACTTTATTGTCCATATCACTACCAGCATTTTGGTCAAAGCCATTCAACAAGTCTCTAGGAAGTTCCAAACTTTCCAAAATCTTCCTGTCTTCTGAGCCCTACAGTCTCTAGAAAATTCCAAACTTTCCCACATTTTCCTTTCTTCTCCTGAGCCCTCCAAACTGTTCCAACCTCTGCCTGTTACCCAGTTCCAAAGTCAGTTCCAGATTTTCAGGTAATTTTATAGCAGCACCCCACTCTACCAGTACCAATTTACTGTATTAGTCCATGCTCACACTGCTAATACATACCTGAGACTGGGTAATTTTTAAAGGAAAGAGGTTTAACTGACTCACAGTTCCACTGGGGAAGCCTCATAATCATGGCAGAAAGCAAAGGAGGAGCAAAGTCACGTCTTACATGGCAGCAGGCAAGAACGCATGTGGAGGGGAACTCCCTTTTATAAAATCATCAGATCTCGTGAGATTTATTCACTATTATGAGAACAGCACAGGAAATACCCGCCCCCATGATTTAATTACCTCCCACCAAGTCCCTTCCATGACACGTGGGGATTATTACAATTCAAGGTGAGATTTGGGTGGGGACACAGAGACAAACCATATCAAAGGGTATACAGGAACTTATTCTAGTACAGGATATAATCAGTAGCCTCTGTCTAGAAAAGGAAATGCAAACCAAAAACCTGTGAGTCTCCTTAGATTTAAGTATAAAACAATCTTGTGCGGGAATCTTCTCTAGAATGAAAATGAGACCTGGAACCTGGGAATCAGGCCCCAATTAGGAGAGAGGTTGCTGCCAGGTCACTATGGAGTCATCTATGAGCTATGAATATGCAAAATCATGCAGACTGTTTGGAAAATTGAAGTCATTTTATATACTATCTGTAATTTAAAGAATTACTTCATTGTGCCTGATTTTCTAGAGATGGGATTATTACTTTGTAGGGTGGGTAGAATTTCTATTGTCTTTTTGGAACTACAGACTTAAGATAATACAGCCATCACAGTGGATTTCCTAGACCACAGTTCTCTTAGAGGCAGTGAGTCCCAGAGAGCAAGAAGAGCACATGTCTTGATCTTGGCTGCCTGAGAATCCTATAGAAGCTTATCATCCTTCTCCATTCCAAGACACACACAAAGCCCTATAGGAAATATCAAGATTGTTGTCTTTGGATGGTGACATTTCCTCTTTGGTTTTGTGTTTTTTGTGTTTTGTTTTTTTTTTTTTCTGAAAGGGTGAAAATGATGCCTTACTTTTTATATTAATAAGAACTCATGAAATACATGTATATTGTAAAAAATATAATTTACTACCAATACATCAAGGAAAGTGACCAAAAAGAGTTTTACTCTAGAAATGTTTGAAATGTAAATTGAAGACACTTAGCTAATTTTTTAGTGGTAACTTTGATAAAATAGGCTTAGGCATGGTTCAGACATGTTAAGATATTTTAAGAAATGTGGTTTAAAACATGCAACTTTTATTTTGCCTTCTATTTAATGCTACCTAGGGTTTCATGCTTAACTGCCCCTTCCTAGAGCTATGCTATTTCATAGAAGCCCTCCACTTGAGAATACATCTGATCAAAACCTCCAAACACTTCAGGTTTTCTCTAATTTTAATTTTTTTTTTTTTTTTTTTTTTTGGAGATGGAGTCTTGCTCCGTCACCCAGGCTGGAGTGCAGTGGCTTGATCTCTGCTCACTGCAAGCTTCACCTACTGGGCTCATGCCATTCTCCTGCCTCAGCCTCCCAAGTAGCTGGGACTACAGGCACCCGCCACCATGCCCGGCTAAGTTTTTTGTATTTTTAGTAGAGACAGAGTTTCACCTTGTTAGCCAGGATGGTCTCAATCTCCTGACCTCGTGATCCACCCACCTCAGCCTCCCAAAGTGCTGGGATTACAGGCATGAGCCACTGCGCCCAGCCCCTGTTATCTGTTTCTTCAAAGAAACATTCAACAGCATCATGAATGCTCTTAAATTTTTTCAGTGTATCAGGAAAACAAGGGAAAGCTTATTACAATATGATGCTAAAAATTCAGATTGTAATGTTGACAAAAAAAAGCCTACCATGACCTACAGTAGGCATGAGAAAAGACAAGGAACCAAAAAATCACTTTCTTCTCTTACACTAATCCTTGCAAACAAGTTAACACAGAAACAGCTTTAAGTTTAACAAAAGTAAATGACAAAACAAGCAATTGTAAGGTGTGTGTGTATATATAGGTATATATATCTTGCAATTGCCTGTGTCTATACCTATCTATATATATACATACCTATTCCCCTACATATATAGCCATATATATATTATATATATATATGTATTTTTTTTAACATATTTGGGATTTCAAAAGTTTGGGAGAGTATATATTTTATATATACACACACATACAGAAAATATATATATATAGAATATAATATATTCTAATCCCAAATATTTAAATGCTTTGCCTATCTTGCATGAGCAAAGGGATAAAAATGCCTTCTCTTTGGAGTCCTAGAGACCATGTCTCCAACTTTCATGTCCTGATGGGATGATGTCCTTCCACTCCTGTAAGAACCCTAGCTCTGGCACAACCTCAGCTGTGTATGCTTCCCTCCGTTTCTTTGAAATTTTGGCTTTCACACAGATCCCTGTAAACTTCAAAGGAAAAGGACAATCTTCCTACTTAACCAACTATTTGTCCATCTGTCCATCCTATGCCTGCCTTCTTTCTCCTCTTTGTTTTCCATCAACATGACCATACATTGAACACCTACAATATGCCAAGCGTTGCACTAGGTGTTTACAACATGCAGTCTGTTTTCCATGCTATCATCTTAAATACTCTTATTTAGCCCTCTCTCCTGAGGAGTACTGCCTTTAGTTTCCATGTCATTAGAAGCCTTTCTCTACCTCATCAAGCTCATCATACCCCAGAGTAAGATGGAGGTGAAAGAGTGTGGCATAGTAGAAAGAGCATGAACTCTGAGAGAATTATCCTTAGGCTTAAGCCTTGGCTTCTCTATTTCCTACCCATGTGTCCTTGGATGAGTTATTACTCTCTTTCAGCCTCAGTTTTCTCATCTACTATCTATCTGAGGGTAACAATACTTCAGAGCTGCTAGAGGAATTCAATGAAATAACATGTAAATTTCCTTAAAATATGCCCACAGCATGGGAAGCATTTAATGAATAGTAGCAATTCTAATATCTAAGTGATAGCTGCCAATTCATTAGATATGGGCATGTTCAGAATGGTCCATTGACTTATACTTGCCCCATTATGTATATATGAGGACAATAAAAAGTTGCCCAGTTGATTTTTTATTGCCCTCTTATATGTACATGCATTATGTAGACAGCCTGCTCAATGGGTATTTATTATAATAATGAAGTACACAGTCTAATGTTTCTCTTCATTTGTATAAGCTTTAAGAAAGCCCTGTTTTTTCAGCTTTTTTGGTACATAAATTCATGGCAGTTTGGTTATAATCCCCATCGTTTTGTTTGATTTTCCCTGCATTTCTTAAATTAAGAAATATCCATATATTGAGATTAGCTGTAACTAACTCATGGTGTTCCTTCCTTTTGCCATTTCCTCCCTTTCCATCTTCTTGTAATTTAAACTTTCCACATCCTAGAGTGAGAAATATGAGTCCCCAGTTTTTCCACAGCTTCAATAAGCAGGCTGGAAAATGTTTTAATGGACTGCTAGAACCAATGACTATTAGTGGCTTTCCCCCATCTTCCTGAAGGTTTTCCTGTCCAACCCTTCTCTCCCTTTCATGTCCTCCACATCTTATCAGTTGTAATGAATTGAACCCGTAGTAGCAGCGCTAGAAGAGCTGTTTCTTAGTTTAAATGGTAGTCATACTATTTTGCAACTAAAATTAATTTTATACTCTTTTAATGAATTCTTTATTTTCCTGTTCTGTTTATTTTGAAATGAAAACTCCTAAAATATTTTTCTCTGTACACCTAGTTGTACCCAGAGGAGACAAGAGATCTAGAAATATCCTTAATGCGTACCTGAATATTCTTTCTATCCCAATATGTACCCAGTTTTTAAAACATTTTTCCCATATGTAAGTGTTATTCAAAAGTTTTCCTAGAAAAGTCATATTCTGGGCATGCTATGTTTTTGCTGAAGTGTCTAGGCTTTGTTTTTGTCCTGTCGGGGATATGACTTGTGAGTTTTCCTTTATCTGTGAGAGAAAGTTGACCTTTTGTGCTAATTCCATTTCCTGGTGAGTCAGCCTTCTTTCTTTTGGGCTTGCCTATTGCTCAGTGCCAACTCTTACATTCCACTAATTCAGCACCTGTCCCTTCTTAAACAGGTTGTTCAAACCCCCATGCTAGCCCCATCTTTGACCCAGTGACTTCTTTGGGTGGCCAGTTATTTAATTTTTCAAAGCCTCTGTTTTGACATGTGAAAAAAAATAAAAATAACATTATCCTAGCAGGGCATATTAAATAATGCAAATGAGGGTAGCTACCAATGATAAATTTTACTAGGAAGGAGGTAATGCTGAAATAATGAGAATTTATCTTATCATAAAAATTTAACTTGTGGGCAGCTCCAAATAAGTAGCAATTTCCCTTTTCTTACTATTTTCCTCCAGGAATTTGGGCTGAAATTATTCAGGATCCATTTTCCTTCACGTATTTCCATTTCAAAAATGGTAGAATGGAAAGGAATAGAAGTAAATTTGAAGGATTTTCAAAGCTTACTTAGGAGTTTGGCATGGAGAGGGGAAAGCTGTCACAGCTATTGATGAATTTATTCAGTAACTACTGAGTGCCTACTCAGTGCTGCATCACTGTTTCTATATGGAAAGGAACTATCCCTCTGGGACAGTGTTTCCTTAGTGGGGTTAGCAGTCCAAGGAGCAAAGCATATGTGTGTTTCTATAAGCAATGGAAAAAGGATACTCCAAGAATCCTATATATGTAGCTGTTTGCTGATTCCAAGAGGGCAGCTAAGACTTTTTGGAAATAGGAATAGGAATCAACCTAGCACAATGCTTTGCATGTTGTAGGTGTTCAATATGTGGTCATATTGAGGGAAAAAAAGGAGAAAGAAGACAGGCATAGGATGGACAGATGGACAGATGATTAGTTAAGTAGGAAGATTCTCCCTTAAAGATATGTCTCTACTCTGCCAATCTTTGTTAAAAAAAGAAAAAAAGAAAAGAAGATATTTAAAAGTAGAGAGTTTATATGAAGTCTAATTAGAAGGTCTTGTTACACTCTGAAAGAGTGCCAGAATATCAGAATATGAACCACAAGATCATTATTTTCTTTTTCTTAACTTTTTTTTTTTCGTTTTTGTTTTTCTTTTTCTTTTTCTTTTTTTTTTGAGATGGAGTCTTGCATTGTTGCCCAGGCTGGAGTGCAGTGGTGCAATCTTGGCTCACTGCAACCTCCACCTCCCAGGTTCAAGAAATTCTCCTGCCTCAGCCTCCCTAGTAGCTTGGATTACAGGTGCAACCACCATGCCCAGTTAATTTTTGTATTCTTAGTAGAGATAAGGTTTCACCATGGTGGCCAGGCTGGTCTTGAACTCCTGACCTTAGGCGATCTGCCTACCTTGGCCTCCCAGAGTGCTGAGACTGAATTTTATTGAAAGCCGTTTCTGCATTTATTGAGGTAATCATGTGTTTTTCATCTTTAGTTCTGTTTATGTGATGAATTACATTTATTGATTTGCATATGTTAAACCAACTTTGCATCCCAGAGATGAAGCCTACTTGACTGTTGTGGATTAGCTTTTAGGTATGCTGCTGGATTCGGCTTGCACGTATTTTGTTGAGAATGTTTGCATCAATGTTCAGCAAGGATATTGGCCTGATGTTTTTTTTTGTTGTGTCTCTGCCAAGTTTTGGTATCAAGATAATGCTGGCTTCATAGAATGAGTGGGGGAGGAGTCCTCGCCCTGCAACCGACCCAGTTTTTTTGGAATAGTTTCTGTAGGAATGGTATGAACTCTTCTTTGTACATCTGGTAGAATTTGGCTGTGAATCCATCAGGCTCTGGGCTTTTGTTTTTTGTTTTTTTTTTTTTTTTTTTGGTTGGTTGGTAGGCTATTTATTATTGATTCAATTTTGGAGCTCATTATTGGTCTGTTCAGGAAACCAATTTCTTCCTGGCTCAGTCTTGGGAGGGTGTATATGTCCAGGAATCTGTCCATCTCTTCTAGGTTTTCTAGTTTGTGTGTGGAGAGGTCTCTATAGTAGTTTCTGATGGTTGTTTTCATTTCTGTGGGGTCAGTGATATCTCTTTCATCATTTCTAATTGTCTTAATTTTTTTATTAGTCTATTTAGTGGCCTATCTACTTTAATTTTTTTTTAAAAAACAACTCCTAGATTTGTTGATTTTTTAAATGGTTTGTCTCTGAATTTCCTTCAGTTCAGCTCTGATTTTTGTTATTTCTTGTCTTCTGCTAGCTTTGGGGTTGACTTATCCTTGCTTCTTTAATTCTTTCCATTTAATTTAGGTTGTTAGTTTGAGATCTTTCTAACTTCTTGATGTGGGCATTTAGTGCTATGAATTTCCCTCTCCACACTTTCTTAGCTGTGTCCCAGAGATTCTGGTATGTTGTATCTTTATTTTCATGATATTCAAAGAACTTCTTGATTTCTGCCTTAATTTCATTATTTACCCAAAAGTCATTCAGAAGCATATTGTTTAATTTTCATGTAATTGCATGGTTTTGAGCGATTTTCATAGTCTTGACTTCTATTTTTATTGTACTGTTGTCCGAGAGAGTGTTTGGTATGATTTTGATTCTTTTTACATTTGCCGAGGATTGTTTTATGTTTAATTATGTGGCCAATTTTAGAGTATGTGTCATGTGGTGATGAGAGAGTGTATATTCTGTTACTTTCCAGTGGAGAGTTCTTTAAAGGTCTATCAGATCCATTGGTACAATGTTGAGTTTAGGTTCTAAATATCTATTAATTTTATGCCTTGATGATCTAATATTGTCAGTGGAATGTTAGACTCCCACAGAATAATAGTGGGAGACTTTATGTCTCTTTGTATAGTAGGTCTCTAAGAACTTGCTTTATGAATCTGGGTGCTCCTGTTTGGTGCATATATATTTAGGACAACTATGTCTCTTAGTAGAATTGAACCCTTTACCATTATATACTTTGTCTTTATCTTTGTTAGTTTGAAATCTGTTTTGTCTGAAATTAGAATTGTAACCCCTGCTTTTTGCCGTTTTCCATTTGCTTGGTATGTTTTCCTCCATCCCCTTTATTTTGAGCTTATGAGTGTCATTACACATGAGATGGGTCTCTTGAAGACAGCATACCATTGGATCTTGCTTTTTTATCCAGCTTGCCACTCTGTGCCTCTTAAATTGAGCATTTAACCCACTTACATTCAAGGCCAGTATTGATAAGTGTGGATTTGATCCTGTCTTTGTGCTGTTAATTGGTTATTATGGTGGCTTGTTTGCTTTACAGTGACACTGGTCTGTGTGTCTTTGTATGAGCTGGTAGCAGTCTTTCCTTTCTATATTTAGTGTTATTTTCAAGATCTCTTGTAAGGCAGGTCTGGTGGTAATGAATTCCCCCAACATTTGCTTATCTGGAAAGGATCTTATTTCTTCACTGAGGAAGCTTAGTTTGGCTGGATATGAAATTCTTGAAGATGATGTTTTTCTTTAAGAATGTTGAGTATAGGCCCCCACTCTCTTCTGGGTTGTAGGGTTTTAGCTGAGAGTTGCACTGTCTGATGGGGTTCCCTTTGTAGGTGACCTGCCCTTTCTCTCTAGCTGCCTTTAACATTCTTTTATTTTGACCTTGGAAAATCTGACAATTATGTGTTTTGGGCATGATCTTCTTGTGGAGAATCTTGCAGGAGTTCTATTTCCTGATTTTGACTGTTTGCCTCTCTAGAAGGTTGGGGAAGTTTTCATAGATGATATCCTAAGATATGCTTTTCAACTTGTTTGCTTTCTCCCCATCCCTTATAGGGATGCCAGTGATTCATAGATTTGGCCTCTTTACATAATCCCATACTTCTCAGAGGTTTTGTTTATTCTTTTTCTTTTTTATTTATTTTTGTCTGACTGCTTCGTTTCAGAGAACCAGTCTTCAAGTTCTGAGATTCATTCCCCAGCTTGGTTTATTCTGCTGTTAATACTTGTGATTGCACTGTGAAAGTCTTGTATTGTGTTTTTCAGCTCTGTCAGACTTGTTAGGTTCTTTTTTATACTTGCTATTTCATTCTTTAGCTCCTGGAAAGAAGTCTATGGATTATACTCAACCTACACTCCAGTTAAAGGAACATCTACACACAGAGGTGAGAAAGAATGAATACAAAAACTTTGGTAACTCAAATGGTTAGAGTGTCATATGTTCTCCAAATGACTGCATCAGTTCTCCAACAAGAGTTCTTAACCTGGTTGAGATGACAGAAATATCATTCAGAATATGGATAAGAACATCATTGAGATTCAGGAGGGAAGCAAACTCCAATCCAAGGAGAATGAGAATCAAAATAAAGCAATACAGGAGAAGCTTTCAGTTGACCCAGGGTGCTCTGTCCAGGGAGTTGCCAAGTTGCCACGGGCTTGATAGCTCTGGTGGGGGATGGCTAGAGGCCCAGGCCTGAAAGACCTGGAGATATGGGATATGGGAACAAGCACCCATGTAGCAGTCTGGCCACTTTTCTGTAGGTCTGCTTCAGTATGCTTGGGGCCCCCTCCAATCCCTAGTCACATCAGATTTTCCAGTACCTGGAGGTATCACCAATGAAGGCTGTGAAGCAGCAAAATGGCAATCTGGCCCTCTCTCTGGGAGCTCTGACCCAGAGAGGTATGTGCCTGCTGCTGGCCCAAAGGCACCTGTAGGAGGTGGCTGGAGACCCCAGCTGGGAGATCCTGCCTAGTGAGGAGGAACAGGATCAGGGACCTGCTTTAAAAAGACGTCTGGCCACATTTTGGTAGAGCAGATATGCTTTGCTGGGCATTTGCTTCAGCCCCTGGTTGCCTAGACACTCCAAAGCCCGATGGCTGGAATGGCTAAGTCACCCAAACAGCAATGATGGTGGCCCACCCCCTCTGTGAGCTCCATCCCTGGGAAGTTACTAATCTCTGTTGGCCAGAGAACACCTTTAGGGGAGAGGTGGCTGGAGGCACCCCAGTTGGGAGGTCCTGTCCAGTGAAAAGGAATGAGATTGGGGACCTGCTTATAGTAGTAGTCTGGCCATGTTTGGTACAGCAGTTGTGCTGTGTTGGGGGATCCCTTCTGCCCGATTGGCCTGGATTCTGCAAAGCCTGAAGGCTGGAACAGCTAATGTACCTGAACAGTAAAGATGGAGGCCTGCCTGTCCCCCTGGGAGCTCTTCCTTAGGGAGTTACAATGCTGGTACCAGTGGCTGGCCAGAATTCTAAGCTGTGGGTCTTATCTTGTGAGGTAGCATGGACTTGGGGCCTGCAGGCTGTTGCTGCTCAGCCCCCTGAATTCAGCCTCTTTTCTATGGGTATGTACAGGGTTCTAACCTCCCACTTTGCTGGAGCTGCAGCTACTTTTGCTGGAAAGCCCAAGTATCTAAGGCTCCAGTGATTCCACGCATGTCTGAGTGGTTGCTCTGCCAAGACTCCATGTAGCTCTGTCAGACTGAAGTCCCTGGTAGACTGCGTTCACAAGGATATCTCCTGTCCCAAGGGTTGCAAAGATCTGTCAAAGAAGCATGGATTCCTTAGGTGGGGGAGGGTCCCCTGTCTCCGTGTTTCTCCCAGATGGGCTTTGTCCTGTCTTGGTTTTCTTTGTTCTCCATGAGTCAAGTTGTTTCCTTGATTACTCCCTTTGTGAATACTAGGATGTTTCAGTTGAAGGTGTTGTATTTACTCACCCCTCCCGTTTCTCTCCATGAGAGCTACACACAGTAGCTGCTTCTAGACAGCCATATTGGCCATTTCCCTCCATTGTTTTCATCTAGAATCCACCATCTTTAAAAAATGAGTTTTCCTTCAACTGTGCATCATTTTATTTTCAAATTGAGCCTATTTCTAGCACTTAATATTTACACAATTACAATTCATTTCACCTATGAGTCATTATATTTATCTCTTATGTGTATTTATACCCGTTCTAAAGCTTGGTTTTATGGTCTAATTAAATTAACGGGATATACTTTATAAATAATACTTAGGGAAGATGATATAGTTAGAGGACCAGGATTCTAGGTCTAGCCACTAACTAGCTGTGTGAACTTAGACAAATCATTTAATTTTATTTAATTCAGAAAAATATATGAAAACAAAGTAGCTCAATCTCACTGCTCACATAACTACTTGTAAAGAAATACATGTACAGAGTTTGTTCTTCTTTTTTATCATTTCAGGAAATGAATAACATGAAGTGAAGTCTTCATCTCCATTCCCAACAGTCCCCATTCTACTTGCAGAAAGGTAAATATTGTTCATATTTTGTTATGAATTCATTTTGCTATGAATTCTTTACAAATCAGCATACTAAAAGATGTTTGAGTATTTCCTAATAGATGCAGATCCTACCATAAAACTGTATGCATATAATATTTTTAAAGAGAAATCATTGTTTTAGAGAACATTTAGGGAGTAAAGAGTACGTGTTAAAATTTCTTTGAAATGCTTATCTATGACTAGAAGCATTGCTTTCTTCTACTCTATACAGATAGTAAATTTAAAGGCACATTTGGGGACAGGATTGTGGGTTTTCTCAAATAACCTTCTTAAATAGGTAGAGAAAGCACCTCTAGTCTTGGTTTTTTAGAGAAATTTTTAATATTATGTTCAATTTTTTAAGGCAAATAAAGTAAGCTGGGATATGATTTTTATTTATCAAGGTAATTATTTTCCCTAAAGTTTAAAGAAAACTTGAAGGAACAAATAGGTGTAGCTGGAGCAAGTTTATTGAGGTATAGATACACCACACCACTAATTTCATAGTGTAGACAGTCCTCTCAGAATGGTATCAAGAGTTCTTTGAAAGGGCAATACAGTTTCCGAAAGCCCTACAGGAAGACCTGGGTAGTGACAATAGTACCATCTCTTCTGGAAACCTCACTCTGAAATGAATTATACTCAGGGCAAAAAGCATTCTTCTGTATTTGTAGGTAGCCTAAAATGTACATCACAGCTGCCTGGGCTAATTTTATAGGGCTCGTGGAGGCTCCTACATTTGCTATTCACAATGGCAAGCTGAGCTCAATATTTGAACAAAAAAAGTTAAATTTACCAACTGTAGGATTTATATTCTCAGAACAAAAAAATAAATGAAACCTTTAAGGGAGCTTAGAAAGTACAACCATAAAGAAATAGTCATGAGTCATTTCTTCAGTTAAACCAGCATCAGTACTCAAGTATGATTACTATATTAGAAAAATCATCTTTAAACACAAAGAAAACTTCTGCTTGTGTATATTCATGATCACCAATAAAAAGGTTCTACCAAAGGGCCAGTCACCCAGGTGTTCATGTACATACAACAGCATATCATGATGGACACTAGAAGCCTCGCCCTACAGTCTCTGCTCTTAGGTTCCACCTCTGACCCTCACTTGTTGGGCTTATCTTCGGCAAATCTTTAGCCTCTCTCTCCCTAAACTGCATCATCTGAAAAATAGAGATGACAATAGTACTTGGCTCACTGAGTTGTTATGAAAATTAAGTTAGTACATGTAAAACCCTTTTCTGGCACATGGTAAGTGCATGTAACACTGTTCTTTTTCTTATTCAATGTGTATATACCAAGGGAAAGGTTTAAATAAAAACATTAAGTTAAAATAATTTATTCAAAAGCCATGCCACTGTTAAATTAATACAGTCAAAACTACAAATAAAAAAAGAACATGCAAAATATTTTATAATATTGTATAAAGGCTTATATGTGTAAGCTTAAAAACCCTTCATTTATGAATCAATTTGTGCATAAAAATTGTATACATGCAGAGACTTGGGCCAGAATGGATATTGTTGAATTAATTTCAAAAATACGTTTTACAGCTTTTCCAAAACTCTTTAATGAAAAGTCAGCAAGAAGATAATGAGAAAGGACCAAACAGATGTTGGCTTCTGCTGAAATTTGCCAAACTTTTACAGCATCATTATGATAGCTTTCCGTTTAGGTCACCACAGTTTAAAAGTAAGTGGGACATTTGGATCTAGAAGAGAGCAGTGATGATTAAAGAGTTGGAAACCCAGGCTTAAGAGGAAGGGACCATGGAAATGATGTTGGTTGGCCAAAAGAGGAGAAGGCTGTGGGTGCCTTAATTACAGTCTCAGTATATATATAATACACCATGTAAATGAACAGATGTTGTTCTGCAATGAAAATAGAACAAGATGGGAGCACTGTGGCTCTGATTTGAGAACCATCTTTGTCTATAAAGAGTTGTTGAATAACTAAACCTCTGTTCTCTCAACCAATATCTATTCATTTCCTCTATTTTTATACCATATTAAGTGCTAACGGTTGATAATTCACATATTTAGACATATTGCATGGAATATGCTCTATAATTGTATTGCAGGAGACTTGGTGACCTATACGCATTAGAGCATGGGAAAGACAGGAAACTAGGTTGGTGCAGTGACACATTTTGGATTCCCACTTCCGTCTCACAAGGATGCATGAGTATCCTGAGACCACCACAGAAGATAGCTAGGTGGGAGTCTGCTTGTTGATACATCAACCAAAAGGACCGCCCTGGGGGCAAGTAGAGTGCTTCTTCCAGCTCAAGGAATTATGCGGTGAGCAGGCTTTCCTTGCAGGCCCACCTAGCTCCCCCAGGGAGGACATTCCAATAACCAGTTTTGGATTACCCCAAAAGACATCTATCTATCTATCTATTTAAATGGTCTTTCCTGTAAATAACACTTCACTTCTGATACCAAATGTGTAGGGTTTATTTCCAGTTCCTAGCAGACACCAACTTGGTGTCCTAAAATGCAATTAAATTCTAACACTATCTATCAGAAATTAGATCCCACAAGATTGTCCACACTTCACATGCCAATAGCAAGTCCCAGCCTCCTGTACTTCTGACTGACCAGCTATACACTGGGAGTTTCCATAACTCTCATCTCAGTTTCAGTAATTTGCTAGAATAGCTTACAGAACTCAACATTTACTCAATTTACCAGTCTATTAAAAATAGTATTTTGTTGAGAATGTTTGCCTCTGTGTTCATCAGGGATATTGGTCTGTAGTTTTCATTTTTTATGTCCTTTCCTGGTTTTGGTATTAGGGTAAAACTGGCTTCATAGAATGACTTAGGGAGGATTCCCTCTTTATCTTTTGGAAATTGGTACCAATTCTTCTTTGAATGTCTGGTAGAATTTAGCTGTAAATCTGTCTTTTTTGGTTGGCAATTTTTAAATTACCATTTCAATCTTGCTGCTTGTTATTGGTCTGTTCAGAGTTTCTATTTCTTTCTGGTTTAATCTAGGAGGGTTGTATATTTCTAGGAATTTAACCAACTCCTCTAGGTGTTCACAGTAGCCTTGAATGATCTTTTGCATTTCTTGGTATCAGTGATAATGTCTCCCATTTCTAATTGAGCTTATTTGGAACTTCGTTCTTTTCTTGGTTAATCTCACTAATGGCCTATCAATTTTGTTTATCTTCAAAGAACAAGCTTTTTCATTCATTTAGTTCTGTTCTGATCTTTCTTTGTTATTTCTTCTGCTGAGTTTGGGTTTGTTCTTGTTTCTCTAATTCCTTGAGGTATGTGACCTTAGATTGTCTGGGCATAAAGGGTATCCAAATTAGTAAAGAGGAAGTCAAACTAGCACTGTTTGCTGATGATACGACCATATATGTAGAAAACCCTAAAGACCCCTCCAAAAAGCTCCCAGAACTGATAAATGAATTTAGGAAAGTTTCCAGATACAAAATCAATGTACACAATCAGTAGCAATGCTATATACCAACAATGACCAAGCTGAGAATCAGATCAAGAACTCAACTCCTTTTATAATAGCTGCAAAACAAATAAAATACTTAAGAATACACCTAAGCAAGGAGATGAAGGACCTCTATAAGGAAAACTACAAAACACTGCTGAAAGAAATCACAGATGACACAAACAAGTGGAAACACATCCCATGCTCATGGATGGGTAGAATCAATATTGTGAAAGTGACCATACTTCCAAAAGCAATCTACAAATTTAATGCAATTCCCATCAAAAAACCACCATCATTCTTCACAGAACTAGAAAAAAAAGCTAAAATTCATGTGGAACCAAAAAAGAGCCCATATAGCCAAAGAAAGACTAAGCAAAAAGAGCAAATCTGAAGGTAGCACATTACCTGACTTCAAACTATACTATAAGGCTATAGTCACCAAAACAACATGGTACTCGTAAAAAATAGGCACATAGATCAATGGAACAGAATAGAGAACCCAGAAATAAAGCCAAATACTTACAGCCAACTGATCTTTGACAAAGCAACACAAAAACAAAGTGGAGAAGGGATACTGTATTCAACAAATGGTGCTGAGTTAATTGGCAAGCCAAAGGTGGAAAAATGAAACTGGATCCTCATCTCTCACCTTAGACCTGAAACCATAAAGATTCTAGAAGATAACATGGAAAAAACCCTTCTAGACATTGTCTTAGGCAAAGACTTCATGAACAAGAACCCAAAAACAAAGATAAATAGGTGGGACTTAAACTAAAAAGCTTCTGCATGGCAAAATAATAATAATCAGCAGAGTTAACAGACAACCCACAGAGTGGGAGACAATCTGCACAAACTATACATCTTACAAAGGACTAATATCCAGAATCTACATGAAATTCAAGTCAGCAAGAAAAAAAAAAATCCCATCAAAAAGTGGGCTAAGGACCTGAATAGACAATTCTCAAAAGAAGATGTACAGATGGCCAATAAATATATGGAAAAACATTCAACACCACTGATTATCAGGGAAATGCAAATGAAATCCACAATGTGATATCACCTTACTCCTGCAAGAATGGACATAATCAAAAAATGATAGATGTTGGCATGGATGTGGTAAAAGGGAGCACTTTTACACTGTTGTTGAGAATGTAAACTAGTACAACCATTACGGAAAACAGTGTGGAGATTCCTTAAAGAACTATAAGTAGATCTACCATTTGATTCAGCAGTCCCACTCCTGGGTATCTACCTAGAGGAAAAGAAGTCATTATTTTATTATTATGTGTATACAAGTATCTTTTAAAAGATACTTGTATACACATGTTTATAGCAGCACGATTTGCAATTGCAAAAACATGGAACCACCCCAAATGTCCATCAATCAACAAATGGATACAGAAAATGTAAATATATATGATGAAATACTAATCAGCCATAAAAGGAACTAATTTTAAGGTGGATCTATGTCACAGTTCAAATTCAGTGTTCAGTGACTTATTGCCTAAATGTACAATGATCTATCTAATCTCTTAAATGAGGCCAGAAGAGTGAGCTGGTAAAAAGAGGGCTAAGATCCTCCAAGAACTGAGTTCCTGTTCCAGCTCTGTCACTTACTATTTGATTATCAATGGGCAATTTATGGAATCTGTTTTAAATCATGGGCACTGAGGGAATAAGTGTTGGGCACCAATAGCATCCACTATAGAAGTTACTCAATATCTTCCCTGAAAGCCTTTGAACATAGCTAGGCCTCTAAATAGTCTGCTTAAACTCCAGTTCTTTTGGAAAATGGCAGAGAAAATGATTATCAGATTTTAAGTCTATCAAAATTCCATTCAGCATTGAATACATATAAAGTATAAGGTGAGTTACGAATATATCCAAAAATTTGTATTCAAAACGTAAGACAGGAAATGTTCATTTTTATAATTTACTCTTATAAATCAGTCTCAGTAAGGCAGCTGGGGTTCTCTTCCTGTCTCAAATATTGAGCCCAAAATTTTCCCAGCTTTGTGACAGTATTAGGTTCACACCAACTCTTTTGGATGCCTTCCTCTCAAAATCAAATTCAATATAGAGGGACAGAGACTGAGAAGCCTAGGATGAGCCAGAAAGTTTGTGATTGGCACATACTTGCCTGGGGCCCAAGTCACCAGAAGTCAAAAGTTTCCTCAGGAAATAATGTGTTGTCAAATGGCCATCCTCCAGTCAACGGGGCCTGTTAAGTCAAAAACACATCAGTATTATAAAGCACCACACACACTGACTCATCTAGTCTCAAGATATGCAGGATCTAAATTATTATATCCCTTTTACTGGTATGGAAACCATGATTTAAAACAGATTACATAAATTGCCCGTTGATAATCAAATAGTGACAGAGCTGGAACACAAACTCAGTTCTTGGAGGATCTCAGCCCTCTTTTTACCAGATCACTCTTCTTTTCTTCTGGCTTCCTTTAGGAGACTAGACAGATCATTGTACAGTCAGGCAGTAAGTCATTGAACACTGAATTTGAACTCTGACATAGATCTACCTTAAAATGAAGCTAAGGCAAAATTGCAAAGTACCCACTTTTTATTAGAAAAATAATTTGATTGATTGTAATTTCTTTTGTTTTCTAAACCCGAGTGTTCACCTTTCTTTTCTCCTGTATCCCTATGGCCCTCAATCAAATAACATTGGAATAACATTTGCTAAGTGTTTTGTTATCTGTTGCTGCATAACAAATTACCCCCAAACTGAGAAGCTTAAAATCATCATAATTATCTCACAGTAATTATCTCACAGTTACTCTGAGTTAAGATGCCAGGGGTAGTTTGACTGGGTGGTTCTGACTCAGGGTAGGTATCTCTTGAGGTTGCAGTTAAGTTGTTGGCCAGGGCAACAGTCACATGGGGCTAGAGGACCCACTTTCAGGATCACGCAAGCTGTTGTTGGCAAGCCTGTTTCTTGCTGGCCCATGTCTGTCCATCTCCATTCCTCGCCATGTGCTGCTTGAGTGTTCTCAAGACATGGCAGGTGGCTTGCCCTGAGCAAGAAATCTGAGAAAGAGAGGTCAAGGTGTCAGTAGCTAGCATTCTTTTACAACCTCATCTCAGAAGTAACATACCATCACTTTCACCATATTATTTGATCCCACAGACCGACGCTGGTATGATATAGGAGGTGACTTCACAAGGGTGTGAATTCTAGGAGGTGGGGATCATTGGGAGTGCCTTGGAGGCTGGCTATCACACTAAGAAGCATACAAATGTAGGGGCAATTTATTCCCTCTGTTGCTTCTCAGAGGCAGAACAGGGCATATGGAAAGGGGATGTTTTTTCCATGTGTATAGGTACACAATTCAATATACCTATTATGTCATCTTTATTAGACTGAGCTCAAAACAGATACTGACATAGGATTGATAAGACATTAAGATCCCAAGAGCTCAATCTAAAAGACCAAATATACCAAAATATATAAATCAAGAGAAGTTCAGTAAGAGCTCAAAAAAGTATAAGGGGGTTCATATAATGATGGTAAGCTGCTGTACACTTGGGGAAGAACAAGACACAATACCTAGGAGAAGTGGCATTTCAAATGAGTAGAATTTCAGAGTAAAGATCAGGGCAAAGAGAAATCAAGAGAAAGGAGATAAAAGACTCCAAGGAGCGAAACTCACCAAGAATCTTTGAATCAGAAATTCTGGTAATCATGGCTTCACAACTATGGAAGTCCAGCACAGAAAACTAGTTGCATGTAGTTTGATATAAAAGTAGCTATTTGTAAAGCCTCTGATAGGAGCATACCCAAAAACAAGGAAGAAAAAGATGTTAGATAGACTCAGCTTCCTGCTGAGTTTCTCCAGTGGCTTCCCATTGTCTGCAATAAGTTAATGCATACTCCCTAGCATTAAGACCTTCAGTCTGGCCTGAACCTTTGGAGCCTCATTCCTAACCAGCATCCTGCCTCCAGGCCCCCAGTGATGCCCCAGCCTAATCGGGGGAACCCACCCCCAATATTTCAACGTAGTTTCTTTCTGTTTTCCATAAGTGTCGGCCGGCTGAGAAATAAAGTGAAAGAGTACAAAGAGAGGAATTTTACAGCTGGGCCTCTGGGGGTGGCATCACATATGGGTAGGACTGTGAAGCCCACCTGAGCTGTAAAACCAGCAAGTTTTTATTAAGGATTTCAAAAGGGGAGGGGGTGTAAGAACAGGGAGTAGGTCACAAAGATCACATGCTTCAAAGGGCAAAAAGGAGAACAAAGATCCCATGCTTCTGAGGAAACAGGACAAGGGCAAAACCAGAAACTGATAAGAGTTCAACAAAGATCACAAGGCAAAGGGCAAAAGCAGAATTACTGATAAGGGTCTAGGTTCAGCAGTGCACGTATTGTCTTGATAAACATCTTAAACAACAGAAAACAGGGTTTGAGAGCAGAAAACTGGTCTGACCTCAAATCAGGGTGGGGGTTTTTCCCCACCCTAATAAGCCTGAGGGTACTGCAGGAGACCAGGGCATATTTCAATCCTTATCCCAACTGCATAAGACAGACACTCCCAGAGCCACCATTTATAGACCTTCCCCCCAGGAATGCATTCCTTCCCCAGGGTATTAATTATTAATATTCCTTGCTAGGAAAAGAATTTAGCAATATCTTCCCTACTTGCATGTCCATTTATAGGCTCTCTGCAAGATGAAAAATATGACTATTTTGCCCAACCCTGCAAGCAGTCAGACCCTACGGTTGTCTTCCCTTGTTCCCTTAAAATTGCTGTTATTTTGTTCTTTTTCAAGGTGCACCGATTTCATATTGTTCAAACACACATGTTTTACAATCAATTTGTACAGTTAACACAAATACCATAGTGGTCCTGAGGTGACCTACATCCTCAGCTTATGAAGATAACAGGATTAAGAGATTAAAGTAAGACAGGCATCAGAAATTATAAGAGTATTATTTGGAAACTGATAAATGTCCATGAAATCTTCACAATTTAGGTACCTCTGCTGTGGCTCCAGCCGGTCCCTCCTTTTGGGGTCCCTGACTTCCCACAACACAGCTTCCCCATTTCCTTACCCCAGGACACACCAGGCTGGGTCCCAGCTAGAAAGGCATACTTTTTTACCCATTCTGTTTATTCTGCATGGAATAGCCTGCACATCTCTTCTTCACACCACTTCCTCCTTACCTTTCCACATTCAAAGGTCACTTGGCCTAGAAAGATTTTTCTGACTCTCTTCTGGGCCCGTCTTCATCCCAGCTGTAACATCATCACTATAAATGCATTGACATCTGGCATGGCATATACTCTACGTAATTGATTCTAAAAGGAATATTCAAATCCTACAACTGAAGGCATGATATAGTTTGACATCTTTTTTCCCTTGGAAAGGAAAGTAAGAGATAAGTTAATGGTGCCTTAAACTTGATGGAATTTACTCATTTGCATATTTACTCCTTCCTTAAGACTCAAAACACCTTCTGGTATGAAATCATTTATTTTATATCCCCATTGCCTGTCACATTGCCCTGTATAATAAGCTCCCCATGAATGTAGGAGGCTGATCCTTAAATAGCTAAAGGAAACATCACTTCTTTCTACCTAGTTCCAGGAAGGGTGACCCTGATTACCCATGTCATTTCATTTAAAAAGGTCAGCATGAGGTGAATGAAAATTGTGTGACATGTTGACTTTGTTACATCATTTGACCTAAAAACTATGACCTCCTTCCTTTCATGTCATGTATCTCCAAATCTTTCTGGAATTAATCTCAAGTTTTCAACAATGGACTTAGAACTCTAAATATATACAGTTGATAAAATGCCCAATCAATGAAGTCAGGCCTGAAGTCTAAGCTTTAATATTTATTAGCATGTGACCTTTGTTGGTTAACCATCCTGAACCTTAGTTTCATCTTCTGTAAAATGAGGGTAGTACAACTCACCTGTCAGGGTAGTTGTGATACAGCTGCAATGACTGGAGGAGCCCCAGGGTCCTTGGTCTCACACTGATTTAGCTAAAACAACACAGACACACATGGAGTAGTTTTAAGGAGCAGAAAGTTTAACAAGCAAGCGAGAAAGCAGCAGCTCCCCCATACAGAGACAGAGGGAGGGAGGCTCCAAGAGAGAAATCCTGTGTGCCGCAGAAAAATGGTCAGTTATATTGGAGGCTGGAGGAGGCAGTGTCTGATTTGCATAGGGCCCAGGGGATTGGTTTGACCAGCTGCATCATTCACGTAGCCCACAGAAAAACCTGGTCCTCCCACCTTAGTCTTTTAATATGTAAATGTGGGCTGCCATGACGTCCTGAACATGTTGAGTTATCTGGAGGTGGCCATGACACTGGGCACACCTTGTGATAAGAGGAAGGTGGGAATTGCCATATTGGGTAGACCCAGTTTCTAATGGCCTGCATTTGCATATCAAAGCTTACTGGTCTGGGCCTTCAAGCTGCCTTTCTGTTTGAAACGAAATGGTTTGGGGGTTGCTTCTTCTTACAGGAAAATTACCACTGAGAACCTTTACCCTTTCTAGCTGCCTAAAAATTATTTCTTAATAACTCCTGTATTAGTTGTAAAGATTAACTCTATTAACAAATATAAAACATCTAAGATGGGGCCTGGGTATAGTAAGATATTCAGTTAATTTTAGACCACTGCCTGGCACATAACAGAATGAACAACAAAAATAATGAGAAGAGTCTACAGGGTTAGGTGAGCAATGTGGGCTTAGAAATCCATTCCAACATCATATTAATTGGGCACTGAGGTAATTGCCCAAGTTAATGATGTCAAAATGCAATGGACAACAATCCTTGTGGAGGATTTATTCTGCTTGAGTTTCTCTTTCTCTCCGTGTATGAAGTTTGAATCTAGTTTTACCTATTGTTTTCCTATTGACTACAACATTTTTACCATGAAAACATGGAATTTATAACAATTTGACCATGTATTTTTCCTCATATTATTTTGGGGACCAGACTGTTGCTTTGCTTCCAGGCATTGTAATTTGACATGTACTCTACAACAATCTTTAGCCCCCATTAGCTCTTAGTGAGACTATTTCCTCTAAACCTTTCCCATAGGTTTCACAACTTTCTTTTGAACGTTCTCCAAAAACTAAATCCTTACTTTGTTTAACCATATTTCCCCTTCTCTTCTATTGTGCATTTCTCTATGTTGAGAAGTCTTTGAGAAAGCAGGGAGTCCCTCTGCCAACTGATCCTATACTAGGATAGGCATGGGTGATGTAGGCCTTCTACAGGTCATTTAGAACTATGGGAGCAGGGCAGTAGGTAGAGCACAGAAGAAAGGAATTATGAAATGTCAGAGAATTAGGGGAAAAGAAGAGCAACAATTCTGATTTGTTGCCATGCAAAGACGGAGAGATTAAGATCGGAGGGGATGTTCCATATCAAGAGGATGAAGTGAAGGGATAAAGGTCCAGTTTACACAAAGAAGTTTAAAAGCCAGATGCAAAATCCCAAATCTTCATCATATACTGATAAGCCTTACCACACTAGTTGGAAAGGAGGTTCTAGACATCAACATGGGAAGAGGTGGAAAACCCCTTTGATCTTTCATAATGTAGAAACAGAATCCCAGAACAATAAAACAGACAACTAATCCTACTATTTTCTGATCTTTTGGCTCCTCTGAATCATTTTATAAACTTAGCTTCTCTGTGGGGGCCTAATCCTTGTCCCAATAGTCCACGTGGTTGAATGGCTGCCTGATCCAAATGCTTTGATCATACCGGAGTCTTGGAGTCTTTTCTACCATTTTTATAGGCACAACTTTCAGAAATACTTTCTTCAAAAGCCCTGTGCTTTGATAAACAGGTTTAAGTGCTATAATCACCAGGCATTTGAATGCAGATTAATTCATAAACCCAGATAATAGATCTTGTTCTGTCATGTTGTTTTTAGACAAAAGTTGAAAGCTTTGAAGAATGTGGAGAAACTATGAAATTTTAATAGCCTTGGGGCACAGAAACTTAACACAAAGAAAGAATCGTCATTCATTCAAAGAGTATTCATGGCCTTGGTGGAAAGATTGATGACAAATTCTGTGATTAATTACAGTTGTTGAAGAAAGTTAGAAGAAAAAAGGCACCAAGAGTTCTTGAGTTAATCAAAGACAGCAATTTGAATAAATGGTCCTAAAGTCCACAGTAATTATTTCGTCAAATGAACCACATTGTTACTTTGAATTGTAAGATTTTACCTTCATCCTGAAAAATAAAAATAAAAAATAAATGCCTTGGCTGAACATTATTGATTTGATAGGGAAAGTATCAGTTATTTTCCTACATAAAAGGGACTCATGAAATCTGAGGGTTGTGATATTTAGGTTTTCTTGCCTGAGGGAAGGTCATTTCACAGTAACCTCCAGAAAAAATGACTATATATTATGATTAGTAACTTATCCATAAAAAGGATAATGATATCGTTTTGCTGTGTGTCCTCATCCAAATCTCATCTTGTATCTCCCATAATTCCCACGTGTTATGGGAGTGACCCAGTGGGAGATAATTGAATCATGGGGGCGGGTCTTTACCTTGCTGTTCTCCTGATAGTGAATAAGTCTCACGAGATCTGATGGTTTTAAAAATGGGAGTCTCCTTGCACAAGCTCGCTCTCTCTTTGCCTGCTGCCATCCACATAAGATGTGACTTGCTCCTCCTTGCCTTCTGCCATGATCGTGAGGCCTCCCCGGCCATGTGGAACTGTAAGTCCAAGAAATCTCTTTCTTTTGTAAATTGCCCAGTCTCAGGTATGTCTTTATCAGCAGCATGAAAACAGACTAATACAAATAACGTAACAAGAACAAGAATGAAATAATTGACATGAAGGACTCACCTGAACAATTACACCAAAAGAGCATCTTCTTCTTTCTCTAATCTACACAAAGCCCGTCCACAACAGGCCAATTCTATCAGAGACAAGGCTGATGGGAAGGTTCAGAAATAATTGCAGTTTTCCTCCTCACATTTCTATTGAATCTTTTGGAGAATAGAAAAATAAATTATTTATTACAAGGCAGGGGTTCTCAAGCCCTAGACCAGTACCTGTCCGTGGCCTGTTAGGAGCAGGGTCACATAGCAGAAGGTAAGTGGCAGGCAAGCCAGCATTACTGCCCAAGCTCCGCCTATTGTCAGATCAGTGGCAGCATTAGATTCTCATAAAAGCATGAACCCTATTGTGATCTCTGCATTCAAGTTATCTAGGTTGCGCACTCCTTATGAGAATCTAATGCCATCCCCCATCCACCCTGGTCCTTGGAAAAATTATCTGCCATGAAACCGGTCCCTGGTGCCAAAAATGTTGGGAACCGCTGTTGTAGTAAGTTTTCAATAGGTAACTTGCATTCAACAGCTTGTGGTTATAGCTTCCTGTTTGGCAGAGGAAAAGGATATCTCTATATATAGATATACATATCACAGATCTTAGAACTTTAAATATCAACTGTATTAGAACTTGACTACTGAGCTTGAGCTTGCCACCATTCTTAAAATCATCAGCTCTACTGCCATGCTGTTTTTTACATTTATATATTATAACTTCATCTTTAATAAAATATATATATTAGCTATTTTTCAATGTGGATTTTATGTGGTAAGTGTTCAGATCTAAGAATGTTATCTGTTTCCCAAGTAGCTTGTTTTTCCTGAGTGAAAATTTATGAACCCTACTTATGTTAATTAAAATTATATTTTAACCTTACTAGATCTGTGCTATGACTAGAAAATAGTTGTTAACATAAAATTTCTCCCAAAGTAAATGGATAGTTTAAAAAAAAATCCAGTAAAGTACTAAGTCATGAAAACTATATTTTCTTGACACTTTTTTCTAAGATGCATAACATGCTTTAATCTTTTATAAAATATAAACATTCTTTCATAATATATGAAGGAATTAAAACAGTGCATTTTATGCACTTGAAACCAAAAGTTCCCAATCTTCCTGCTCGTTAAAGAATGGAAATTAGACTGCTAGTTTTTCTTACTTTTTTAGCAACGTAACTAAACGTGATTTGGATATTAAGTCTCATTTTGGATAATCAAAATACATAAGCATGTGTGTGTGTGTGTGTGTGTGTGTGTGTGTGTGTGTGTATAAAATAAAACTTACAAAATATGTATGTGTGTATGTATATATTAAGCTTGTGAAGTCCTAAAAGCCTGGCAGAGTGGGAGAGACATGTAGCTCCAGTACCAGTAAAACAAACCACATGGCTAATTAAATGTGTTCTATTGATCTCTCCACTAACCGCTGAAAAATACATACAGATTTTCAGTTAATCAGCTAATAGTTTGGCATTCTGCGTGCTATATCTTTCTCACCTATTGTTGTGATTAACTCTATGATTTTAAGCTTTTATTTGTAGATTTGCACTTTACAGACTTCTAAGTCCTTGAAGCAAGCAAATAAAAAAATGTAGCTCAATGAGAACACTGCAAGTTATTGAGAACACTGCAAGTTATAAAAGTGGTCCAAGGAGTTTCACTATTTTTTCCTTGCAATGTCAGAACAGGATGAAAAGCAAATTTGAGGCTATGTTTCTTTCCCTGGAAGAACTATATATATAGTTGACAGGGACCCCCTCTCTTTTCACCCTTGCTGACTTACCACACTGTCCAACCAAGACTTGCTCTCTTTCCCAATCACTTCTTCACGAACCTCTCCCTGAAAAAGTAGAGGTGAAATGTAGGTATTAAAATTTTCCCACCATTTCAGAAATCACAACTCTTCCTAAGAGAAGGAAGGAAACATGAAAAATGGACAAAAGGCTGATCTAGATGTGCTTAATTTAGCAGTCATAGAATGGGAACTCCGTATTTGTATATTTTATATAGTTATGAATATTACATAGTATAGGATGAAAATTCAATAAATAAATGTATTTATTAAATAATTATTTATTTATCAAATAAATATATTAGCCAGTTCACTTATTATCAACTAAATATTGAACCATGGTGAATTGATTTAGGACAAATACAGAAATAAAATAAGGATATTTAAGCCAAACTTCATTCAACTCTGTTGTTTAGTACAGAAATATCATGATTTGATGAAACAAGTTGTTTTCAAATATAGTTTTACATGATGTGAAAGGTATATCAATAAAATATAAACTCTGGGTTTATTATTTTTGACTTATGAATGCTAACTAATAATTTATCTTTTTACTTAAGTAATAATAATTTTGTTAAAAGGCCTGGTTTGGCTGTAGGCAAAGAATTGATTACTCGGAGCAAAAAAAAAAAGTGATGTGTTGGCTCTCATCACTTTCCTATAACTCATGAATATTCACATTTTCCAGAAGATTACTGCCCTTAGTGATTTGGGCTCTTCCTTTTCAAATCTATTGTTATATGTATTATTTTTCTTTTAATTAAAAGAAGGCAATCAAGACTGTTTAACTCAGTTTAAGAAAAAAAAAAAAAACTCTTGCCAAGTTTCTTGAACCCCATTGTATACATGCAAGCTTAAGTTAGAACAAAGACATGACATTATTGTATGGAGTCTAGTAAATGCTTCTATTGTGTCTTCAATTCTCTTCCTAAATGACATTCTCATTTACTTATATTTGTCTCTGTCTTCACAGGTTGCTTACACTGAAAATCAGTTTATTTTCCCCTGGTGCAAAGAACAGTCGTTTCTCCAAAACTGAAGCTGGAAATTATCTGAAATATCAGGTCCTCCGGAAAAGGGACGTGAAGCCCCCTTTGTAATTTCTGCATTAGCGTGCTCTCCTGGCAAGCAGGAAACCTCATCAGAGAAGTCAGCCAAGGAAAGTCTTTAAATGGAAATTGTGCAAACGAGGAGCAAATGCATTAAAAAGTTGCTGACGGGCATGAAATGCTTTGATGTGAAGACGGAAAACTCCAAGCAGGAAGGATTTTAACATTTTGAATCTGATTGACTCTGTGGTTTCTCAGCACAGTTATTCCATGGGCTAAAATAAATGCAGAAATGGTACTTTCAGACCACAGCTGCAGAGGGGATCGTGGTGAATTTCAATGAAAATCCATTTGAATCTTGAGGTTCAGATCTTAAAAAAGCAAAGGACATGAGAGAAGTAATATTGTTGCTTGAAATTTCATTGCTTATATCTAAAAGAAACTCCTATTTTTAAGAGAAATGTTGAATCTTTGCAACGTGGTAGACGCTCCCACAAAACTTTCTCCTGAAATAGGAGATAAATGTTGGAAAGAGGCAATGTATTGAGTATGCTGATAGAGGTGGAGTTCAGAGACAGGCAAGCATACATAAGAGTCAGGATGTTTTTCAGTATTATCTTTACAAATGAGTTTCTTACAGTGGTCAATGACAAACCAATTTCATTCAAAGCTTGCTTCAATAGGCAATGGTTTGATGCCAATATGTTAGCTATTTACTTTGACCACCGTATGCATTAAAAAGAAGAAAAATTAAGAATACTCAAGCAGAACCTCCAACTTAGATAGCACTTTCCACAAAAAGTAATGGAGGGATAGACTGAAGTTAAATGGGATCAGGTATGTGATGAGATCTCAGAAGTGTTTGCACAATAATGCAGATACTCATTTTAAACAGAGTCATAAGGATTGGAACTAATAAAAATAATAGAATAAAATACCGATCAAGAATGTGTCCTCCTGCGTATCTGGGTTTTGAATTCTGGCTCCACAGAACTTGTCAGATATATGACATTAAACAAGATACTTCAACATTCTGTGCCTTCATTTTCTTAGCTGTAAATAGAGATTTTACTAGAACTCTATAAGATTATCATGAGAATTACATTAATATATGTAAAGCTTTAGACATAGTATATGGCACCTAGTAAGCACTCAATTAAATGTTAGTTACCATTAGTAGCAGTGTAGAATTAAAAAACAAAAACTGCAAACTGTAAGTTAGGCATCTGGCTCTGCAAACTAGTGGAATTCCCCAGACCTTATTCTGGCCATCTGTAAAATGAAAGGGTTGGGCTAGATCATCTCTAAATTTCCTTCCAACTTAAAAAACATTGTTCAAAAACACATTTTAGGAGTACGCAAAGTATTTCAGCAGAAGGCGATGTTTTAGCAGAATATTTTTAAAGGCACTTAATCACTTTCACAAAAAATGTGTTTCATGGCTTGTACTTCCTCCTCTATCAACTCCTGTTGGGACTTCACTTGCTGCTATTCCACCGAAGTGGCTCCAGTCAGGGTCACAGGATTTCTACGTTGTCAAGTCCAATGGTCACTTCTTTAAACCTTTGGTACACCCAGTAGCACTTGACACATCTGAATCTGATTTTTTCCTTCTTTGTCCAGTCACCAGCCTTTTTTTTTTTTTTTTTTTTTGAGAGTCTTTGTCTTCTAGGCTGGAGTGCAGTGGCGCAATCTCGGCTTACTGCACCCTCCACCTCCCAGATTTAAGGGATTCTTGTGCCTCAGCCGGGTGCCACCACACCAGGCTAATTTTTGTATTTTTAGTAGAGATGGGGTTTCTCCATGTTGGCCAGTCTGGTCTTGAACTCCTGACCTCAGGTGATCCACCTGCCTCAGCCTCCCAAAGTGCTGGGATTACAGGCTTGAGCCACCCCGCATGGCCGAGATTGTCTTTTTAATAAACATTTTATTTTACTCCTCTACTTAAAATCCTGAAATGGCTTTCCATGACGTTTGTGATCTAGACACTTTTGATCTTATTTTCTACCATCTCTTCTTGTTCTTTGCAGTCCCTTCAGCCACACTGGCCTTCTTTCTGAACTTCAAACACCCCAAGCTTATTCCTTGGATTGGTTAGTACCTTTGCTTAGAATTTTCACCTTAAATCATGGCTGGCTCCTTCTTGGCATTGTTTCAGTATATATGTCTCCTCCTCAGAGAGGCCTCCCTGATTAAATAGTACCCACTTCACTTAGTCTACCTTGCCCTGTTTCATATTCGTAATGAAACGGTCTTATTTTTACCATGTCTATCTCCCTCAAAGAAAGTAAGCCCCATGAGAACAGGGATATTATCTAGCTCAATGCCAAGGACAGGTCCTCAATAAAGCTATGAAGGAAAAGATAAAGAAGCCAGTTCCCCTTGCATCATGTTCAAAGTGTTCTCTGCCTTCCCTAAATTTTAATCACCCTTATTGTCAGTCCCACTTATTTGATATCACACATCATCCTGTATTATTATGAATTTTTTCCTACACATATGTCTTTTTTCTCCAATCATATGATACTTGTGGGATGAGACTATGAGACATTTCAGGTGTCTCAGAAGTGATGAGCCCTTGTTCACAATTATTCACTAAATGTATGTTAAAATATTTAAAGGGAGACAAATTGACTAGTAATTTACAAAAACCTAAATTATGACTGGTCAAAAGGAAGAAAACAAAAAAGTGCTTAAATGTTTCAATGAAAACATGTCCATCCAATGGTTTATATTTTCCTAGGCAGTGGGAAAAGAATGAGAGTTGGACTTCAGTTTTTAAGTGGGCAACCCAAATTGTTTTGGTTCTTTAAAAAAATTGGTTTGTTACTTATGTTAGGAACAATCTCTCTCTAGTCTAAATAGAGATCTAAGGAAATGCAATCTAAAGAAAATCTAGTCTTGGTTGAATATATTTTACTTTACATTTTACATACCTTATTACAGCGAGTACTCACAGGCAAAAGTTCCATTGTATACATTGAAGTCAACAATCATTTGTCTTTTCTGGACTTGACACTCTGCCATGACTCCCCACCATTGTACTTACTGGTTCAAACTCCTTAGCAGGTCCTACCAGACTGTCCAGGATTAAGTCTTTATTCACACCTTAGTCTTACCTCTTATTCTGTCTCCCTTCAAGATCCTCTTTTGTCCAATACCCAACAGACACACATTCGGCTCTAGACACAACAAAAAAGGCAGGCCCCCTAATGAACTCTACCACTATCCCCTCTACACTGTTTTCTCTTACACATCCTGATCTCTTCCCCACCTACCTAGTTAGCCTGGTTTACTCTCCTCTATTAGGTTTTTGCCAAACTGCAATTACTTTTGCACCAACCTAATCATCTTCTCTAGCAGGCCTTCCCTACCCCTGCCTACCTTCTTGCCCAGATTGAATCAGGCCCCATCTATGGATTCTCATAGTACCTGTGCTTACCCACCATAAAGCACATATCACATGACTGAAATTTCCTTACCCAAGATCAAATAAATGAATAGCCCAATTCATTTTTTTAATACTATGCTATAATATGAAGGTTTATGCTCCCCCTTCAAATTCATATCCTGACATTCTGATGCCCAAGGTGATACTATTAGGAGACAAGGACTTCTAGTGCTCTGTTGTTCCTGATCTTAGATGGAAAGCATTAGCTTTTTACCACTAAGTATAATATTAAGTTTAGATTTTTAGTACATGCTCTTTATCAATTTTAGAAAGTTCCTTTCCATTCCTATTTTTCTTAAAGTTTTAATCATGAATGGGTATAAAATTTTGTCAAATGCTTTTTCTGCATTGATTAGTATAGTTATATGATTTTTCTCTTTTAGCCTATTAATATGGCCAGCTATCTTAGCTGATTTTCAAATATTGAACCAGCCTTGTGTTCCTGGAGGAAGCCCATGGTTCTGCCCTCAATAATAAAATCAGTGCCCTTAGAAAAACAGCCTGATAGAGCATGTTTGCCCTTTTCACCATGTGAGTACACAGTTAAAAGGCCCCATCCATAAGGGGTGGGCCCTCAAGCAGACACCACTAGCACCTTATCTTGGTCTTTCCAGCCTCCAGAACAGTGAGAAATAAATTTCTGTTGTTTCTAAGTTACCCCATCAAAGACATTTTGTTTCAGCAGTCAGAACATACAAAGACACCCTATAATACCAAAAACAGGCAAAAATGTACAAAAAATGAAAGGTTTAGGCCAATATCCTTTATGAATATGCATACAGAAATTATTAGCAAAATATTAGCATATAGAATTTACAATATATAAAGAGAATTATACTCCATGACTCCGTGACCAAGTGAGGCTTATTCTAGGGATGCAAGGCTGGTTCAATATTTGAAAATCAATGAATGTAATCAACCATATTAACAGGCTAAAGAAAATAAATCATATGATTAATCAATGCAGAGAAAGTATTCAACAAAAATTTTATACCCCTTCATAATAAAAACTCTTAAAAAAACAGGAACAGAAGAGAACTTCCCAAAATTGATAAAAAACATTTACTAAAAACCTACAGCTAACATTATGCTTAATGGTAGAAAGCTGAATGCTTTCCTCCAAAGATCAGGAAGAGTACAAGGAGGTGACTCTTGCCACTCTTATTCAAAATGGGGATAGAAGTGCTAGTCTGTACAATAAGTCAAGAAAAAGAAAAGGCAGGGAGAATGAAAAGATCCTAAATTAAAACATAAAACTATGAAACTTGCAGGGAAAAAGCACAGAAAATCTTTGCATCTAGGGCTAGACAACTTTTAGATTTGATACCAAAAGCATGGTCCAAATCAGGAAAATTGATAAATTGTGCTTCATCAAAATTAAAAATCTTTTGCTCTGTAAGAGATCCTGTTTCTCTGTTAGGACAATGAAAAGATAAGCTATAGCCTGAGATAAAATATTTTCAAATTACATATCTGATAAATGAGTGCATAAAGAAGTCTTAAAAACTCAATAGTCAAAAAATTAAAAATCCAATTAGAAAATGGGCAAAAATCATGAAGAATAATTTTGCTGCAGATGGTGTACAGATGACAAATAAGCATCTGGAAAGATGCTCAACATCATTAACCGTTAGGGAAATCCAAATTAATACCACAGTATAATTACAAAGCTCTCAGAATGGCTAAAATAAAAAATAGTTGACTACACCAAATGCTGGTGAGAATGTGGAAAAATTGGATCACTCATATGTTTCTGGTGGTAAGATAAAATAGCCTGGACACTGTGGAAAACTGTTTTGCAGTTTCTTAAAAAGCTAAGCATGCAAACACCATACAACTGCACTCCTGGGCATTTGTCCCAGAAAAATTAAAATATTCACAAAGAAACATGTACATGAATGTTTATAGCAGTTTCATTCATAATAGCCACATACAGAAAAAAAACCATGTGTTTCTTAATGGGTGAATAAACCATGGTACATCTATACCTTGGAATACTACTTGTCAATAAAAAACAAACAATTGCTAAATAAAACAACCTGAGAAAATCTCCAGAGAACTATACTGAGTGAAGGAAGAAAAATCCCCAAAGATTACACACTGTATGTCATTTATATAACATTCTTGAAATGACACAATCACAGAAATAGAGAATACTGGTCACTAGGCATTAAGGAAGGTGTGGAAGGATGTAGTGATGGGAGGAAATGTGTATGGCTGTAACAGGGCAACAGAGGCATCATTGTGATGATGGAAGTGTTCTGTATCTTGTGTTTTTGAATGTCATTATCCTGGTTGTGATATTGTACTTAGTAGTTTTGCAAGATATTACCACTGAAGAAAACTAGTTAAGGGTACACAGGATTTTTCTGTATTATTTCTTATAAGTGCATGGGAATCTACATTTATCTCAACATAAGTTTCATTTTAAGAATTATATATTTTCTGAATCTTTAATAATGTGTCAACTAGAATTTAACTGGGTATATTTTTATGATAGAAATCTACCTTACCATGCCCTTTGTCACTTGAGTAATCATATATTACATGACTCAAAGGCACAGAAATCCAGTAAGTAAAGAAAAAAGGTGTCTATTTATCTGGAGACAGGGTCTCACTCTGTTGCCCCAGCTGGAGTGCAGTGGTGCTATCATAGCTCACTGCAGCCTCAATCACCTGGGCTCGATCTCCTCCTGCCTCAGCCTCCCCAGTAGCTGGGACTACAGGTGCCACCACATCCAGCTAATTTTTTATTTTCAGTAGAAATTAGGTCTCACTCTGTTGCTCAGGCAGGTCTCAAACTCCTGAGCTCAAGCAATCCTCCTGCTTCAGCTTCTGAAGTGCCAGGATTACAAGTGTGAACCACTGTGCCCAGTCATGGTTTTTTCTGTTGTCGTTGGGTTTTTTTGGTTGTTGTTTTGTTTTTGTTTTTAAGACTTGCACTGTCACCCAGGCTGGAGTACAGTAGCGTGATCCTGAGACACTGCAACCTTTGCCTCCCAGGTTCAAGTGATTCTTGTGCCTTGCCACCTGAGTAGCTGGGACCACAGCTGTGTGCCACCACGCCAGGCTAATTTTTGTACTTTTAGTAGAGATGGGGTTTTACCATGCTGGCTAGGCTGGTCTTGAACTCCTGCCAGCCTCATTTTAAAACAAATTTTCTAACCAAAAATATACTCACAGGTTGAATTCAATGGCCCAGAAAAAAAGTGAAAGTATAATTGCCTTTATAATACAGTGCAATAGACCATAGAATATTTAAATCTTTAAATGGTTTGGCATTTCCATTGAATTGTTTATATTCTATGCAGACTTGTATTAGTGTTAATCCATTAGCAAACACTAAAATTATATAAGTGCTATTAATTTTATTAGGAAAGAAAGAAGTGTACTTCTTTCTTCTGATATGAATCATGGTAGCGCTTGGATGAACATTAGAGCCTATCCAGCACAATTTTTTCACCTTAAGAGGAAATGGAAGTAGTTGAAATTTAAATGTTGCATCAAAGATGATACAGCTAATATCCAGCACACAAAGCCTCCTACATTGATTCTTAGATATACTTAGAAGTCACAAATGCAAAAGCCTTTTACTATTGTTACAAAACACAGCAAGGAGATATTTATATTCTGTATCGTGTAAAGTCATCCTGGAGTTGGGGATCCAGCCTGGAATTGCTGGGCATCAGGGACAGTGAAGTTGTGCAAGCATGTACATTGTCTAACGCATGCTCGAAGTTATATTTATCTTCAGGACATCCGATTTGACTCACGTTCATTGGTCCTATATTTTTATCGGTTTTAATTAACTATGTCCTTTAGCAATCCTTACCTCTATCTTTCCCTTTTGCATGTGTCAGGGTAATCTCAAGTATAAGTCACCCAGAGAGGAAGAAAATATTTTTTGTTTTATCTTATGTTTGTGGCTACTAATAGCAGTATTAAAAATTAAAGTACAACAAAATATATAAGATTACAGAATCCTAGGAAAATAAAATAGGAATGTGAAAACAGATCTAATGAGGTATTAAACCTCTAGCAGAGAGCCCCCAATCTCTTATCATGTTTCTTTAAGTCATTAGAATTGTCCTGCAGGCTAAAAAGAGCTTCGTTCTGATGATGGCCCCAAATGCTTTTTTCTCCCAATGATGTCAACTTGCAAAGTTTGGCACGTTCTCTTACAACATTCTAATGTCCATTAATGACCTCTTAATGCTAATTGGTACACATTATACCATCTGTAAATTTTAACACATCATGTTATTTTCAACAATACTTGTATCTTCATCCTATTCTGGTATCAGATAAAGCCAACCAGGCAAAGGAAGCCATCTTAAAGCAACACTGGTGTGATTTTGCTCAGTCTGAGCAAGAGATTCTTTGCTGAAAAAAACTACACCTAGATGGGTCGTTTAATTCAACTTTGTGAAGACACTAAAGGATTGATAATGGCAAAGCAGGTTACACAAAGTTTACTGCCTATTTGATTTAAACAATTATTTAGGTGTAGATAAGAAAATACAACTTACAATGGGTTTGTGGGATATAGTTTAGAATTTGCTCTAAAGAATCTGGGATGACTATAACCAGGGCCTTGGTTCCAGTCTAGCCTGGAGTCCCTTCCTTGTGTCATCCAAGTTCACAATTTGTCTTTGTGTGTTTGGTGCAGCTTCAGTCACAGTTGGGGATAAATTGGGATTCAATGTTCACATTCTGAATATGGGTCCTTGTTATATACAAAAATGTTTCTAAATCTGTTATTGGTAACACAGTAAATGAATTGGATTAGGAGGTCATTATTAACAGGTCTGACATCTGTGGGCCTGTCTAGCAGACAGGATGCAAACAGACAACAGAGAGCCTCAAGGAAACAACAAACAAAAATCAACATGAAACAAAAATATCTGGCCATAAAGATGCAGAAGATGAAGACTTTCGGAGTAGACTTGTAAATTGGAGCGAACAGTGGGTCCAGGCACAGTGGGAGCCCCACCCACACCCCGTAACAGTCCTTCTAACCTTCCCCATCCAACATTCTTGCCTACCCTGACAGGGAAAGGACTGCAGTTAAGGGTCCAGTCCTACTGTGGGATTTCTCCTGGGAGCGCGCTGGTCATGAGAAGTGAATAGAGTTTCTCTTCATTCCCCACGAAGAGAGAAGAGCCCCAGGGGTCGGTGAATCTGAAGGATCAGCTGCAGCAGTCGGAGGAGAAGGTAGAGAAGGGCGAGGCTGACCTACACCTAGACAGAGGTGCCCAGCTCTTATGCGAGCAGCAACAGGGACCTAGAGCCAGCCTGACGCTCACCCCAATGCACACACACCAATCACCTGCGGAGGCTTTCTCCTGGATTTCCTCCTAATCCAAGATGCAAGGCTCAAATGTTAAAATATTAGGTATTGCTCCAAAGTTGTCTCACTGCTTAGAAATGCCTGAGACATCCTGCAGGGGGCCGACCTCCTCTCTCATCGGTGCTCTCAGCCCCTCTGCTCTCTCCTTCCGGTTGGTGCTCTTTGAGCAGCTAACTCCACTTTCTGATTATCCTGAAGTGAATTCCTAGTTGGAATCCAGGTGGAAAAAAAATCTAACAGCCAAAACGTGGACTCCTTAAGGTTTTGTGCATACAAGTGATGTGAGGATGAATGAAAAGAAAAACATTTATCTGGTAACTAATGTTTTTGTTTGTTTTTGTTTTTTGAGATCGAGTCTCACTCTGTCGCCCAGGCTGGAGTGCAGTGGTGCGATCTCAGCTCACTGCAACCTCCTCCTTCCCAGGTTGAAGCGATTCTTCTGCCTCAGCCTCCCAAGTAGCTGGGACTACGCGCACGTGCCACCACGCCCAGCTAATTTTTGTATTTTTAGTAGAGATGGGGTTTCTCCATATGGGCCAGGCTGGTCTCAAACTCCTGACCTCGTGATCTGCCCACCTTGGCCTCCCAAAGTGCTGGGATTACAGGAGTGAGCCACCATGCCCAGCCACTAATGGTTATTTTTTTAAGAGATAAATAGCAACGACTATTTTTTGTGAGAAGCTGTACTTGATGAGTTCTTACTAAATTTAAATATAGAAAGTATTAGCTCATCCAATATAGTAAATCCCATGTGGACAATAAGTAGTTCAGAAACAGATTAATCACATTGAAATAATTATTAACCTAATTCTTTTAAAATTATTAATAACCATTAATATTCTCTTTTAAAAATTCATGGTCAGGCGCGGTGGCTCACGCCTGTAATCCCAGTACTTTGGGAGGCCAAGGTGGGTGGATCACTTGAGGTCAGAAGTTTGAGACCAGCCTGGCCAACATGGTGAAACCCCATCTCCACTAAAAATACAAAAATTAGCCAGGCATGGTGGCATGCGCCTGTAATCCCAGCTACTCAGGAGGCTGGGGCATAAGAATTGCTTGAACCCAGGAAGTGGAGGTTGCAGTGGGCAGAGATCATGCCACTGCACTCCAGCCTGGGCAACAGAGCAAGACCCTGTCTCAAAACAAAACAAAACAAAAATGCACTAAACTCTTTCATAACCATTCTATACTTAATTCTGATAGCAATACCACTGGGCAAATATTTCTATTCTTACCAATACTTTCTACCTCAGGAAACTGTGTGTTCTGTGAAAGTAAAGATCTTGGAAAACTTTTTGTAAGTCTAGACTGGGTGCCTAGGCTTAGTAAAGCATTCAGCAGGTAGTTGGTAGAACCAGTAGCTGAACCAAGGACTTGAAAGTTTATTATTCAGTTTGGAGATTAGAAAATTTATCAGCTACAAATACTGTGAAGACTAATTAGTAATAAGCTTGACATTTTACTAAATGCCATAACTCTTTGTATTTCAACTTCCACTTTTATTCTTATCAGCTGAATAAAAAATTTTTGATTCCTTAAAGATAAAACTAATGAATATTTCTATATTAACCATAAAAATATTAACATTCTGCAAAGTAAGGTTTAGAATGGCATTTCATCAGAAATTAAATTGAGCCAGTTAATGTGAGAAGACTTTTATTTATTCTGTATGTATTTTTTTTTATGTAGGAAAGAATTCAGTTAGCTTAAACTCTTATTCAGAAAAGTAGAAGAACATTGCATGGTAGATCCAGACCAGAGTTTATTTCTTAGGGAAATATGTAGGTGTAAAGGTTGGGATATCTGATTAACAATTCATAAACCTTTTGCAGAAATCCCTATCACTTAAACATAGGAATACATTTGTCATTCCTTAGGACTTAATATTTACATTAAATGAAATACATTTGTCTGTTTTTCCTTGTTTTTTATTATTATTAATCTCTTGGTTCTAGAGAGACAATATGGCACAACTATTTCACATTGACCTAGGATGGCTGTGCCTTTGGACTTCATACCAGGCTGTCCTATGATTCATTAAGCATTCTCAGCCATTCTCAGGAAAGGATTTTCTGCTTCTCCATAACCAAGCATTCAAAAGATGCTGACATGCCACAGTCCTCACACTTAGATTCCATATCTATATCACTGATGTGGTCCTAGAAACTTACTAATAACCAAAATTTACAGATCTAAATATTTGTTACCTTTGGCCACAATGCTGCTCTCTACCCAGATCTGTCACTGTCAGGACCTGAGAGTTTATTCAAATAGTTGAACAGCTAGAAAGGTGGTACCACTTGTTAGATTGCTTTATAGCCTCCAAGACTATGGATGAATAGTTTTGAAGGAATGAACCATGAGTCTCCTCCTGGCAAATCTTAAACTCTTATATAGTTGAATGGTATTTTTATATTGGCCATAAAAGTGTCGTCTAAGTAGTTTTTAAAAACTTTATTGGAGGATGTCGTATTTTAGGAAGTATTTGAATAATAGAGAGTGTTTTCAAACTGGAAGACCAAAGAAGGACATAAAGAAAAAAATGGTTCCAAGAACAGATGTAACTTGAAAAAAGCATCTGAAGCTGGAGTCGAATTATCAGGCAAGGACTGTAAATATATTTATCTAAGACAAGTGGTCTTTGATGAAGATGAGGAATTTATAAATTAATAGAGATAAAAAATTAGTTAAAACACTCTAAACCCTTAGTACTTTGAATAAGCTATATGCATTCCTTTTAGTTTTGTTATGCATAGCATTGAAAAGAATGGAATGAAAGGAGACATTTGAATGTATTTAAGTATCATGAAATGATACTTGTAGTGCTTCTAAAATAGATAATTGTTTTATAGTATAAGTGACAGAAAACAAACTCCCCAAATAGAAGCATGAAATCCATTTGAAATAGCTAAATCAGCCAAAATTTGTATTACTAACTTGAAATACGTTCAATCATTTTGTCAAGCACATATTCTCTTTATTTTCTTGACTTGGATATTTGAAGGAAGATGTAATCCATATGGTTTTTATTCTTTTACACTTGAGGTATTAAAATGGGGCTCAAACTAAGTATTCACATATCAAGAGCCAGTTATTTCTCTTAAAACATCTCTTTTCTTGGTGAAAGTAATTCACACTATATTATAGCCCAAAGTTGTTAATTCATACATCAACTCCTAGTCCAGAATACACATATTCTCTTAACATATCAGAAGATGTTTCAAGTTTTACAAACAGCCATCCAGCACAATTAAAGATAAGTTCTTGCCTTGTCTGTCACTATTAATGACCACTACAAGCCATGACAAAAATCATAAACAATCATTCCTATTTAGCTCTGAATTTCAAGGCTCAGTACATTTTATTATATATATCCTAGGATATTTCAGATTTAGAAGTTCCTTTATGCCTCTTATTCAGTTTTTATAATTTTATTTTTATCAAATATAGAGGATGCTGCCATATGCTCTAAAAGGCAAACAAAATAAAAAACAACACAAAACCAAAACACATAACTATTTATGAGTATAAAGCCTCATCTAACACTATAGTATCCCTTGATTTCCAGATCAGCTTGTCTTGTTCATTAAATTTATTTTATTTGCAATGGGTTATGTCATTCCCCTCCTCAATAGATGTCTTCATTGCCATTTTTTGTAGGAAAAAAAAAAAAAAAACAGAGAAAAGAAGAAAGATCACGTTGCAGCACTGGGAGCAGATATCACAGGCTTCCTTGCCAACAGACTTCCCGAAGGCACAGTTGGCACATTGTCTGAGATGACAGACAAGATGCAAGGGACTCCTGTGACCCTTACAGGGGAAGCTTCTGCTGTGGCTGGTAGGATGGTAGCTTTAACTCATCCTCCATAATACCAAATGTCACTTTGTGGGGGTAGCCTTCTGGCATTGACACTTGTTTTTGTATGCCATAGTTCAAAGTACCACACTACGAAATAGCTCCAGAATGTGCCTTGTAACATTTAGTCACAATAAGGGCATTTACATTCTTCCCAAATATCCTTTCAAAAAAAAAAATCAGTAGATTCACACTCTTGAGTGAGATGCAAAATTGCAAAGGGTTCAAGATATGTTCTTGGTCCTTAGAACAGAAAACATATTCTTCTTGTACTCTGTTTAGTGAGTTCAGTTAAGGCTATTAGTTTCTGAGCTGTTTTATAAGCCAGGAGTCGGCCCACTGCTGTCTCCCTTGACTATACATTCAATAAATAGAATGTGATTATACAAAACTAAATTTTCCAGAACCATTATTGAAAGTGCCATAGGAACGTCTAATTAATAAGAATACTATAGAGGAATAATCAGGATATTACGAATTAAATCCTGTCCCTCCAAAAGATACATTCAAGTACTAAGTCCTGGTACCTGTGAATGTAACCTAATTTGGAAATACAGCCTTTGCAAAGGTATTTCGTTTAAGGCTGTACTAAATTGGGGGAAGATGCTAATCCACTACGACTAGTGTCTTTATCAAAGGAAAAAATTTGTACATAGACGTGGAAACAGGGACACAGAAGAAAGAACATTATGCGAAGACAGAAGTGGAGATCGGGGTTGATGCTGCCACAGGTGAAGGAACACCTGGGCTACAAGAAGCTGGAAAAGGCAGGGAAGGGTTCTCATCTCAAAGTCTTTGAGGCAGCAAGGCCCTCCCAACAACTTGATTTTGGACTTCTACCCTCCAGAACTCAGAGAGAACAAATCTCTCTTGTTTTAAGCTACACAGTGTGTGGTATTTTGTGGCACTCCAGGCAGCTAGAGGAATAAGTCTTTGAAGCTTGCAAGGGAGTTCTGGTGGTGTATCACAGTGTCCACCTCAATGGATTAATTTGTAGTCATCAACATAAATAAATCTGGATTTTTAAAAGGGATGAAGCGTGTTTTCTGATAAACTAAAATCTCTATGTTATATAGAAGACGCACAATCACTAATGAAGATACACTTACACAACCTAAGTGCCACAAAGAATCCTCTTCCAGAAATATCCTTCCAGGAGAGGCCATCTCTCAAGCCTACTATTTGTTACACTCTTCACTGTAAGGATTGCATAACCTATAGCCCACTGAATGTGAAGAACATGTGCAAAATCCTGGTATTTCAATTGTTAGCGCTTTTCAGGTATGGCTTTATAAGACAAGCACTGATGACAACCACTTATATTCAATACAAAGAGTTTTGTGTTTAGCCACTTGAGAACAGGGATTACTTTAGATAGATCTTAGTATTCCAATAAACTGGCACAGTATCCACCACATAGTGAGTGCCAAAAATGGTTGAGGAAGTTGTAGACATTAAATATGTGTAAGTGGTTGGTTAAACATGAGGGAGATAACCTGTAACTGAAAACCGAGTAAAAGTATTTAATATCAGGTTGGTGAAAAAGTAATCGTGGTTTTTACAATTACTTTTAATTTACATTACTTTATATGTATGCAAACAACATAGTTTGCAAGGATATTCACATACATTATTTAATTTTCAAAACAACAGTGTCAAATAGATATTATTGTGTTTTATGGACAGGAAATTGAGGCTCAGGTAATATCAAGTGAAATCCCCAAGATCATATAATTAATAAATACTGTAAAAACGGTAGAAGTGACTCACATTTCCAATCTCCATGCTATCTCATATACTCTAATTGCCTCTTGGGGAAACATAGGCTGGAAGAAGACCAGGCCTCATTGTAAACTCTCGAGTGCCCAGAAATTATTTACTTCAACTATTTCTATCACAGTTTGTCCACTTTAAATGGGGTAGAGATTTTCTGAAACCTCCTTTCTCATTTGAACAATCTGAGAATACATGTGTTTAGGCTTAAATCATACCAGAAACTGTCAGGCAGAACAGTCCCTTTGTAAGCCCAAGGATTATACAACTTTAGTTGTATAATTTAGTTGTATGATTATACAACTAAAATTTTAACCAGATACAGTCCCAAATGAATTATGTTAATTCACTCTATTATTTCTCTTTTTAAGATTACAGAAATTTTATGCCAATTTTATCTACATTATGCTGCAATATTCTAAATATCCCTAATTAAATACCAACTATTTTGATGAAATATTTTCTTTAAAGTCATCATTTATTATCATCTGATATGAAAACCATTCCTACTAGACACTGGATGCTTTAACTGCCCAGCATCTCTCTAATATGAAGTAACAGGTCCTGAACTCTGCCCCTACCAGCATGTCCTTCAAAATCATCACTATGGGAGGAAGCATAAGAACAATGCAGCTGTGTCTTCTGGGCCCAAGCTTGGTGAATCCCAGTACTTTCCTAGGAATCTGGAATTTGGACCTGAGAATCAGAGATGTCAGGGGTCATTCAAGCTGCATCACATAACTGCAGTGTTCTAGGAAGGAGGTCCAGGATGCCTGGCTACCAAATTCCCTGAAGCTCGTCGTCTTAATATAAAGTTGCTTGTAAGATATTCTGAAAGACTAGCCAGAAATAAATCAGCCAAAAACTAATTCTGAGAGCATAAGCCTGACCAGAATAAAATTTAACTACCTCATTACAAATGAAATTTCAAAACTCATTTGGACATTTCATAATGAAACCCATCATCTATAGTACAAGCCATGCTATGGATGACAAAAAAATTAATAAGTCACACTTAACACTATTGAACTGTATACTTAAAAATCGTTAAGACAGTAAATTTCATGTTATGTGTTTTTTATCGCAATAAAAATTTCTTTAAAACCATCCCCCAAAAGTAATATAGAATTAACATACTAGTTATGAATATAGTATTTATCCAGATGAAGTTTCCTCTTTCCAGTTGATGAGGATTTAAATTTGTTGGTCATGACAAAGAGATGAGGCTCCAAATGTGGCCCTGAATAATAATAAATTGTACTCTTGAAGAAATTGATATACACTAGCAGTGATGTGCCGGTCAAAGTTTAACAATCAGCTCTCAAACAATAAAAAAGCTCTGATTTTGTAGCACTGGTCAGTTTCCATGATATAAATATTCCCATCATGGCCTATTTCAAGCTATTTATGTGGCGTCAGTCAACACAGAGTTGTGAAGAGATGCAGACAACTGGCTCTCTTGAGAGGGCTTCAGCATACCACGGGGGTCATGGAAAACAAAACCACCCCAGATATCTCCTGTGTCATTTCATTTATTTCAGGCTCAAAATGTATTGATGTAAGGAAATGAGCCTAACAAGTATGACGTGGCTACTGTGTGCCAGACCCATTTAAAATGATCTAATTTTATAATGTTATGTATACCACTGAATTGTACATTTAAAGGGTGAATTTTATGGTATGTGAATTATATCTCAATTTAAACAAATGTTCTGTATAATTCCTCATCACACAATTGACTATATTTCAGGAAAGATTTTTTTCCATATTAAAAAAAAATCCTTTTAAGTTCGCCCAAATGAAAGATTGCAGACAGTGAAAAGTCATTATCTTTTTCATCATGGGCACTGTTGTTACCTGAATGCTTACCTAAATTGCATGCTGTAGCAGTTTATAGTGTTCACCTCTGGGGCACAAGTAACAAGAGGGTAACTTGGAAGTTTCTCCTGGTAGCTTAATGTTAGGGTGCAGTCTGTAAACCTGTCAGCTCTTTGCCTTTCATAAAAACTGATGTTGGTATTTGTAGAAGGTTATTGGTCCCAGCAAGAATCACAGTCGATAACTGTTCCAGTTGTGCTTCAAAAGAACCAATGATGTTATAGAAGATGAGAGCTTCAATTTTTATCTGTATGACAATTTAAATATATTTAACCATTCTTTTAGAAAATTATATTCTCATTATTAAAACAATGATGCAAGTTACAATACTAAAATCATAAAATTCTGGACTGAAGAATGCCTACAAATTTATTCTGACATATTTCTTTTATAGACGAAAAGAGACGCCGGGCGTGGTGGCTCACGCCTGTAAACCCAGCACTTTGGGAGGCCGAGGCGGGTGGATTATGAGGTCAGAAGATCAAGACCATCCTGGCTAATACGGTGAAACCTCATCTCTACTAAAAATACAAAAAATTAGGCAGGGGTGGTGGCAGGCACCTATAGTCCCAGCTACTCGGGAGGCTGAGGCAGGAGAATGGCGTGAACCCAGGAGGTGGAGCTTGCAGTGAGTAGAGATCGCGCCACTGCACTCCAGCCTGGGCGACAGAGTGAGACACCATCTCAAAAAAATAAAAATAAAAATAATAGATGAAAAGAGAATTATCTAATAATAACCCTTTTCTCTTCAAAAGAGAACTAGAACTAGCAACTAGAGAACTCATTAGTTACTTGAACCCTGGCTCCAGCTTCCTCCTCACCACCCTGCCATGTGGCATTGAAATTCAGAACGTTTTCCTAAATTCCTACCTTAATTTCCCATTCCAGAAACAGCAGACTTCTTCAATGAAATCTTCTCTGTTTTGTACATTTTCAGTATAGTAGTTCCCCCTTATCCACGGTTTTGCTTTCCACAGTTTCAGCTACCCAGGACACCATCTGAAAATAAGTGAGTAGAATATATTAAGATTTTTTTTGAGAGAGAGAGCATATTCATGTAACTTTTATTATAATATATTGTTATCATTGCTCTATTAGTGTTGTTAATCTCTTACTGTGCCTAATTTATAAATTAAACTTTATCAAAAGTGTGTATTTATAGGGGAAAACATAGTATATATAGTGTTTGGTACGATTCAAAGTTTCTGGCATCTACTGGGGATCTGGGAACGAATCCTCCTCTGTTATAGGGGGACTACTGTACATCTAGATATTTACATCATTAAGAAACAATGCTTGGAACATACTAGGTTATCAAGAGTTAATGCATATCTTTCAACTTAATATGATTCGGCTCTGTGTCCCCAACCAAATCTCATCTAAATTGTAATTCCTACATATCAGGGGAGGGACTAGATGAGAGATGACTGGATCATCGAGGTGGTTTCCCCCATGCTGTTCTCATGATAGTGAGTTCTCAGGAGAGCTGATGGTTGCAAAGTGTGGCACTTCCTCTTGTCACACTTGTGTAAAAGGCACCTGCTTCCCCTGTGCCTTCCGCCATGATTGTAAGTTTTCTGAGGCCTCCCAGCCATGCTTCCTGTTAGGCCTGCGGAACTGCGAGTCAATTAAACCTCTTTCCTTTATAATTACCCAGTCTCAGGTAGTATTCTTTATAGCAGTGTGGGAACAGAATAATACACAACTCTCAATTTCTCACTTCTAATAATGAAACTTACAACTTATGTTGAATCTAGTGTCCACAGTTTCAACTATAAGTTTGATTTCATACTATTCAATATATATGAATACACACACATTAACATATATATATATCTACATACTACCTCAAACAGTTGTTTTTGCACTGGTTCTGCCTTTAAAGGTAATTGGCGGCTGGGCGCGGTGGCTCACGCCTGTAATCCCAGCACTTTGGGAGGCCGAGGCAGGTGGATCACCTGAGGTCAGGAGTTTGAGACCAGCCTGGACAACATAGTGAAACCCCATCTCCACTAAAAATACAAAAATTAGCTGGGCATGGTGGCATGCACCTGTAATCCCAGCTACTGGGGAGGCTGAGGCAGGGGAATTGCTTGAACCTGAGAGGCGGAGGTTGTGGTGAGCTGATATCGCACCACTGCACTCCAGCCTGGGCGACAGAGCAAGACTCTGCCTCAAAAAAAAAAACAAGTAATTGGCAATAAGGTATAAAAGTTGACAGTGTTACATGCTAGTCAGCAAAAGGAAAATTTTAGATTCCAACCATATCATCACCAATATAGCTAGTAATAGTGGCTAAACTTCCTGGAGCACTACATTTCATACCTTAAATGATTGTCATAATTTTAAAAGTAGGAGCTCTTATTAATCCCATTTTTTACTCAAGGAAATTGGGAAAAAGAAAAGGTAGCTTGCCTACTACTACATGTTGCAGCCCAACCTTGAACACAGGTAGTCATCTCTACGGCCTTGGGCACTTCATATGAGGTCTACACAGCCCTCATCAATGAGGTCTAATTAGCCCCACCCTAACCTTTTACAGTTGCAAGGAATGCTTTCTGAAAAGCAGATGAAGTACTGGGGGCTAAGGAGGAGTGATGGAGATGCCAGAGAACAGAGGCTCCTACATTCCTTCCTTCTCTCCCTCATTCCCTCTCTTCTAGGGATGGAATTAATGTCCATCTGCCCCTACAGTCCACAAACTCCTTAGGAGCATAACTATAGGACTTTACGGTATTCGGCATTGTATCTCCAGCATCTAGTATAATACCAAGCACATAATAGGCATTTGATATTTATGGAATGAATGAATCCTTTCAGGTTTTGAGTGTTAAATGAAAATGCACAGGACATGAAGAATTTGCCACAATATCTGACATGTTCTAGGTGCTTAATAAATATTAGTTACTGTTATTCTACTGTTCTTATCTACTGTTACTATTATTTGTCTATAGAATAACCTTAAGCAGAGTAAAGGTTCTATTTCATTGCTCCATTGTTTATTTTATTGATCCCCTGTTACCTGATCTTTAAATGGGTCCCATTTTATTCACAGAACAGAGTCAACATGAGTGTGAGGACGGTCATTATTATTCTCAACACACATGCAACAATTACTTTTCAATGAATTTTTAGAAGTGAAATTGCTGGGTCAAAGTGTATACAAAATTCTAAGGCTTTTGATTTTTATAAAGAGAACCACATTTTTAAAATCTCTGATAAAAGTTAATCATCATGACTCAAAATAGATTTGCCAATCTATTACCCTGGAATAAAATGATTCAATAGAAGAGAAAAGCTATTTGCACAAGGAGATTTCTTTCAACTCATTTCAATTGTCAACAAATACAAAATTACTGAAACATCCAGCAATAAGGTACTGTTTAAGTTACTATACATCAGCATAATGGAATATTATACAGCCATTAAAATAAGTCTAATGACTATATAGCAACATGGAAATGACAGAAACATGGGGAAATGTTTGACACTAATATTAAGTGAATAAGGAGAACAAATAAACACTGAAAGAAAATTTTCAAGACTAAAAACAGTAATGATGAGTCATCTTTTTCTTTTCCAAAAGCAATTGAGAGAAGTGACCACATTCTAATAAGCCTTTTATGTCAGACAGGAGTGGGCCACATAAATTGGATCATTCTGTGAAATCAAAACTAAGGTTCACTATTTTTAAACCTGCCATTAACGTGTACTACATGTTAGTTGGCAATAAGTATTGTAAAGTAATTAATTTAAGATGTTAAAAATTGAGTTTCCAACAAATTAGCGAAACTGAATTATAAATTCATTCTTCTCACATCTATTGCCATCAGCCTTTTGTGTTGGTATAGCACTTTGTGTTAACATAGCAGTCAGAAGGCATGGATGGTATTTATAGTGTAGGCTATTAAAATACTGTAGTAATGCAATGAAGAATATCCTTGTTCTAATCATCTTTCTTTCTAGGAAGCTGGTTACAGCCCACTTGAGTTCTCTTTACCACCTCTGGTGGGGAGAGCATGGGGATATAAGTCCTTTCTATTTCTGCTTAATTATCAATGGCTCAATCTTAAGTCCAGGCAAGAGGCTTTTGAGCAAGTATCAAAAAGAAGTACTTAAATTCTGAGCATGGAGCCATTTTGAAAGTTGGATATCCTTGTCAATTACCTAACATCTTCAAGTCTTCACGTCCTCAGCTACCTATGAAAATAATACCACCTAATGTTATATAGAGGCTGTGTGGATTAAATGAGAGAATAGGGCAATGAGCCTGCCAAAGAGAAGGCACTGCCATGTTCATGCCCTCCCCTTTCTATGCTGCAAGTCCATAGCAAATGCTCCTCAGTGGCTCTTACCGCTTTCAGGTCAAGGACTCTGGGAATTTTAGGGAATCTAAGGACCCACTATATAGAAAAAAAAGCAGACCCACTCACACAAAATGCAGCACATGATTTCAAGGGTTACACAAACCTCAGGGAGGATCTTCCATGGACTGCCTAGGCTTCCACAGATCAATGGTTAGGAAATCCTTGGTCAGTACAAAGTCCCCAGGGAGGAACAGTGAAAACAAGTGTGGAAAATCACAAGAACAAAGAGAGTGGGAGGTGAAGGATTGAAGGAAAAAAAAATAAGTAAAAGAAGATAAATGAAAAATGGAAGAAAGGAAAGATGTGGAAACTTGGTTCGGGAAGAGAGAATATGTAAGAATATGGACCCATTTGCAAGCCATTGTCCCTGTTGTGGCCTTAGAAACATTTGACAACAAAATGTACCCTAATCCTAAATATAATCAAATTCTAAAAGCCAAATTGACCTTCCAGATGTTGAGGGTGAATAATTAAAGTCAGTCCTTTCCCAGCCCCACATTCAGTGCATTATACTGATGAAGGTTTGCTTTTGTGCTTGGCTTCACTGCTTTAGAATTACAGAACCACCATTTCTGGAGGCTTCTTTGAACCACATTCACAAACAGATTAGCTTAATTATTTACTGCTTTCCTAACTCAGATGAAATGGTTCTGTTAAGGGAAAAAAAGTTACTCCCAGAAAAGACAAGACAATATCCAAGCCAAGTGAGAGCTCTCTGCTGGGTCTTTGCTGCCCTCTTTGTTGCCGTTTCAGCCCAGATTCAAAGGCACATTTCTGGCGTATCTGTTTTCCTGCTCTTCTCCCTTCCCTATTGTTAGCCTTCCCAAATAAAGGAAGAGGGCCTACTTCACCATGCACCCTCAGGGCTGGAGTCAGCAGACCCCAATATAGTGGCAGGTCTCCCGTCACTCTCACATGGCCTTGTTTCCTGCCTCTGGGCATAAGTAGAATTTTCTGTCAGTGAAACCACCAGAATGGGATTTTACCAGGGTTCATACTTCAACCCAGTGGTTCCCCACCAGAGACCATTTTGCCCCCAGAAGTCATTTGCAATGATTGGAAACATTTTTGGTTGTCATAACCAGTGAAGAAAGAGAAGATGGAATCTGGTAAGGAGGGGCCAGAGATGCTGTTAAACAATGCACAAGACAGCCCCCTAGCCCCCACCACAATAATAAATTAGCCCCAAATCTCAATAATGGCAAGGCTGAGAAACCTAACTCCAAAGTTAGAATATGGACATTTGAGAGAGATGTTTCCATCCGTAATTCTCTTGCCTCAACTCACACCACCACAGTATTTGTCTAATGTGTCTTTCTCTTTAGCTACACACTCAACTCTCTTATGAACCTCGAAACTTCATTTAAGTGGGTTCTCTAAAGAAAACAATATAGTATGCTTCCCTATTCTTATGAGTCTGGTGCCTAGGAAGAAAGATGACTGAAATAAACTCCAGGAAGGAATCCCCAGTGCCACTTAAGAACCAACTGAGTTCGAAAAGATACTTAATCTCTTTGAGCCTGAACATAATAAGACAGTGGATCTTGCAAGGGTGTTGGGATTAAACAATATCTATCTGTGTCTGATCCAGTGCTTGTTGAAATAGGTGCTCAATAAATGCTATTAATACTTAATATCAATCGACTCCAAAGTGTATTGTACATCATAATTAACCTGAGGATATTGTTAGAATTCACATGCTCAGGCCCCATCCCCAGAGGTTCTGATTTTCTATGCCAGGAATGTTTGTCTAGCATCTGCATTTTGTAGAAGACACCAGGTGGTTCTGATCTACCTAATCCATGGATCACATAGGACAAACGCTGTTGCCCAGGGGTTGGCACTGAACTTCCCCAAATATTCTGAAACAGACACACTGGTTCCTTAACCTCCAGAAAGGTGGCAACACTGGGACATTCTTTCTTGCCTCCCTTTTCTCTAGAATCTAAGTTTCAGGATAATTAATCTGATGAGTTATTTTTCCCAACATGATGCCCTCCTCTCTCTCTGTTAGCTACAGACTCATGGATGTTTTTATCTCTTATTCTGAAAAGAAAATTTGGCCAAATGAGCCAGCAGATAACAACTTGGGAAAGAGGAACTGATATATGCTGACTTACCCTTGGAGAGTATCACGGTGTCAAAAAAAAAAAAAAAAAAATCTGGCTTTAGTGTCAAACAGACTGGAGTTTCTATCTGAGCCCTGCCCTTTGCTTACCCTCTGAGCCTCAGCATTCTTAGGTGTAAAATGGCAATGCAAACACCTATTTCCTCCACTAGCAGGTGTTCTCAATTAACTGCTCTGCATGGGTTGGTCATTCTGGGATTAGTTCCTCTTGTATATGGCCAACAATACAAGTTACATATCCATTCTTCCTTTTTTGCTACCAGAATTCCAGCATTTAGTGAAGGGAGGGAGACAGCAATGTACCCAGTTTAAAAAAACAACATCCTTCATCCTTATTTGCAGCTAGGAATGGCCATATGACATAATTCTGACCAAGAAGACCCAAGATGAATTCAGCTGAGGGTTTCTAGGAAAGTAGTCTTTTCTGTCCCCTTCTTGTTGCTTTCTCCTTTTCTTCCTCCTCTTATTATTATTCCTCTTTCCACTATTGGAATGTGTGAGGCTAGGGGTGGCGTGGCCAAATTGCATCTGTGATGACGAAGGTCCATGCTAAGGATGATGGAACAAGAAGCCTGAGTCCTTGGTAGGGTCCGTAAAGCAGCTGTATCAGCCTTATACTGTCCACCCCTAGACTTGATGCTACTTGACAAAAATAAGCCTCTGTTTAAGCCACTGTTATTGGGTTTCGGAATACATACGACAAAACATAATCTCTAACCAAACTACTGCCCCTGGAACAGAAGTGCTTCATCCCAGCCAGAAGATCACTGGCACTGGCAACATCCAGCCTTTCTAGGTTAAGCCTCTTGTTTTTGTAGCTCTCCTCTTTGCTTGGACTTTTCTAACTTGGATCTGCCCCCTGGAATACTGTGCTGCAAACTGGTTTATTGGGTGATTTTTTTCTACCTGCTGTTTGCCCTAAAAATCTTTGCTCTATTTTTCTTTCTGAACTCACTTATCTTCCTGGTTCTGATGTCATTTTTCTGCCAGAACGAAATGGGTATGTCCCTATAAGGAAGGTCTTCAGAGCTGAGATTAGGGCATGCAGTGAATTGCAAAGGAGTAAAATTTAAGGAGGCACTCACTCGCAGGTCGCAAGTGAAGGGTTGGTGTGTTAAGAAGTTGAGTAAGTACCTACTTAAATTGCCTCACAAGCCTCATCCTATTTGCCCTAGACTGACTGTCCTTTCCCTCTACACCTGTCCAGGCTTGTCCCCACTACCGCCTTCAAGTTCAGTGCCTTTCCAACTGAAGTTTTTTACTACTATCTTTTTGTGAAATCTCTATGATGGATACAGTGTTTATTTAATGTTATGCAATAGAATTGAAAATACCAGAAAGCATCCGACATAGAATACATATCATTACTTTTGTTTCAGCTATACAGATAAGTATGAGGTGTACAAGTGCATTACTAGGTAAAATGTAATACTCTAAATTATAGTTCAATAATTTTTTTCAATTCTTTTTCCTGGCCTATCCTCCGCCTCCATCCAGGTGTCTCACCTTCTACTCACCATACAAGCTATCTACTAAATTTCACCTGAAAACTTAGCTTACATAAGCTTATATAACATTTAGCATATATTAGCTACAATGAGCTTATGTATGTGCTGCTATGTAATGTCCCCAGCCCCCCAAAGTCTAATGTTGTTCAAAATTATGGATTCCTTCATAAAGGTATGGACCAATGTATCACGAGTACTTAACAGCTTATCTTTACTGTTTATATTATAAAAGATTGTTCACCTTCTTATGACAATTAATATTTCCACATGTATTCCTTTGAAGAAGTGGACTTGATAATTTTAGAGTTTTGCTATCACAGTGTAGGTCAAGCCTGTATTTTTATGTTAGGAGCTTTTGGGAACATCAACCTAGATTTTCAAAATTTTCTCTCTGAAAGAGCCACACCTCAAATCTTCTAACGCTTGAGGTTTCTCAGCTCTGCTAGAAAACATAAAAGGTATCTGAAATTCTTAGAAGGACTCAAAGTAACAGGAACCTTGATTTCTACCGTTTAGATTGGCGCTAAAATCTTCACAAGGGCTTATTAGGGCTTACGTTATCTATTCCATTTGAGAAGCTAAGCATCACACAAAGCCAATAAAAAACCTAGGAGACATCTACTGTAATTCTATGTAACGTATGAAACAAATGAAATGTATTATCTGAAGGATACAGACCTTAAGACTACAACCAAGATGAGGAAGAAAAAGTGTATGTAATTGAAAATGCAGCAAATATATCAGAGTTACCCAAATAGCTGATAGAAGGTAAAGTACATCATTGCAAGATGTGGCCTAATTGAGCTAATTTATCACTTTTGCACCTTGGCATACCAAAGGCAATTATGTCCACACAAGTACCAAGGACAAGAAGATGCAAAAATTAAGAGAACATTTTTAAAATTTGGATTTCTGATGCTCGAAGCCCTAATTAAAGTGTTGTCCACTCCCTAAGTAACAAATGCTTGCTGTACCTGGCATATTTTAGGCTCTCAGTGAATGTGTGTAGAAGCAATGAATAAATATTTGAACAAGGATATGTAAATTCAGATACATTTCTCCTTTATTTTTTAAATTTTAGAGACAGGGTGGTCTTGCTATGTTGCCCAGGCTGGTCTTGAACTCCTGGCCTCAAGCAATCCTCCCACTTCAGCCTTTCAAAGTGCTGGGATTATAGGGGTGAGTTACCGCACCTGGCCCAGATACATGTTTGATCCTTCATATATAGCAAGCTACCAACAACAATTTCTGGATTTAAAAATCTAAAAGTATTCATAAGAGTATCTTTTCCATTCATTTGCAATCATATTGGAATTCAGGAGAGTCAGGTTCATATATTTTTTATTCATTTATATTATTCCATTAAAATGCTATCGGTAACTAATTGCTCTGTAGAAAGTAATTGCATTTGAAGCCATTTGTAAAATAAGTCTTTCATCTTTCAAGCAACAATTTGTTTTGCCAAGAATAAAACTCTTAAACACAAACACATTACAAATGGACTTTAATTATGTTCCAAATGTGATTTCTTTGCTTATGTTATTTCTATGTTCTGCATTTGTATGTAACTTGTACTTTACGTTGTTTCTCTTCTTTGTTCTCATGTTAGAGAATTTGAAAATGTGGATGATACAAAAATCATTATCATAGTGTTCAGTGGCCTGGTACACCTACGACCCCCAAATTTAATTCAACATTTATCCAGCATGTACTAATTGCTCTGCACGCACATTAATTGGGAACCTATGGTATTCTAGATGCTTCACGACATAAATTTATTAGATGCCTCCTATTGGCCAAGGTTCAGAGCTGAACTACATGCTGTTCCTACCCACACAAGGTTCACACTAATTAATCTACCATCATATATAACATGTGAAACAAAATGATTGGCTATTTTACTGCTGTTTCCCAGCTTCCAGTTGAATATTTAGACAGTTCATCTTGAGAAGCTTGTTCCATTTGTCCCCAAGCTGGATGGTTGGCATTGTGTTCAAAATGTTCTTGGGCTAAGATCATGCAAGCCCTAACAAGAAATGAGTTTTCCAGAATCGTCAACATGAAACGGCAAGTAATTCTGTGCTCACTTTTAGCGTGTGAAACCTCAAATGTCATTTTTCTAGTTCTCTGGGTTTCTGTCTGCCACTGTGTAAATAAAGGGGTTGGCAAGGTGATACTGACTACTCCTCCAGTTCGCATTCTATAGTTCTATTTAGACAGCTCATTTGATCACTGGACATTTCTATGTAAGAATCTATGAAACAAGCTTGCTGGAACCAACCTCTTAAAAAGTCCCTGCTCTACAAAAGATTATCATGTCCACCCACAGACAACAGGAATTCTTTTCTGGTCATCAAAGAATGTATTCTCCTTGTTTACAGCAGTGCATGTCATCTCTGGTAACAATGATGCTATAAAGGTTTCCAAAGATTTGCAGCAAAGTGTGACAATTTGTGCAAGGACTATGCAAAAGGCTTAAGTTCTATATGCATATAGGGTTATTTCCATCTCTATTTATTGATACACATGCACGTCTATATGTATTTATGCCCATATGTGCATAGCATGTAATGAGTTATATATGCATAGTGCCAGGACTATGCTCATTTTCACATATAATTCTCACAACAAACCCCAAAGTGTTTGTCCAGTTTTCCAAAACAAAAAACTGAGGTTGGCTTATAGATTGAACATAATTTGCCTAAACTTAACAGTGAGAAAGTGACGGAGCTATAAAGTCAAGTTTATCCAACTCTGAAGGAAGGACACTAAAAATTTACATTCATATAAATATAAGGATTTCACATGACATAAGTTGTTAGAAACTGGACTGGTAGAAGATTGAGAATTGTTTCAGTAAGAAATATGCAAATCCTGTAGGCATTAATTTGCTCCTGAAAGTCTACCATCCTTATGCTCATAGAGAAGCCATCTATACAGTAAGGCAAGACTAACCAGAACTGGAATACAATCATTAAGAAGCAACATATAAATATTGCTAAGCTTACCCCTTACTAGCAAGGATGTCATAACATAACCACAACAATGTAATGGAAAGTTAACATCTAGGAAAGCATTAGCAACAGCTTAAAACACATAAAACAATTATGATGGTTGCCTCACTTCCGTACTTTCTTTAGTACAATTTATGGCAATTCACATTCCACATGTTCTAACACCAGTACACAAAATAATGGCGAAATCTAGGTTTGTGAAACAGCATATATACATTGCTTCTTTGTTATTTCCAATATACTTATATAACCAAAATTAGTAAATTACTTTAAATAATTATGTCCAGTTAACTTCATACTGTTGGTATCCCCAAAGCATCTTGAGAGATGCAAACAATGCTATTAAATTAACAAGGAGCAGGTTTGCATTTCGCTATGTAATATTTTAGTGCTAACATAGGATTTCCTTAGTACCCTGCTACAGGAATTATACCTATTTATTCTGGGGCCAGAGAATTTGATGTATATTTAATGTTAGCCTAAGAAACATAAAATATAGTCCATACGATATCTAATGTGTTTAGTTTTCTATGCATTTGTATGGGTTATTCATAGAGATTTACCTGGAGATAAACATTGTATTAAAACATATGAAAACTTTAAGTTAAATGTTTTGCTTTCCAAGTTACTGAACTGGTTTCCAAAGGACTTTGCCATTCAGAAGGATGAAATATATAAAACACATACATAACCCTTTTAATATGAAGTCTAATCAGAAGGGTGGTAGTATATTTGTTTCTATAAGTAAAAAATTGTGGTCCCCACTGATAGGGACAGGAGAGAGGGAAATACTGAGTAGACGAATGCTACCAGGAAAGACCCCAGCCTTAAGCCTGGAAACCCACAGTCCTAAATGAGAACAGGCATTCTTGTTTTCACGCCCAAAAAGTTGCCTTCTGGCCTACTACACCCTTGATCTTGTACCCATATAAACCCCGAACCCCAAGCTCCAGAGGCAGATGAGCAGATGAATGGCAGAGCGGCATGGCAGAGAAGGAGAGTAGAGAAGAAGCATATGAACACCGAGAGGAGTTTGGCTGGGGACCGTCAGAGAGGAGATCGGCCACTGGACAACCAAACTCCAGGGTAAGATCATCTTCCCACTCCATTCCCCTTCCAGCTCCTCATCTATCCCACTGAGAGCCACCTCCACCGCTCAATAAAACCCCTGCATTCATCCTTCAAATCTGTGTATGACCTGATCCTTCCTGGACGCTGGACAAGAAGCTGGGTACCAAGGGGAGTCCACTAAATTGCTTAACACTTAAGCCGTCTGTGGACTGCAGAGCTAAAAGAGCAAATGTAACAGTGGGGCTTCAACAGTCACAGGCACCCAGCCCTAGATGCTGCTGTGGGGCCAAAGCCCAAAAGCGCTCACCCTAGTTCGCACACCTGCCCATCTTTGTGCTCCCCCTCCCATAAGGGTTTGAGCTAGCAGCAGCCAAACAGAGAGCCACATCCCTGTCACACGTCCTGTGAGGTGGACCAGGAAACTCTCCTGTCTTACTACCAGTTGTTTTATTAGGTGGCCTCTAGCAGGTGGCTCAGTCTTTAGATCAGAGTTTCTCAATGAGAGGCAGAGGTACAATAGGGGATCTGTCACATTGCTTTTTCCCTTGCCAGGTATTTTAGAATCTTGAGATTGAAAAGAGTAGGGCATATAAATTTTTCAAATTATATTGAGCATTTTAATAGATTTTCGAAAACAAAAATATTCTTATAACAATACAGACTAAAAATTGGTAGAACCTCAATTGTTGGCAATATTCATAGATTTTATGATTTCAACTAGGGGGTAGAAGACATAACATGTCCAGGAGGCCATTCCATTTTTATTTTCACTAGCCATGGACATACATGGACTTACTTTTTTTAAGAAACACAACTTTAGATGGCTTTTAAATCAGCTCTAAACATTCTCATGCTCTGTGACTTACGGTTTAGGCACTACACCTTGATTCCTGAATATACTATTGGATTATAACTGAGCTGTTTTGCTTTTCACCCTGAGTTTTACAGGAATTTGAGAATGCTGGTCAGACAAAAAAGTACGTTGTACTGGAGATTCCTGAGATGATTCTAAAACCGTCCTGAAAAACAGTCATACAGGAGTAGATTACAAAGACAACACCTGCTAGGGAAATATATATCTTTGAGACATCTTCTGACTAATAAGTCTCCCTGTCATTTGAAAATGAAAGGAAAATGAGATCTGGAAGCCTAAAATATCACAAATGTTTTGGCACCTAATATTTTGGTGTGCTGGGCCTGGTCTGACTCACAATAACCTGCAAGAGTGTATTGTGTACATCTCTACGCAACAGCTTGAAGTCACTCATGATAGGAATCTTTATGCCACTGAAATTAGCAAATGCCACAAATCAAGCCTCTCACCTCTACCCCCAAAGATAGTTGTTAAACATTTAGTAACATTTATGGAGGAATGAAGGAGGATTCCTTAAGGATATTTGTTTTTGAGTTTTCCATGTAATAAAAATGCCATAGTTTATGGTTTGTTTATTCAATAACTTTCTCAATAATGTTTATGAAGGGGATTTTGTTTTCCACCTGAATGAGAAGGCAAACTGAAGCATATCTGAAACTCTGCATGTAGTTGTGCTTCCTGTCCTCAGGGGAGATGGCATAAGGATAGAGATAGAGAGCTTCTTGACAGGGACAACACACAGCCTGAAAGAGACGCCTGAGAAGGTGCTGGGAGTAGTCTCCTCTATGGAATAAGGCAGGCAGCAAGGTCAACAGGTGCCACCTTACTAGGGAAGAAAATGTAGGAAGAGTGAAAGGAACTTATGAATTCAGACAATGGGTATCAGCTTACAGGAATCATTAGCCTGACAGGTAGTAGTAGGTGATTCAAAAAAATTTAAATAAATTAAAAAGTTGACAGAGGTACAAAGGAAGCAACATTTCAAACATATTTCTCGTCTCTGAGGAGGGTATTTGGAATAAATTCAATTCTCTTCATAAACTATGCTTTTCTTGCCAAAACAAAATAGATCACAGCTCTTATCCACGCAGGAATTCCTTTGGTTTGTATGTAGAAAGGTAGCTCATCCTTTCAACATTATCCAGAATTAAATGTAGCCTTTATAACCCTTGGAAATAACAATGTAACACTTCTTCATAGGTGAGTAATAAATGACTTTTTCCAAAATCAACCATCAACCACAAACACTTGGCTTGCCTAGTGTTTTAAAACTGGAGAATATTAGGACAGGCTTATAATGGCAAATATTCCAGCTCACATGCCCACACAAAACCTAACTGTGCTTTTAGGGAAAATGACCAATATGAGCTCAAGGACAGTATTTTGTTCTATTTAATACATTGCAAAAATCATCTCATATCTGTAAAATTATGTACTATTTCTCTCTCTAGCTTAATCTATATCCTGACCTATCCATGCAGGAGAACTTTCTGTTCCCATTAAAATCTTATAGAGAATATACCTTTTGAATGAAAGTGAGGTGGGGAAATAAGCTAATGACCCATGGGTTATATTTCTAAGGTCTTAGCCCAGAGATGACAGAGTACAGGAGAGGTTAGCTCCAGTTGGTATGTAACGAAGCTAGAACAAAGTAAGGCCAAACAACAAAGCCGATATGTGTATGCAGGCTGCTAAAAATCCAGTGATCAAAGCAATTTAATGCTTGGGCCCCAAGTGTTTCCTGTTGGTCCAGTGGCTGATGACACACTGTCTAATAGGATGGCAACAGGGAAAATTAGTCCTCCAAGTCTCCTTCTGTTGGGAAACAAGATTACTCTCTCTGGATTTTTCAGTTCCATCTACAGTGTGGTTCTCAAACATGCCTGTACACTGGAATCCCTTGGGGAGCTTTAGAAACTAATGATGCCTTGGCCCTAGCCCCAGAGATTCTAATGAAGCTGTTCCAGGTTCAGCCTGGGCATCAGGATTTTTAAATGTTCCACAGTTGATTCTAACAAGCTAAAGCTGAGTTGTTGATTCTGCGGCACAAAGAGACTAAGTAGTGCTTCTCAAATTCTACCCTTGTAGGTCTGAGTAGGGTCTAAGATTCTATATTTCTAACAAGCTCCCAAGTGATGCTGGTGTGGTCCAGAAACAAGGCTTTGATTAACAGGGCTCTAGATCAGCAGCCACAATGAGGTTCCTGAAGCAGCAACAATGTCACGTGGAAACCTGTTTAGAAATGCAAATTATCAAGCCCAACCCCAGATATACTCAATCAGTCATGGGGTGGGGCAGGTGGAAGAGTAGCAAACTGCATTTCAACAAGCCCTCCAGGTGATTTTGGTGCCAGCTAAAAAAACCAAGGGTCAGAGCGGTATTATTCAAAGTGTGGTTATCAGAGCAGCAGCAGTAGCATTGCCAAGGAGTTCATAAGATGAATTCAGGATTTCAGGCCCCACCCCAAACTTGCTGGATCAGAAACTGCATTTTAATGACATCCCAGGTGGTTACTATGCATATTAAAGTGTGAGAAGCCCTACAGTCTTGGCAAATTTCCTCCTCAAAACCGTTGCCCAGAATGACAGATAAAAAACCACTCATTTGAAAAAAAAAAAGCCTAACGACAACGTTAATTATAATTGTAATATCTGGTAGGTTTCTTTTTAATTACAAAAAGCCCCACATTTTTACAGTGACAAGTTTTAAAACATGGAAAAACCTCATCAAACAAATGGAAATCACATGTGATCCCACCAAGCAGCTAAAACTATTGATAACTTTATTCTTCCATCCAAAGAACTGTTTCTAAAGAGAGAATAAAAACAAGTTATTGAAAGAGACAATATTATCCTGCTCCAACAGACACTTGGCAATGTTTCAACTGAAACTTTCACCTATCAGTGTAACTTCCCAGTGGGTTCACCTAGCCCGCTGCCTAGACAGACCTGATTTATCAAGACAGTGGAATTGCAGTGGAGAAAGAGTAACTCACGCGGTGCCAGCTGTGCGGGAGACCAGAGTTTTATTATTACTCCTGTCTCCTGTAGTTAAAGATAATTTTGTGGGTAGGGGCTTGGGAAGTGAGGAGTGCTGATTGGTCAGGTTGGAGATGGAATCATAGGGGGTCTATGTGAGGTTTTCTTGCTGTTTTCTGTTCCTGGGTGGGATGGCAGAACTGGTTGAGCCAGATTACCGGTCTGGGTGGTGTCAGTTGATCCATCCAGTGTAGGGTCTGCGAAATATCTCAAGCACTGATCTTAAGTTTTATAATAGTGATGTTATCCCCAGGAGCAATTTGGAGAGGTTCAGACTTTTGCAGCCAGAGGCTGCATGACCCCTAAACTGTAATTTCTAATCTTGTAGCTAATTTGTTAGTCCTGCAAAGATAGACTGATCCCCAGGCAAGAAGGGTGGGGGGGGTGGCTTTTCAGGAAAGGACTATTATCGATTGTGTTTCAGAGTCAAACCATGAACTGACTTCCTTCCCAAAGTTAGTTCAGCCTATGCTCAGGAATGAACAAGGACAGCTTAAAGGTTAGAAGAAAGATGGAGGCAGTTAGGTCTGATTTCTTTCACTGTCATCATTTCCTGAGTTATAATTTTGCAAAGGTGGCTTCATCTTTAGCCCAATGTGACAAAAATACGAGTCTCTTGTTTAGAATAATGTTGGTTACTGAAGGAGATACCATGACATCGGTTCCTGTGGTCATCTTGGGAATAAAAAACCTCTTTGCCATGTTTGAGAATGTTGAAACCAAGTTATTTTGTTCTAAGTTAGAAGGTCAGAGCTCAGACTTAAAAATACCAGCCAGTAATGAAAAACAGAGCGGCCGCATTTAGGTTACCAGCAGTGAATAAATTCCCAGATAGTTGAAACACCGCTGTATACTGGTGACCTTTAAACGTATAATGAGTAAATAGTTTGGGGGGAAAAAAAGGAATTCACATGGATCTCAAATTGTATTCTCTTTCAATCTGTAACAGATCAGCTTTTCTGTTAGAGGTCAGATTGTTAAAATTTTGACAAATTTGGCTGCCTAGAACATCTATGGCCTTAGCTGTCAAATCAGAAGCCTAGCAAAAGAAACTGGAGCTAGACTGGTGAAAACTAAAATTTAAACTGTTGCTTTTTGATATGATTCTTGCTTTAGAAAGCTGTCAAGGTATTCAGCAAGTGTGCCAATTTTCTTAAATGAGTCTGAACTTCAAGACCCTTCCCTTACCTGGGTGAATATCTTTTGCATCAAATCCCAATGTAAGAATGAAACTACACATTGGGATAAGGAGCTGGAACAAATCATGCTGTTTCTGTACAAAGAGAAAAACATACTGGACTGGACACAGCACACAGTGATGGGAAGTAGAGTAACTTGAAAACCAGAAGATGAAGAGTTTGGAGGGGGAGTCAGGGCTGGGGGTTATAATAGAAAAGACATGTGGATGGCAATGCCTGTCAAAGAGGCACCAAGGAGAAGGGGATTGCCAAACTGTGTTAGGAAAAAGGTCACTGGATCTGTTAGAACCTGTGGAACTGGTTAATTACCTTATAATCAATATAATAAAATTACATGTGTGGCTATTTGATTATCATTACCCCATTGCAAAGAAATACAATGTTAATTTTCTTAGTTTTCCTCCTAATTTGGAGGACATGTTTGGGATGGTTTAGTTGAAAACCGGCTCATATGACATGTATAAAATTCACTGTTAGAAACCAAAACTGAGGTGGCCTCAAAGGCTTGGTAACAACTGATTAGGAGAGAATTGATATTAATATAAAACATTATGGGCCAAAAAAAATGTTAATATAAACCCTAACTTGTAAGTCCCAAGAGTAGGTTTTGACATATTACTAAGCTCTATCTCACATGGGTAACTTTATCCAAAGAACTTCAAAGGCAATAGCAGGTACATATTTATTTACTATGGTTAATATGGAAACTACCTAGTATAAAATTAGAGAAGTCTGGAAGGGTATATTTTGCAAATGGAACAGAAATATCACACTGAAGTTGGTTTAGGTAAATTTATCGAGTCCCCTCTATAACTTTGAAAACTAGAAAGTGTATTCAAGACCAAAAAGAAATTAAAAAAGGGTCTGTCACAGCATCACTTTGCTGATTTTGAGTATTCTGCAGAATACCAGTGTATGTAACCCTTAATAGCCAGGAAGCGTTGCATTGGGACTTCTGACCCAATGTTGTAGGACTTTCTCCTTAGTTCAGCTAAAAACGGAGTCCTTGTCATATGACCATGAGAGATTAGGCTCTCAGACACTTTGAAGAGAAAAATGGAATGTATTGGGCAAAGAGGGAGGAAAAAAAATGGGAAACAGTCCTGCCAGCTGGCTTCCCACCTCACAGATTGAATCCCAGATTCCACCTGGAACAAGAGAGGCCAGGCTCCTCCCCTCACAAACAGTGCAAACTTCCCAAGGCTCCACCCCAGTGCACACTCCTCCCAGTGCACAGACCAGAAGAAAGTTCTGCCAAGAGGCCCTTTTTACTTGGCTGTCTTACCAACATGGCAGTACACTTGGTTTTCACTTACATTCTTACATCTCTGCCATGTTAATACAGGAAAATACTGGAGTCCAAATAGGAACTCTCCAGGAAAAGATTTCTTAAGGGCAAAAAGGAGAAATGCAAGCACTTCCTACTTGAGAGACCCCTAACATAGTAGCCTACCATATTAGCTTTGAGACACAAGAGCGAGAAGAGGATTCCTAAGAGGACTGGAGCAGCAGCTGAGATTTCCAAGGTCCTCCAGTTGGCTATAGTGACAGTAACCATTTTTCCTTACCCAGTGGTTTTTCTCAACTTAGCTACACATTAGATTCACCCAGAGAGCATTCAAGCTAAAATCTGATACCCATGTGTTACCCTAACCAATTAAATAAAAATCTCTGTAGTTGCAACCCAGACATTAATATTTTTAAAGCCCCCTTGGTGATATCAATGTTGAGCCAATGTTCAAAACCACTGCCATGGCCATTTCCCAGAAATAAAAGTTAACCCAGAGAACTATAGAAAGCTTTATGAATCATGCAGAATAATTATCATCATGATCATCTAAGGCTCCCCAATAGGGCCCTTCAATTAAGTTCAAAATTGGCTGGACATTGGGTCAGATGGGGAAAATCAACTAAACAAAACAAAATTATTTGATGGAAATTTAGCTTTCTGCCAACTGCATATTTGAGTATTTGTGGCCCAACTTCAAATGAAAACAGAAGTGTATTTTTTTTTTTCTAACTGAATCATGGTATTCACAATATACAGCTTGACTAACAGTGCTTGTGGGCAACCAAGCAACTTTAGAGATTCCTTTTTGATTAAAAGTACACTGTGGACATTTACTTAATTCATTTCCAGAAAAACTCTGGAAGCTGGGCTTGATTCTTGCATTAAACAATCTGTGGAATTTGAAGAGCAACCCAAAACTCTCTAAATTTTAATTTTGTCACCTCTAACTAAAATAAGTTTGGACTGAATGATCTCAAAGATCTTTTCCATCCCTTGACATTCTGATTCAACGATACATAGTTTTCTCCTCTTTCCAAGGCATTTGCCCTCAAATCACTTAGATTCATATGATGATACTATTTATTTTCACTAGTTAGGCTGCATCTAAATGACAAAGAGTTGCACAATAACTTGATTCTTTTGCATGGCATGCAATACAATAAGTATCAAAAATGCTAAGCTTTTCACAAAGGACAACACAAACATTAAGCACCATCCATCCATTAAGTGTGAAAAGACATCTCCAGTAGAGGCCAAGAGAATATTTGCTTTCAAACAAGACATCACTTCTCTATAAAAATTATTGTCTTAGGAGGTACTCACTGAAGGGAAATTGCTGGCCCTGGGGGCAGAGATGTGATAAGATAATGATTTCTATTCTTTCATTTCAGCCAAATGGTAAATAAGTCACAAATGAAATAACGTTGGCACTATTAATTCTCAAAAGCAGATTTAGACAGAGACTTCAATAAGCCTGAAATCAGCACTTAATTTTTCATTTTCTCTTTTCTGGGAGGCTTCAATGGAACAGTTTTAATTCTAAATTTAAGATATGTTGCCAAAAACTGATTGAAAAAACATGGTGCTTGAATAAGATGTTTAGGTAGGTTTAAAAAACTGGATATGAACACTGCTTCAAAGGGAAATGAGTTTTACACTACACATTTTTATCCTTTTAATACAAGACTCCTTTCTTTTGATTTTGGAACAACTTGATACCTAAAAATATATACTTTTTGGTGTTGACTCAATAGTTTAAGAAGTATAGGTCAAAGTTTAGAATTTTAAGAACTGTATTTCAAATGGAAATAGTTTGCATAGTTTTAACATTCTCTTTTCTTTCCCCATTTCCCTTAATAATATTGGATTTAAAAGTTATGCTGCTTTCTGTTTTCATATCCTCAGACACGGATGATTTTACCATTTAGAAATTCAAAGAAAAAATGTTGGAAGTGGTATGTATTTTCTAATCTATATTTTTCTAAGATTTCAGGTAACCTCTTTCCATTTGAGTGAGCACATTTTATCTAGTGTTTCTCAAAATGAAATTACTTAGATTCAAGTAGATTGATATGAATATTACTGAGTAAAGAATTCTTTTACAGACATAAGGTCTTAAGATGCCAAATGAAGAAAACATTCCTTTTCCAATTTATTCCTACTGTATCTTAAACAGGCTACTGACTAGCACAGAACTACATGAAACTGAATCTCCAATTTGAGTTGTGGTCACCAGTTTTAATTATTCTAACCTAAATTGAATCCCTTTGAACCAAGTTTGTTATAGTCAGAACTAGGCTGAACTAACTTAGGTTGGATTGAACCACTTTCATCAATTTTCTCTTGGTCTTAGCTTTGTCCAATGCCTGCCTGTAGAATGAGACATGCCTGGAATGAAATGTCTGTAACAATGGTATATTGGTACTAAAATAATTGGATAATACTGAAAGTGGGGGTTAATATCAATTATCGTTTTGAAGAAAGGCTATGTAAAATGTAAGAGATGATCAGGATTCTGGGATCAAAAGTCAAGTCAGGAAAATACACAGTTGGTGCTTACAGAGCTAGAGCCAGGGAAGATGAATCTGAAAATGGGGAATCCAAGAGGTAGAAGAAAATACAGCAAGGAAGTTATATTGGTATGATCTGAGCATACACTGGGATTTTTTTTTTTTTTTTTAAGCAAGCTGTCTTGGAGATGTGAAAGGGCAGGAAAGGGCCAGGCTTCTAAAAAAAGTGAGTTAAACTAAACATTATCCTTGAACTCAAGCTGAGAAAATAGGTACAAAGGCTTACCTGGCAGAAACCTGCTACAAAATGTGGGTCAAAGTGGACTTTTCAAATGCACTCCTGTGTTCAGTGTCCCTTTCGCTCCCCGGATACTATATCTCTATAGTCTTGGAAGCCTAAACGTTCTGGTTTCTTAGTGACTGTGGGAGGTTTCAAGGCTACAGCTAATTAAGAGAGTCTTACTGAGCAAAGTCAGCAAGATAATAGATCAGTCAACATAAAACAAGCCTAGATACCTGTTCTTAACATTGTGGCAGAACTGGGCAAAGAAGAGACAGATGTACATACACCTGTGATGTATGTACATCAAACCAAAGATTTCTCCCAAGTGTGGGGTGCCAATAAGAGTAAAATGGAGTAAACCAGAGATTGTATGAATATTTTTTCTTTTTTTTTTTTTTTTTTTTTTTTTTTGAGACGGAGTCTTGCTCTGTTGCCCAGACTAGAGTGCAATGGTGCGATCTCCGCTCACCACAGCCTCTGCCTCCTGGGTTCAAGCAATTCTCTTGCCTCAGCCTCCCGAGTAGCTGGGATTACAGGCACCTGCCATCATGCCCAGATAATTTTTGTATTTTTGTAGAGATGGGGTTTCACCATGTTGTTGGTCAAGCTGGTCTTGAACTCCTGACCTCAAACGATCCACCCGCCTCAGCCTCCCAAAGTGCTAGGATTACAGGTGTAAGCCACTGTGCCCAGCCTGTATGAATATTTTTTCTAAGCACCAGACAAAACTGAGATCCATTGAGCAAAGCAGAGAAGTTGTAGGTGGTATCTGTAACACCTATACTCCCAGAAGAAGGGTCAGTTCTGCTTGAGAGTATAGAAAAATTTGTAAGTAATTACGCAAATTCCTCCAAATATTTTAATGAGGTCACTCTGAAATAAAGACATAATTATAAGCCCAGGGTTCAAAATAGTAGTTTTGATTATGTTATACAGCCAAATGCTTCCTGTAGAAGCTGCTGTTTTGTCTGAGATCAATAATGTCCTAAGAAACGGCTGAACTAGACCCTCTCGGTCAATCCATCATCAGGACTTGTGATGGAGGGGACTTAGAGTTAACAGTGATTCTGACAGTATCATTTCCCAAAGTACTTGGGAATCAGGAATACATATAGTTTCTCAAGCATACTTGATCCATAAGCATCTGAAATACATTTAAACTTGGTTCCGCAAAGCAAGTCATGGCATAGGAAGGGTGACAATGGCCTTGCCATGCAGGTGGCCCTTCACTGTATGTTGAGTTCTGTGGCTTTTTGAGGGCAGCTCTTGAGCTCTGCCAGATAATGTTGTCATGCAGTCTGTACAGTGGCACCACCATGCCTGCTGTTTTCTCATCTTCCAGTAGGTCCACCAATACTGAGGCTTCCCTTACAACTGTGACATTAAAACCAATTTAAACCAGCTAGGACTATTTGAGAGAAGTTCATTTAGGTCTGAAATATTAAACTAAAATAACTTTAGCTCATCCTTAAGAGCCAATCCTAGGGTTGCTGTTATTTAATGAATAATTACTTTTGAAGAGGTTTTGTAGACTATATTGCTGAAATCTTTCCTCAAGGAGAGTAGTCACTAATTCTGAAATGAATGAATTAGAAAACAGTCAATGCCCAAATCTCCAAATGGCCTTATTGCTTTCTCCCACTGAGCACCTCTGATGAGGCCTCCCTTTGAGGTCTTATCAAATTCTCCCAGATTTCAAGATCTTTCTGAACCACAATTACTCTTGTGTGTCAGTTTTGATATATTTACCATCTGTTGCCTGTTTATAGTGAATACATGCATGTAGTACTATGTATATACAGTGTGTGACTACTTTACAACTGATTTGGTCAAATGGGAATCAAATGAAGGTGAAATTTTATTCAAGGATATATGTTTAATTTAAATCATTTTGCTTATGACATAATCATTGTAGGTTGATTAAATAAAATGATTAACCTACTTAAGAAAAAGCTTGTTCATTACTTAAATCTCAATGACATCAATTTCATTTAATAAAAGTTTTTCATTTATTTACAGGACTGAAATAAAACCCTGGTAAAACTAGATTTTAAGACTCAAAGCAGTGTAGGCCATTCCTATTATACAGCTGATAATGTGGAGAAAAATCAGATCTTTAAGTACTTCATATATATATATATATATATATATATATATATATATATATATAAAATGAGGTGAACATTATAATTTTGCAATATGAATTGGCACTGGCACAGAAGTGATTTAAACAACCGGCTTTACAAATAAGGAGACTCTCATGTGTTTAATGATTTCTTTTTTAAAAAAATGAGAATAAGGGCTAAATGTAAAATTTAGGGGCTTTTGCTAAGTTGGTTTCATTTTAATCTTTCCCTTTACCAAAATAAACTAGTACAAAGAAATGCAAATATTTGAGTATGTGCTAAAATAAACATTGCATCAATCATGTTTGAGGAGGTACAGAGGTAAGGAGGTCAACCGCCTGACTGGAAATGATGGGTGGGGACATGATAGGGAAAATACAAGAAGGGACCTTCACGGCCAAAACCTCAGGGCTCCGCTCTCCTGAAATCAACCATATGGGAGCCTCAAAGTTCAGAAATCACTGCCAACAGACTCCTAGCCTAGGAGGAAAAACTGAGCTTGAAGCTCAGTTGCTGCTCACAGTAGCCCCCAAAGGGTCCCAGTTAACCCCTCATTTATTAGTCTAACAATTTTATTATCTTAGCTAATTTACATATTGTATTTTATGATTGTATGTTGCTCTTCAAGCTATTATTTTTAAACTCAATTTTATTTTCTTTAATCTTCAGTTTCTAGTTTTCATCGTTGGCTCTCTAACGTTTATCATTTGTTATTAATTCTTGGCTTTTACTTTGCCATTTTATAGTGCTCATTTTATACCACTTTATCTTACTGTTTATGTTATCTTGGTTATTTTATCATCTTCTTTAAGATGTTACCCAACTTTTATAACTGGCAAGCAGAAATATTGGCTAAAGGCAGGCATCTGGGAGGTCAGTCCAGGCCCCAAGCAAGAAGAGGTGGAAGATGTTCTTTCTTCCTAGGGGTTTTACAACATCTCTTCCAGATCTCCACAACTGATTCCTAAATTCCCTTCCTAGACACATCATTTCATTGTGAAATCAGTTTGAAAGAAGGATGTGACCACTATCATGGACCCTTTACACTAGGTAACCCTATCAACACACCAGCCCCAGATATGGCCGCAGCATAAGGCTAACATCCATAGCACACATTAAGAGCTTAATTATTGTGGTTACCTTCTCTCATGAATTAGCCAATCCATTTAATGAAACTGGGGAAAACTTCATGATGTCTATCCTATAAAATTGTTGAAATCTAGGTAAACTCTGGGAACAAACTGCACTTTACCAGAAGAAAAGAGGTCACAATCATTGGGAGGAGAAGGAAGTCCAATTCAAGGAGAGAAACTGGCCGACATTCTCCAGGCTTAGTCTTTTGTTTTCCTCTATAATGAAATGGTTTCATTCTTTTTCTCTTGCTACTTAAATAACAATCTTTTGGAAAACTCAAATGACATAAAATTCTAAGAAAGAAAGTAAAAACATGATATCCCACCCCCCGAGATACCACGTTTAAATAATCACCATTAACATTTTAGCACCCATCATTTCATGTAGTTCCCTGTGTACAAATACCCACAGGCATATGTCCTTTTAGATTTAGGCACATGTCATTTAGATAAACAAACTAGTTGATGAACTTCCATGTACAGACATATGTACACATACAAAGATACACATATGTATTAGTAAGGAATGGCTAGCAGTGATGCCACTATAATGCCCAAAAATAAATATTATCTTTTTAGGTCAGCTGTATTTATGCTCAAAGTTATCTTTACTCCTATATTCTGGCTGAGGAAGAGGTTGTTGCACTTGTAATGGCAAAAGGAAAAAGAATATGGTGACACTACTTCACTGAGACCCAGGCAAGAGTTGCCCTGCTCTAGTCCACACTCTTTAGTCTGATCTGGCCTTCCTCTAGTCATGTGCCTCTTTATGAAGAGAGCAGTCTGAAGGGCTAAAGGTCATGGCTTCTCTGAGTCCATTTATCTATTCCCATTCCAATGTACACTCTGCTGCAAGTCCTGTGAGCGTCAGAACTCCTCCCCAAATAGGCTCTGTGAGGGCCCGCTTCTAAGGGCAGGCAAGGCTGTAGGAGCATGTACCCATTAAGTCCGAGAGAGAGCCAAGGGTTGGCCGCTTCCACAGAATGTGGATGGAGTTTGAAAATGGGGTTTGGAGTGTTTTCAAAAATGAGCTGGAGCCCTTCTTGGTATGGAACAGATAGAAATCAGGGGTCCTGCTTTCTTTCAGAAGGATAGTGTTTAATGCAACTTAATAAATCATAGATTTCCCACTAAATTAAAATACATTTTTACATATAATCGTTTCTTGATTCTCTGTTCTGCCCCACTGATGTATTTTTTCTATGCTTATGCCAAACTATACTGATTTCATAAGTAGTTCTCATCTATATTCTAATATTTTGTAAGACAATTCTAACCTCATTTTTCCCAAAAAATATTGGTGATCCTTGAGGATTACTTTTTTCAAAAAAATTTATATTATTATTATTTTTTTTGAGACTGCGTCTTGCTCTGTCACCCAGGCTGGAATGCAGTGGAGCCATCTTGGCTCACTGCAACCTCTGCTTCCCGGGTTCAAGCAATTCTCCTGCCTCAGCCTCCTGAGTAGCTGGGCTTACAGACAGCTGCCACTAGGCCCAGCTAATTTTTATATTTTTAGTAGAGATGGGGTTTCCCCATGTTGGCCAGGCTGGTCTTGAACTCCCGACCTCAGGTGATCTGCCCACTTCAGCCTCCCAAATTGCTGGGATTACAGGAGTGAGCCACCACGCCTGGCCCCAAAAATTATAAAGTATCATTTTTGGAAATTGAGTACAGAAAACTCTGTTGGCATTTTAATAGGAATTGCATTGTATTTATATGTTTATAAAAATAGAACACTGATATCTTTATAATATTGGTACGTATTTCCATCTAAGAATATAATATGCCTTCCAACTATTTAAAATTATTATTTTTTGGCTCACACCTTTAATACCAGCACTTTGGGATGCCAAAGTGGTAGGATTCCTTGGGGCCAAGGAGTTCGAGACCAGCCTGGGCCACATAAGGAGACACCATCTTGTTGAAGTGGCAGAACAGGAGAGGAGGAACCTGGGTGCCAATGGTTGTCACATAGGGTAAGTTCAGCTGTGAGAAATGGCTAACTGAAAATAGCAGTGGCTTAAAACAAATAGGAACTCCTCTCTATTGTATAAATGTAGTAAGTCAAGGGCTGGTAAAACAGACCCACAACCGTTGGCACCCAGGCTCCTCCTCTCCTGTTCTGCCACCTCAACAAGCAGCCTGTGGCCCCATGGCTGCTTCAGGGCCAATTATCATGTTTTAATTCTAGAAAACAAGAAGAAGAAAATGGAAAAAATCAAGGGCAAGTCCCCTTCCTGGACAAACATTGCCAAAAGATGCATATGCTACTTTTGCTTGCATTACATTGGTGAGAACTTAGTGATACGGCCATGAGTAAATCCATGAGAGTCTGAGAAAGTATTTATTCCGGGAAATCATGTGGCCAGCTAAAATTGGGATTTTATTATCTTTAAAGATGTGAAGAACAGATACGAAGGACAACTGGCAGTTACTTCTACAAGCATCTACTCTACGGACATTTGGATTTTTATCCCTTAACATGTTCATTGTAATGAACTACACTGAAGAGGTTTCCCAATATTGAAAATTCTTGCATTCTTAGAACAAAACTTCATCATATTGTATGATAACACATTATTTCAACAGATCTCCAAAATATAAATTACCAACTTTGACCCAAGAAGTAGAAAACATGAATAGACCAATTACCAAAGATTTTATTACACTTGTTAAAATTCCTCGTGTAAAAAAACAGACGAGGACCACTTGGTTTTCTGACTTAGTTCCATCTATATATCAAAAAATAAAATAGACAATTCAAATGTCATTTAAATAATCCCAGATCATAAAAAAGGAAATATTCCCAATTCATTTTATTATTTTAATATTCAAAACATGTTAGAGTTCTAAAAACTCTATTTATATGCACATTTTAAGTAAAATAATAATAAGATCCATAATAAAGCATTGGTTTGGGAACCAAAGGATGCACCCACTAGAAGTTTGTCAGTTGTCCTTTATCATTGATAAAAAAAAAAAACAGAAATAAAAACAACAACTAGATCTCCTGAATACCAGTGGGTTGATTTAAGGCATAGCTACAGATGTAGAGAGCTACAGGCTCTCTAATAATCTCTGGAGAAGTGAACCCTATTCCCTGAATTTTTATTATATTATTTAACTTCTATAAGCCTCCATTTATAATACTGGAGTAATAGTGGTCTTGGGACAATTTAATAAGATAATGCAGCCAGACATAGGGGCTCACATTTGTAATCTCAGCACTTTGGGAAGCCAAGGCCGAAGGATCACTTATCTTGCACCCCTGGCTATAAAATTCCTTGCAGTAAGTGCTGCAAGATACTAAGTTCCCATGCATTTTAAAACTGAATTTTCTGTTTTCTGCTTTGATTCCTTTTTTTTTTTTTTTTTTAAAAAAAAGGACTTTGTATGTCTTAATAGTCATACTCCTTCAACACAGATACTAGAAGATTGTTTGATGTCTGATATCAATTGAATACTATAAATTGTAAGTTCTATATATACTAGGCACCAATCTAAATACTGACTTCTTTCAAAAAATCTCAATAGAAGAATCCTTAATGATGTTTTCCAAAACTACACACATAGATGACTTACATGATTTGGGTTTAGAGGTTTCTTTTACGGGTCATTTTCCTAGAACTATATGAATTAACTCGAAAATCATCTAGTCTGTGAGATTTAGAAATACAACAATTTGAATAGCAACTAATAGAAACATATTTTAAGTAACAAAAGGAGTTACAGAAAGCTTAATAATGAGCTTCTTTTTATTATCACCCTGGATATATTTCTTAGGCCACAGTTGAAGTAACTATCTCTCACTGATCTTAAAAAGTTTCCTCCTACTATACTTGGGCACATAAGAAAAAGGTCTCGAGCATGGGAGTTAGGATGGCTGTGATGGATCAAGGGACTCTCCACAAACTACCTTTGAATGTTCAGTGAATTCTGTACTGACCTATTAAGAGAGGTTTCTGCTCTCATTAGGATCCAGTAGGTTTCAGGTGCAACTACCCCTCTACTTTACTCTTCCACCTCCCAGAGAACTCTGCCAAGAGCCATGTTAAGACTGCTTTCTTCTTTAACTACTAATAGTCTTGATTATAGGAACAGAAATTTATTGTAACATCAATCTCATGGAAAAGTGAAAGTAGCTAAATATATTTACAGAATCAAGATATGGCTGAGTTGATACTGAATGATGGGGGCTTCCTCTTTAACTGTTCAGGTTAGAACAATTTATGGTTGAAATTACTTTGGCTGTTGCCATGATTTCCAGCATATTATGGTAAAAAGAAAAAATTTTTATTTCAGTTGCTCATTCACTTTTCATGAATTTTTTTAAGATAAAGTGATAAGCTATTTTAGGGGTATAGTGGTTCACCAGAAGCTACAAGGATATTGAAAGAAGAAGGGCATGTAAACAAATTATTAACTCTGAAAAAAAAGTGAAGACACAAAAAAACCTTTTATTAAAGGCACCTGCTGACAGGTATTTCTGAAAATGTGTGAAAATAATGCCTTATTTATTTGCTTGTGTTATACACAAGGAAATAGGTTTTATCTAGTCATGAAGCATATTAAACTGCCACTCTCCCCCCTCCTGTAAACATTCCAGTGTCTCATTAACAATGGCACCAGAACTTTATCTTCAAAAAGCTTTTTCTATTCATGTGGAATATTTTATGGTTAGATGCCCAATTAATCTGCTATAGTTTAGCTTTGTGAGGTTCAAATGTCTGTTTCACTTAGCTGTTTACTTCTAAATGGGCCAGAGCTCTTTAAAATTTAAAGAGTAAGAGGAGACCTTAGGGATGTACATAAGGAAAAATAGCATGTCCTCTAATATACTGATTTTTAAATCAAAATAATATAAATGATTATTCATGGAACAATTTTTCTTCTACATACTTGAACTACACTTCCATTTGCCTTAAATATATGGCTGTGCTCCAAGTTCCAACATTTTTTCATTTTCTATGTTAAAGTTTGCTTCTTCATGACATTTATACCCTTCAAATATTTATAAATGCTACCATGCTCTTGATTCTCTGCATTTAAATCTGATTCATACTTTCATGGATATGTGGATATGCTGCAATAAAACAGAAGTCATTAAATGACAAGGCACCAATCTCTTTTTGTTGGTAGGTTCTAAAATCCTTCATCTCATTCCAACAAGGAAGCTTTTAACTCTATCAATTTCTGATCATTAACTCTCATCTTTAGTTTTTTATCCCTTCAAATGTGATGATCATGTACTCTAAGGCAGCTTGGCAGATTTACAATATGTAAATATTGAGAGAGTGAGACTCCATGCCAATTGATGTAAACAATAAATGCACAGCGATTATTTTCAGAAACAGATGCAGGGAATGTCCACAGATGTTTGGAGTTTAGTCTCCTTTAAAATGTTCTATTTGAGTAATGATGTAAATAAACAAGTATCAATGCAACTAAATAATGAAGACATTTTTCTGTTGGTTATGCTAACACCATGCTGCGTTCTCCCAAGTTGTGTGTTTTAAGTGTATTTTTAACTCCCAGATCTGGCATTGGCCAAAAAACTAAGTGCAAATGCTGCTTATTAAAAAAATACCAACATGTGGATTTCTATTCCAGAAAAAATGCTTGGTCTATGTTTTCCAAAGTGGGAAATTATAACTTTCACTATCAGAAATTCTATCTTTAATAAATTAATATCCCACTGCATTTCCCCTCAAAATATAAATATCAGTATCTAGTTCTTGGATTGGAAGTATGATATGAACTAAATTTCATGAACCCAAAATGTTTCTACCAAATGTTTTTATCAGCTAATTAATCTACACAGCTAACAATCTACAAGGATTGAGGTCAGGTTGTTGAGAACTTCTGTATAGATAAAAAAACTAATTCAATTGTGTGCACATGAGATATGGTATATTCAAAATTAGATATCAAATGAAGAATAAGTAGTCATTGGAGAATCAGCCTTTGAATAAACTGGATTCTGTTATTTCTACTTTCAAATCACAGTTAGGGTAAGCTACCACTGCTGCTTACAGATAGCTAAACCTAAACTCACTTGTCAATGTTAATAGCATTTTTGTTTATCAGATTTTCTACACAGTTTATTATATTGTTTGCAAATAAAAAACAGTTTTACTTCTTTCTTTTAAATATGAAGTGTTGTTTTGCCTTATTGCACTGGATAAGAACTCCCGTAAAATGTTGAATAGGAGTTAAGAGTTCATTTTCTGCCTTGTTTCTGATCTTAGACGAGGAAGCATTTAACCTTTTACCTCTAAAGATGATATTAGCTACAGGATTTTCACAGATGCCTTAAATACACTTTCAGGTAACAAAGTTTTCTTCAATTCCTAGTTTCCTGGGAATTTTTATAATGAATGTTAAATTTTACCACGTATTTTTCTACATCCATGGAGATAATTTTATAAAGGATTTTTCACCTTTGTTAATTCTGTGAACTTCATTGATTTTCAAGCATGAAACCAATCTTCCACTTCTGAAATAAATCCAACTTGCCCATAATATCTTCTCTGTATATTGCTTGATTCTTTGTTAAGAGTGTTCGTACCTATGTTCATAAAGGATATTGGCCTATACTATTTTTATGTCTGTCTGATTATGGTATAAAGGGATTGCTGACTTCTCCTGGTTATCCTTTTTTAAATGTCCCTAGGATTTGTAGTCACTCATGTTTCATATTAGTAATTTGTCTTTTCTCATTTTTCTTTATGAATACCCCTATATATTTTTAATTTTATTGATGTTTTCAAAGAATGTGCTTTTGTTTCATTGATATTTAATTAACTAATTTTGATCTTTATTGTTTTGTTTTGCTTTTTGAGATGGAGTTTCGCTCTTGTTGCCCAGGCCGGAGTGCAATGGCAAAGTCTCGGCTCACTGCAACCTCTGCCTCCCAGGCTCAAGTGATTCTCCTGCCTCAGCTTCCTGAGTAGCTGGGATTACAGGCGCCCGCCACCATGCCCAGCTAACTTTTTGTATTTTTTAGTAGAGAGGGGGTTTCACTATGTTGGCCAAGCTGGCCTCAACTCCTGACCTCAGGCAATCCACCCACCTTGCCCTCCCAAAGGGCTGGGATTACAAGTGTGAGCCACCCCACCCGGCCTTGTTTTGTTTTTTACTTATTTTGGGTTTAATTAGCCCTTCTCTTTTCTAGCCTACTTAAGTATGGGGCTTAGAGAGTTTATTTTATACTTCCTTCTACTTTTTGTTTGTTTGTTTGTTTCTGAGACAGAGTCTTGCTCTGTCCTCCAGGCTGGGGTGCAGTGACGCAATCTTGGCTCACTGCAACCTCCGCCCCCATCATTCAAGTCTTATGCCTCAGACTCCTCAGTAGCTAGGTTTACAGGTGAGTACCACCACACCAGGCTAATTTTTTTTTTTTTTTCCCAGTAGAGTCAGGGTTTCACCATGTTGGCCAGGCTGGTCTCAATCTCCTGGCCTCAAGTGAACCAGCCGGCTTGGCCTCCCAAAGTGCTTGAATTACAGGCGTGAGCCACCGTGCCTGGCCTACTTCCTTCTCTTCAAATAAACATTTAAAACTGTAATTTTTAATCTAAGCACTGCTTTAGCTGCATCTCTCAAAATTTGATATTCTGTGTTTTAGGTGTCATTTCATTACATTTTTTATTGACTTTGTGATTTTTCTTCATTGACCTTGTGTTGTTTTAATGAAAAGTGTTGTTTAATTTTCAAATTTGAAGGTATTTCATATATCTTTTGGCTAGTTTTTTTCCATTTAGTTGTTGTGATCAGAGAGCAAACTGCATGATTTTACTCTTTTCTATGTGTTAGGACATATGTTATAGCCTAATACACATTCTATCTTGGTAAATGTTTCATGTGCACCTGAAAAGCATATTGTTTATCAACAGACACAGAAAAAGCACTTGAGAAAATTCAATACCCATTCATGATAAAAACCCTCAATAGAGTAGCAGTACAGGGGAGTTTCCTCAAGTTGTTTAAGAATAACTGCAAAAAGACCTACAGTTAGCATCATATTTAATGATGAAAAGCTTTTCAAGTAAAATCAGGAAAAAAGCAAGGATGTCCTCTCTCACCACTCCTTTTCAACATTGTCCTGGAAGGTCTTAACTAATACAACAAGACAAGAAATGAAATAAAAAGTATACTGATTGGAAAATAAAAAATAAAACTTGCCTTTCTTTCATAGATGACACTATTGTCTATGTAGAAAATTTGGAGGGTGGGGTGCGGAATTCACAACAAAAAGCCTCGTGGAACTAATAAGCCTTTGTTGCAGGGTTGCAGGATATGAGATTACTATACAGACAGCAATTGTTTTTCTATGTTCCAGCAATGAGTAAGTGGAATTTGAAATTAAAAACACAATAGCACTTACACTGGCACCAAAAAAATGCAACAGGTATAAGTCTAACAAAAGATGTACAAGATCCATATGAGGAAAAATACCAAACTCTGATGAAAAAAATTGAAGAACTAAATAAACGTAGAGATATTGCATGTTCATGGATAGGAAGGCTAAATATTGTCAAGATATCTGTTCTTTCCAACTTGATCTATAGATTCAATGCATCCCCAATAAAAATGCTAGCAAGCTATTTTGCAGATGTAGACAAACCAATTCTAAAGTTTATATGGAGAGGCAAAAGACTCAGAATAGTCAAAACAATATTAAAGGAGAAGAACAAAACTGGAGGACTTACAATACCTCAGTTTGCAACTAATTCTAAAGCTACAATAATCAAGACAATAGTGTTGAAAAATAGACAAACAGATCAATGGAACAGAACAGAGAGCTCAAAAGTTGACCTATATAAATACAGTAAATTGATCTTTGACAAAAAAGCAAAGACAATACAATAGAGAAAAGATAGTCTTTTCAAAAAATGATGCTTGAACAAATGTAAATACACATATAAAAAAATGAATCTATATACAAACTCTATACCCTTCATAAATGTTGACTTAAAATGGACCACAGACCTAACTATAAAACACAAAACTATAAAATTCTTAGATAACATAGAAAAAAAAATCTAGAGGGCACTGGGTTTGATGATGACACCAGGTTTGATGATGACACCAAAAGCACAGTCCATGAAAGAAACACTTAATAAGCTGGACTTCATTAAAATTAAAAATTTCTGCTCTGTGAAAGACACTGTAAAGAAAAGAAAAAGATACACCACAGACTGGGATAAAATATTTACAAAAACGAATTTAATAAAAAACTGTTATCCAAAATATACAAGAACTCTTCAAACGTAACTATAAGAAAACAACCCGATTAAAAGATGGACCAAAGACTTTAAGAGATACCTCACCAAAGAAGACATTTAGATGGTCAGTAAGCGTATGAAAAGATGTTCCACAGCATATTTCATTGAGGAAATACAAATTAAAATAATGAGATACTAGTACATTAATCAGCATGACCAAAATCCAGAAGACTGACAATGCCAAATGGTGGCAAGGATGTGGAACAGTAACTTTCCATTAAGGGTGGGAATGCAAAATGATATACCCACTTTGGATGAGAGTTTGGTGATTTCTTATAAAACTAAACATACTCTTACCATATGATCCAGCAGTCATGCCACCATTTAGCATTGTCAGTCTTCTGACATATGATGTGGATATTTAAATAACAACAAAAAGACTGGGAAGATAGAAAGGAAGATTTAATCTAGGAAGTTCATTTTTAGCCTTAAAATACTGAGTAGCTTACAAAAAGTCTTCTCCTTTTTTCTTCATAGTGAATAGTTTTTATGTTAGGATGATTTTATTGTATATGCACAATAATGCTGGATTGCACTGACTCATCCATTCCTAATTTTGAGTGTGTGAAGATCTTGATGTTGTGCCGTGCAGATCCAGATGTCAGGCATTTTGCCATACTTGCCAATATAGGCAGCTGATTATAATTATTCACTGCCATTAAATTGCTGCTCAAAAATTTTCCCATTCAAGTTGATGAATCAAGATGTTGTTTGGGCTAAGCTTTTCCCAAGAAAATGCTTTCCAAATTCCTAATACTTTGACCTCAAGAATATTTAAGAAAAAGGCTGGTGTGATGTATGCATGGGATTTATAGTAAGTCTATTAGAGATAGATCTTTTTCAAAAGGAAGAACTGTCAAACCAAAATATAAACATAGGCAATAATGAGATTGTAACCCAAATGTCAGTTACACAACACCCCATTAATTTCACTTATCCTTTCATCTCCAAACAAGTCCATGGGTTTTGTAAATATAAAAAATAAAAACCTCCCCATGTTCTCTACCCGCTCATATGGCATGGGGAAGGAGGGTGAAGATCTTTATATCTGTGGCTTCTTGATCTAGAATTCTGCTTTCACACTTGCTCTCTCTCTTCTGTTCCAACCTAAACTTGAAACAAATCTTCTCTGATTTCTACAGAACAAATAAATAAGCAAACACAGTAAGAATTCGAGGGATTATTTGTCGGGCGCGGGGGCTCACACCTGTAATCCCAACATTTTGGGAGGCCGAGGCAGGTGGATCACCTGAGGTCAGGGGTTGGAGACCAGCCCGGCCAACATGGTGAAACCCCATCTCTACCAAAAATACAAAAAATTAGCCGGGCATGGTGGCAGGCACCTGTAATCCCAGCTACTTAGGAGGCTGAGGCAGGAGAATTGCAGTGAGCCGAGATGGCGCCACTGCACTCCAGCCCGGGCAACAGAGAGAGACTCCATCTCAAGAAAAAAAAAAAAAAAATTGAGGGTATGGTAGACTTTCTTAAATGATTCCTGGAATAGAGCAGAAAAGAGTTCATGTTCCAGCCACAAAAATCAACTTCAAATGAAATAATAGGTATCATCTATCTTAAAATTTCATTTGGTTACATCCCCACCAGGCTTGCCACTGGCCTTTCACTTTATGTAATCCTAGCTCTCATCATCTTGTTGGTTTTTCTCTCCATGCTTCATTTTATACATTCTCTCATTGTCCTTCTCCCTCTCTGAAGAAGTAACAGGTTCTTTCCCGGTCTCTCATAGCTATAGGCACTGTCTGCCTTTTCCCCAGAACCTTGGTGCCAGCCAATACCAAAGCTCTGGGAATCCAACTTCCTATTGGATGGGCTCTTGAAGTAACATTTCCAATTCTTTCTAAGAAGAATTCTGGTGACTGTTGTTAAATATGTACATTTAATTTTATTTTATTATAATCTCAGTTTCTCATTATGGAAGAGGTAAGAGAACATTATCCAACATTGTTAAGCACCTACTATGTATGGAAGGCTAGGCACACAGCACTGACCTTGGTACTACCGGGAAGGCAGCTTGACCTAACATACTCAAGAAATTCTAACATTTTATCTTCAGTAGCCCTTTAGATTGCAAACATGACATTTTCAAGAATACGACATAAAAAGGTTTGCAAATATCCTTTTTCCCTGTAATATGTTCCATATTAAGGGGCCAAATTTGCCAGGCTCATACAAGAAATGTCTTTCTCCTCTTTTGATGTGCTTTTAAAATTTATTTCTGCTTTAGTAACAAAACAAAAAAGTCACTGAAAATAAAAATTTAATTCCATTCTTTTAACAAGCAGCTGTCAGCCATATTCTTTAATAGGAAGTGAAGGTTGGAAGATTTTAGTGGAGAAGGAAAAGTTACATCAAGTACAAGAAATAGGCCAGGCATGGTGGCTCACGCCTGTAATCCCAGCACTTTGGGAGGCCAAGGCGGGTGGATCACTTGAGCTCAGGAGTTCGAGACCAGCCTGGGAAACATGGTGAGACCCCAGTTTCTATTAAAAACACACAAAAAATAGCCAGGCATGGTGGTGCACACCCGTGGTCCCAGCTACTTGGGAGGCTGAGCTGGGAGGATTCCTTGAGCCGGCAGGGTGGGGGTTAGGGGGTGGGGAAGGTTTCAGTGAGCTGCGATACCACCACTGTACTCCAGTCTGGACAACAAAGCCAGACCCTGTCTCAAAAAAGAAAAAAAAAAAACAGGTAGTACAAGAAACAGTCTTTGGTCTTAGGAGAACATTTATGTAGGCATCAGGAAAAAGTCAAGAGTTCACAAGAACATAATAATTGTTAAGGACTCACTATACAAGATGCTACAAAACACATCTAAATTGTTAAGGCAGTATCAGAAAGAATACCCAGTGTGGAATGAAGTTTGACCTATAGATTGAATCTCTAGCTGGCAGCTGAAACTTGAAAGTATTATATGTGTATGACTACTATACTGACCCAGGACGATACGTGACTTAATTGAAATATGATAGTTTCATCCCCACAATTGTCCTCTAAACCTTATTCAATAGGAGCAGTTTCCTCTAGCACCAGGTCAAAGACTGACTCTTGGATAATAAACAGTCTTACAGTCACTTTAAGTCTTTAGCTCTCTGCGTGCTGGAGCCAGCTCCTACAAGCTCAGTAGAGCCGATTGTGGTTGTTTCTGCCCAACTCCACGTTTAATGATGTCAAATTAACAGCTTCAGGTAGGTTATAACTTCCCTATATACACTGCCAGAAGTGCTAAAAATTGAGGATGGGAAGAGGACTACTTTTGTGGATTTTTTTTTTTTTTTTTTTTAAGAATCAGTTTTTCAGCACAGCACTGGTTCCATGGCAAACAAACATCCCTTAGCCCCAACAATTTTTAGAAGTACAGGCAAATCCCAACATTGCTCTTCTACTGGCTTCATTACCAGCAGCAGCTAGCATCTTTTGCCCTTTAAATAGACCTGTTGGGAGCCACACTACCAAAAGCCTCAATGCGGGAGCAACATATGAAATTGCCCAAGTATCCTTGGAAGCCTCATCATTAGGTTTGATGATAGGGAGCAGGCACCCCGCCTCCAAGGTGTATAGCTCATAACATAGCTTTCTCCAAAGATACCTTCTCCCCTGAAATCCACTCTCTTCCAATCCACACTCTACCTCAGTCTTATATCTTCCATCTGGTGAAGGGTCCAAGAATTACGGAACTGATGAATTCTACATTTAGGATCTGTCTTGTGAAATTCATCTCTATTTTTTCTTGGTATCTTGCTCAAAATTCAATTTTAACATTCTGTTTCAAGAGGTCAGCATAAATAATGTCAAAGAGAAGGAAATCCCATATATATGTATATATATTTTCTGTTTGGGAGGACTACCAAAAATAAGCTCAAATGAGAGAATACATCAATCTTGTATTTTGTGGTTATAGTTGTTATTGTTGGGTTGTTTTTGTTTCTTTTTATGGCAAAGGTAGTCAAGTTCATGGGTTAAAACTCATTTAATTTGGAAAGAAGAAAACTACACTAACTGGACACCACCCTGTGCTAGGCCCTGTGCTAGGCTGGGCAGCACTTCTTATACTTAATGTGCAAAGGAAGCCCCTGGGGGGGTCCATGTTAAAATGCTGATTTTCATTAGGTCTAGGTAGAGCTGATATTTTTATTTCTAACAAGTTCATAGGTAATGCCCATGCTGCTAGTTTGGAACTTCTTTGAATAACAACGGGCTAGAGAATATATATATACACATGCACACACATACATACATATACATATATAAACATATGCACATGTATATTTACACATGAAGATTCAAGAAAAAATTAAAACAATTCCATGAGATAGATGTTTATCATTATCTGTATTTCACCAATACAAAAACTGCAAATGAATGAGGTTGACTTGCCCAACCACATAGATAAATGGCAGAGGGGATTCAAAACCACATTTCTCTTCCCTTTTTTCATTAGTTGACATAGCATCCAGAAGTTGTTACTGTTTTTAAACTATAAACTGTAATCAGGTTAAAAAAATAAGTAACAATGTTGAATTTCTTTTTCTCATAATGTGATTGACCTCCCCATTTTAGTAACTGTTCAGATTCTCCTATTTCATGTCCCTGAGTTTTAATGGATTTAATCAAAACTATTTTCAAATACTAGTTGCTAGTACATATAGTCTACCCACGAAATATCTTCTAGATGCTTGGTCCATGACTAAATGGCACAAGTGCCTGTATTAAGAGAGGTATTTTGTACTCTGCAATGATGTATCTGACCATTCATGTTCTCTCATTATACTAGCTAGTCTTCAGGCTTTTTCATTATGCTATTTAGTGAGGAGATGTTCTAAAACCTTTACTGACTCTCTTCATCTCCTTCACTTATAATGAATTTGTACAGAATGCTACAGCCAAGGAACACAAAAGCTGAGCCCCAAGAAAAAAAAAAGTGATTAATGTGGACTTTCCCTAAACAGATGGTATTAACAACCTCAGCCTGCAAATTTCAATTTTAAAAGATAACAGTCTAAGTCCCTGATAGCTCACAAAGTACCTTGGTTACATATAATTTGTTTGTACAAAATTGAAGATTATTAGTTAAATAATGATTCTTTTAATCTTAGCATTTACACAAGTATTTTTTTCAATTGTTGTCATTGCTACATAGACTCAATCCCTTGGTCTTTTCCTTTAAGCTTTTTAAAAACTAAATGAAGGAAGGAAGACAGAGGACGTGAGTCACATGCTAACAAAAATAACAAAACAGTGTTGGCCACAGATAATTTCCTGAAACCGGTATGAGAAGGAATAAGCTATGTGAAAGAAAAACATTGGCAAGCCATTTTGTGAAACAGTAAAATTTCCAAATATAATTGAAAAGAGAAAAATCTTCCCAAGCAAAATACCCATTTCCAAGCCTAAGGCAACAAATAAACAAATGAAGGGTGGGGAAAGTTCAGCCTTAATATTAAAAAAAAAAAAAATTCAACTTTGTTTTCTAGATATCTGATATGATTGAGGAGCTGTTTTAAGAAAAACAAAGAAACATGTCAGTAAAATTTCCTTTTGTTATATATATATTATGATATCTATATGAGAGATTTAATAAAGTGTTAAGGTATGCTGGGTTCATTGAGTTTTAGCTTTGGAAACATCTCCTTGGATAAATGGAGTTTAATAATCGGAACTCTATGTAATATATCAAGAGACCCAAAACAAACACACAGAACATTTGATTAGCTCAACAGCTGCTAAAAATCATTTTGATAAAAGTCAGCCCCATTTCTGATTTAAAATTTTTGTTAGCATCAGGATGAAAAAGGATGTTATTTATATGCAAAAACATTAATCTACCTAAAACAGCTATTTGCTTGCTTAAGAGAGGAACTGTTAGGCAGCCCATACATTAAAATCTGGAATAGACAAAGGATGCTCATAATCCCAGTATTTTGAATTTTTCTAGGATTTTCAACTATTATCAAAATATAAAGGAAAAAGAATTTTGCTAGTCTACCTAGAAAATTCAAGATAATCAATTGAAAAGTTATTAGACTACATAAGAAATTTCAGTAAATCAGATAGACACCAGATAAAATCAAAAGAGCAATCACTCTTTGGCATGTCAGCAATAGCTGGTTAAAATATAAGATAGAACAAAAATAGTAGACAAGGACGACAAATATATAGAAATAGTCTTTTTAAACAAATGAGCAAGAACCATGAACGTCCTTTCTGAGTTATTCATTTAAACAACATGAACAAATGGTGAAATTTTCCCTGTTCATGGATGAGGAAATCGACTATTATTAAATGTTAGATCTTTTCAAATTTATAATTGTGAAGCAATTACACCAAAATGTCAAGGGGGCTTCTTTTGAAATATTTCTAGATTTAATGTGAAAGAATAAATGATGAAGAGTTAAGAGCATTTTGAAAAGGAAGAGTAATGGGAGAAGAGAGTTTAGCACTACGAAATATTAACATGTTATGAAGCTCTAACGAGGTGAAGAGCACGGTACTGTCAAATACGTAAGAATCAAGAAAGTAATAAATGAGGCCTTCCAAATGAATGAGAAGGAGATTTGTTTGAGAAACAGTTCCGAACAATTCCAAAATAATGATAGTAAAATGTAAAAAAACACCAAATATTATAACATAAAAAATAAAATTAAATAAGCAAATTTGTCACTCACAGAAGAAAAAGAAAAGCATAATAAGCTCAAAAACAAAGGAACAGATTACTAGATTTAAAGATCTAAAATTTTTTATTTCTGCCCATCGTAAAACCTCAGAAACCTAAATAGTAAAAACAAGCTGGATAAAATATATACAAGATAATTCAACTAAGAGCATGAACTGAACATTCAGAAAAATAAAAATACATATGGCTAACACAAATAATGTTCACCTTTAATAATCAAAGATATAGTAAAATTTAAAGAAAATGGCATACTTTTAGTTCTTTAAAATAGTTAACATTTTAAATGATAGGCCTAGCCAATAATACATTCTTTGTTCTTATGTTTTCTCAGGTTGATTTGGAAGTTAACCATTCAGTAAAACTGAGCTGCCAAGTTGTAACGAAAGCAAGTCTCGTACAAAATTCTCCCACACTTACAGTTATATAAACATTCATTAACAAGCAGGCAAAAAACAACCTGTACTGTAGTTTCACTGAAATGCCAGCATTGTCCTTTTAAGTGATCAGCCGCCCCACCAACATAAAAAAATAACTGAAACCAATTATGACAGCCTTCCAGAAGCAGGGCCTAGTACCCTGATAGTTAGCTCCAGACAACTTGAAAAATTCATAAATCAATGGGTGGCCACAGGACCATTTAGGGATCAAGCCTTGGGCACTATTTTAAGGGTATGGTAAGGCCTCACTGGTTTCTTATTCCATTGGCATATAAATATGCAGAATGTCTCTAACATGTTTTTAAAGAAATCATTTCTCCTGAAAACTTAAAATTTTGCCAAGCAGTGAAATTATCCTAATTTATAAGTCACCCACTTCACCAATACAAGCAAATTTCTGCTCAATCTGCTAATTTCCATACGGATTGCTAATTGAAACACAAAAAACAGAAGCACTTCTGTTAGCCTCCTGTGGAATATGGACTTCCTGATCAGAACTCCAGCTGGCTTTCTTTGGACTTCTGTACTATTGATTAGCACTTGGGTAATTGCTTAACCTAAAGAGATCTGCATAACCTATATAAAGGGAGTTATAAACATTGAATACCAGATGTTTACTCTTCTTCCACATGATTCCTCTTCTTACCCTTGTATTTTCTATGCATTCTGTATTTCTATGGAGATGACTGGAAGTTCCGCACAGTTCTGGCTCTATTCACAGTTCAGGTTACATTCAGCTTAGGTCCATCAACACTTATTTTGGTAAATCACAGCAAATGTCAAATTCTTCAAACCAAAAGAAAATCCCCAGTCTGTACAGAGTGATAATTATTTCTTTTTATGAAAATTTCTTACATACTCTGCTGAAAAAGATTATCCTATTTTTATGTTTTTGATGGTAGTCTAGTGTTTCATAATCTCAAACTTATTTCAACAGCCTTACCTCATTGCTCCCAGAGCCAAACAAGGTCAATGAGTAGTCGTTGGCAAGATACTCTGCATTGTTTACAATGCCGCAGCTATTTGCAATGATACCTGCCCATGTCGCCATCAACCTCAGGCTGCCTGCATCTTTGCCAGCAGCCGTCAGTGGAGAGAGGAACTAGTACTTCAAAGGTCTCAGTACGGCTCATAAAAGAGCAGGGGGTTGACCCAAGCCAAGATGAAGATTGTATATTTGTCAGTTATGTTTGACTATTTTGACAAGCTAATCCATAGAAACTCAAGATAACTGAGAGGAAGTCTACATTTAATAGCCCCAGAGAAGGCTACAGATAAATGTAAAAGAAAACTAAAGATCTCCAGGGGAAAATACTTAGTATCTCCTCCCCATCGTAGAAGAAAAAAGGGAAACAAGCCAATAGTACCACTTATGATTTAAAGAACTGACCACATATAACAAAAATGTTAAATATCCAGGGAACAAAAGTGAAAAACTGAAGGAGGGAAAGAAACCAAGCATTCAAAAGAGATGATGAGTAAGGCGGTGACAAGCTAAAGGCACTGCAAGTCTGGGGCACACTGAGTGTGAGAAGAAACTCTGAAGGGTTTAACAGGAAACCAGGATTTCCAGGAAACTAGAAGCCAGTTGAAAATTGATGCACATTTCAAGCCATTTCAAACAAGAAAAGGGCGAAATTAAATATGGGTTCAAAGGACAATTATACATCCAAAGGCCACTGCCCCAACAACTTGGAAATCCTTATACACCTAGATGAGAGTTCTTTTGCAATTCCTAGATACTAAAATGTTATCCACCCCAGTAGCCAGTACCTGGCTGCAGAGAACGTGAAGCTATTATCAGATTTTATGCTTATACCCAACCTGTTTCAAAAACAATATAAGGTTCCCTACAACAATAAAATATTGCAACATGAGAAGAGAAATAATTCAGGCAAAAAGACAAGGCAGAGCTTATGAAACGAAGCCAAGAAAAAATAACACACAAATCTTTACCAAAACATCTGATAACAGTAGTTCCCAATGTTTTTTAGTATGAGGTCACTTTTTCTAAAATCAGAAATTTTCATAGATCACCCTCAAATGACAATATGCCCCCCACAGCCATGATACCCAACAATTCTATTTACACAAGTAGACATTGATGAAAAATGCAATAAGCTACAATAAATTCAGTTATGTGAAATTGTATTTTATGAATCAGAAGTGTACCGATATGAATAGTAATAAATACGTAAATATTATTTTATTTCATAACAATATTGGAGATCCTTATCAATTCATGGATCTCTGCAAAAACCCTAATGCCCTGATTTAGCCATTCTATTTGTTTTCTAAAAATCTTTGCATCCTGTGTCTTCACAAATACAATGGAAGTTTTAACGGAAATTCAACAGGGAATAAAATGTGCCATTAAGACCTATTTTACAAACTACCACCAAAAGAACTTTTGCTTGGGGTCTGTGGAAAAGGCCCTTTATGTCTTCAATTATCAGTTTCATTATCTTCACAAATAGACAGCCCCCTGCCCAAACCTCCACAGGTACACAGTGACACCCAATTTCATTTAGGTACAGTCATGTGACTGTTAGTCAATGAGATGTACACAGAAATGGGGTGAGCAAATCTCCACAAAGCAAGCGCTGTGTGCTTTGCCTCCACTTTTCTTGCTGGGTAGAATGCAGACAATACTGACAAGGATCATACCCTTGGGCAGCAGAGGAAAATAGCTGGATGGAACCTGGGACTTTGTGAATTAATGGAAATTCTTTATTAAAATTCTGACTATTGAAGTTCTTTTTAGAATAGAACAAACTGTTTTTAAGCCATTCTTAATTTTGTATTTTTGCTGTCACATGCTTTCAGATAGTAATTTCTAGTTAATACTGTCTCTTAACTATCAAAAGTGTTCAGTTCTAATATTCAGTCTTCACTACTCCTAGAAAAATCACATACAATCAGAACGAACTTTACTTCCTGTAACTTTGCAGTCTCATTTCTTGTCCTTGTCATTAGTTCTTTCTCTCCTTTCCCTGAAACCTTAGACACTAACTCTGATACCACCTTGCGGGTCTCATCTTGATTATGCCTTACGGTAATTTGGGCTTAGCTTTCCAGATCTCGTATATAATTGATGTGTGCGCTGGGATTTGTTTTCAATAGAACTGGGTTATTTTTCTGTATATTTCCCCCATTTTTTTTCTTGGTTTTTACCTTTGTTTTACTGGAGCAAATCTTCAGGTAACCTCCTTACAGAAGTACATAAGAGAAAGTTTCTGAAAGTCTGAAAATAGCTATATTTTACCATCACACTTGATTGCCAAGTGACTAAGCCTAGAATTTTTCTCAGAGCTTCAAATGCATTGTTTCATTGCTTCTCAGATCTTGTATTGTTGGTGAGATGTCTGATGTCAATCTGGTTCATTTTAACATTATGAATCATAAATATGGTTGTGTTCACTACATCCTAATTATAAAGTTTTAAAAAAATTTCTTGTGTTCTGAAATTTCAGATATAAATTTTTTCAGCATCCTGGGAACCCAATGGGCCTAAAGAATTCTGGTGCTTTAGTATTAAAAACTTTTCTTGTATATTTCCATTGCTAACTTCCTCCCACTCCAATTCCCTCTCTTATTTCCCAGAATATTAGGTCAATGTCAAGCTTCTGGGATTGAACCTCTATGTTTATCTTTTTAAAATTTTTTTCTTTTGTCTTTTTTCTCTTGTTCTGATTTTCTTAGTTTCATCTTCGTAACTGTCTGAATTTTTGCAATTGCATCTTCAAGACAAAATATCTTATTTTGTTCTCCATTGTTCTTTTGTACTTTTCTAGTCTTATTTTTCGATGCAATATCCTCTCAAATTTTCAAGCTAATTGCATAACTAGGTTCTTTTAACATTCTCCTTTTTCTGAATTATCTGTTTCTTCTAAAGTAAATGTTCTTGTTTTAGTTATTTTGTGCTGCTGGTTTTATTTATGTTTTTTGTTATCTTTGGCTGTCTTCTTATGAAGAAGAATAGTGGACTGGGTTGATTTTCTAGGATATAAATTATGAGTCCCCTCTGCTGTTATCTTTTATTTCATGGTGAGGTCTTTCAAACAAATATGGGTGGACCTTGTCTACTGGCAGGCTTCATATTGGCGAGGGCAATAAAGGAAAATGAATTTAGGCTGAAGAGGGGACAGAGCCTCCAAATGCAGAGATGAGGGCTTTATTCCCGGAAGACCTAATTTTATATCTGTAGTTCTTGATGTCTTTGGAGAAGAGGCTTTAGATTTATTTTGTTGTTACTCTTTCATCTTTTCTTTTTAAGTGTTAGGCTGCCTAGAAATGCATGAGCTCCACCCGTACTTTTTAATGAGTTTTGATGCAACTATGTAAAAATTGTTATTTTTTGGCTTCTGGAGGGAACAATGTTTAGACACCTTTTAAGTGCACTTAAAAACATTAAGAAGTAAAAATAAACATTTCAAAGAGCTGAACATAAATGTCATCACAGATACTGCCACTAATTTACTGATTATTGATCACAGGAATCCATCCTGAGCCAGAGGAACAGCAGCACATGGTAAAACACAAACAGTCCAAGGTGTACAAAAAAGCCTTCAGAACATCCACCTGCAGACTGAACACCACATGTTATAGTTAGGAGCATATTTGGGGCTTTGCTAGTTACAAAACTCCATTGGGTTTTCATAAATACACTTTATACTCAAAGCCACTGGAGTCAACCATATAATGACAAGATTGTCTGGAACTGAATGTAATTTATTCATATTGTTTGCAAGGGGAAAGTATTGTACTTAAAATAATTATACTTGTAGTTTTAAAGGTGTTTTTGGGTATCACTATATTTCACTCAGAAAGAGTAAAAGCAGAAACAGAAAAATTTTAAATTGGTTTCCTGTATAATATCTATGCATATACACACAAAACTCTGCAAATGTGTTATTTTTACTTTTCTTTTTATTTTTTGAGACAGGGTCTCTTTCTCTCACCCAGGCTGGAATGTGGTGGTGTGATCACTGCTCACTGCAGCCTCAACCTCCTGGGCTCAGGCAATCCTCCCATCTCAACCTCCCAAGTAGCTGAGACCACAAGTGTGTGCCACCACACCCAGCTAATTTTTGTATTTTTTTCGTAGAGACAGAGTTTTGCCACATTGCCCAGGCTAGTCTCGAACTCCTAGGCTCAAGTGATCTGCCCACCTCAGCCTTGCAAAATACTGGGATTACAGGTGTGGACCACTGTGCCTGGCCAAATGTGTTATTTTTAATATAAATCCACTGTTTATTTTAGGATTCCTCACCCCCTGAATTTAATGTGATTCATTTACCTTAGGCAATGACTTATTTGTATTCACTGACAGGCTGCACAGTGGAAAAAGGTCTTCAGAGTGACTAACAAAAGACCACATCCATCTGTCTACCCCAGTATAATACATGTCTCCTAGACATTTTTCTCTATCCCTACAAGTAAGACAGAGGTACAATCCTATGACTACCCTTTCACTCTTTAATTGATCAAATGAGAAACTTTCTCTTCATGGAAGCATTAATGAAGGAAATTCAAACTGAATTCATCATGTCCAACAAACAATCCATCTTTTTAAATTGAGATATAATTCACATACCATAAAATTTGCCCCTTTGAAGGACACAACTCAGTAGTTTTTAAGTATATTCACAACGCTGTGCAATCATCACCATTATCTAATTCCAGAATGTTTTCATCACCCCCAAAAGTCACTCCCATATCTATTAGCAGTCACCTCCTAATCTCCTTTCCCACTCCCCAGACCGCCCCATCCCTGTCAGCCATCTCTGTCTCTATTGACTTGCCTAGTCTGGAAAGTTCATCTCAATAGAATCATATAATATGTGGTCTTTTTTGATCAGCTTTTTATTTCGCTTAGTGTAATGTTTTCAAGGTCCATCCATGTTGTGGCAAGTATCAGCACCACATTCCTTTTTATTGTCATATAATATTTCCTTATATGGATATACTACCTTTTATTTATCCATTCATTTGTTGATGGATACTTGGGTTTTTTCCATCTTTTGGTTACTATGAATGATGTTGCTTTAAACATTTGTGCGCAAGTTTTTGTGTGGACATATGTTTTTTTTAATTTCCCTTGGGTATATGCCACCTAGGAGTTAAATTGCTGGGCCATGTGGTAATTCTATCTTTAACTTTAAGAAAAATTTTTAAAGCACATTTAAAACTTTTTACTGTATATACTGAGTGGAATAATTTTTTGAGCAACATTACCAAAGAGAAAAAAATGTTCCAAACATAAATAAGTCTCATTATGACAGAACTTTGTAAAAGATGCTGTTTACTTTGTTTTTTTTTTTCAATCTGGACAACAGAATTATGACTGTACTATGTATCTATAGGTAATAATACCAGAAAGGCATAGGGCTTTATAAGGAAAAAAGTCAGTAGAAAATGCTTAAATGCTTACTTAGAATCTGAAGATATTACTTTGAAATACCTAAGATTACTCTTAGTATTTGCATATGCTTATTTATCACAAAGTATATACAATGAAGTCTTACAGTCAACTTTCAATTCTTCCTCACACAATATGTAGTACTTATTCTAGAATAACTACAAGTATAGTCTGTCCTTGTCTGAATTTTTTTTTTCTTCTAGGTTCTGCTGATAATTCTCAGTATTTTATGTCTTTCTTGTCCTGAGCCATGTTTCACTGACAAATAACATTTCCAGAGACTTTATTCTCTGTGTCTTTCAATTGCTTAGATTTCACTTTAAATACCAGAAGTTTCTAGAGAGGATTCTTTTTCTCATTAGGCCTACAAAATTCTTGCTAACATAAGAAAGGCTGTTCACACTCTGTTAACATGGCGCTGGAGCTGTGTAAATTCCTTTTTGTTGAGCATTCTTCTTTCAGTGGGTCTCAGTCTTGGCCATTCTGTGATGAAATGCTGTTTTAGCCTCTTGGTGAGAAGACTGACGTACAGAATGTGAGCCCAGCTGGAAACATCCTTCACAGTACTGAAATACAAGTGCCAAGTCCAAGTACTTTCTGGGTAACATCACCTACCCTCCCTGGCTGTGAAAGCTCAGAGATAAGAGTTTCTAGCTGATCATTTTGCAGTGGATTTTCCTTCCTTAAAAGGAAGGATTTTTTTTCTAAAGAAAAAATCTTTTCTGATTTTTTTCTAAAGAATCAAAATTTATAGTTTAAAAAAAAAAAGTACAGAGGAAAAAAATTTAAATACTTTTGGAATTGAATGTTTCCCAATCATTTTTTTAAATGTTGTCTTCACTTTTTTTCTTCTTTAACTACCAATGCCCATGTAATTTTTTTTCTTTCATGAGGCATCAGTATTCCTTGCCTAAAGACAGTGTGTCTAATGAGTGACTAGAATCAGGTAAAGAAGAAACTTCTCCTGTCTTGAAGGAGGCGTGTCTGTTGGGGAGGAGAAAGGAGTTTTCCTTGCTTGCTATACACTGAAGACTGTTCCCTTGCCAAGTATACTTTCATCGTCTTAGATAAATCGTAATTGCAAAATCGAAGGAGAATTTGCAGACTTTACTGTGAATGACCTTGTTGCTGCTATTCTGTGGTGTCAATGTAACAACATAGACAGACTTTACAAAATATCATTTTTTACTTTACTTTTTTACCCCTGTAGGCTTTACAAAATATCATTTTTTTACTCTACTTTTTTGCCCCCGTTATCAAACCAAGGGTAAAGGAGTCATTTACTTTGGTGACACCTACAGGCACATTCAGATAAAAACATTCTCAACCCTCCTTTGTAACCAAAACACTCTCATTGGTCCAGTCAGGAACCCCTGTGTGGATTCTGAATGGTAGTTAGTGGACATCATCTCAGATTCATTTGAGTCTTAAAATACATCAGTTTGTCTCCAAAAGTCATCTTCAAATGTTGAGAAATTTTCATTTGGCTATTTGGGTTTGATGCTGAACTACAACAATGTAAATGTCTTCAGCTGGCCTATGCCTCATTCCACCAGCATAAATGTTGCCTTTTACAGGCCATGACTGGATGAGCAGAAACTGCTGAAGTCTCTCTCACCAAAATCTCTCTCACACACGCCCCCCTGCTACCATCATACTTCCTGGGCTATAGAAGCTGAACCTGTTCCAAGATGTAACAATTAGATAAAATGATGAACTCCTCAAAAGTGGCCCGGATTCCCAGTGTTGGAAGACTATAGAAGACCACTGGGATTGAGTAACCTTGAAAGAAGTTCACTCAGACAAGCTGTTCGCACATCTGAGTGATCCCAGTGCAAGTCAAACTGTGGGGTGGCAGGTATAACAACAACAGGCAAAAAGAGCAGAAGGAAATGGGTTCACCAGAAAGTGCAACTCCTGCAGCAAGGAAATGACCAGGAAACCCACGATAGTGCCCTATTAAAGAAAGAGCCTGCCATGACAGAGAGCCCATGACAGCCAAGTAAGCTCTACAAACAGTACCAGCTAAGTACATGAGACTCTTTTTGCCTTCTAGGTCTTAATAGGTCTTAATCCTCTGTCCCATCTAGCCCTGGAAGATCCAGAGGCACATCACCACCATGACATCTTTCATGTCAGAAGGATATGGAACAAGAAAGAGAGGAGAGACTCACCACACCTCTTGCCCAACCTTCTAGGTCAGGCCCAAAAGAAAGGGAAAAGCTTTAAACTTGATATCACAAGTTTAGTTTAGACCAGACTGCGCTTTTAATACCTGAAAAAAATGAAACTGAAAGTGACCATAAAATATCATGAGGAAAAAGGAAGGAATATCTAACAGAGAGGTTTGCAAAAGTGGTAGGAGAAAAATGAAGCTATTTTCTAATTTTATACTGCGGAGTCTAGCCCATTAGGTTGTTGATCCAGTTGGGATTTTACTTTCTAATATCTTTTTAGTGAACAAAGCAGGTAATATTAGGCATTGCTCAAGTGAAAAATATATTGCGGGGGGGAGGATTTTTTTGTCCATGTTCAAAATTCAGGAAAATATCATAAAGGGTATATCTATATTAAAGTCTATTTACCTTGCTTATTTATAGTTGCAAATTTACATAAACCCCATTTAAAATTTTCTTCCACATCATGTAGAATTTTGCCTCTGTTCAATGAGGACGGCAAACTGCAGGGACGTCTTCTATGGACTCTTATTTTGCCCCCTTCAACCTGACTTTTGATCCTCCAACTTCTCCTTGCTCAGAAGCGAGGTTTTCAATGTTTGACCCAGTAAAATTTAGTATCAGTAGTCTGAAGCATCTGCTTCTGTGAAGGCTAATTTATCTTTGCTGAAGACCTCATGAGTTTCTTATCCCTGACCCTCATGAGGAAGTTCCCATGGTCAGAACGCACTACTGTGTCTCCAAATGGCTTTCCTAGGAGACTGTCTTGCTTGCTGATTTACACTGATCAGACATGAGGATTCTGAAACTTCACAAATATTTATCAAAAGGATTTACAGATGCTTAGTTTTTATAGCTGCTTGTTGATGCAACTGCCACATCAGCTGCCTAAAAAATAAAATGGGTTACTCATCAGACAGGGACATAAATGATGAAACACAAAAGGCCCACTAATAAATTATACAACCTCCTGTGGACCATGGCACAATGAAGGCAAGGATCCAAGAAAAGGTTTCTTGAATTGTTTTTTGTCCCTGGCAGGGTGAATTAGGTTGTTCAGGTAAGAGTCATGAATACAAGAATAGGGAGGGAGTGCTTTCAAGAACTGATTTATTGATAGGAAGGACCAGGAAGTGGTGATATTTGTTGCACAAATATCTCCTTCCTTGTTCTTTGCCATACACAAGGACTGACCACACTCCTGAGTCACCCAATAGCTACTGCTTTCTTGTTCGCCTGTCTCCCATCTTTCCAGCTTCTTCCACTATGACTCAGGCAACCCTCCAGATTCAAAGACACAGTGGATGGGGTAGAGCGATTTTTGTGTGTCCTTTTCTCTCTCCTGCATCCCTCTGAGCACATCATTGCCTTACATATCACCACCACAAGACAGGAAAGCCAGGGCCCATCCAGTGCCCACTGAAGGTGGCTGAATATACCTGGAGCACAATTCTGGCCTGGCTGGAAGGTGAAGAGTTAACAACAGGAATAAGCAAATCTGTCCATTCCTGAGCATGTCCTTCTCCCATCCTCCCACTCTGTCCTTTACTCCATCCCAACGGTCTTCTTAAAAGGCACCTCTAGGGAAAAATCACTACCAACATCTCTAAACCAACTAAACTCATCAAGAGGGTCATCCTCACACATATTACTGTCTAAGCAACTATCGTGCCTTGGGTAACATGAGCTTAAAGGGAGCTGCAATACAGCATCTTAGGGGTATAATCATTAAAAGAAAAAAATATGTTGTATTACTTCATTTTCTGTTGCTTAGCATATGAAAAACTGGGTAATTTATACAGAAAATGAATTTATTTCTTAGTTATTCCTTACCTGAAAAATCCAAGGTCAAGGGGCCATATCTGGTGAGAACCTTCTTGCTGGTGGGCATTTTCTGAGGAATCCCAAGGCCACACAGGGCATCGCATGGTGAGGGGGCCGAGTGTGCTATCTCAGGGCTCTTTTTCTCTTGTGAAGCCACCAGTTCCATTCCCATGATAACCCATTAAAACCCACTACCCATTAATCCACTAATCCATTCAGGAGGGCCAAGACCTCATGATCCAATTACCTCCCAAAGACCTCATCTCTCAGTTGGAGGTGAGGTAATCACCACTATATTGGAGATTAAATTTCAGCATGAGTTTTGGAAGGGAAACTATTCAAACCATAAAAGGTGTTTATTGGAAAAAGCAGAATTATTAAATCAAAAATAAAATTTGAGAGTAAGCATATAAAATGTTCTCATACAGCAGATACTAGAAACAAAAACAAGAGGAAAATCATTAAGAAAAACAGGTGACGATGTTATTATGAAAAACCAAAGATTGAACAAAATAATAGATTGCCTATCATGTTACATACAGCTGAAGAACTGGAAGATTAAGTAGAAGAAGCTCGCCTTGTCAAAGGTGGCTACAGTGTATTCCCCAAAGTATTGCTTAATCCATCTGAAATAATTTTCTTTTCATTGCAATCCAATGCAATCTCTTCTTTCCAGGAAATCACTTATTTATTCTTGTTATTCAAATCACAGTCAAACTACCTTCACCTCCAATTCACATTATTGAACTGGAAATATAATATACCAGGACCTAGCATCCGCATTCAGACAGAATATTACCTCACAGATTTTAGATTTTGGGTAGGTTGATGGTGGGTGCCTGACTACATTTGTGTAAATAGTGTCAATCCTGGTGATTGTCTCTAATCCAAGATGGTTTTGTCTCCAAAGCTAGCAACATTTTCATTTCTAGGAATTGAAATCACCACTGGTCAACACTCTATCTTTCCCACAAGCCACCCCCCGCCCACACACCTCAGAAAATGGCAGACACATTGCTAAATGAATAAAATATAAGTCCCTTTTCATCTGATACTGTTATATAGAATGAGATTTGACATGTTTAAGGAAACATCTTTGCTAGTGTTAAAGGCTCATTCCTCAAAAATGAAACACAATGGACAGTTTTAAGAGTTTGAAATATTCATTTTTTAAAATATCAGGCACATAAATCAATTTGAACATGTTTGAATTTATATACTCTTTTGGTTTGGAGGGAAATAATTTGTACCAGGACTATGTCCAAGTCCTACATATAGCCTCAATACTGGTTTGAAATGCCTTAACAGGCAGGGTCTCACAACCTCAGCCCCACCACCCAGGTACTGCAGGTGTTGTCACGAGTAGCTGTTGGAATTACAAAAATATTTTTCCGGAAACTACAGAATGTCAAGTTATGCCTTTGAAATTGTGGCATCAGATACAATACATAGCAGGAATTCTCAAATAAAAAATGTCGTATTCATTTCATTCACAGAAGTTTATTAAACACTTCCATGGGCCAGGCACATTTTATATAGGAAACATGCCCATAGTCATTAAAATAATTTATTTGGAAGAAAGATTTTAAAGGAGGAAAATCTCATACTTCAGTTGTTTTAAAATCACAAATATGACAGCACTGGCTTTCAATGCAGTTAATTTTAGTCCCTAATTCACAGATAATGATGGCACCTTAAACATGGAAATGTTTTTCTCCAGAAGAAACTCTGAAATGGACTGGAAAAGTACTGAAATACGTATCTTGTGTAAGCAATTAATAGGAAATGTTGCAAATCAGGATCAGATTTGTGCTGTCCTTTTGCTTTTTACAGTAAAATATAATTTATAATCCATGTATAAAATGCTGCTTTTGCTATGCATGGACAAGTGGATAGAAGAAACTACTCAGTCATGTGATGCTTCTACCAATAAGGCTTTTACAATATGTACATTCTATATCTCAATGATTGATACAATTTTGGAAAGAGAAGAGAGAAAATAAGGATTTAATTAGTCTGTGGGTTGAGTAACATCCAAGGATTAATACCTCTGCTTGAAGAAAGGGATAATTTTCTGATGACATCATTCATTACAACATGCAGGGTATAAAGAGAGGACACTTCAGTCATTAGCCATGCCCTATGAAATGCAGAGACAACTGCTTGCCTCATTTGCTCATCATCAAGTTTTGGCCTTTAAAGATGTTCAAAACTGACTACTTAAGGCATTTAAAATTAAACACTTAGCCTCGACCCCCCTCAGTTGGCTTAAAATCTTAAACTTCTTCTATCTGGCAACTAAAAATATTAAATAAGAAATGTGGCTGGGCATGGTGGCTCAATCCTGTAATCTCAGCACCTTGGGAGGCTGAGGTGGGCAGATCACGAGGTCAAGAGATTGAAACCATCCTGGCCAATGTGGTAAAACCCCATCTCTACTAAAAATATAAAAATAATTAGCTGGGCATGGTGGCACACACCGGTAGTCCCAGCTACTCGGGAGGCTGAGGCAGGAGAATCGCTTGAACCTGGGAAGCGGAGGTTGCAATGAGCCAAGATTGTGCCACTGCTCTCTAGCCTGGCAACAGAGTGAGACTTGGTAAAAAATAAAATAAAATAAATAAAATAAAAAAAAAAAGAAAGAAAGATAGACAGACAGACCAGTTTTTAAAAGGAAAAATGTGGAGACAAATTTAAACCAACTTAACATAATAAACACAACCTAAAGAAATGAAAAGAAACTGAAAGAACAAAAATGAATAAAAATTAAACATATAACAGATATAATAGAGATAATCAAATGCCCAAAGGCTGATTTTTAAAGAATAGAAAATTTTTTAAAATCACATCATCATCTCAATAGATGCAGAAAAAGCATGTGACAAAATCAAGCATTCCTTTAAGATTCAGACCCTCAGCAAAATTGGCATAGAAAAGACATACCTTAAGGTGATAAAAGCCATCTATGACAAACCCACAGCCAACATTACACTGAACATAGAAAAGTTGAAAGCATTCCCCCTGAGAACTGGAACAAGACAAGGATGCCCACTGTCACCACTTCTATTCAACACTGTACTAGAAGTCCTGGCCAGAGCACCCAGACAAGAGAAATAAATAAAGGGCACCCATACTGGTAAAGAAGAAGTCAAACTGTTGCTTTGCTGATGGTATGATCATATACTTAGAAAACCCTAAAATCTCATTCCAAAAGCTCCTATAACTGGTAAATAAATTCAGCAAAGTTTCAGGATGCCAAATTAATGTACGCAAATTGGTAGCTCTGCTATACACAAACAGCGACCAGGCTGAGAATCAAATCAATAACTCAATCCCCTTTAACAATATCTATAAAACATATAAAATACTTAGGAATATACCTAACCAAGGAGGTGAAAGAGTTCTACAAGGAAAACTACAAAACACAGCTGAAAGAAATCATAAGATAACAAAAGCAAATGGAAACACATCCCATGCTCATGGATGGGTAGAATCAATATTGTGAAAATGACCTTACTGCCAAAAGCAATCTACAAATTCAACGCAATTCCCATCAAAATGCCACCATCATTCTTCACAGAACTAGAAAAAAAAATTCTAAAATTCACAGGGAACCAAAAAGAAGCCCAAAGAGTCAAAGTAAGACTAAGCAAAAAGAACAAATCTGGAGGCATCACGTTATCCGACTGCAAACTGTACTATAAGGCTATAGTCACCAAAACAGCATGATACTGTTGTAAAAATAGGCACATAGACCAATGGAACAGAATAGAGAACACAGAAATAATGCCAAATCCTTACAAGGATTTGGCCTTTAAAGATGTTCAAAACTGGCTATTTAAGGCATTTAAAATTAAACACTTAGCCTCGACCCCCCTCAGTTGGCTTAAAATCTTAAACTTCTTCTATCTGGCAACTAAAAATATTAACTAAGAAATGTGGCTGGGTGAGGAGGATCACGCCTGTAATCCCAGCAGGTTGGGAGTAGGGGACTAACTGATCTTCGACAAAGCAAACAAAAACAAAGTGGGGAAATGACACCCTTTTCAACACATGGTGCTGGGATAACTGGCAAGCCACATGTAGTAGAATAAAACTGGATCCTCGTCTCTCACCTTAGACCAAAATCAACTCAAGATGGATCAAAGACTTAAAACTAAGACCTGAAACCATAAAGATTCTAGAAGAAAAAATCATTCTAGATATTGGCTTGGGCAAACCCTTCATGACCAAGAACCCAAAAGCAAATGCAGCAAAAACAAAGATAAATAGATGGGACTTAATTAAACTAAAAAGCTTCTACATAGCCAAGGAAATAATCAGCAGAGTAAACAGACAACCCATGGAGTGGGAGAAAATATTCCCAAACTATGCATACAACAAAGGACTAATAGCCAGAATCTACAAAGAATTCAAACAAATTAGCAAGAAAAAAAACAAGCAATCTCATCAAAAAGTGGGCCAAGAACATGAATAGACAATTCTCAAAAGAAGATATACAAATGGCCAATAAGCATATAGAAAAATGCTCAATATCACTAAGTACTAGGGAAATGCAAATCAAAAGCACAAGGAGGTACTACCTCACTCCTGCAAGAATGGCCATAATTTAAAAATCAAAAACTAATAGATGCTGGTGGGGATGTAGTGAAAGGGGAACATTTTTACACTGTAGGTGGGAATGTAAACTTGTACAATCACTATGAGAAACAGTGTGATTTAAGATTCCTTAAAGATCTAAAAGTAGATATACCATTTGATGCAGGAATCTCACTACTAGGTATCTTCTCAGAGGAAAAGTCACTATACAAAAAAGATACTTGCACACATGTTTATAGCAGCACAATTTGCAATTGCAAAAATATGGAACCAGCCCAAATGCCCATCAACGATGAGTGGATAAAGAAAATGTGGTATATATACACCATGGAATACCACTCAGCCATAAAACGGCATGAAATAATGACATTCACAGCAAGCTGGATGAAATTGGAGACTATTATTTTAGCTTAAGTAATTCAGAAATGGAAAACCAAACATCGTATGTTCTCACTCATAATTAGGAGCTAAGCTATGAGGATGCAAAGGCATAAGAATGATACCATGAACTTTGGGGGACTCGGTGGGGAAAGGGTGGGAGGAGAGGGAAGGATAAAAGACTACACATTGTGTAGAGTGTACAGTGCTTGGGTGACAAGTGGACCAAAATCTCAGAAATCACCACTAAAGAACTTACCCATGTAACCAAACACCACCTGTTCCCCAAAGACTTACCAAAATACAAAAAGATGGCCAGGCACGGTGGCTCACGTCTGTAATCTCAGCACTTTGGGAGGCTGAGGTGGGTGGATCACATGAGGTCAGGAGTTGAAGACAAGCCTGACCAACATGGTGAAACCCCATCTCTACCAAAAATATGAAAAATTAGCTGGGCATGGTGGTGGGCGCCTGTAGTCCCAGCTACTCAGGAGGCCTAGGCAGCAGAATTGCTTGAACCTGGGAGGTGGAGCTTGCAGTGAGCCGAGATCATACCACTGTACTCCAGCCTGGGCGACACAGCGAGACTCTATCTTAAAAAAAAAAAAAAAAGACTAAAAATAAATAAATAAATAAATAAATAATAAAGTTAATGAGGCTGAGAAACCAGAAAAAAAAAAGACAGACTCCAGTAAGATTGAACAAGACGACCAGAGGAAATTCACAAACATTGGAAATGAAACGAGGGACACAGTGGCAAAGATTGAAAGGGTAGTCTGAACAACTTTCTATCACTAAATTTGAAAACTTAGCTAAAATGAATAAATTCTTTAATAATTTAACAAAATCAATTCAAGGAGAAATGCAAAAAGACACTGAAACACACAAGTTAATAAAATGGATCAGTTTATAATAATTCTACAAAAAAACACAAAGACTAAATGACATGACACGCAAGGTCTACCAATCATTTTAAGGTCCATATAATATTAACCCTAGAAACATTAATCGAGAAAGTAGAAGAGCAAGGAATATTTCACAACTTATTTTCTGAATCTAGTAGTAAAAACTTGATCCTAAAACCTGAGAAGGTTTCTAAGTGAAAGGAAAATTACAGTCAAATTCATTCTGAATAGAGATGCACCAAAATGGAATTCTAGCAAACCAAATCTAGTAATAAATACAAAAGGCAAAACATGTTGACTAATTTGGTTTTATCTCAAGAATGGAAAGTTAGTATAATAAAATCAATGATTCAACACATTAACAGGTTATGGGAGAGAAATTACACAATCATTTCAACAGGTACAGAAAAAGTATTAGATGAAATTTAGTACCTATTCATGATTTTTCAAGAAATTCCTGGAAAACTCAGAATAGAAAGGAACCTAATAAAATATTTCTACAGAAGCCTGTGGTAAACATGGTACTTGATGGGAAAATGTGAAAGCATTTCCTTCATAAGAGAATAAACAAGACCAGCATGCCTGCTATTATTCCATAAAAAGCTAACAATTGTACAGTACTGATGCTATGCCAAACAGGGCTCTAAGTGCTTTGCATTTAGGCAATGGATAGAGAATGTGGTGGGGTTCAAGACTCTGACTTAACTTTCTCAGAAATGCAACTAGCAACTAATTTTCTGGTGACTTATGGATACTACTAGCATCTCTAGAAGAGCTGCTTCAAGCGAACACTACCACCCTCCCAAGAATCTCTGCAGTGTAAAGTGAATCTTGTTGTTTATTGTGCGAGATTAGGCAATGCAATATTTCTGATGAAAATTTGAACTCTTTGGAATTAGACTGGCTTCATTTTCTGAAAACAGCAATAGTGATCTACTTTACAGCAGAACACAGAGAAAATCTGTCTGTGTGTGGTCAGTACTTTCTGGTCCTTTAAGGAAAAACAACATACAACACTAAAATGTTGTACCTCCCACTTTACAGTATTTTAAAAAGGATCTCAGAAAAGATCATATGTAAACACAACTGGTTAAATTTAAGATGGTCAAAGGATTGGATATTCTGAATTTTTTTTTTTTTTTTTTTTTTTTTTTTACTGTATCCCACTGCCTGCCTAGCCCCAGAAATACAAGGAACTCAGAAAAGAAAGGGAGGGAAGAAGGAAGGAAAGACTGATTCGATAAGCTAAGGAAAAGTAAAGCAACAACTATTCCTCTTCAATTTTATTTAACCTTTTATAATACTTGATATTTCAGATGCTGGGAAATGTGTCATATTCAGTTTGATTCAATAAATGTGTGTTAAGCACCTACGATTAGGCACCGTGGTAGGCACTGGGTATAGAGATGAAGAAGGCATGAGATATTCCCTGGAGAGATGTGAGGTTAATGGAAATTGGAAGCATGTGTATTTCCCTCCAGGCAACTAAAAAGGTGCTTTGCAGACATCTGAACACAGATCAAGAGACACTTTCAAAAATATGAACACTGCATGTAAAAAGTTGAATACCAAAATGAATTTTCTGTCAGCATCAATACAACAAACCTATTCCTGGCTTATGAAGAGAAAGAAAAAGGATCAGACTCTAATACAAAATAATTTGAAGAATAATTAAAAATATGACTGATTTGAAGAAGAACAGCCTTATCTACATTCACCTGGTCATTTGGGGGGAAGAAATATATGTATATATAATGTACTATTACAGGAGACTGCCTTTTCTAAAAAGTTGGTTGTTTTGTTGTCAATGTCGTTTGAGTTCAGCTGCACATATTGGATTGGTGACATGACCCTGAGCATAGCAATTCAGGCTCTGACCAAACAGAGCTGTCATGACCAAAATGATAATCAATTACCAAGGACATAGTGAAGAGATGTCCACACTGGACTGGCTGCAGGACGTAACAGAGAGGGAATTCTGCGAAGTTAGAAGACTTGTTGGTTCTAAGCCTAAATAATAGCTAAAATGTATAGAGCCCTTATTATATTCCAGGTTGTATGCTAAACCCTTATAGATATTATTTCCTTTTAATCTGATGGTTTAGATTTGGGCCTGAAAAATGCCTATATGTAAACTCAGGCCATACCATTTTGCTTTCTGCTCATCTGCCATGGCAAAGTCTAGCGTTATTGGCATTTAGACTATGTAATTCTTTCTTATGGGGGACTGTCCTGTGCGTTGTAGGATGTTTAGCAGTATATCCCCAGCATCTAGTAGATGCCAGTAGCAGAAAAAAAAAAAAAAGGTTTCAGATGTTACCTAATGTTCTCTGACAGTGAAAATTGTCTCTGGTTGACAATCACTTTAACAGAGGAATACTTATTATCTTGAGAAAATGTCCACAATGAGCTAAAAGATGAAAGGAGAAAGCTCCAAAGCACTATGACAAATAGGCCTGCCCACTCCCCTCCCGGCTCTCTCCTCCTCTCCTACCTAGCACCTCTTTTATACACACATATGCATAGTAACTTTTTTAAAAAGGACTGAAAGGATATTCACCAAAATGTATTAAAATTATTTGGGATGGTAAGATTATAGGTTTGTTTGCATTCATTGATGTTGTTCGAGTTGAACTTGCATTCCTTTTATCATAAAGAACAAAGACAGTAGTCTCTAATAAACATCACTAAATGGGCCTCCAGCATCTACAGAACAGTGTCTACTTCCAAAGCAAAGGATAGTCAATGACTAAGGATTGCAATGTAAATATCGAAATTTTCTAAAAAGAGGGCTCCCCTACCCCACAATACTGAGCGTTCGCTGCAGGGATTAAGGAAGGTTGGCATACATGGAGAATGGATCTTCCCTATTATGCATGTCCCCCTCGCCAAGCCATTGGCCTAGCTGCTCAGGATTGTTTGAAAACTTAGGATTCCAGGTGGAATTCGCCCCTAGTCAATTTGGAACAAGTAAACAGAAAACCAACATTCCTGTGGTACTCTGCTTAACAAATATACTCAACAGGAGTGTTTGTGTGTGAAGAATGTGGAAAGAAAATAAGCAATAGTCACTTAGGAAACATATGGTTCTGAAAAACACAGGAACCATTCCATTTCCCCACATTTACCAGGCCTCAAATGTACACACACACACACACACACACACACACACACACACACACATATATATATTTCCAGAGAAATCTTTAGTTGGTAATAAGGCCATTTGAAGAAGCAGGCCCGAATGAAGGAGGTCCCATTCCTGACTTGCAGGAGATCCTTGGGACTCACAGTTAGACCCGGTAGGATCATGTTACCAATAAGATTTTTCTGTGGCACCTCAAGGTGAAGTTCTTTGAGTATTGAGAATGTGCTGCTAAGAAAGGGAAGCAAAAGAGTGCACAAAGCAGTAGCCAAGGACACAATCAAACTTCGCCTAGTTTCCTATTCTCCACTGCCTGGCCCAAACACTGATATACAGCTAGTTTGGTTGTAAATAAGTCTTTCTCAAAAGGCTCAATCCAAATCAACCATTGTAGCCAGAAACTCTATCTAAATGTAAGTCTTCCAAAATATTTTCCACATATAAAACATTTACTTCAAATATTCAAGTTTCTACTCAAGTCAGCTATAATGAACTGTGATGATGTCTTCCTGAGTAATCTTCAAAACCCAGGATTCTTAAACGACAGGATTAAATCTCTTCCAGTGTTGTTCTTCTAAGGCAAAATGCTTTTGGATTTCTCATTACAGACAACTGTTTTTACTTATAATCCCATGTAAATGTAAAAATACTTTTTATTATCCATGAGGATGTGTGTTTTAGATTCATGTAATTTTTTGAGAGATGCTAGAAGAATATCAAAACTATGATATTTCTCTTAGACCTCATAACCTTGAAAATTCCCAAATGATATTTCTTAAGGTGCTTTGAGAATTACAGACTCCTTAAGGTTAGTCCCTAACAACACACTGGGAAGCTTGCTAGGGGAGCATATGTGTAACTCCTAGTGAAACAGGAAGAAGAAGGATTACTGTGTCTTTGAGCCCACTGCCCCAGGGTAGATTGTCCTACCTTGGGAGGATATGTCTTCTGTTGTGTTTTTCAGGGGAGAAAGTGCAGAGGGATGAAGGAAGAAAGACTGTTGCTGAAAAGATTCAGGAAAGAGAATAGATGTTTTCACAATACCGTTAGAAGTAAGACCGAGTGATTATCAGGGGAGCCAACTTATTCACCTGCTCAATATGGTGATGAACAGAGAGAATGCTCACCTTATCTGCCAAGAAAGCCAACATTTTTCCCTGCCAAGTTTGAAGAGTAGAATTAAACTCATTAAGCTTTTCTAGATCCCACTTGTATCTCATTCTGATTTTTCTTTCTAGCTTAGATAATGTGACTTTAAAAAAAAAATGAACTGTTTTATTAATTTAATGTGACCTTGACAGCTCTGTGTAGATTGGAAAAAGAGCCTAAAGGAAAGCCTAGTTCTGCTCACTCTAAAGAAAACAGTGACTTTAGGAAAGAAGATGGAGTAGTGGGGAAGAGTCAGGTCCCTGGAAGGTTTTACTTTACAGGCTTCTCTGCTCCTTAATTGGATCTGAGCCTTGTAGCCCCTTGAGAACACTGAGGTAGAAATCGGAAGGGTGCTCAGTGGCTTGGACCATGGCATAAAGGAAGAAAAAAAAAAGAAAAGAAAAAAAACACACATATACACAAACATAGATGCCCAGACTAAAAAAGTAGCCAAATAAGAAAGCCACATAAATGTCTAAACCATCCAAATCACAAGATGATCACAAGTCACCACTTCAGGGTTTCCATCTACTACCAAAACAAGCATATGTATGAATCCATTGATAACATATCCTTTGACCCCCTGCTCTGGTAGAGTGTTACATCTTAAGAATTACTTTTAGCTGATGTCTTCTTTCCTCTGCTATAACTTGATATTGTACACTCTCACACTCGCTCTCTCTCTCCCTCTCCAGCTTTTTCAGAACAAAAAAAAAAAACTTTAATTCTGTTATTTAAAAGACTTACAGTTTTGGAAGAGTCTCCAAACCTAGCACTAACCATCAATTCTTGGTTCTTACCATCAGAACCATCCTCCCCTCTAAAGTGGCAGTAGCCCTGGCCAACTTTGCCTATCAGTGCTGCCTCCATAGAATTCTGCCTTGATGCGGGCACACCATGTATGTGTCTGTTTCAGCAACAAGAATTCATTTAATCAGAAAGTTTGAAAAGTTGAATATTCTAGTTAACTTTCTGAGAAACGATTTCAAACCTATAAAGTTATGTTTCTTCAAAACATACTACTTTCTGGCTGCAATTTGAGGATAACAAATTTGCCTAGGTTTCTGTAAGTGATAAGAATCTAGCAAGAATCTAAATAGATGTCAGGCTTTACGGGTTAAGTGGTATTTAACTACATTGCCTTGCTTCTCTGTAAATGGAGATCATCAGTATTTTAAGATTAAATGAGATGTATGCCATGTCCTGGTGCAGGATCTGAAATCTAGTAGGTACTCAATATATATTACTTTATGTTAACTTAGTTCTTCCTTTGTATTTAACTCTAATTTCTTTTCTACTTTTTCTCTTTAGGGTTAAAGGCAGCTCCATTTACAGAGTATGACTCTTATCTGGATGGGATTTGGGCTGTCTTCTATCTTATCCTTCATGTGGTTTATTTTTTGTTATGGAATCTTTTAATGTCAGATGTTGCTAGGCAATCTTTTCTGGCTTGATTAATTTAGTTCTAGTACAAACAAAAATATATCCAAATCTCCACTAATGTTGTTTCTCTTCCAAAATAAATATGTTCTACTTTTGTGTCAAATGGCTTTTATGATGTGGTTCCAGACCTTCACAGGGCTGTGGGTGATCATAAACTTAGTAGTTTAACTATTTCACCATTCATTGTTAATATAAATCCATGGAGAACAAATAATAAGAAGTGATGAAGTACTGCTAAAATAAACCCTCCATATTAATTGGATAGGAAAGCACATGAGTTTCAAATTGTAAGCAGACAAAAAAAGAGGTGTGATTTCGTTTTGGAATTCATTCTGAATCTATATAGTATGGGGAAAATGTGACCTTTAATTTCCAAGGAAACTCTGATATGCCATAAGGTGGGCAGCACATAGTAACAGGTTCCTACAATTATTTAGGTGAATAATCTTGAGGTCTGAAAAATCTACACAACTTTTAAAAGTTAGCAAAGGAAAGCCTGAACTGCTTTAAATTACTATTCACCAAAGGGAAACTAAAATATTCTGGCTTAAAAATTCCGGCTAAGAGTGTTGGCTTTAGATCTTTTAATATTTAATTTTGAAATGTTTTCTGATTTTCTGGTTCCTGATATCTAATTTTATTTGTACAGGCTGTGGAATATTGCCAGGATCATTGCTTTTGGTATTTAAAAAAAAAAAAAAAAGAACACTATTCAAGGGAACAGCATTCAGAACAATCTTCTCTTATCCAAGGCTAATTTCCAGAGTAGCTTTCTGTAAGATTGTACCGTATTTTAGAGCTACATTAAAATGTCAGAGGACTCTATGGACTGTTTGATGCTGATGGAGTTACACTTTCAGAAATACTCACTGTGCTGGACAGAAGAGCCACAGCGCTGAGAACTACACTGCTTTTGTTATTAACAGGAGTGTAAGAGGGGAATTCAGTAAAAAGGGCTAGCATCCAAGTTCACAGTGGATCTTTTCTTCCATTGAAATTATGGATTATAATCAATGGCTTAGAAGGAACGAGGTTGGTGAATCTCACAGAAGAGTTTTTGAGATACTTTTATTACACAAAAAAGCTTTTGAATGAGGCAATAAGCCTTCAAATGGAATGGCCTCCCTCAGATATTTTACTCATTTCCAGTTAGTCCTCAAAAATGAACAATGCTTCTAACTGAACAATCACAGTATTTCAACACACCCAAGGCAAACTGGGGAGGAAGAGCTGAATTATGATGAAAGCCTGTACTATTGTGACCTTTCCCATGACCATAATTGATGGATGTGCCCCTGAAACACTTTGCAGAGCTGTTGATATATTTAGAAGTGTGCCTGTGACTCATTATGCTCATAGTATGGCAATAAATGACTATGAAGGCCAACTCAGTGCCCAAGGATATGGTTCTTTCATGTAGAATCATCGTCTGTAGAATATACAGTTGGGTCCTTTTGGGAATTGTGCAAGCTAGGCTCAGAGCTCTGTAAGCCCAGCTTTATTTTTTATCAGAATCAATATCAAATAGTTAATATCAAAATGTTTCAGCATCCATTCTGGTATGAATAAAAATGAAATGCTACAAATATTTTACTTAAAAGCTTATGCCGACTTTGGTTTCTCCTGGGATGTACAAATGAGGAAAGAATGTCACTCCTACCCTATCAATCAGAAAAAGCTAGCTATACTACAAATCTTAATTTTTCTTGAGCCTAGAGAAGTGAAGTTTTAGGCTAATTAGATACCTAAGAAAAGACAGGTGTCTTCAAGAAGAAAGAGAACATGAGCATGGACTTACTAATGAGAGCAGAAGGAAGACAGGGCTGGCTGTCATACAAGTAAGTAAGACAAGTTCCATTAAAATTTAATACATTCTTAAAGTCTAAGAGTAGGCCACTATGAGAATACAGAACTTCTGGAAATTTCAGACAGAAGGGAAATCTGTACCATCTCAATCTTCTCCATGATTATTTAATAACAAAACAGAGCCCCTCTGCCTACTAGAGTAGCAGAAGCTAAATGATAGGCAATAGCAGCCTATCACTGTGGCAGTGACAAGAATAGAGACAAACCATCTCCAAAATACGGGTGCACAGAGAAGGTCTAATGATGAGGTGGTACAGTAATATTAATAAAAACCGATTGCAGACCCCACCCTGAACACAAGGTAATGATGGAGGAATTTGAAGTCAGAGATACAGTGAATAAAGCCATAGTAACAACACAACCCAAATCTGGCTCAACTTTTTTGTAGAATGACCTAATACCCCAAAATGACAGCCTAGCAGAGATGGGTGCGCCCATTCCAGGCATAAATACTAGTTTCTTGCTGTGCTGTTCTACACATATCTGGCATTCAGTGAAAAATTATGAGGCACACACAAACAAGGACAAAACAACACACTTATAAGAGAAAAAACAATGAACAAAGCCAGAGATGGCCTGTATAATGAGCCATAACATAGCAAATTTAAAATTAATATGACATGTTAAAAAGTCTAGCCAAAAAAGTAGCCAACGTGCATGAACAGATGTTGATTTTCATAAGAGTTAAAAATGAAAAGAGTCAAATGGAAAGTCTAGAAACAAGTACAAAGAAACAGAAATGAAGACTGCCCTGAATTATCACTTAGGCAGACACAGTGCTGAAGGAAAAAAAAAAATCAGTAAACTTGAAAATAGGTCAACAGAAATTACCCAAACTGAAACACAGAGAGAAGGATAGTGGCTGAAACAGGAGAGAGTGTACAAGGGTGCTATGATCTGAATGGATTCCCTCCCAAATTAGCTGTTTCCAATGTGATAGTATTAAGAGGTGGGGCCTTTGAGGTGATTAGGCCACAAAAGCCTCTCCCTCATGAATGAGATCACCCGCCCTTATAAAAGGGTTTAATGGAGGGAGTTTGTTCCTCTGTTGTCCTTCCACCTCCCACCACACGAGGACACAGCATTCCCTCCCTCAGGAGGATATAGCCCTCAGACGCCACATGCCAGTCTCTTTACCTTGGACTTCCACCCTCTGGAACTGTGAGAAATTTCTGTTCTTTATAAATTAGCCAGTCTGTGGTATTCTGTTATGGCAGCACAAATGGACTAAGACAATGGGCTATGTACCAAGTGGTCCAGCATACACCAGCTGAAATCCCAGGAGATGAGAGAGAGAATAGGACAAAATAAATATTTGAAGAAATAGTGGTCAAGAATTTTCCAACAATATTAATAAAACATCAAATCATAAGTCCCAGAAGCTCAGAGGTTTAAGGCAAGTAAAGCACACACACACACACACACACACACACACACACACACACACACACACACACACACACATCATATATAAGGTGTGGAAAAGTAAAAAGAAAAAGAAAATCTTAAAAACAGCCATAGAAAAAAGGCACATTACTTAAAGGTAAGTTTACAGAAAGGTAAAATTGACAATAGATTTCTCATTAGAAAGTACTAGAGTAAGAAGACATGATAGAAGAGGGAGGAAAAATCTAAGGCTGAGTGCGGTGGCTGATGCCTGTAGTCCCAAGCACTTTGGGAGACTGAGGCGGGTAGATCACTTGAGTCCAGGGGATCAAGACTAGCCTGGGCAACATGGCAAAACCTTCTCTCTACAAAAATTTTTTAAAAAAGAAAATTAGCCAGGCCTGGTAGTATGCGCCTGTAGTTCTAGCTACTTGGGGAGCTGAGGTGGGAGGATCACTTGAGCCCAGGAGGAAAAAATCCTTGCAACTGAGAATTCTATACTCAATGAAAATAGCCTTCAAAACAGAAAGCATATTAAAGACTTTCATACAAAAAAGAAAATTCATTACCAACAGCCATGTACTATAAACTGTTAAAGAAAGTTCTTCAGGCAGGAAGAAAATGACACAAGCCAGAAACTTGGATTTACACAAAGAATTAAAGATCTTTGAAACTGGTTAAAATAAAGACGAACAAAAGGCTTTTTCCCATTTTAATTACTCTAAAAGAAAATTGACTTTTGAAAGCAACTGTAATACACATTTATTGTGTATGTAGAGGACATATAAAAGTAAAATCTATAGCAACATGAGCTCAAAGTCTGGGAGGTGGAGTTGGAAATATACTGTTGTAAAGTTCTTACACTATTCACGAAGAGGTAGACTACATGAATGTAGACTGAAATTAATTAGAGATATATATATGGCAAATGCTAGCCAATGAGATGAAAAACATTTTAGAAAGCCAATAGTGGAAATAATATAATGAAACAAATAATAAGTCAATAGTGGAAATAAAATGGAAATGAAAAATACTTAATTCAATATATAATAAAAGAAAAAGAGAAGATAGAGTAGAAAACAGCAAGATTGTATGTTTTAATCCAACCATAATGGTAATTATATTACAATTATATTGAAATGGTCAATACAAACTAATTATAAAATAAAGATAGATTTAAAAAGAAAAAGAACAAGATGCAAATGCATTCAATTGACAATAAGCTCATTTTAATTCTAATGACAAAAAGGTAAAAATAAGTATATGGGGAAAGATATACTATGCAAAAACACTAATCCAAAAAAAAGTTGCAGTGACTACATTAATGTCACATAACGTGGATTTCAGAACAAGGAATATTTTTAGGGAAAAAGTGATATTATATAATGTCAAACGGGTCAATACACAAAGAAGACTTAACAATGCAAAGGCAGGGGTGCCTAATGACAAAGATATGACAAGCAAAATGAAAGAGGAGACCTAGAAGTAGAAATGGACAAATCCAACATTACGGTTGGAAACTTAAATACTTTTCTCTTCCTTTTTCTGTAATAAAACAAATAGAAAGAGAACCAATAAGTCTGTAGAACCTTAGCAAAACTAGCAACCAACTTCTGTGAGCTCACTGGTATTTACAAAAACCACCAAACAGCACCCATTCTTTTGCACAAGGAACATTCAACAAGACAGGTCTCATTCTGGACCATGAAGCAAATCTCAACCTTTGTATCAATCTCAAATCTTTGTATGTAAAATCATACAAACTGTATTCTATTATACTAAAAAAAGTTAATCTAGAAATGGATAACAAAAACATATTAGAAATTCTCACTTATTTGGAAATTAAGCAGCAGAATTATATGTAACTCATGAATTAAAGAGTCAAAAAGGAAATTAGAAAATATTTTTCTTTGAAATAAAGTAAGAATACAGTGTAAAAAGATTTGTGGAAAACAGCAAAATCAGTGAGTCAAGGAAAAAGTATAGCCTTAAATATACTGAAGAGAAGAAAGGACCCTCAAAATATGTACAACTATGATACATTAATTTTCCAAAAAGATAAAAATGGGAAAAAAGGAAAAGAAAGGGCTTAAATCAATTATCTAAACTTACATCATAACAAAAACAAAAAAAGGAGCAAATTAAACCCAAAACAAGCAGAAGGAAGGAAATAAGAAAGATGAGAACAGAAAAACCAGTAAAATTTTTTAAAGAGAAAAATGGAGAAAAAAATCAATTTAGCCAAAAGCTGGGAAAAACTGATAAACCTCTAAGCAGAATTACAGAAAAAAAGAGAGGGAGAGCAGATACAATTACAAACACCAATATTTCAACAACTCAGAAGGGATGAACATATTTCTTGAAAAATACTAATTACCAAAGCTTACTCAAGGAGAAATACATAATGTAAACAACTGTCTATCTCAAAGAAATCGAAATAAACTTTCCAACAAGGAAAATTCCAGGACAAGTTGTATTCATAGCAAACTCTACCAATAACTTAAGGAAGAAATATGAATTACCTATAAAATCTTGAAAAACAAGAAGAGGGGCAAACACTTTCCGACTCATTTTGTGAGACCAGCATTACCATGATACCAAACCTAGATGAAAGAATTGTAGTGAATAGAAAACTACAGACCAAAATTCTTTATCAACATAGAGGCAAAAATTCTCAATAAAATCTTAGAAAATTGAATCAAGCACTGTATACAAAAGATAATACATCACAACCAAGTGGGTTGAAACCAGGAATACAAAGCTGTTCAATATTGGGGGGGGAAATCAACATAATTTACTGTATGAACAGTCTTAAAAGGAAAACCACATGAATTATCTTGATAAATGCAGAGAAATCATATAACTCAACAACCATAATACTAAAAACTCTCTGCCAACTAGAAATAAAAGGGAACTTCTTCCCTTTTATTGAAGTTAAATAATTTAAAAAGTAATTTTATTTTTTTTAATTTGCATGCCTGTTTATTAAATAAAATTAAAGACAAGGGAATTAGAATAGCCCCCAAAAAAATTGAAAAAGAAAAAAGTGAAGCCCATACTGCCTGATTTCAAGATTTTCTATAAAGCAGTAATCAAGAAAGTATGGTATTAACATAGAATAGAATCATAAATCAATGGAACAAAACAGTATTTTACCAAAACAAATATGGTCAGTTAGTTTTTTTGCCAAAGGTGCAAAGGAAATATGAGCATGCAGGAATAGTTTTTTCAACAGATGGCACTGGAAAAATTGGATATCAACATGCAAAAATTAAAAAAAAAATCCTTCCACTCTTATCTTGTATTATAAACAAAAATTAACATTAAATGGATCATAGACTTAAATGTAAATCTTTATAAAATACCTAGGAGAAAACATTTGTGATCTTAGATTAGGCAGTGATTTGCTAGATACAAAACCAAAAGCATGTTCCATTTTTTAAAAATTTAGAAATTAGATTTATCAAAATATAAAACTTCTACTCTTCCAAATATATTGTTAAGAAAATAAATACAACCAATTGACCTAAATAAGGTATTACTGAAAGACATGTCAGAGAATGACATCAACAGGATGGCAGAACAGCCATCAGCCCAATTCTCATCCCAGAAGCACTGATTTCTCAACCATCTGCGGATAAAAGTTTTAGGAGCTTCAGGATCTAGGTGGGGGGTTGTGACAGCCTGGTGGAGCCCAAGGCCATGGAAAGCTGCTTTGACAAGGCAGGCCTGTGCCCTGGGGTAGCAGGCCAACCGCTTGATGCAGCTCCACAATCAGAAGCAGTAACCCATCACCCACCATCAGCTCCTTTTCACGCAGTCCCAGAGGGTGACCCACCCACCCAGTACAGAGGGGTCACACCCACCCATACCCTCCAGTAGTTACAGGCCCACTGATTGTGGACCCGACTGCATACACGAACACAGCCCCATGACCAATGGAACAGAACAGAAAGCCCAAAAATAAATCCACGCTAAAGTTTCTGCTATGCAAAATAAGATCTGGAGAATGTTTTTAAAGGCATGTCAGATAAAGAATCTGTATCTAGAATATGTAAAGAACTCTCGAAAAGGTAAGAAGATAATTTTTAAAGTAGGCCAAAAAACTGAACAGACATTTCACCAAAGAAGATATACAAATGGAAAATAAGCACACGAAAGAATGTTCAGTATTTAGTCATTAGGAAAATGTCAACTAAAACCATAATCTGATACCACTACCCCACTCATTGATTAAAAATTGAAAAAAAAAAGGAAAAAAGGAAAAAACAGACAACATGGCAAGGATGTGGAACAACTGAAGTTCTCAGGCATTGCGGGTGGTCATGTGAAATGACACAGCCACTTTGAAAAGTTGTTTGGCAGTTTCCTAGGAATTAAGTATATACTTAACCACACAAATCTAAAAATCTTGCTTCATGACTCTTACCCAAGAAAAATGAAAACTTCTGTCCCCACAAAAACTGAATGTTTACAGTGGTCTTTACTCACAATCACTAAAAACTAGTAAAAGCCCAAATGTCCTTCAGCTGGTGAATTCATAAATACACTGTGTTTATCCATACAATGGAATACAGATAAAATTCAGCCAGAAAAACAAATTTGTAATACAGATGAGAAAAATGAATTTCAACTGTATTGTGGTGACAGAATCCAGACCCAAAAGGCCTCATACTGTACGATTCCATTTAATTGTCATTCTAGAAAAGGCAAAATTATAGGAATAAAAGGCAGATCAGTGGTGGCCAGGCACTGAAGGTAGGTAAGAGTGATCTGGGGGGGCTTTTGAAACTGTTCTAGATCTTGATTTGGTGCGGTACACATTTGTCAAAACACATGAAAAAATACACTAAAAAGGGTGAATTTTATATATAAATTATACCGTAATAGAACTGACCAAAAAACACATAGGAATAAACTAGATGCCTCTGAGATTTTTTTCAAGTCTAATGGATCAATAGGAATAAACATGGTCTGAGAGATAGAACCTACACTAACAGAACAAATCTCGTATAGGCTCTATCCAAAGCAATAAGTACTGATCCAGTCTAATAATGATGATGATGATGAGGCTAAATATCATAGCCCCCACATTCCCTGGCTACAAAAAAAAAATATGCTCATAAGATCTTTTTATCTCCTAAGACCCAAGATCAATCATCAGCACCCACATGGTCATTTCCATATGGCTTTGTCTGTCTCCTGACTTGACCTACTTTCCCAGCCAACTCTGATCTTTCTTACTCCTCTTTGTTCTCTGGTACTCCCAATCTGTCATCAGCAAAATCCACAGGTATCCTAAACATTTTATGTAAATGCTCTCTTGACCATCTTGCTGTATCTGAAAGCTGAGTTCCTTTGAGGACACTGCTTCTCTTATAGCCTTAGTCGTCTCATGGGGTTGCTATTTTCTCTCTCAAATCTCTGTGCCACAAGGCCAGCAGTTTCAATAGTTGTCTTTCTTGTGCTTATTGCTCCTTCCAAATCATTGTTCTTCTCATATCAATAGAAACTTCTAGCAATTTGAAAGTAACCTCTGACATCATAGTACCCAATACCCCTCCCTGTTGTGGTCACCTACTGACATCCATCTCATGGGGCATTTCTTGAAGAGTTTAGCTTGTGGCTCCCTCTGTCCCTTCAACACCAGTGTTTTCACAGTTCTTCATATCCCTGTAGAAAATCCTTCCCCTATCTCAGCCTTTACGTCTCATGATCATCACCTCACCTCCAGTAACCTTGATCCTTCTGCGACTCACTCTCCAGTCATACCTCCAACAACTCTTCCACCTTCTCACTGTCAGCTGATAGCCTCATTTCTCATTTCATGAAAAATAGAAGCAGTAAGAGAATGTCCTCATTCTCCATCCAGTGGTCTACCCACCTAACTGCACGTTTACTGTGTACCCCACCTTCCCCACTATTCCTTCAGATGAATATGTTTCCATCTAAGCTCAACCCTTCCACTTGTGAACTAGTACTCAATCCGGCTCACACAATAGAGGAAGTCACTCTTGCAGTTGGCTGCTATCACTGTCGGAATAAACCAACCGTCGAAGAACCATCTGGACACAATCAACTTTCAATTTCCTCTATGAGGATTACACACTTTATGCACTCTTCCTCTTCATTCAGTCTACCTCCTATCCCATCATCTCCACTCCCTCCTGGCCTGCCAACATGAAACAATTTTAGTGTTTCTTGATCAGGGGTAAATTGTACCTGTAGATGTCTATCTGGTGGCAAGCTGCACCTAAACTCCCACCCCAAAAGGCTACATAAAGCGGCAGAGCACAGATTCTTTGGTGAGATCACAATTCAGCCCCATCTATAAAGCAAGCACTTACTGATTATCTGACCTTAGACTCTGCACCTCACCCGCCTCTGTGCATCTCAGGTACCTTCGTGCTTGCTTGGCTTTAGCCAACTGCTCTGACTTGACACATTGCTACTGTTTATTCGCAGCTGGACCTCTGGCCAGCTAAGTAGACTATGTTCACTTTTTCAGAATAAATCAAGATGCATTATAGCACATGAAAAGATAAAAATTGCCAAAGGAAGCATTTAGCAAAAGAAAAACAGGCATTTATTGATCTCCTTCCAAGAGTCTGCCCATCTAACCCTGTTTCTCGGTTTTATGAACACTCACGCAGCCTTGGCAAAAAGAAAAGGTGATGCTCAAGAGTACCTTGCTGCATACTTCCCAACTTTAATTCAGGTGCCACGGGCCTTAGATAGAAATCTCCCAGCTCAGAGCAGAACAATGATTCTACTCAAACCACTTGTCCTCTCACCAAGAGTACAGGCCTACTCTACCTCATGCACAAAGGATGGGCTCTGTTTTGCTACAGGTGGTTCTGGTAAATAGGATCAAAATGACTGCTTTATTATCAATCAAACCACATAAAGTTGGGTCAGGGCAGAAAGGACTGGACACCAGTTCTGGATATAACTGACTCATTTAGCAGTATGCCTCTAAAATCCTTTCCCAGGCAACCCAACCCACCCACCTTGGTTCATAAACTGCCTGTGCCATATCTGGCCTCTGGTTTCCCCTCACAAATACTATTTTCCAAACTTACATCTGTTTATTTCTTCTTTACCGCTGCCATGTCCCTTAAATATTTTTCTCATGTCTAAAAACTCCAGAAAAAAATCATTAGCTAAAATTAACTAAGCATATCAATGGTTTTGAATATAGGCAATGTTTGTATTCCTGTGTTATAAATCGGGAATCTCAGGTTCAGGTAATTTAAGTAGCCAAAGGTCATACAAGTGAAGGTCAGTGCTCAAATATGAATTTGGGGCTCTTATTTGAACCCCTCTTACTTTCCATTAGGCCATGCTGCTGCTAGTAGCGGTAAAGGAAGGACACAAGGCATAACAGTCTATGAGGCCAAAGGCAGTAAGAAACAGTGTGGAATTGTGTGTGGCACATAGTAGGTACTCGTGCTGAAAACAACATTGAGTTACTCAATGAATATACAATTGATTCCCAGATTCCATGGGCTTCAAACTCATTTCTACAATCCATGATTTCCTATTTCTTCTCCATGCTAAGCAGAGCCTGCTGCCATATGGTAACTTTGCCAGTAACAGTCTAGCTGCTTCTAACCAGGGCCTGCTTTCCCTTGGCTTTAGCACTCAAAGGTCAACTTGACCTTGCAGGGAAAGTGAGCAGGGAGCAAGCACCTCTGAGGACACGGCAGACAGCTGCAGTGTGGCTTTGACATTTACAAGAAATGAAAGCATCTCTATTTAGAAAACTTTTTTAAAGATACAGAAAAAGTAAGTCTAAAAATAGCCAAGATCTAAAGTTCCCCAAATAATTAATATCATGTCCCCATAACCTAAAGGATTCTCTTGATTTCAGTGGAAAAAAACTCTGCTTTTAAGTTTGAGAGACCTTTTTTCTTGCAGAAAACTGGGCAACATATTGTCTGATTGGGTAACTTCTTTGAAGCCTGCCTTTATTAGGAGTTAGCTGCTAGTCTGCTCTTCCTTGGATCTCAAATATTTTGGTTAAAAAAAGCAGTATTTTTAGTATTGCTGATTTATAGTTATCAAAAGGCTATGATTGCAGATCATGCACAGTGCATCCATCTGGGCAATTATCTTTTGGTTCTAATGGTTAGAACTGTGGCAGTTTCTGAGGTGTTAGAGTTCAGGTTCAATTCAAAGCATCAATGATGCTCTTCATACTAGACCAGGATCTGCCTCTGTAAGACAGACTCAATTCCCTTCTCTTCTTTTTTTGCAACAACCACAGCCATTACCCCAGCCTCAAATTCATATCCATTGGTTCAGAAGCCCTAAGGAAGGGCATTGATTTCAGAGAGGAAGCCCAACATGTGCAGGATTTTTTGCCCTGGATCCAGTGATATCTTTGAGAATCAGAAACACTTATTCTAATGTATTTTAATTTACTTTTCAAATGGAGCATTTAAACAAAAACTGTTTATTGGGTTCAAATTCAGAGCCAAGTTGTGTGTCGAGAGAGTCTTAATTTTTCATAACAGGACATGTTTGGCTCTAATGTGTGGGTTATGAGTCAATATATCAAATTTGACTAAAGTATTTGCTCTAAGTAGGGAGCAAGCCATTTAGCATTACAAATCCTGAACTTTTTGCAGGAAGGAGGGAAATAACTTTGATTTCTAAGCTCTCTTATTAAGATGAATCAAAGTTGATGAATAAACTTTCTGGATTGCTTAATACCTTCCAGATATCAGTATCAAGGCCTTGGCAAGGCAGGTGAAAATATTTCCATGAGCAAGAAGCAATTGAGAAGGACTTCCTCTGTGGGATAAATTCTTGGTAATTCCTGTGGGAAATTTTCCTTTATCCTAACATCTTTTTTTTTTTTTTTGCCTTGCCCAATTCTCAGTGTTTTTAAATACACAAAATACGGCTTTCTACTAAAAACTGGTAAATGAAGTTGGAAAAATACAAACACACACACACACACACACACACACACACACACACACACACGGTAGCCCTTTTATTGCAGCCATGTACGTAGCTTCGCTGAAGAGTTGACAAGATATATTGTGCAGCCACAGAGAGACACCACATCTTCCTTCCTCCCAGCACAACTTGTACAGTGATTAAATGTGATTAAAGTCTCAGGAACTTGGACACAGTCATATCTATTTTGGTACCACTGTCTTGATCCATCCCTACAGCCAGAAGGGAATCACCCTCTTTGTGTAAATGTTTGCTTTGTTGGAAATTCTCAAGCAGAAATTAATAGTATACATGCTTCAGGAGGAGTAGTAAATCAAGCATGATAAACAACTCCTAGGCAGTGTTTAGACTGGCCAAAAGTCATCTTAAGAATCGTGCACAATGATAGAATACCACGTTTGGCATCTATACACCAGAACTATCTATAAACAAAAAGCAAAATGGAGATCTGTCAATTAACCAACTAGTCTGATTAATGGGATCTGTCAGCATAGGTGGATAATAAATGACTAGAAAAGTAGCAAGTCTCCACTCATTCTATGTGGTGTAGACACAGTTAAATGAATCATGAATGTTTAGTGCTCTTTATAGCAGTTAGCGAACACACTTGGAACTTGTCTCGAAATTAGTTTTGATCTCTTGTTTGAAGTCAGATGCCAATATTCTAGACCCCTATGACATCATCTATTACAGACTCCTGGTTATCGAAGAGTTGAAACTAGTCAGATAGAATTGGCATGAAAAGAATTTTCAACAGAAAACAATCATGTTCAAGGAAGCCAAGTCTAGGATTTCAGGAGCTCAAAGTTTCAAATATTTTTATAAAAACATACATACATACACACACATACATACATTCATGTGGAGAGAGAAAATGAAAAGCAAGAAGACCTTTTCTTCCTTAGTCCAAATCCAATTTAATAATTATCCAGGGTATTCTCAGTAAAAACCAGGTATTTATGCCTCTATATGTATGTCACCAAAATGGAGCCAGCTTACCTGAAGGTCCTCTGAGGCTGTCACTTTCCTCTAGTGCTGTCCCATAAACCTGAAGGATATACAATAACAAAGGGGACAATTCCGTGGGACGAAAATCTTATTTTAAATAACTTCTCTATACTGACTTCAAGCCAAATGAAAAAACTACAGCTTTTTTGGAATTTTATTCCATTTCTGTTGTCTGATTCATAAGTGTTGTTAAATATTTACCAGGAACCTGCCAACAGTTTCTCAACATTAGTTAATCATAGGTAATGCTATTCCATTAACAACTCAATAAACTTCTTTAAAGTTGTACAAGGTAAATTTCAGTACCTTAACACTGCTAACCCATCCTTGTAGAATAAATATTTGCTTTGAGTTTCTCTATGCCAAGATTTATGGGATCAAGTAATCTAAATCTCCTTTTGTAAATAAGGTGTGCCCTCAAGAGGATGAGAGTGCAGACTCTACAGTCTTGTCTGCCTTCTCTCCACAGGTCCTTGAATAAAGCGTTCCATGTCTCCAGATAAACAGACTTGGGGCACTTCTGACCAGTATCCCAGCAGCAGAGGCTTTGGGAAATATTTTCAAGACGGTTCAAGCCTCCCTTCCACAGATTCTCTCACATCTGCCAGCCTGAAGTGGGCTGTGTTGGTTCATGTCTACCAGGACACTAAATGGCTGAAGGCCATTTTTTCTATTCTAATTATTGTTGCTTCTTTGTAACAATTTTTATAAAAGTCCAGCCTAATTTCTTTCCCAGCACACATGTATCTTCAGACACACATCTAAATCCAGGCTTTCATGATTAATCCTACTCTGAGTCAGCTGGGATAGAGCTCTGATGATGGGATATCCTACATGGTCATTAACTGCTGTTTGCACAAACACATCACTCAACGTGACTTCCACTGGATCTACCTTGTATGCAGAGTAGAAAGCTGCTTGTATGGAGTGACTTCTCTGTTGCCTGACCAACCACATGCAAAAATAACCTTTCCACTCACTGATACTGAATTCTACCAAAGAAGACAAGCCATCCAATCAACAACTCTCATAGTAAAGCACATGGCAAACATTATAACTGTATTACTGTATTATAAAACTGTATTATTAAAGTCTACTCTTACAGAATACTCGAGGAAATTAAAAAATGACAAATTCTCATTTATGTACACACCACTTATATCAGGTTCTTCTGGAGAATATATTCTGTTTGACGGAAGAGGAAGGAAGAGAGGATAAATTATGTTTATTGGAGAACTACCTAACCCAGACTTTGTACTAGGTGCTTTTTGAAAATTATCTCTTTAATTTCTGCAACCACAATAAGCCACAGATAACCCTGTCTTTGCTTCAGAGATGATTGTGCCCAGTCTCATAGGAGTTAAGCAATTTTTCCCAAGTCCTATAGCTGGTAAATAATCAGTTTAAGATTCAAGTAAATCATTTTATCAAAGCAACATTGAGGCAAGAAAGAAGAGTATGATATACAATTTTTAAAAGCCCAGACACCCACACATTTCCTGTAAGGAAAAAAATGTATTGATGTGTATGATAAAAATTAGGCCCTCAGCTCCTTGAAAAAGAATTGTTTGAGCCCCTGTAAATCTTTACCCAGTTAGTGTTCAAATAAATATTCCTGTAAAGATATCTTCAGGGTGAGAAAAGCCATAAACAAACTCCATTGTCATTTCCAGCATTTAAATCAGGACTAATCACAAGGAGCCAGTGTTAGCCCAATCCCCCTCACCTAGTTCCCCTCACTCTTTGCCAATACGCAGTTTTTAATCTGTTTCAGGAAGGAGTCCGAGGCGGTTTGGAAATACAAATTAACCTGAAACTACTTCCTAAGGCATTACCAGAAATCACGTTTTAGATGTCAAGATGACTTGCATTGTTCTAAACTTCCAGGCTGTGCCAATGGCCACAAAGGTAAATGGGGCATTGGGACAACCATGTGAAGGACTAAGTTGCAACATGAAGCAAGCACACTCTTCCGCATGAGTCACCTGAAAATGAAAAGAGAAGAATAGCTGGAAAAGATGATACTGTCTGACAACAGCATTTCAAATAAGACACAAAAAACTTGTCTGCATTTGCTTTCAGGTCATGAAATACCACATGAACTGAATGTTTGAGAACCCATTAGCTATGGATCACCCTGATTCAACAACCCAATTAATCATATTCTCAGGTCTATGGCATAATCAGTGTTTCTCAACCTACACTGCGTAATAAAATTACCTGAGGAAATTTTTGGCTTTTTGAGTGTTTTTATTTAAAAAGAAAAAAAAAATCAATGCCTGGACCCCAATACCAAAAATTTGGATTCATTGCTATAGGGTAGAGGCCAGGCACTAGTATTTTTAAAAAAGCTTTCCAGGTGATTCTAATGTGAGTCATGGTTGAGCACCACTGTTAGTTGTATGAAGTGGATTTAGAAATCTTATCCCTTAGACCCTTAGGGTTGCCAGAGCTGTCATGGCTATGAAACCTGCAAGAATTTGGGCAAGTTACTGGTCCCTGAGACTGTTTCCAAATCTCCAAAGTGAAAGCCAGAACACCTTTTAGGCACATGCTTTATCATGGAGGCCTGACGATCATGGTTTCAAAATAAATATCTGTGAACCTAGATACTTTATTTTCCTTCAATCATTTTTGATTCATATGTCTTTAGAATGTACACTGAAATGTAAATTGTATGTGAATATATCTTCCACATGTAACAGCATTACTTCTTTTGACTATGTAACTTAAATTATGTTTTCAGGATGCCAAAACAATTGGCTCAAAAGTAGGAAAATATTGTTACCTAATATTTGCTGCGTCTCTATATCCCTAAGTTAGAAAAACAGCACGTTTTGATTTTATGTTTGTTGATTTTATTCTATTTAAAAAAGACCAGCTACCCCATATTTAGAGGCTCCTACTTCATATCAAGACTCAAGTTGCAAGTCTTGGAAACAAAATAAAACCCCAAACTTAGTGCTTTAGACTTTTTATACATCCTACCCTATGTTACTGAGAAATTTGTTGTTGTGAGAAGGAAGACTTTAACTTGCATATGTACATATACATGCAAGTATGCTAGCATGATTCCTGAAACAAAGTGTTTACTAGATATTTATTAAGATTGTTTTTAAATATGAACTTCAACATCTTGATTGAATGATGAAACATGGACATATGAATCAAACTTTGGTATCTGCTCACTATCAAATGCTATAGAATCAAGAAAGTGAGAGCAACAATATTTCCTGTGCAACACACTACACACCTTAAATTTGGAAATATCTTTTGCTTTCATGAAAGTTTTATGATAATTCCTATTTACAAATTTTGAGGGGTGGTTTATAATTCTACTGTATTCTGTATCTGTAATCAAATCTTTGACAAATCAGTTGAATTTTCCCCCACAAACATAAAAGACACAGAATCAATAAATAAAAATACTAAGATACTTCACACAGCATCTTTTGACATTTGTAAAGAATTTTAGAGTACAAAGTAATTCTCTTTTAGTGAATGCATGGATTATACTATTATATAGAAGAGCACTACTTAGATCATAGTAGAGAAGGATATATCTACGACCCTATGAGACTGATGCTGCTAGTTGTTGCCAATATTTACCCTCACACTTCATTCCTTGGGGTAGCAATGTGCCCTGGCACAGGTGATAGAGTATGACTAGACTGACCAAGTCATAATTTTGTTCCTTATTTCCCAGTCTCCCTTGCAGCCAGGTATAGTTATGTGGTCCAGTCCTGGCTATGAGAAGTACAGGGAAGTCTCCTGGTAGGCTTCTGTCATTGTGCTTTCCTGACAAAAGGAGATAGGCACAAGAGGCATAGCCCATTCCCTCCAGCTTCCTGCTTAATGAGGCATCCTGTAATTAACTGAAGTTTCAGAAGCTATCTTGTGACCATAGGCAGCAATCCTAAGGATAAAAGACAACAAAACAAGGACAATTGGACTAAAAGATAAAAAGATCCTGGATCTTTGATGGAAGCATCAGGGAGCTAAATCAATGCCAGCAAACACCTACTCTGGACTTCCTATTATATGAGAAAAGTAAACTACTTAGGAGAAAATCATAATCCCCATGTCTGAAAGAGATTTTAAAGCATGTATTTTCTCACAAATCACCACTAAAGAACTTACTCATGTAACTAAATACAACCTGTACCCCAATAACTTATGGAAATATAGAATAAATAAATTTCATATGGGATCAAAGAAGACCCTGTAGAGCCAAGACAATCCTAAGCAAAAAGAATAAAGCTGGAGGCATCACGCTACCTGACTTCAAACTATACTACAAGGCTACAGTAACCAAAGCAGCATGGTACTGGTACCAAAACAGACCCATAGACCAACGGAACAGAACAGACCCCAGAAATAACACCACACATCTACAACTATCTCATCTTTGACAAACCTGACAAAAGCAATGCGGAAAGGCTCTTCTACTCAATAAATGGTACTGGGAAAACAGGCTAGCCATATGCAGAAAACAGAAACTGGACCCTTTCCTTACACCTTATGCAAAAATTAACTCAAGATGGATTAAAGACAAGTGTAAAACCCCAAACCATAAAAACCCTAGAAGAAAACCTAGGCAATACCATTCAGGACATAGGCATGGGGAAAGACTTCATCTCTAAAATACTAAAAGCAATTGTAAAGAAAGCTGAAATTGACAAATGGGATCTAATTAAACCAAAGAGCTTCTTCTGCACAGCGAAACAAACTATCATCAGAGTGAACAGGAAACCTACAGAATGGGAGAAAATGTTTGCAATCTACTCATCAGACAAAAATCCAGAATTTACAAGGAACTTAAACAAATTTACAAGAAAAAAGCAAACAACCTCATCAAAAAGTGGGCAAAGGATATGAAGACACTTCTCAAAAGACGACATTTACGTGGCCAACAAACATGAAAAAAAAGCTCAACACCACCAATCATTAGAGAAATGCAAATCAGAAACCACAATGCGATACCATCTCATGCCAGTCAGAATGGTGATTATTAAAAAGTCAAGAAACAATAGATGCTGGCAAGGCCATGGAGAAATAGGAACACTTTTACACTGTTGGTGAGAATGTAAATTAGTTCAACCATTGTGGAAGACATTATGGCAATTCCTCAAGCATCTAGAACCAGAAATATCATTTGACCCAGCAATCCCATTACTGGGTATATACCCAAAGGAATATAAATCATTCTACTATACAGACATATGCACATGTATGTTTATTGCATCATTATTTACACAGCAAAGACATGGAACCAACCCAAATGCCCATCAATAATAGACTGGATAAAGAAAATGTGATACATATACACCATGAAATATTATGCAGCCATAAAAAGGGATGAGATAATGTCCTTTGCAGGGACATGGATGAAGGTAGAAGCCATCATCCTCAGCAAACTAACACAGGAATGGAAAACCAAGCACTGCATCTTCTCACTCATAGTGGGATTTGAACAATAAGAACACATGGACACAGAGAGGGGAACAACACACCACCAGGGTCTGTTGGAGGGTGGGGGATGAGGGGAGGGAATTTAGAGGATGGATCAAAAGGTGCAGCAAAACACCATGGCATATGCATACCTATGTAACACACCTGCACATTCTGTACATGTATCCCAGAATTTAAAGTAAAAGAAAAAAAGAAAAAGAGTTGGAGAGAATTTAGGGTGTGTCCTGGCCAAGGTTACACAAAGAATGCAAGTAAAAGAAAGAATAACTACTGGACAAAAAATAAAAATAAAAAATAAAATAAAATGATAACTTTTTTTTTCTGTCAATGAGAAATAATCTTTTATAACAAGTCAATCATTAGGAAAGACATTTCAAGCTCACTTTCACTGTTGCCCTTATTTTTCTTCCTAATTCCTGACACTAAAAACAACTATTTCTACTACCTCCAACTACCTTAGTTATGGCCATATAAACAGACTCTTTCCCTCTCCCTCTCAAATATATGTGAATATATGTGTATATATGCATATTTACATAGCCAAATAATATATACTCAACTTTCTGAATAATTCCATCCACTTGAAACCTAGTTTTAAATGTGTAGGAAAGCAATTAATATGAGCAATAGAGTACAGATTGCACAAGAGATGCTTCTAATATACTTTATTTCCACGACTAGACAAATGCCTTTGCATATGTTTTAAGAATAATAAACTGACCACATATCCTTTCCAACTTAACGATTTATGAGGAAGTTGGTTTCAAATAAACCAAAACAGTGCTACCCACAGAAATAGCAGAGAGTAAGGATCTCTTAAAAGGGGCTTCTTCCTCACCACTGTGACTCATCAGAAGCCCGGATTTGAAGAATGCATTTGCCTTCAAAACCTGAAGGCTATTCTAATCCTGACTCCTTGTACAGACCTGGAAATTTACCTAAATTGTTAATGCCCTGGCTACCAAATTGACACAATAGTAATTTCCTCCTGTTTATCTCATAAGATGTTGAGGAAGTTACCAAGAAATTTTAAAGTACTATACATATCAGTGCTATTAAAACATTTTTTATTTCATACACTCCACAAATACCCAGTTACCAATTTAAATATAACAAGTAGTCCTCTACATAACAGGGTACTATCAGCCAGACAATAAAATAACTAGCTTATTTTAGAGCACATAAAACATCTCATCCTTATATTTTTACTTGGATGAAACACAAGGTTATTAGCCTTAGTATTTTGTTTAATCAAAAGTCATTTAACCAAGTAACAATCTGATGGACAAAGAGCCAAGCAGTAAAATTATAAATTTCCTTAAAGTTCTGGAAAAATATTCTACAGTTTCAATATGTTATATAATATGTTTAAACTATTCTAAAAAATGTACCCAGAGTCTCAATCTGTCCAGTCTGCATTAATCCACAAGAAAACAATAAGACTATGGTATATGACAGTTTATCCATAAAAAAACCACAAAGATATCTGCATAAAATATTTTTAAAACATCATATTCTAAAAAACATACAAATACAAACCATTTTTAGACATGTGCTTATGAAAAGTATTACAATCATGAGCATTTTCATGGTGCTCAGAAAGATAAGATTTAAGTGGTATGGTTATAACCAATTAATTGGAAAAACAGAAAAGCCAAAGAGATCACTTATAAAAGCAATTTTCTAGTATGTCCTGTGTTGAGAAAGGAAATGTATACTACCTACTTTCTAGGAGTCTATAATTAATATTACTTAATCTACTTTACTATCAATGTCATAAAAAGGCAAAGTATAGTTTTATTTTTCTTTTTTTATTATACTTTAAGTTCTAGGGTACATGTGCACAATGTGCAGGTTTGTTACATATGTATACAGGTGCTATGTTGGTGTGCTACACCCATTAACTCGTCATTTACATTAGTTATATCTCCTAATGCTATCCCTCCCCACTCCCCTCACCCAACAACAAGCCCCGGTGTGTGATGTTCCCCGCCCTGTGTCCAAGTGTTCTCATTGTTCAGTTCCCACCTATGAGTGAGAACATATGGTGTTTGGTTTTTTGTCCTTGAGATAGTTTGCTCAGAATGATGGTTTCCAGCTTCATCCATGTCCCTACAAAGGACATGAACTCATCCTTTTTTATGGCTGCATAGTATTCCATGGTGTATATGTGCCTCATTTTCTTAATCCAGTCTATCATTGATGGACATTTGGGTTGGTTCCAAGTCTTTGCTATTGTGAATAGTGCCGCAATAAACATACGTGTGCATGTGTCTTTATAGCAGCATGATTTACAATCCTTTGGGTATATACCCAGTAATGGGATGGCTGGGTCAAATGGTATTTCTAATTCTAGATCCTTGAGGAATCACCACACTGACTTCCACAATGGTTGAACTAGTTTACAGTCCCACCAACAGTGTAAAAGTGTTCCTATTTCTCCACATCCTCTCCAGCATCTGTTGTTTCCTGGCTTTTTAATGATTGCCATTCTAACTGGTGTGAGATGGTATCTCATTGTGGTTTTGATTTGCATTTCTCCGATGGCCAGTGATGATGAGCATTTTTTCATGTGTCTGTTGGCTGCATCAATGTCTTCTTTTGAGAAGTGTCTGTTCACACCCTTTGCCCACACGTTGATGAGTTGTTTTTTTCTTGTAAATTTGTTTGAGTTCTTTGTAAATTCTGGATATTAGCCCTTTGTCAGATGAGTAGACTGCAAATTTTTTCTCCCATTCTGTAGGTTGCCTGTTCACTCTAATGGTAGTTTCTTTTGCTGTGCAGAAGCTCTTTAGTTTAATTAGATCCCATTTATCAATTTTGGCTTTTGTTGCCATTGCTTTTGGTGTTTTCGACATGAAGTCCTTGCCCATGCCTATGTCCTGAATGGTATTGCCTAGGTTTTCTTCTAGGATTTTCATGGTTTTAGGTCTAACATGTAAGTATTTAATCCATCTGGAATTAATTTTTGCATAAGGTATAAGAAAAGGGTCCAGTTTCAGCTTTCTACATATGGCTAGCCAGTTTTCCCAGCACCATTTATTAAATAGGGAATCCTTTCCCCATTTCTTGTTTTTGTCAGGTTTGTCAAAGATCAGATGGTTGTAGATGTGTGGTATTATTTCTGAGGGCTCTGTTGTGTTCCATTGATCTATATCTCTGTTTTGGTACCAGTACCATGCTGTTTTGGTTACTGTAGCCTTGTAGTATAGTTTGAAGTCAGGTAGCGTGATGCCTCCAGCTTTGTTCTTTTGGCTTAGGATTGACTTGGCAATGTGGGCTCTTTTTTGATTCCATATGAACTGTAAAGTAATTTTTTCCAATCCTGTGAAGAGAGTCATTGGTAGCTTGATGGGGATGGCATTGAATCTATAAATTACCTTGGGCAGTATGGCCATTTTCACGATATTCCATTCCGTATGATATTGGCTGTGGGTCTGTCATAAATAGCTCTTATGATTTTGAGATACGTCCCATCAATACCTAATTTATGAAGAGTTTTTAGCATGTAGGCCTGCTGAATTTTGTCAAAGGACTTTTCTGCATCTATTGAGATAATCATGTGGTTTTTGTCTTTGGTTCTGTTTATATGCTGCATTATGTTTCTTAATTTGCATCTGTTGAACCAGCCTTGCATCCCAGGGATGAAGCCCACTTGATCATGATGGATAAGCTTTTTGATGTGCTGCTGGATTCAGTTTGCCAGTATTTTATTGAGGATTTTTGCATCAATGTTCATCATGGATATTGGTCTAAAATTCTCTTTTTTTTGTTGTGTCTCTGCCCGGCTTTGGTATCAGGATGATGCTAGCCTCATAAAATGAGTTAGGGAGGATTCCCTCTTTTTCTATTGATTGGAATAGTTTCAGAAGGAATGGTATCAGCTCCTCCTTGTACCTCTGGTACAATTCGGCTGTGAATTCGTATGGTCCTGGATTTTTTTTGGTTGGTAGGCTATTAATTATTGCCTCAATTTCAGAGCCTGTTATTGGTCTATTCAGAGATTCAACTTCTTCCTGGTTTAGACTTGGGAAGGTGTATGTGTCGAGGAATTTATCCATTTCTTCTAGATTTTCTAGTTTATTTGCGCAGAGGTGTTTATAGTATTCTCTGATGGTAGTTTGTATTTCTGTGGGATCAGTGGTGATATCCCCTTTATCATTTTTTATTGCATCTATTTGATTCGTCTCTCTTTTCTTCTTTATTAGTCTTGCTAGCAGTCTACCAATTTTGTTGATTTTTTCAAAAAACCAGCTCCTGGACTCATTGATTTTTTTGAAGGGTTTTTTGTGTCTCTGTCGCCTTCATTTCTGCTCTGGTCTTAGTTATTTCTTGGCTTCTGCTAGCTTTTGAATGTGTTTGCTCTTGCTTCTCTAGTTCTTTTAATTGTGATGTTAGGGTGTCAACTTTAGGTCTTTCCTGCTTTCTCTTGTGGGCATTTAGTGCTATAAATTTCCCTCTACACACTGCTTTGAATGTGTCCCGGAGACTCTGGTATGTTGTGTCTTTGTTCTCACTGGTTTCAAAGAACATCTTTATTTCTGCCTTCATTTTGTTACGTACCCAGCAGTCATTCAGGAGCAGGTTGTTCAGTTTCCATGTAGTTGAGCGGTTTTGAGTGAGTTTCTTAATCCTGAGTTCTAGTTTGATTGCACTGTGGTCTGAGAGAGAATTTGTTATAATTTCTGTTCTTTTACATTTGCTGAGGAGTGCTTTACTTCCAACTATGTGGTCAATTTCGGAATAAGTGCTATGTGGTGCTAAGAATATATATTCTTTTGATTTGGGGTGGAGAGTTCTGTAGATGTCTATTAGGTCCACTTGGTGTGGAGCTGAGTTCAAGTCCTGGATATCCTTGTTAACGTTCTGTCTTGTTGATCTGTCTAATGTTGACAGTGGGGTGTTAAAGTCTCCCATTATTATTGAGTGGGAGTCTAAGTCTCTTTGTAGGTCTCTAGGGGCTTGCTTTATGAATCTGGGTGCTCCTGTATTGGGTGCATATATATTTAGGATAGGTAGCTCTTCTTGTTGAATTGATCCCTTTACCATTATGTAATGGCCTTCTTTGTCTCTTTTAATCTTTGTTGGTTTAAAGACTGTTTTATCAGAGACTAGGATTGTAACCCCTGCCTTTTTTTGTTTTGCACTTGCTTGGTAGATCTTCCTCCATCCCTTTATTTTGAGCCTATGTGTGTCTCTGCATGTGAGATGGGTCTCCTGAATACAGCACACTGATGGGTCTTGACTCTTTATCCAATTTGCCAGTCTGTGTCTTTTAATTGGAGCATTTAGCCCATTTACATTTAAAGGTAATATTGTTACTTGTGAATTTGATCCTGTCATTATGATGTTAACTGGTTACTTTGCTCATTAGTGATGCAGTTTCTTCCTAGCATCGATGGTCTTTACAATTTGGCATGTTTTTGCAGTGGCTGGTACTGGTTGTTCCTTTCCATGTTTAGTGCTTCCTTCAGGAGCTCTTTTAGGGCAGGCCTGGTGGTGACAAAATCTCTCAGCATTTGCTTGTCTGTAAAGTATTTTATTTCTCCTTCACTTATGAAGCTTACTTTGGCTGGATATGAAATTCTGGGTTGAAAATTCTGTTCTTTAAGAATGTTGAATATTGGCCCCCACTCTCTTCTGGCTTGTAGAGTTTCTGCCAAGAGATCCGCTGTTAGTCTGATGGGCTTCCCTTTGTGAGTATCCCAACCTTTCTCTCTGGCTGCCCTTAACATTTTTTCCTTCATTTCAACTTTGGTGAATCTGACAATTATGTGTCTTGGAGTTGCTCTTCTTGAGGAGTATCTTTGTTGCATTCTCTGTATTTCTTGAATTTGAATGTTGGCCTGCCTTGCTAAGTTGGGGAAGTTCTCCTGCATAATATCCTGCAGAGTGTTTTCCAACTTGGTTCCATTCTCCCTGTCACTTTCAGGTATACTAATCAGATGTAGATTTGGTCTTTTCACACAGTCCCATATTTCTTGGAGTCTTTATTGCTTCTTACTCTTTTTTCTCTAAACTTCTCTTCTTGCTTCATTTCATTCATTTGATCTTCAGTCACTGATACTCTTTCTTCCAGTTGATCAAATCGGCTACTGAAGCTTGTGCATTCGTCACGTAGTTCTTGTGCCATGGTTTTCAACTCCATCAGGGTTTCAACTGCATCAGGTCATTCTCTACACTGGTTATTCTAGTTAGCCATTCGTCTAATCTTTTTTCAAGGTTTTTAGCTTCTTTGCAATGGGTTCAAACTTCCTCCTTTAGCCTGGAGAAGTTTGATCGTCTGAAGACTTCTTCTCTCAACTCGCCAAAGTCATTCTCCATCCATCTTTGTTCTGTTGCTGGTGAGGAGCTGCGTTCCTTTGGAGGGGGAGAGGCACTCTGATTTTTAGAATTTTCAGCTTTTCTGCTCTATTTTTTTCCCCAACTTTGTGGTTTTATCTACCTTTCGTCTTTGATGATAGTGACGTACAGATGGGGTTTTGGTGTGGTTGTCCTTTCTGTTTGTTAGTTTTCCTTCTAACAATCAGGACCCTCAGCTGCAGGTCTGTTGGAGTTTGCTAGAGGTCCACTCCAGACCCTATTTGCCTGGGTATCAGCAGTGGAGGCTGCCGAACAGCAGGTATTGCTAAACAGCAAATGTTGCTGCCCCATCGTTCCTCTGGAAGTTTCATCTCAGAGGGTACCTGGCCATGTGAGGTGTCAGTCTGCCCCTACTGGGGGATGCCTCCCAGTTAGGCTACTCGGGGGTCAGGGACCCACTTGAGGAGGCAGTCTGTCCGCTGTCAGATCTCAAACCCCGTGCTGGGAGAACCACTACTCTCTTCAGAGCTGTCAGACATGGACATTTAAGTCTGCAGAGGTTTCTGCCACCTTTTGTTCAGCTATGCCCAGCCCCCAGAGGTGGAGTCTACAAAGGCAGGTAGGCCTCCTTGAGCTGCGGTGGTCTCCACCAAGTTCGAGCTTCTTGGCCACTTTGTTTACCTATTCAAGCCTCAGCAATGGCAGGCGCCCCTCCCCCAGCCTTGCTGCTGCCTTGCAGTTGGATCTCAGAATGCTGTGCTAGCAATGAGCAAGGCTCTGTGGGCATGGGACCCTCTGAGCCAGGTGCAGGATATAATCTCCTGGTGTGCAGTTTTCTAAGTCCATTGGAAAAGTGCAGTATTAGGGTGGGAGTGACCCGATTTTCCAGGTGCCATCTGTCACAGCTTCCCTTGGCTAGGAAAGGGAATTCCCTGACCCCTTGTGCTTCCCTGGTGAGGCGATGCCTCGCCCTGCTTCAGCTCATGCTTGGTGCACTGCACCCACTGTCCTGCACCCACTGTCCAACAAGCCCCAGTGAAATGAACCCGGTACCTCAGTTGGAAATGCAGAAATCACCCATCTTCTGTGTTGCTCATGCTGGGAGCTGTAGACTGGAGCCGTTCCTATTTGGCCATCTTGGAGCCACCTTGGCAAAGTATAGTTTTCAAGTTGAATTTTCCCTCTCACAATACCAGCCTTCTTAAAAAGGCCAAAGGTACTGTCACACATTCTCATTTAACATCCCTATGCAGAGAAGTAGAAAGTGAGAGGAAATGAGGAAAGATGAAGCAAATTAAAAGATTTGATAAAAATATTTTGATAAAAGATAAAAAGTCACAAATCTAATTTCAAGAGTTAAAAGCTGAAGAGTATAGCAAAAATCACATAATTAAATCACTAAAAATCATTTTTTAAAAACCCTTTAAAATAATCAAAGAAAAAGGATACATTATATATTAAGGAACAAAGATAAGAATTACATAAAACTTCTGGTCAGAAACATTGAAAGCCAGAAGACAGTGGAAAGGATAAAAATAAACCTAACCTAGAATTCCACACCTAGCAAAAATCTCTACCAAAAAAAAAAGAAGGTGAAATAATGACTTGATAAACACAAACAGATGTAATTCATTGCCAGCAGACATGCACTGCAAGAAATACTTAGAATAGCCTTGTGGAAAGAAGGAAACTAATTCCAGAGGAAAATTTTGATGTATAATTAAGCATGAAGAACACTGGAAATAATACGTAAACATGAAAGCTTTTGAAATTTTTGAAAACCCTTTAAAAGAAAATAAGTTGGTTAAATCAAAATTCAAAACACTATATTATGTGATTTAGACCACATGCAGAAACAAAATACATTGGTGCACAAAGGCTAGCAAAGGGGAAACGAAAGTATTTGTCGTAAAATCCTTATACTATATATGAAATGGTACAATGTTTGAAAATAGACTGTGCTGGATTAAAGATACAATTTTATACCCTAGAACAACCATTAAAAATAGTATACTTGAGGCCGGGCGCGGTGGCTCACGCCTGTAATCCCAGCACTTTGGGAGGCCGAGGCGGGTGGATCATGAGGTCAGGAGATCGAGACCATCCTGGCTAACAAAGGTGAAACCCCGTCTCTACTAAAAATACAAAAAACTAGCTGGGCGCGGTGGCGGGCGCCTGTAGTCCCAGCTACTCGGGAGGCTGAGGCAGGAGAATGGCGTGAACCCGGGAAGTGGAGCTTGCAGTGAGCCGAGATTGCGCCACTGCAGTCTGCAGTCCGGCCTGGGCGACAGAGCGAGACTCCGTCTCAAAAAAAAAAAAAAAAAAATAGTATACTTGATAAGGTGGCTGGGCGTGGTGGCTCATGCCTGTAATCCCAGCACCTCGGAGTCCAAGGTGGGTAGATCACCTGAAGTCAGGAGTTCAAGACCAGCCTGAACAACATGGCAAAACCCCTTCTCTACTGAAAAATACGAAAATTAGCCAAGCATGGTGATGCATGTCTGTAATCCCAGCTACTTGGGAGGCTGAGGCAGGATAATCGCTTGAACCCAGGAGGTAGAGTTTGCAGTGAGCCAAGACCACACCATTGCATTCCAACCTGGGCAACAGGAGCAAAACTCCATCTCAAAAAAAAAAAAATAGTATAATTGATAAGCCTATAATGTAGATAAAATGAAATAAATTATTTAATTCAAAAGATAAGAAAAAAGAACAGAGAACCAATGGAACAGAAAAAAATAGCAAGACCTATTTAAACCCACGCATATTGATAATCCATTAAATGTAAATTGTCTAACTCTACAATTAAAAAGGGAAAGATGATCAGATTGGATTAAAATTTTAAAAGCAAGACCCACCTAAATGCTGGATACAACAACCCCACTTTAAATATAAAGAGACTAATAGATAAAATGTAAAAAGATGGTAAAAGATATGCCATGTTATCACTAATCAAAACAAAGTTGGAGTGTTTAAATTAATATCAGATTAAGTAGATTTCAAAGTAAACAATATTACTAAAGTAATATTTTGCTTCAAAGTAAATAAAGCAAAACCTGATACAACTAAAAGAAGTGAAAGACAAATCCATAATTATAGTTGAAAATTTCTAAACCCCCCTCTCAATGATAGAAAAATTGGACCAAAAAAGAAAGATCAGTATGGATATGAAAGACCTGAATAGCACCAACAAGTTTGCTTAAATGACATTTCTAAAAGACTCTACCAACATTATCAAGATACATGTTCTATTAAAGTGCATATAGAACATTTACTAAGATACACCAGATTCTGGGCTATAAAACAGGTTCCAATAAGATGAAAAGAACAAAATATATTCTCTGACCAAAACTGAATTAAATTAGAAATACACAACAGAAAAACATTTGAAATTCCTATCTTTTTTGTAATTTCCAAGAAATCCAAAGGTCAAAGAAATCAAAGGAAATTGTAAAATATTTTGAATTTAATAAAAATGCAAGCACAACATATCAAAATTTATGAGATTCAACTAAAGCAGTGTTTAGAGGAAAATTTACAGCACTTATAGATAAAAGAAGATTTCAAATCAATGATCTAATCTTCCTTCTAATTATTTTTAGAAACTAAAAAGATGAACAAATTAAACTCCCAATAGGCAGAATTATGAAAATAATAAAGATCAAAATAATAAACAGTAAAATAATAAAGAAGCAATAAAACCAAAGGTTGGTTCCTTGAAAATTTCAAACAAGCTGATAAAGTCTGTCCAGAAAAATCAAAAGACAGAGAAAGGAGGAGATAGAGAAACACAAATAACCATAATCAGGAAAGAGGAAATATCACTACATAACCTACAGATGTTAAAATAATAAGGGAAAGTGATGAACTTTATGTCAATAATTTTGGACACTTGATGAAATATTTAAATCCCTTAAAATACATGATCTACCAAAGCTCACTGAAAAAGAAAAAAGTAATCTAAATAGTCCTGTATTTACTAAGGAAAATAAATTAATGGTTTCAAAACTTCTCACAAAGAAAAGTCCTAACTCATTTGGCTTCACTTATGAATTCTACCAAACACTTAAGAAATAATGTTATATATACTGCAACTCTTCCAGAAAATAAGAGGGGACATGTCCCCATTCATTCTATGAGAATATCATTACCCTAATACCAAAACTACATAAAGTCATCCAATAAAAAAAGACCAATATTTCCCACAAGAGACACAAAATTCCTTAAAAGTTTAGCCAACTGAAACTAACTATGCATAAAAAAATTATCACTGCCACATTGGCTTTACTCTGAAACACAAGGTCTTACATTCATAAATTAATCAATATAGTTCATGAATTCCAGAGCCTACAAAAGGAAATGCCATATAAAAATACCATTTAAATAACATATATAGAAAAGCCCCTCCACAAAATTCAACAACCAATTGTGATAAAAATTTATCTGCAAACTAGGAATAGAAGGGGACTCCCTGATACTAAGAAAGGGCATCTATGAAAAACCTACTGCTAACTTCATGCTAAATGGTTATAGATGGAGTGCTTTCCTCCTAAGTTCAAGAACAAGCCCATTTCCATTCTACACTATTGTGGAGGTCCTATCCAGTACATATGTAAGAAAGAAAATCAAATATATATGAATTGGGAAAACAAATTATCCCTCTTTTTATTCCCAGAATATATGATAGTCTATGTAGAAAAATCTGTGGAATATACCCCCCCCCCCAAAAAAAACACTCCATTATAATTAGTGAGTTTAACAAGTTTGTAAAATGCAGAATCAACATTTTATAATCTACTGTATTTCTATATGCTAACAATGAATAATTGGAAATTTAAATTTAAAACAAAGCATTTACAGTAGCACCAGAAATTACCAAGTATTTAGGGATAAACTTAAAATATTTACAAGGTTGGGGGAAGGGCCTAGATGGTCAATTAGAAGCAGCTTCTGTCTACAGCTCCCACTGAGAAGAAAGAAAATGGTGAGTGAATCCTGCTCCATCAACTGAGGTATCCAGGTTCTGTCAATGAGACTGACTAGGTGGTTGACCCACACAAAGAGAGGAAAAGCAGAGTGGAGCAATGACCTGAGAGCTGCAGGGGATAAGGGGAGCTCCCACACCAAGCCAAGGGAGGTGGTGAGTGACTATGCTACCCCACCTGGGAAACCACACTTTTTCCATGGATCTGTAAATCCCATGGATCAGAAGATCCCCTTGTAAGCCTATGCCACCAGAGCCTTGGGTCCCAAACAGAGAGCTGTGCAATCTGCTCGAGTTGCAGCTAGCAGCAGCAGGCTAGACACAGCCTAAGATGACCATGTTCCTGTGAGGAGGGGTGGCTGCCATCACTGCACCTCCAGTCGCCATTTTCCCCCTGCTGGTGTTGGGGAGACTGGGTGGTTTGGACTGAGAGGAATTCCCAATAGTACGGCACAGTGGCTGTGGCAGATTGTGGCCAGGCTGTTTCTTTAGGTGGGACCCAGATCCATCCCTCCTCACCAGGCAGGGCCTCCATGCAGAAATTGCAACAACTCCAGCTAGGGGTTTACAGACGGAACTTTGATATCCCTGGGAAGGAGCCCCTGGGGGAAGGGGCAGACATGGTTTCACAGTTCAGTGGATCTCACAGTTGACATGTATTTGTAAAGAGCTATGACAGTTCTGGGATTTTATACTACCAGCAAACTGACAAGTTAGCTCCCCACCCCTCACCAGTTTCATGGATTCTGACAGAAGACACGCCTGCTGGCAGTCCAGACAAGGGGGGATTCTCTCCAACACAGCCAAACCTGCTCAGCCAATGGGCAGCCAGACGGTCCCTGATCCTGTGCCTCCTGACTGGGTGAGACCTCCCAATGGGGGTCGCTAGACACCTCATACAAGAGTGTTCCAGCTGGCATCAGCTTGGTGCCCCTCTGAGACAGAACTCCCAGAGGGAAGAGCAAGCAGCAATCTTTGCTGTTCTGCAGCCTTCACTGATACCTCCAGGTATGGGAGGAACTCAAGTAAATTGGGTCTGGAGTGGTCACCCAGTAAACCACAGCTGCCCTGTGGAAGAGGGGCCTGACTGTTTAAAGAAAAACAAACAGAAAGCAACCACAACAACATCAACAAAAAAGACCCTACAAAAACCCTGTCCAATGGTCAGCAGCCTCAAAGATCGAAGGTAGATAAACCCACAAAGATAAGAAAGAACGCAAAAACACTGAAAACTCAAAAAGCTCGAGTACCTCTTCTCCTCCAAATGATTTCAATACTTCTCAAGCAAGGGCACAGAACTAGGCTGAGACTGAGATGAATAAATTGACAAAAATAAACATCAGAAGGTAGGTAAACAAACTTCACTGAACTAAAAGGGTATGTTCTAACCCAATGCACAGAAGCTAAGAACCATGATAAAGCAGTAAAGGAGCTGTTACCCAGAATAACCAGTTTAGAGAGGAACATAACCAACCCAATGGAGCTGACAAACAAAACACAAGAACTTCATGGTGCAACCACAAGTATCAATAGCCAAATAGACCAAATGGAAGAAAGAATTTCAGAGACTGAAGACTATCTTGCTGAAATAAGGCAGGCAGCAAGGTTAGAGAAAAAAGAATGAAAAGGAATGAACAAAACCTCTGAGAACTATGGGATTATGTAAAAAGACTGAACCTACAATGGATTGGGCTACCTGAAAGAGATGAGGAGATTGAAACCAAGTTGGAAAACATGCTTCAGGATGTCATCCAGGAAAACTTTCCCATCTTAGCAAGACAGACCAACATTCAAATTCAGGGAATCCAGAGAACCCAAGTAAGACACTCCATGAGAAGGTCAACCCCAAGACACATAATCATCAGGTTCTCCAAGGTCAAGATGAAGGAAAAAATGTTAAGGGCAGCCACAGAGAAGATCAGGTAAGGCCAGGTCACCTACAAAGGGAAACCCATCAAATAGCAGACACCTCAGTGGAAACCCTACAACTCAGAAGAGACTGGGGGCCAATATTCAACATTCTTAAGAATTTCGAACCCAGAATTTCATATCTGGCCAAACTAAGCTTCATAAGCAAAGGAGAAATAAGATCCTTTTCAGTCAAGCAAATGCCGAGGGAATTCGTCACCACCAGGCCCGCCTTGCAAGAGCTCCTGAAGGAAGCGCCAAATATGGAAAACAAAAACCATTACCAGCCACTACAAAAACACACTGAAGTTCACCAACCAATGACACTATGAAGCAACTACATTAACAAGTCTTCAAAATAACCAGCAAGCATCATGATGACGGAATCAAATTCACACGTAACGATATTAACCTTAAATGAAAATGGACTAAATGCTCTGATTAAAAGACACAGAATGGCAAGCTGGATAAAAAGACAAGACCCATTGGTGTGCTGTATTCAAGAGACCCATCTCACATGCAAAGATACACATAGACTCAAAATAAAGAGATGGAGGAATATTTACCAAGCAAATGGAAACAGAAAAAGCAGGGGTTACAGTCTTAGTTTCCGACAAAACAGACTTTAAACCAACAAAGATCAAAAATGACAAAGAAGGGGATTACATAATGCTAAAGGGTTCAATTCAACAAAAAGAACTAACCCAATACAGGAGCACCTATTTCATAAAACAAGTTCTTAGAGATCTACAAAGAAACATAGAATCCTACACAATAATAGTGGGTGACTTTAACACCCCACTGTCGATATTAGACAGATCATCAAGACTAAAAATGAACAAAGATATTCAGGATTGAACTCAGCTCTGGATCAAGTAGATATGACAGACATTAACAGAACTCTCCACCCAAAAACATCATACACATTCTTCTTGGTGTCACATGGCACTTACTCTAAACTTGATCAAATAATTGGAAGTAAAACACTCCTCAGCAAAAAGAACTGAAATCATAACAGTCTCTCAGATCTCAGTGCAATCAAATTAGAGCTCAAGAAATTCACTCAAACCACACAGCTACATGGGAATTGAATAATCTGCTCCTGAATGATTCCTGTGTAAGTAATGAAATTAAGACAGATATCAAAAAGTTCTTTGAAACCAATGAGAACAGAGACAACATACCAGAATCTCTGGGATGCAGCTAAAGCATTGTTAAGAGGGAAATTTATAGCACTAAGTGCCCACATCAAAAAGCTAGAAAGATCTCAAATCAACATCCTTACATCACAACTAAAACAACTAGAGAACCAAGAGCAAACAAACCCCAAAGCTAGAAGAATACAAGAAATAACCAAGATCAGAGTGGAACTTAAAAACCCTTCAAAAAGAATCAATGAATCCAGGAGCTGGTTTTTTGAAAAAAGTTAATAAAATAGATAGACTGCTAGCTGGCTAGACTAATAAAGAGAAGAATGAAATAGACACAATACAAAATGACAAAGAGGATATTATCACCAACCCCACAGAAACACAAACTATCACAGAATATGATACACGCTTTAATGCAAATAAACTAGAAAATCTAGAAGAAATTGATATATTCCTGGACATTTACACTCTCTCAAGACTGAACCAGGAAAAACTTGAATCCCTGAATAGACCAATAATTAGTTCTGAAATTAAGGCAGTAATAAATAGCCTACCAACCAAAAAAAGCCCAGGACCAGACAGATTTACAGCTGAATTCAACCAGAGTTATAAAGAGGACCTGGCACTATTTCTTCTGAAATGATTCCAAACAACTAAAAAAGAGGGACTCCTCCCTAACTCATTTTATGAGGCCAGCATCATCCTTATACCAAAACCTGGCAGAGATAACGAAAAATGAAAACTTCAGGCCAAACCACTATGGCACATGTTTTTATATGTAGCAAACCTGCACATCCTGCAAATGTACCCAGAAACTTAAAATTAAATTAAATTTTAAAAAATATTTACAAGGTTTATAAGTGGTAAATATAAATCATTACATAGAGAAATTAAAGACCTAAAGAAATTAAGAAACACATTGTGTTAACAAATCAAAACAGAGTATTGTGAAGAAGTCATTTTTCCCCAAATAGATCTAACAATCCCAATAAAATAGATCAACACAATCCCAATAAAAACTCCAGAAACCTTTTGTAGAAACTGTCAAGCTGATTCTCAAATATCTAAGGAAATGCAAATGATCTAAAATACCCAAAATACTTTCCAAAAAAGAAGAAAGTTATAGGACTTCTACAACCTGATTCCAAGACTTTATTATAAAGCTTCAGCAATCAAGATAGCATGACTTAAAGATATAGATTAAGGAAACAGAATAGAAAATATGTAAACAGACCTATCTATGTTTAAGCAATTCATTTTTGACAAAGGTGCCAGGGAAATTCAATGGAGAAGAGAGAATCTTTTCAACAAGTGGTGCTGGAATAATTACATATCCCTAAGTGAAAAAAGTATATACAACATAAACCTCACACTGTATATAAAAATTAACTTAAATGACTCATGATCCTAAAGTTGTAACACTTCTAGAAGAAAACAGGGAAAAAAAATTTTGTCCTTAGGTTAGGCAAAGATTTATCATAGGGGACAAGAAGCAAGAACAGAAAAAAATAATCCCAATAAATTAGAGTTCACAAAAATTTAAATAGTTTGCTGCTCAAAGCCACTGTTTAAAAAATGAAAGGCAAGCCACAAGCTGGGAGAAAAATTTGTGGAAAACATGTATTTGTAAAGAGCTATGACAGTTCTGGGATTTTATACTACCAGCAAACTGACAAGTTAGCTCCCCACCGCCCACCAGTTTCATGGATTCTGGCAGAAGACATGAGATTCCTGAGTCACAGACAAAGGACTTTATTACTCACAGTAGTGGGGATGGTGAGATGTACGTGTGTGACTGGCCCCGATAGATGCTGCACATGCAGTAGATTTGTCTTGCCACTGAGTAACTCCAAGCTTAATAGCCCAGTCTTATTTAAGGCCTGCAAGAAAACAAGGGAGATATCTATTATCTTGGACACCAAATATATCTTCTCTTTCCCAAAAGGAAAACAATATCTCAATTATCCAAGGCTTTTTTGCTATACAAACTCCTTTGAAAAGATAGTCTAGAACAATAGTTGTCAATGTCCCTGCTCACAATATGTGCAGAAATATGAGAGATCCATAAAGAGTTATCTCCAAACAGTAAAGAACAGGTGTGCAGAGAATATAAAGAACTCTCTAAACTCAATAACAAGACTAACAAGCCACAATTTTAACAAAATAGTTGAATAGACACACTTCAAAAAAAGATGCTGATGGAAAACAGCATATGAAAAAGTATTCAATGTCATTATTGTTAAATATAAATTAAAACTCCAATGCAATGTCCCAACACACCCTCTAGAATGACTAAAATTTAAAAAGATTGATAACAAGTGCTGTGGAGCAACTGGAAATCTCCAACACTGCTGGTGGGAATGCAAAGTGGTACAGACACTTTGGAGAACAGTTTGGCATTTTCTTATAAAGTCAGACTCATCCTTACCATCTAACCCAGAAATTCCACTCATAAGTATTTACCCAAGATAAATGAAAACATATGTCCACACAAACATTTGTATGTTAGTGCTCATAGCAACTTTATTCATAATCGACAGAACCTGGATGTTGGAAATTAATTCTCCATGTGTTTCCTGTGTTTCTACATGTCTTGCTAGTAGAGGCACTGATTGCCTTTGTTTCATACTATCTCTTTAAGCATGTGTACAGAGCAATTTCTCTTTTAAAAAGGCAAGTTAAATTAAAAATATATGTAAAACATAAGCATTCAGGAAAATGTTATCAGAATTCAAGAGACCTGCCAGGCAATTTAACTCAGAGTTCTAGAGTCATCTTCACAACGATGAATTGCTGAAGGAAAAATAATCAGCAATCTCTTGCTTCTGTGCAGGTAGATGATTCTTCACAACCAGAAACTGAATGCTCACACCTAAGACTGGAACTATTTGCAGACTCAACATTGGGAAATAATCTTCACATGGAACTTTCCCCCTGCTTCCACAAGGATCTGCAAATAATTACAGCAGCACAGAAATGTCTATGCTTTTTTTCAGAATTGAGAAAGCTTTTTACCATCTCCATTTATTCTCCCTTGTGATAGAACTCTATTGATCATTAAAAATTAACAAGCCACCCAGTAACTTCATCCTGGTGTCTGACTTAAAACAAAAAGTTTCTTGCATGATTGAAACGGACATCTCTTGGGCATTTTGAAAAAACTGGATTGAAATTACAAAACTAATCTGGTAACACCATATTTTAGTTAGATATATAAACATAACACAGAAATTTACACAACATCCTGCCCCAAGCACAAATATAATTCATTTTCTAATTCTGAAGAAAAATGAGATGAGTATGTAAAAATCATTCTTTACCTGAAATTATTGAAATATATATGATGTACATATATGTGTGTACATATAATACTAGGATTTTATTATGCTAGGTAAGTTAAATAAGGTACTGCAAATTATTTGAAGAACTATTTGATAAAAACTACATACTGTAGAATCTGAAAGAAAATAACTGCATAATTTGAAGTACCTAGTTGTAAAAGCAGAAACACCACAATCAACAGAAAAGGAGTATCTTAATTACCAAGGAGAAAGTCACTAATTGTTAATTTTTAAGGTAAAAGATTAAGGTGAAGATCAGCAGTTCCAAGGGGTTGGGGAATGGAAAAATAGGTGGAGGACCAAGGATTTGAGAGTAGTGACAATACTCTGTATGATACTCGAATGGTGGATACATGTCATTATACATTTTGTCAAACCCATAGAATATGCAATAGCAAGAGTGAGGGAAAACTGGCTAGCCATATGCAGAAAACTGAAACTGGACGCCTTCCTTATACCTTACACAAAAAATTAACTCAAGATGGATTAGAGACTTAAATGTAAAACCCAAAACCATAAAACCCTAGAAGAAAACCTAGGCAATACCATTCAGGACATAGGCACAGGCAGATTAAAACGCCAAAAGCAATTCCAACAAAAGCCAAAATTGACAAATAGGATATAATTAAACTAAAGAGTTTCTTCACAGCAAAAGAAACTATCATCAGAGTGAACAGGCAACCTACAGAATAAGAGAAAATTTTTGCAATCTGTCCATTTGATAAAGTTCTAATATCCAGAATTTACAAGAAAAAAAAAATGACCCCATCAAAAAGTGAGCAAAGGATATGAACAGACACTTCTCAAAAGAAGACATTTATGTGGCCAACAAACATATGAAATAAAGCTCAACATCACTGATCATCAGAGAAATGCAAATCAAAACCACAATGAGATACCATCTCACATCAGTCAGAATGGTGATGATTAAAAGTCAGGAAACAATAGTTGCTAGCAAAGCTGTGGAGAAATAGGAATGCTTTTACACTGTTGGTGGGAATGTAAATTAGTTCAACCATTGTGGAAGATATTACAGCAATTCCACAAGGATCTAGAGCCAGAAATACCATTTGACCCAGCAATCCCTGTACTGGGTATATACCCAAAGGAATATAAATCATTCTACTATAAAGACACGTGTACACGTATGTTTACTGCAGCACTATTTACAATAGCAAAGACATGGAACCAACCTAAATGCTCATCAATGATAGACTGGATAAATAAAATGTGGTACATATACACCATGGAATACTTTGCATACATAAAAAGGAATGAGATTATGTCCTTTGCAGGGACATGGATGAAGCTGGAAGCCATCATCCTCAGCAAACTAACACAGGAACAGAAAACCAAACACTGCACGTTCTCACATAAGCAGGAGTTGAACAATAAGAACACATGGACACACAGAAGGGAACAACACACATCAGGGCCTGTTGGGGGGTTGGGGGAGCAGAGGGAACTTAGAGGATGGGTCAATAGAAGCAGCAAAACACCATGGCACATGTATACCTATGTAACAAACCTGCATGTTCTGCACATGTATCCCTTTTTTTTAGAAGAAATAAAAAGATTTTTAAAAAATAGCAAGAGTGAACCCTCATGTAAACTATGGACTGTGGATAATGATGTGTCAATGTAGGTTCATCAGTTGAAACAAGAGTACCATTCCTGGTTCGAAACATGTCAGCAGGTGTGGGGTATACATGTGTGAGGTGGAGGTTCACAGGCATCTCTATACCTTCCTCTCAATTTGGCTGTGAACCTAAAACTTTTATTTTAAAAAATTAACTTTTTTTTAAGTTGGAAAATAAGAATTGTTCTTCTCTTCAAAGTCTTTTATTTAAAGACCACGTATTATGATATAGTATACCATACCATGCAGGCATGAGCTCTACAGTCTAATGTGAAGGCCAAAGATAAGTACACAAATAACTATAGTTCTGAATATAATCCCCAAAATTCTGCAGGAGAGGTTGATACAAGGTAGTAGTCATTTCCGACAAGAGAAATCAAGGAAGGTGTAATGAAGGAGGTATTTGAGCTAGTCATTGAAGGATAGCTCAGCTCTCTGCAATGCTGCTGGACACAAAGGGCATTCCAGGTAAGAAAAAAAAAAAAAGGCAGTAGGAACCAAGACATGGTGGGAAGACATCATGAGTTTGTAATTAGATTGCAAAGGACATTGGTGACTTTTCCTCACTGGTGTCCAATTCTCTAATTTCATAGCATATAATGGACTGTTTCTGACACTCTTAAGAACAAGTCTTCCTGAATAGCTAATCCTTATTTAATAATTATTACTGTGATATCTTTAAAACAAATCAAAGTTGTTATATCATTAATCCCAGTGGTGAAGGTACGTTGTTATATGTAGTTCCAAAGCTGTTTGAGTGTTATTTATCTATAAATAAACAAAATTAACTAGGTAAATGAAAAATGTCTAATCTGTATAGGTATTGGAGGGAGGGAATATGGAGGTTATTAGGTATTTTAAAGAGGTATTTTAATGATGAGTATATTGAAGTACATAAAGATTTAATGAAATGCTCAAATTTAATTATTTTTCATTTAATAACTGCTTACATGGAATATTTTAGAACATTAACTCATTTGATTTTCATAACAATCTTGATATGGTGCTACTGTGATCCTCATTTTACAGATGAGGAAACTGAGACACAAAGCAATTAAGAGACTCCCCTTGTCAGCACTAAAGCCAGGATTGGTTCCCAGGCAGGTGGAGGTAGATTCCATACACCAGGTTACCAATCACTGCTCTAGTTGCCTCTCCAAACCAGTTAGTGGCAGAGTGAAACCCAGAACACAAGGACCCCGAGTCCAAATCTTTTTTTTTCACTCTAAAATATCTGTTACTACACATCCAACACAAGTTTTCATGATCCCAGTCACTAAGGCTCTTTGCTACCTCTTTATCAAAATGCTTTCTTTTCTCCTCAAATTTTAGATATGGTTGTGTTTCTTATTTTTACAGATGGAATTTCTCTCCCTCAGCTACACTCAATTTACATCTCCCTACAACCAAGCCATGACTAGTTAAACCACAACAAACAAGCCTCAGCATTATGCATTCCTTCAACAAAAAGGGAGAGAGAGAGAAAACTAACCACACGTATTGTCTGTCCATATTTGTCCTGGAAATGAAGGAATAGAAAGCAAGCTGTTGCACTGGTTCATACAACTCATTTGTAGCACAAATACTTGGTGGTGGTGAATTTTATGGTAACCTCCCTTTTAGAGGCCATAGCTGAGGAAAGCAAAAGGCCCTCTTTTCACTTCATTGTCTATACTCAAGCATGTCATTTCATCCTTGTGGAACAGGATATTGAAGGGAATTTTTCCCTGAATGACTGGCTAGGATCCATGACTGGAAACGACAGGACAGAAGTATCCTAACGTTTTAGAACGTTTTAGAATGTCAATAGCTGCAGATAGCACCCAACATCTGCCAGGATTAAGAGATGGCAAAATCAGGCTTCTACTTGTGCCTAGATGCCTCCTATAGAGATATCTGATTGGTCTGGTGCCACTCTTGGCAATAAGATGTTTTTTAAAGCTCCCCAGGTAATTCTAATTGCAGGCAAGGTTGGAATGACTGCTATACAAGAGAAGGGAGCAGTGCAGACAATAAGATGGTCATCTTCTTCTCAAGCAGTGAGAAGATTACCACTTCCAAGTAAGATGTATCTTTCTTCTCTGAATAGCCTGGAGAGTGGGAATGTGGTTGGAAAGAAGTCCAAGAGGGCTTTCCTGTAAGAAAGGATGCTGTTTAGGGGTATGCTTAGACTCCGCCTGTGTGGGAAGAGAATGAGAACAACATTATGGTACACAGAAGAGAGTGACATGGAATAGACAGCTATGCTGCAGCCGTCTTTCATCATAGGTTACCCAAGAAAGCTGTTTACCAGGTGCCAGCCAAAGTCTGGGTTGTGGCAGCAAAAATCTGTGGCTAGACTACTGGTGGTGGGGATTGTCTGGGCTATAAGGTATAAGGTTCCACTCCGAAAACCGGGCAGTGGACAGACTCCACTCTGTGCCCCAAAGGTGGACACTTGGATGCTGCCCCATAGAGGCATGGAAGGACAGCAGAGAAGCATCAACCACCAACAAAGAGATCTAAACCAGGGCCAGATGAAGACAGACACCTCCTCTACTCCCTCCTTCAATTCCAAGACACAGGAGGTATTTGCGCCTAAAAGATGAAGCAGAAAAATTTGGATTTCTTTGGATTAAATTGTGAGCTTGGAAATTGAAAACTGAGCTCAGTTATAGTAGTGATAATTAACCAGAAATGTAGAGAATCCACCAAAGATGCTGCCTAAAAGCAGAAAAGAAGTCTTCTAACCAACAAAATCAAGGCAGAATGGGGCAGATTTGTGGAAGCTTGCACATTTGTCCAGAGGCAGTTTATTTCTGTGGAAGAAAATGGATATGCTCAAAGGATATGACAGTTTGTGTGACTGACTGACTTTAACAGGAACAATGCGCCATTATACCATCCTTTGTGTAGAATGTAGGAACGCTACTGGTTGGATGCTCTGAACTTGGCTTCCTTACAACTTCTGTGTCTTCTGCCTTGGTTGACGGGGGTCAGAAGTCCAAGTCGATGGTGACTTGGCTGCAATGAGATATGAAACACACACCAAGCAGTTGCACTGACTATGTACAAATTATGTAACTCTTTGAATCTCAATTTTCTTATACAGAATATGGGAATAACATCTGCTCATGAGGTGGTTTTGAGGATTGCATTTTGCCTCACAAAAATGGCTGGCACGTGACCTACTCAATAAATGTTCATAAAAATCCATCTTGATATAACACTCTTCTAGCATAAAATTCTAGTTAATAACCCCCATTTAAATGAACATAAGTACCTAAAGGACTTTGGTGAAAGATTGTTTCATAGAAAGGGCATCCATGTGGCACAATAGACAGGACATCCACGGTCTTATCTTCCTCCAGATTAACGCTTGTGGTTTCCTGGAAAGTTTTTAAGCACAGTTCATACTAATAACAGCCATGCATCGGCTATTGGATCCTATTTAAAAGCTACTTCACTTGATGATTTTTAAGTATTCAGATTTAAAGTGTCTGGCCCTTTTAAGAAAACAGTAAAATAAAGAAACAGAGATTTTGAATGAGAGAATACTAACACTTATACTTCCAAAACTATTTTTCTTCTTAGGAGGTAATTCAGAGCTAGACGGCAGACAGAACAAATGCTCGGTAACCAGGCAGCAATCTATGGATCAGAGGAACACGAAGGTAAAAGTAATTAAGGCTAATTAAGGACACATTGCAACAGGAGAGGCTTACAGAAGAAAAAAAAATTATACCTTTCCTTTGAATAGAAGTTAGGAATAGCTGGAATGGGGCCTAGAAACATGAAAAAGTACCAAAATAGTCTCAAACATGGAAGAACACTAAAAACCTTCCTTTAGAATAAAAGGAAGCTAAATTCTTAAATACTCAGTTTTTGTTAGCTATTACTTACAAATACATCCTATGAACTACACTTAGGACTATCCATTTCTTTGACACTAAATTATAAGACAAAAGCAGCTCATCAATATACATATCATTTTCTTCATAAATAATTGTATGAAAAAGCAAAGTCAAATGCACCTTGCTTTCCATCTTGGATTCCAGTTTATCCTTACCAGAAGAAAACCTGTGAGTGCAGGGAAAAGGCAACCCTTATACACTGTTGATAGGAATGTAAATCAGTACAACACCTGTGGAAAACAGTATGCCAATTTCTCAAAGAACTAATAGAACTCCCATTTGACCCAGCAACCCCACTGCTGGCTATCTACTCAAAGGAAAAGAAATCATTCTATATTTTTAAAGACACCTGCACCCATATGTTTATTGCAGCACTATTCTTGATAGCAAAATCATGGAATCAGCCTAAGTGTCCATCAGTGGTGGATTGGATAAAGAAAATGTGGTATATAGGCAACATGGAAAACTATGCAGCCATGAAAAATCATGAAATCATGTCCTTTGCAGCAACATGGATAGAGCTGGAGGCCATTATCCTAAGTGAAATAGCTCAAACTGAAAATCAAATACTGCATGTTCTCACTTATAAGTGGGAACTAAACAATGGGTACACATGGACATAAAGATGAAAATAAGACACTGGGGACTCCAAAAGGCAGGGAAGGTGGGAAGGAGTGAGGGCTAAGAAAAATTACCTATTGGGTGCAACGTTCACTATTTGGGTGATGGGTACGCTAGAAGCCCAAATCTCACCATTATACAATGTATCTATGTAACAAACCTGCACATGTACCCCACTGAATCTAACATTTAAAAACATAACTTTTAAAAAAAGAAAATCTATTCTTGGGCACCAAGATATTCCAAACTCCAAACCAATGGCTTTTAACTGTAAATGTACATCAGAATCATCTGTGAGCTTTCAAGACACACACACATACACACACACACACACACACACACACACACACACCCCACACCCACTTTGTTCCCAATTCGAACCATCTGGATCAGAAACTCCTAGGGTAAGCATGGCCCAGGAATGTGTATTATATGTTAAGTCTCCAGAGATGCTAATATGTACCTCCCATCATAACCACAAGCCATCACCATTCCACTGGTGGCAGCTACCGAAATTGTAGATATTATCCCCCAAAGAAGAGTTAATCCAAATACTCCCTCTCATGATCAAGCTGAGAGCCTTCCACAGTTTTACTTTACAGTCTCTGATAAACTATCCCAGACAAGTATAACCTAAATTATTTTAAATAAAAGTCTGTTTGCATACCAAACATTTCCAAAAATAGGAAACAGGATTTGCCCAATAATGATTTATTGTATATTGATCAAGACTAGATTCTAATATCGAAGTCATTAGAGCCTCTTTCCCAATGCTCTGCATCATCTGTACTTTGGGCAGAATGAACCACAGCAGATGACAAAATCATCTCTTCCTTATAGGCCATTATCTCCTGCTGTGGGGATTGGTCAATGAATAACTAGCAATTGGGCACCTATTATAACAGAGCACTATCCAGGTGCTATACTTTCACTTAATCTGTGTTTTTAAGGAAGTTAAAATGCAATTTGACAGTCAACCCATCAGAAAATAGGCAACAGGAACAAAGGGCAAGATATAAGTTTGAAGTCAAAGTTATACAAAGGAGGGAAGCTGTTGGCTGAGCTTATCAGAGAATAATTTGTGGAGGACGTCTGAGCTTGGTCCTAGGAAATAGCAATAATGAGGTTAGTAGAAAAACTTTGAAAAGATCACTTGAACTCAATTTGTAGTTCAAGAAATATTCACTGGAGATCTGCTACATGATCAATCCTGGAGTAGTCAATATGGTAGAAGACAAAGATGATGGGCACCCAGTCCTGTTCCTGAAAGGCTCATACTAACTCACAGCAAAGTACAAGTATTTATCATCTACACAAACAGCTGTTGGAAAAACATGGCAGGCTTCGTGGAGGTGGTGGCTTTTTTAGCTAGGTCTTAATATAAAGGAATTTGACAAGAAGAATATGAAGAAAATGACTTTCTAAGACAATGAAGCAGGCTGTATCTGGGGAATTAATTTATTTAATTTTCTCCAAATTGTATTGTATATATTTGTATATCAAATGCGTTGTTTATATATTTACATAAAGAATATACATCCCTGAAAAGGAAAATATTCCTATTTTAATTATTCAGGCAGATAGATGACCAATGCCTCATAGGCAAATTGGCCACGTGTTCACAACAGCTGTTTGCACCTATGTTCCTCCAATGAGGGAAGAAAACATTGAAAAAACAGGATCGTTGACTTGCCTTCATTCTATGTCTCAACACATGCAATTCTGACTTAGAATTCTGTGTTTATCCAATTGTACCACAAAGCTTGCATTTATGGAAATATAAGACAAAAATAAATAAAGGCACTGGGAAGTGTTTGGGAAACATGACACATGTTAGCTTATAACTCGAGTACATGGCAGAGGCAGAATTCATTTCAATATCAAGTCTGTCGTCACCATTGAGAAAGAAAGGTTTGATAGACTACACGAATCCCAGTGTTTATTTGTATTGAACGGTGTCCCCATCTTTCAAGGCATTTTAAAAATGTATTTATATCCTTTTATGTTCTGAAAAATTCCTTGTTACTCCCATTATATAGATAAGAAAGTAAATGCAAGAAAAGCCCATTATCTCACAACTAAATTGGTACCCAGCTTCAATTTCTAGTTAACTACTAATAAAGTGAAGCTTTATTGGCTCTTCATTTAACACTGTGATGTTCTGCCCTTGTCTCTCTGCCAGATCCACGTCTCCACCTTTGAAACAACTGCCTTTGATACCATGCCTAACATATTCTAAGGTTAAAAGGCAGCTTAGAGTGCATTTTAGAAATACTCAGAGGGTTTGATGGATGTTAAAATGCTCTCATAAAATAACATCTTGATATGAGTTAATTGTGAATTAATGAAAAACATGTGAATCCTAATACATTCAAATAACTCATTGGTTCAAAAAAACAAGGCAGGTCTGCTTAGTGGAAAACATGCTGCCAACTCCCAGATATTTAAGCAAAAAATCATGACAGTCTAAATCCAACACATGCTGGATAGGTCTATCTCTGTGCGTAAATTTAAAGAAGGCATTTTTGTGAGTGCTAAACAACCAGTCTCCTGAAAATCAGCCAAGCATTTGGAGATTATATTCTACTGCCCCATTAATACTGTAAAGAAGTCTATGGAATGGCAACGTTCTCTGAAAAGGGTACCTGAATCACCTGGGAAGCAGACTCCCAAAGACAGTGAAGTCTGCCATTTATCAGATTAGACCACTTTCTGGTCTGCAGCAGCTTGAAGCAAAGAAAGGACTATTGGTTTCAGTTTTTCTGAAAACCCGGATCCTCATAAGGAAGGCCCTTCACAGTGAACTCATGCAAGTCCAAATTTAAATTCTGATTCAGCCCAGATGTCATCAATAATCACGGTCAACTCCCACTGGACAACATTAAAAATTGTCACCCTCAGAGACAAACTCATTACAGCTTCCAAAATGGATTAGGGCATTTGAGGTTTCTCTATTCTTAGATTATACCCTAGATCATTTAGTGCTTTGAAAGTCTGAAAGGTCATCAATATCTTTTCTTTGGCTTTGAAATTAATCCAAAAGACTATAGACTCAATATAATAGAGAGTAGTATCATACAAGTTTTTATGAAAAGAATATTCAGAAAATAGCATTTTTAAAAGATTTTCCTGCCACGGTTTGCCAGCTGTAATGATGAGTGAGGAGAGTCTGGAGTTAAGAAAGTCACCTGGGTTAGGACCCTATTTAAGCAACAGAGAGGCTCAACTCAAACTAAAGCAAAAAGGAAACTATTATGTTTACTGGGGTAGGCTCAGCATTGAAGAAAGCTGCTGGAGCCAACACCCCCAGGAACTCCTTACCTCCTGGATTCTCTCTCCATTTGCCTCTCATCCCTCCTCCTCATATGTTGGCTTCACTCTCTTCTGGAAGTTGGCCTTCTCTGCTAACAGGAGACATGGCTACTAGCAGCCTCAGCCTTGCACCACCCCATGAATCACAGGGAAGGATGCTCATTGGTTCTGCTTGTATCACATGCTCAACTTACGTCCCGCGGATGAAGGAGTGTTAGTAGCTACACCTGGTACCCATACACAGCCAGAGATGGTGGGCTTGTGACTAGAGGAAGGACAGTGGGAGTGCTCTCTTGGCAGACTAAAAATAATAATAGTAACAGTGACGGCCTCTACAATTTTACTGTCTTCTACAATGGCCTGATAGATTGTGGAGGCTAAAGGTGTGTCTACTCGAGGAGGCAATTGTGGAAATGTTCTTTCCTCCTTATCACTTGTCAGAAAAGCACTCTTCCTCTAAAGCCAATGTTACAGTGAAGCACCCCAGATAATTTACTGCTATTAACATATTTGGATATGAAGCCACTGGCTGCTGTACATCCCTATCCTAGGGGTTGACTCAGTATGGCTCTTGCTCTTGCTGGAAATAAAAGAACCCCACATTTTATACAATTTTGGTACTCTCACAAGGGGTCCTATATGCTGGGGTTTTATATATGCAGAGTAAATTCTTGGGTTTCTGACCTAAGGCAAATCACTCTTCCTTAAATAATTGCCAATCTCTCTCACCTGTACTTTGATAAAAAGATGGAAATCCTCGAATGAGGTAGTTCTCAAACGTGGGCCCTAATCATTACCAGCATCACCTGGAAACGCAAATTGCAGCATTCCACCAAAGACCTAGTGGAGATTCTGACGCTGGTGCCCAGCAATCTGTTTTAATGAGCTCTCGAGGTGATAGCAAGCACACTGACATTTGGGAACCACTGTTCTACTGTATTTATCACTGACACCAGCACAATCAAATGAATGTGGGAAATGTGAGGAAATTCCCTCTTTCCAAAAAAGACAGACATGCTCCAAGGACACTGAAGTATCTGATGAGTCGAAGAATTGCCAAAATGGTTGCCTGAAAATAGGATATTTTGTGAATGAGACTCATGTCTGGGAATGAGGTATAAAAGGATCATAAAATAAAGGCTATGCCTAGACAAATTATGATATTTTCTTACCAATGTAAGAGTATAATTCATTAAATCAATCCAATTCTGTGCATCAGAAAGAGAGGGGGACAGAGAACAGAAGAGACAATGCAGGAGGAGGAGTGGAAGGAGGGGGAGGAGGAGGAAGTTTGACTATGGTTGTGTTTTGGTTGGCTTTGCCCATTGGATTGCAAAGTAACTCAGAAGTTAAGCAGGATAAATAATAATATTAGCTAATGTTTAAGAAGAAAGGGGGAAGATCTGGTAAATGAGGACAGAAGCAAGGTAAACTATAAGTGATATAACAACAAAGAAAGTGTCATCATACATAGAAAGATCAAGGACAGAACAGACTATAAAGTTGCATGTTATCATTACTATTTTTTTAAAGTGTTATGGGAACAAGAATTGAACGACAGTATCATGAATAGCATTGTAGATTAGATCAATGATTGTTTTTCTTAAAATTGACTCTAATACCAATGTATTTCCTTGTTAAGGTATGCTGGCTGAAGGGTACTGGTGTTTGTCCTAGAAGGTGCTCTGAGAGATTCTCTGTTCTTAGTTCTTATTAGAACTAATACGTTCTATGATCATGTCCTGCAGGGCCTAGCGGTGCCAGGAGGCTGTGCGGCACATTATTGTTGCTTCATGTTGAGCAAATCTACACAGGTGTGGGTTAATCCAGTTTGTCAGGTGTTGCTAATGTGATCGGTGAATCTGACTGATGTGAATTCATTCCAAAAGCCTGGCAGAATTTTGGAGAAAGAGCTAAGTTGCACATCGATATTTTTAAACCATTTTGTTTAAAATGCAGGAGAGACTGGTTGCAGTGGCTCATGTCTATAATCCCTGCATTTTGGGAGGCCGAGGTGGGAGGATGGATTAAGCCCAGGAGTTTGAGACCAGACTGGGAGACATCGTGAGATTCTGTCTCTACCAAAAATACAAAAATTAGCTTGGCATGGTGGCACAGCTGTAGTCTCAGCTACTCGGGAGGCTGAGGTAAGAGGATCGCTTGAGCCCAGGAGTTCGAGGCTCCAGTGAGCAATGTTTGCACCACTGCACTCCAGCCTGAGTGACAAAGCAAGAACCTGTCTCAATCAATCGATCGATCAATTAATCAATAAAATGTAGGGGATACAACGTCTTAAGTCATTTGAAACTTCCAAGTCACATGTATATAGTCAATGGTGTGGTCAGCTTAGATACGAATATTGGTATTAGGAAGAATATGTAGCAAAGACATGGAAAGAACAAAATAAAAGGACTCACAAGGAAATCCTGCTACACTCTAATCACTGGAGTCACATAAGATGTTGCTGACAATGGAACAACATTAGGAAAATAACATGCAGAATGTGAACAATTAAGCAAATGTCAAGTGCAGAGGGCCAACCCCTATAAAGAATAAATAATTGGTGAAGCATTTATTTCTTTAGTACCCAAGGGGAAAATAAATAGAAATGGAAGAAATAGAACTTGCTCAAAAGTGGTTTGGCAGTCTGAAGAGCAGCTGGATTTAATTTAGCTTTCCCAAGAAAAGAGAGGGATTTGGAGTTAACCCAACTTGACTGTTCAGATTAACTCAGCTTTTATACATTCATTCATTCATTCATCAACAAACCTCCACCAAGTGGCCACCACACACCAGGCAGACAATGTGCTAGGCTTTAGGGAAGCCTGTCCCCATGCCTCCCCTCGGCTCCTCTCTGCCTCTTCCCCATCCTTTCATTTTGACACACTAACTCTTCCCTGAGGAGAAAGTATGCAGCCACATTCCACACTATTCAATTGTTAGACCACCTAGGATAATCTGAATAAACATAACCTATAACCTAAAAAAGTTCAATTTTTAATGCATCAGTTGGAATCAAGTTCTATTTCTTAGTTAATCAAAAAGTAAGTCTCAAGAGATTACTTCTACTTTTGACCTAGTCCTGGAGAAGGCTCTAAGATACTAAAAGGGAGTTAAAGAAGCCCAGTGCCTGCCATTGAAAGGCTTCCTGTCTACAGTTTAAGCAACCAGAGAATACAAGATCATTTAAAATGAAGAGGCAAAAAAAAAGATAGCCTAGAAGATAAAATATTAGAGGCTGGGTATGGTGGCTCATGCCTATAATTTCAATCCTTTGGAAGGCCAAGGTGAGATGCCAGGAATTAAAGAACAGCCTGGGAAACATAGCAAGATGCTGTCTCTAAAAAAAATATCCAGGCATGGTGTTCAGTGCCTGTAGTCTTAGCTACTTAGGAGGCTGAGGCAGGAGGATCTCTTGGGCCCTGGAATTCGAGGTTGCAGTGACCTATGATCACACCACTGGACTCCAGCCTGGGCAACAGAGTGAGAACCTGTTTCAAAAATAAAATAAAATAAATATTAGAGAGAGGAAACACAAAATACATACATCTTTGCCTATCTTTCCTAGCTAGTTTGACATTGCAAGAACTAAAAGAGAAAGTAGCAGGCACATGTGGGTTATCAATGCCATTCGTCAAAAGTAATAATTGGCAGTTAGTATCTACTCTTCTTTGTGTAATGTCTTCCAGGATGTTGGGCACATATGAATCAGGTGTCTTCTTTCCATTCAGTGGTGTTGAGACATCTATGCATCTGGCTATTTCAGATAAGGACTGTGAGTGTGGAGTCTTGATAAATTTACAGCATTCTGGCCTTTTCAAAAGAAAGTGAGTTTTATTCCAGCAGATTCAGGGTATAAAGAGAGCTGCCGCCTATGCCCCTGCCATAGACCCTAGATAGCTGCCTTCCCCCACCCATAGTGATGCCTTTAAGTTTGAGCATACACCCACATAATCAAAAAGTATAAACAAAGAATCAAGTCTGGTGAGGAGACCCCAGCCTGACTCAAAGGCTTAAGTAGCAGCCAGTGGATTCCTGATGCTTCAGACAGGAGGAAAAAAAAAAAAAAAGATCTATGGTATATCTATCTCTTGTGCCAAGCTAGATTCAGAATCTCGAAGAAACAAAAAAGTCCTTATTTCATGTAAAAGTACACCTAACCTAGCCAACCCTTAACTAGGATTTGACAACTCCTATTATGATAGAGCCTCAAATAAAAAATTATACTGTCATCTGAAAGCATGCACAATTAGAGCCAGATATTGAAGATATAGTTACAGTTTATCTCAAAGGGATTAATTTAAAATACCAGGGAAAGGTCTGATTGCTATGTTTGGGGTGCCCTGACCCCAAGACCTACTATGAAATCAAAATGACTCACCTAATTCTCAGATGAGAATCACATTGCGAGTAGAGAAATTCCAGACTCAGTGCTCTGAAGACAAAAATCTTAAAAGCATGACTATTAAGAGTTGGAAGAACATTAGAGTTTCTACTGTATCTACCATAATCTTCTATTTAATGTATCAATTCTCACTACAACATTCTAGAAAAATGGTCCTCAAGTTTATTTGAACGAGGAAATGATTATCTTCCAACACAATGTTTACGTGAAGAGAAATCACTGGGTGCCTAAAATGATGTGTATTGCTTGATGTCTTTTCCTCATCCTAATGATAAATAATCATTTTTTCGTACCTACGTGTAGAAGAATAACCTATGCCCCTATATGCCAAGAATTTTGATGCCTTCTTACCCTGCCTTTTCCCAGATTATATGAGCCAGTAAATCCGTCATGTGCCTAGCCTATCCATTCACACTAGATAAGGAAGAGATTTATAGAGAAAAAAAAGAATATCACAAGTGTCAAATTAGTATCCACTTTCCAGTTCCAAAGTAACTAAAGATTCCGTCTATGTTAAGTTAGAACCATTCATATTGATTGTGTGTTGCCTTACATACATATTGTTCTTCTTCATCTTTACATCCACAGAGAAGAGTCATAAAATGATACAGTTAAACAACTGGAAAATTCCTTAGTTGTCATCTACTTTGGCCATGCAGAAGAAAATAGAGAGATTTAAAAGAGAAATCCTGGGTAAAATATTTTACAAGGAAGAAATAGAAAGAAAAGGTGATTACATCAGATAAAACTGGACCTACTTATAGAAATGTGAGCCAAGGCCGGGCACGGTGGCTCATGCTTGTAATCCCAGCACTTTGGGAGGCCGAGGTGGGCAGATCATGAGGTCAGGAGATCGAGACCATCCTGGCTAACATGGTGAAACCCCGTCTCTACTAAAAATACAAAAAATTAGCCAGGCGTGGTGGTGGGTGCCTGTAGTCCCAGCTACTCGGGAGGCTGAGGCAGGAGAATGGCGTGAACCCAGGAGGTGGAGCTTGCAGTGAGCCAAGATCACACCACTGAACTGCAGCCTGGGCGACTGCAGCCTGAGCGACAGAGCAAGACTCCATCTCAAAAAAGAAAGAAAAGAAAGAAAGAAAGAAAGAAAGAAAGAAAGAAGAAATGTGAGCCTAGAGAACTGGGAAGTTCCACATTTGCAAATCAGCCACCCAAATTAAAGGGCACAATTAAGACCAACAGAGCTAACAATCAAATACCAAGTAATATGCCAAGTACTTCACAGGTATGAACTCATTTAGTCTTTAAAATAACCTTATAAGATAGGTTCCAAAATTATTTCATTTTACAGATAAAAAATGTGGCTTTGAGAAATATGACTTCAAAATCTACACTCTTAAATTCTGTCATGTCTACCCATAGATACTGTGGTACAGCACTAAATTCAGTTCTGAGATCCTGATGTCAAAAAAAAAATGCAGAAAACAATGATTATGTTAGCATTTTGATTTTCCAACAAATTAAATGGGACCTTCAAAAGAGAAAAATTTTGAGACCAAGATTCAGAAAGAATAAATCATGCCTGGCCTTATGTTACAAATAGTGGATGTATTAACAGGCAGAAAAGAGTTTTCAACATTTTTTTCATAATCTGTTTCTTGTATAATCCTCCAATTAAAGCTGAGGACACAGTGGTGACCTGGAACCCAGCGGGTTTTCCACAAGTGAAGAAGGCACAGAGGCAGAAGAATAAATAGGTCCTCCAGCAGAGGGTCCTTTGTTTGCAAAAGAAATTTTCCTCATCTGGCTCAGTTTAACTTAGGAAGCAAGCCTAACAGGAGAGAACAGAGATCATGAAACTGATTAAAGCTTCTCTTGTGCTGCTTCATGTTCAGGATGAGATAAATGAGATAAATGAGAATAAAATCTGCAATAAAACAACCCGTTGAGGTAGCAATATACCAATTAAACTAAAACTCTTCTCTTGAATTGGGTTCAGCTGCATCTGTGGTAATTCTTATTCTCCTTTCTTCCCTGCGCCACTGCAGGGCACAGAGTTCCCCCTGCACCATGTCCACACACTGCTTTTCTGCATTCTGCTTATGTTGCTATAATCCAGATAGTTATTCATTCACAAATATTTATTGAGTCTCCATTACATGGGGTCCCCAAAGCTAATGGAAGAGTTAGCCTTCAACAACTACCTACATCTGCTCATACCATCCCCTCTTCTCGTTACTATGAAAAAATGTTCTATCAAAGCCCAATCACCCAAGTTTGTATTCTGAATTTTTTTGTCCTCCTGTTTCTCAGAAACCTTCCTCATCCACTATCTCATCTCTGTCATGATCGTCAAGCTTTTCTTTTCTATAGGATCATGCCCTATAACATACAAACATCACTTTCATAAAATTCCTGTCTTTACCATCATCTTCTTAAAGTTACCCATCTAAGTGTCAACTCCCAGCTCCACCCAAGCTTTTTAAAGAGGTATCTACACATCCTTTCTTTGCTTTTTTATCATACAGTCTTTAATCTAAATTACTCTTGATCATGGTTATTTCCCAAAGATGGCCCAAAACAATTATGCTGGTTCTTGTATAAGCAGACTGCTCCTCAATTCAAACAGTAAAGTTTATTACCTCTGCCCTTGACTCGGGTCTGAACCTGTGACTATTTTGGTCAATAAAATACATTGGAAGGGCTGCTATATACCTTGACCTGGCAGCTTCTGCTTTTCTTGGAGTGCTCCAGGAAGCAGCACTCTATCTCAGAAACTAGCCACCATGCTCTGAGAACCCACGCTACATGGAGTGACCATGCATAGGTGCTCACCCATCTCAGGGCCTATGTGTCATCTATTTACTCTTCCAAAGAGACTCGTCTGTTTTCCTGCTCTACATCTCAGTAGTTCCACTCATCCTTCAAATCTGAAATTAAATATTATTTTGTAAGAGATGGCTTGATTTGAAATACTCCAACTCAAATCAAGTACCAGTATTGTAATTTGTCATCAAACATTATATTTCTAATCCATAGTATTTATCAAAATTTGTAATGGATATTGTATTTGTATTTTATATCTGTCTCCCCTAACAAACATAATCTTCATGTTTATGTTGTTCACCATCATGATAGGCAGCTTTTCACATGGCTCCCAGTGATCCACAAATCCTGGTATTCATACTCTTGTATCATACTCTCCATTTGAGCATGGGCTGGACCTAGTGACTCACCTGAAATAAATATGTCAAAAGTGATGGAATATCATTTCCATAATTAGGTTGTAAAAGACTGTGAGTTGTGTCTTGCTAGCTGACTCTATTAGCTTCTCAAGTTGCATGCTTTGACAAAGCAAGCTGCCAAGTTGAAAGGATGCAAATGGCAAATAATTGAGGGCAATCACTGCCCAACAGCCATCAACAAAGTAAATCCTGCCAACAATTATGTATGTGAGTTTGGAGGCAGATTTTTCCTCAGTTAAGCCCAGTGGACCCCTTAATTTTAACCTGTGAAATAGTGGTCCCAAGTAAGCCATGCTCAGATTTATGGCCCATGGATACTATGAGATAGTAAAGAAGTGATGTTTTAAGCCACTAAGTTTTAGGGTAATTTGGTAGGCAGCAATATAATCATTGTGTCTCCAATACAAAAAAAAAATAAATTTTATTGTCATGTTTAGAGCTATTCTAAGCACTTCATATGTATTTATTCATTTAATCATGACAACAACCTCAGGAGATAAACACAATTATTTTCCTATTTACATATGAGGAAAGTGAAGCAGAAAGGTTAACTGCCAAAGTTCACTCAGCTAAGTAAGGATTAGAGTGAGTGCTCAGATTAGATATTTTAATACATAATCATTAATTCATTCATTTAGCAAATGAACGAATAAATGAATAACCCTATTGCTCTGAAAAGCAAGAGAATAAATATTTCAGGGACTACTAAAACACTTTTAGCACTTAAAAAAATTCAGTGAAATTAATCAATGCCCATGTAATGGACTCTCAGTGTGTGTTAGTACTTTGTGGCCCTGTTGTTGGCATAAAATAGCTGCTCCCTTAATCCAATATGCACTGTAAATATTACGTGTACTTTATGCTATCTACAGGTCGGTTTAGGAAATCACGCAGAAGAATCTGGTCATTAGCCAGGATGTATGGCACGAGATTTATGGCTGAGACAGGTGAATCTGACCATTTTATTCGACATAAATTACCAGCTTCAGCTGTAAGCAAACCACTTATCTATGTTGAATAGCTAATGGACAGTTTATAGGATATCTTCTTGTTTCCCATTCTGTGCTGTGCTATGTAATGCCAGCACCTTCACACCAGCAAGTTGGATCATGTGGTTCATATCGGATGACTTCCTTGCTATGATTTAGGTGTGGTTTCCAAATAATATAGTTCCAGAATATGGCTTGACTCCAAAGACTGAGACCAGCCTGATCACACATCTTTACCATATCCCTTATTAGAAGCAAAAATGAACCCTCAACAGTGATCATTTCAAAAGTTTGATTTGAATAAAAGAGAAATGGGTGGGACTAAATTCTTCAACACTAATCCTATTTTACCTCCCGGGATTCTGTGGGTGTTTGGGCAGTAATGTAATAACAAATATGCTGATATGTGTCTGAAAAGAATGTTACATGACCATGAGTCATTATGCCCATTGCTTCAAGGCTGTTTAGGTAGCTGGCAGGAAGTAGTATGTGTCTCCAGAGCATAAAATTGGCCGCAAAGTAGGTAGGGCCTATGAAAATACTGATGTAATGTAAACATTGTATTTCTAAACTATTTACAAGGTCATCCCTACCCTACATGAGAGGTCAGCTCTACCACTAAGAGGTCCCACATGGACTTCTACAATATTCTTTGGGTTTTGGCACTTTTGCAGCACAGCTCACTTCTGAAGTGTGTGGGAAAGGCCGAATAAAGTCATCAAAAGAACCCTTGATTTAGAGTTCATCTGTGGGATTTTCATTCAAGTCAGTTCACTTGGCTATAGTTTACTCAAAAATGAAAATAATCTTAGACCACCTTTTTTTTTAGGATTAGCCTCCTTTCCACAGCTTGATAGAATTCCCAGTGATGATAAACTATCTCTTTCTGATATCTCTCAGGGGCAATTTCACTCTGAGAGACAACATTAGCATATCACCCCATGGTCACCTAAACTTGCCCAGAGATTTTTCAATATCTACACCTCTCTTCTAATTTACATCCTAGTAACTTCAAACTGTGTGGAAAATAAAAAGTAGCATCTCCTCTCCAAAAGTTTGGGGACCGCTACCCTTAATAAGAAAGCATATAGGGAAGGAATGGCAATCACTTATGTATAAATCAGTTAACCTGATTATCCACCTTCTACAACACTCCTAAGACAATGTGTTTATTCTTACTTATAGTGAGACTGCTTTAAATTAAGAAAGGGGCCCTGCAGTAGCAGTTAATATTTATTAAACATTAATTTAATCCTCACAATAACCTGGAAGTAACGGATTTTACAAATGGGGGTTCTCAAATACAAAGAAGTAACTTTCCGAAGATCACGTGGCTCACATTGATAGAGTGATTGAACCACCTTAAACCAGAGACTTAGCCACACCTGAATCTAACTCAAGGAAACATCTCATTCTTCAGCATGACAGGCCAGGTCAGGATTGAGAGGCTAAAGTTTAAATCAGGTCCTCAGCTTCCTTTCTTAGCATGTTTTTCCCACCTCAGCCATCCAGTCCTTTCCCACACTCCAATAAGTCTGTTTTCCAGAAAACACAAGTTACCAGTCAGGATATGTTAAGATAAATCATTGCTTTGCCTCCCCTGAGGATATTTGCATTTAAAACACCTTGCTCTATTTTTCAACCTAAAAGTTTCTCAGCAAGTTGCCATTAAAGAAATTTTAGACATCTATCAGCAAATGTGGAGGAAAGAATGGGCCAGAAATGTGTAATTAAGGCAGAATTTTCCTTCATGCTTCAGAAAGCACACCACATGGAGCTACCAATCCGCTCATAATTTCTTGTCCAGAGATTCCTACCTTGCTGCTAAATGAGGAATAGAAATTGCATCCAAGTCTGTTAAAGTCAGCTTTCGTCCTTTGGGGTTTTTTCCCCAAGTTGGTGGATGGGGGGCTTTTAGCATTCCTCAGCCACTTGGAAATAGAAAGACAGTGCACACATATCAACTTTGTGAACTTTAATTCAGGAAGGAAAAAGGAAATCTACCAGAAACATGAAGGACACTACCTCCTGAGGAGGAGAATATAGGCAAATGGCCCCTATATAGGTACAGCTGATAAAATTGACTGAAGCCCTAGTATGTGAGAGAGGCAGAGAGCCTCCCTCTATGACTCACCTTTCCCCTAAGGATCTGAGCAACCCAGGCCAGGGAGAGCATTTTGTTTCTCCTAAGCTCTGGAGCTAAAATGGGGAGAAGCTTGGACATACTGTGAGAGAAAGACATTGGGAAAAGCTGTAGACATTTTCCCAGGCCAGAACCAAGAGGAGAATGTCATTTTTATTCTGAGTGCATACAAAATCAGCCATTCTTCGGTAACACAGCATCATGGCTGCACAGGCATTTTACTCTTGGGCCAGAGATTGCAGCACCTGCTCTGAAGCAGGGTAGGGGCCTCCACAGCTAGGACTGTGGAAAGTACCTCAGGAGTAGATCCTGGAATTGTGCTCTCCCCCATCACAGGTGTGGAGTGGGAGGAGAGCTGCTACCACTGCAGTTTTTTGGGGTGATGAGATTTGCAGCCAGGGCCACCTTGGTAACCTGAAACTGGTCTGAGTGTGCCATTGCTGTGTGCACCAGCCTGCTCCACTGAGATCATGGTGAAGCAGGGCCCTCTCCACTCTACTCCCAGGCAGATCTCCAGGCATTTAGACCATTTCCTCACCTGGATCAGCAGCCTGAGATGGCCTAACATTGGGGCCCTCTCCACTCCACGCGCAGGCACAACTCCAGGCATTCAGAGCACTTCCTCACCTGGGCCAGCAGCCTAAGTTGCCCAACCTTTCCTGCACAGAGATCCTGGTCCAGGAGGGCCGTCTCCACTCCATGACCAGGCAGATATCTAGGCATTTGGAGTGCCTATTCACCTGGAGCAGTGGCCTGACCCACCCCACCCTTCCTGTGTAGAAATTCTGTTATAGGGAGACCTTCTGTGCTTCAAACCCAGGCAGATCTGAAGGCATTCAGAGCACCTGCTTGCCTGGTTCAGAAGCCTGAGCTGCCCCACCTGCCTGCACAAAGATCTTGGTGTAGGTGGTGGTGGAGGGCTTTCTTCTCTATGCCCAGGCAGATCTTGAGGCATCTGGAGCACTCACTCTCCTGGATTAGTTGAGGCTGCCTGCTTCTCTATGCAGAGAACTTGGGAATGAGGAGATTTCCCAACGCTACACCTACACACACCTCTGGGCACTTAGTCACCACCCACTGGATTCTTCCTCAGAGCTGGTGCTTGTGCCTGCCATTGGGGGACCCATAGATGGATACGCCTGGTCTGGCTCTGACCATCTTGGCCCCCTTTCTCCTGCAGCTGAGCAGAGAGCTCAAACCACTGTGTACTCCATGAATCAACCCATTTCCTGAGGCAACAGAGAGTTTCTTCCAGTAAACAAGGATCAAGTATATACCCAGCATGTTGGCCACAATCTGGCTGTTAGAAGCATGATATCCTGGCTTATAGGTTGAACTGCACAGCCCAACATAAATCCTGCTAACAAAAGTACATAGGATATAGAAACAAAGCCAAAAGACTCTACACAGCATTTTCTACAGTTACACCCTCTATGGAGGAGGAGAAAGGGAAAGGGAAATAAAAAAAAATTACAGGGAAGGAAAAAGAGAAGAATCCTACCTGCATGAAATAATTATAAAAATTAGAAGTTCCAGTATCTCCAGATAAGAAGGAACTAGTGCAAGAATTCTGATACCATGAGAAATCTGAATATACTTATGCCACCAAAGAATCACACTAGCTCTCCAGAAATGGTCACTAACCAAAATGAAAACTCAGAAATGACAGATAAAGAATTCAAAGCATGGATTACAAGGAAGAGTAATGAGATCCAAGACAAGGTTGAAAATCAACACAAAGAAACTTCTAAAGCAATCCAGGAAATGAATGAAGAGATAAACATTTTTAAAAGAATCAATCTGAGCTCTGGGATTGAAAAACTCACTTTCAACCAGGTATTGCGATACACACGTATAGTCCCAGTTATTTTGGAGGCTGAGGCAGGAGGATCACTTGAGTCCAGGAGTTCAAGGCTGCATTGAGCTATGATTGTGCCACTGAACTCCAGCCTGGGAGGCAGAGTGAGACCCCATCTCTAAAACAAAAAGAAGAGAAAAGAAGGGAAAAGAAAAGAAAATCTTACTTAAGGAATTTTAAAATACAATTGAAAGCTTTATCAATAAACTGGACAAAGCAGAAGAAAGAATTTCAGAGCATGAAGATCAGTCTTTCAAGCTGACAGATAAAAATAAAGAAAAAAGAATTTTAAGAAAAGAACTGTTAGAGAAATACAGGATTATGTAAACCAACCAAACCTATGACTTATTGACATTCCTGAGAGGGAAAGAGAAAAAGTAAACAACTTCAAAAACATAGTTTAGGGAATAATTCAAGAAAGTTTCCTTCATCTTAGTAGAGAGGTAGACATTCAGATACAAGAAATGCAAAGAAAACCTTCTAGATATTATACAAAATAAACAGCACCAAGGCATATAGTCATCAGACTGTCCAAGATCAATGTTAAAGAAAAAAATCCTAAAGGCAACTAGGAAAAAAAAGGTCAGATCATGTACAGGGGAACCCCATTAGGCTAACAGCAGACTTCTCAGCAGAAACCTCACTATCCAGAGGAGATTTGGGGGCCTATTTTCAGCATTCGTAATGACTAGAAATTCCAACCAAGAATTTCATATCCTACCAAACTAAACTTTATAAGTGAAGGAGAAATAAAATCATTTCCAGACAACTATGCACTAAGAGAATGTATTACCACTAGACTGGCCTTACAAGAGATCCTTAAGGGAGTTCTAAACATGGAAATGAAAGAACAATACCTGTGACCACAAAACACACTTAAGTACATAGACCACATACCCTATTAGGCAACTACACAATAGAAACTACAAAGCAACCAGCTAACAACTTCACAGTAAGATCAAAACCTAACAAATCAATATTAAACTTGAATGTAGGTGGTTTAAGTACACCACTTAAAAGGCACAGAGTGGCAAGTTGGGCTAAAAGAAATAAGACCCATCCATCTGCTGTCTTCAAGAAACCAATCTCACGCATAATGGCACCCATAGGATCAAAGTAAAGGGTTGGAGAAAGATCTACCACACAAATGGAAAACAAAAAAGAGCAGGGGTGACCATTCATATATTAAATAAAATAGACTTTAAATCAACATCAGTAAAAAAAAGGATGGGGGGAGAAAAAGAAAGGCATTACATAATGATAAAAGGTTTTAATCAACAGGAAGACCTAACTATCCTAAATATACCTGCACCCAACATTGGAGCATACAGATTCATAAAATAAGTACTTCTGGACCCATGAAAAGACTGAGACGGCCACAAAATAATAATTAAGGACTTCAACATTTCACTGACAGCATTGGACAGATCATTGAGGCAGAAAACTACCAAAAAATTCTAAATTTAAATTGAACACTTGACGAATTGACACTAATATATATCTACAGAATACTTTGTTCAACCACAGACTATACAATCTCCTCATCTCCACATAGAACATACTCCAAGATTGACCACATGCTTGCCCGTAAAGCCAGTCTCAATGAATTTGAGAGAAAGGAAATTATACCAGCAATCTCTCAGACAACAGTGGAATAAAGATAGAAGTCAATATCTTTATTGATCCCTAAAAAACCATAAAATCCCTAAATCCCATAAAATCCATAAAATCCTAAAAAACATAAAACCCTAAAAGGGATTTAAAGATCCCTAAAAAACCATACAATTTCATGGAAATTAAACAACCTGTTCCTGAATGACTTCTGAGTAAACAACAAAATTAAGGCAGAAATAAAAAAATTATTTGAAATAAGTGAAAATAGAGATACAACATACCAAAGTCTCTATGATGCAGCAAAAGCAGTGTTATGAGAAAATTTTATAGTGCTAAATGCTTACCTCGAAAGCTAAATCTCAAATTAACAATCTAACATCACACCTAGAGGAACTAGAAAAACAAAAACATACTAACCCCAAACTGGCAGAAGAAAAAAAAATAACTAAAATCAGAGCAGAACTGTACAGAATTGAGACCCAAAAAAATCATACAAAAATTCAACAAAACCAAAAGGTGGTTCTTCCAAAGGATAAACAAGATTGATAGACCACAGGCTAAATTAACAAAGAAAAGAGAAAAGATCCAAACAAGCACAATCAGAAACAACAAAAGTGAAATTACCATCAATCCCACAAAAATACAAAAAATCCTCAAAAACTATTATGAAAACCCCTATGCACACAAACTAGAAAATCTAGAGGAAATGGATAAATAACTGGAAACACACAAGCTCTCAAGACTGAATCAGGAAGAAAGCGAAACTCACAACAGACCAATATCAAGTTCTGAAATGTAATCAGTAAGAAAAAAATCTACCAGCCAAAAAAATTTCCAGACCAGATGGATTCACATCAAAATTCTATCAGATGTACAATGAAGAAATGGTATCAATTGTACTGAAAGTATTAAAAAAAATGGGATGAAGGACTTCTCCCTAATTCATTCTACAAAGTCAGTATCAGCCTGATACCAAAACCTGGCAAAGACACAGTGAAAAAAGAAAATTACAGGGCCATATCCCTGATGAACATAGATGCAAAAATTCTCAACAAAATACTAGCAAACTGAATCCAACAGTATATCAAAAAGTTAATTCACCATGATCAAATAGGCTTCATTCCCAGAATGCAAAGGTAGTTCGACATATGCAAATCAATAAAGGTGATTCACCACATAAACAGAATTACAAACAAAAACCATATGATCATCTCAACAGATATGGAAAAAGCTTTCAATAAAATTCAACATCCCTTCATGATAAAAACCCTCAACAAACTAGGCATTGAAGGAACATACCTCAAAATAATAAGAGCATCTATGACAAACCAACATCAGACTGAACAGGCAAAATTTGGAAGCATTTGTCTTGAGAACTGGAACAAGACAAAGAAGCCCACTCCCACTATTCCTATTCAACATAGTACTTGGAGTGCTAGCCAGAGCAATCGGGGAAAAGGAAAGAAATAAGAGGCATCCAAATAGGAAAAGAAGAAATCAAACGCTCTCTCTTCTGGAAAATATGAGTCTATATTTAGAAAACCTTAAAGACTCTGTCAAAAGGCTTCTGGAACTGATAAACTACTTCAGTAAAGTTTCAGGATACAAAATCAATGTACACTGTACGTCAGTAGCATTTCTATGCACCAATAATGTGCAAGCTGAGAGCCAAATCAAGAATTCAATCCCATTTATAATACTCGCAAAAAATTAAAATACCTAGGAATACACCTAACCAAGGAAGTGAAAGAGCTCCATGAGGAGAACTACAAAACACTGCTGAAAGGAATCATAGATTACACAAACAAATGGAAAAACATTCCATGCTTCTGGATTGGAAGAATCAATATTAAAATGGACATACTACCTAAAGAGATCTACAGATTCAATACTATTCCATTAAACTACCAATGTCACTTTGCACAGAACTATTAAAAACTATTTGAAAATTCATATAGAGGGCCGGGCGTGGTGACTCACGCCTGTAATCCCAGCACTTTGGGAGGCCGAGGCGGGCGGATCATGAGGTCAGGAGATCGAGACCATCCTGGCTAACACGGTGAAACCCCATCTCTACTAAAAAAAATACAAAAAATTAGCCAGGCATGGTGGCAGGTGCCTGTAGTCCCAGCTACTCAGGGGGCTGAGGCAGGAGGATGGCGTGAACCCAGGAGGTGGAGCTTGCAGTGAGCCGAGATCGCGCCACTGCACTCCAGCCTGGGTGACGGAGCAAGACTACATCTCAAAAAAAAAAAAGAAAAGAAAAAAAAATTCATGTAGAACCAAAAAAGAGCTTGAGTAACCAAAACAATCCTAAGCAAAACAATCCTAAGCAAAAAGAACAAAGTCAAAGGCTTCACAACTTCAAACTATACTATAAGGCTATAGTAACATGGTACTGGTGCAAAAGCAGACTCTCAGAGCAATGGAATAGAATAGAGAACCCAGAAAGAAAGCTGCAAACCTACAGTCATCTGATCTTTTACAAAGTTGACAAAAATAAGCAATGAGGAAAGGATGCCCTATTCAATAAATGATGTTGGGATAGTTGGCTATCCATATACAAAAGAATGAAACTGGATTTCTGTTTTTCACCATATTCAAAAATTACCTCGTTAGATTAAAGACTTTTTAATGTAAGACCTCAAATTATAAGAATCCTAGCAGAAAACCTAAGAAACATCATTCTGGACATTGGCCTTGGGAAAGAATTTATGACTAAGCCCTCAAAAGCAATTGCAACACCAACAAAAAATGACAAGTGGGAAGTAATTAAACTAAAGAGCTTCTGCACAGCAAAAGAAACTATCAACAGAGTAAACAGACAACCTACAGAATGAGAGATAATATTCAGAAACTATGCATTCAACAAAGGTCTAATATCCAGAATCTATAAGGAACTTAAACAATTTTACAAGCAAAAAAACAGATAACTCCATTTAAAAATGGGCAAAAAAACATAAACAGACACTTCACAAAAGAAGACATCCAAGCAGCCAGCAAACATGAAAAAATGCTCAATGTCACCAGTCCTCAGAGAATTGCAAATCAAAACCACAATGAGATACCATCTCATACCAGTCAGAATAGCTATTATTAAAAAGTTAAAAAAAAATCACAGATGTTGGTGAGGCTGTGGAGAAAAGAGAATGCTTATGCACTATTGGTGGAAATGTAAAGTAGTTCAGCTACTGTGGAAAGCAGTTTGTAGGTTTCTTAAAGAACTTAAAACAGAACTACCATTCAACCCAGCAATCTCATTACTGGGTATTTATCCAAAAGGAAATAAATCATTCTACTGCAAAGACACATGCACTCATATGTTCACCACAGCACTAGTCACAATATCAAAGACATGGAATCAACCTAGGTGCCCATCAATGGTGGATTGGATTTTAAAAATGTGGTATGGGGCCAGGCATGGTGGCTCACGCCTGTAATCCCAGCACTTTGAGAGGCCAAGGCGGGTGGATCACGAGGTCAGGAAATCGAGACCAACCCAGATAACATGGTGAAACCCCATCTCTATTAAAAATACAAAAAATTAGTTGGACTTGGTGGCACACATCTGTAATCCCAGCTAGTGGGGAGGCTGAGGCAAAAGAATCACTTGAACTCAGGAAGTGGAGGTTGCAGTGAGCCGAGATTGCACCACTGCACTCCAGCACTCTAGCCTGGGTGACAGAGTGAGACTCCGTCTCAAAAAAAAAAAAAAAAAAAAAAAAAAAAAAAAATGTAGTAGATATACACCATGGAATACTACATAGCCATAAAAAGGAACAAAATCATTTCCTTTGTAGCAATATTTATGTATTTGGAGGCCATTCTCCTAAGTGAACTAATACAGGAACAGAAAATTAAATACTACATGTTCTCACTTATAAGTGGGAGATAAACACTGGGGACTCATGGACAAAAAGGTGGCAAAAATATACACTGGGACTACCAGAGGGAAGAAGGAGCAGAGAAAGGGTTGAAAAACTATTGGGTATTATGCTCAGTACCTAGGTGATGGGCTCAATCATACCCCAAACCTCAGCATCATGCCATGTACTCAGATAACAAACCTACACATGTACCACCTAACTCTAAAATAGAAGTCGAAATTATTTTTAAAAAAGAAAAAAAGAAAGCTTTAGCATTTTTTTCTCTTTTTTCTGGGTGAAAAAAACAAAATTCAGCTTTATTATAACATAAAGCTCTACGGCATACCCAGAATCAAAATATATAAATGATGGTTGATACCCTTGGGGACATCAAATCTCACTAGAAAGACAGAGCACGCATATGAAGACATTAGGCAATTCAAGAACAACAGAAAGGAATATTCAATGATGTGTTATATAATTTGGATGTTTGTCCCCTCCAAATCTCATATTAAAATATGATCTCCAATGCTGGAAGTGGGGCTTTGGGGGAAGTATGTGGACCAAGGGGGTGTATCCTTCTTGAGTGGCTTGGTAGACTCCCTGCAGTAATGAGTTCACACAAGAGCTGATTGGTTAAAAGAGCTTGATATCCCTCTTGCTCCCTCTCTTGCCATATGAAACGTCAGCTCCCCTTTGCCTTCCTCCATGATTGAAAGCTTCCTGAGGTGTCACCAGAAGCAGATGCTGGTGCCATGCTTCTTGTACAGCCTGCAGAACCATGAACCAAATAAACCTCTTTTGTTTATAAATCACCTAGCCTCATATATTCTTTTATCGCAATGCAGAATGGACTAACACGCAAGGACTCTCCATTCTTAGAACGTATAGTCTAGTGAAGGAGAGAGGTGCGTTAAAAAATAGAGAAATAATTCAAATTCTAAGAGTGACAAATACTGGGAAAAATAGCACAATAGGAAAGCTGTTATGAGCAGAACTGTGTCTCCCTAATATTCATATATTGAAATCCTAACCCCTAGTACCTCATAATGTAACTATTTTGGAGACAGGATATTTAAAGAGATAATTAAGTTAAAATGATTTCATTAGGATGGGCTATTCCAGTCTATTCCAGTATGACTGATGTACTTAAAAGAAGAGGGAATTTGGACACAGACACAGAGGGAAGACCATGTGAAGACACAGTGAGAAGATGACCATCTACAAGCCAAAGAGAGAGGCCTTAGAAAAAACTAAATCTGACAACACTTTGATTTCAAACTTCTAGCCTCCAGAACTGTGAGAACATAAATTTCTGTGGTTCACCTACCGAGTCTGTGGTACTTTGTTATGGCAACCCTAGAAAATTAATACAGAAGCCTACCTTAGCTAATATTGTCAAGGAAGGTTTCTGTGAGGTGATGACAAGTAATATCGGGTCTGAAACTTAAAGGAGCATTGTCTGTTCCAAGCAGAGAAAATGTCAAGTGCAAGAGACCAGAGATAGAAATTTCAAAAAACAGAAAGAAGTCAATATATCTGTGGCACAAGGAACGGGGGTGTGTGATAAATTGTGTTCTGGAGAGCATAGAAATGCTCTCTCCCATTTCACAGGGATGATCTTCAAGTATAAATAATGGGATGGGGGTGAGAAGGGTAGTCCTTGGATATGAACTGAGGACAATTCTCCCATCATAAAAGGAGGGAAGGTAAAAAATGAGTGAGTAGATACATGTCAGTTTTTATCTATTCTTTCAAAAATAAATTATGAGGCAATGTTATCAGCTGAGGAAGTTAGAAGACAAAAAAAGTCACCTCAGTAAGTGGGAGAGTGAATGTAGGAAAGACGTTAGTAGGATTGACAGCCTATGTTGAGTGCCCATTTTAGATCTGTAGTTACAATTTTAAAGGAAGAAAGCACAGTTGCTCAATTTTCTCCAATGATGCTCAGCTGTTAGATAAAGATTCAAAGTAGGTAGAGTTAATTTTAATCAGGGTTCTGGTGTTACAGATGATTACAACTGGGGACAAAAGAATAAAGGGTGTTTTTTTTTAAAGACTAGCTATAGTATCTGATTAAGAAAGCTACACTCCTCCCTCTTTTCCTCCTTTGTGAACTCAGTAGTCTACAGGGCTTTGTATCAACTGTCAAGAATACCAGTGGTAGGGTAGAATAAAGCCAAATTATGAAGTCTTAAAAGCCCAGATTGGAAATTAGACTCGATCATGGAGAAAATAGGCAGTCATTCATGATATTTTAAACAAGTAAGTGATAAGATTTTAAAAACATAACATGGTTTAGATAAGAGGGAAATTGGCAAAGGAGCAGGAGGTTTCCTCTCCTCTCTTGAGTAATCGGGACTTGTGAGCATTTATATGTTCCTAAGTTTACACAGTAGAAAAGCTATGCCATAGTTAAAAAGCATCCTAGCAAATCAATTTTATCGACTGTGCAAAGTCCAGTAAAGAAAAATTAGTGAAACGTGATTCCCATATTCCAGGGACTTTTGTTATAAGCATGATGACCAAAAGCAATGAATTTTTCCAGAAAATTTAAAATTCCAGTATTATTCCATTGTCCCAAATGATACCCTTATACTCGTTGAACCACAAGCCTCATTGCTGTCTCTGAAAAATATTACTACCATAACAACTAAACCAAACATACTGACGTTAAGAGAACAAAAACAGAATGCAGATTAAAACCTTCTGTAACAAATTCCAAAATACGGGTATAAGCCATTTACTTGTTAAAAATTCCACACTTTCAGAATCTTGAGGTCCTTCATGGGAAGGATAATCGACTTGACATGTTCATACTAATGGCTGTACCATACTGATTTTGCTAAAAAGTTAAAGGAAAAAAGCCATTGCTCAATCATTCAGGCTATATCTGGGAGAGTCAAGATATGCAAGTTTGATTTGGAGATACTGGTTGGGGGTTGAGGGGAGGAACAATTCTAATTGTGTCCATTGATCACTTTCTAGACCAATATATTACTTAGGGTATGGGTCAAGATGCTGTACCAAAGGGTCCCCAATACACAAGTGGCTCAAACAAAACACAGATGCATTTCTCTTCCACATACCAGTCTGAAAGAAGCTTGCTGTATTCTAAGAGCTCACTCAATGGTCCAGGTGGATTTCATTGTGTAGCTCTGTCATAACTGAAGGCAAAGGTTCTTAAATGTTTTGTTCTCAGGATCCTTTTATACTCTTAAAAAGTATTGAGGACTCTAGGCTGGGCACGGTGGCTCACACCTGTAATCCCAGCATTTTGGGAGGCCGAGGTGGGCGGGTCACAAGGTCAGGAGATCGAGACCATCCTGGCTAACATGGTGAAACCCCGTCTCTACTAAAAATACATAAAAATTAGGTGGTGGGCGCCTGTAGTCCCAGCTACTCGGGAGGCTGAAGCAGGAGAATGGCATGAACCCAGGAGGCAGAGCTTGCAGTGAGCCGAGATTGTGCCACTGCACTCCAGCCTGGGTGACAAAGTGTGACTCCATCTCAAAAAAAAAAAGTATTGAGGACTGTGAATAGATTTTGTTTATGCAGGAAATATCTGTTGATAATTAATATATTAGAAATTAGAAGGAAAAAGAAATTTGAACTTAAAAAATATTTAAGTATTAACTTATTTTATAAAACTATAATCAACCCATTGTTTGTTAACAAAAGTAACTTCTTTTATGAATTCTTTGTCATGCAGTTCAAAAGTCTCTATTCCTTTAGAGTCAGTAACTAGTGCTTTATTTTGACCCTTTGGAGATGTCATGTTTCCCTGATTGTTTGTGATCCTGTGGCCATGCACTGATGCCTGCACATTTGAAGAAGCAGGCACATATTCCAGTCTTTACAGAATGGCGTTTGCAAGGAAAGCCCTACAGTAATCAGCCCACACAGAGATTCTGGGCAGGCCATCTGGCATGGTATGTGGCCAGGCCTGGGCAAGTTGGGTGTCTGGGTCAGCAGGTAGGCGGGCTTGGCACTTGGGTTTGCAGGGTAGGACCCAGAGCCTTGGTTCACTTGGACAGGCCTGCAGCTTGGGTCTGCTGGAGTGGGTGGACCCTGGGTCCATGAGACCAACCTGGCACTGGGGTCCACTTGCATGGGCCTGCTCATTGGGTCTACAGGGACAGGCCTGGAGCCTGTATCCACAGGGGCCAGCCTAAAGCCTGGACCCATGGAGGCTAACCTGGTACTGGGGAAGGCCTTCTTCAGCCTGCATATTCAGGGGCTGGCCTGGCACTGAAATGGGCCTAGCACCTGGATCCATGGGGACAAGCCTAGAGCCTGAATCCACAAGAGCTGGCCTAGCACTGGAGTGGGCCTGAAGCCTGGGGCCATTGGGACTGGCCTGTAACTGAGTTTACTGGCATGGTCCTAGGCTGGAGTCTGAGGCAGAGCATGGTGCTCACTTGCTCACTCCACTCTCCTTCTGCCATAGAAAGGGTGTATTTCTCCCCACTCTGCTGTCTAGGGTTGGGGCTGGGGTGATGTAAGTAATGTGAAATTGTCGTTCATACCCTCTTCAATGTATTTTCTTATTTGTGTGCTACACCCAGGTGGTATAATCTCTCATCTGGTTTCTTTAGTTCCTGTGAAGGCATTTCCATGCATGGACAGTTGTTCAAATTGATGTTTCTGTGAAAGGATGGATGAGCGTTGGAAAATTCTATTCCACCATCTTATTGATATTAGTCATAATATATTTCATTTTTTAAATCTTCTTAAAAAGATAATAAAAAGAGTAGCATTGTTTGACATGAAACTAGAAATCAATAATAGGAGGAAAATTGGAAATTTCACAAATACGTGGAAATTAAACACTCCTAAACAATCAATTGGTCAAAGAAATCAAAAGGTAAATTTTAAAAACTCTGATACAACCAAAAATGGAGAAACGTAACATATCAAAACTTATGAGAGGCAATGAAGGCAGTTCTAAGAGGGAGCTGCTATTTAAATACTATATGTAAGCATATAATATAAATGCTTATATTAAGAAAAAAGAATAATCACAAATAAACAACCTAACTTTAAACTTTAAGGAACTAGAAAAAGAAGGACAAACTTAACCCAAAGTTAGCAGAAGGAAGGAAATAATGAAGACCATAGCATAAGTAAGTAAAATAGAGATGAGAAAGGCAATAGAAAATATCAACAAAACCAAGACCTGGGTTTTTAAAAAGATAAATGAAATTTACAAAGCTTTAATTAGACTAACTATGAAAAAGGAAGAATCAAATAGATAAAATTATAAATGAAAGAGAAAACATTACAACTGATAGCACAGCAACACAAAGAATCATAAGAGAATACAATAAACAGTTATATGCCAACAAATTAGATAACCTAGAAGAAATGAATAAATTCTTAAACACATGCAACCTACCAGGACTTAATCAAGAAGAAATAGAAAATCTGTACAGAACAATAATGAGTAAAGAAGTAGAAACAATAATCAAAAATCTCCCAGAAAAGACAAGACAAGCTCAGGACCAGATGGCTCTACTGGTGAATTTTACCAAACATTTAAAGAATTAATGTCAATTCTTCTCAAACTCTTCCAAAAAATTGAAGAGAACATTTCCAAATTCATTTTTCAAGGCCAACATTATCCTCATACCAAAGCCAGATAAAAACATTATGAGAAAAGAAAATCATACTCCATTGGCCCTGATGAACATAGATGTAAAAAATTCTCAATGAAATACTCAAAAACTGAATCCAACAGCACATTAAAAGGTTCAAGTGGAACCTATCCCTGGGATGCAAGGGTGATTCAACATGCAAAAATCAATAAATGTGATATACCACATTAACAGAATGAAGAATCAAAACATATGATTATCTCAAACGATGCAGAAGAAAAGCATTTGACAAAATTCAACATCCTGTTATGATAAACACTTTATTAATTCATTTCTTAAAAGCATGATAAACTCAATGTTTGTTAACATGTTACTTATTTTATAAAAAATAAATATATCTTGGCCTGGCGCACTGGCTCACACCTGTAATCCCAGCACTTTGGGAGGCCGAGGCGGACAGATCACGAGGTCAGGAGATTGAGACCATCCTGGCTAACACGGTGAAACCCCGTCTCTACTAAAAATACAAAAAATTAGCTGGGCGTGGTGGCGGGCGCCTGTAGTCCCAGCTACTCAGGAGGCTGAGGCAGGAGAACGGTGTGAACCCAGGAGGCGGAGCTTGCAGTGAGCCGAGATCGCGCCACTGCACTCCACCCTGGGAGACAGAGTGAGACTCTGTCTCAAAATAAATAAATAAATAAATAAATCTTCTAAAAAGATGGTGAAAATGAGTGGCATTATTTGATATTTTTGTAAATCTTTTAAATATCTGACTTACTAGAAGACAGATTATCATTATTATTACTATGAAATATTTCTGCATTCAATCTGGTACAGTTAAGTTGTTTTAGTTAAAGTATGTAAAGAGTGGCCTGGTGCGGTGGCTCATGCCTGTAATCCCAGCATTTTGGGAGGCCGAGGCAGGGGGAATCACGAGGTCAGGAGATGGAGATCATCCTGGCCAACATGCTGAAACCCCATCTCTACTAAAAATACAAAAAATCAGCCAGGTGTAGTGGCGCGTGCCTGTAGTCCCAGCTACTCGGGAGGCTGAGGCACGGGAATCACTTGAACTCGGGAGGCAGAGGCTGCAGTGAGCCCAGACTGCACCACTACACTCCAGCCTGGTGACAGAGCAAGACACCATCTCAAAAAAAAAAAAAAAAAAAAAAAGAGCATGTAAAGAGCAACCAGCCTCACACAAATATAGCTGGGAAAGGGATGAATACTCCTTTTCAGACAATTATGAATACTGTTCTTTGATACTACACCAAAACTCAAATGGTAGTTTCTTAAAAGTTAACTGCTGTGTGGAATCTGAAACCATATCAATAAACTTTTAATACTCTATTACATTAAAATCCATTAGAATGGTGGTAATTATACAACTGATTACATTTGTCAAAACGGATCAAACAAAAAACAAGCAAAATTTATTATTTTATAGTTCCAATGGCTCTTTTACCCATGCACAGATTCCTAATATTTTGCATTGGTTTTTAGAAATTACTGGTTCACTGAATTATGCAGAACTTCCAAATTTTGACACGTTTTATTACACAATATCAGAAAATCACATTTAATATTATTGCTAGTCTCATCAGAAGCATTTTAAAATATTGGGATGTTGCCAAGTTTATAGTAACAGATAGATATTTTCCAAAATTAAAATTTCCTCTTGAAAACTCAAATTTTATCACTGGTAACAAATATTGTCAGTTTTTTTCCCTTGAAGTAACAGGCCCATTTTTAAAGAAATGTCTAAATAAACATAACTTGACAATCATTCTTTTTTTGTTTGTTTTTTTTGTTTTCTTGTTTTGAGATGGAGTTTCGCTCTTGTTACCCAGGCTGGAGTGCAATGGTGTGATCTCGGCTCACCACAACCTCTGCCTCCTGGGTTCAAGCGATTCCCCTGTCTCAGCCTCCCTAGTAGCTGGGATTACAGGCATGCACCACCATGACTGGCTAATTTTTTTTATTTAGTAGAGATGGCGTTTCACCATGTTGGTCAGGCTGGTCTCAAACTCCTAATCTCAGGCGATCCACCCACCTCAGCCTCCCAAAGTGCTGGGATTACAGGTGTGAGCCACTGCGGCTGGCCGACAATCATTCTTTCAAGTAAAAATGGTGTTATATGTGAAAAGTGAGTAGTTCGACTCACAACTCTCTAACAATCACCCGAGTCTTTTTCCTGGAGACAACATGTATTCATATGCATCAGAAGTACTTATGCATATTCCCTATTGTATTACACAGAATCTTTTTTAAAAGTGTGCTCAATGACAGTGATTGAATTAAATCGATCATTTGTAAGTGCTTCCTCAAGGACATTCTTTACTGAAACTGGCATTTTGTTTTGCTTTGTTTTATTGCAAGCACAAAGCTGTGAAGAATGTTATGAATCTTGGCTCTACCTCATGTCACTGTCTTGATTCATGCTAAGAAACCAGCAGTTCTACCCACCATTGCTTTTGTACCATCCGTGCAAATGCAAAACAGTGAAAAGGCAAATAGCATTTTAGTGTTATTATGAAAACAGCTTTGGTTTCCTAGACTCCCTGAGAGGGCCTCAGGAATCTTCAGGTGTCTGCAGAACACACTTAAAGAACTGCTGCACTAGGGTAAATAGGGGAAAGGATAAGGTACAGGGCAAATCTTTCTTTTTTAAGAAAGTGACCACAAATGTAAACTCTCACATTCCTTTAGCGAGAGCCTAGTAAAATGGCCTCAATTGGCTTCAGGACAAACTGGGAAAGGTACTCTGAAGAGGCAGCCATATTACATGGATGAGAGAAAGAACAGATTTGGGGATATAATCAGCAGTCTGCCATGCCCACCCAGTTAAACAACGAGCAGGTCAAGTGTCAGGATAGTCAAGGACCTCTAGACAATGGAGGACATAGGAAGCTGCGCTTTGTGCCTGGTACCAGGGTGTAATGCTGGTCAGGGAGAGCTAAGACATCATGAAACAGGATCAGAGGAGTAGCTATATCCATTCCTATGGGAGCCAGCAGAGTGGAGTACCAGGAAGAGTGTCCTCAAAATGAGTCTCAAGCACTGCAGCCAGGAGACGATCACTGGAAAAATGTAGAACGGGGGCCACAGAGAGAACAGTGGGACCCTCGAGGCAGAAAAAAAAGGACAGGTCATTTGTGGGCTTCAGTGAGCATGTTATAGGGCACCCAGTGACCCCTTCAACTAGAAAGAATTTTGGATTGCAGCAATATCACTAATTGGGCTGAGCTAGAAATCAGCTGCTCTGTGACTATTACCGTGATCTTACTGTGTCCTAGGCAGAAGAGCTGGAGTAAATCTGGGTTTATTGTGTTTTTCTAGCTCTACTTCTTCGAAACATATTACTATTGAAGAGTTGAGTTCCCATACTTTATTTGTATTCCCTTTTCGATTAGCAACAAGAACAGAAGAACCAATTTTGCAGAAAGTTGCCATTCTGCAGAAAATTGATGTGAACTTAGCAGACAAAGGTAAAGAAAATAGAAGTAAAGGTAACTCTGGTCACGGAGAACAAATTCCCGATCACAGCAAGCATACTGAAAGCCGAGGCTAAACCAACCTTGCAAATCTAGATAAACAGTAAATCTGGGACCAAAGGGCTTTTAACTGCTGAACTTTATCTGATATGCCAGCAAATGTACACAGAAACTGAAAGAAAAGGCTGGAAGGCATTCATTTTGAGATCAGACCTAGATCAACTGAGCGGTCATAGGTCCTCAGGCTTCATTCTATCAGCAGCAAACAGAAAGCCTATAGTTACCTGGGAAAAGGAGCTTGTGACAAAATAATTGTCCAGAGGTCATGCTCATTCACAGTTTTTCCTGTTTTTCCTGGAGGAGCTAGCACTCTCTTGCCCTCCAAGGGAAAGCAGCTTATGACATATTATTTTGGTATATTAGCTTAGATAAAAGAACATACAGACAATAAAATAATAGAAATGAATGACATATCAGAACCAAGGAAATGAGAAGGAAACTTATATGCCAGCTTCCAGGGTTAATGCATTCCCTGTAAATGGGCACAATTTTGAGTCCAAGTCTTTTGGCAGTTGGGGCAAAAAGGTAAACATAATTATTTACATAACTCCCATTATAAGAAAGGAGGGAGCAAATTTTTGTTGCCACTACACTCTCAAATAATTTTTCAAATAAAATCCTTTAATGGGAATCATTGAGCTACATATTGAGGAGAATGTTCATTCTCCTAATACCAGTGCTGCGGTCAGTGCAAATCAATGCTCATTTAACCCTAAGCCTATGGCTTATGTTACTGACCTTTGTGCAGATTTTTCAAGAACCCACAAGAGCGTAACAAATTCCATATAGAATGAACTAATTGTGGCTTTGGAATTATTCCAATTGACCTGATATAAATCTGACCTGGCAATACTTGACAATGGTGTAGGGAAACCCATGCTACCTTGGCGTCTGGTTGGAAAATACTGTCCCCAAGTAAATTAAAAGGTCTAGTCTTGTCACCAAAGTTCTGGGCCAACACCACCAGCTTCTACGACAACTATTGATTTTAAATTCTGTAGCCTTGTCATAAAGTCCTGACTCTGCCAGCATTCACTGTGAAATCTGGAGCGTGTCACTTAAACTCTTGGCATGGCAATGCCCTCATTTCAAAAACAAATAATGAGATAGCTACCATCTTTTGAGACCCTACTCTGTACTAGTCACTAGTTAATATCTGCTTTCCCAGCTGGATTATAAATTCAGTGAGGGCAAGGAGAGTATTTCTTTTGCCCACCATTGAATTCCCAACAACTAACATGGGTTCAGCATAGAAGAAGGTTCATATTTCTTCCTTTCTGTTTTAACTAACCAAAGGTCCACTGTCTTAACAACCCTGAAAGTAACCATTATTTCTATTTTTCAGCTGAAGAAATTGAGGTTCAGAAAGTTTAAGTGACTTTCAAGGGGTCACACAACTGGTAAATAGAGTGGCCTGGATTTAGGCCTAATCTGTATAGCCCCAGAGCCTAGACTAGTTCCACAAGGGTGCAGAAATGGAAACAGACTGGAGCATGTCCCAAGACTCCTCCTGGTTCTGAAATGCAATGATCCCCACGATTGATGGGAAGCCAATCTCCCTGTTTTGTGAGGCTCCTCAACAAATTTTCATCACTTTATGACCCAGAGACATGGCCACAGCAAATTTTGGCCTCTGCCAGAGTGGCAGGGCTCCACTGAGGCAGGTGAAAACCAAAACATGTCACTCTGGGAGGGTCTCCACTTATTTAGGAGGCCTCTGTTTATTCAGGTGGACATTGCCCACTTCCTATTGCTACCTTAGGGGACCTAAGTACCACATCCCAAGTTCAAAGACCTAGCAAGGATGAGCATCACTCTGAAGCTAATTGCTCGAGTTTTAGAGAGCTGTATAGTTAACATCTGTTGACAAAGCAGTCGCTAGATGTGTGGGGCATGGCACTGTGTGCTAGCTCATGGTCATTTCATTTTGAAATTCAAAGTAGAAGGAAATATTCAGCTTAGCTTTAACACCTAGTTTTGAGTGTATTCTTAAACAACTCCTTCAGTCCACATGTTATTTATGACAGATAAAATCCTTCAGTGGCTTCTTAAAAATATTTTTGCTATTTGCTGAGGACTAGCATAAAGGTATAAAACCTCTTACAAAGTGCTAATAGGAACAAGACACATGTTTTACTTTATTCTTAGCAAGCAAAAGTCAACAACTGTCTACTCATCAAACGCAGCTGATTCATCATTTCACCCTCTACCGTCTACACTACATACTCTTTTTTGTTCTTGCAACCAGCATATTGTGCTTGTAATGAAACAAAATAGACAAGGAAATAAGCAGATTTTTAAAATAAGTTGCATGACAGACAGTAAAGGGAGGTATCATTTGTTAAAGCTTTTGTTTCACCATATGAACATGAATATAGCGTTTCTTATATTTTTATGTATTTGTTTTTACTTTTATTTTAGGTTTGGGGGTACATGTCCAGGTTTGTTATTAGATAAATTCATGTCATGGGAATTTGTTGTACAGATTATTTTGTCACCCAGGTACTGAGCCTGGTACCCGATACTTATTTTTTCTGCTCCTCTCCCTCCTCCCACCCTTCAATCTCAAAGAGGCCCCAGTATCTGTTGTTCCCTTCTTTGTGTTCATGAGTTCTCATTATTTAGCTCCCTCAGTGAGAACATGTGGTATTTGGTTTTCTATTCCTGCGTTATTTTGCTAAGGATAATGGCCTCCAGCTCCATCCATGTTCCTACAAAAGACATTATCTTGTTCTTTTTTATGGCTACATAGTATTCCACGTACACTGCTTACTCTCTACCTGTAGACTGGAATCTAGGAAATTAGGAGACGTTCAGGACCTCAGAGACTAAAGCCAATATCAGGGTTCCTTATTTCTCTTGAGACTCTCTTTCTGGCGGGAGATTCTTTATTGTCCTCATTACATTTCTGGACTATGAAAAATAGTTTCAGCACCTAAATTCAAATCCCTCCCCATGTTCTGAGCCCCTCCTATTATGGCTTTGTTGTAGGTTATATCTCACCTCTTCATCCTACAAATTTCTATTTATTTCACCTCAAAACCCAGGTTTCATTCTACAGACAGAAGTAACGTATCCTTCCAAAGGCATGGTATGGTGACTGTAGTTAACAACAATGTGTTATATACCAGGAATTTGCTAAAAGAGAAGATTTCAAATACTCTTGCCACACACGCAAAAAGGAAAAGTAACTATTTGAGGAGATGCATACATCACTGAGCTTCATTGTAGCAGTGATTTTTATATACATGTATGTCACAAACATCAGGTCATATACCTTGAATATATATAATATTTATTTGTCACTTATACCTCAATAAAGTTAAAAGAACAAAAGTAATGTATCCTTAAAATTCAAAACCAAGGTGATTGTGTTTTATCTGTGTAGTTGATATAGGTCAAAAGAACATGGGCTCCGCTCTCACCCAAATTAAGTAGCCCTGAGCCATGGCAGTGAAGTTAAGAATGGGGAGGGACTAGAAAGGGTCTTACCCTTGCCATGAGCCTCTGCCTTCTCCTACCACCCACTCTTCTCTTGGCCACCAGATACCCACATGGAGCTGGAACTGAGAGACTGGGGCAGGGGGAACCCGAAGTGGCCTCTATTGCTCTGCACGGACACACGGCATTGATCCAACATTGGACAGAAAGGAAATGGGAAAGAAAGAATAGTGGAGAAAAGTAGAAAAGAGAGCAATACATTGAAAGGCAAAGGCAACAAGGGAGTGGAAGAGAGAGATAGACACAGAGTGAGGTAGGAAACCTCAGACCAACCAGCACCAACCTGTCAATACTAACAGTAACATTTACTAAACATTTACTACATGCTAGTACTTTGCCGAATGTGTTACATGCATTAACATTCCTTTATTCATTCACAAATATTTAACTGACAAAATCCCTGCCCTCCTGAAGCTAACACCCAATCAGGCAGTCAGATAAATTGGTAAAATATATAATATTTAGAAGATAAGTGCTAACAATAAAAATGAAACAGGGAAGAGGGATAGTGCGTGTCAGAGTGGGAGAAAAGGGAAGTGGCCACTTTAGCTAGGGTGTCCAAAGAAGGCCTTATTGAGGAGGTGACATTTGAGAAAGACAGCAGCATCAGCTTTGTTCACTCTTGGGCATTTTTGCCACACTTTGAGACCCTCAAAATGTTTGCTTTGTGTTTGAGCTACTTGTGCTTGTTTGGGTTTTTTTCTCTTATTATATTTTATCTATCATTTCCATGTGTTGAAAGCAGAAGGGATTATCAAGGTGTAAAATCTCTACATCAACTTGGCTAGTGTGGTCATTTCTTTGTATCAACGGTGAAAGGACTAAAGTCTTACTCAAGAAGAGCAAATCTTTTTTAAGTTTGGACATCTTGTCTTAAGAAAGAAGAACCAGTGTGTCTATAGTATTAGTCTATATTAGTATTAGTATTACAGTATTAGTCTATATTTCATCCTGCTGATGTTATACAATTCAATATAGACAGCTTCAAAGCATGATTGGAAAAGCAGAAGACACATCATGAGACAGTTAACCTCATTTCATTATATTATTAAAAATCATTTGAATCATCTTACTTGCACTTGGAATTCTAGTCCCATATTAGGACGACCTTGCATAAAATTGAGGGCTGCTATCTATTTGTATAGTTTGTGCCGTTTTGCAAAACTCAGAGACATTGTAGTAAAGTACTTGCCAATGTCACATCAGTGGGTTGTACCTGGGAAATCTGTGAGTATAGACTGGGAAAAAGAGTTAAAGCTGATGAGCTGATGTGTGGATTGATTTCATTACAGCCTCAGGAGGCTAAAGAGAGCAAATTGAAGAGAGAAGGCTTGAGACCCTTGAGAACACTGGAAAAAACATGGTATGCCAACACCAAGACTGAGGGCCTGAAACAGAACAAATATCAATTCATGTGTGTGGGGGTGTAGGAGTGTGCATCTTGACAAAATAATCCCTAAAATGAAATTTTACAGTTAAAAGTACACTTGAAGTGGTAAGTAAAAGAGCTGATAGAGCAATAACTTGACACTCAGCAAGGAACTGCTGCTGGAGGAAACTCTAAGTTGCCTGCCTTCCCATTGGTCAAAAGCATCAGAAGTGAGCTGAGCCCACATGAGCTATTTGATGAAAAGACAGAAGGGGCAAAGCAGGACTCTTCAGGAGCCAGCTCCTGAGATCTCATTATGCACATTTTCAAACCAGCATCCAGTGGTGTCAGGTTGGTAGCTTGAAATAGGTGATGGAGGAGTATTTACACTATGGAAATCAGCAAATGCTACCAATCAGGCCAAGGCATTGGGTTTGTTTTTGTTTGTTTTTCCATGATTGTTAAGTATTTCCCAGCACACCATGAGGTAAGGGAGGGGCTGTTCTGGATAAATCAAATGTTCTTTGTCATGACTCAGAAGCAAGAATGAGAGAAATAATTCCAGAATGCATGAAAATATACAAAAGATATGAGATAAATATCCTGATGATAAGGTTACTCTAGGGAATTGAGTGCCACATTCATTTAAGGCAAGAGCATTCCATTTCAGGACAGGAGATTCTAAAAATCTATTAAACCCAGGATTATCTTAACTTCATTAAAGAAAACAAGGAGCCATAAAGCCTGTGATCCACATAGGATAAGGATTCTAGGTAGCTATTTTAAGAGCTCTTGGAAAGCCAAAACAAATGATTGGCTTCCTCCAAAACTTATTTCATAAAGTCAAGGCCAATTTTCTATTTTAAATTTATTTTGTTAATGCCCTTTAATCCCTAAAGGTAGGAGAAGAGGAAAAATGTACATATGAACTCAGGTTCATTCCATAGCTTTAGCCATATAGCTATCACTGTCTAGATTGCCAATAAAACCCACAAACATTTCCTAATTATCCTAATTATTCTCTCTAATCAAAGATCAAAGCTGTCATCAAGACTGAAGGACTTAAACTGAGTGGGGTGGAGCAACAGTACAAAGAACCACAAGCAAACAAATGTCTGTCATAAAATCTCCATGTTCCTTGCTTAAAAATCTGCAAGCTGATTGAACTCATGTCAAGTCCTGAGGATATATTATATTTGACATCACTCACTACAGAAATTGTAAACTTTCTAATAAATAACATAGAGCAGGATGGGACATTTAGTTTATTTACCTTCATTTATGCAGAACCCAAAAGTATTGCCTGTGTTTTTCCAGGCTCCTTCAGCAAAACTTTTCTTGTGAATTCTTGTAACAGGAAAGCAACAAACAAATACCAAGTAGGGAATAATTATAGTTATTTCTTAAAATGGAGATTTCATTTGTGATATCTGCATTCTTTCTATAGATGCAGATTTCTTTGAGTTTTAGATGGTCAAACCCCTTGTTATGATATAGCATGATGGTTAAAAATAAAGTCTTTGGAGACAGCCAAATCTGTTTTTTTTTTCTCTTAATCTGCTACTTGCTAGCTAGCATTGTGGCTTTGGACAAGCTACTTAGCAGAGATTTTTTTTTCATTTGTATAAATGAGGTTAATAATGCCTAACCCTCATAGTTACAGTAAAGATTAGATAGGAGACTGTATGTTAAGTGCCTCACATGGGGCCTGACTCAGAATGAACCCCCCAAAAATGTTAGTTATTACAGCTCTCTTAGTCAGTCTCCTCATAACTGAGTCACTAGATTAACTGATGCGTGCTGATGTCTGTGGAATACTGAGCACTTACAGCTACTACATTCATCTCCAGTACGCTTGCACACTTCTGCTCCTAACTGGTGTTTATTCTCAAAACTGCAAATTCCAATCAGACTTATTGTTTTAATTATGTACAATCGATTAAATTTTATGTAAACCCATAAAATATGAGTAGAAAAAGACCATTTCTATAAAAACTAAAATGCGTGAATGTAAGTGAATCCTTGGAAAGATTCGTAAACACGGACGACTAGAAAAACAATACTGCTAATATATAAAGTATGGATGAGTTGACTAAAAATAACTGAGGAATTTCTTAACCCTTTAAGGATATATCTAGAAGACTACTTCAGAAGCATCATTAAATTATCCCTCCACTTAAAAATGGATGACTGGAAATAGGAGAGGATGCAGTGTGTGTGTGTGTGTGTGTGTGTGTGTGTGTGTGTGTGTGTGTGTGTGTATGTGTATGTTTTGAATCAATGAATAAGGTAAAGGATTGGATTAATGCTTTGGGGGCAGGGGAGAGCAATGAACAAAGTGAAAGGATTTGGTGTGACTCTCTTCCATGTCCTAGTTCTATGTCATTAGGCAAATTATATAGCCTCAGCCCTAAAATGTGGGTATAGAAAAAGCCCTAAAGGCATGGATTTGAATCAGAATCTTTTAAGGTGCTTTCTAACTCAAGGATTCTTATTTATCACAGTTTTCATAGGAAGTAATGATCCATGACAAAGCCACAGCATTGACCTAAACCAACAAATGCACCACAGGAAAAACCTGGCTTCCTTGTCTCGCTAGTTTCATATTATGATGGCAAATTCACAGAGTTTATAGAGATTTAGAATTTTCATTCTGGTCGAATTTACTTAAATGTATGTAGATGTAGCTGGTGTTCAGCAATGGCATTTATAATCCCAATGTAAGCCAACAAGTCCCAGATTCTGTAGCAATGCTTGGCAGATTTCATCTTTTTTGTGTTATCAATACATTCAAATCTTTTGAAAATCACTCTAAGGATTATCTGCAAGGGCCTACCTCTTTCTGTCTTTGCCTCACTATATAAGCAACAGAAAGAAGAGATGTTTTTTAAAATGTTAGATTATTGCCATTTGGTGGAGATTATCATCTGAGCCCATTAACCAGAGCCTTAAGGCACTGGGCAACCTGCCAACAAAATGAGATGAGCTGCATTAAGATCAATTTGTTAATTTTTAATGAGGCTTCAAAATGCCCTAGTAAATTACTTAATCATTTTAAGAATGCATTGCTGCTTCTTCACTATTCCTCCTTTCTGTACACAAAAAACTAATTTATTTTTAATCATTTCCATTCCTCCTTTCATCCCCCTAAAGGCTACAATAATTTTCTATTACTACAACTAACTAAAGCAGCCCATAAAACTGAAGACCAAATATAATGAAAGTGGATTAAATAGCATGACAAGATTTTCAAAGCAATCCGATTCTTTGACTCCATAAAAAACATTTCACAGTTTTAACATAAGGAGTTAACATATTATGGGTCTTTCTTTTTGGAAGCAATGGTTTAAGTTGTGCAGGATGTTGCACACCACCATGCTTCCAATGAGTTAGATTATATATAAGACTTCATTTCAATTGATCATTTTTAAAATTAACTAAAATTTGTGTGGAACATAACAAAAAAAAGAGGGAAAGGGTTTAAAAGTGAACCATTAACAAAGTAATCTAAATCCATCAGGACACAGGTCTTAGGATATTTTGTTCACTGGGTATCCCCATGACTGCGTAGTGCTAGGCACATATGAGGTGCTCAGTAAATACATATTTTTAAATAACGCTTTAAAGGAGATTCTTTTTTTCCCCTGTGCTTGAGAAACAGTTCAGAAAGTATAATGGATATGCTTTCAATGGATAGGTTGAAGACACTATCAAACCTGTAACTACTGGAAATGAAACCATGACTTTTGTGGAATACAAGGCAAGGGTAGGTTGCATAGCCAATTAGAGTAGACATAACCCACAGACAAGAGTAAGTCCTGTTCCAGTTCACAGAAACACCTCTCTCTCTCCAACCAGAGCAACATGCATTCCTGCTAGCGAGGTCTGCAAATTAAAAGTGAGATGAAGCATTTTCATTGGCTACTGAGTATTAAATATCTGGCAAATAGAATATCTCTCTAACATAACTCAAAATTATTAAAAATCACATCTTCTACTAATTCTACAGGAAGAAGTTAAGATTTACAAAAGTCTTCCAACCACAAAAAGCCACTTTAAGGAACCACGTGGGGCACATGACAATAACAATCGCAAGTCCTCCCTGCTAGGATGTTAGCTCACAAGGGCAGAGGTCTGCACCTCTCTGCTCACCTGTTTCCATAACACCTAGGAGTGACAGAACAAGCACTGGAATTTTAATCAGTAGAACTGGATTCAAATCTAAGCTCTACCAGTTTCCCCCTATTTATAAAAATAATAATAATAATCCGTTCTTCGCAGGGTGTTCTGATGATTCAGGCTCAGGAATCTGCATTTCATATGAAAAGGTGTAATGACTCTCACATGTTGTTTACATAAATAATATTCTGAGAAACACTGTCTCCCCAAACTCCATGTTGTCCAATGAAGAAACTGACACCCAGGTGAGATTAACTGATTTACTAAAGGACTTTCCATTACTTTGAGGAAGGAAGAAATAGATGTAGAACAAAAAGGGGCATGCGAGTTGTGGAGCAAGCACAAACTGTCTTTTGCCTCCCATGGACACTGTAGCCATCTCTTTTAAAATTGATCACTTACTAATCCATACATATAATTATTTTTTAATAAATTTGCATCATCAGAATTGCTGCATCACAGAATATTCACTTTTGGAGGATTTCAATATATATTTATCAAAATTGTCTTCTACAAGGCCTATAGCAATTTACAATCCCACTAGCAGGGTAAGAGAGAAGGGTAATCCACTTCAACCTCCCACCAAATAGTGGGTCAGGAGGCGATAGCGTGCTATCTGGAGCTCCGGCTAAATTTGCTGGGGTTCTGCAGAGTCTCCAATGGAAGGTTAATTTTTAGGCACAGCATTTTGTTTTTGACACAGACCTGCGGCTGCATCTTGGGCTTACAATATATTTTGGTCAGTTTGTTGTATCCTTAATCCTTGCTACTGATTTGGGATAAAACTAGATTATTTCACAAGAACAGTGGTTGCAAATGAGATAAAACCACAAAATCTTACTCTCAGGAGAAGCAAATTGAAAATGGTTTGGATGATGAGTTTCAGTCAGCTTTACTACATGAGCCAGAACATAACATAAACTCAGAGTAAAAGAAATTAGAAATGGAAAAAAAACCAGTTCCAAAGACTAAAAGTGAATAAGCCAAATATCTGAAATTTAACAATTTTTCATATTTATACCCATCACTTGCAATAGATGGAATTGCGTCTGTTCAGTCGGCTTGTGTTTTTTTGTTCATTGGTTTTTTATCAATATCCATCACCCAAAATACAGCAACTAAGGAATTTCTGCAATTGCTAAGCATAGAGCTTACATAGACCCATCTAAATTAGTGCTACCAAAACTCTGACGTGTATACAATTTACCTGAAGGCATTATTAAAATGCAAATACTGATTCAGTAGGCCTGGGGTGGGGCCTGACATTCTGCATTTTTAACAATTCTCCAGGTCATGCTGATGCTGCTGTTTCCTGGGTCATACTTTGAAAAGCAAGAATCTATACTAAATGTACTGAGGAAATACAGCAGGACATCAACTGTTTATCCCTAAGCCAATTGTTGTCCACAATAGTATCACAGTACACCAGTATGACCATTTCCACTGAAGAGGAAAGTGATAGAATTAGAACAAGCACCTGGTCTTGAGAATCACTTGTGTACACCACAACCTATGCTATCAGTGACCCAACCATTAGTTACTTGACAGGGCTATGTTGCCTTAAGAACTTGTGAGCAGGTGTGTGGGGCAGAAAAGAAGAAAGTGAAAATAATCACCTCAAGAACTTTTCTGCCATAACTTGAGAAGTGTACTACTTATTTTTTAGCCCTAGAGCTCCTTCCAGAAGGGGATCTCATCAGGTTGATTAAAAAAGACATATCACCAAAGTTATTAGTCATTTAAGTGGGCGGGGGGACAAGATGATATTGTGGAAATTTTAAGCATACCCTTCTATAGATTGACATTTATGTGCAATATATATGACCCCTGGTTTCCCAAGCACCATAGAGAAAGAACAATTTTCTAGCTAATATAGTTGAGATAAACATGAGCTGAGAAAAACAGTTCTAGAACTATTTCCAATGATTTAAGAAGTAACATGATATTCCCAAAACAAAATTAATTTTTAAAATAGATATATTTCAATTAGACATTAGAAGAAAAGAGAGTGATACAAAAGCTGCCATAAAAAACAATTTTTAAAAATTATTAATTTAGATATAATTATTTACTACCTCCTCAGAAGCATTGAAAATTAACTGGACTATGGAAACACATAAGAAAAGTCAATGCGCAATGACTAAGTGTACTATTTCTACATAGTTCACTGAAGGACTGGCTTTGCAAAAGCCACTAAATTTTACCTACATGAGTGACAAAGTTCTATTTCCAATAATCAAAAAATATCTGGCAGCAGTAAATTTTACTTGGTAACTTATAATAATCAAATTTAGGAGTATATTTTCTAATATTTTAAGAAGCACACCTTGCCTTATACATGGAAATACGAATTACTATCGTTAAAGTAATAACCACAGATAGTATGTGTAGCTATCATGTGGTTGTATTTGAGAACAGAGTTTCTTATCCCAAGCTTTAACCTCGGATATAATCCCTTCTCAAATGCCCTGTTAGGGTTTCTTTCTGAGCCTCTTGCACATTCTTTGGATTTATTTAATGATGGATTCCTTTGAGAATGGCTTGTATTTTTAAAAATAGCCAAAAGCCATTTGAAAACAAGGATAATGGACAAGGAAGGACAATAAATACTGTTTGAGGGAAACAGAAGTAAATAACTGGGATTGATTTTCTTTTGTAGCCAGTGAGTGCATTCTGAGGCCATTCTGAAGTTAGAGCTCCAAAAATATTTTGAGCCGCAAAAGTGTTATTTGAATAGCATTGTGATGACTTGGAAGACTAATACATATTTAAAGATTATTTTGTTGAAAAATTGATTCATTGCTCTTAATCCAGTGTCAACACATCCACAAGGGTGCACAGATGGGTTTCAGGGCAATCTCCTGCAACTGCATGTCAAATGTGGTAGGTACGTGCCTTTGGGTTTATTTGTTATCAGAGGAGAAAACTGTTCTCATCAGAGTTTCAAAAATGTTCATAATTCACAAAAAAGAAGCAAGTTAGGATGTCCTGCAGATATGTGTGCTCAGGCCACCTACTTACTTGCAGTGTAACCTTGAGCAAATTACTTAAACTCCCTAAACAGGAGTCTCTTCCTCCATAAAACGGTGATAATCATATCTATCCGGAAGATTGGCATGAGAATTAAAGTGAATGCAGTGCCTGGCACATGGTAACAACTCAATAAATGGTAACCTTGTTGATACACAATTGTATAGCCTTAACATGACTTAATTTCTCAAATATCCTGTTCATTGCCAAATAGCCTTGACTCTCCTTGTGTCATTTCATCCTTCTCTCAAGGCTCAGAGAAAAATGGTATCATTTTCCACACTGACTCCCCCAATCTCTCCATCTTGTTCCTTCATGTTTCTTGGATCTTACTTTCTCATTGCTTCCTTCAACATCTTTCATCTCTCTTCCTCTGCTGTGTTCTTCTCTCCATACTAGTTCCCCACTTTTTGCAAAATATTTTCTTGCCATAATTCTATCTATAATTGTATACCTCCTTTTCCTTTTACCATCTCTTTTTGAATATGTGGTGGGCTCCAATGTGTCCAGTTCTTAATTCTTAAATGGCTAAATATGGTTTCTGCATGTGAATGAAAATGAAAGGTCAGCAGTTACATTCCCAGGAGCTGACTTCTCTCGCAAACTGCTGGTCAGAAACAAGGCTGGTGAACGGTTCTGATGAGGCTTCATTTGGGCATTGTCCTGTGTATGGAGACAAAGATCTACTGCAGACCTTGTTGCTAATGTATTCTCAATTCCTCAATTTTATTCGTGCTATCAGAACAAGCTCCATCCTAACTAGACTATGTGATGCTCTTTATCAACTAACCAGCATAACATGCACACTCAACATGAACAGATATCCAGAAAGAATGACTTCAAACACTTTCAAATGTCTTCACATAGCTTTTCTCAATTCTCAGCCTGTGGTATTGCTTATAGCATTGAGTGTGGCAGCCTTACCTCAAGCTCCATAATTTTTTTTTTTTTGAGTTGGAATTTCACTCTTGTCGCCCAGGCTGGAGTGCAGTGGCATGATCTCAGTTCACTGCAACCTCCACCTACCGAGTTCAAGGGATTCTCCTGCCTCAGTCTCCCAATTAGCTGGGATGACAGGTGGTGCCACCACCGGCTATATTTTGTATTTTGAGTAAGACAAGGTTTCACCATTTTGGCCAGGCTGGTCTCAAACTCCTGACCTCAGGTGATCCACCCACCTGGCCTTCCAAAGTGCTGGGATTACAGGTGTGAGCCACCGTGCCCAGCGCTCTATATTATTATCGCTTGCATCTTAACACATCTACTCAAATACAATATCACTAAAACTGAAAATAATCAATAGCTAAATTTTCATCCGCCTGAAACTGGTTCTCCTACTCCACCTTCTTGAGTCTCCAGTTTGTGCCAGTGTTATCACTCAAGTTCCCTACTATGAAAAAACCGACCCTGGTGATGAGTTGACACCATGAAACAGAGACTCCAACAAGGAGTAACCTGCAGCACCTCTCTTCCCACTCCTAAGGGATCAGCTATCCCAAAGCATTTGGTCCTCTCCTTTCAGTTTAATCTGAAATTAGCCTAGTCCATTCCTAGGGCATAGATATGAGGTCTCCTATTTTAGGAACTAGGTCTTGCTCTGAAGGTCCAAATTTCTTGAGGTCAAAAGTAATTAAATTTGGAAAACTTTCCATTATGGTGAGCGAAAATCTCCAATACAATTAATTCAGAGTTTTAATAGGGCTTTTTATGATTTTAATAATGCTATCCATATTTGTAAGCAAATTAGAGCTTCAAAAGACCATTTCATCTCTTTCTATATTATATATGTGCACATACACACAAACACACACACACATAAACATGTGCAGTTATTTATTAGTCAAAGATTTATTGAGCAACTTTCATACTCAAGTTAGGTTGTTAGGCAAATGGGATACGAAGATGACTAAAATATCATCTCTGTCCTGGAAAAGGTCATTACTAGAGGAGACAAATATATAAACAAATAACATCGTAACAATAGCAGTTGTACTAGCTAACTCTTGCTGTGTGCTTCCTGTTTGCTAGACACTTTGTCAAGTGCTTTACATGGATATTTTATTTAATAGTGTGCAATAATACTACAGGTAGGTACTATTATAGATAAACAGAGGTTTTAAAGATGTTGGGTGCCTTGTCCAAGCCTATGAATGGGCAAAAGCTTCAAACCTAAGTCTGTCTAACCTGTAAAGCAAACTTTGAACTAGCACATTTTCTTGCATCCAAAATTCTGGAGGAGCAAAGAAACAGGAAGAATGCCATGGGGTATGCAGCAAGGAAGGTGGTTCTTACTCCACAGCTAGTCTTGGACTTACTAGAGAAAAGGGACACTGATTGAGTCCCTAGAACCTAAAGCCTAGGGAATAAAAGGAGGCAAGGAGCAGGGGTCCTTCCAAAGTCAGAGCTGCATTGCTGGGAACTGCTTTATCAATTGGCCCAGGCAGCCCAACCCTCGGTACAAGAGGCATAGGAGGACTCCCTTGCCTCTCTTTGTACCTCTCAGTTAGGTTTACCAATAGCTCAGACATTGTTGATCTGTGTTGTCATTCCCATTTATCACTACAGTGTGAGTCATTGTTTTCCCATACTGCTTCTTTGAAGAAGCAATAGATGTGATCCACACCCATTTTACACTGGTCAGCAGCACTGGAATTGAGGAACAACCAAGGACAGTTACACAACAAAATTTTTGGTAACACAGGCCTAATATCTGCCTCATAAAACTTTTCTATTTTTTTTTTTTTTTTTTGAGACAGGGTCTCACTCTGTTACCCAGGCTGGAGTGCAGTGGTGCAATCTTAGCTCACAGTAACCTCTGCCTCTGGGGTTCTATTTATCCTCCCACCTCAGCTTCCCAAGTAGCTAGGTCTACAGGTATGCACCACCATGCCCAGCTAATTTTTGTATATATTTTTGGTAGAGGTAGGATGTCACCATGTTGCCCAGGCTGGTCTTGAACTCCTGGGATCAAGCAATCTGCCCACCTTGGCCTCTCAAAGTGTTGAGATTACAAGCATGAGCTACCGTGCCCAGCCTATAAAACTTCTCTTAGAAAAAAAAAAGTTATCAGGTATCTTGAGCTCTTTCAAAAAGGCAAAACAAATTCTTAGTAACATTTATGTACTTCTCATACTTTTTGCTATGGGAAAAGATACTTTTTGCTACGGGAAGACTTTTTAATTGACACATAACAATTGTACATATTTATGGGGTACAAGTGATGTTGTGATATATGTATACAATGTATAATTATAAAATCAGGATAATTGGCATGCCCATCTCCTCAGACACTTATCTCTTTGTCTTCAGAACATTCAAAATTCTTTTATCTATTTTGAAATGTATAATAAATTATTGTTAACTATGTGTTATAGAACACTATTGTGTTCTATAGACACTAGAACTTATTCTTTCTATCTAAGTATAATTTTGTACTTTTTAATCAACCTCTCCCTATTCCTCCTCCCCTTTACCTTTCCCAGCCTCTGTAATCACTATTCTACTCTCGACTATGAGATCAACTTTTTTAGCTCCCAAATCTCAGATAACATGTGGTATTTGTCTTTCTGTGCCTGGCTTATTTCACTTAACATAATGTCCTCCAGGTTCATCCATGTTGCTGCAAATGACAGGATTTTATTCTTTTTTATGGCTGAATAATACTCCTTTCTGTGTATTTACCACATTTTCTTTATCCATTCATTCACTGATGGACACTTAGATTCCATATCTTTGCTACTGTGAATAGTGCTGCAATAAATATGAGAATGTGGATATCACTTCAACACACTGATTTCCTTTCATTGGGATATATACTCAGTACTGGGATTGCTAGATCATATGGTAACCCTATTTTTAGTTTTTAAGGATCCTCCATACTGTATTTTATAATGACTGCACTAATTTTCACTCCCACTAACAGTATATGAATTCCTCTTTCTCCGCATCTTTGCCAGTATGTCTTTTATTTATCTTATTGATTATAGCTATTTTAACTGAGGTGAGATGATATCTCACTGTGGCTTTGATTTGCATTTCCATGATGATTCGTGATGTTGAACATTTTTTCTTATACCTGTTGGCCATTTGTAGGTCTTCTCTTGAGAAATGTCTATTCAAATCATTTGCCCATTTTTAAATTGGATTGTTTGGGTTTTTTTTTTTTTTTTGCTATTGAGTTCCTTATATATTCTGGATATTAATCAACACAGGGAATATTAATCCCCTATCTGTGAATAGTTTGCAGCTATTTTCTCCCATCCTGTAAGTTGTCTCTTCATTCTGTTGTTTCCTTTGCTGTGCAGAAGCTGTATAGTTTGACAGTCTCACTTATCTATTTTTGCTTTTGTTACCTGTGCTTTTGAGGTCTCATCAAAAACATTTTTACCCAGACCAATGTCCTGAAGCATTTTTTCTATGTTTTCTTGTAGTAGTTTCATAGTTTAGGTCTTATGTTTAAGTCTATAATCCATTTTGAGTTGATTTTTATATATGGTAAGTGATAGGGGTCTAGTTTCATTCTTCTGCATATAGATATCCAATTTCCCATGACCATTTATTGAAAAAGACTGTCTTTTCCCAAATGTATGCTCTTGGCACCTTTGTTAAAAATCAGCTAGTCATAAATATGTGGATTTACTACCATAAGACTTCCTATCAAAGGTGCTCAAAGTTCTTCATCCACTTAGTCTTCAAAAAATGTTTTCTGAGGCCCTAATATGCACCTAGGCAGTGATCCAAGTACTGGGGTAGAGCTATAAACAGAAAAGACAAAATATCTGCCCTCAGAAAACTTGTTTACTTGCAAATGTAGCTGGATGAAAACTTAAAACTTAGCTTGATAAGGAACTAGTCCTGACAACAAATTACATAGAATGATAAAAAGGACAAGATGCAATTTCACTTATAAAAAGAGCTTCAAAATGAGTTGGCAAGTGGATGAGATTCTTTTTAAGCTATGATTTTATTGTTTTTTAAAAAACATGTCTTTTTAATTTTTTTTAAATCAAGCTATGTAGAAAATTACAAAGAAAGAAAGCAATAAATCGCCCATATCCTCCTTTCTGGATTCGCTCATGCTATCTTTGATGAATACAATTCCAGACATCTCTGGGCAGCTTTAGACACAGGTAGATATGATGGTATATGAGAAGGATCACACTATATGTGATTTTAGTAGAATTATTAAATAAAACTATACTTGAATTTAAAAAGAAACAGAAATTGGAGTAAAACTGGCTTGGATTATTGAACTGTAAATAAATATTTTTAACGAACAGTAATACTAAAAATTCATCAAAGGGAGGGCTGGAAATCCACATGCAGAAGAATAAAATTGGAACTTTATCTCACACCATATAAGAAAATAAACTCGAAATGGACTAAAGACAAAAATGTAAGATCTGAAACCCTAAAACTACTAAAAGAAAACATAGAGGAAAAGCTACTTGAAAGCGGTCTGGGCAATAATTTTTTTGGATATGACAATGAAAGCATAGGCAACAAAAATAGACAAGTGAGATTGCATCAAAAGACAAACCTTCTTCAGAGCAAAGAATACAAACAGAGTGTAAAGATAACTTCTGGAATGGGAGAAAATATTTGCAAGCCATATATCTGATAAGCAGTTCAAATCCAAAATATTTAAGAACCCAGACAACTCATCAGAAAATAACTTAAAAATCAAATAACCTGATTCTAAAATGAGCAAAGAACCTGAAAAGACATTTCTCAAAGGAAGATATATAAATGGCCAAGAGGTATATGAAAGGGTGCTCAACATCACTAATCATGAGGGAAATACAAATCAAGGCTGTGGTGAGCTATCGCCTCACACCTGTTAGAATGATTATCATCAAAACACAAAAGATAAGTATTGGCGAGGATGTGGAAAAAAGAGAACTCTTGTACACTGTTGGTAAAAATGTAAATTAGTACAGACATTATGGAAAATGCAATGCAGGTTCTTCAACAAATTAAAATAGAACTATGATTCTAAAAATGGTTCAACAAACCCACTTCTGGGTATATATCCAAAGTAAATGAAATCACTATCTCCAAGCGATATCTGCACTCCCATGCTCATTGCTGCATTACTCACAATAGCCAAGATATGGCAACAACCTAAATGCCCACTGACAGATAAATAAAACGGGTTACATATGTACAATGAAATATTATTCCTTCACATAAATGAAGGAAATCCTGTCATTTGCAATAACATGGAACCTGGAGGACATTATACTAAGTGAAATAAGTCAGACAGAGAAAGACGAATACTGCATGATCTTACATGTGAAATCTAAAAAAGCCAAATTTATAAAAGCAGAGAGTAGAATGTCTGCCAGGGACTGGGGGAGAAGAAAATAGGGAGATGTTGGTCAAAGGGTACAAAGGTTCAGGTATGCAGGGTGAATAAGTTCCAGTGATGGAATGTACAATATGGTGACTATTGTTAACAATACCTCATTACATACTTGAAATTTGCTAAAAGATACATCTCAAGGATTCTTACCACAGCAAAGAAAGAAAAAGAGAAAGAGAAGAAAAATAAAATTGTAACTATGTGAGGTGATGGCTATGTTCATTAGGTTGGTGGTAATTATTTCACAATGTAAACATGTATCAAAACATCAAATTGTTCACCTTAAATATACAAAATTTTTATTTGTCAATTATACCTCAACAAAGCTGTCGGGGAGGATGGGGAGGAAAGCTGGAAAATGCACCATGAGAACAGCAGGAGGATGGGGCTGGCTGAGGAAGCCAAAGTGAGAAGGCAGTCCCTTCTTAAGGTGGCAGCTCATTCTCAGGTCCAGACAGGCTTGCCTTCTGGGAATTGAGTCTTGTAGTTTCAAATTTTATAATTACTTGAGAAATCCCAGAAACTGGATTTTTATTTAAAATTTTGATTTTTTTTAAAGATTCGGACATTTTTTCAAGTTATTTAAGAAAAGTGCTGTCCCCAGCCTAACATCTCTGACTCTCTAATTTTAATCCCCAATGTAAGCACTTTTAATGACCTGCATTTTCCAAATATTTATCTTGCTATTTCCAAAAACTGTGCTTATGTTGTTATTTCTTGATTTATCCATTTTAAGTATAATCTATTCAACTCTTATTATCAGAGATGACCTACCCCCCCCCCAATTATTTTTGTTTAAATTACCATGACTGTATTAATAGTCACTGCTAAACCAAGTGGTAAACTATAATTATTGCCTAGATGTACAACTTTGTTTCATTTTTCTAAAAAGTAGCACTTTCTTATTTTATTATTTTTTCCCTTTTCCATATAACTATTGCTAATTCTTCCCTTATTCTCAAATAACCTCCCAAAACAATCTTCCAGCTGTCATATGTATCACATGAGCTATTGATCCATTTTCCCCACCCGAAGATTTCTCTCCTAAAGTGCTCCATGTTTTTGCTACAATGTGTACTGATTTTCTAGACATGGTTCTTAAACCTCAGTAATATTGCTGTGATGTAAGGAAAGGGAAACATACTTTCTTAAGGATTATTATTTAAATAAAAATTTTAAACATTGGCTGCCTTTGCTGCGTAGAATTAGAGGCTTTTTTTCCGAGACAATTCTTACTAACTCTTCACTCTCAGCAACCATATCTATTGGTAGACGTAAACCCATACAGTCCAGTTGCAGTAAGAAGCCTTTAGGTCAACATTTTTCTCGAAGGTGGCCTATTTTAGGATTTCTCATTGTTTAATACAGAAGAACAACTGCTCAATATTTCAGTCTTCGCTTCCAACATTAGTTTTGCTTCCTCTCCATGTGTTTGAGTGTTTTTGATGTCTAAGGTTTTTACAGCAGACATTAGCTTCCTGAAATTTAATTCAAACATTTTGTAAAGGTCACTGTGTATATGTGTGTGTGCGTTTTCCGAGGAGCAGGTCCACAGTTTTTATCAGATTCTCAAAGCCGTTCTTGATGCCAAGAGGTTAAAAATTTCTGCTTTGTGGAGTAGATGTGCTCGTAATTTGGAGAATCAAAATAATAAAGTTAGAAGGGACAAGAAGAAACCATTTGGCAGTTAAGCAATTAAGCCATCCAGGAGATAGAGTGAGTTATCCTTTTCTGGAAGCGGCTCATCCATGACTAAAGTGCACAGCTTTTCACCTGTCAAAACCAGTAGGCTTCAAATCTCCTCACCAGACTATAGAACCCAGTTAGGCTCTTTGACAGACAGCAGCCTATTGCTCCTTATTACAATTCTTACAGGGCCTCCTCACCATCCCCCACCATGCAGATTGCACAAGTCACCACCTGCACAGACAGGCAACTCTCTCTGCACACCAAGCTGGATTTCTGGTAAGTGTGTGGGATTACATAAAATGCATCAGACAAGGAGGAAGAATACTTGTAATTAGTCCTATTCAGCTATCAACTCACCACATCCCTCAAGTGTGACATAAGGGAATTTAAAGGAAAAGGAACCAATATTTTTTTTAAGTATGCATAATGAGCCAGGAGCTGCATATATATAAATTTCAGTTAATTCTCTTGATATTGGTATGGGATCTATTATTATCTTCACTTGACAGAATAAATACTAAGAGAGAGATAACTTGTTCAAGATCATAGTGAATCACAGAGCTAAAATTCTAACTGACCCCTTTTTGTAAATATAAACTTTATTTTTTTAGACTGGTTTTAAATTTACAGCAAAATTGACTGAAAATTACAGAGAGCTTTCACGTACCCCATCCCCACACATGCACAACCTCCCCGGCTCTCAATATTCACCGAGTGTGTTTTTTTAAACACGCAAAAAAGGCATTTTCTTTCTTCTGCCAAAATTCTGCAATTCTAAATCCATTCATGTAACAGCAAATGTGTTTGAGTAATATCACATTTAAAAGGCCCCTACTATTAATTATATTAAAGCAAAATATGTTTTACGTAATGAATAATTAATAACCACTTCATCATTTATATTTTGAGTAAATGTAGAGTTTCTCATACAGGATTTTCTTAGAGTAGAGTAAACTCTATCCAGACCTAGTCCATATGATAAAATGACTCTATTGATGCTTAAATTCATGTATGTGATCATATTAAATTGCATATTTTGAAGAATAACTTGTGATATACAATTTCTAAACTGTCTTTATTCACACAAAGTTCCATGAAAATCAGAAAATGAAAGTACCTAATCTCACTTCACAGCTGGAGCCATTTAATGACAAATACTCAACCAGAAAAAAAAAAAAAGTGATAGGGAGACAGTAGGCAAGAGAAACAGAATTTAAAACTGTTTGGTAAAATGTAGATTAAAAACTTCAAAAAGATAAAAAATATTGGTGGCTTTAGAATATTTTGAACAAGTTAGTTAATCTTGCAATTCTTCAGTTTCCTCAGCTGTAAAATGTGGATAACAACCAGATCTGCCTCATGAAGACCCTGTGAGAATTAAACAAGATGATGTGTGCAGAGTACAGAAGTCAGTGAGCCCAGCATCTACAAGTGACTATGTGAATTAGTGGTTATTATGGCTACGATTGTGCCTGCTGCTGCTAAAGTCAAACGTTTTTTTCCTTTCATAACTGAACATAGCAGGATTTGCATTTGTGGAAGATGGTACCAAGGTACCTATCTCTCTGAAAGTCAAATAAAGAGAAAAATAAAAAAATGTCGATTCATCTTCATTACATTTTGCCCTAAAAATTTACTACTTGTTTTTTGTCTTAAAATAATAGTCTTTTAAATTGAAAACAAAACAAAACAAAACACATAAGTCTTTGCGGGAAAGCAGAGCAGTCAGATCAGCCACTGCCTCATGTGTGGAGTCTGTGCTACCTTTTCAACAACATTAAAATTACATGGCAAAGTTCTATCCACTCTAAACAGGGAATCTCTTAGGAAGAGATTGAGAAATAACAGAACCAAGACGCAGACCACGTGAGGCTCTATTGTCGCCATAAGTCATGACCGTGGTCTAGAAATTTAGACACGAATTTACCTCCACTTTTTTCATCAACAAAGTGAACACGAATGCACGCCTTAAAATCAGAGGATCCAAAATGTAACATATAAACTGGATTTTAGATGTCATTTCATTTGAATTTTTTCAGCAAAGCAAGCTTCAAAAACTCTGGAGAGAATTTCTGAGAATCACAATGCGACTAAAGCCTTTTTCTCCATTGAATTTTAAAATTCTGTCCTTGAAGAAAGACGCCTCAAATTAAAGTGTCATAGCCATGATCACCCACTAGGGGCAGAATTAGGACAAGCAGGAAAATCTAACACCCAGCCCAGCACCCTTTCCAGTACCTCAAGAGAACTATCAAAAGAAAGGTTTTTTGAAACTAGTACTCTTTTTTTCCTACTTCAGGCTGTCTAAGGTCATTATATTTTGAGGATAAAACAAAGTCCAAGAACACAAATAATTCAGCTCTAGCCACTTACCCAGAAGGAGAAAATGAAAGGCTCTCTGCCAAGGTTATGTAAGATGTCACCCCCAAAACAATATCCCACTGACAGAGAAAGGGAACAGCCAGAATCTTGGCATGTGGCTGTAAAGCTCAAAGTTCAGTTCCATTTCAGACGTACCTAGAGTCGCTCAGGGAATTCTCCCCAAACATTTAAATTCAGCAATGGAAAAGTATTTAAGTTACATGGGAGTCATTTTTTATTCTTTTCTTTTCAGCAAGTGTTGCTTTCTTTGAAATATGAATTATATACACCCACTATAATTAAATGTCTCTGATGGAGAATGAATGGCAGTTGGAACCTAGTTTTTCACTTGTTCCATTTATCACAGGATGTAAAATACTCTTACTCTGGTAAATATTTCTTCAGAGTATCATTCTCGAGTAGATTATGTGATTTTCCTTTACAAGATCAAATGCTTAGGGGGGAAAGTATTAATTTAAAATGCCTAGGAGAGGTGTGTATAGATCCCGACTTTAAATAATCAATGCTTGTTATTCTATTTAATTAAACTAGTAAGGCAAACATCTTCCCAATAGAGCCCAAAAGAAAGCAAAATGAAATAAACTAGATTCCAAGAAATGATTTCACCTTGTAAGTAAGCTGTCTGCTTTTCTTCTCTTCATCTTCCACCTTTTTTTAATTCATTCTCATTGCCGTCTCTGCCTGTCACCACCTGAAACCTCAAAAGGAAGTTTATCCCTGTGAAAGATAGTTCTTCCTACTGCCATTGTAACATTAGAATTGTTTTAAAGACAAACAACTCTGGAGTTAAACATGATGGATGCAAACAACAAAAGGATTCTTTTGTTATCACAACAATCCCTGCTGTCCTCATTTTGCTACTATGTGAATTTAGAAGTACACTTAGTAAGGTCGGAGTTATGCATAGGATGTACCTATTTTTTCATATTTGCAATGATTTGGGAAGCTGGATTAACTTAAGTGCTATAAGACATGGCCTAAAAAAGTAGAGCCACTTCTGGTCGAGAATACTCTATGCGCCACTCTCTTACATTTCAAACTAGAATCTTCTTGACCGTGGACCAAACTGACTGTGGCTTGCCACAAGGTTCATCTCCCTGTGTCTGGGTCAGTTTTCCCAGCCTATAACCCAAAGTCAGCCTGTCAAGATCCTCAACATGCCAGCAAGAGCTGTGTATGAAAAAAATGATTATTTATGAAATTATAAAGTTGTTTTATAATCACATCATATAAAAATTAAGCTTGACATCATTATCTGGAATAAAATCATTCTAAGCCAAGAAGTAGTTCACCAGTTTAAAGTATTTACTTAACCTGTTTATAAAATCATTTTTTTAGAAAAGACTAAAACATATACCTAGAAAATCACTGAGCTCATCTAAAGAGTGTCCATTGTGGTATAGCATAAACTCTGTAGTGGCTACATTCTGAAATCATAGTGTTAACAGTTTGGCTGTGTCCCCGCCCAAATCTCATCTTAAATTCCCACATGTTGTGGGTGGGACCCAAATCTTATGTTAAATTCCCACATGTTGTGGGTGGGAAGTAACTGAATCATGGGGCAGGTCTTTCCCATGTTGTTCTTGTGATGGTGAATAAGTCTCATGAGATCTGATGGTTTTAAAAATGGGTGTCTCCCTGCACAAGCTCTCTTCTCTTCTCTGCCATCATGTGAGATGTGCTTTTCACCTTCCACCATGATTATGAGGCCTCCTCAGCCATGTGGAATTGTAAGTCCATTAAATCTCTTTCTTTTGTAAATTGTCCAGTCTCAAGTATGTCTTTATCAGCAGCATGAAAATGGACTAATACAGTAAATTGGTACCAGTAGAGCAGGCACTGCTGAAAAGATACCCAAAAACGTGGAAGCAACTTTGGAACTGGGTAACAGGCAGAGGTTAGAACAGTTTGGAGGGCTCAGAAGAAGACAGGAAAATGTGAGAAAATTTGGAACTCCCTAGAGACTTGTTGAATGGCTTTGGTCAAAATGCTGATAATGATATGAACAATGACATCCAGGCTGAGGTGGTCTGTGATGGAGATGAGGAACCTGTTGGGAACTGGAGCAAAGGTGATTCTTGTTATGTTTCAGCAAAGAGACCGGTGGCATTTTGCACCTGACCTACAGATTTGTGGAACTTTGAACTTGAGATAGATGATTTAGAGCATCTGGCAGAAGAAATTTCTAAGCAGCAAAGCATTCAAGAGGTAACTTGGGTACTGTTAAAGGCATTCAGTTTTAAAAGGAAAGCAGAGCATAAAATTTTGGAAAATTTGCAACCTGACAATGCAATAGGAAAGAAAATCCCATTTTCTGAGGAAAAATTCAAGCTGGTGGCAAAAATTTGCCAAAGTAACGAGGAGCCAACTGTTCACCAAGACCATAGGGAAAATGTCTCCAGGTCATATCAGAGACCTTTGCTGCAGTCCCTCCCATCACAGGCCCAAGGTTTAGGAGAAAAAAGAATGGTTTTGTGGGCCAGGTCCAAGGTCCCCATGCTGTATGCAGCCTAGGGACTTGGTGCCCTGTGTTCCAGCTGTTCCAGCCATGGCTGAAAGGGGCCAACGTAGAGCTTGGCCATGGCCTCAGAGGTGCTTCCATGCGGTGTTGAGCCTGCAAGTGTACAGAAGTCAAGAATTGGAGTTTGGGAACCTCTGCCTAGATTTCAGAAGATGTATGGAAATGTCTGAATGCCCAGGCAGAAGTTTGCTGCAGGGGTGGGGCCCTCATGAAGAACCTCTGCTAGGGCAGTGCAGAAGGGAAATGTGGGGTCAGAGCCTTCACACAGAGTCTCCACTGGTGCACTACCTAGTGGAGCTGTGAGAAGAGGGCCACCATCCTCCAGACTCCAGAATGGTAGATCCACTGACAGCTTGCACTGTGCACTTGAAAAAGCCACAGACACTCAATTCCAGCCCATGAAAACAGCCAGAAGGGGGCATATACCCTGCAAAGCTACAGGTGCAGAGCTGCCCAAGGCCATGGGAGCCCATCTCTTACATCAGCATGACCTGGACATGAGACATGGAGTCAAAGGAAATCATTTTGGAGTTTTAAGTTTTGACTGCCCTGCTGGATTTTGGACCTACATGGGGCCTGTAGCCCCTTTGTTTTGGCCAATTTCTTTTATTTGGATAGCTGTATTTACCCAATGCCTGTACCCCCCATTGTATCTAGGAAGTAACTAACTTGCTTTTGATTTTATAGGTTCATAGGTGGAAGTGACTTGCCTTGTCTCGAATGAGACTTTGGACTGTGGTCTTTTGAGTTAATGCTGAAATGAGTCAAGACTTTGGGGGACCGTTGGGAAGGCATAATTGGTTTTGAAATGTGAAGACTTGAGATTTGGGAGGGTCCAGGGGTGGAATATTATGGTTTGGCTATGTCCCCACCCAAATCTCTTCTTGAATTCTCATGTGCTGTGGGAGGGACCTGGTAGGAGGTAATTGAATCATGGGGGCAGGTCTTTCCTGTGCTGTTCTTGTGATAGTGAATAAGTCTCATGAGATCTGATGGTTTTAAAAATGGGAGTCTCCTTACACAAGCTCTCTTCTCTTGTTTGCTGCCATGTGAGATGTGCCTTTCACCTTTCACCATGTTGTAAGGTCTCCCTGGCCACATAGAACTGTAAGTCCATTAAATCTCCTTCTTTTGTAAATTACCCAGTCTTGGGTATGTCTTTTTTTTTTTTTTTTTTTCTAAGACAGAGTCTCGCTCTGTCGCCCAGGCTGGATGGAGTGCAGCGGAACGATCTCTGCTCACTGCAAGCTCCGCCTCCCAGGTTCATGCCATTCTCCTGCCTCAGCCTCCCGAGTAGCTGGGACTACAGGCACCCGCCACCACGCCTGGCTAATTTTTTGTATTTTTAGTAGAGACAGGGTTTCACCGTGTTAGCCAGGATGGTCTCGATCTCCTGACCTTGTGATCCACTCGCCTCAGCCTCTGGGTATGTCTTTATCAGCAGCATGAAAACAGGCTAATACCCATAGCCTATAATTAAAAATTATTTTTAAAATGCAGAGCAGTAACTTTCATCTGGTAAGATCAATATCGATAGTTTGTCAGTTACTTGAAAAAGCTGAACAAAGTAGAGGAGTTTTAAAATCAAATATTGTAATTTAAAACCTGAAAATAAACATGAATTTACCAATCTTTTAATGTAGAGGGTCTCCTTTTATTGAGTGCACATTATCTGATTAGAAATCCATATCATCTTTCCTGAATAACCCACATCCACAAGGCGTTCTCTCCAAATCCCCACTTCCCTTGCAAGAACCCAGAAATAATTTTGCAGAAATTTTAGAATACAGGCCTTCAAGATTTTCAGTTTCCCCTCCAACCTCTTATATTTGTTTCATCCACATCCAAATTTAATAGCAAGTCTAGTAACTTCTCTTTATCAAGTCTTTCTAAGCATTATATATAATTAGTTTTCAGAGAAATAAAAATCCCCTTTTATTTTGCAGTCATATTTCACGGTTCACATAATATTGCAATTACCCACTTTAATTCAATGGCAAGTATAGGTGGCATAAACAGGATTGGGACAAACTCACCTGACCCTTGGCAGGCACACAATTCTATTGGGAAAGCAAAACTGTGGGGATCCTGCTAGCTTACTTTCAGGATGATACAGACATCAGATAGTATAAGAAAAAAAAATTGGTTAATATGTTGAGTCAGTTAAGTGGAGATACTCAGTTGGAATATCCAAATCCATATCCAAGTCCATATCTTTTACTATTTCCTCACACTTTCATCCTTCCATCTTTGATATAGTTTTCCTCTTTTACCTGATCCCTGCAGTTTTTTAAAAGTAGTTGATTTCCAAACACATTGTATTAACATTTTCTAAGCAATTTGCATTTCAGTTAATGTTATACAATACAAAGTATATTTCTGGCTTTAAAAGAGGGCTTCATCAAAGGAGTTTATTTTTAAAATCTAATCAAGCAATGTAAAAATCGTTAAGTGAGAAACAAGCTCTTACAATATTGATGAGTAAAAGAATAAGATCTTCATAGGTAACCAACATATATCACCACATATATACATGGAAACAAAGGCGAATTTAGGTTGACTTTCATTTACATTTATAGTAAATAAGACAATGTATCGTGACCTTCCCTGGGAATAAATGTTTTTTTCACTTGAAATTGATATCCATGAAATCAGTTAGGCAGTTCCAATATAATTCGCCTTTCCGTTTTAGATAAGGACCAGATGTGCTCTATTGGGACACATGTTTTCATGTCCATTTGTATTTTCCCTTCAGGACTAAGGGTGTGGAGTCTAGAATTAGTGAGGCTCTCTGATTTGAAACTGCACCTCCCTCACTTACTACATTATATGTCTAAGCAACAGTCTCCTCCCCATGGCTCTTCTGTCCCATGCAGAACACAGTCATGCCTTGTGCTAAGCTGGTAGCCCCAGGTAGAGTAGCCCAGGAAATGCTTGGGTGAAAAGCTGTTACTCTTGTTCTCTAACTTATATTGCAGAAAAGCAGTGCTCCCACATTATAAAAGGACAGGCAAGAATCCCAGGAATCTCTTTACCTCTTCATAACAAATCCCACTCTGATGAGACTAGAATCAATTAACTCCAGTGCCTAATACACACATCACTACTATATGCAACAATTCTATTCACTATTCTAGAAAAGCCTTGCTAAACAAATCTGCCTTACAATGACATCTGCTGGGAGTTTCTGGCACTGGATTTTTTTTTTTTTAAGACCAATATCTGAGGTTAAAAAACACGGCTCAAGAGAAAGAGAATTTAACTGTGTCAAGAATCAATCTCTCAAGTTATCTTTCAAACTAGGGACTATATCGCTTAAAAAATAAAGAAAATATACCTCAGGTGAATTCATAATAAATATCAGATGCTGAGCTATGAAACTGAACCCAAAACATGAATTAACATTCGAATGCAGTGTTATCCAGCTTTTAAACATTCCATCTAGCAAGAAAAGGACAGAATATATGACATTCTTCTTGGATATGCTTATACTTCAGAGAATTTCTCAATGCCGAAAATCTGTCATTTTTTTCAAAAATATCAAAGTATTTATTGAGCTTGATTATTCTTCATATTTAAGGGACTACTGCTGTAAGTTTACGTTAGAAATCTTTAAGGGCTGGTGAAGAGCATTTTCCTTCTAACCCCAAGTTTGAATTCCAGTTGAGGATGTGGCCAAGGTATGGTGTTAGAAGGACCATGGGAGTGAATCTTCCAGCAACTGATTGACATATCCAGTGGTTCTGCCTTCAAAAAGGGATGATGGCTGGGTGCACTGGCTCACACCTGTAATCCCAGCATTTTGGGAGGCCAAGCTGGGTGGATCACCTGAGGTCAGGACTTCAAGACTAGCCTGGCCAACATGGTGGAAGCCCGTCTCTACTAAAAATACAAAAATTAGCTGGGTATGGTGGCAGGCACCTGTAATCCCAGCTGCTTGGGAGGCTGAGGCAGAACAATCACTTGAACCCAGGAGGTGGAGGTTGCAGTGAGCCAAGATTGCACCATTGCACTCCAGCCTGGCGACAAGAGCAAAACTCCATCTCAAAAAAAAAAAAGGATGATCATGCTGAAATTAAGATGATGCCTAATATTTCTCTGTCAAAGTAACCTAAGCTATAAAAGAAAATCTCCTAACATTCTCTCCCCTGTGAAGCGGCAGACACCTAAACGAAGGAGGAGTTAAGTTATGGGAGTTCACCGATGAATTAGAAAGGCAAAAGGAATTATAACATGAACAAGTTATAATTCTACTTAATTGCACCCACTAAGACATATTAACATGAGATGCAATTAACCTAAGTATTAGCACAAAGTCCAATCTCCAGCTACCACTTAGCCAAAAAATTTTTGTAACTGAATAGAAGTGTTCATTGTTCATTAAGGAAATTTATATTGGCATTATTGTATTTGACAGCATGATGGACAAATTACATTTCTCTTGCTATTGTTCATAGTAATAATTGAGGCCATTCTTTAACCTTTGATTAGATAATGATTAAGAAATTCTTGAGATTATGTTTGTCAGAACATAAAACTGGAGATAATCTAAATATCAATAGGAGAATGGGTTTAAAAAAACTGTAGTATATTGATACAATGGAATATTAAAGGTTAAAATAAATGAACTAGAACTTCAAAAAGAAAAGAAAAATATTATGAGCTTAATAACATTGCAATCTCTCTGAATTTCCTAAGAGAACAAAAAAAACAATTACAGAGAAATTGGACTGGTGTCCTGAGAAAAAGCCCATAGACTGTTAAAAAAAATTAAGCCATCATATAGCTCTTTACTTCAGCCATAAGAGCCAGCACCCCAAATCTGTGCTGTTCAGATCTGTCCACCTTTCAATTTCATTTTCATGTTTAAGGACATGAAGCAACACAATATTGAATCTAATAAAGTGTGAAGGCTGTGCTTTGCGGCAAGGCAGGAGTTATTCCCACAAAACTGACATAGGGTCAAAAAGCATAAAGAGTTGGTATATATTCTATAATTCCCCATCTTTTTCCTCATAAATGGAGGTTATTTTGAGGCATGGCTCTACAAGAGCAAAGGCTATGTCCAGCTCTGTTCAGTGCTATTTTCCCAGTGCCTGCTGGTGAATGTTTATAGAACTGCTTTCCTACTTGTAAGCTATTTTACAACCTTGACACCTGATATATCCACATCTTAAAGCAGATCTTTCCACATCTTTTCTGACTCTCATTGTTCCCTATTCTGCTCCACCCCAGATCCCAGATTCCAGGAGTCCACCTCAGCTAGTCTGAGTCTCCCTTACATTGCTCTGGCGGCAGAGAGAGTCCTCTGATTTTTACAGAGGCCATCTGCTGCCTTGGACCAAAGACCTCTGCTCACTTGAGTCCTCTGGCATCAAGACTCTGGGAGTGAGAGAAGGGAGAGTAGAAACAACTGGAGCCATCAGATGGAAGGTAAAGCATGTAAAGGAGCATCTAAGGAAATATTTGCCCACAAGGCAGTTTTTGAAATGGATGTTGAAAGATACTAGGGGCATGATTGGAGGAAACCAGGAAAATTTCAAAATCTTTGTCTTTTAATGTCACTCTGTTTGTATAAAAGCATTTAAAACCGCAAACATTACACATATTGGGATAAAAGGACTATTTAGGCAGCTTTACAGTTAATTATACTGATTTGTCTTACCTGCTTATTCCCAATACCCAAATACGTGAATGTCTGTCTGCTTGCTACACAAGCAATAAACTATACTGACTGTATGCTCATATTAAGTTTCAACCAGGAACATAACCAAATATCTTGCTAATGCTGATTCTGAATGTTTTTGCTGACCATTTAAACAATAAACCAGTTTGACCAAAGAAGTTATTATGCAGTTGCAGAGATAGATATTTTATGCCCTCTTCTGCAGGATAATTTTTTCTTAAGCAGAAAATGTATAAATAATCTGCAAATAAAATAATTTTCATTTAGACTACTTCCATACATGTTTGCCAAATCTATCCTGCTCCAATCCCCCAGCACTACTAGACCAAGTCTCATCTCTTTAGTCTGCATTACTGCCACAGCCCTGCCTCTGAACTTCTGCCTACCCTACCAAGAGAAAATGTTTTCACTGGCCGGGCACGGTGGCTCAAGCCTGTAATCCCAGCACTTTGGGAGGCTGAGGCCGGTGGATCATGACGTCAGGAGATCGAGACCATCCTGGCTAACAAGGTGAAACCCCCTCTCTACTAAAAATACAAAAAAATAATTAGCCTGGCATGGTGGCAGGCGCCTGTAGTCCCAGCTGCCCAGGAGGCTGAGGCAGGAGAATGGGATGAACCCGGGAGGCGGAGTTTGCAGTGAGCCGAAATCACGCCACTGCACTCCAGCCTGGGCGACAGAGCAAGACTCCATCTCAAAAAAAAAAAAAAAAAAGAAAATGTTTTCACTTTACTCCTGTAAATTGATACAACAAAAATGCTGTAATGGCTTCTGATTTCTTTCAACTTCAAGCCACTTCCAAGACCCCAGTCCACTTTGTACATTTTATATTCCATTATTTCCCACTATATATGGAAAACACATTGTCTTCCAGGTTTAGAAATCTCTTTTTAGGTCAATTAATATCAATATTCCCTTTAAGCTACTCAGATCTTGCCTTAAAAGAACTGCCTGGTCAGTAAGTCTCAACTCAATGCCACTAGAGCTTCCTCATACAAGTTATTCCCAGCAGCATTCCAGAAATCCATATTTGGAGCTCTAAGACACATTGTCTTACTAGCACAGAATTCTAGTTCCCATCTTAATCACTTCATTCATTTTGTCCTTTTCACCCGGAACGGTATGCCCCCCTACTTCACTCCCTATTCAGGTTCTAAGGAAATATTTGCCTTAAAGATTCACCTTAAGCTGTATCTGAAAGCTTTTATATACTTCAAGTGGTAAAGAGTTCTGCCCCCTCTTGTAATGGTCATATGACCATTACCAAATATCTGTTGATCAAACACAAAGCCTAAATCATAGAATAGTGAAATGAATAGTTTTAATCATCTTAATCAAATTAACGTGATTTCTCTATAGCTTCAATTAGTATCCAATGCCAGTCAATCAATATTCCTCCCCATTAGTATAACTCAGAGATTCTCAAAATTAGCTGCTTTTCAAAATCAACGATGAAGCTTATAGAAGAATGGATATCTGGACCCCTCCCTAAGACTGTGATTCAGGAATTCTGGAAAAAAATAATCTAGTTTCAAGTAGCTCCACAGGTGTTTCTGATATCCACCCGGGGCCAGGTCATAGTAGTTCCAGCTGAGTGCTTAGTAATTGACCCACAAGTGTGTCAGGCCATGAGGAGTCAAAGAAGCCATACTAACAACAAGAGATTTAGGGTGATCTGCAGATTAAACCACAAAGCAAAAAGTTTTCCTTTACATGCCAAATTCCGCAGCCCCTGCAGATCCAATAATTCATAATAATTTCTTTGTAGATACAGTTACAAACTGACAACTGGAGCCAGGGGTTCCCAGTTGTGACAGCACCCAGAATAATCTGGAAGCAAACATAGGTACACTGACCCACTGAACTGGAAACTCTGGGAATGGGAACTGGAGATCTACATTTTTCAAATCTCCAGGTGATTGCTTAAAGCAGAAAGGATTGGAAATCTCTTTTTAGGTCATTCCAAATTAGTACCTATATTCCCTCTAAGCTACTCAGATATTGTCTTTAAAGAACTGCCTGGTCAGTAAGTCTCAACCCAATTCCACTAGAGCTTCCTCATATGAGATCTTCCCAACAGCATTCCAGAAATCCACATTTGGAGCTCTAAGACATAAGGAAATGATAAAGGATTCCTATGAAAGAAGACAAAAACTTGGTTTGCGTTAGCTGATACTCTCATCTTTCCAATGGTCATCACAATAATTGCTTAACTAAGTCAGTGTTATGGCACGAGTGTTTGTATATTGTTCTAAAATCTTTCCATTGGCTGTGACTCTAGTGTATTAACCATTCTTCTTGCCTAGAGATAACCTAATATCTTTGCCATACAGAAGATGAAAAGCAGCTGAAACCTTTAGGCTTCTTTGTGTAAATATATTAGCTGGGGATTCATATCATGAACTATCCACTCTTTAAATACCCTTGGAAACTGTTTTGTCTCAATTGCAAAAATCACTATTATGAAGCATCACTTTTTATTATAACACAGTAGATAGTTTAATGTACAGCAACCAAGAAAAAAAAGGAATATGTTTGCCAGTTGGTATTTTGCCCTTATTATATAAAATTGGAAATGGAAAAGGCAGCCTTGATGAAAACACTGAAATTCCAGTAAGTAGGATTAGTCATACTTTTTGTGTTCCAGGGTTAGATTTCAAACGGCAAGTAAAAATTCCCTGAGCTACCAGTGGAGGCAAACACTCTCAAATTAAAATAAAAAGGACTACACATATTTACAAGAGCCAAAGCTAGAATGAGTAACGTTTGACATTTGGAAGGCTGGAATTGCAGCAAACAGCTCTCTCCCCGAGGAGAAACTTCTCACCAAATAGTTGGCTCATTGTGGTATCTAGCTTTCTTTGAAACAGCAAGCCTAAAATCTTCAGGGAGAAGGCAAATTAATGAAAACCACTTTGGCTTAACGCCTCACAGGCTGGGAACTGTTGTAATCAAGTCAAAAAGCACAGGCCAACTGAGTTTTAAATTATACACTGGTGGGAGAAACTGGAAAGACATCAATGATAACAGATTGTTTACAGGCCTGGGGCCCCTCTTGTAGCCTCACTCACTCAGTGAGTGTCTTGGGGCTTTTCACTTCCACCATTAATAAGATCTCTTTGCTTGGGAGGTAACACTTGGACATCCTTTGTTTTGTACATTAGGATAGCAGCCATATTAACAGCAGCAACATTTTTTCAACATAAACATAACAGCAAATAGGTAATAGGATGAGTCAAGGATCAAAACATGTGCACTGTCGGCCAGACACAGTAGCTCATGCCTGTAATCCCAGCACTTTGGGAGGCTGAGGTGAGCCGATCACGAGATCAGGATATCGAGACCATCCTGGCCAACATGGTGAAACTTCGTCTCTACTAAAAGTACAAAAATTAGCTGGACGTGGTGGTGGGCTCCTATAGTCCCAGCTACTCAGGAGGCTGAGGCAGGAGAATCGCTTGAACCCAGGAGGCAGAGGTTGCATTGCAGTGAGCTGAGATCGCGCCACTGTACTGCAGCCGGGCAACAGAGCGAGACTCCATCTAAAAAAAAAAAAGTGCACTGTCACCCACATAATTCACAGGGACAAAGAGACAGAGAGGCAGAGGGAGAAATAGGGCAGACTTTCAGAAGTCCTAAACATGAACTAAAATACTAAGGTTTATACATATTCTTTATATCTCATAATCTTTCAGAGTATGTAATCTTACTTTGATTATGTAACCATAATCTTTCAGAGCAGTGGAGTATAAAATAACTGTTGCAGATTATTAACTTTCTTTAAATGCCAATGGCAAAAGTTAGCGTTTACGAGTTTTTCTTCCAAACCATCTATGCACCTCAAATAATCTCTTTGGAAGCCATAACATCTCTTTACAGCTCACGTAGGAAATTCAACTTCTCCTAAACCCCTCCCATTCAGATGAGCGCTGGGTAAAAGCTCCTAGGAGGCCTTTGGCTAGGTCAGCTGCCTTGCCCTATTCTGCTCAGCTGGGTGGTGTTTGTGTCTTTCCACAAAATGGATAAAGACAAGAACCGATTGCCCACCCTATCTAACAGTCTCACAGCTTCAAGGAGTTTCCTGATGGCCCACTGCTCCTAACATGTTTCTCCTACCAAGTCAGTCTATGACAGTAGTTCAGCAAAGACCCTTTTATTACTTTATTGTGGCTGCTGTAACAAAGTATCACAAAATGGGTGGCTTAGACAACAGAAATTCATTGTATCACAGCGCTGTGGAGGCTAGAAGTCAGAGATAAGGCATTGGCGGAGTTAGTTCCTTCTGAGGGCTGTGAGAGAAGGATCTGTTGCAGTCCTCTCTCCCTGGCTTGGAGACAGTCATCTTCTCCTGGTGTCTCTTCACATTGCCTTTCCTCTATGCATATCTCTTTGTTCAAATTTCCCCCTGTTGATCAGACACCAGTCGTGACGGATTAGGGCCAGTCCTAATGACCCCATTTTAATTTGATTACCTCTGTAAAGACTTTGCCTTGAAATAAGGTCACATTTTGAAGGACTAGGGGTTAGGATTTCCATATATAAACTTCAGGGGTACCAAATTCAGGCCATAACAACCATCTATTCATTCTTATATGGTGAACACTGCTGACAACATTAAGGTCAATTTGCACTCTGAGAAGCAAGGATGCCAAACCCACTGGGCCATGTGTCAGCTCATGAATAGTTTGCAAGAAGCTACTATAATTCTCACAAACTAGTATCCTGTGATGCTAAGTGAAATTCATTACAATCAGGTCACCTATAAAACACTTTTCTTCTAAATGTATGTGTGGTTTACTGTACGATAATATGAAAGAGTCAAACTAAAACCACACCTGGTAATAATCTGTGAATACAGCAACTTTGGCTTTTTCTTCAATCATCCTCTGCCGAGGTATTTATCCAGTTTCATTCTCCATTTCATGCATTTAACAATGAGACAATAATATAGCCTTATCCACCCTGTATCATAGGTCATCAAATCCTCTGTCTTTCCTAGCCACCACAACCACAAATTCAACAACCAATAATATGCCTATGTCCTTAGTAACACTGTTTTCCTTAAAAAGAATTCCACCACCATCCTGCTAAAAGATCCCCAACCCAGTTCACAAAGGTTGTGTCACTGTGCTTCATCACCCTGATGACAATAAGGTTGAAATCTCCTCTTATAAACCCCTTGTCTTGAGGCATAACTCAATTGATCCTATGAGGAACAGGGATATACTCTTTGAATAGACTGTAAACCCAATCACAGAAAGTGTCTTCCTCTCCAAAGAAACTAGTTTGACCTAAAAACCCAAAGCCCACATAGATAGACCTACCATGTTCTGTTAGAAAAATAAATTCAACGGAAGTGTTCTAAGATTGCCAGATGCACAGGATAAGACATCACTTAAAAAACAAAGGATCCATCATTGCCTGAGATCTCACTTTAAAGGTAGAATTGCCTTTACTTGAGTCTGCTTTCCTTAGCTAATCCAAAGTAGCCAAGGTATAAAATTGAACCATATAAATCATATGTGTTAAAATCATCAATAACTGTCAACTTCATGTGGCTCAGCCTAATTCCATGCTTCATTCATTAATTCAATTCTTTCAAAAATCCTTTATTAAGTGCTTTCCATTCCTAGGTCTCTATCCTCGGTGTGCATAAATCTACATAAGTAGAGTTTTCAACACAGTTAAGGAAAAAACCACTTCTGGCTATGAGATCTGAAGTTATCCTTCCTCTGTAAACAACTAAGAAGCAGAACAAAATACAGGAAATAACTATTTTCAGACATTGGACAACAGGCAACAGAGAACTGTGATCCCAGACAGAAAGGAAATAGAGTGCTATGACTGCCCAGGTTCTTTGCCTAAAGGCAATTTCTGAACTGCTGAGCAAGGAGGGGAAACCCAAACTGCAATCTCACTGAGTGGAGGAAACAAAGATGAGATTCAGGAGGATTTAGGTGGCTTTAATTTACATGCCAGAATACCCGAAAAAACTGGAGCTGATACAGAGAAAGAGTTCTAGAAATCAGCATAGAAGAACTCTAGAATCTATGTCTGATTATCAATATGCACTTGTAGAGTGTGAAACACCCTAAGGTACGGCAAATAATGACTTCTGAGGAAAGAAAATGTACTGAGGAGTTATAAGCCAAACAATTCTTAGAGCTCATAAAAGGCCAGGAATAGTTTGAGTTTCCACCAGTGAGAATACAAAGTCCTCATGGGATACATGTAGCAGCCAATGAAGACCACAGAAGGGCCAACCTAAAAAGTGAGTTTAAATTACCTCTAGTATAAAGACGACTCCAGCTATGCCCTTAAAATCTCTTTTTAAAAGATTCAAACAGATAAATCTTGTCTGCCACATGCTCCAAATGAAAACAACTAGATATAAGAAGAAGCAGAAAAATATGGACCAAAACCAAAAAAAAAAATTAGTCAATAGAAACATAGATGAAAAATATATCTGAGATGAAAATATCACTAGATGGAATCAATAGCAGATTAGAAGCTTCAGGAGAAAAGATTCGTGAATTCAAAGACAGCAGTAGAAATTAGGCAAAATGAAGCATAGAGAAAAATTACTAAAAAAAAATTTACAGAGCTCAGCGATCTGTGAAAGAACATTAAGAACTTTAACACAAGTAAAACTGGAGTTCCAAAAGGAGAAAGAAGTGAATAGAAACAAATTTTTAAGAAATAATGGTTGAAAATATTCCATAATTGAAAACTGTAAATGCACAAAGAGGCTCAGCAAACCTCAACCAAGAAAAATACAAAAACGTAAAAAAAACACACACACAAAACACTACAGAACAATATAACCACATTGCTTAAAGGCAGTAAAAAGAGAAAATCTTTAAAAAACAGCCTGAGGAAAGAAAACACATTAAATACAGAGAAACGAAGATAAAAATACCACAGATCTTTCTTACTTCAGAAACTATGCAACCTCTGTTTTCACTTATTTGTGGGATCTAAGAGTAAAAACAATTGAATTCAGAAGAATGGTTACCAGAGGCTGGGAAGGGTAGTTGGGGGAAGAGGGGAAGGTAGGGGATGGTTAATGGGTACAAAAAACGGTAAGAATGAGTAAGACCTAGTATTTGATATCACAACAGGGTGACTATACTCAATAATAATTTAAATTGTACACTTAAAAATAACTAAAAGTATATGACTGGATTGTTTGTAACACAAAGGATAAATGCTAGAGGGGACGGATACTCCATTTTCCATGATGTGATCATTACATATTGCATGCCTGTATCAAAACATCTCATGTATCCCATAAATATGCATACCTACTATGAACCCATAAAAATTAAAAATTTAAAAAAAAGAAACTATGCAAGCCAGAGGACAAAAGAACAGCATCTTAAAGTACTGAAAGAAGAAATAAATGTCCTCAGACAACGAAAGCAAAAATAGACAAAGGGAATACATCAAGCCTAAAATCTTTGGTTCATCAAAAGACACAGTCAACAGATTGAAAAGGCAACCTATGGAATAGGAAAAATATTTGCAAATCAGGTATCTGATAAGGAGTTAATATCCGGAATACATAAAGAACTCCTGCATCCTTCAAAAGTGAAAAAAGAACAAAATTAAATATTTAGAAAATTAAAATAGAAAGAATTATTACAGCTCAACAGCAAAAAAAAAAATCAATAACCCAATTAAAAATGGGCAAAGGACTTGAGTAGACATTTATCTGAAGATAACACACAAATGGCAAACCAAGCATATGGAAAAATATTCACCATCACTGATCAGCAGAGAAATGCTAATCAAAACCGCAATGAGGTATCATCTCAAAGCCATTAGGATGGCTACTATGAAAACAAAAACAAGAAAACAAAATAACAAATGTTGGCAGGAAAGTGAAGAAGTTGGAACCTTTGTGCACTACTGGTAGGATTATTTAATGGTGCAATAGCTTTGGAACAGTATGGCAGTTCCTCAGAAAATTAAAAATAGAACTACCATATGGTCCAGCAATCCCATTTCTGGGTATATCTACACAAGAATTGAAAGCAGGGCCTCAAAGAGATATTTGCATACACATGTTCATAACAACACTATGCAATAACCAAAAGGAAGAAGCAACCCAAGTGTCTGTTGACAGATGAGTAAATGAATAAAATGTGACATATACATAAAATGAAATACTAGGCAGCCTTTAAAAGGGAGGAAGTTTTATCACATATTGCAACATGCATGAACCTGGAGAATATTATGCTAAGTGAAATAAGTAAACCACAAAATGACAAACACTGCATGATTCTACTTATATGAAGTTTATAAAGTAATCAAATTCATAGAAATAAAAAATAAAATGGTGGTTACCAGAGGCTACAGGGAGCATAAAGAGGGAAGTTGTTTAATGAGTACAGAGCTTCAGTTCTGCAAGATAAAAAGGTTCTGGAAATCTGTTTTACAATAATGTAAATATACTTAAAACTATTACACTGTACACTTAAAAATGAATTGTGTACTTTAAAAAGGTTAAGATGGTAAAGTTTATGATGTATGGTCTTTATAATAAAACAGAATAAATACCAATCTATAATTCTATACCTAGTGAAAATATTTTTTAGAAATGAAGGCAAAATGAAGGTTTTTTAGAGAAACATGAAAACTAAGAAAATTCAACACCTAACCTGCATTGTAAGAAACATTAAAGGATGTTCTTCAGGCAGAAGGAAAATTGTACCACATGGAAATTTTAATCCACACAAAGGAATAAAGAGTGACAGAAATAGTAAATATATTGGTAATTAAAACTCTTTTTTCTCACTTTTTAATTTATTTAAAGATAATTGACTAAACATAAACAGTAAGTATATGTAGAATCTTTAATATACGCAGAGATTAAATGTATGACAATAGCATCAAGGATGGAAGAGGAAAATGAAAGTACATTGTTAAAGATTTATACATTATATATGAAGCTGTATGATATTATTTGAAAGTTGACTGTGGTGAGTTGTAAGTATGCATATTTTAAGGCCTAGAATAATTTCCAAAAATATAAAACAAAGAGGTATAGCTAATAAGCCAGCAGTGAAGATAAAACTAAATCCTGAAAAGTGCTCAGTTAATCCAAAAGAAGGCAGAGAGAAAGGAAAATGAGCAAATGGTGCAAATAAAAATCAAATACCATAATACTATGTTTAAAACCAATCATGCCACCATTTACATTAAATATAAATAATCTAAGCACTCCAATTAAAAGGCAGAGATTGTCAGCCCAGATAAAAAAGTGAAATTCAGCTGGACGTGGTGGTTCACGCCTATAATCCCAGCACTGTGGGAGGCCAAGGCAGGTGGATCACCTGAGGTCGGGAGTTCGAGACCAGCCTGACCAACATGGAGAAACCCCATCTCTACTAAAATTACAAAATTAGCCGAGTGTGGTGGCACATGCCTGTAATCCCAGCTACTCAGGAGGCTGAGACAGGAGAATTGCTTGAACTCAGAAGGCGGAGGTTGTGGATGAGCTAAGATCGCGCCATTGCACTCCAGCCTGGGCAACAAAAGCGAAACTCCGTCTTAAAAACAAAAACAAAAACAAAAAAGCACAATTCAACTATATGGTACCAAGAAACTCCTCTAAAATATAATAATACAGATGGTATAAAATAAAAGGAGGGTAACAGAGCTACCATGCACAGCTATGCATGAGACAGCTGCAATTTCTGTATTAATATTAGAATGGCTGTAACTGCCAATATTAGCCAAGTATCACCAAGGCTTTTGCCTCATTCTGTTCTATTAATGTGATGCCTGCTTCTACTCACATTGCTGCTATTCGGCCTGGCCCAAGCGCTAAGGTTCCACCCTGAACTCCCTAGGCCCTAGTGGACTTCACTCAGATCCAGACCTCATTCCACTGCAGGGTCCTGTGAGGCCACTCTGCCCCTGTCATAGCCACATGTCTTCTTGGTTAAAATCAGAACCAGCCCCATGTAAGTCAAATTCTCCATCTGTTCCCAAACCAACCTTTCTTCTCCAGCCCAAGTTATTGAACTCTAGGTCAAAACCCATGTGGCTTTATTCCAAGTAGCATCTGAGTGCTGCCATGCTGCATAAAAGCAGGCTGCAGCAGGAATTAGTTTCTGCTTCCACCACATGGAAAGATGGAAGGGCTCCATCTTTTGCCCGACATTGCTCAATTTCTCCACACAGGAAAATTGACACCAGTATCATCTTTTGGAATGAACATTCTTTAAAACTAAGCGTTTACCTTCTTGTGTCCATAGTAGGGAGCATGATTTACTTGTACTATATAGAACTTTGCATTTTTTACAACAGTTACAGACATTTGTATCTTTTCTGGTGTCCTCTGAGATTAAGAGTAACAGGCAGTAGAGTCAGACTGCCAGGGTTTAAGTACTACTTAACCTTATCACTATCACTGACTAGCTATGTAGACTTTGGCTAGTTACTCAAACTAAGTTTAAGCTACTTGTAGAGTAGTGCGTGAATAGACTTTCAATTAAAGTAGAGATATGCGCCTGTAATCTCAGCACTTTGGGAGGCCAAAGTGAGTGGACCACGTCAGGTCAGGAGTTCAAGACCAGCCTGGCCAACCACTAAAACTACAAAAATTAGCCGGGCGTGGTGGCACGTGCCTGTAATCCCAGCTACTTGGGAGGCTGAGGTAGGAGAATCACTTGAACTCAGGAGGCAGGGGTTGCAGTGAGCTCAGATCATGCCATTGCACTCTAGCCTGGACAAGAAGAGTGAAATTCTATCTCAAAAATAATACTAAGTAGAAATATGAAACTCAGAAGTATTATACAAGGTACCTGAAGTCACCTAAAGAAGGGTAGATCGTGGATTACAATTCTAAGATTTTTCATGTATTTTGGCATCACTTCTCACCAACTCCACTGCTACTACTCTAGCATCATCTCTTGCAAAGCATATTAGACAGCTTTTAAAGTGGCTTGCAATGACTCCCATCTCCTGGTATTCACATCCTTGTGCAATTCCTTCCCCTTGAGTGTGTGCTGAACTTAATGATTTGTTTCTAACAAGTAGAATATGGCAAAGCTAAGGGGATATCACTTCTGAGTGGGCTTTGAAAGACTGTGGCCCCCATCTTATGCATGCTTTCTCTTTCCCTGGCTCTTACTGCTTGCTCACTTGCTTGCTCTCCTGAAATAAGCTTCCATGTTGTAAGTTGCCTTACAATGTCCCTAAGAGGTACATTTGGCCAGAAAGTGAGGGTGGTCTCCAATTAATATCTAGAAAAAAAACCAAAGCCCTCAGTCTAACAACCCACGAGGAACTGGCTTCCACACGAGTAAGCATAAAAGTGAATATTGCCCTAATTAAGCCTTGAGACAACTACAGCCTTGGCTGACACCTTGATTGCCACTTACAAGAGACGCTGCACCAGATCACCCAATTAAACCTTGCCCAAATTCTTGACTCACAAACCGTGAGATAATAAATGTTCGTTGTCTGAACATGTGTTGAAAAGTTTGGGGGTAACTTGTTACACAGCGCTAGATAACTAATGCGTGAAAATTATAGCAATAGCCTTCTAATGTTTCCTTACTTCTACTATTACCTTTCCAGAGTACAGAGACTTATGCTTTTAAACAAGTCTGATAAAGTCATCTTTCAGCTCAAAACCCTGCAATGAGTCCCTCCTTTTCAGAGTAAAGGTAAAAATCCTTACAAGACCTAAAAGATCCTAAGACTCCCCTTTGCTGTGACTTCAAATCTCACTACTCACTTGCTTGCACCCCCACCCCACAGGTTTCTTTACTGTTCCTCACATGTGCCGGGTGTGTTCACACATTGGCTTTTGCATTGGCTTTCCCCTTTCTCTGAAATCCTCTTTCCCCGGATATCCATACATCTAACTCCCTTGCCTGTTTCAATTGTTTAATCACCCTGTTATCTTCTCAATGAGTTCTAACCTGACCATCATATTATAAATTGCCTATATCTTCTCTTTCCCCATTCTACTTTTCTTTATCCACGGCATGTATCATCTTCTAATTTGATATATATTTTACTTATTTATTATGCTATTGTTAATAGTCTTTCCTCCAAAAATAATGTAGTCTCCAAGAGGAGAGAGAACTTTGCCTTTTTTCTTCTGTATTAGAAGATAACTAAATTAACTACCCCGCTCTCAGTAATAATCTAGAAGGAGTTTTTTCCCATACAAAGATGATTATAACCCACTTTTAGCATGTAAAAATACTTAACATGGACTTAATACATTATTTGTTATCATTACTCTTTATTTAAAGTCACAGTTTTCAAGATTTTCAAAGTGCTGATGAGATTTTATAGTGCCAAGACAGGGGTTACAGTGATCACCAAGCAAAGGCAAATCATGCCTGCTGTGACCATCTTCGCAAGGACCTTCTATCAAGACACCAAAACTTTAGAAGCAAAAATAGGAAAATTAACTTAAAAAACAAAAACGCTGATATAAACTAAAAGCATGAATGGCATTTCCTTATTCAACATATTAAACAAAGTAAAAGCTTCCAAACTCTCATATAAGAATACATGATAAGAAATATTTGGCTGCCAAATGAGTTTTATACTATTACATACCTCCTTTGTTCTATGGAAGTATGAAATAGACCTGAGGCATCCTTTATATTTATCAGAACTTGATTAGTAAGCAGCAATTCTATTTCTTTGTTCAGTTTTTATGGGCTTATATCATACTTTGATCCTAAAACAAATTCCCTAGTAAGAGAAGCAGGATTCAGCTTGTCAGGTGCCCACAAATAAAGGCCTTTTTTATTTCCTTCTTAGTTGAAAGGCTTTCCCTCAACTGTGGTTAGCAACCTCATTCCCAAGGCAGCCTTTGTGTCCAAGTAGGAGTTGTGTATGTTACCTCCAAGCATGCAAAGTGCAACGATCCCCCACTGTCTGTGTTAATGGGCTGCAAAGCTTAACAGTCCCAGATGAAGCAACATTTTTGCGTTTTTACACTTGAAACTTGGCCTTGTAATGCACCTCCATCTCCTGCCTGCCCTTTCCCTCCTACCCAGGTGCACAAGCCTGTGTGTGCACACACACCCACATACACCTACACACACACACTGAAGTATTCTTTTCCAAAGCTGCCCTTGAACTCTCTTACAATTTTCTAGCTGTATGACAAGAGAGAACAAAATACATTGAATGTCTTATACTTAATTTTTAAAAGCTGATCCAAATGCTGTCTGGGCCCAGCCACAGTCATTGAACACACGCACAGACACACACACACACACACACACACACACACACACACACACATCACAGAGCATTTTTAGTTTGACAAGAGAAGGGGACGTCAAAGGCTTGTCCCCAGAGACAGCTATTTATAAAAGACATCAAATTAATGTAACATGAGTCAATGGAGTCCACACGTTTCTTGGACTAAACAACTTGTGGGGGCCTGTGATGAGATCCAGGACACTGACGGCTGAGCAGGGGATGGCTCCGCCAACACCACTGACTCAGCTGCACATCAAAGGGATTTGTTGCTTGGATGTATGGGCAGATCTGCCCTGGAGGCTTCTCCCAGAGCTGTCCTCTTTGAATCCAGAGCAGCCCCTGCCCCCAGCAGTGCACATGTAGGTGAGGGAAGGGTGGAAAAAAGGCGAAGGGGGAAGCACAGGCATGATGGAGAGAGCAGCCTCCACATTATCCTTGAGAACAGGTCCCACCCGGCTGCTCAGTCCCAAGAACTTGCCTTGGCCTTTTCTTTGTCCTTCATGGCCACTACCCCTTCTACCAGGAACATTACCCTTCAGGCTGAACTTTCAACTATTCCAAAAATATTTATTGGGAGCTTTGTGTGTGTTTGCGGGTTGGGGGCACAGAAGGAAACAAGACAGCCCAGGTTCCTGTTCCCATGGAGCAATCTCACAACTTGGCAGTTAGCTGCAAATGCAGGAACCACTTGGCTTAGGTTTGAATCATGCCTCTCCCGCATTCCAATCGTGTGACTTTTGGGAAATTTGCTTAATTTTTCTAAGCTTCACTTTTGCATTTGTAAAATGGAGATAAGAATATGACATCTCCAAAGAGCTATGGTGAGGATCAAGTAATATAAATGTCAAGTGCTTCAGAACATTGTCAGGCACATAGTAAATATTTAGTAAATGTTAGTGATTGTCAACTATTAAATTGTCACCATCTGCCAGTCACTGTGTAAGGCACTGGGTGTGGAGAGAATAAAACACATGGTCCTTGCCATTATGAAACTTTTATTTTGCTGGGGGTGACAGCCAATAGACTAACAACCAGGTGAATGTACAGTAAGTCAGATGATAACTAGTAATATGGAGAAAAATAAAGGAATAATGAAAAAGAAAGAATCATGAAATGAACCTACACTGAGAATAAAAGAAGCGAAACAAGATTAAAACAAACAAAGCACCTACTCTTCTCTGACACACCAGACCCCCAATCTCAAATAGCGGAAGAGAAGCAATCTACTTTGTCCCCTTTCTTCATGCAGAAAAAAGAAAAGTTCTTGGAAACCGTCTTTACTAAACTCTAGAAGTTCCTGAGAGTGGGATACTTGTCCTTATTTATTTTCTCTGAGATTACCATTATTAGTGCCATTCAGCATCTCTAACTATAAATCTACTTGGTATCCTAGCAATTTCAAGACACTCCAGTTTTAAAAGTACCACATGGAATAGTAAGGCACTTACTATTCTAGTTCTTTTGAATCCATTCATGATAAAGGGTCTAAAAGAAACTAGGATCAATGACTGTCATCTGCACGGCACAGCAACATACTCTTGAAAAGACGTGAGAGCATAACATTGCCCTGACTTTGCAAGAAACAGCACAAAGAATGTACTCAAGGTGATGAGGAAAAGCAGTGGCAAGGTAGTATATAGTATATCTCATTGCTGTTATCAATATAATCTTCAGCCAGCATCTTTAAGTGGCTTCTAAAATTGAATTAATTATTCAGTGGAAGCCTCGGAGGCAGCAAGAACTCACCTTTCAGAGTTTTATTTACCCTCATCACCTGCTGTTTGCTCTGGGTTTATTTAAAATCGTAATCATGTCTCCTGTGATGGAGGATTTGGGTTACTTTGTGGTCACATGTGGAAAATATTATATATCCACATCAAATGTAAATGTGGTCTCTCTTAGTAGAAATCCATGTCGTTTCTCTGGAATTAGACCATGTTGACCCTGTGGGCATATGAGATTTAAGTCTACAGGGAGTCCTAAAGAAAAAAAACGTCCTTGAAGCATCCAGGAGAGAACAGTTCCTCAGTCCTTTCATAGCACTTTGTAATTACCGCTCATCACCATAAACAGACAAACAAACAAACAAAAACTTAAAGAACAAAAGAATGTACTGATTTGCAACATTATCTTGGTCCAAAGGGGTTGTTTTGCATTATGCATGCAAGAACAATGAGGAAATCCTCCACACCTGTTAAAAAACGACAGCCCTACAACCAAGAGCCCTACAGTTCCTTTTGCGTCTATGGGGGAGGAGCAAAAAGGACTCATTCCTAAACCCAGGGCAGGCTTCAGGGCGTGTGACCAGTGGAGTCGCACAGGGCCCTTCCTCAAAAGGGCCCTGCACTAGGTTATTAAGACTCGTCAATCACTGTCTTGAATTTCTTAGTAAGTTCAGCTTGGAAGTTATATAGAAGATTCGGAGTCCCAGCTCACATGCAGTCCCTTCTCTGGCACCTCCATACCCCTCCGAGATGGGTTCTCAGTCAGCTTCCTCGGCCCCTGACAACCTGAACTTGATCCAGTTTCCCCCTCCTGGCTCCCTGCCCAGCCCCTGCTGCCGCCCTCCAATGGGGCCCACTGAGTCAAGTGCACCGACAGAGAGGCCCGCATTCCGGGAGGTGCCTGCGCAGGGAGGAGCCAGGTCGGACGCACCCATGGTCCCCAACTCTCCCCAACACGTGTCTCAAGGAAAGACATGGCCTTGGCGGCACCGCCGTGGGTTGGGCAAATGACTCTGCTAGCGGCAGCCTCTTGCCTACTCTGATCCTGCTACCAAGTGCAGTCTATTTAGGCGTTGCCATGACCGGGGATTGAGGTTGTGGACTGTGAGAAACTGGGATTGACCACCGCCCACAGAGCCGGTGGGAAGCGGACCTCAGTAGCCTGTGCTCTGCCCACATGCCCCGCTGCCTGGGAAGGCTAAAAGAACGCAACATTAAGTATCAAATTAAAAATACCGTGATCAGTCGAGAGAGAGACAGGGTAGCAAGTTTTATATTTTATTACCTTTAAGGCCACTTTTCTCTTGTTTTTTTGAAAAAAAGGCCCCCACATTTTCATTTTGCCCTGGGCCCTGCAGAGTATATACCCTGCCTTCCCTAGACCAAGGCTGTGCCAGGCAACACGTAGACCAAAGAGGCTAGAACTTGAGCTCTTGAGTCAGACTGCCTAGGCACATACCTGAAATGCATCTTGTGTAACGTGGGAAAATGCATTTAACATCTCTGCTTCAGTTTCCCCTTCTACAAAATGGGGATAATGTCTTAGAGTGCCTTTGTGAGGATTATGCCATTTATAACATGAAATACTTAGTATCTGAAATATAGTAAGGCTTCAATAAAGGTTAGCAATTATTATATATTAAATATTATATATGGTATCTGCATAGATTCCATAATACAATTCCAAATAAAATTATTTCCCTTTACAGATGAAAAAACTAAGGCATAGTGGAAAGCAGCTTTACCTAATCCTAAATAGCAAAGCAAAGACTTTAAAGCAGTCTCTTCTAATTCAAGGGTATCTATGTCCTCCCACTAATTATGCAGCCTGCAGCTTTGTACGATACACAGTTATGAAACACCTTGAAATCATGTGCACAATATTGAAACTGATCTCTGCAGAAGCGTGCTCTTAAGCTCAAGATGGCTACAATACCCAGGACAGTGTTGATGCTCAAATAATGTTTGACGAAAATGAGTGGAGGATGAACAAATGCCTCTAAAGTGGCATTTCTTTTTTCCCCACACTTTTATGACCAAATGGCAGAGGAGAGTAAACTCTTAAGGGGCATGGGTGAGGGCTGGAGCAGTGCTTGTTGAGGTAGGAACTGGATGCATAGCTGTAAGATTACCATTTCTTTATTTAATGTTTCATTTAAACTGAAATAATTGTGCGTGCTTGGCATTCTACTGAAGAAGTTATATTTTTAAGGAAAATAGTAGGGGGGTGTTCTATTTTTTTCTTTTCTTTTTTTTTTTTTTTTGAGACAGAGTCTCACTTTGTCGCCCAGGCTGGAGTGCAGTGGGGCAATCTCGGCTCACTGCAACCTCCGCCTCCTGGGTTCAAATGATTCTCCTGCCTCAACCTCCCAAGCAGCTGAGATTACAGGTGCCCACCACCACACCCAGCTAATTTTTAGATTTTTAGTGCAGATGGGGTTTCACCATGTTGCCCAGGCTGGTCTCAAACTCCTGATCTCAGTTGATCCTTCCTCCTCAGCCTCCCAGAGTTCTGGGATTACAGGCATGAGACACCACACTTGGCTGATATTCTCAAAATATTTAAGTAAATGCATTTCCCATGAAAATATGCCATATTTAAAACTTGGGATAACAATTATTTTTATGGATCCCTTTCCACAAACCACAGCCAGGAAAACCACATGTTGCTTATATTTCCCCAGCTGTCACAACCTGGTTCAGGTGAAATCCAGCAGCAGAAAATTCTAAAGTTTCCTCAAACATTTTTCAGTTAAATAGAAGAAGTCCAAAGAAGTAGCAGTGATTGAAACAATAAAGGAAAAAATATAATAACATATCAGTTCTTGAAGAGATTTTAGCTCCAGCCAGGCGCAGTGGCTCACGACTGTAATCCCAGCACTTTGGGAGGCCGAGACAGGTGGATCACGAGGTCAAGAGTTCAAGACCAGCCTGGCCAACATGGTGAAAGCCCATCTTTACTAAAAATACAAAAATTAGCTGGGCAGGGTGGTGTGTGCCTGTAATCCTGGCTACTCAGGAGGTTGAGGCAGGAGAATTGCTTCAACTGGGACCTGGGAGGCAAAGGTTGCAGTGAGCTGAAATCGCACCACTGCACTCCAGTCTGGTCTACAGAGCGAGACTCCATCTCAAATAAATAAATAAATAATTTTTAAAAAAAGAGATTTTAGCTGCATATTTCGCCAAGCTTGGTGTCCCAGACACCTGCGCTGGAGGTAGGGAGAGGGGCCACATGGAAGGATATTTGTCAAAAATTCGGATTCGTGGCTTCCACCACAGACATATTGAATCTTAAAATATGAGGAGAGGTCTCTGAATCTGCATTTGTACCAGCTGTCTAGTTGCCCCTCACACTAATGTAGCAGGGGGCGCCATTCCTCCATGAGGTTTCTATCATTTGGAGCATCAAGTCTCAAAAACTCAGTATTTATGGGAGTCAAACTGAAGTTCTTAGTAAAAATCCAGACTCTCTGAGCAAGAAGCCCCCCAGAAATTTGGATTCAGTAAGTCTGAAATCTGCACTGTAGCAAGCAGCTCACCACCTTTCCCACCCCGCTATCCTTCTGATGCAAGTGGCGCTAAGACCATATCTTGAGAAATACTAACATAAAATATAAAGCCCCAAATTATTAACTTTTAGTATTTTAGAACATCCATAATTAAACTTCAAACTTTTAAAATCCAACACATGTTTTTTGAAGAGATTCTATGTGCTAGGGTCAGGGAAAGGAAGATGAATTTGCCCTTTTCTAAAGGGAATCAGAGTTGAAGAAAGAGAAATAGCCAGGTAAGCAATAGCTGCCATACACTTTAATTGGGTGGTACATGTGCATGACCCCTTAAAGTGCTGATTAACATTGTTGATTGTATACCTTGAATCTACAACATATATAGTAAAACAACTCATAGTTCTTACAATAAGAGCAGTCACCATGTATTGAGCTCCTGGTGTGTGCTAACTGCTGAGACAGAGATATTTTTCAAACAATAACTACCCAATCCAACAAACCTGCATAGTTTTCAGATCCTCTTTTTACATATTAAGAAACTGGCTCAAAGGACTTCAGTAATATCTCAGTGCAAGATTTCAAAGTGAGTAAAAAGCTGGGGTGGATTGCAAACCTAGGTCTGTTCTACCCTAAAAACTGTCTTCCTTCTTGAGTTCATGTCCTTTGCAGGGCCATGGATGAAGCTGGAAACCATCATTCTCAGCAAACTATCACAAGGACAGAAGACCAAACACCGCATGTTCTCACTCTGAGGTGGGAATTGAACAATCAGAACACTTGCACACAGGGTGGGGAACATCACACACGGGGGCCTGTTGGGGAGTAGGGGACTGGGGCAGTGATAGCATTAGGAGAAATACCTAATGTAAATGACAAGTTGATGGGTGCAGCAAACCATGGCACACATATAACTATGTAACAAACCTGCACGTTGCGCACATGCACCCTAGAACTTAAACTATAATAATAAAAAAAAAAAATGTCTTCCTTGTAAGAGAAGCTGCCTCCTTAAATTTACACATTTTGGAAGTTTATAATGTATTTTAAATTACAGTATTCTAATTAATTTTCACGGCAATGGTAACAATTATTTTTTATTCCTATCTTGCTGATAAGAAAACTGATTTCTGAGAAGTCAAGGAACATGCCCATGAAACATGAAAAATCAAACTTGAAACCAAGACTCTATGAAAACTGATGATATCTTCATAACACTATATATATTGATCAGTTTAAGTTATGCTTGATGGAAAACAACAAACAAAAAAATAACCCCACAATCTCAGTGTTGATGACAACAAAGGTATATTTCTTGTTCATATTAATGTCTGTTGCAGACGGGTTTCAGTTGAACTTCATATCTTTGGCATTCCAGGGTAGTTCTTTTTCTGGGAAGTGAGTCTGCCCTTGCAGCAAAGGAAAAAGCAATGATGGAACCATGCAATAGCTCTGAACGCTTCCATTTGGGAGTGACGTATGTCACTTCTTTTACTTTTAAATAGACAAAGCAAGTCACATGGCCAGGCTGCTATTCAGAAGCTACTGAGAAATGACACTGCTTTCCTGAGCGAACAGATTTGACATACCTCTGCACTTCTACCACTGAAATCTTGTCTGAGCTGGGAGGCAGCATCATTCTCTGACATCAGCAGGAACACCAACTATAACGTTTCATGGCATTCTGACACAAGAAATCAAAGACACAGGGGAAGAGAGGTAGAGAAACATTTCTTTGGAGCCTCAAGAGTGATAATCACAAGAGAATATGTTCAGATTTGGGGGTTGCCCTCTGCCTGAGACAGAGGTACTCATAGGCTCTTTGATAACTATGTTTGTGTATGTATTTGTGAGACCCAACAAAACCTTGGTAACAATTATTGCATAAATCAGCACCTTTCCAATTCTAAAATGTGAAGTCAGTTGTGAAGTATGTTGTGAGTAATTCATTACTAATAATAATGTTACTACTACTAATAACACTACTAATAACTAAAGTTTTTAAATAATTGACATTTGTAAACAAATGAGGATAAATTTAAGGACAACCTTTACATTCTAGCCTGCTTATTTCCTTACTCACATGCTAATGTTTTCTTAAATAGGAGAGAAAGTGTTGGGGCTATAGCTACTTTCTAAAGAATTGTGTTTAACCAACCATTATTACACCCCTGAGTGTGTGTCACAAACGTGAACTTCAATTTACATGTGTGTTGTGGCCAAAAACAGGTTGAAAACTACTTATCTAAACCACAATCCCATTTATCACTTCTATATCATAGCAAGTAGCTCCATGTCTGTTCTCACTAGCCAGACAGTAAGCATCCCAAGAACAAGAACCATATTTCCCCGTTTCCTTGTATTGATCACAGTTGAATCTGATACTACTAGAAGGAATCATTATTGGCAGAGGTAGGGAATCTGTTTATTCCTCTTAAGGGCCACTGACCCATGGAGGAGGAAAATCTAATGATAAGCATATAGCAATATAACTTTTTATTGAAACATGGTGTCTTAGTCCATTTAGTGTTAGTATAAAGAAATAATTGAGGGTGGGTAATTTATAAGGAAAAGGGGTTTGTTTGGCTCACCCTTCTGCAGGCTGTGCTAGATGCCTGGTACCAGCATCTGCTTCTGATGATGGCCTATGGCTGCTTCCACTCACAGCAGAAGGTGAAGCAGGGTCAGTGTGTGTAGAGACACATGGCGAGAGAGGTAGCAAGAGAGACAGGGGTGGTGCCAGGCTCTTTTTAACAACCAGCTCCCATGAGATTGAGGTCAGTGAGAACTCTATTCCCACAAGGACTGCACTAAACCATTCATGAGGGCTCTGCCTCCATGACCCAAGCACCTCCTATTAGTCCCCACCTCCAACATTGGGGATAAGTTTCATCATGGGATTTGGGAGGACAGACATCCAAACTACAGCACATGGAGAAAAAAAGAGCATTTTATCTACAAATTTTTTAAGTTATCAACAGAGCTAAATGATACGATGAGAATTTTCCCTTCATCTCATCGAGATCAACCAACAAAATATTTTTGAATAATTATGGTAGAGATTACAGACTGCCAAAAAAAAAAAAAGAACTAGCATTAGTGCACTTGTCCAAGCCAGAAAAAATTAAGTTGTGGACAGTATCTAATGATTAGCTTTTTCTCACACCTTGATCTGAACCGGGGAATGGGCAGTGAGTACCCCAACAGTTATATTTGCAATCAGAGATTCTGAAGAGTCAAGCAACAAAAGACTCCCACCCTGCCAAGTACAGGCCCAGAGCTGAGACTTCAAAAATGGAAAAGAGGAATTATTTGTTCAATGACCAGAATACATTTCACTTACCTTAATTTCAACTCAAGTCTTTTTGGGCTATCCAGATACAAAAAGTCAACTGATACAGAAAAAGGGAAAGCATACATTGGATATCCCGTTCCCAACTTAAAACATTAAACTGTAAGAAATCTGAGTTGACATTTATGATGATAGCTGCTCCTGAGCAAGCAAGGAAATAGAAAGGCTTTTATTTTCTTTAAAAAGGCAGACAAGCTTCTGAGGCCCTCCCCAAAACAGAAACTTGATGTGTATTTTTTCCCTTTGAAGTCAATAGGAATTAAATCTTGGAGATACACAAGGCAGAGAAATGCCAGTATTCTGAACATTCAGTAACAACCAAGCTGCAGACGGCTTTGCCTGATAACGTAAAGAAACCAAATAATTCAAATATAGACCCATTTCCCCATGACATGGTCTTCTATTTTATTTTTAATTTTATTATATGCTAGGCAGATTGACTGCAAGAAAGGCGTGAGTCAAATACAACAACAACTTTCTTTTAAAAAATGATAGCTCAAATGTTGAATCCTTCCTAAAGGCTTTACCAATGGTAGCACATCTAGCAAATGAAAATATATGTACAATTGAAAAAGATTTACAATGGCTGGGGGAGGGGATGCTATTTAATTCTTTCAAGGAAGCCATTTTTACATAGATCTTTTCAAGTATGGTTAAGGCCCAAAATTTATGATAGACTTCCACTTGAAAGAAGGGAAAAACACTGGGTGCCTTATTAGATGCCTACGTTGAATGAAGTACCTATTTATTTGAATAAGGAAATGGCCCCTCTCTTCTCCATTAGTTTATATCTTCCTATTTCCCCTCTCTGTTTGGCTGAAGCTGAAGCTAAGCCCTGATTTACACCAGTTCTTAAAAAAAAAAATCCTGTGACCCTTTCCACAAATCCTAACTAGAAGTGATGGCTTAGCCTGCATAGAATGGCTCCAGCTAATAAACTCCTCTCTCCAGCCAGATTCCTCACTGTGACGTTGAACTCATATCTCCCACACAAGGTTGAGGATGTGTGGGAGAGACACAGGCAGTGAAACAGCTAAAGTCAGAACCACAGTGTAGAGTAAGAAGTCTTTGGGTCTAACCAAAGCACTGAGCTTCTCAAAGACTTCTTATTCTTTTATTTATTTATTTATTTTTCGCAATGCCACCTTGGCATGCAAAACATTAAACTGTAAGAAACCTTGGCATTGCAAAAAAAAAAAAAAGAATAAGAAGTCTTTGGGAAGCTCAGTGCTTTGGAGGTGAAGATCACAGCTGTCATACGGGCCTTTACAGTGACAGGTACTTTACATACACGAGGCTGTATAATCCTGTCAGCTCACCTAGGAGGCCTCTGTTTTAGGGTTGAAGAAACTGAGGCCTAGAGAGTTTGAATAAGTTGCCCATATTAGCATTTTTAAAGCTAGATCTGTTTAAATTCAAATTCCCCGTTTTAACCACTCATTTTGCCCAAGGTGCTATTAGAAGGTTATCTCTGAAAGAATAAATAAGACATTGATAATAGCAGTTCCTTGAGGATGGGGGTGGAGGGATACAAGAACCAGAAATCTAAGGAGACGGAAAAGGAGACATATTTTTCACTGTACACCCCTTTGTACATTTTTATTTTTTTACCTTGCATTGTTGATCTTCATTATTCATGGATTTCCTGTTTGCAGATTTGTCTACCAGCTATAATTTATGTGTAACCCCAAAATCAATACTAGCATGCCTTCACCGTCATTCACAGACATTCATACATTGGCAGAAATTTTGGATTGCCCCAACAAGCACATTCCCAGCTGAGGTGGAACCCGGAAAAGCTCTGCCTTCGGCTTCAGTTCTCATACAGAGATGAGTCGAGGGTGGTGACAGCAAGGAACTGATCTGGGCAGTGCTGGAAACTCCAGCTCTGGGCTGGTTGGATGGGGTTGAGTCCCAGTCTGGCACCTATTAGTGGGGTGGCCTCAGACAAGTCACTTAACACTTCTGATGCTTGTTTTCTCTTTTGAAAAAGTAAAGAAAATAGAATCTACTAGCATGAATTGGGTTCGGGATTTATATTATAATCTATGTATATATGTGTACATATTTCCCTGGGAGAAATAGTTCTGTATTCACTAATTCAGTGTTCACAGCAACTCTGTAGAGCATAACTACCATGGATAATGAGAATCGACTTCATATGCATTTTTAATACTGTGTCTGAGGGAGTACGTATATGTGTGTATTATATATGTGATTTTTATGATTATGTGAGCACAATGGTTGGGGGGGCTTTTAAAAAAGGGGGTATATATCCTTAAGTGTTAAGGATGAAGTCAAGAACATAGTCTAGGTTGTCAACCCTAAATTTGAGACAAAGAGCTCATATGGACTAAGGAAGACAGGAAAAGGTGCCAGTTGACCATGTGGACAAGGCACGTTAATAGATCTAAACACATTAATAGAAGTAATCTCATCCTTTAGATAGTCTAGGAATTAATACTCAGTGAGGATTCAGAGATAGTTCTGAGATTGGAAGTGAACTATAGAGGCCCTGAAGGGCAAAACATAAATACTCTTAGCCAAGGTATCTTTCAAGCGAAAGTATGCTTGCAGCTGCTGAACCATGAGTCTATCCAAGAAGGAGGACAAGCAATGGCAGAAGAGCTCCAGGTGTCATCAAGTGGGAAGCTGTGGAGGTGCTGCAGCAGCAGATATTGGGAGCCCAGCTGCGGGAAAGCTGGGGGCTCAGGAAGCTAAGACGAGGCCAATGGGTCATGCTAGAGTCCATAGCTGAAATCAAGTGCTGAATGGGTCCCATGACCCAAAAAAGGTTAAGAATTTTACCTAAAAAAATGTATAAAATATTTGATTTTTTTTATAATTCCATCACCACTCTTAGCAGTTTTCTTTTTAAGGCAATGTTTTGAAAAGAAACAGAAAATCCTTGCAAACGTCCAACTGCAAGGAATATGTGGCCCCAGCAGCTGTGCTCTAAGATCCATTGCCATGTTTGTGCCGAGGTTGGGCTTCCCATTGGCTGCTTTGCATGGGGCAGGGATGCGGAGGCAGGCTCTTTATTGGGGGACAGAAGACTGTGCTGACCATGACTCTGGCTTGAGGACCCATGGCCTTTCCGAACCTTCCTTAGACTGCACAGTGGCCTAGGGCACTTTCACACAACCCTCCCTCCCTCTTTCCTTGTCTATGTTGCAACTGCATCCCAGTCCCGTGGCCTCACCCTGCTCACTCTCCATTTCCTCTCACAAGGCTGTTCCCCTAATAAAATCCTTACATGTTTATTCATGTCTTTTCATCTGCTTCTCAGATGACCTGCACTAACAAAAGAACCAAACTTCGAATGCTTCATAAAAGTTGCCGAGCTGTGAACAACAATTAAAAAAAAAAAAAAAAACAGAGAACTTGGAAACCACACTGTGTGCTCTGCCGTCACTTGTTCACTGCCCCTCCGTTTCCAAACTCAAAGCCACAGGATGTAGATTCAAGGCTTCTAAATCAAGATTATAGGTTACTGTACATCTCAGACTGTATACTTAATTTGAAACCTTTAACAATCTCATGTAAGTGAATTTGAAATCTCCTCATGTTATGAGATCCATTCCACTGAGCATCTAAAGTACTCTGGGCATCTAAAACCACATTGTAGTCTAGAGAGGCCAGGGCCCTCATGCCTCCAGGCCATTCTACGTGCCTTTCCTGGATGCCCTTCCCTGCCATTTCTTCCTAGTGAATTTCTACTTGTTCTTCAAAACAAAGCTCAAAGTTCACCTTATCTAGGAGACCCTCTCTCATTCCCCCAGCTAAATTACCTTCTTGTCTCCTGTGCTTCTTTAGGGATTTGTACCTAACTTTACTGAAATACCTATCAAGTAGAGTTTTTTTTCAGGTGCCGGTAATTTAATAAGTAACTAGAAGTGCCTGAAGCAAGAGGAGATTATTATCACTACTACCTCACAGAACAAGAATTCTGGAGAAAGTTGGTAGCACGGTTAGTTCAGTTCTACATTGTTATCAAGGACGATCTCCTTTCTATCTGTCCATCAACCATCCCCAACGAGTTAGAAAATTGCTCCTCAAGCTCCAACCACCATCACCTCAAAACCACTCTCAAAAGCAGGAAGAGAAGGAGCGATATCCTACCCACTTGTCTCCATTTTTGATTAGTGGAAAGGATTTCCTTTCCAGGTATGCTTTTCCAGAAGAGTCTAACTTTTGTCTCACTGGCCAGGAAGAAGGCCACATGGCCATTCCAGCCAATCATGGTAAAGGGGAACAGGATTACCTAAGTGGCTTTAACCAATCATAATGCATCCCTGAATAATGAGGCCTACCTTCTTTGGGCATCTTGCTGCTTTATTTATTTATTTATTTTTAAATCAGGGCCCAGTTAGCCAGGAAGACAGAAAGAGTGACTGTTGAACAGAGAACCAATGGTGTCTGCCTCATCCCTGACTTGGAATTGCCAGGTTACTGCCTCTCTTTGCCACCACAGCTCTACAGTTCTTGGAGGGCAGGAGCCTTGTCTTATTCATCTTTACATCATCCATAACTGGCCCGTAGTAGCATTCAGTATGAGTTTTAACATTTGAAACATTCATTTGTCTGAATACAAACAAATACAGTAAACATGGAAAACTACTAAAATGCTTAAAAATATGCTTACAAAATAAAACATTAGATAGATTCTGCAACGCCTCCCATGAAAGATTAATAGGAATGCTATCTTGATTGTAGACAGTATGAGAGTCGGTTGAAGAGGATAATTAACCAAGGTGAAATAACAACAAAAACATTCTGACTCAATAGCCTATAGTCAAAATCCCATACCCACTGGCTTTCTGATGTGTGCTTCAAATACAGTGTTAGTGCCTCACTATTTAAATAGTGACCATGGAATACATGGTGCACCAAAGAGATGCTTACACTAGTGAAAACGAACACTAATGAAATTTTACTGGAGGCCACAGACAACCACAATTATTGATTTTACATGAGATCTACTACTTATTAAAGCCTTTTGCAATTCTTGGACTTCAGAGGTTATCAAGAAACAGACTAAATCTCTCTGAATTGGGTCCTTTCAACAATTCTGATTACACTCACCTGATATTTCATTTTAAATTTCATGTTTATAAACACATTCCCCTCTCATTCTAAGACCAGAGGTCAGACATTAATTGCTCTCCAAGGATGGCTTTGCCCAATTTGGGAACGGGCCAGATTGTTGTGTTAGAAATTTTCCTCAGTCAACAACCTTTTTGAAAAGACCAATTCATAGAAGGCGTGGATACATTTAGAGAAAAACAGCTCTCTAAAGGATGTAAGAAGGGTATAAAAATCACTATAAACTCAACTATGTGTGTAAGAACATTTGCAACTGTACATTTTCCGTAAAATAATTTAATTTTATTATAAGCTCCCATTGGGCCATGCAGGTAGAAAATTTAACTCAGTCATTAAGGTTCCCTGTCCACCAATACCAACATGGGTCTGTGGCGTGCTTCCAAGATTCTATGCAGGTCCAAGATATCTTGAGGGTAGAAGAGGCCCTCTGGTTACACATCATCTATCCACACATTTTCTCACGTCTACAGATTGCTGTGAGGCCATTTTTCCACTGATGTGGGAAATTATTTTCTCATCTCTACCCCTTTCTCCCAGCCTAGAGAAATCTTTCTTTCCTTGGGAAGTAACTATTGTAGTTAAACATAAAGGATAACTCTAAAGAAATAAGGTTGCTTTCTGTATAATTCACACATCATTCTACACATTTAAAAAAAAAATTTACCAGAACATGAAATTGTTTCTAATGCTATAAAAAGGGAACAAGGCATCGAGGTTATGAACACGAACTGTGAGCCAGTCTGCCTGGGTTTGATATATGACCTTGGGAAATTTATTTTACCTCACTTTCTTCATCTGTAAAATAGAGACAATGCAACTATTTCAAAGGAGCTGTCACGAGGTTTATATGAGATAAACATATAAAGTATTCAAAACAGTACTTAGCATTTAATAAGTATTGTAACTATTGCCATTTTTATTTCTATAATAATATTGAAAATTAAAATATAAAAATGTATACAGGCTGAGCATCCCTAGTCCAAAACTCCAAAATGCTCACAAATCCAAAACTTTCTAAGTACCAACATGACAACATAAGTGGAAAAATTTACACCAAACCTCATGTGATGGGTCTCAGTCAAAATGCAGGCAAAACTTTGCACAAAATTATTTAAAATATTGTACAAAATTACACTCAGGCTATGTATATAAAGTGTTTATGAAACATAAATGAGTTTTGTGTTTAGATTTGGACTCCATCCCCAAGACGTCTCATTATGTACATGCAAATATTTCAACATCCAAAAACTTTTGAAATCCAAAACACTCTGTTCCCAAGCATTTCAGATAAAGAATACTAAGTCTGTATTTTACATTTTTTTGTACATTCAGTAAAGGACCTATTATGAATCATATGCTGAGGCTTCCATGATAAATAAGTTGGGAATGGATTAGCTAGACATGTCAAGATGCTTGGGATAGTTAAGCCCTTTGAAAGAGGTAACACAGGATGCAGTGAAACAAGGGTCATTTAACTATCTTAGAGGATGAGACTGGGTTTTTCAGGCGAAGAACAGAGGAAGTCTCTCTCAAGAAGAGTAGCAGCGTGTAAACTCTGGAAGTAAAAAGAAATACGGCTTATTTGAAAAATTGCTAAGCATAACTAGGAGATCAAGGCAATAGTCTTGCTTTAGAGAGAAATAAAGTTCAAGACAGAAGTAAGGGCCAAATCATCAAAGCCCTGTGTGCGCAGTGGTGTTTGCACTTCATCTTGAAAGCTCGGGGGAGCTATCAAAGAGCAATGTTGAGGATCAGATGAATGCAACAGGCATATGACTATGGAAAACAGAAGAATTGAAAGGATAAGGCTGGGTATGGGAACGATTCTCTGGAGTCCATGGCAGTTATCCTGGTGGGAAAAATAAAACAACTGAAGGATGGATTAAAGTATAGTAGTGGTAATGGAGCTAAAGAAAAGAGGAAAGCCTCAAGAGAGATTAAGGTCAAAAACATGATAAGTCTTATGACTTTGGGGCATGGGAGTGAAGAAGGGATTCATAAACACCCAACATCCTAGGCTGAGCAACTAAGTGGAAGGTAGACAGAGAAGCAAATCTGGAGAAAGTCCTCTGCCTAGAACCTCTCCCTGCAGAGAGCCCGTGACTCTCTTATTTACCTTGCTACAGTCTGGGCTCCAGGCCACCTCTCTGAGAGGGCTTCCTTGACTCTCCCACCTAAAATGCAAATACCGTCATCCTCCATTACCTTGATTAATTAGTGGTATTTTTCTTCAATGCATTCATCTGTTCCTGACAACATACTGTATTGTTTTCTGCTCATCTCGCCCATCAGAACACAAGTTCCATGTAGGTAGGAACAGTGTATTTCTCATTTGCTCCAGAGTGAATCTCCAGAGATGTATATGCCTGGGACAGAGTAGCTGCTCAGTAAATATTAATTGTGTGAGTGAGCGATGAGTTCAGTGCAGGACATGTTGAATTTTAGGTTTCTGCAGCACCTACGGTAGGACTTACTGAGATGCTGAGTAAGCAGTGAAAATGCAGGTCTGATGCTCGGAAGGAAAGCGGGGCTACATCCATCAGTGCCGCATGCATCAGCCCAGTGATGAGGATAGCCGGGATGAGGGGGCTGTGGGTGATATCCTCCCCAGGGGAGTGGAAAAGAGAAGCCAAGGATGAATTCCTGAGATCTTCTACATTTAATGGAGAAGAATAAGAGTCTGAAAAGCATCTGGGGCAGTTAAAGAAAACCCAGGAGGTAGCGATACCATGAAAGCCGAGAAAACAGTTTCAAGGAAAAGGTTTGATTAACAACAGGGCCAAAACCACAGAAGAGTCAAGAGAAAGATGTCCTGTTAAACACATATATATATATATAGTTTTCTCTCTCTCTCTGTCTCCCTCCCTCTCTTCCCCCAGCAAAATACCTAATGCAAGAAGTCAAGATTGGAGAACCAAAGCATTTTTCTTCTGATCTTTAACCACAATCCCACATTATCCATCATTTCTTTAACTGTAAATTTCTATTATAGCTTCTTATCACAGTTTCTAGCCCATAGATTACTGTATTTTACAAATATATATATTTAGAAGCATATATATATGTAGAGAGAGAGAGAGAAGCAGCCTTACAAAATTAATTCTAATTATTTTCAAAATCAAAAGTCATTTCAGTTCTAGGTCAGAGCTCCCAGGATCGCCTATGAAAAGTTCTGAAGGAAAAACCTGGATAACATTTCTCTTTCCACAAGTCTCGCAAGGACATTCAGACCATCTGATTCATAACTCCCAGGAGATCAGGCTGATCCAGCACTTGTCCTTGTAAAAGCCGAAACCCTTTCCTTGGGATGCAGCAGCCTTATCACATGACCTCGGCTGGCCTAGCAGAGCAGGTGGGTGTGACATAATAAAATGCATTATGAAGGCCACCCTAGGAACTTTGGGAAGGGACTGGACTTGCCTCAAAAAGTATGCACATCCAGTTGGGGCGCAGGAGGGAGGAGGGGCCTGAGAGGGTAAATAAAGCCAGAGCTGCTAGGAGCTGAATTCCCTTTCCAGCAGCATCCTGAAGTCTTTGTTTCAGAATAAACTGGTGACAAGGAGAAAGGAGAGGAGGGGAGGGACAAGCTGGTGTCCTTTGGCCCATTACGTGCCTTTAGGTTTCCAGTGGTTCTCAGGCTTGCTACTCATTGGAATTACCTGGGGAGCTTTGAAAACCCTGGTATCCAGGGACAGGACCCAGACATTAGTATGTTTTTAAGCTTTCCAGGTGATCCCAATGTGCAACCAAATTTAGAACTTTAATACAACTGCCTAGCCTAGGATCACTCCTGGAATGTCCTGGGAGGGCATTCTCCAGACCCGGTTATCACGGACCCCTGGAGAGGGTCAATGGTCATCACAGAGTGCAGGGAAATTCCCTGACCTTGTCTCGTTAAGCAGTGCAAGCAGCAGCAGTTTCACAGGGCACATGACCCCCATGGCAGCCAAAAAGGGAATTAGCCACTTCAGCGGAGACGTTGCTTAAGGCAAAGGAATTTCCCCTTGTGCTCCTCATTTGCCCAAACAGAACACACGGTTTACTCATCCATTCTGAAGAAAGATTTTGAGTTCTCAAGGATGTAGTCATTGTTCTATAAAGCCTTACAATTTAAAGTGTGAGCCCAAAACAGGAGTTTTGTCATCTTTGGGAAGCTTGGTGTGAATTCAGAATCTCTGGTTCTACCCTAGACCTGCCCAAAACTGTGTAAATACTGCTGGACTGGATGGAACACAGGATGTATTAGAATATTTTTCCTGTATTTAAATGTACACAAGAAAGGAAGACATGCTCATGGATTGACACATCTTGAGAAAGACTTGGGAGAAAAAGACAAAACAAATGTGTCAAAAAGAGAGAATGTAATACACAACCTTGCTTCATTTGAAACTGATTTTTGTTGTTTGTTTTTGTTTCGTTTTGTTTTTTACTTACCACCAGGAAATAGCTAAATTGAGTAAGAACATCTTAAAACTTAAGGGAGAAAAACTGAGTGATCAACCAAAACCTCAAGAGGAAATAATTAAGAATTTCTGGGGGGAAAATAGTGATAGTCTGTGAATGAGGACCCTACCGTATTAGCGCAATAATTAATGAGCCTAAAAGACACTGGTTACCATATGACTTTCCCTAAGCCTCAATTTCTTTAGGTGTAAAACAATACATTTAAATGAATAATCATTGTGGTCTCTTCTTGCTCAAAATTTTACCATTTGAAGATCCTTGACATTGAATCAAATATCCAAACCCAAATGAAAATAATTGTGCACAGTTTTAAGGATTATTTTACCACTAGGTGGCAATGTTGATTAAAAAATGTGAGAAACCAATGTAAACATCATTTTATTGTATTTTGTGGCTGACCTAAATCTGTTTTCCAAGGTTCGGGACATCAAAAAATTGAAGAATTGCACTACTATGCACTCGAGACCAAGAACTGAAACGTAGATTTGGAAAATATTCAGTAAAGGGACAACTGGAAAGGAAAGAAAAGCAGCTGCCTGAGGTTGACAGAGACAGTGAAACGCAGCAGGCCAAGCATAGAAGCTCACGGGATGAATGACCAGGGAGGAAATTCAGTAAACCTGGGTAGCCAAAGGATTCCAGATGCTGGTAATGTCCCCAAGGAGATTGCTGGCCCTTCATCCATGCTTGGTACCTTGAGAGGGCCCTAGGCTAAACACATGCCATGAGCTCTGATTGCTGGCAAGCAAATCTCATCACAATTTTTCTAATTTGTTTTATATCTGATTCCTAGCTACTATCTTCAATGTCTGGCTATTCCTATGGATTTCTGATTTTGCTGTGCTCTAGGACATAGCACTTCGGCTGTCCCTAGGAATTCATGCTTCAACTGCACCGCCTTACCTTGCTTCTACCTCCTGGACCTCACACAAACGACCCTAACTCAGGCAATGTTTGCACACCCCCTCCAGATTCCATGTCTGCTAAAGCATCGCATCTTGAAACTCCACAGAACCACTTCAAGCAAAGAATTACCAATCGTTAGGGCTGGAAGAAATTTAGAGATGTCATCATACCATTCCCTTTTCATTTTCAAAATAAAGGGAAAGAAACAGATATAATAATTACTTAATATTTAATAAGTTCTTGGCTGAAGGAGATTTATTAACTCTTATAACAAAAGTTCCAATACAAGCAGCTCCAGTTAATTCAATGGTTCAGCAACCCTATCAGGGCCCAGGTTCCCTCCACTCTCTCAACTTTGCTGTCTGCAGTGGACTGCCTAAGATGCCTTTGCATGCCAAGAAAGCTGTCTCAGCTCCAAGCACCACATCCGGACACACCAAAGTCCAAAAGAATGGGTCATTTTCCCCTTGTGCATCTCTTATTTAAAAATGAGAAAAAGCTTTCACGGAAACATACCAACAGATGTGCCTTCACAATTTATTGACCAGAACTGGGTCACCTGCCCAATCCTCCACAAGTCACTGTTGAGAGAACGGAAGGATCATAATTGGCTTTGACAAATCAGATCTGACTCATGTGGAGAAGAGGTGGACATTGGCACAAAACGGGTACTGCCAGCATGCAAGAAAAGAAAAATAAATCTTGGGTAAGTGAACCAGCACTGATTGCTGTATTGGGGTAGTGTAACTAAACACTAGGACATCACTGTGTTCAAGAAATAGGAGAGATCAGAAAAGAAGGAATGGGCACTTGCCTGTACTACCACTTTGTTGGGAGGATGAGGCGGGAGGATCCTTTGAGCCCAGGGGTTCAAGGCTACAGTGAGCTATGATTACACCACTGCTTTCCAGCCTGGGCAACAGACTGAGGCCCCATCTCTTTAAAAGGTTAAAAAGAAAAAGCAAGAAAGAAAACAGGGGACATTCAGGCAACTCAGACTCAAAGAATATTCCTTTAGCATCGGATATTAGTCCCACTATGACCTTCACTAGTCAGCTGATAGGAAGCTGATAGCTGCTGCTACTTCTCACACATCAGCATACTTTGCTCAGATGTATGCATCATTGTTCACTTGTCAAGCTGTTATGAGCAGCAGTTTTTCACAATGAACCAAATGAGGATGGAAGTTCAAATTAGGCTCTTAATTTGTCATCCGTTGATTCATGCACTGAAATTGAGCAAGCATTATTGCATGCTGTGACCCCTCACTCTCACAGAATTTACACTCAATCATTCTGTAATTATAAAAGCCCTATTTGGTAGCTGAGCCGAGAGATATCAAGACTGAACAGAAGCTCTCCTGGAACTTTCTCTAAGCCGATGGTTCTCACAATTCAGGTGTGTATCAGAACCACCTGGAGGGCTGGTTAAAACACGGACTGCTGGGCTCCACCACCAGACTTGTGGATGCAGTAGGTATGGGATGGGGTCCAAGAATTTGCATTTCTAACTTCCAGGAGATGCTGATACAGCTACCCTGGGGACATCATTGAGGACTATGGCTCTAGGCGAGTCTGAAAGACTCCCAAACTGTTCAAAACTGCTACAGCCTTGGCTTTAACCATTTCTGTGACAGAAACTTTCTAAGTCCCAAAAGCTGCCATAAGACCTAGCTCTCTCACACAAAGTCAATTCCATTTCTATGGATCTTGAAGGTATTACATCTATATCTGGTGGATCCTAGACTACACATACTCTGCTAACATATGCACAGACACACACACAGCTGGCTTTGGATGCTCGGGTATTCACTTATTTACTTAAAAAAAATTACTGAATGCTGCTGTATGCCACACAATGAGCTAGGCTTTTCTAGAAGAAATTAAAATACATATAGGCCCTTCTTAATGGCCTTGTGTGACATCAGAGAAGACCAAAGCATGTACACACATGTAGTTATATGTGTACATGTGTAACTACAATGCAAGCTTGCAATACAAGCCATAAAGAATATATAAAGGGAGGTGGGATGTCAGGACATAAAACAGCGTTTTATGGAGATAAGAAGAGGTTCCAAGAAAAGATGTGATGGTTAAGCTGGACCTTTAAAGAATGGGCACCGGGGTGGAATTGGGACACAGGAGATAAATCACAGGCCACTTCAAAGTGTAAACAATATGAGTCAAAGAACATTTTTAAAAAGCACTAAGTATCCAGTATATTGAAAATAAGCAACTCAGTATTATCAAGGTGAAGATGCTGAAGTTACACTAACTAAAGTGTTGAGAAGGCTTTTCAGTACCAGGACAAGGGAGCAACCAAAAGTTTTTTAAGCAGGGAGCTGAAATACTAAGTACTATTAACCCAACAGTGTTAGACTCGTTGGCAGCTAGCTACCTTTAAGAAACAGCCAAGATGTAAGATTAAATCAAAAATTCAACTGAGAATTTCCTTAGGATTCCCTGGGGATAGCTAGGAAGTCATTCAGTGTGCTACATGTATTTTTAGATGGAAGAAAAAAAAAGCTAATGCAAAAAGATATATAAATAACCCATGCAAGCAAACCCCAAGCTGAAACTTCACTTGCAAAAAAGGCATTTAATCAAGTCCACTATAATATTAAAAAATCAACATGTCAGAGTCAAAACCTCTTTGAATTTTAGAGCAAATCACATATTTAATGCTTTTTTTAAAAGCGTAAAGTCAAAAGAACTAGTTTCCACTTTTTCATGGTGACATCGCGATCAACCAGAAAAGTTCTTTTGTAAATAGCAGCTTTACACATCTGAGTTTTTAACCAAAACTCCTCAGGGCTTTCACAGTATTTCCCCAGGTATTCCTGGAAGAATACAAAGTGGGTTTAGATGACAGGATTAACTATATTATTATTTTAATAGTTGAATACTTATTTTAACATACAATGAAAAATACGACTAGTCTACCAGATTCATTAATTTGCAGATATTATTGTTTATAAAATATTAAGTAATAATAGTAATATGGTCATGTCAAAAATCTGCTATTCAAGACCTCTGGCTTGTCAGATCTTTAATGCCTCTAAGGAGATCAGATGCTACCTAAAGCAAGGGCTGCTGGGGGTCATTTCATCTCATGCCAAAATGCAGACCAGTGAAAACACTGATTCCAGTTAAAGGCAGTTATAATACCAAGAGTTCTTTTAGTGTTTTATTTTCAAGCTGGGTTTGATGGGGGGAAAAATTTCAAAGACTCCTGGGCATACAAACTTGTTCTGGAGCCTCTTGAAGCTATTGTTTCTCTTGAACCTCTCTGACCAGGTAACTCCCAGACAAACAAATCAACAAATATAAGATATATTTAAAACTGCCTTATTTTCAGAAGCAAATACTGCTGCTGAAAGGCAACACTCCACGGTACACCCCTCTGCAACCATAAATTCATCAAAATTAAAACCCTTCTTTGCTCTTTCTGTGAGAATACTCTACATCTAAGCTCCAGCTTCCAGAGCAAAATGCCATAGACTGGGTGGCTTAAACAACAAACATGTATGTCTCATAGTTCTGGAGGCTGAAAGTTCAAGATCAGGGTGCCAGCAGGGATGGGTTGTGGCAAGGGCCCTTTCCTGGCTTGCAGATGGCTGCCTTTTTGCTGTGCACTCACACGGCCTTTCCGCAGTGCACTTTGCGTCCTGGATCTCTGTCTTCCTCTTCTTATGAAGGCACTAATCTTATCATATTAGGACCGCACCCTTATGATGTCATTTAACTTAATGACTTCCTTAAAGGCTCTATCTCCAATACCGTCACACAGGAAGTTAGGGCATCCATATATAAATTTGGGGGTGGGGACACAATTCAGTCCATAGCACCCCACTTTTAGAACCTTGCTTTTCTTTCACAAAAAATCTACCACTCTCTCAATCACACATGATTATTCACTGACTGCCTCAAATGAATTGGCAGTGTGTTTTCTAGTTCACTTTCTATCCACTTTGATATGGTGAATTTAAATGGAGAGAATTACTACTGATTTTTTTGTTTTGTTTTGTTTTTGAGATAAGGTCTCACTCTGTTACCCAGGCTAGAGTGCAGTAGTATGATCCCTGCCACCTCCACTTCCCAGGCTCAAAGTCAAATCTGGCCTTAGATTGATTCTCCTATCTCAGCCTCCGGAGTAACTTGACTATAGGTGTGTGCTACCATGCCCAGCTAATTTTTTGTATTTTTAGTAGAGACAGGGTCTTACCAGGTTGCCCAGGCTGGTCTTAAACTCTTGGACTCAAGTAATCCACCCCCCTCGGCCTCCCAGTTTGTTGAGATTACAGGAGTGAGCCACCACGCCTGGCCACTACTGTATTTTGAACTACAGGTCTCTAAATGTTCTCTAAAGATCCGTAAAGTGCCAAGAATTCTAAGCAGTTTCAGGTGTGAATTAACCGGCTGCTTTCTCCAACCCCTCTATGTCAGGGGCAGCCATAGATATTCATGGAACACATGGAGATTCTCCATCCACTACCATCTGGGTTACAAACAAAACACTCAAACTCAGAAGGATAACCTTGTTGCAAATGTGGTCACCCCAGCAATCTGAGAAGATGCTCACACTGACTAGTCCCCATAATTTTGATAAATTGAAATCATTATCCTGCAGCAACAAGAGAAAGCTACATCTTCTTCCTGTCCGTTGTACCCAGGCTCTGCTTGAGTGTAGTGCCATCCTGGGGACTTTACCCATCTCTAATAATATCTTAATACCTACTCAATCTGTTCACCAGCCTTTTTCAAAACTTTTTCAAATATCTTTTTCAGATATTCTATGCCCACTTATAGGTAGTTTAGTACTGTCTAAATGTTCAGATGTTGAATTGTGTCATCTGTATGCTACGCTGGATTTTAGAGACAGTTCCATGGCCTTGGGGAGTGTATCAGGAGAAAGCAGACTTTTAGCTGTAAATCACGCAATACCCCCCAAAATAGTGGCTTATGCAAAAGACAATAAGTTATCTCGTATAACCCACATCTGGAGGATAGCAGTGCCTGGCATTCACTCAACAGACTTCACTATGTTAGGACCAGCATGTAGGAGTCTCCTGTCCTCTTCTTGGTAGTCTGCAAAGTCAAATCTGACCTTGGAGAATTAATATTCTCTCTTATTCACTCAAAAAATATTGGTTGAACGCTACTATATTTCAGGCACTATGTATGCTAGGCTTTTCTGGGGAGTATAAATATATACACAGGCCTGCTTAGAAAGCCTTATATGACAGCAGAGAAAAACAGACATGGAGACCATAAGAACCATAAAGGAGGTATAGATACCATGTCATGGAGACATAGGAGATAGAATAATCACTGTATTCAGGAAGACTAGAAAAGGTTTCCAGGAAAGAGGCGATAATTGAGCTCGGTTCACAAGTATGAGAAGGATTGGGACATGGTGGCAGGAGATGGAGTACGCAGGCTGCTCCCAGCTGAATAAATTATGTGAGACAATGAACGTCACTAGAAAAGCATTAAGGACTTTGGGGGAAACAACTGCTGAGCCTCACACTTGTGCAAGTTGCCTGAAGACGAATAGGCATCCTCAAGACAGGAAGAAAAGGGAAAAGGGGGGCAAAGTCTCCCCTAAAAGTTCCCATCACCCTCCTACTTGTCTCATAGCCAAACACTGTGTCCCAGGGCCACCCCTAGCCAAAAGAGAGGTTTGAGAAAGTGACTCTTCAGTTCTTCCTGTCTCTACAATGAAGATGGACAAGGGAGAAAGGGGTGGGAGTGTGTGAGATTAGCAGCCAAGGATGTCTATCACAGCAAGTCACTTAATCTTTCTGGGTCCCTGATTTCTTCTCTGAAAATGGGAATAATGATGCCTTCCTAGCGGGCCTATTGTGAGGATTAAATGAAACATGAAACACCTATATGTGTCCCAGCATCTAGCATATAATAGGAGCTCAGTATGTTCGCCTTCCCTCCTAGTTTATGTTTCTCAGTCACATCTAGTTTTTGCTCTCAGTGATTATGGACCCAATGTGACATTTACAATTATGACAAGTTAATTGACAGGATAATTAATTTTGCTCTCATTAAATAGGGACTCTTTCTTTCTTTTTTTTTTTAACAAGAGAAAAAAAAGTTTTAATTATGAACGAATACGCATGCACGGGAGTTCACAGAGAAAACAATGTATCTCTAGGAGGTAGCCAGATGATTGAGGCTTATATACCATCTTAGGCTAAACAAAGGAAAAGGAGTTTGGGCCTTCTAGGGAGGGGGGGAGGTGGCAAGTTATGGGAGAGTGACCAAGAAAAGCATGGTCAACAAAGGTTATTTAGTAAGATTCGTTATGCAGGTTTACATCAGTACCTTCCCCATGGATAGAGTTGGTATAGTCCTCCTCTTCCTGGTCCTCCTCTCCTGGAGAAAGAGACAGGTTTACAAATAGAGATGTTCTTTATAAATGTAAATTTCCTTTACAGAAAGAACAATTTTCCCCATTTTTAAAGCTTTTCCTGCATCTGCTGGTTCTCAATGGCCTTTAGCTCAAAATAATCCATATGCTAAAGAGGCATACTTTGGTTGGCATATTCCAGGTCCCTTCAGCAGAATTTGAGTGTCCCCGATGATCCTTCCCATGAAAGCCAAGCTCTGCTTTGTATCTGTGGTGAGTCTTCCTGCCTTCCCCTAGTGATGGGAGATCCTAATGGTGATAGTGTAGGATTCTGGCCCAGGGCATTTTGTAACCCCCAGAGTAAAGAGTTTGCGTTTCCTCAGCAGCAATGAGTCTGTATCTGCCTTAGATGCTGCAAATGTTGCTGCCTCCTCTTCCGGCAGCTTAAGACTTTTGCTTTGGGTAAAGGATCAGGCAGAAAGGTGGGGCTTCCTGCTTCCCCCACTCCTACCTGCCACTCCCACCCCTGCAATGGTATCTAAACATGCCCTGTGGCCCTGCACTACCAAGAAGGCTCTCTCCAACCTCTTATCCCAATCTTTCTGGAAAAGACTCTTTTCTTCCTTACAGTAAGAGAATTGCCAAGGCTTTACTCTCCTTACCCCAGAGATTTTGTGTTGCAGGGCTAAATTCTGCATTGCCTGGTATCCAAAAATCAATGTCCAACCACCACCTTACCACATCTTCACTATTCTTTGATATTTATGCATAGGAAACTTAGCTCATTCAGGAGAATTATGCCAGATACTCTGAGAGGTAAACGGATAGAAGAATGGGATTAGAGTTGAAGATGTGGGCATATCAGAAGGAGATATACAATATTGATGGTTTCTGACGAGGTTGGCTGACCAATGCAAGAGGATTGCTTGAGGCCAGGAGTTTGAGACCACCCAGGAACAGAGGACAACGTAGTGTGATACCATCTCTAAAAAAAAATTTTTTTTTTTTATTAGCCAGGGTATAGTGGTGTGAGCCTGTAGTCCCAGCTATTCAGGAGGCTGAGGTGGGAAGATCGCTTGAGCCCAGGAGTCTTAAAAAAAAATGTTGACAGTTCCCTCTCAGGATCAGGAAGGGAGTGAAGCCTTTGCTAATCTCTGCAGTACAGCTTAGCAAGACATCTTACCTTGTCAAAGCCCATCTTCGAGCTTGGCCTAAAAGAAGTCAAGGTATTTGCCTTTAAAGAACCAAGTGGGCCAAGATAAATAAAATATCTATAGTAATTACTATAAACTCAAGCGGCCACAGGGCTTTCTTTAAATGCTCTGGACAATGAGTGGAGCTAGGGTCTTCATAGATCCTGGGGCCGAGGTAAAGAAAATAGAAATAGAAATTTCCACCCACCTTACAGAATGGGAACTTAGGTTAAATTTGATGTAAATAAATAAAAGAAACATGATATGCCTTACACCTTGTACTGAAGAATAAAATTAATGCCTCTTCAATTTATATGATACAATAGGAATGATAGGAGGCTCCTTCAGCACCTAGGACAGCCAAATACGAAGGTCATCCATCTGTGAAAGGAAAAATTCCCAACAAGACCTTCAGCACACACCAAATAGATTTAATTTATAGTTGACATTGGTTCACAGAACAGTCAAGGTCATTGGCACCTTAATTACAACACACTTGGCCCACACTCCTTACCCAGCAGGTAATAGCACTAACATGCATGATGAAACTCCTGTCCATCATCCAAATTCAAGATGATAAGTTTTGATTCGGTTACTGAGACTATTATCGTCTGTTTTATCTTGATGAAATAGTGACTACAAACACAGCTCCAGGCTAATTTGGAACAATGTCAACACCTAAAAAATTATCTCCTTGGAAGAAACGTGGGTAAATTAGAATAAACCTTTTATGCATTAGTAAGTATTAATGTACTTAAGGTGATTCTTGCTGGTGTGTGATTCCAAGATTTAAGCAGGAATATTTACATTCTTTAACACTCTTACTTTGCTCCATTGAAAGACTTTCCCTCAAGCTCCCACTCCTGTGTCCCCTGAGACTACTGTAAGTTTCTAGAGCTGATGAAACCACCTGTAGGGTAGAAAGACCAGAATAGGGCGTGTGGTTTAGCAAGTCTTTTCTAGAGTTATTCTTGGCCCTGAGCACCACTAGCATGGTGGGTGTTTCTGGCTGAATCTGTCTGGTTGTCCTCATGCTGCACACTCTGACGGGTGACCTGAGGCCATGAGTCAGCATTGTGGTAACATTCCTTCTCATTACACCAGCCATTCTGCTTGAGTAGTCCTCAGAAAAGGGAACCATTTTTTAGGTAGGAAAACAAGCTTCTCGTTGTGGTCTATAACCTCTTCTCTCCTCTGGGTTCAGGGCGGGAGAGTTACAATGCCCAGAGAAGGGCATGCCTCTTCCAGCCCCCTAATACATATAACCACATTTGATTCTCATCATAACCCTGCAATGTTGTTCCCAGCAAGATGGTCTGTCACAGAATCCTTGTATGTGTATGTCCTTGTAGGTCAAGGCTTCTTAGCTTTCTGCCATTTGACAATTCTCCCTTTGTATGGGGAACGAGTGAACTTGACATGACCTGAATACACAGAATCCCAAGGCTTGGACCATTCCAGTCCCAAGAGATAATTTATATAAAATAAATCAAAGGAGGAGTAGAAAGTATGTGATTGCTTCAGTCTTTGTTTTGTCCTGTGTTGTGATAGTTTTACCAAGCACATGGCTCAGAGGAGGACCAAATGAGAAAGTGAAGCATTTATAACAAGATACCATCACTGTAGATTAACCTGAGTACAAAGGAAGAAGGTGGACACCTTACCCTGGGGGGAAGCAGGAAACAGACCCTATACCTGGAGCTGGCCTGCGGATATCTCCATGTCTGCCTCCCAAGATTGTAGGGTTGACAGATTTACACTGTTTCAACATGTAAAACGAAGAGGTGAAAACTTCACCAGCAGAAGGCTGAGAAACCACTATGAGCAATGCCTGCTCTTAATTCATGTTACCTTAAGTATAAAATAAAAAGGACTTAGTTGAAAAAACTCCTACCAGATTCCTGTTTTATGAAATTCTGAATTTTTTTATGTCTTAATCAAAAAACCTAAATATTTTAGGGCATGGAAAGGAGAATAGATTCACCCTTGAGCACTAGCCTAAATTAGTTATGAATTATTATGTTTATTTTGCAGGTGAGAAAATTGAGGCTCAGAAAGTCTGGAACTTTCTCTTTCCTCACATCCCTTTCGACAGTAGGGCACACGTCAAAACTGGTCATTTGGGAACAGTATGTTTTGGTACAATTCTTCCTTTCTTTCATGGACAAGAGTAATATTAATTTGATCAAAATAAGGCAAATGGACTTTGGCTTTAATAGAATTTTTATATCAAATATTTCCAGATAACAATGAAGTTCTAATCTGCAAAAGCTGCAGGTGTTGTTAGAAGAACCATCCTTCTATGGGTGGGGTGCAGTGGATCACGCCTGTAGTCCCAGCACTTTGGGGGCCAAGGAGTTCAAGACCAACCTGGACAACATGGTGAAACCCCATCTCTACTAAAAATACAAAAATTAGCCAGGCATGGAGGCACATGCCTGTTAATCCCAGCTACTCAGGAGGCTGAGGTATGAAAACTGTTTGAACCTGGGAGGCAGAGATTGCAGTGGGCCGAGATGGTGCCACTGCACTCCAGCCCGGGTGAAAGAGCGAGACTCCATCTCAAAAGAAAGAATCATCGTCCTATGAATTGGAATCTTATAAAAATAGCGCATCAACCAAATTGGGACAGAATTATTATATATATACATACGAAGAGAAAAATGGGAGACTGCCATGTGGGTCAGTGCCCTCAGGAGTCCCCAGCCAGAATCCCTCCCCCAGCACCACATCCAACTCCTAACTGTCCACACCTTGGCCAAACTCTGGGCATATCTGGACACTGGGAACATGTCCCTTCCCTGCCCCCTACAAACCATCGGCCACATTTCCACAATATGGGCATGGTTCTGCCTGTCCCTGGCTGCTGGAGACATCCTGGTGTCAGAGCTCCTGTTGGCAGTGCACAGTGTTGACGGGGAGCCATGAGTGCTGATGTAGCTAACAGTGCTCACCAACTGGTATTGTGCAGGCCTCACCCTGCTAGGTTTGCCCTCTGAGGCACCCTGAGCAAGCCAGCTAACAGCCAAAGGTGCTGTTCCTGGGAGTCTCAGCCACCCAGTTTCTGAATGACCCCAAGGGTTAGAGAGATCCACAGTTTGAAGCACCACCACAATGCATTTGCAACACTGTGGTTGGTAGACTCCAGTGTAGGTATCACGGATAAGCAGAGGTTGTTTTACAATCAGTATTTCTGATTTCTAAAGCCATCTCTTTCCACTAGGCCCCAAAGCTACAGAGGGTGAAGGCTAAGATCAAAGGAGTGGTGTTCTTGGAAAAACCAGAAGCAGAACTCATAGCATCAACACAACTGACCACAAGAGCAACAGTGCAGCAGAAGAATGGCCTCCCACAATGTAAGTTATAAGGTGACAACCTGGAGATAGGTCTCATCCCTCTCATGCCTCAGAGTAGGGAGAAGATATCAAGCAGATTACACTAGGCCCCGCTGACATCTAGGACTTTCCTTTGCAGACTACTTCTATGCTCTCTGGCATCTATAGCTCCATGAACCTTATTCTGCTCATTTCATTTGTTTCTAATTCAGAGGTGGTCACTTTCAATTGCCCAGTCTTTTAAAGGTGGGGAATTTTTGGATGGACTGAGCAAAGCCTTGAAGCAAAAGCAAGGATCTTTCTGGTCCCAAATACAAGTGGGATTTGAAGGTACCTGTTGCTGAGTAACCTCCGCTGTTTCCTCTCTGCTCCCTCTCAAGAACAAATCCTCCACCAAAGTCGGCTTGGATCTCACAATGCTTCATCATGAAGACGTGAGCAATCTTTCAAACTGATCTCCTTCTGCAAAGTTGGGGTGCAAAAGTCTTCCAGCCCAGGAGGTCATTGAAACCTTTAGCCTAACTCTTCCCATATTCTCTTTTCAAGTTTGTTGTTGTAGCTGTTGCTGCTGTTTTGGTGTTATCACTACTGAAATATAGTTCATTTGCCATAAAAGTTTACTCTTTTAAGGTGTACAATTCAGCGATTTTTTTTTTAGTATATTCACTTGTGCAGCCATATCCACTAACTCGAGAACCTCTTCATTACCTGAGAGAAACCCTTTAACCATTAGTAATCACCTCAATTCCCTCCTTTTCCCAGCTGTGGCAACCAATAATCTATATTTTGTCTATGGATTTACCTTGTCTGGACATTTCATGTGAGTGGAATCATACAAAATGTGGCCTTTTATATCTGGCTGTTTTCACTTTTGTTTTCAACGTTCACCCCCATTGTAGCACGTGTCAGTACTTTATGCCTTTGATGGCTAAATAACATTCCACTGTATGAACATACCACATTGTGCTTATCCATCCATCCATGGATGACATTTAGATTGTTTCCACCTTTTAGATAAGATGAAAAATCCTGCTATGAACATTCATTTACAAGTTTTTATGTATTTGTAAAATTTTTCAAAAACATACTCAAAAACTTTTTTTTCAAATAGAAAGCTTTAGCTTTAATAACTATTGCCTCTGGGAATAATTTTGGTCTTATTGCCTGTCTTGTCAAGGCTGAACAATGATCCTTTATTACTCTTTTTTTTTTTTTTTTTTTGAGACGGAGTCTCGCTCTGGCACCCAGGCTGGAGTGCGGTGGTGCAATCTCGGCTCACTGCAAGCTCTGCCTCCCGGGTTCACGCCATTCTCCTGCCTCAGCCTCCCAAGTAGCTGGGACTACAGGCGCCCGCCACCACACCTGGCTAATTTTTTGTATTTTTAGTAGAGACAGGGTTTCACCGTGTTAGCCAGGATGGTCTCGATCTCCTGACCTGGTGATCCACCCGCCTCGGCCTCCCAAAGTGCTGGGATTACAGACTTGAGCCACTGTGCTGGACCGATCCTTTATTATTCTTAAACATCTCTAGAAACTTAGCCTCACCAAGGTAATACGGTACTTGGTTGACTTGAGAAAGGTTTTCTACCGTGGTGTACATAAGAGAAAGTATATCAATATTTCAAAATAGTATCAGCCTATACATCAATAATGGTTGGTCACTCAAAGTGACACTTATTTCCACTGAGGAAACTTGCAATTTTTTAAGAGTCTTGCTCTGTTTGCCCAGGCTGCAATGCAATGGTGTCATCATAGTTCTCTGCAGCCTCGAACTCTTGGGGTTCAAGAGATCCTTCCACATAGGTCTCCCAAGTAGCTGGGACTACAGGCATACGCTGCCATGCCCAGATAATTTTAAACTTTTTTGTAAAGATGGGGTCTTGTTATGTGGTCCAGACCGGTCTCAAACTCCTGCCCTCAAGCAATTTTCCTGCCTTGGTGTCCCAAAGTGCTGGGATTACAGGCATGAGCCTGTGCCTGGCTATTCTTCAACTGGACAAAAGCAACCAACCAGACACTAATTCCCATTCCTTAAATAGGGTTTATTTTTTAAACTTAAAGATTTAAATCTTTTTTAACCTTAAGAAATTAAAAATGTTTAAAATCTTAAAGATTTAAATCTTTTTTACTCTTAAGGAATTAAAAATTTTGGCCGGGTGCAGTGGCTCACGCCTGTAATCCCAACATTTTGGGAGGCCGAGGCAGGTGGATCACGAGGTCAGGAGTTCGAGACCAGCCTGGCCAACATGGTGAAACCTCGTCTCTACTAAAAATAACAAAAGTTAGCCAGGCGTGGTAATGGGCGCCTGTAGTCCCAGCTACTTAGGAGGCTGAGGCAGGAGAATCGCTTGAACCTGGGAGGCAGAGGTTGCAGTGAGCCGAGATCACGCCATTGTACTCCAGCCTGGGTGACAGCAAGACTCAGCCTAAAAAAAAAAAAAAAAAAAAAAAAAAAAGAAATTAAAATTTTTTTAAATCTTAAAGACTTAATCTTTATTAAAATCTTTATAAAATCTTTATTAAAATCTTCTATAAGATTTTGATCTGTTGTACAGTATTCATTACAAAGCCCAGTGCTGTGCCAAAAGTAAATTCAAAACAAATAGCTGTCAAATAAAAAAATGAATGAGTAAATAAATGTACATTTAACAGCTAGGAGACTACCCATAAGGGGAAATTAAGAACTATTTAGGTACCATTTATTTTTTTAAAAAGCCAAACACCGGATATTTTTTAAATGTACAAATGTAAAATTTTATACACACAATACCCAATTTGTGATGGTTTATCTTGTTTTCAAGATAAGTTTTGCTAATATCTTATTGTTCAAAGAACAGCAACAAGCTGCACAAGCTGGTTTACACAAGCTGTAGATTCCAACGTAGACTTTCTCAACTTCATGACGATGCAAAAGCAATACGCATTCAGTAGCAACCATACTTTGAGTACCCATGCAACTATTTTGTTTTTCACTTTCTATACAGTATTCAATAAATTACATGAAATATTCAACACCATATAATAAAATAGCCTTTGTGTTAGTTAATTTTCTCAATTATAGGCTAATATAGATGTTCTCAGCACATTCAAGGTAGGTGAGGCTAAGTTATGATGTTCAATAGGTTAGGTTCATAAAATATATTTCTAACTAGGATATTTTCAACTTATGATGGGTTCGTCAGGATATAACTGTATTGTAAGTCAAGGAGCATCTGTACTTTACAGTAGTGTTTCTGGAAGTACAAAATAGGTTAGGATGAAAGAATATTGTTTTCAAGATGAGTTTTGCTAGTAATATTGTTCAAAGGAACTGCAACAACCTGCACAGGCTGGCTGATACAAGCTGTAGATTCTTTGTCACCTGGACCAACACAGACTTTCTGATGGACATGTCAACACTCACACTGGCCTCAATTCATTGACAAGAGCTAAGAGTTAATGAATCAGAAAATGAAAGATAAAAGCAGAAAAGAAAGAGATCAACTAGAGAAAAAGAAGGAACTATTCCAGATGGCAGATGCTCCTGTGTCATGGAAGCATTCAGTTTCAGTTTGTTCTATTCTTGACTTCACTTATAAGTTATCTGGTGGCATGGGACAAATTGCTTAGATTTCTTCTGCCTCAGTTTCTCAGTGTGCAAATTGGGGCCAACATTACTCCCCTTTAAGGAGTTCAAAGAGCACTGAGGTAAAAAGTTGGAAAGGCCCAGCCTGTGTCTGTAAAGTATATTTACAACTCCCTGGAGTAATGCAGGTATTGATGCTAAAAGCATCATTATTTTTGTAGTTGGAAAGTCAGAATCCATCCTCCATCATATTCTAAGCCTTTGAAAGAGCCCTTTGTTTTCCTGCCTCAGCTTTGGCCCACAGGCAAAAATATTCTGTCTTTCAAAAGGTTTCTTTCATAAACAGTTCATTCTTTTTAAGTGGGTTTCACTGACTACGTTTATTAACATGTAGTAACACTTAAGGAAGGTTTCGTTTGGTACTGGGAAGAAAGCAGTGTGGGCAGCCTGCCACTCCTTAGCCTAAAAAGAAATATTGTCTAGAACAAGGCCCGAGGCACTCAGAGAGGCCAGGACTATTGCAGGTTGCCGCTTGCGACTTGCATCACTCAACCCAAGCAGTGCAAACAATGACGGGTGTCCCAGGGGCCCCTCCTAGACAAGGCCAGTGGTGAAAATTACTCAGCCTTTCTCAGTCACTGAAATGATTTCACCAGAGAGACATCTATGTCAATAAAAGGGAAGATGAAGATATTCAACTTGATAAACAGCAGAAAATTTAATTTAACAAGCTGTCTTTCCATGTTTTTTTTCTGTCCATGAGGTTGAATTCACCACTGTTCTCTAAGTTAAACATCTCTATCTTTGATTTATGTCATGACTGAGTCTGTGAACTCTCCTTGTTATTTTCTTCTGACCTCATATCTCACTACTTGTCTTAATTTGAGCCTTTTCTTTTTTTCTTTTGCAAGAAATGGAAATCCATTCAGTGAAGACCATCTCTAGAGATTTCTGGGCCTTAATAAATATCTATAGAATCATGGGTGACTGCAGAGTCATCCATGAATATCTCTACAGTCACCCAAGAAATTCTTAACAAAGGTAAAATCAGGTCAGGATGTGCCTCCAGAGCAGTTTTGAATGAAGAAAATTCATCAGGAAGGGGCAACCTGCTGCCAAGGGGTGCGTGAGAGGCAGAGGGTCAATCACATTGGCCAGGGTAGCAAATGGTGCTGAATGAAGATGACCAGCTGGGGAGGCCTTTCCTGTCCTCTCCACAGGGACTTTGTCCCTGAGTGCTCGTCAGTCACCAGCAAAACCCAAAGCTTGAAGCCAATGTTTTGTCTTCATGGAAGGATATGTACTGCCTGTTCTGTCAAGCTCTAATCTCTTCAAACTTCATTCCAGAATCCTGAGATTTTTTTCCTTGCCCTATGACCTCAGAAACTAATAGAAGATTTTTCTGAAGCCAGGAAATTAGACTCTGACCATAATTTGATCAGAGGCAACACCCTCCCAGGGCTGGATGAAGATCTTTAAAAGTCTTGAGCATTAAAGAGATTATGCTTCACATCCCACAACTATCCACCATATGTAATACAATATTTTTTTAAGATCTAAACCCTGAAGTAAAAGAGAATTTCAACAAAGTTCAAACTCTTAGCATGATAATGATGCAATACCTTTTTTAAAACATCAAAATCTGTATCTAAATTTTGTTCTATTTGCATGTCCCCATTTACTGGTGATCTAAGCATTTATTCAGTCTATCTACTGGGAATTCTGTCGCCACCTCTGCCTACTCTGCACATACCCGCTAAATGTCTGTCATTTGATTAGTCCAGTAATTTGTATCACAAGTGTTTCCATTGGAACAATCATCTTTGATGTGACCTTCTCTCTGTGGAAGGAGCTCTGAAGAAGCAGGAGTAGGTTTTTCTAATGTTTTTAACATAGGGTCAATGCATTCATTTAATGCACATTTTTGAACGCTCATGCTGTTCCAAGTACGGCATAGGAAGTCAACCACATTACAAAGATAATACTAGGTATGATGTTACAGAGGGACAAGGTCCTAAAAAACAAGGAGTTATAAGAGACAAGGAGGTGACCTCAGCAACTTGGCAGAATAGGAGGCCCTTGCCTCTCCCTCCACTCTTGGGCACACCAAATAAACATCTATTCACAGATCAATTCTCTCTGAGAGAAAGTAAGAAATCAATTGAGAAACTCTGACCCAACCAGGCAACTGAAAAATATCCACACCGAACAGATGGGAAAAACCGAGGCATGGTCAGGCAAAGATGCCATCCCAGGCACCACATCATACAATCAGGAAAGGAATCCCCAAACTCAGCTTCTCACTGTGGCGAGTAGGGTATAGACCTCATATGTAATGCCCTAACTCTTAGCTTCCCCACATTTTGGCTCTTACTTAACCAGCTTTAGGAGTGAAGGAGATTAAGCATATACAATTCTCACTAGACTATAGGGGAAAAGTGGCAGTTTTGTAGACATCCACAGCTCTTCCAGAAGCTCCATCCCTAGGAGCAGTGTGGAGAAGGGGCTTTTAAAAAGCAGCTTCCTGTTTCTCTGCAGAAGGGATTTATGCCGTGCATTGAGTGCCCCAACTTTCATAGCTACTGTCTGAAGAACTGCATCCTAAAAACCTCCTAGCCCTGAGAGCAGAAGAGACGAGGCATATGTGAGTACTTCTAGATAATAGAACATAAAGGTGGTTTTAAATGGACACAGAAACACTTCCAGAGGCCATACTTCCTGGGAACAGTGCAGAAATGAGGCTGAAATACAGCTACCATTTTTCTCTCCAGAAGGGGCTCACTACACACCCTTCCAGTGGCTATATGACAGCCTGGCTCCAAATAAACTTGCATCAGGGAGCTAATAGGTGAGACAAACTTTAGCCCTCCAGCAGTCAGCGCCAGAGCTGGGCAGTTCTCAAGCCTTTCCTCACACCAAGGTCTACCTATTTTTCCTGGAAGGAGTTTGTCCATGCACCAAATGCCACAAATGTATAGCTCTCACCAAAGGGACTGTCTCCCTAACGACCTAGCTCTGAAAGTTGATGGGGCTTTGCATTCCTGAGTGGCCCTAGACCACAGAAAACAAAGAGGTGGACATACAACAGGCCTACTTCCATCAGATATCTCCTCAAGCTCAGAAGATGCAGCCTGAACTCCAGTACAGGATTTTGTCACAGATCCTCTCCCTAGCTTAGTGCAGAAAGAGTGGGAGATAAACAGCAACACTCAGCTTCACCATGAGGATAGCAGCTAAAATACATACCCAACACCCACCGCCCCCCACCCTCCAGCTTTTCCAGCTACATCAGAGAGACTGGCTCCTACCTTACTGGTCTTCGGGTATTGACAGAACATGGCCCATCCTAATTTGGGAGGGGGAGCAGCACCAAAAACAGAGACAAACACAAGATTTGAAAGGCATCTTAAAATCTTTGGCAAAGCAAATTGGTGAGATTTTTCTCTTACAGTAGGCCAGTCTGACAAGACTGGAAGAGGCAGATGTCTTATCTAATGCACAGACCCAACACAGTGAGTCAAGAAAAATGAATAAATAAGGAGATATATTCCAAATAAAATAACAACATGAATCTCCAGAAACTGGCCCAAGTGAAGTGAAGATATGTGGTCTGCCCAACAGGGAATTCAAAATGATGACTGTAAAGTTGCACATCAAGGTAGGAAAGCAATGCAAGACTGAAAATTCCAACAAAGAAATAGAAAATATCTAAAAGTACCAAACAGAAATCATAGAGCTAAAGAATACTATAACTGAATTGAAAACTTTAGTAAAGAAATTTGACAACAGATTCTGCAAAAGGGAGGATCAGTGAATTTGAAGACAGGTCACTGGAAATCACCCAAGCTGAGGAGAGAAAAAAAACTAAAAAGAGTGAAGATAGCTTAGAGGCCTTATGGGACAACATTAAGCAGAACAAATTAGGAATTATTGATATGCTAAAAGAATAGGAAGAGAGAGAAAACATTTTAAAAGAAATAATGGCAGAAAACATCCCAAGCCTGAGGAGAAAATATTCAGAAAGCTTAATGTACATGAGGTAAAATTAGTCCAAAGAGACTCACACCAGGGCACGTCATAATCAAATTGTCAAAAGTTAGACAAAGGGATTCTTGAAAGCTGCAAGAAAAAAGCACATTATTATGTACAAGGGAGCCCCTGAAAGATTATCTGGATTTTTCAGCGCCTTGCAAGCCAAAAGAGAGTGGGATGCTGTATTCAGAATTCTGATAGAAAAAAAAAAACAAAACCTGCCAACCAAGAATACTGTGCCCAGCAATTCTATCTTTCAAAAATAAAGGAGTGATAAAGACTTTCTCTGACGAACAAAAGTTGAGAGAATTTATCAACACTAGACATGTCATAAGAAATGCTGAAGGTAGTTCTTAAAACTGAAGGAAGAAGACACAAATTAGTAACATGAAAACATATGAAATTATAAAACTAACTGGTAAAAGTAATTACATTGTCAAACCCAAAACACTCTGACCCTGTAATGATGATGGATAAATCAATTATATCTTTAGTATACAGGTTAAAAAGGCAAAACTATTAAAAACAACTAAAGCTACAATAATTTGTTAACGAATACAAATAATAAAAAGATGTAAAATGTGACAGCAAAAATATAAAGCATGGGAGTAGGGGGAGAAATCCTGTAGAGTTTATGTATTTGACAAAAATTAAGTGTTACAAGCTTAACATAGCTGGTTATAAGTTTAAAATACTTTATGAAACCATTAGGGTAGCCATAGAACAAAAGCCTACAATAGATACAAAAAAGATAATAAAAAAAAAAAGATTCAAAGCACACCACTACAGGAGGCCATCAAACCACAGAGAAAGCAAGCAAGAGGGGAAGAAAAAAGAAGGATCTACAAAACCATCAGAAAACAATGGACAAAATGGACTAATGAGTTCTTATCTATCAGTAATTACTCTTAATGTGAATGCATTAAATTATCTAAACAAAAGGCATAGAGTGGCTAAATTGATTTAAAAAAGAAAGACCCAACTGTATTCTGCCTACAAGAAACTCACTTCAACTTAAAAAACACTCAGAATGAAAGTGAAAGGATGAAAAATAATATCACATGCAAATAGAAACCAAAGGAGAACAGAAGTAGCCATACTTATTTTAGATAAAAACTTTAGGTAAAAAACTGTAAAAAGTGAGAATAAAGTCATTATGTAGTGATTAAAGGGTCAATTCTTCAAGAGTATGTAAGAATTATTAAATATATAGGTACCTAACATTGGTACACCTAAATATACAAAGCAAACATTAATAGATCTGAGGGGAGGCATAGACTGTAACACAGCAATAGTAGGGAATTTCAGTAATCACTTTCAACAATATCAACGAATCAATCAGAGAGAAAATCAATAAGGCAACAATGGACTTAACAGACATTGCAGAACATTCTACCCAACAGCAATATAATACACATTCTGTTCATGTGCACACAGAAAATTCTCCAGGATAGATCATATATTAGGCCACAAAACAAGTTTTAACAAATTTAAGAAGATTAAAATCATATCAAATATTTTTTCCAATGATAATGACATGAAACTAGAAATCAATACAGGAGGAAAATGGAAAATCAACAAATATGTGGAAATTAAACAGTGTGCTTCTGAACAACTATAGAGTCAAGGACAAAATTTTAAAATATCTTGAGACAAATGAAAATGGAAACACAACACACCAAAACATGAGATGCAGCAAAAGCATTTCTAAGAGGGATGTTTATAGCAATAAATGCCTACCTCAAAAAAGAAAGATCTCAAATAAACAGCCTAACACTGCACCTCAAGGAACTACAAAAGGAAAAACAAACTGAGCTCAAAGTTAGCATAAGGAAGGAAATAGTGAAAATTAGACTAGAAGTAAATGGGACTAGAAAACCAATAACAAAGATCCACAAACTGAAAGTTGTTTTTTTTTTTTGAGAAATCAAAAAAAAATTGACAAACCCTTAGCCAAATCAACTAAGATAAAAAGAAAGAAGACTCAAATAAATAAAATGAAAGAAAAGACATTAGAATTGATAACACAGAAATGCAAAGGATCATAGGAGACTACTATGAATAACTATATACCAAAAAAGTCTAATAACCTAGAAAAAAATGGATAAATTTGTAGACACATACAACCTAATCAGGAAGAAATTGTAAATCTATATAAATCAATAATGAGTGAGAAGACTGGATCAGTAATTAAAAGTCTCCCATCATAGAAATGTCCAGCACTAGATGGTTTCCTGGCTGAATTCTACCAAACATTTAAAGAATTATTACCAATCCTTCTTAATGTCTTCAAAAAAAGTTGAAAAGAAGGCAATACTTCCAAACTAATTTTTTAGGCCAACTTCACCCTGATACCAAAGCCAGAAAATGTCACTGCAAGATAAGAAAACCATAGAATAATATCACTGATTAACATAGATGTGAAAAATCCTCAACAAAATACTAGCAAACCATATTCAATAGTACATTATAAGATTCATTCACCATGATCAAGTGGGATTTATCCCTAGAATGAAAGAATGGTTCAAGATAGATCAAAAAATGATATTCCTCATATTAACAGAATGAAGAACAAAATTCATAGAAAAAGCATTTGACAAAATTCAACATCCTTTCACAGTAAAAACTCTCATTGAATTAGGTATAGACGGAATGTCCTCAACACAATAAAGTTCTTATGTGACAGTCCCACAGACAACATCACACTGAATGGTGAAAAGTTGAAAGATTTTCCTCCAAGATGAGGAACAAAATAAAGATACTCACTGTCACCACTTCTGCTCAACACAGTACTGTAAGTCCCAGCCAGAGCAATTAGGAAAAAAAAAATCCATATAGAAAAGGAAGTATAATTGTTTGTTTGCTAACAACACGATCTCATATATAGAAAATCCTAACGATTTCACTAAAAAACTTAGAACTGATAAAGGAATTCAGTAAAGTTGAGTTCACAAACTCAGCTTACAAAAAAACAGTAGTGTTTCTATCAATAACACGAACTACCTGAAAAAGAAATTCTCCCATTTACAATAGCACAACAAAAGATACTTAGGAGTAAACTTAACCCAGGAGGTAAAAATCTACACTGAAAACTATAAAATATTGATGAAGGAAATTAAAGAAGACACAAATAAGTGGAAGGATATCCTATATTCACGAATTAGAAGAATCAATAGTCTAAAAATGCCTATATTACACAAAGCAATCTACAGATTGAACACAATCTCTATCAAAATTCAAATGGCATTTTTCACAAAAATAGAAAAATACAAAAATTTATATAGAACCAAAATAGACCTTGATAGATAAAGCAATCTTGAACAAGAAGAAAAAATCTAGAGGCATCGTTCTGTATTACAAAGCTGTAGTAATCAAAACAGTACGGTACCAGGATAAAAACAGACACATTCATAAATGGAACAGAATAGAGAACTAATAATAAATCCATGTATCTACAGTCACCTAGTCTTTGAGAAAGGTGCCAAGAACACACAATAGGAAAAGGACAATCTCTTCTATAAATGATGCTGGGGAAACAATATCCATATGCAAATAAAATGAAACTAGATGATTGTCTTACACCACACACATAAATCAACTGAAAAATACCTGAATATTTAAACATAAAACCTGAAACTGTAACACTCCTAAAGAAAAACACAGGAGAAAAACTCTATGACATTTGTCTTAGTTATTATTATTATTATTATTATTATTATTATTATTTGTTTTTTACACTTACTGAATTAGAAAAGCCAAAGCCATTGGAAATTATTTTTTGGATGTAATACCAAAAGCACAGGCAACAAAAACAAACTACATCAAACTAAAATGTTTCTGCACAGAAAAGGAAACAATCAACAAAAAGAAAAGGCAACCTACAGAATGGAAGAAAATATTTACAGACCATATATCTAATAAAGGGTTAATATCCAAAATATATAAGAAATAGCAATAATAACCTGATTGAAAATGGGCAAAGGACATAAATAGACATTTTTCCAAAGGAGGCATACAAATGGCCAATAGGTATATGAAAAGGTACTCAATATTTCTAATCAATAGGGAAATGCAAATCAAAACTACAATGAAATATTACCACATACCTGTTAGGACAGGTATTGTCAAAAATTCAAAAGATAAGGTCCAGCTCAGTGGTTCGCAACTGTAATCCCAGCACTTCTGGGAGGCCAAGGCAGGAGGGTCACTTGAGGCCAGAGTTCAAGACCAGCTTGATCAACATAGTAAGACCCCGTCTCCATGGAAAAAATATATATATATATTAGCCAGGCACGGTGGCATGTGGCATATGTCTGTAGTCTCAGCTACTCAGGAGGCTGAACCCAGGAGTTCAACGCTACAGTGAGCTATGTTTGTACCACTGCACTTTAGCCTGGGTGACAAAAAAAAAAAAATTAAAAGACAATGTTGGCAAGGATGTAGAAAAATGGAAACCCTTAGACATTATTTGTGGGAATGAGAAAATGAGAGTTGATACAACCACTATGGAAAACAGTATGGAGGGTCCTCAAAAAATTAAAATTAAAACTACCATATGATCCAGCAATCCCACTTCTGGGTGCATATCAAAGGAAATAAAATTGCTCTTTCCAAAAGATATCTGCATTCCCATGTTCATTGCAGCATTATTCACAGTAGTCAAAATATGACATCAACCTATGTGTCCATTGCTAGATGAACGGATAAAGAAAATATGGCATGTATAAACACATACACACACACACACACACACACGTACAATGGAATATTATTATTAGACTTAAATAAGAAGGAAATTCTGTCATTTGAGACAACACGGATGAACCTGGAGGATGTTATGCTAAATGAAATAAGCCGGGTACACAAGGACAAATACTGCATGATCTCATTTACAGGTGAAATGTTAAAAAGTCAAACTCATAGAAACAGAAGTAGAGTGGTGGTTGGCAGGGATGGAGGGCTGGGGAAAATCGGAAGATGTTGGTTAAAGGGTACAAACTTTCCGTTATAAGTTGAATAATTCCTGCAGAGACCTAGTGTACAGTATGGTGACTATACTTAATAATAATGTATTATATATTTGCTATTTGCTAAGAGAATAGACGTTAAGTGTTCTCACCACAAAGATAACTATGTGAGGTGATGGATATGTTAATTAGCTTGATTGTGGTAATCATTCCACAATGTGTACCTGTATCAAAACATCACATTGTATACGGTAAATATATACAATTTTATTTGTTAATTATACCTCAATAAAGCTGCCAAAAATAAAAATAAAATACAATAAATGATAAGAAATAGTATACTTTACTAAAAGTAAATGAAAGAAAACACAAGGTAGAGCATGTAATAAGAGTGAATACTTATTGAGCACTTACGGTGTGCTAATTTGTGTGTGTGTGCGTAAAATTTCACTTCATCCTCATAACAACCTATGAAGCTAAAAACAAAAAGTTAATTATGCCCAAGCTCATACAGCTGAAAAGAAGCAGAACTGGAATGACCCATCCACCTGGCTTCAAACCTCACGGTGCTATTGCCTCTCATAGGTACCCATTTCTCTCCGGCAGCCAGTTCATTGAAATAGGAAAAAGGTCACAATAAACTAAGTATCCGTTTCTGCTTAAGACCTGTCTATTTTGCAGCTAACACACTCAACTCTTTTATTTGGAGCACAATTTAAATCTATAAAATATCTTAAAGCTGGGAAATGTCACAGTTCAAAACGTGTGTTGAATGAAAGGAGAAAAAGCACTCATCCAACATTGCTTCTGCTGATTTGCAGTTTACAAGTACAGCCTGCTGCACTAAACAATGTGCTGTGGATAACTAAGCATCTTGTGTTCCAACCTGATAAGATGTAGATGAAAATGAATGAGAGGCATGTGAATAAGAAAAGTCCACAGGGCCTTGTAGTAATATATTACCTGACACATGGAACATCTAATAAACATTTGCTGAATGGAAAAAGGAGCCCGAGGAATGGGACAACAGACATGAGTTGTTAGAAGTATTGAAGTATTGATAGCATTATTTATGTATTAAGGAGAGTCCTGCTTGGACAGCAATAATTCCTATTGGCAATACTTTGTATTGATGTTATAGTTTCATTAAATGCAAACACTATTTATATAACTAATAAATCAAAACCTATAGTTTAACACGAAAAAATGATGAGTGAGAAAGCCCTTCATATTCAATGTTGCTCACAATGCCAGTCTGTCAGGAAGATAGAAACGTTATGGAAGCAGCTTCTGCCTTTAAGAAATTACATCCTGTCACATTCTGTAGCAATAACAGGCTGCACTGAGATGCAAGAGACAAGGACTCTGAACCAGGTGCTTTGCTAATTTCTGAACTTCTCTGGACCTCTGGTTTCTCATCCACAAAAATGAGGGGCAGTATCTCTGAAACAAACTGACAATCTACATCGATTTTCCTGCCTTCTTCTTTACGGTCAATTTCCTACTGTCATGAAGCATTCATTACTGAGGGAAAAAACATAGTTGAAGTTGTTTAACTACACCAGTTTGTGAAACACATTGAGATTTTAGAAACCTAAAAAATATTAAATTGCTGGGGATAGAGGAAGAGAGAGAAGATTGTGATTATTAGAATGCCGGGAATGTTCTTGTTCTTTTAGGATGAAAATTGAGTATCTCTAGAAGGTTCTGTGAACCTGTGGTAGAAACTGGTGGTTCACAAAATTTAGGTTTCGACTGGAGTGCAGTTTTTATTACAGACAGGCAGCACTTAAATTGAGGGGACTTTTTCAAGCTGGTCCTTTTGGAGTTTGCTCACAAGAGGGCAGTGCTGTTTAACAGTTGCAGCCTTCAAGTGGGCAAGGAGAAGAAGGCTGGCTGGCTACCCAATTGTTCTAGCTCCACACAGGTAAAGCTAAAGAATTTTGTTTGGTACACGACCACAGTATAGGGAAATCTTAGCAAAAGGTACTTTTTGTCTTCTCAGAAGATAGAGTAATCCTGGCTTAAAAAATAGACAAAAATTTCGTTTCAACCCTGGAAATGATGACAAATGATGTTGGTTAGTGACAAGATGAAGTTGGGTTAACAAAATCCTTTTGCTGATCGAATGCATTTTGCACTTTATAGGAACATTTGAAAACTGTGAAATTCACCAGACACACGTAATGCTTAGTACACAATACCCCTGGGACATGAAAGTATCTTCAGGGTATAGCCGAGATGTATTTTATGGAAGCAATTTTTAAAATTTAATTTATTATATAGAGATGGGGTCTTGCTATGTTGCTCAAGCTGGTCTCAAATTTCTGGCATCAAGCAATCCTCCCGCCTTGGCCTCTCAACATGCTGGGATCACAGGCATGAGGCACTGCACCCAGCCTGGAAGCAACTTATACCTTATAACAGTCTATCTGGATAACATGAAAGTTACTAATCAAATTTAGGAGTTACAATGACTAATCTGAAAAATAAGATATTTTCCAAAATGATCTGGAAATGAATGCTTTGTGTACCTCTCTTAATTTGTACTAGCACGATTGTCTCATTGATAACACTACAAAGATGTATATGCATACTCTACCTCCTCTAAAGAGATTAAACTCAATTTTAGAAGTGTAAGTTCAAGTTTTGAGGAGTTACAAAAAAATTATCTACGAGGGGTTACTGTTCCCACTAAATTCTTCATGCCATAAAAGGCATCTTTTCTGTTAAGCCATATTTGAGAGTGACTTCCTAAGGACTATTTCAATCAAATTGAAAGTTCATTCTTGGACAAAATAAAATGTGCTCACAAGCAATGAACAATCCAAATATTAAATTAAGAAAACAACTCCATTTACAATAGCATCAAAAAATTCTTAGTATTTAACAAAGGAACTATATAGGCTTACACACTGAAAACTACAAAACACCAATGAAAGAAACTGAAGAAGACCTATTTATTATAGGAAAATATCTCAAATTTATGGATTGGAAGATACTGCTAAGATCTTCCAAATTTGTTAAGATGGTAATACTTAAATTGATTTACAGATTCAACACAGTTCCTATCAAAATCTTAGCTGGCTTTTTTTTTTGGATATTGACAACCTAATTCTAAGATTTATATGGAAATGCAAAAAACACAGAATAGCCAAAACAATCTTGATAAAGAAGAACCAAGTTGGAGATTTTGCACTTCCTGATTTTAAAATGTACTCCAAAGCTATAGTAATTAATACTATGTGGTACTGGTATAAGTGTAGACGTATAGACCAATAGAATAGAAGTGAAAGTCCAGAAATAAATTCACACATTTATGGTCAGTTGATTCTTGACAAGGATGCTAAGACAAGGAATAAGAATGTTAATGGTGCTGAGATGATATTCACAAGCAAATGAATGCATTTGGATCTTTACTTCACATCATATACAAAAATTAACTCAAAATGAATCAAAATGTAAAACCCAAATTTAAGAGGTAAAACTCCAAAACTCTTACAAGAAAATATAGGTGTAAATGTTTGTGACTTTGAATTAGGCAATTTATTTTTTAAATGACACCCAAATCACAAGCAACAAGAGGGAAAAATACATAAAGTGGACTTCATCAAAATTTAAAGGTTTTGGAAGCAAAGCTAACAAATGCTTGGGGATTTTTACAAAAGTATTAATGTGTGTATTTGTGTGTGTTCCTTATAAATGTAATTTTGTTTGGTGGCGTCTTTTTTTAGTATTTTTATATGACTACTCTGTAATAGTTACTTTAAAAAATTTAATCCACTGAAGTTTTTATTAAGTAGGCAACACCTAGAGACAAGTAGCCATGAAAAAATTAAACAGCAAAAATCCCAGTGCGGCAGCAAGCAGACAGTCTCGAATTTCAGCTCTCTTGTCAGGAGGACATTTGTTAGTGATAGACTAGAAAACAACCACAGCAGAAAGGATTTCTGGAAGATGCCCAATCAAGAGGTATCTTTTTTTTTTTTTTTTGTCTGAAGGCTGAGATTTATAAAATTTTCACCCACCAGAATTTTGAACCAGCAATTTTGCAGATGTCCTTCACTGAGTGCCCTGGCATTGGGAAAGCCCCTCTTCTTACAGTTCCCTTGTTTATAGCTTTGCAAAGTAACAGTGATCAACACAAACAGCCAGGGCAGGTGAAATCTAGCCAATAATGCCTTCCTAATGAAAACTAAAAGGTCTTGTTTGTATTTCAACATCTCTAGTTACTGCAAACCAGACCTCGAGTCTTCCCCAGTGAAAGAGGTTGTTGACCTGGTAGTGAAGGAAGCACAGAAGCAAATCAGAAGACAATGTAGAATCAAGTAAGAGTTGAAAAGAAATTAGTCTACAGCAAGACAGAATCCCTCTCTTAGTCTCTATTCCAACTGGATTTTTAAAGTATATTTTTCTTCAAGTATAAGATACATAAAGTACATAAATTATAAGGGTACAGATTGAGGAATTTTCTCAAATCAAATACTCCCCTATGACCACTATATTGATCCAGATATAGACCATATCCAGTACTCCAGAAGCCTCTGTCATGGCTCATCTCAGGCATTAGTTCTCCATAGGCAGCCACAAGTCCAGTTTCTATCTTCATCAGCCAGTTTTACCTTCCTTCAAACTTGAAATAGTCACACACGACACACTCTTTTGTGTCTGCCTAAGATTCCTTCATGTTCACTGTGGCAAGTGTAGTCATTGTATGAAAATATCACGATGAATGTCTTCATACTCCTAATGAAGAATATTTACTCATCTCAGAAGAGCCAAAGGTACTAGAGCTGACCTAGACTTTCTATTAAAATAAAAGCAGTGTTCCTCTAGAATGACAGAGCAGCCCTGATTTAGCAAGCTTTCACATCCAGGGTTGGTACATTTAAAAAGCATTTCTTTCATTTTTAGTTTCCAGAGATTTCAAATGTATTGGATCAAGTCATTCTTAATATATTTTTTCTCACTTTAATGCCTATGGAATGTGCAGTAATATACTTTCTTCAGCCCAGAAATTGGTGAATTTTACTAGTTTTATCTTAAACAACTTTTGACCTTGTTGATTTTCTCTATTATATGTCGGTTTTCACTTTCACTAATGACTGCTCTTATCTTTAATGTTTTTTCTTGATTAATTTTGTGTCTTCTCCTAACTTTTGAGATAGATACCTCAGTCACTGGTTTTCAGCCTTTCTTCTTTCTGATACTGTTTCCTAAATAACTTTTTCATCTTTAAACCCATCCTTCTGTACTCTGTAATGCTGGGACTTCTACTAAGCAAACTGCATTTCCCCTTTACGGGTAGGGACTCTGCAAATAGGAGATGCTTGAGGGAGATGGCAGGCCTGGAGGTGGAAGGACAGAGTCACTCTTGTGTTACCTTTCTGTTCTGTCAGCATGGCCCCAGCAACAGCCTTTCATCCCTGTGGTGCCTATTGTTCTGGTCTCCAACTCCTCTTCAGTCCTCCCAGCCCAGCCTCATCATCATTCCTTGGGAGTCTGTCCTGACTCCATAGGGCATCTTTCAAGCTTCTTGCTCTAAAAACCCCAATTCCTTCTCTTTCTTCCCTCAGCCCTAGGGTAGAAGCTGTTTTCTGTAATTACTAGCTCCGTGTTACCAAAATGTCCCTTGTTAACTTTTTCTTGCTTACCTAATCCCTCATATTAATTTCTTTGCTCCTCTGTTCTGTATCTTTGCTGGAAAGCAACTGAGCTAGAAACCTAGGAGTCTTTTTCTAATGTTTTATCTCTCTCTTAGCCTCTGTAGGCAATCTATCATCAAATTCCATTGACTCTGCTTTTCCTATATATCCCTGGAATCTCTTCCCCCATTCCACTCCCATTGCCATCATTCTAATTCAGGCTCAAGTCATTTCTTACCAGGCCTATTTAATTAATCTCTTGGCCTCAGGGCTTGTTAAACAACAATCCCTATCTTGCTACCAAACTGATCTATAAAAGCAAAACTACTCACCTTAAAAACACCCCAGGGGCTCCCTGCTGCTACAAGGTAAAGCCCAAATGCCTCAATAACACATTAATCTTTCAGCCCTTTGTGAGCTGGTCTTTGCCCACATCTTCAGCTTCACGTGCCACTAATCCCCACCTTCTACCACAGCACCCCATGACCCCGAAACGTTTTCCAGGAAGTCCATCTTACAGGGCTGTGAATTTCTTGAGATAAGGAGTTGTAGCTTCTTAATCATTATGTGTACAATTTGGCAATTAGGGCATTCAACAAGCTTTTGTGAAATGAGAAAATGTCATTTTTCATGTTCTATAGAGTCTTCATATTCATAATTTTGAATGGCTGTGTGATAGTTGACCAAATTGATTGCCATAGTTTGATAAAACATTTTGCAATTTTTAGTTATTTGTTTTGTTTTGTTTTGTTTTGTTTTGTTTTGTTTCTGGAGACAGAGTCACACTCTTGTTGCCCAGGCTGTAGTGCAGTGGCATGATCTTGGCTCACTGCAACCTCAGCCTCTTAGGTTCAAGTGATTCTGCTGCCTCAGCCTTCTGAGTAGCTGAGATTACAGACATGTGCCACCACGCCTGGCTAATTTTTGTATTTTTAGTAGAGACGGGGTTTCACCATGTTGGCCAAGCTGGTCTCGAACTCCCGACCTCAAGTGATCCGCCCACCTCAGTCTCCCAAAGTGCTGGGATTACAAGCATGAGCCACTGTGCCTGGCCACAATTTTTAGTTATTTAAGTATACTGATAGTGATAGTTGACTTTATGTGTCATCTTAGCTAGACCGTGGTACCTAGATGTTTGGTCAAACTTTATTCTAGAAGTTTCTATGAACATATTTTTAGATGAAATTAATATTTAAATTAGTAGGCTGAGTTAAGCAAATTACCCTCCATAATGTGGGTGGACCTCATCCAATCAGTTGAAGCCTTAATAGAATAATACCAACCTCCTATGGAGAAAAAGGAACACTTATACACTGTTGGTGGGAGTGTAAACTAGTTCAACCACTGTGGAAGGCAATGTGGTGATTCCTCAAAGATCTAGAGGCAGAAATACCATTTGACCCTGCAGTCTCATTACTGGGTATATACCCAAAGGAATATAAATCATTCTATTATAAAGATACATGCATGTGTATGTTCATCGCAGCACTATTCACAACAGTAAAGACATGGAATCAACCCAAAAGCCCATCAATGATAGAATGGATAAAGAAAATGTGATACATATACACCATGGAATACTATGCCGCTATAAAAAGGGACAAGATCATGCCCTTTGCGGGACATAGATGGAGCTGGAAGCCGTTATCCTCAGCAAGCTAATGCAAGAATAGAAAACCAAATACCACATGTTCTTACTCATAAGTGGGAGCTGAATGATGAGAACACATGGACACATAGGAGGGAACAACACAAACTGGGGCCTATCAGGGGAGAGGACGGGGGAGGGAGTGCATCAGAAGAATAGCCAATGGATGCTGGGCTTAATACCAATATGATGGGTTGATCTGGGCAGTCAACCACCATGGCTCACGTTTACCTATGTAACACCTGCACATGTACCCCAGAGCTGAAAATAAAAGTTGAAGAAAAAAAAAAAAGAGCGAAAGGGCCCTGCCAGGCTCCTGGAAAAACAACCACAAACAAACAAACAAACAAAAGAAAAGGAAAATACCAACCTCCCCTGAAACAGAAGAAATTCTGCCGGCCGACTGTCTTTGAACTCAAACTGCAACTCTTCCCTTAGTCTCTGCCTGCTGACCCACCCTGCAGATGTGCAGATTTTGGACTGGCCGGCCTCCATAGTTGGATGAACAAATTCCTTAAAATCTTGATATAGATTAGATGTAGATGTAGATAGATATATGTACATGTTGGTTCTGTTTCCCTGGAGAATCCTGACCAATACACTGGTTTTTGTGTTTGGGGTTTGTTTGCTTGTTTGCTGTCCTAAATACAACTTTATGTTGATGATCATCTCAAATCATTATCAAGATTAAGATCTAGGACTAGGTTTCAATTCAAAAAGGGTGAATGTTACAATGCCTCTTAATAAAAGTCCCTAATTTCCCTCCAAAAAAAAAGATTGTACTAACATATAATGCCTCAGTGTTGTATCAATATATGTTGGCCACCACAATCTTTTTGGCACAATTCACATTTTAATTCATAATTTTTAATTATTCCGTAGGTAGAATATGGCTCTGTACATTTACTTATCGGGTATGTTTCCTGTTACATAAACTTATTGGGGATGTTTCCTGTTACATAACTGCTTGTGTGTGTGTGTGTGCGTGTGTATATACATATATGTATACATATATATGCACACACACAAGCAGTTACGTATATATACACAAATATATGTATATATATGTGTGTGTGTATATATATGTATGTGTGTATGTGTGTGTGTGTATATATATATACATATATATACACATATATATATACACGTATATATATATATATACATATATATATACACGTATATATATATATATACATATATATATACACGTATATATATATATACACACACACATATATATATATATGTCATTTGTCCCTGGAGTTTTAGATGTGTTATATGAATTCCTCATATGAACATTACTTATGACAGGATGAGCATTGTAATCAGTAAGTCTACATGTGTCATGGTTTAAGTCCATGAGGAATCTGTTCTTTGCTTATGCAGGTCAGCCTCTACACAGTTACTGGGCTGACACATAGCATGCAGCTTATCTCCATTCCAGTTAACAAGACTAGGGAAAGGAAAGAGAGGGGTGTTCACAAGAGGGTTATTCACAAGAGGGTTTTTATTAAGCTAGGCTTGGAAGTGAAACATTTATTTTTACTGCCAATCCATTCAGTACACTCAGTCATAAAGCCACCCTCACTGAAGAGGTTCTGGAAAATGGAGTCCAGCTGCATACCCAGGAAGATTTTGTATCCCCATGGATTGTGGTGAGTCGTTATCAGTCGTTACCAGGGTATGAAACCTGCTGTGCTCAGTGGTAGAAACATGGACTCTAGAGTGAGACACACTCATGTCACTATCATATCCAGCAAGGTACTTACACTTTCTGATCCTGAGTTTTCTTATTTTCCCAACGCAACATAGAAATAAGTATATTGTAGGGCAGTTGTAAGGTTTAATTTACATAAATATGTGCAACTTCATGGCATAGAGTGGGTTTATCATACATGTTAAATTCCTTTATAATTTTTCTGTCACATTTTTGGTAAATGTGTGTTTATATTTTGATTTTTTTCAATTTACACTTATGTTCTTTTTCCCTTTTATTTTTAGTTGACACATAAGAATGACATATTTATGGGATGCAGAGTGATATTTTGATAAGTGTATGTAAGGTATAACAATCCAATCAGTGTAATTAGCCTATCCATTACCTAATTTATCATTTATTTGTGTTGTAAACATTCAGAATTCTCTTTTCTAGCTTTTTGAAAGTATGTAATAAATTATAGTTAACCATATTGATCCTAAGTGCTGCAGGCATTCATGCTCCTCTGTTTAGGTATATAAAATGTTGTTTTTATGGAGTTTTACATCATCTTTCACTTTGTGGTTTCCTGTATTGCTTCCAAGAGTTACAAGCTATCATTCCTCCATTGTCAAGTAGGATGTCTCCTCTTTTATTTTCAGCTTATGGTCTGAATTTTTATTTCCTTTGCTAATGCTCCTATATTGCATGTTCTGAAACATCATCAAGACCTTTCAAAATGTAAAATTCCAAGTGTGAAACAGGACACGTATCTCTGTGACCGACCTTTCTATTTTCCATTGGTCCTTCCCTCCTTTTCTCCACCCTTGAGTCTTGTCCCCCATCCCTCTCCTGATTGCCCACTAAGTCTCCTCCCTACCATCATTTGTCCTCAAGATGGCAGCTCCATTATGTCAAGATGACAAATACCATATTAAAACAGTGATGTCAGACTTTGGTAGAAAAAAAAATGACCTGGGGGCTTGTGAATATGTAGATTGGAAAATTTCTGATTCAGAAGATCTTGGTAACAAATGAACATTTTAACAAGAGTCCTGGGTATTTTTAAAATAGCTAGTTCCCCACTTAGAAAAAATGGCTTAATTCCTTCCATAGATGTTTTTAGATAAGGTCTTCAACTATAGAAGAGAAAAAATATTAGCATCTTTTCTTCAGCCACCTGACTATGGATAAGAAAGCTATTCTTGAGTGTGAAGGTTTCTATCCTATCAAAATTACATGCATTTTTTCTTTACAGTTATAAGTAATATAACCACCTTTTATTCTTACAGCTACAAATACCTACTGATCTGTGGCTTTATCCAAAATCAAACCAAGTGTTTTTCAATCACTTGCTGCATGGGCTCTGAGCAGTGTGATTTTACATCGAAGAAGGCTAAAGCAATTGCTCTGTGAGTCTTATAGCCAGGGGATAAAATCAAGTAGAAATAGCAAGTTATTTTTCTAAATGTGAATTCCTCTGAATGCTCCAGCCACTTCACTCTTATTGAATCCTCTAACAACTTTTCTTATTTTAAGGAAAATATGACCCTTTTGTCTTTCTCCTGAGAGAAAGTACAGATTTTAAATAATATACAGTCATTTTATTTCTTACCACATAAGAATCACACTTCCCACACCTCCTTACTGGATTGAGTAGGTAAAACAAAACTTTTCCTAATACCACAGTGTGACAATGGAAGAATCACAGGACTTGATAGGGCCAAGTTACAGGAGTGGCTTGGTGCAGTACCTGTGGCATTTCACCCTAGGTGACTACCACTTCAGGCGTGACCCTGCAGAGACCTGATCTTAAAAACACTAAGGAAAAGGACAATATGTAACAATATTCCAACATGGAAGAAAGTTCTCAGTGCATTAACACCTGTGCTGCTGATATAGTAAGGCAGAACTGAAGGCCAAGAGCCTATGGGTATAAATATTCTCCTAAGGACTTTCTAAGACATCTATAACAGAATTATTAGTGGCTTTGTTTGATCATCAGATGAAAGGCTGTCATAAATCAAGATGATAAAGAATAGTTTTCATCCAGAGAACTGAAAAGTCTTCAAACATCTGGCCTGGAGAAGGTTCAGTGGAGTGAGTGTAACTTGGATATCCTACTGGAAATGAACTGAAGACTGCAGTTGATTCATGCCTTTTTTCAAAGTACGGGGATTAATGAGCAGATAGGAGAGTTAATGACCCAACCAGCATGGATTATCATTCAGCCTGGCTAGCAGAAATCCCTTTGGGGTTATCCTTTGTCCCGTATTGTCCTATTTATTAAATTAGCTACCTTTTTCTTTTTCCTTAAAAAGAAAAGTTTTCTGTGTTTCCATTTCCCTTGCTCTCATTTTTTTTATTTTAATTGTGGCAAAATACACACATAACATAAAATTTACCATTTTAACCCTTGTTAAGTGTACAGTTCAGTGGCATTACATATATTCACATTGTTGCGTCTCCCCTTGTTTAAATTATTGAAAACTTAATTTTAAGTTCACTTTTTAATATTAATCAAATCAGTGAACTAGTCTATGATAAAACAGAGGGTTCCAATAATAGCAAAAAAAAAAAAAATTGTGTCTCTGCCTGTGTCTCTCTTTCTCCACATGTTCTCTTAGGACAAATAGCCTCTTTTAAGTCCCTCTTCCAACGCATTCACTCAAAACACAAACACACACACACTCTACTACATAATGATTTCTGGAGTCCCCAGGGGAGTCTCAGATGATGTAGACTTCACTTGCTCTGTGTTCTGCTACTGTCAGAACGGCTGGCACCAGAGTTTCCAATTCACCAAAACAAGGTGACCAGATTTCTTTTTCCTATTACACAGCTCCCAAAGCACAGCAGTTTTAAGTCCGCAACTCTCTCCTGTCTGCTCTGCTCAAAGCCCTCTCCCATGAATCAGTTTTGTGGATTGGGCCACAGGAGGCTCTGAATGATAATTGTCATGTTATCCTCAGCTCCATTCTCCTCTACAAAACCAGAATCTTACTAGACCAAACTTGGCTTGACTCTCTCATTACATAGTATGAGGTGCCTTTTTTTTCCTCTTACAAATCTCCACTTCCAGAGCCTGTTGCCACAATCCCAGGCATTGCCAGACATGCCCAAAGCCAAAGGGAGACAGCTTACATTCAAACTTGGATCTCCATTCTGTTTTCCTACTATAGGCTAGCACTCTCTGGTATAAAGTTTGTATGCTTCTAGCGGCCCCTTTATCTAGAATTAAACATGGCTTAATATTCATAATGCTTTATTCACTAGCCATGGAAGAAAGTGAATCCACTCTTCAAATAAATGATGACTTGAAAGAGCTACCATATTACATCACAGCAAACTCCAAGGCTCATAATCACTTCCCAATTATTACCACTTGGCAAATTGCCACGGCTATCACACAAAAACTATTATGGTAACTATGGTCTGGATGATAGGGTAAGTATCATTACTCTCATTCTACAGATGAAAAGCTATTGCTTAAAAGATCCTGAGATAAATGGCTAGTAAGTAACAGAGCTAGAGGAAGAACTACAATCTCCTGACTGGGGTTTGTTCTTGAGAATTTTAGGCTTGAGACATAGATTTACCAAGTCACCAAATTTTTCTGACACTTGTCTCCTTCTAATAATTTACTTGAAAACTCTAATTGGTGCTGACAAAAGAGGATATTGACAACTGGTAAAATGTCCAAAGCCAACTTGAATGAATCATCCATGCTACAGATCAGAACAATCTGTTCAATGAAGCGGCATACATAGATTATGCATACAGTTGTCATGAAGGTAAGTCAAATGACTTGACCCCACTATCTGATTCACCATTTTAAACCGAGTGCCCTAAGCAGTTTTAACTTTGCCATTGACACTTTTCTCAGCCAGCAATGTGGTCAGTGACTACACATCACCAAAAGTGATATGAAGAATATGAAATTGGGCTGAGCATCGTGGCACTCACCTGTAATCCCAGCTACTCAGGAAGTTGAGGTGGGAGGATTGCTTGAGCCCAGAAGTTTGAGATTGCAGTGAGCTATGATTATGCCACAGCACTCTAGCCTGTGTGACAGAGCAAGACCCTGTCTGAAGAAAAGAAAAGAAAAGAATGTGAAATTGACTTGCTATCTCATCCTAAACAATAGAGCAATCCTAAAAGATACGGTTTAAACTTTTCTCATAGATTAGATGAGAAATAAATATAAATCACAGGTCAGTTGTCATATTAACAATACATATTTCCATAAGAAATAACAAAAAAAATCCTATAGTTTTAAAAATGCCAAAATTACTATTGCAATAAAAAAGACACGAAAACAGAAAATTTTGTTCTTGATTTAAAAACTGATTGACAGAATAACAGTATCTTGGTGGTAATGAAATATACCTTTTTAAACTGACCTCATAAAAACATAAGAACATAACTGACTGGCTGTACACAGTAAATGTACAGGAAAATTGAACTTTATAGAAATAATGCCCATTAGGATAGCTCTACGAACCTATTAGGAGTCATTGAGTTACATTGTTAAGTTTAAAAGGAAAGTTCAAAAAGATTATAAATAGTAATTCTACCTTTTATAGAAGAAAAATAAAAGTATTGGCCAGGCGCGGTGGCTCACGCCTGTAATGCCAGCACTTTGGGAGGCCGAGGTGGGTGGATCACCTGAGGATGGGAGTTTGAGACCAGCCTGGCCAACATGGTAAAACCCCGTCCCTACTAAAAATACAAAAATCAGCCAGGTGTGGTGGTGGGTGCCTGTAATCCCAGCTACTCAGGAGGCTGAGGCAGGAGAATAGCTTGAACCCAGGAGGCGGAGGTTGCAGTGAGCCAAGACCGTGCCATTGCACTCCAGCCTGGGTGACAGAGCGAGACGCCGTCTCAAAAAACATACATACATACATACATACATACATACATACATACATAAAAATAAAAGTATTAAGAAAATATATATGTTTTTGCTTATAAGAAACACAGGAGGCCAGGCCCAGTGGCTCACACCTGTAATCCCAGCACTTTGGGAGGCCAAGGCAGGTGGATAACTTGAGGTCAGGAGTTTGAGACCAGCCTGGCCAACATGGTGAAACCCCATCTCTACTAAAAATACAAAAATTAGCTGGGCATGGTGGCAGGTGCCTGTAATCCCAGCTACTCGGGAGGCTGAGGCAGGAGTATCACTTGAACCTGGGAGGCAGAAGTTGCAGTGAGCTGAGATCATGCCATTGCACTCCAGCCTGGGTGACAACAGCAAAACTCCATCACACACACACACACACACACACACACACACGCAAAGAAAACCACAGGAAAGATAATTCCGTAACTAATGAAAGTAGTTACCAAGAGCAATGGGTAAGAATGGGCTAGAGGGTCTAGGAATTGGAATGAGGTTTTTCTGATTGTAATTTATATTTTAATTTTGACTTTTATACCATGTAAATGTTTTACATAGTGAATAAATAAAATTAAATCAGAAATGATGGAAAAGGTAAATCCTAAAATTAAATGCAATCAAAACAAATTATCCTAACCATATATGTAATTGATAACAACCACATGGAGAAAATAATTCATGCAATTATGCACAGAACACAGTACTGTGGATACATTCTGAGGACAAAAAGAACTGAAAGTAATCTTAACCTTTCCTTAATAGGTTTGCTGGGATTGGTGCTGTAATTCTGAAAGTGTAGTACATTGCAATTTGGAATAAATAAGTAAATATAGTGGTGTTGTTAAGAGCCAGTAGCTTCACTGCAGGAGAAAGAAGATATACAATGAAATGGACAAAAACAGGGAAAATTGCAATATTGTTGAATTTGACCAAAAATAGTAGTACAATTGATTTTTTAAAAATTATCCTAGCTCTATAGGGCCTAGATATTGGTTTCTAAACACTATTCTCCATTAAAAGGAACCAGAGCTGTTTAGAGATATAACTGATTCCAGAGCTGGGATGAGTCGGGAACAATGTATTGTACTGGAAAGCAAGTAAGTACTCAAACATTAATGGGGTCATGATAGTAGGACACTTCAGCTGGCTTTTGATGTGGCACACGCTGGCTAAATTTGGAACGAGGTTGGCAGCAAAAAGAGTAATGATGGTCATGGATTTTATCACGCTGAACAGAATAATCCTGAAGGCAGGATGTTCTGCAGGACCACATGCCTTGACTCGTCAAAGAAGTCAGTGTCATGAAAAACAGTGAGGCAGTGGTATTGTACTGGTTTGAAGAAGGCTCAGGAGGGCCCACAGAATCATTAGAAATGTAAGTATATAAAGGTCATGCAGAAAGGCACAAGGGGATCAGCCCACCATAAAAAAAAAAAATCACCAGTTCATCTAAAAAAAAGCAAAACTTATCAAGGTTACCTAGGTTACATAGTGTAAATACAACTTTCCATCATGACTAACATACAGGCCAGGTGTCGTGTTCATGGGTGTAATCACAGTGCTTTGGGAGTCTGAGGCAGGGGGATTGCTTGGGGCCAGGAGTTCAAGACCAGCATGGGCAACATAGCAATGCCCTATCTCTACAAAAAAAAAAAACCAAAAACAAACAAACAACAGACTGACAAAGGTCATAAAATATATTGCAATATTAGCACTGTAAAATTTAAGAATAAACTTGCTTTTGCTAGAAAGTTTAGGCTTATGGTAAATGTTCATACTTTACTTTTGTTTTTGTTTAGGGATCAGAAACATACATGGTGGCTCAATTACCTTTGTTTAACTCACGGTGCAAAGTGCTTTTTCTCTTGACTGTGATGGGTTGTGAGTTATTAACAGTGGAAGAGTATCACTCCTGCTTCAGCAAGAGAAATAACAGCTACATAAAAGGCATGAGTTGATTGGCTCCCAGATAAAATAAATAAATAAACAAGAACTACAAAGGACCTTTTGGACACAATTTGGGAAAATTCAATATGTCCTTTATGTTAGTGAATGCTACTGAATTACTTTGATCAAATAATTTTCCCCTTCTTAACTCTGAGCCCAAGACAACGAAGGAGTTGGTTTCTGTAGAATACTCTTGTCCTTGGAACTGACACGCCGAAGTATTTAGGGGTGAATTATCATGATTTTGCATCCTATTCTCAATGATTTGGGGAAAGGAAAATGTTAGCTGGAGCAAGTGTCATAAGATCTAATGATTTCAGGAAAGGAATATATGAGCATTCATTTTATTCTTTTTTCAACTTTTCTATGAGTTGGAATGTTTTTACAATTTAAAAAATCACAGAAATAAAGGCAAAATAAATTTTATAATGGCAATAAAAATATAGATGAATAAAAACAAAATTATCAATAAATTTTGGTATAAGCTTTCTATAGAAAAAAATTAATTCTGATGAAAATACAAAAAAATCGGAAAAAGGTTTAAGTGCTATATAAAAATTTTTGAGTGATTAAATTGAATTATAGAGAATCATGAAAGTCTTCAATGTTGGCATGATTTCAATTAAAATATTGTAATCATCAATCGTTCATTACAACTTCTTCCTTGTTAAAGTAGGGGTCCCTAAACATGGACATATTAGTTTGGTCAAAATGGCTTATGCGGGAAAAAATATTACAAATTTGTCCTGGGTAAGTGGCAAATGCTACTGTTGAAAAACCTGTGCTTTAGGGAATTGGAATTGGTAGGCCAGGTGGTTATTGCTATGCAATGAGTAAGAATCAATTTGAGGGATAAAGAGGGGAGAAAGGAGGATGTGGCTCACTAGCAGGTACTGCACAAAAGACCTAATTCTCAGAGACTTTAACTTCCTCCCCCAGGAAGAGGACTTGGCTTGACTTTTGGGATTTCTGCCTGTGACATAGGCTCCAATACTTTTGAGCACTATTCTTATGTAACAATTAGCCTCATTTTGTGGATGAATGGGAAGTTAAGAAGCTTGTCCCAAACAAGATGAAGCAAGACTCCATCCTGTTATCCCTTAATCTGAACCTGCTTTAAAATGTAATGTGGATACCCCAGAATAAAAGGGTCTCCAGTTTTATTCTAAGCTCTGCATTCCATAAGGATATTGATTTAATGAAGATGAGTCTTTTTAAAAAAATTGATCCATTGCTTTTGTTCCAGTTGCTTTTGTTTTCCAGTTGCTCAAGAATTGGAGAAACCAAGATTTTTGTTTGTTGTGTTAAATAATTGCTAGTAAATCATTCAAACATCAAGTAATTCATCATTGTTGATCATTGTTCTAAAATGACGTACTCAGAACAATAGGTACATGGAATGGCCATTTGATAAATGATTAAATGATGTGATAATTCCATAAGAACTTCACAACAGTGTTCTTACAACTTAAAGGAAGAGTGCCAAGAAACATTCTGTTCTGGATCATAATGTGGCAGTTGGTTTGTATTTATAAATGACTCCTAGGTCACCACACAGAAAAGAGGTCTGATTTAATAATATCACTAAGTAATATTTGCTTAATTGTACCATTCCTATTGGTTACAAAAGCATTAAAAACCATGATATACTTTTCGCTGTGAAATTTAAAAGCAAAGAGATCACATCGGCTTCTCCAGTCTGAACTAGGTGCCTCGTCTGTTTTTTCTTTTCTCTTTTTTTAAAAAAATGGGACAGGGAGGGGCTAGGGGAGTGGGAGGGTGAGTGATGGGGGTGTCACGTGCAAAGAAGCCCTCACTTCAAAGGGACGTCTGGCAGGGAGCAGGTGGGCTGCTCTCCAGGGAAGGTGCAAGGACAGTTGCTGTGCTGAAATGCACATGTGGCAGCACAGCAAATGAGGAGCACTGGAAGATCAAAAGGAAACCTGAAAATCACAGGTCACCCTCACTCTGTACCTCTCAACTAGGATTACCAGGTCAGCCATTTGAAAGGGAGCACCCGATCTTTACAAGGTCAAGAGCCACTGACTTTGGTGAGTCTGTAATAGATCTGAGTCAGTTTCATTGCTGCCAAGTACAGAATACATTCCAGCCGGAGAAACTCAGGTAGCTCCCAAAGCTCTTTAGAGTTTGTGGAGGAAACCTGCATTCCACAGGCTTCTGAAATAGTTCTTTTGAAGTATCTCTAGTATCTAAACAGCCTTTCCAGAAGGGCTTACTTAGCAATGTTCATAAAGAGTGATAAAAGTTCTGCAAAATTTGCCCCGTTTTGTTTTGCCAGTGCTGCCATCCAGGTAAAAAGAGGACAACCTCCTGCCATTTTGCCCTAGGACAAGGTCGCCACTCATGCAATGATACCATTTGTAAATATTTAATGTACAAATGCATCTAGTTTCAACACATTACTCTTGAAGCCCTGGTCTTTGTTTTTGGTTAGAAAAAAAAAAGACACTATATTTCTAGGTTTATTTGGATTGAAGTTTCTATATGCTGTTTGAGAAGAATCAAGGCAGTGTACAGCATATATTATGCAACCCTGTGGCTAAGGCAGAGGGCCTGGTAGGGGTTGCTTCTTTACTTCCACATTATGAAGAGCAAAATAATCCAGTCATTGATTCTATTAATCAACTGTGAATATGATAAGTTCACATGATGTTATGTGTTCTGGGTTTGTTCCTTTTTATTTATTTTTACTGTTTATTTTAGGTTTGGGGGGCACATGTGAAGGTTTGTTACATAGATAAACACGTTTCATGGGGGTTTGTTGTACATATTGTTACATCACCCAGGTATTAAGCTCAGTACCCAATAGTTATCTTTTCTGCTCCTCTCCCTCCTTCCACACACCCCCGTCAAGTAGATCCCAGTGTCTGTTGTTTCCTTCTTTGTGTTCATAAGTTCTCATTTGGCTCCCACTTATAAGTGAGAACATGTTGTATTTGGTTTTCTGTTCCTCCATTAGTTTGCTAAGGATGATATCCTCCAGCTCCATCCACGCTCCTGCAAAAAACATGACTCATTTTTTATGGCCACATAGTATTCCATGGTGTATATGTACCACATTTTCTTTATCTGATCTGTCACGGATGGGCATTTAGGTTGATTCTGTGTCTTTGCTACTGTGAATACTGCTGCAATGAACACTCACATTCATGTGTTTTATATCCCTCTGGGTATATACCAAGTAATGGGATTGCTGGATTGAATAGTAGCTCTGCTTTTACCTCTTTGAGGAATTGCCACACTGCTTCCCACAATGGTTAAACTAATTTACACTCCCACCAACAGTGTATAAGGGTTCCCTTTTCTCTGCAACTTCACCAGCATCTGCTATTTTTTGACTTTTTAGTAATAGCCATTTGACTCATTTGAGATGGTATTTGTGATTTTGATTTGCATTTCTTTAATGATCAGTGATGCTGAGCTTTTTTTCATAGGCTCGTTGGCCACATGTATGTCTTCTTTTGAGAAGTGTCTGTTCATATGTTTTGTCCACTTTTCAATGGGGTTATTTGTTTTTCTCTTATAAATTTGTTTAAGTTCGTTACAGATGCTGGGTATTAGAGCTTTGTCAGATGCACAATTTGCAAATATTTTCCCCCATTCTGTAGGTGGTTTCCTCCTTTTTAAAACCCTTAACTCAGTCTCAGTGAAGACTTGAGAGTATTTATAGAAAATTTTGATTAGTTCAACACATCTCAAATGCTGGCTTGAGAATTAAAAAGTCAATCAATAACGTTTCGTTCATGTGCATCTTATAGATCCCACTTCCAAAATTAAATTTTTTATTGACTCCTAATTTTTTTTTTAACTAAATACATCAAAAAACATATATAAAACGTAGTTGTGGTTTGGTGTTCCTTGGAGGAAAGACTCTCTAGGTTAAAAAGAATCAATATTTCCTAGCTGTAATCAGATTTGTACGGATAATATAAGCCACCATTACTATGGCCTTTTCCTCCTCAGCTGGTGCTAAAACCTCTGGACAGCTTAGAGAAAAGTAAATTTTGCTCTGTGGATAATACGTGAGGTTTACTACATTTCATATTTCGTCTTGCATGGTCCAGTGTGTCCATCAACACAATTTTACAAAATATCAAATCCAGTCCAATAAATGTTTAAGTCATGTTCTCTCTGCTTGGGTACCTAGAACTGTTAGCTTATTTGATTTAATTATACAAGAGCAAATAAATAAAACACAATTACCAGAAAATTTCAAGCTATGCATGCTCAATAAATTTATTCATTTCACCACCAGAAAACATGCCAAATAGTCTGGCAGAAAATTCAAATGATCTGATGATATTTGATTAAAACTGAAGTAAAATCAATGGGGAGAAAACTTCAGTCATTCCCAACAGGAAACTCAGATCACATAAGAATTAAGTTAACTCTTGGATAATATTTAAGATTCACTATTTGAAAAGCCTGGTCTTTAGAGACAAGGGCTGAAAAAATCCAGTTCAATTATAAAGGTTTCTGTTTCTGAAATGCAAGTACTGTTAACTTTTTATTATTTTCAGCAAAGAAAAATGATGAGAAATCATCACTGAATGGATGGGTGAGGCAGTGCAACAGGGTGGGTGGGGGGCTAGGCAGAAATAAGAGATCCAGCTGCACTGAGGCAGGTGTAGGGTGGCAGAGCTACCCATGCAATGGTATCCTAAGCCAAGCATCCTGTGACAGAATTTTGGCTGTGCCTAACCTGTCATGGTTTCTGCCTAAGTTGTTTTTCCAGCTTTCCCATAGATTCTGGCAGCCTAGATAGACTTTCAATAGATTCAATTTTAGCTTGAAGTAGCCATGTTTTTGGTGTTGTTTGCCACCAAGGATCCTAAAAGTACAAAATACAATGAAGGAAGAGGAGTTATGGCAAATAAGGGAACGTAAATAAACAAGAACCCAACTAATTTATCTAGCTGAGAAACTGGCAACTTTTCTTAGGAAGTTGTGAAACAGCTGACTAAACAGTTGAATTTTATATCTTAGGGTGCTGAGGCTGTTGTATAAAGGCAAATAAGAAAGATTTATGATGTTGGAACACATTGCGTATGACTGTTTTGTTCTACAAAAAAAGAAAGAAAGAAATCTGGGCAGATGGTAGCCTGTTTGAAAGCAGGCAGCTTAAATGTGATTCAACTGCTGAATCCAACAACTTCTGGATTTCCTCTTATCTGAGTTAATCAGCTTCTTTAATGTTCCATCAGTTTGAGTTGTCAGTTACTTTCCATCAAATCCATCTTAATGGTATACACAAAAAGTTGGGTCCCAGTTTGCTCAAGAGGAGAACAAAGACCTGATATGGGTCCTGTTGCATAAAGCGGGCACAGGGAGAGCCTCTATTATGGGGCTCTCTACATACGCAGGGCTAACTGCATTTTATCTTGATTTATGTTGAGAGGCCAGGCATTCAAGGGCTGAACTGCCCAGACTCAAGTCTCCCCCTGTATTCCAATTCATATTTGTACCACCAATTCTCTCGGCAGCACCTACCTCCAGGGCCCTTGGCCACTCGCTTTTGCATCAGCTTCCATGGCAAAAGCCAGCCATGCCTCACGTCATGCGTGCAGCTCCACACCTCTGCTCTCCTCCCGGCTTCTCCATTGCTGCTGGAGCATGAGAAGCCAGGGATCCTCCTAATGGTTCATTATGTGTACCATGGAAGTATGGCATTAATATCCCGTAAAGAGCTCATACCCTGTAGGGTAAATCTTTGACCAGTGGGAAATGGAGGCTGTCAAATAAATTCTTCTCCTTTTTCTCCCCAGACAGGCTTTCCTAAATAATTTGGTAGCTCATGCGGCTTCTCAGAAAGTGGTCTTGTGAGGTAGAGCAATCGGTGCACTCAGTATCAGATGGCAGCCAGCTCCATAGTGCACACCCTCGTACTTGCCCTCCCTCCTTCTCTGCCTCATTCCTATTTCCCTCAACCCTGCTTCCCTGGGGCTGCACTCCCTAATAATGTATTCCAATACAAGCTTTTGTGGGCTCTAGTTTCTATAGAAGCTGGTCTAAAATGACCCTGATATTTAAAAATATATCCCTTATTTCCAACCATCCTCTTAGATTTCAGCCTTAGCCCCTAATTTTTCCCTAAATTAAAAAATGTTGTACTGCATGTTCTCACCCATAAGTGGGAGTTGAACAGTGAGTACATATGGGCACAGGGAGGGGAACACACACGCCAGGGCCTGTCGGGAGGTGGGGGTTGGGGAGGGATAGCATCAGGAGAAATACCTAATGTAGATGACAGGTTGATGGGTGCAGCAAACCACCATGGCACATGTATAGCTATGCAGCAACCCTTCACGTTCTGCACATGTATCCCAGAACTTAAAGTGTAATAATAATTTTAAAAATGTTGTGCTATATTTGGGTTGCATCTGCCAGCTTTATATTCAAGGCCTACATATAGCAATTAATTTAGAGGACAGTCTGGGAACCAAAGTGGTATTTGTTGGGTACAGACCTCAAAAGAGGCCACTTTGTTTCTTGACACTCCCCAGTCTTGATGAAGTTCTCTCCATTTTTGGGCTGTGGTACAGCATTTGGCAACACACAGTTTCTGTCTGTGTATTCCCAATTCTTGGAAAGCCATTTGCTATTCATAAAACTTCTTTTCCAGTCTTGTGCACACATGTACATTCACGTATTTCTCTCAGGGTTCCTGATGGCTCCCAACCTCTAACCGAGGGAGAGACTCTGACGTCTGAAATTATCTTAGCCTTTGGAGCACACACCCTATTTTATTTTTCTTTATTCATTAAATATTAATCTGAATTAGGCTGCTAATGACAGATTTCATCACCAAAAGGCATTATGCATTCTAGAGCCTGTTAATCTTTTCTAATAGTTCATCTGTATATAAGTGTATCCACTGCCACTCCCTCGCCTCATTACACTGCCATTTTCCCAAGAGTATTGATGAGAAATAATAAAGTGAGTAAAGTGTATTGGCTATTTATTTTTTAATATAGCACCTCTTATCATCGGAGAGGTAAAGTCAGAATTAAGATAACAGCCACTAAGAAAAGCCAAAAATATTTCACCCCAAAATATACTCCTTCTTTGATATATTTTGGGATGGATATTCAGAAGACCTGTAGAGAGAAATAGCCTGCAAAACTGCTTTTTGTGGAGGAGGTTTGCATCTGTAGAGAAAAATCTACATTAGGGAAATAAATAGCCAGGCTTTCTCTGACAACGCCTCCCCTCCAGTCTGGACCTAGGAGACATTTATTCTTTCTGGGAGCTGCTACAAATGAGGTTGCATGTACATAACAAGACCACTCTTCCTAGCCATGCCTTTCCCCTTCCCTCTCTCCCATAACCTGTCTTGACACATTGCAAGCCCCTGTTCTTTCTGGGTAGCTTTTACTCATGGTGGAAGGCGAAGCAGGAGCAGGCATCTTAACATGGCAGAAGCAGGACTAAGACATAGAGTGGGAGTTGCTACACACTTTCAAACAATAGAATCTCATGAGAACTCCATCACAACAGCATGAAGGGGATGTAGCTAAACCATTCGTGAAGCATCCACCCCCACGATCCAATCACCTCCCACCAGGCCCCTCCTCCAACACTGGGGATTACAATTGCACATGAGATTTGGGTGGGGAAGCCGACCTAAACCATATCAAGTGTCAACCACCTGGGCCTTTCGTTGAGTTTTTATATTTTGTATGACTCCTGTGCACATGTGCGTATGTTAATAAATTTGATTATGTCTTTTCTCCTATTAATCTGCCCTTTGTCAGTTGATTTTCAGCAAACCTTCAGAGGACAAAGGGCAAACCCTCAGCCCGTACAGTTTTGGTGCTGTCAGCAGGATAACCAAAACTGCTCTGCTCTTCCAGAAGCTGCAGTCAAGGGAACCCAGGACCTGACAAGCTGGCAGAATAGTAAGAATTCTTTAACAATTAGCTTCTTGGTTGTCTGTGGAATCTGGTTGAGTGGATGGTAAAAATCACTGTCTCTTTTTTCCTCTTCCCAATTTAAGACTGTGGGAGAAAAGCATGTATACAGACTGGTCTTAGGTTTAGCAATTTTGATGTTATTGTCATTGGTTTTGTATAAATAGGTGTATTGTGTGATCCTTTTCCTTCCAGGAATAGTCTTTGTTTTTTCTTTGTCTTTGTCTTCCCGTGCTGTTTCGTCATAAAGAAGGATACTATAGACTATGGAATAAAAACCGAAGGTTGGCCAGGTATGGTTGCTCACGCCTGTAACCCCAGCACTTCGAGAGGCTGAGGTAGGCAGATTACTTGAAGTCAGCAGTTCGAGACCAGCCTGGGCAACAAAGGGCCCCCTCCCCGACCTCTACAAAAAAAAAAAAAATTAACCGAGCACAGTGGCATCTGCTTATAGTCCCAGCCACTCGGGAGGTGGGTGGATTACTTGATTGCCCAGGAGTTTGAGGCTGCAGTGAGCTATAATTGCCACTGCACTCAAGCCTGGATGACAGAGCAAGACTGTCACTGAAAAAAAAAAAAAAGCAAACCCCACCCCCCCTGCCAAAACACTGGAGATTTCCCTCTCATTTTGTTGTACATCCTTGAGGGCTTGACTTGTGACCAAGTGGGAGCACCCTATTTTGGTCTCCACCATCTCAGGGGCCAGGATTTTTGGGTCACATTCAGTGGACAGTATGAAAGGGCTGAGAACCCCAAGACACATAAGATATTAAGAACACTTTTTGTTCCAAATGTGCCAAGCTTTTATGGGCGTTTGTCTTAATAAATCCCATCTATAAGGAGCTTTTGTTGTCTCAACTTTTGTTGCCTGGTCAGTTCTGGGAAAGTCTAATCCTAGGAGGGCCTACCCAGTGTCCCGGATCAATGGGTCTGTGACTGGCGCTCCCCTACACACAAATTTGTGGGATACCAGAGGCATCATATGCACAAACTGTATCCTTAACTGTCTGTAGCAACAACAGTCTTTTGCTATCTTAGACTATTTCTGTGAGTGACTTTTTTGGTGGGGAGTCATAGGGGACTGCATCTTCTGTGCTGATTTTTTTAAAAATTTTATTATTATTATACTTTAAGTTTTAGGGTACACGTGCACAACATGCAGGTTTGTTACATATGTATACATGTGCCATGTTGGTGTGCTGCACCCATTAACTCGTCATTTAGCATTAGGTATATCTCCTAATGCTATCCCTCCCCCCTCCCCCCACCCCACCACAGTCCCCGGTGTGTGATGTTCCCCTTCCTGTGTCCATGTGTTCTCATTGTTCAATTCCCACCTATGAGGGAGAACATGCGGTGTTTGGTTTTTTGTCCTCGCGATAGTTTGCTGAGAATGATGGTTTCCAGCTTCATCCACGTCTCTACAAAGGACACGAACTCATCTTTTTTATGGCTGCATAGTATTCCGTGGTGTATATGTGCCACATTTTCTTAATCCAGTCTATCATTATTGGACATTTGGGTTGTTTCCAAGTCTTTGCTATTGTAAATAGTGCCGCAATAAACATTCATGTGCATGTGTCTTTATAGCAGCATGATTTATAATCCTTTGGGTATATACCCAGTAATGGGATGGCTGGGTCAAATGGTATTTCTGTGCTGATTTTTAAGACACCACTTATATCTATGGTATTCTAAATCTGGAAAATTACCACTGGGACTTTTCATTAAAAAGGATTATTGGCTTGAGCTGCTTAGGGAATAAATAAATTGGCTATAATTTTTTTAAAAAAACTTTTTAGAGAGTTCTCATCTTAAACAGCTATCTTATTGGTACCTATTAGAAAAAACAAACAAACAAACAAACAATAGCCTTAAAAAAAATCCCTTGAAAAAATCAAAAGAAAAAAAATAGCAGAAATCAGTTTTCAAACAAAGTTAAAATCCTTTGTATACTCAAACTGCCTGCTTTGGGTCCCCTGCGAGATTTGCAAAGAAGGGACTCTAGCCAGTACTCTCATGGCTAGGATTCCATACTTAAACCACCATGGTCTGGGTGTGAGTCCTGTCTGGGAGCCAGTTCCTTGGAAATGTAAGTCCTTTAAATCAAAAGGAAAAAAAAATCTATAAAAACTGGTTTGATATTTGTATGACTCTTAACTTTTAGGGTATCCATTGTTTTGTAATCCTTTTTGCCCTCAGGGACAGTTTTTGATGTCCTGTCTTACAGACGGGTGTCTCTTGTAATCTTCCATCTACGGGGCACACTAGATGTCAGGCCTTTGTGTGCAGATGGTCAGCTAAGAAGCTGAGACTCCAGAGAATATGGTCAGACAGAAATGTGGGTTGTGCCCTATTTGGGGTGAGTGAAACTTTCCTTTCTTTGAGCTGTCATTGGGGGTGATCTCTTGGGTGAGTTGCAGTTTTCCTCCCTCTTTGGAGACTTTAGTTAAAGCCATAAAGGACTTCTTGCTTTTAGTCTCATGTGTGCTTATTTGTTTTGGTTTTGAGTCATTAGTTCAGGCATACCTCTGCTTTAAAACTTTTGTATTTAGAGTGTGATAGCAACTTTTTTTCCCCATTGATCTTGCTTCCCCTAGTAGGCCAGAGAGCCATACCTCCCTCTGCCACTGGAAACCAAACCATTGAGCTGAGGAGATGGACCCTACTGCAGCCATCACACTCTCGGCTCTGGCAAAAGGCTGACTGCTTGTAGGATAGAACACTTGCTGCTTGGATATTTAAAACAAATTTTAAAAGAGCTTTATAGTCAAAATTAAAAGCTGATATTCAGGCTGTATTTTTAATAACCTTTCTGCTTTTTCTCTTTTGGATCCTATTTCTCCCCTGGGAATTTTTTCAGTCAATTAAAACCCTTTTTTAAAATGTATATGTTACATCTCTCTGTTCACTTCCTTTCTTGTTGGCATGATTTTTGCTGAGAAAAATGTAAAACTTCATTGATGTTTTTGGAAGTTTAAAACCTTCCCAAACTGGTTCTCATTTACTTCTACTCTTCTCTCCCTTTTGCTTCCTTCGATATCAAATGAAGAGATCTAGACGGGATGTCTAGTGACCCTGAGACCTATGTTCTTGAAAAACACAGAAAAAGGTACCACACACTCATTTTGGGGGGCCTTCTGTCTTCCTCACAGACCCCCAAGAGTCATAGACAGGGTCCTGTCAAGTCTAAAGCTCTGCTGCCATTTGCACTGAGTTCCCTGATCTCTCTGGCTTTTGGGAGTACCGGGAGTTACTTTGCACAGTGGGTGAGCACTTGACCTTTGAGTATGCTGTGGCTGGTGAGTCCCTGGCAAGGCTGCAATTCTGGAGGCAGCTGACAGCAGTTTTAGTCAATGGTTATCACTACAAGGGGCTACTTGTTTCTTTGTGTGTTTCGATAAGCAAAGCATGGTCTGGGCACTTGGAGGCTGTGGGAACACATGCCATCAAAGGATAAGACTCCCATGGGGATTGGGCCGATCACAGAGTGAGCTGGTTGGCATTGGGTTGCCCACTAGCCTCAGGGGAATGTCCTTGCAGCAAGGTTCACTGTGGAAGGGTATGGTGCTTCCTCTTGGGCTTTTGCCTCACCTCTGGAGAACCCAGGATTCAGTGAAAAATGACACCTGGGGATCCAAGCAAGCGCTCTTCCAGCTCTGCCTGCTTTTCACATATAACAGCATTAAGCCCCAGAAGCTGCAAATGCTTTGACAGCCCTATGCATTGATGGGCTCTGCCCTAAGCACACTTGGAAAAGGGAGACTTAATTGGTAACTAACTAAATTGTTCTCCTTATAAAATCCGCTAGTGAATTCCTACGTTTTTGTGTTATTTTGGCGTCCATTTTCGATCTTCCTCTAACACACCCAACTTCTTGAAAAAGCTTAAATTATCTCTCTGCACTTTGAGATGCAAATTTACGACCTATTTTTTCTAAAACTTGGTAAGGGCTTCGGCCTTGTGGAACAAATAAACTTGTGGAACAAATGGAACAATAAATGATGTTTCCATTTACAGAGGCACAGTTTAATCCAACTGTCCTTTTAAACTAATGAGTTTTACCTGCCTCGTGGCTAAAATTTTAGAATCAGAGCTATAAAATCTTTATGTTTGTCTGTTTCTTTGTGTGTATACATGTGTACACATCTGTGTTTGCATATTCTCTACATGGTACTAAATTGGACTTACAAATAAGTCAGTACTCATGAGAGGTGAAGCCAGCTGGAATTCCTGGGTCCAGTGGGGACTGGGGGAACGTTTCTGTCTTACAAGAGCTTTGTTAAACGCACCAACCAGGAACTTTCCTGTATTACAAGAGGTTTGTAAAATGCACCAATCAGGAACTTTCCTGTCTTACAAGAGGTTTGTAAAATGCACCAATCAGGAACTTTCCTGTCTTACAAGAGGTTTGTAAAACGCACCAATCAGCACTCTGTAAAATGCACCAATCAGCGCTCTATAAAATGCACCAATCAGCAGGATTCTAAAAGTAGCCAATCGTGGGGAGGATTGAAAAAAGGGCACTCTGATAGGACAGCAATGGAACATAGGAGTGACCAATAAGGGAATAAAAGCCAGCCAGCAGCAACAACCTGCTCAGATCCCCTTCCACGTTGCGGAAACTTTGTTCTTTCGCTCTTCACAATAAACCTGGCTACTGCTCACTCTTTGCGAAGGTCTGTGGCTTCATTCTTGAAGTCAGCAAGACCATGAACCCAGGCAGGAACCAACTCCGGACACATTCATAAATTAAATAATTTGCCCAAATATTTTTCACTTTAGTAATAGAGTTGACCCTTGAACTGCAAGGGTCCACTTACATGCATATATTCTTCGGCCTCTGCCACCCTTGAGGCAAGAAGACCAACCCCTCCTGTTCCTCCTTCTCCTCAGCCTACTCAACATGAAGATCATGAGGATGAAGACCTTAATGATGATTCACTTCCACTTAGTAGTAAATATTCTCTCTTCCTTATGATTTTCTTAATAACATTTTCTTCTCTCTAGCTTATTTGATTGTAACAATAAAGCATATAATACATAACATAAAAATATTGTTAATCAACTGTTAATATGTTGTCAGTAAGATTTCTAGTCAACCATAGGCTAGTTGTTGTTACATTTTGTGGGAGTCAAATGTTTTCAACTCTGTGGGGGATTGGCTCCTCAACCCTTGTGTTGTTCAAGAGTCAACTATATTTGGTAAAGAAAAATAGTTTTAACATTTTTGGTAAAATAAAATCAAAATGCCTACAGAATTTTAGACATTTTTGACTGGATCAACTGGTCAGACATATTTATACTTTCTCTTCTAGATGTTTTAAGGTAATAAACCTGGTATTTTTTATACTTAGTTTAATTTGTCTATGAGGTTATGTCTTTGGTTTTGAGCCTTTGAATTTAGGAGTCTAGCCAAGTGGCCATGCTGAGTCCTAGGGATATACAGAGCTTGGGTCACCAGCTACAGAGCAGGGACAAGCACATTATGGCCCCATCCTCCCTGGCTCAGCTATGCCTTCTGGATGTGCTGGGAGAGTCGGATCCTCCAGGCATGGTCTTCACAGCTTTGTCCTCTGTCCTGAGCTCTGCACTTTGTACATAACAATTAAAATTGCTTACCTCCTGGATTTTCACTGGAAATTAGGGTTATTAAGAGTTAAAATAATTACATCTATGTCGTTAAAACCAGTAGATATAAGAAAAACAATTCTGTATGTAAAGAGTACAAAGAAAGCAAGATATGTTTGTTTAGGTAAATTATAAACGCATGAGGATATGTGTTGAGAAAAAATTAATTTTGTCTATAGAGGTTATTTAAACATCATTTCAAAACAAAGGGGAATGGTCCGGTTCCAAGATGGCTGAATAGGAACAGGTCCAGTCTATAGCTCCCAGCATGAACAACACAGAAGACAGGTGATTTCTGCATTTCCAACTGAGGTACCAGGTTCATCTCACTGGGGATTGTTGGACAGTGGATGTAGCCCACTGAATGTGAGTCCAAGTAGGGTGGGGCATCACCTTACCCAGGAAGTGCAAGGGGTCAGGGAATTCCCTTTCCTAGCCAAGGGAAGCCATGACAGACGGTACATGGAAAATCGGGACAGTCCTAACCTAATACTGCACTTTTCCAATGGTCTTAGCAAACGGCACACCAGGAGATTATATCCCGCACCTGACTTGGAGGGTCCTACACCCACAGAGCCTCGCTCACTGCTAGCACAGCAGTCTGAGATTGAACTGCAAGGCGGCAGTGAGGCTGGGGGAGGGGTATCTGCCATTGCTGAGGCTTGAGTAGGTAAACAAAGTGGCAGGGAAGCTCAAACTGGGTGGAGCCCACTGCAGCTCAATGAAGCCTGCCTGCCTCTGTAGACTCCACCTCTGGGGGCAGGACATAGCTGAGTAAAAGGCAGCAGAAACTTCTGCAGACTTAAAGGTCCCTGTCTGACAGCTTTGAAGAAAGTAGTGGTTCTCCCAGCACAGAGTTTGAGATCTGAGAACGGACAAACTGCCTCCTCAAATGGGTCCCTGACCCCTGAGTAGCCTAACTGGGAGACATCTCCCATTAGGGGCCAACAGACACCTCATAGAGCTGGGTGCCCCTCTGAGATGAAGCTTCCTGAGGAAGGATCAGGCAGCAACATTTGCTGTTCTGCAATATTTGCGGTTCTGCAGCTTCCACTGGTGATACCTAGGCAAACGGTCTGGAGTGGACCTCCAGCAAACTCCAACAGACCTGCAGCTGAGGGTCCTGACTCTTAGAAGGAAAACTAACAGAAAGGACATTCACACCAAAACCCCATCAGTACGTCACCATCATCAAAGACCAAAGGTAGATAAAACCACAAAGACGGGGAGAAACCAGAGCAGAAAAGCTGAAAATTCTAAAAATCAGAGTGCCTCTTCTCCTCCAAAGGAACGCAGCTCCTCGCCAGCAATGGAACAAAGCTGAATGGAGAATGACTTTGACGAGTTGACGAAAGCAGGCTTCAGATGATCGGTAATAACAAATTTCTCCGAGCTAAAGGAGGATGTTCGAACCCATTGCAAAGAAGCTAAAAACTTTGAAAGAAGATTAGACAAATGGCTAACTGGAATAAACAGCCTAGAGAAGACCTTAAATGACCTGATGGAGCTGAAAACCATGGCATGAGAACTACGTGAAGCATGCACAAACTTCTGTAGTCGATTCGATCAAGTGGAAGAAAGGGTATCAGTGACTGAAGATCAAATGAATGAAATGAAGTGAGAAGAGAAGTTTAGAGAAAAAACAGCAAAAAGAAATGAACAAAGCCTCCAAGAAATATGGGACTATGTGAAAAGACCAAATCTACATCTGACTGGTGTACCTGAACGTGACAGGGAGAATGGAACAAAGTTGGAAAACACTCTTCAGGATATTATCCAGGAGAACTTCCCTAACCTAGCAAGGCAGGCCAACATTCAAATTCAGGAAATACAGAGAACACCACAAAAATACTCCTCAAGAAGAGCAACTCCAAGACACATAATTGTCAGATTCACCAAAGTTGAAATGAAGGAAAGAATGTTAAGGGCAGCCAGAGAGGAAGGTCGGGTTAACCACAAAGGGAAGTCCATCAGACTAACAGTGGATCTCTCGGCAGAAATCCTATAAGCCAGAAGAGAGTGGGGGCCAATATTCAACATTCTTAAAGGAAAGAATTTTCAACACAGAATTTCATATCTAGCCAAACTAAGCTTCATAAGTGAAGGGGAATTAAAATCCTTCACAGACAAGCAAATGCTGAGAGATTTTGTCACCACCAGTCCTGCCTTGCAAGAACTCCTGAAGGAGGCACTAAACATGAAAAGGTACCAGCCACTGCAACAACATACCAAATTGTAAAGATTATCGATGCTAGGAAGAAACCGCATCAACTAATGAGCAAAATAACCAGCTAACATCATAATGACAGGATCAGTTTCACACATAACAACATTAACCTTAAATGTAAATGGGCTAAATGCTCCAATTAAAAGATACAGACTGGCAAATTGGATAAAGAGTCAAGACCCATCAGTGTGCAGTATTCAGGAGACCCATCTCACGTGTAGAGACACACATAGGCTCAAAATAAAGGGGTGGAGGAAGATCTACCAACCAAATGGAAAACAAAAAAAAGCAGGGGTTGCAACCCTAGTCTCTGATAAAACAGACTTTAAACCAACAAAGATCAAAAGAGACAAAGAAGGCCATTACATAACAGTAAAGGGATCAATTCAACAAGAAGTGCTACCTATCCTAAATATATATGCACCCAATACAGGAGCACCCAGATTCATAAAGCAAGTCCCTAGAGACCTACAAAGTCCTAGAGACTTAGACTCCCACACAATAATAATGGGAGACTTTAACACCCCACTGTCAACATTAGACAGATCAATGAGACAGAAAGTTAACAAGGATATCCAGGACTTGAACTCAGCTCCACACCAAGTGGACCTAATAGACATCTACAGAACTCTCCACCCCAAATCAACAGAATATATATTCTTCTCAGCAACACATCACACTTATTCCAAAATTGACCACATAGTTGGAAGTAAAGCACTCCTCAGCAAATGTAAAAGAACAAAAATTATAACAAACTGTCTCTCAAACCACAGTGCAATCAAATTAGGACTCAGGATTAAGAAACTCACCCAAAACTGCGTAACTACATGGAAACTGAACAACCTGCTCCTGAATGACTACTGGGTACACAACGAAATGAAGGCAGAAATAAAAATGTTCTTTGAAAACAATGATAACAAAGACACAACATACGAGAATCTCTGGGATACATTTAAAGCAGCGTGTAGAGGGAAATTTGCAGCGGTAAATGCCCACAAGAGAAAGCAGGAAAGAGCTAAAATTTACACCCTAACATCACAATTAAAAGAACTAGAGAAGCAAGAGCAAACACATTCAAAAGCTTGCAGAAGGCAAGAAATAACTAAGATCATAGCAGAACTGAAAGAGATAGAGACACAAAAAACCCTTCAAAAAATCAATGAATCCAGGAGCTGTTGGTCTTTTTGAAAAGACCAACAAAATTGATAGACCACTAGCAAGACTAATAAAGAAGAAAAGAGAGATGAATCAAATAGACAGAATAAAAAATGATAAAGGGGATATCACCACCGATCCCACAGAAATACAAACTAACATCAGAGAATACTATAAACACCTCTATGCAAATAAACTAGAAAATCTAGAAGAAATGGATAAATTCCTGGACACATACACCCTCCCAAGACTAAACCAGGAAGAAGTTGAATCTCTGAGTAGACCAATAACAGGCTCTGAAATTGAGGCAATAATTAATAGCCTACCAACCAAAAAAAGTTCTGGACCAGACGGATTCACAGCCAAATTGTACCAGAGGTAAAAAGAGGAGTTGGTACTATTCCTTCTGAAACTATTCCAATCAATAGAAAAAGAGCGAATCCTCCCTAATTCATTTTATGAGGCCAGCATCATCCTGATACTGCAGAGACACAACAAAAAAAGAGAATTTAAGACCAATATCCCTGATAAACATTGATGCAAAAATCCTCAATAAAATACTGGCAAACTGAATCCAGCAGCATATCAAAAAGCTTATCCACCATGATCAAGTCAGGTTCATCCCTGGGATGCAAGGCTGGTTCAACACACACACATCAATAAACGTAATCCATCATATAAATAGAACCAAAGACAAAAACCAAATGATTATCTCAATAGATGCAGAAAATGCCTTAGACAAAATTCAACAGCACTTCATGCTAAAAACTCTCAATAAACTAGGTATTGGTAGGACGTATCTCAAAATAATAAGAACTATTTATGACAAACCCACAGCCAATATCATACGGAATGGACAAAAACTGGAAGCATTCCCTTTGAAAACTGGCACAAGACGGGGATGCCCTCTCTCACCACTCCTATTCAACATAGTGTTGGAAGTTCTGGCCAGGGCAATCAGTCAAGAGAAAGAAATAAAGGGTATTCAATTAGGAAAAGAGGACGTCAAATTGTCCCTGTTTGCAGATGACATGATTGTATATCTAGAAAACCCCATCGTCTCAGCCCAAAATCTCCTTAAGCTGATAAGCAACTTCAGCAAAGTCTCAGGATACAAAATCAATGTGCAAAAATCACCAGCATTCCTATACACCAATAACAGACAAACAGAGAGCCAAATCATGAGTGAACTCCCATTCACAATTGCTTCAAAGAGAATAAAATACCTAGGAATCCAACTTACAAGGGATGTGAAGGACCTCTTCAAGTAGAACAACAAACCACTGCTCAATGAAATAAAAGAGGACACAAACAAATGGAAGAACATTCCATGCTCATGGATAGGAAGAATCAATATCTTGAAAATGGCCATACTGCCCAAGCTAATTTATAGATTCAATGCCATCTGCATCAAGCTACCAATGACTTTCTTCACAGAACTGGAAAAAACTACTTTAAAGTTCACATGGAACCAAAAAAGAGCCCACATTGCCAAGTCAATCCTAAGACGAAAGAACACAGCTGGATGCATCATGCTACCTGACTTCAAACTATACTACGAGGCTACAGTAACCAAAACAGAGATATAGACCAATGCAACAGAACAGAGCCCTCGGAAACAATACCACACATCTACAGCAATCTGATCTTTGACAAACCTGACAAAAACAAGAAATGGGGAAAGGATTCCCTATTTAATAAATGGTGCTGGGAAAACTGGCTAGCCATACGTAGAAAGCTGAAACTGGATCCCTTCCTTACACCTTATACAAAAATTAATTCAAGATGGATTAAAGACTTAAATGGTAGACCTAAAACCATAAAAACCCTAGAAGAAAACCTAGGCAATACCATTCAGGACATAGGCGTGGGCAAGGACTTCATGACTAAAACACCAAAAGTAATGGCAACAGAAGCCAAAATAGACAAATGGGATCTCATTAAACTGAAGAGCTTCTGCACAGCAAAAGAAACTAGCATCACAGTGAACAGACAACCTACAGAATGGGAGAAAATTTTTGCAATCTATCCATCTGACAAAGGGCTAATATCCAGAATCTACAAAGAACTTAAAGAAATTTACAAGAAAAAAATCAAACAACCCCATCAAAAAGTGGGGGAAGGATATGAACAGACACTTCTCAAAAGAAGACATTTATGCAGCCAACAGACACATGAAAAAATGCTCATCATCACTGGCCATCAGAGAAATGCAAATCAAAACCACAATGAGATACCATTTCACATCAGTTAGAATGGCGATCATTAAAAAGTCAGGATACAACAGGTGCTGGAGAGGATGTGGAGAAATAGGAACACTTTTGCACTGTTGGTGGGACTGTAAACTAGTTCAACCATTGTGGA